>NC_000017.11:35685980-36935980 GCF_000001405.40 Homo sapiens | reverse complement strand
GGCTGGGGGTGGTGGTCGTGGCGTTGGGAAGAGGGAAGGAGGAGGGGGGGGTGCCGGGACGCCACGAAGAGGCTGCAGTAGATGGGCGTGCAGTGCATGGGCAGCGTGTGCCGGGATTCCAGTCCTCCCCTGTCCAGGCTTCGGGTTGGCACCGGCTTCCCCAGACAACAGCAAACCACACCCTCCATAGTTCACTCCTCAGGGAACCCGTAACTCCCTAATCCCGCTCTGGCTAGGAACTCGGGACCGCCGCCCCCAGGGGCCTATTTTCCCACACGTGGGGGACAGATCCTGGTCTAGAGTGCCTTCGCCTGGAAGAGTTACTGTAGTTTTTCGGAGCACTCAAGTCAAACCCTAAATTCCGTTTCGACCACACCTGTTCTGGGTGGGCTTAACCAGGATTTCTCCTGAAGTGGAGTCTGAAGGTGGTTGGGCTGGGCGGTCCCACTTTTGCTCCCCGTTTTTGTGCTTCGGGGGAGGGGGTGCTAGGAAGGCTCATTTGGCCCGAGCATGGAAGGCAGTGATAGTGGGCGTCCCTCCGGAGCTGGCTGGTATTGTGGAATTGGCCTTTGGACCCCACTCGCGATGCGCAGACCAGACGGAAGCTGAAACGGGGGAAATGCTCGGGGAAGCGGAGTCGCAGTGAACCTGGGCTGGCAGGGAATCCCGCTGTGCAGATGGAATACCCTCTTCGGACGAACGGGGAAGCTGCTTCAGAGAATCTGGCTTGCGCTCCGTGGAACCGTGGGGTTTTAGGGCTTTGCCAACGCCCCTTTGCTGACTCCGCCCGCACCGCCCAGCAACCTCAAGGCCCACAGGCAGCCCCCCGCCTTGCCGCCGGCGTCACCATGTCATGGAAACCGAAGCCGCGGAGACCCGCAGTGCGACTCGTTGGCGTTCTGCCCTGACCCGTGGGTGCCGGGACCCTAACGCCTTCTCCACACCTTCTTGCACATACACATGTGGGCTCCCCGCTGCGGGCCGGAGGAGCGTAGGGGACTAGTCAGCTCCGGCGCGCCGCCGGCCTCCGCCGGTCGCTCCCAGACCCCGACGCGGGGCAGGGCAGAGGATGGAGAAGGCGGTTCTGCGATCTAGGGGGCGGGCTCCGCGGGCTCGGACTCGGCTTCGCGCTCCTCCTGCGGACCCGGCACTTCCCGGCGGAAGACGACCGGTACTCGGTAGGCTTCTGGCACCCCCGCAAGCGCCAAAAGCCGTGTGGCATGGGGTCCCCACTTCTTCCACCCGGACCCCCAGGCGCCTCCCAGCCTGCTGCGCTGCGTGAGGCCTGCGGGGAGGGGGCCAGTCCAGCCCTGCTGTCCTCACACTCCTCCCCTCCCCGCAGCTGTCCCGGTTCTCGCCGCCAGCGCCCTCGACCCAACCGCCCCTTTCTGGAATCTATAGTGGCCCCAGTCCCGGGTGGCTTGCCTCCGCCCCCGTCCCAGCTGGGCTCCTTCTCATGCAAAGCAGAGGGGTCACGGTGGAGTGTGGGGCGGTCAGTGGGACCTACCGGACGACAGCTGGACCTAGCTGTCGGCCCTTCCCCAACCCAGGGCCTGTCACCTCCCTCTGGTGGGCAGGAGGAGGTTGCTCCATCCATTTAGGGGTGTAAGAACCTTGGGACCTAGGTATAGGGGAAAGAAGGCCCCTCCCCACAGACGGACCAGCGAGGCAGGAGAGTTGAGGATGAGGACAGGACGCTCGCTCTAGGGCGTCAGGCTCCGCTCGTCCTGGTGTCCAGATGGCTCAGTAAACAGGTCCGCAGGAGCCAACCCTGGCGTCTCTGCAAGGGGGGCCAGGAGCGCAACTCAAAGTGCGCCTCTTGGCTCCAGATTCTAGGTTTGGAGTCCAGATTTAACTCCTCCACGGGGACAGCACATTAGACAAATGGTGGGTTTTGTTTTGTTTTCGTTTCCATTGAGCTTTTGTTTTAAAACATAATCGGTCGCAGGGACATGGAGAGAAAATTGACCAGGCTTTCTAAATTCGCCTTCTCCGAAGCCGCTCAGCTCAGCTCTGCATTTAAGCCAGTTCCGTTCAGCGAAGAGCACCAACCTTCCCTCCTCACCTTCCCGGCCACATTTATTGTCTGCATCCTCAACTACGCAAGCGTTTTCCTACCCAATGTCCTCCACAGACCCACAGCCACTTACACCGCCCAGGACCTGTACATTCTGGACCAGGGTCCGCGGGGATCATTTTCGCCCATAGCTCGGTGACTGCAGAATCCTTTCCACCCTCCTCCCAGGCACCCCCGGATACGGCCCCAGAGGGCCTAGGAGGTGACTTTCACAGTCCAGGTTTCTTTTCTTGAGAAGCTCCTTGACGATCAGCCCCAGAGGGACCCTGGTCAGAACCCGGGTTGGAGAGGGTTCTGTCAGCTCTCTCCAGCTGCCATGCAGTTTGGGGAGCCTGAAGGTGCCCCTCTCAAACTTCCACTTCCCTTCCTTCCCCCGCCCCCGCCCCCTCCAGGTTCCAGAATGACGCTCGGCCCATGGACAGAGCCTGCCCAGTCACTCTCGGCTGCTATTGATCCCGAGGATGATGGCCGCCCCTAGCCATTTCCCTCCTCTCTCTTCGGTTCCAGAACAGCCCAAGGAGCAGAAAAGAGTGACAAGGCCGTGAAAGGAGGCGCCTGGGGCGTAGCCGGCTCTAGGAGGTTACCCCATGCGGAGTACACACCCTGCTACACCCATCCCGGAGGAGGGAGGAAATAGCCAGCCCGGAGCACCCCTGGACTCTGCCGGTCCCAGAGGCCACGCAAACTCCGCCCAGACTCGGTGAGGCCGCGGTAATGCCACGCAGGGAACTGCGTGGATAAGGTCGCTCGGATCTGAGCGCCAAGGTCTCCCGCCTCTCCTTCCCGTCTAGTTCTCTCCGGACTCAAATTGCCTTAATCTCACCCATCACTCTCTCATGGAAATGATCTACTCGTGTGCAGTACTTCACAGCTTGTATCACGGTCTCCCCTGAACCGTATAGCAAGAGGGTGGTGGGGGGTGGAAGAGAAGGGTACTATCTCCACTTTCCCGGCCAGGAGGCCCAAGTTAGGAGGCTTGTCCGAGATCCCTAGGTCAGAGCACTATTTAAGGTGAGAAGTTGGGTGGGGAGCTTGGCACCTTGCTCCAGTGTGCACTTTGCGCCTGGCCATGTTTTATAAGCAAGGGGGGCTTGGGCTGGTTAAGGGGGAGCAGGGACCGCAGGGCCAGGAAAGGGCAGCATCCGGCAGGCCGGGGCGTCACGGTATGTGCCTGGCCTGGGTAAACAACTCTGGCTTCCCACGAGCGCTGGAGGGACCCTGGGCATGGGGCAGGGGCGTGGGGGAGGGGGGGCAGGGGCGTGGGGTGGGGCAGGGAGCGGGTGGAACAGCGAGGTCAAGCGTGGAGATTCCAGTTGCGAGTCAGCTCCGCGCCGCGGAGCAAAGACAGGACGTGGATAATCTTGGGAGGGAGACGCTGAGCTGAAGAACAGAAAAGAGAGACAGAGGCAGAAGTGAGGAGAGAGGGACAGGAAAAGAAAATAAAGGCAGAAAACCAGAGAAAAGATGAGACGGAGTGCGGAAAAGCAGGCGGGGATAAAGAAAGGAAAGATCTGTCGGGGAAATGCGGGGAGAAGTGGAGGAAAAGAAACAGAAATTAGACCCAGAGAGAGACCCTGCCACGAAGAAGGCCGCGGGGACGGGCGCGGAGCCGAGGGCCCTGCAGGCACGGAGGGGGCGTCCCGCGGGTCTGGGGGTGTGCGGCTTTGGGACAGGCGAGTGCGTGCTGAGAGAAAGAGGCAGCGTGTTTGGTGGGAGACTCTGCGCCCGTGGAAAAGCGGCTCTGGGCAGGAATCCAACAAATAAATAAAACGTCTAAGACGGCGTGACAACAATGTGTATTTGGGTGCGTGCCCGTGTTCCTCTGTCTGAACACCCAGTAAGGAAGACAAACGGGGCTCGTGCCTCACAGTAATTAATCCTCTCACTAATTGACTCTCTCCCCTTACCTAATGGCGGTGGTCACTGCCGATATCTGGAGAGACATCAAGTTGGGGGAGACAGAGAGAGAGAACCCCAAAGCTAACGACCTTTGGGACTGAGATTGAGTTTTTTCTGGACTTGGCAGCTCTAAGCCCTGCCCCCACCTCCACTTTTGGGCAGAGTTCCATAGATATTGCTGCCTTCCTTCCCCCTCCAGGTTTTGGGCAGCATTAATAAAGATCTCCTCAGATTAGGGTGATGTGGTTACACACACTGAAGCCCTTCTACCGCCCTCCACCTTGGGAGATCAGTTTCAGAGGCTGAAAGCCACCCCTGTCCCTGGGACATTTCTTACCTCCCTGCAATACCAGCTCCCCCTCCCATGTTGTTCCCCCAGGGGCCCAGACCCTGCACCCTCTTCTTTCAGGCAGTACTAACTCTTCCAAGGACCTGGGCGGTGTCCCGCAGTCCCCTAAGGCAGGTGAGGTTTTGAACGGGCTGAGAAGCAGTCTGGGGTTGATGGAAGGAGAGTGGTGGGAGGTCAGGGCAAGGATGGGGAGAGGCTTCCAGAGACAACCTTCCTCAGACTTGGGTTGAGAGACACAGAGGCGCAGAGAGGCGCAGTTGCCACCAGGCAAGAGAGAGGCCTCTAGGGACAAAGGAGGGAAAGGTGGGCTCTATGCACTGTGGGAAGGAGCGCCAAGTGTGTGAGAGGCAGGAAGGTGGTCATGTCTCTGTGACTGTGAGGGTGACAGTTCTGGTCTCTCTGTGTGAGCATGGGGAAGCCCCCTATGTTCCCTCACAGCACCCTCAGTTCTTAGACTGGGGAGAAGAGGCAGGGGACTGGTCTGGGACTTGATGGTCCCCTTGGTAGCTGAGTTGGCTGGAAGGGGTCCAACGCCCACAGTCTGTCTGGTAATGCAGCTTTGAGGCTTAGGTTTGGGAGGTGAATGTCAACTCTCACCCCTGTGAGGTGGCAGCTTTGCTCTGTTGGCCTCCTCAGAGGCTAAATAAAGAAATGCTGAGATCTATAAACCACCCAGCCCAGAGAGAAAAAGGAGGGAGGAAGGGCAGCTCCCTAGAAAAAAATCCACCCCCTCCCCACCACTAAACACATTTTTAATTGTCCCTTGGGAACATTTGTACATTTGACCAAAGCAAATCTCAAAGCAGCAGCAGCAAAATGAGTCAGAGGGGCTGGTGGTCCAGAGAGAGCTGGGGATCGGAGATGGGGAGGTGAGGAGAGGTGGCAGGCATGTTTGGGAAGGTGAGAAACTTGGTTCCTTTCCCACCATCTCTGTCAAGCTTTAGAAAGAAAGTGAGCAGGAGAAATAAAGTTCCAGGGGAAAGAAAGAGAAGGGCATATAAAAGGCAAATCCAACCCAGAAAGGAAAGAAAGTGAAGAAGAAAGAAAAAGGCAGGGAGGGGGGAGAGACTATAATAAAAGAGGGTGAAGGCGGCCCCAGGAGGCTGGGCCTCGTCCCAAACCATCCGTCTTCATTGTCTCCGTGTGTGCAAAGGCAACTCTGGCATAAGGAAAACCCACTATTGGAGCCGAGGCTTTATTTTATATCCTATACATCAGGAGGGAGGCAAAGCTTTATTTTCGCCAAGAGACAGATATTTTATTTCTCTCTTACGGTTTTATGTGTGAGAGATGTCAGGTTGCCACAATGGATGGCTAATGCATAGGCAAGAGGAAGCCGTGTTGGCATGCTGTGTGTCATGGGGTCTTGTGGGGGTGAGCGGGCCTGGGATTTAGGGCTGATGGGACACTCTGGGGGATTTCTGCTAAAACATCTCTCTTCATAAATCCAGAAGCATGGTCAGCTCAACAGGGAGAAGAAGGAGTTTTAGAGGGGAAAGAGTTGGGCTTAGTAATAAACGAACACACAAAGGAACCGCTTACCTTCCAACAGCCTCGGGCAACAGGGGCACGACAGCCCCATGGAAATGCAGACACCCATGTCCACGCACACAAGCGCCATTCACAGGGAAGTATTTTCCTGACACAAAATCCAATGTCAGTTTCCTTTCCTTTCCCCGTTTTATATTTTTCCACCCCCCTTCACCAGAAATCTTTTTTAACCTCCTCAGAGCCTTGGGGGAAAAGAGCCATTAATTTGCAAATCATCTGATCTGTGAAAGGATCAAGATGCCTGGTTTTCACTGCTAAATCCAACGTCTTGAGTGGACACAGAGGCACACACAAGCCCGTCATGCTGCCAACCCTTGGGAGCATAGGTGCCAGATCTGAAGCCAAGAAAAGACTCCCTCTCCTCCCGGGACCTGCAGCTGAATTAAGCCTTAGATTCCAAACTGCATAATGTTCATATTTTTAAACCTGGAGAGAAGTGGAGAGATGAAGGGGGACAAAAAGAGGGGGAACTTTGTTAATTAACGTGTTCCATTCAGGACTTAGACTAATTGTCTTCCCCACTTCCAGCCGCCCCCCAACCCAAGCCATTTCTTACAGGAGTTGCTTTTATTCATTCTCATGTTCTACTTTTCTCATTTTTGGATTAATATCTACTTGTTTAATATCTACTGTGGCGCAAAAACGTGACCACGCTCTTTCTTTTCAGAGGGTTGGAAGCAGCACAGGATTCCTAGACAAGGAGCTTGGAGACTTGGCTACACTGTCCCTGGCCATTAGGGAAGACGTTTAGCCTTTCCGGGCCTCAGTTTTCTCATCTGTAACATGAGGGGATTCGGCTAAATGATTACTGAGGTCCCTTCCAGCTCCGACCTCCTCTGGCCGAATGAGATAATGTGTGAAAACACTTTGTGAACACTAACACCGGACAGATGCCAGGGATCATTATTGCAATTCTAATCAATCCTCTTTTCTCCACATGGATCTTGGCTGTTTAGTGCCAGCAAGCAGGCTAAAGGGGGCTGAAAGCAAGAAAGCTTAGCGGACATGGAAAAGCTCTGTGCAGTGGGAGGGAAAAAAAAAACCCTGCATCTCCAGAAACATTGTGTCTCTGTGTGCCCCCTGAGGCCTAGTGGGAAGGGTTGGGGAGGAGGAGGCCTGACTTGGTATGACCCATTTTGGTCTACATGGCGGCAGAGAGTGTATTTCTTCAAAAGCATTGTTGGTCTCCAAGTGACTGACATGGGAACCTGATGGGAAGGCGATTTGCAATTGTTTTTTTCCAGGAAGAAAGAAAGAGCAAGGTGTAGCTGATTAGCAAGTTAATTATTTCAGTACCCCAAGGGTTCCAGTGTGGTGGTAAGTTGTCCAGCCCTGGTGTAATTTCACAGTCTGTGCATTTCCTGGTGAGCACCTGGGGTGCCCGAGTCTGTCTCTTTCTCTTTCCACCTGCCTTGTGTCTTCCTGACACACCTGGGGAGATGAGCAGGGGCTGGGGAGGTTGATGGTACAAGGTACACATTCGGCTTAGGCTGCGGGTGGGGGCCACACCAAGAACAGGGTGGAGGAAGCCCAACTGATGCCATCTACCTCCGCTGAGTGTTTAATTATCTGGCCCTTTCTTCTTTAAAAAATAATCTTTTGTTTAATAAATATTAATGAGGCGGGTTATCGGAAAGTGTAGTTGCCATGAGGTTATTTCCCCAGCCTTAGCATGGAAAGAAACTGGGTTTGAGGAGCCTTTCGGCCCCTCACCGCCTTCTACCCCCACCAGCTCTCCCGTGCTCACGTTCCGCAGCAGCTCTTCCGGTCTCACTTCAAGATTTGATTTCCCCTTGGGGGAGGGTAGGGGAGGGAGGATCATGTGGTCAAATGGACACTTCCCCTCGGAGAGATAAGTTGGAGATGTGAACATTAGCCTCAAGAATTAACAGCTTCTGCCGCTCTCTGCTCTCGGGGCTGAGAGGGCCAGCCCCCCCGCTGCTCCTTCCGCGATGGATGAAGGGAGGGCTCTACAGTTTACTTAAGAGTGGTCCCATCTGCTCAGACTGGCCTTTCATAAGGGGAGGGATTTATGCAGTGTCCTTGTGCACAGACCTGGGATTTGGCTGAAAACCTTGGGCCTCTGAGAATATTACTGAACGCTAAAACGTTCAGCCATGGAGATGATTCATGATTTTGTCTGCATGGACAGTGTGTGTGTGTGTGTGTGTGTGTGTGCGCGCGCGCGCGCGCGTGTGTGTTTGTTGGGGTTGCACGCACAGTGATGATGGGTGCCACTCACCGTTCTCACTTTGAATCCAAATGTTAGGAAACTTTTTTTCCTTCTGTATTCACTCAGGAGACAGGCCCTGGCACCAGGCTCTGGAGACCCCACTTCCTGACTCCAGCGGTGCGAAGATGATACAATACTTTCTGGTGCTGACATTCAGCTGTCTCCCAAACAGGTTGGCTGATAGCCCTGCCCGTCCTTGAAGAGGGGCCGGGGGCTGTCTAAAAAGACAGTTCTGATGACTGCTTCGTTGGTAGTGGCAGAGGATTTGGGGCACAGGGGTGGAGTTAAGTCCAATTGCTGTTTAAATTGGACTTGGCCTCCTTTATTTTACAGTCCTAAGGGGTCTCCATAGGAGAAAAAGTAGCGAGAGAAACTTAGAACACAGGAAAGCAAGCATAGGGAAGAGTTTCTTGTCTCAATCTTGGTACTGCCGTGCCAAAATGAAGCCCAGGGATGGTTAAAAACGGATCCTAGGGACCGGGCACCTTGGCTCAGGCCTGTAATCCCAGCACTTTGGGAGATCAAGATGGGAGGATTGCTTGAGGCTAGGAGTTCGAGGCCAGCCTGGCCAACATAGTGAGACCTCATCTCCAAAAATAAAAACTTAAAAAAAAATTTAAAAAACAAAAACAAAAATACAGATCCTAGGGAACAGAGTTTTGAGGTTCCCTGTGGGATCTTGGCCTGACTCTTGGGAGATGAAGAAGTCCTTGGCAAGTTTGAAAAGATCTACAAGTGCCATCTATTCAGGGGACTAAATGTGATTTCTTTTCACTGCCCAGTGGCTGGTAAGGAAGGAAGCATTTTGCATTTTCAGCTTGTAGGATGGTTATTGGTGGTCCTACCATCTTGCTCATGTTCAAGTTTGGTCGTGTAGATGAAGAGCCCAGCTTCCCAGCTCTTAGTTTTTCTTTTCCCTCAGGCCATTCATAATTTAGCTAACATTCTAGTCCATTGACCAGCATGCATTTTGAAAGGTGAGCTGGCAAGCCTGTAACTGTGTGCAAGGTTGTTCTCATTTAGGCTCCAGGAAGGATATAGTTTCCCCATAAGAAAGAAAAGTGGGCGAGAGGCTGAGGTGGGAGGTCACTTGAGTCCAGGAGGCAAAGATTGCAGTGAGCTGAGAACCATGCCACTCACTGCCTTCCAGCTTGGGTGACAGAGTGAGACCCCATCTCGAAAAAAAAAAAAAAAAAAAAAGAAAAAGAAAGAAAGAAAGAAATAAAAGCAAGGAACTATTTATATTAATCTTTTAATGAAGGATTTACCAATCTGATAAGTACGAAGCTCCTTTTCCTCCTTCTGAATGAGTAACTATGTCAGTCAATGTTGAGGGTCTGCAGAACCTATACAAAAATGCTTTCTTTGGTCTCTCAGTTTTAACACATGCTGGGGCTTGGGCCTGCCTCTGACAGACTGGGGAGGAGTAGACACATTCCAGAGACCAGGTCTTGGAGTGTTATCTCTTCCCCCACCTCAAATCCTCACCCTCCACTTTATCTGTCTTTAGCACGAATGCAGAGACCTCCTAGGGAAGTGTGAAGGGATGGGTTTTCGTCAGGTTTAGGGAAGGAAGGGGAATAAGATGAGCCCCAAAGAAAGATGGGGGTCATTTGGAATTTTTAGATGACACTCTTTTGTTATACTTTTCTTGTATTGTGTATTATGTCCTACAAATCGTGCATTTGTTACAGTAAGCCACAGTGTGTATGTGTGTTTGCCAAGTGCTGCTTGGCCAAAACAGTGTTAAATAAAATTGTAAGAAATGCTACCAGGGCCTTGCATGGGTTATTTAATTCTATCAATGATAAACAACGTTAATGTGTAGCATCTCAGTTGGCACAGTATCATGTTTCATTTATATATGCTGAGATATATTTAAGCATGAAAGATACAGTTTTCCAACATATATGTTTCCCAGTGATTACTTAGGGGAAGTGTGATAGAAACAGCAGAAACCTTTCTCTCTCACATAAACCTGCATCCTGCAAACACAGACTGCCAGTCACACTTAGTCACATGGCCAGCCAGCCATGTACATATTTTCGTATATATGCCTTCACAGGTAAGTGTAAATGTAGATTTTAGAAATGTAGATTCAGATTTCTGTACTGGTACACGATTCTAGATACATGTAGCAGCACACACAGGCCGCTTTTCAAAGTCTTTGTTACATTTACACATTTTCTCACACACTTACCTACCCTCCTGCATAGACGGATGCTAACAGCAACATGCGTCTCACCCCACATGTGGATATGTATGTGTACACATGTTGGTACTCTCACTGCCAAGTGCTGATGTTCCCAGAAGGATGTGTGCCCACATGCAGGAGACTGTTCTGCCCAGTCTCCTCCTGAAATGTGCATTTGTGTGCATGTGCACATTTGCACACACACATGCACACTCCTCCACCCCTGCTCTGGGGAGTACACTAACATTCACTGACACGCTCCGTATGGCCATGGAGCAGCAGCTGCTCTGTTACTCTTGGAGGCTCCAGACGTGGTGGACAGTTTTTTTTACCTGGGAACTGTGTGTTTGCCCTGTGAACCCTGAGGCCTTCAGGATGGGAAGCCTGGAGGATCAGGGTCAAGATGCCAGCCTGTCTAGCCTCTGATGAAAATAATATGAAAACGTAGGAGTGGGAGAGGGGGTGGGGTAGCTGGTCTCTGCAGACAGATGCCTCCAAAAGAGGATCAACCTTTTATTTGCTCATTTGACAAACATGTCAGAGAGGTATATAGGAGTCAGGATGCCTGATTAGCTTCTCTGATCCTGATTCTGCTGCCAATTAGCTGTGTGGATCTAGGCAACCTGCTCTCTAGGCCTCAGTTTGCACATCTGTAAAGAACAGGCCTGGGGCTGGATGTGGTGGCTTATGTCTGTAATCCAAGCACTTTGGGAGGCCAAGGCGGGTGGATCACCTGAGGTCAGGAGTTTGAAAGCAGCCTGGCCAACATGGCGAAACCCCGTCTCTACTAAAAATACAAAAATTGGCCAGGTTTGGTGGTGGGCACCTGTAATCCCAGCTACTCGGGAGGCTGAGGCAGGAGAATTGCTTGAACTCGGAGGGTGGAGTTTGCAGTGAGCCAAGATCGCGCCACTTCACTCTGTCTCAAAAAAAAAAAAAAAAAAAAAAAAAAAGAATGGGCCTGGATGGGCAGTTCTCAACCTTGGATGCACAGAGGAATCATCCGGGGAGCTTTCAAAAAATACAGATGTCTGGGCTCCACCCCAGACCAGTTAGATTAGCATCTCTGGGAGGTGAGTTCCTTGCATCTTTTTTTTTTTTAAAGCTCCCCAGGTTATTCTATGTTCAACCAAGGTTGAGACCCAGTGGCTGAGATGGTCTCCAAGGCTCTTCTAGACCAAAAGCTCTATGACATGGAGGACTTTCCATACAAAAAGCACTGTGCTGGGTACCAGGGCACCCTGATGAAACATCTACATTTACTTGTATAAGGTCATTAAAAGTTATTAAAAATTATTCTTCTTTCAGTTTAGGCAAAGAATAATTTCAAACAAAGTATATTTATCCTGGAAACACTCACACTTGCATTTCCAGCTCTCTTTCTGTTTCTTTGTTTCCTTTCCAATTTATCTCTCTCTGACTCACTCATCGAACATTAATTATATGCCACATATACAAATACTATTCGTGGGGATCTGATAAATGTGATAGATACCTTTGCTACCCACACATATTTCCTGGCTAGCTCCTCACCCAACCTGTTGGATAGCATAATATTTTTAGCAGGGTAAATGATAAGGCACAGGCTCCAGGAGGAAAGTTTTCTCCCCCCACCCCCCAAGCCCAGCTGTGAGTCAGAGAACACCAGCCCCCAGGCCCGTGCCCCAGTTCTGGAGGCTGGCATGGTGCTGAAGAACGCATTGAGCTGTGTGTCCTAGAAAGCTGCTCTCAGACCTGGGCCTTTGGGAATCCCACATTAATATTCTCCACTAACAGTTCCCCAGGCAGGGCCAGTCCCCCTTGAAAACAAACCTGCTCCGTGACCACACCTGCCAGAGAAGACTGCCTCTCATCCACAGTAGCGTGCAGAAGGCAAAACTGAGACAACACAGCCTGAGCTGCCGCCTGCGGGCCGCTTCTCTGTTGGAGGATGTTTAGGAGAGTATGGGGGAGGGCTTCTGCCTCTCATCTGTGGTGGGATGGAGGAGAGGGTTTTCATTCTGTATGGAGGGCCTCCACTTTTCCCTCTGTGTAATCACTCACTCAGGCCTCCGAGAGAAACTCAGACGGGAGCCTGCTTCTCTCTTTCCCTCTCTCCCTTTAGCTACACTGGCCTGCAGAGTTTTGGATGAGTTTTCTTTAGGAAAGTTGTCCCAGCGTGGCCATGGTGGCGGCTCTTCTGTCCAGGTGAGTGCCAGAGTAGGGATCAAGGCTGAGACCCTTGGGTTTGGTCTCTAACCCTCTCATTCACTCCTGTTTGCTGCCTGTGTCTTTGTTTATCTCTGTATTTTCCCCCCTCTCTTTCATTTTGTCTTCTCCCCTGATGACATATGGATCAAGTCCTGGCCACCAAGGTGGCCTTGAACATAGCGTAGGAGAGGTTGCTGGGCACAGCGGACCTCTCATGCCATGCCCAGTCCCTCTTCTCCCCTCCCCTCTCCTCTTGCATAGAGGATGAGTTTGGTGCTGAGGAGGGAGAGGCAGTAGGGGATCCTCAGACTCTAAACTCTGATCCAGGGCCCAGCTTCTCAGGCTTGAGTCCCTTCCCAGGGCCTACCTCCCCTTGGGCCTGGGGAACGTCACACCCCAGGAAGTGATGGATTCCCCAGGCACCTTCAAAGAGCTCTGCATTTGTTTGCAATGCAGACCTTGAATCTTGCTCTGGTCATAAATGTTGTTTATTTTGACTAGGACCTACTGAAAGGGGCTGAGAGGTATAGAAGGCAAAGAGAGAATTCTGTAGGGAAGATCATAAAACCATTAGCAAGGCAGGGCTTCTAGGGGTCACAGGATCACAGACATTTTCTGGTTGGAAGGAGCATAGGCCATCAGGAAGGTCAGAGATGACCACTTTGTCAGCAAAAGGCCTTCAGGGGCCACACAGGGCTAGGGTGGGGGTCTTTGGTCCTCTTGTGTGCGGACTGTTTCTAGAAAGTGGACCTAAGGTATGGGGTCATGACCCCCCAGTAACCTTATGCCAGGCTGGGGAGGCCAATCTTGCTGAATCTGATGGATTTGCCCTCCTGGTGGGAAGAACCAGTTGCTTGGCTGTGTAGCAGAGCCTGCTATCCTAGGGAGTGGGCACAGCTCCTGGGTGGAAGATTCTGCTTCCAGCAGCTCCTGGGGAAAAGACTTTGCTTCCACTATTATTGAGGGAGCAGCTGTATGTGCCAGGGGCTGTGCCTGATGCTCTTCTAGTACCTTGTCTTATTCACCCTTCAAGACAATGCTTGAAAGAGAAGTTTTCATCTCCATTTTGCAGATAAGAAAACTGAAGCTCAGAGAGGAGAGGTGGTTTGTCCAAGGTCACACAGCAAGTTAGTGATAAGGCTGGGAGTAGGCTTTAAGACTTGGGACTCTTTCAACCTAATCTTCTCCACATCTCTCCTCTTCTTCACCATCCACTGTGGTCTGGTCTTCTGCAGCCTGAGAGAACAAATGGGAGTAGGGTTCCCCTCCCTCTAAAGCATATATTGGGCTGACAAAAAACTCAGGAACAAACTTCCTTCTTTTTTATTTTTTTGAGACAAGGTCTTGCTCTGTCACCCAGGCTAGAGTGCAGTGGCATTATCATGGCTCCAACTCATGGGCCCAACCTATCCTCCCACCTCAGCCTCCCAGGTAGCTGGGACCACAGGAACATGCCACCACACCTGGCTAATTTTTAAATTTTTTATAGAGATGTCTCCCTATGTTACCCAGGCTGGTCTTGAACTCCTGGGGTCAATCAATCCTCCTGCCTTAGACTCTCAAAGTGCTCGGATTACAGGTGTGAGCCACCGTGCCCAGACTGCAAACTTCCTTCTTGTAGGGGGAACAGCAGAGCCTTGGGCCCCTTCCAGTCCCTGGCACAGACCTGGCTCACTCTTCAGAGAACATTCTCCCATAAATCCAGTCCACAGTCAGGTAGCTATCCTGGTTGCCTTTCACTCATGGTGTGACTCAGAGCAAGTCACTTCACCATTCTGAGTCACACCTTCCAGATCCACCTCCAGACCTGGGGGCTCTGTGGAAGGTGAGGCTTGGCGGAAGTGGTGGCAAGCGGAGCCCTCTTGAGCTCCTGTTTGGTGTAATAGCTCAGGGCTGGGCAGGAGATGAGACTTGGTTTTGCCCCTAAACCTAACTCAAGTTACATAAAGATTCTTCAAAAAGCAGGCAAGGCAGGGCTTGGTAAGATCCCTGCTGAGCCCGTGAGAGGCGGAGAGCCAGGGCAGAGGCAGCTTAAGTAGCAGTTCTTCCCTGATCCCCTGACTGTGTAATCCAGTTGCTCAGAGAATGGAAAATCCCTTTCGCCTCCCCTGGTCTCCTCCCCCACAAAGGCCTCCTAATAGGCCTGCCAGCTTTGGGGTGCTAATCTGCCCAGACATCACTCTGTGAGCAGGTTGCCCAGGGTTCCAATCCCAGCCGCCCCACAGTGGGAGATGGGGAAGGCTGGGCGGGGAGTGGTTCTGGGGAGTTGAGTGTGGGGGATTGCCTGCTCTCTGGCCTGCCCAGAAGATCAGAGAAACAAACAGGCTCTGTGCTGAAAGAAACTTTGGGGATGGAGACAGGGCACAGGATTGGAGGGAGGTGGGCAGCAGGGCTGGGTCCCCTGGCAGAGGTGCCTTGGGTGGGGCTTATTATGAAACAGTCCCTGTCACTTCATCCGCCAAGCTCCTTTCATTTTTATTTAAAAAGGGCCCCCTCTCCAGCAACTTCACCTCCCCACCCCCTACACTTTCACTCATCCATCCACTGAGCCGCTGACAGCTGCCCTGCGGGTGAACTCCTGATCCTCCTGCGGCTGGGGCTGGAGCAATACTGGAGGGGCTCAGGCCAGATCACTGCCCCCCTCCAGCCCTCCACCCTCACCTCCCAACACACTTACTCACTCACTCCAGATAGGCCCACCTCCGGTCCCCTGAGTCAGCCAGAGAGAGAAGAAAACGAAGGAGGTGACAAAGCAGAAAAAAGGACCGGGAGGAGGATGAAAAGAAATAAAGAGTGGAGAAGAGGAAGAAAAAATCAGAGGGCTAAAAATCAAACAGTGAAGGAGGAAAAGGGAGGAACTGGAGAAGGAAGGAAAGAGAGGAGGAAATGAAGTACAAGGAGAAGATGGAAAAGCAAGAGGAGAAAGGAAAGAAGGAAGGAGGGAGAGAGAGAGAGGGCAGAGGCTGGAAGGCTGGAGCCCAAGCCCAAGCTATCATCCTTAATAGCTGAAGATGCTGAAGGGAGGGGAAAAAACAGGGTTGGGGAGGACTGGCGGGAGGAGGAGACCGCACAGGCAGGAAGGGAAGTACGAGGTTGCTCCAGGTACGAAGCATGAGCCTGGATGGAGCCTCACCCACCCAGCTCCCAGCTCTGGAAACACAGCCCTCCCCCTGGACGAAGGTCCCTTGGTGCAATGCCGCAGACTGTGTCCACGGCCATGCAGGCTGCAGACAGAGGAATCTCTCACTTGGGGTGGTCAGAGTTGTGGGACCGGTTGGATGGAGCCCTACACTCTCTTCCTAGGATGGCAACAGCGTCCGCCCCAGGCTGCATGACCATGCCAGTTTCAGCTGGCTTCACCGCCTGCAGCGTCTGGGTCCTGCCTGCTCCCTTTGGTTACAGTTAGAAATTTCTCCTGATTTGAGATTTTATCTTACAATGGACTGGGCCTTAAAGACCAAGTACTTTCCACCTCCTCATTTTATAGATGCGAAACAGGCCTGGAGAGGGGAAGAAACTTGTTTACAGTCACATTGTGAGTTAATGGGGAGCTCTGCCTTTCTAAGCTCAAAGACCAAGGCTGAGACAATAGCCAGAGAGGACAAGGGAGTGTGGTGTCTCTGCAGAGGGCTCAGCATTTGATTCCCTCTGCTGGGAACACGGCCACAGCATTTTATATCCTAGATGAGAGAAAACATTTGTGGCTACGGTAGTTCCCGTATTTTAAGTACCTACGATACACCAGCTTTGGCATACATTATTCTCAATAACTCCTCATACATATCCTGTCATGTAGATATTCCATGTCCTGCATTTACAGAGAAATAAACCAAGGCCCAGAGAGGTTGAGTAACTTGTCTGAGGTCACACAGCTAGGAATTTGAGCCGGGATTTGCTCAAAGCTCATGCTGAATCTCTTATGCCATGCTGTCTCTTGGGTGTCCATAGCCAACACTCTTCTTCCCTACCTCATTCCTACCCCACCACCCCATACATAGCCCAGGGATTAAATCTGAGACGTCCTCATGGCAGCTGGAACTGATATTGCCAGGGAGAACGCAGCTGGGTGGACCTGACCATGTCTCCTCATCTCCCCTCAAAGACCCCACAAAGACAAGGGGAAGGTCCCCTGAGACTCTGTATGATTTATCTGATGATATTGTTATTTTATGGGACGGGCCAAAGAGGTGTCAGGAAGCAAGTTCGCTGTAAATCTCTTTTCTCTGCTCCCTTTCCCTCTGCCCGTCCCCTCCTGGGATTTATGGTGAAATCTGTTCAGAGCTAGGGACTTGGGGCTTTGGGTTCAGGCTTGGGGTGGTACGGCAAGGGACCATACATCTTCCTTCTCTGGGATCTGCTAAAAGTGTGCTACCCACACCCCATCACGAGCTGCAGCATTGAGTCCACAAAGCCCTTATTAAGATCCCATGGCACTCGAATAGCTCTGCAGACAGAACACATGACTTGCAGTGGAGATGTGTTATCTGGACCCACCCATAGGCTGGTGGCCCATGTGTGGCCCCCTCACTGGTGGGCATGAGTTTCTGAATCCAGCCAGGAACCCGGGAGCAGAGCCCACCTGGGAGCAGATGTGTGACCCCCACACAATAGCTCTGAGGCCAGGAAGAAGTGGCGGGGCTGGGGGTGCTCCTCATGGAGTGGCAGGTCAGGGGCTAGCTGGAAAGGAACCTGCTTCTGGGTCCTTTTTGAGATGGGGGTGCACAGGAAGGAAGGCAGCTTGAAATTTGCTCCCTGCCCCAGGGCAGGCAGTCTCAAAGCGACTGGCCCTGCAAACACTGCTGTGAGCTCTGTCACTGGGGGTGAACACAAGGTCACACACTTGAGAGGGCAGATGAAGGCTGGGCACCCTATCCACCTTCACACTTCTGCCCTCCTCGGGGGCTTTCACATCTGCAAATGCTGGGCTGATTGTCCTGAGCTGAGCTTGTCCAGTCAGAGGCCAGTATGTGCTGGTTGCCGCCAGAGGCCTAGAGACAGCTCAGTCCAGGGAGGGAAGAGACAGGAATGAGAGGAGGGCAGAGGAGGGGAAGAGGAGGGAAAGGAGGAGTTAAGAAGGGGAGGGGAGGAGCAGGAAGAGGAAAGGAGGAGATGCTAGCAAAAGCCTTTCCTGACCTGCCCCCCACCCACACCTCTCCTCCACTGTGATGAGAAATCTTCTCTCATCACAGCTCCTTAGAGGGTGCTAGTGTGGCCTCCCACCCACGGTGGCCTCCAGTATTCATGAGCCAGTTGTTGCAGAGGAATTTCTTCAAACAGCCCACGGCCTCTGGATAATGCGTCTTGAGCACCCATGACTCCCCACAGTCCCAAGTCCAGTGTGCAGAATCTTAGGGAGGGCTGGGTGAATCCTGGCTAAATGAATACAGAGAAAAGAAAAGGGGAGAAAAGAAGAGAGTGGATACCAGCTGTCTCCCCCATCCCGTCCTCACCCTGCTCATCTCCTGACTGCCTGAACCAGGGCTGTGCTGTGTCTCCAGTTAAATATATGGAATTATCTATTACAATACTTCGATATTTATTACATTGATTTCGCTTTAAATGCTTTGTAAATCATAGCAAAAAATAATGGCCTTCTAACAGAGAGTCATATACCGTAATCAACTGGAAGAAAGTCAGCATTGTAATTTAAAATAAAAAAAAATCCTTATGTGAGTCTCTCGTTTAAATTAAGAGACAGGACGTGATTCAAATAATAAGGCCCAAGTGAGGCTGGTTTTTCTTGGCAAATTAGTAGAGGTTTTAACTGGAACTGAAAAGGTGTTAAGGTGGAACACTGACCTTATTAGACCTTAATTATTTTCTGTTGTTACGTTCCTGGAGCCGAGGGTTTTTTTTTTTTCTTCCAAAGTGGCCATGTTAAACCTCATCTCAGGAACTTTGGCTTTAGAGGGATATCACTTCTCAAGAGGCATTAGTGGGATAAAAAGCAGACACTTTGCCAGTGTCCCTTTTCTCCACCCTTGAGTTTCATGGGCACCCATAATTGCTGGTTTGGAGGCAATGTTCTTGTCATTGAAAGCTGAGAATTTGCCCCACTCATGTCCCTGATTCCTTTAGCTTTTTACCTGTGGCCTTCCTAGTGGTAGCCTCCTCTCCCTGGATCTAGCTTCAGCCCAGGCTGATGGAGCCAGCATCCACCTGGCCAAGAGAGAGGAGAGGGATGCGTGTGTGTGTGTGTGTGCGTGCATGTGTGTGTGTGTGTGCGCATGTGCATGTGTGTGCTGATTGGTGGGACACAGTGGGCAGCATTTTCCTCACCATGTACTGCAACCTTCCTATTCCATGGCCAGAATTGGCTGATCATCAGTCCCAAAGCTGACCAGGCCGAGACCAAGATGCCCACAGCACTTAGAGATAAAAAATGGAGCAAATGCCACCCCCTTTAAATGGAAATCATGCAAGTCAATGGCCTAGCACTGTACCTGGCCCAGGGAGGCCTCCAACCGTAGTAGTTTTATTTTTGCTGGGAGGAAGAGCACTCAGGAGAGCGTTCTTTTCACTTGCTTCCAGACTCCCTCCCACATGCCCTGCTGGCCCTGGGGTGGGGTGCAGCGGTAGGGAAGAAAGAGCGAGCCCTAAGAGTCCTCAGGACAGACATCTATTCTGCAGCCACATGCCCCTCCCTGAAGATAACCCACTTGAGCTCTTTTTACTAAACACCATTGGCTCCCGTCCTCCCCCTGGCCTCCAAATCGACTTTGGTCTGATCAGGGTGATGGAGAACTTTTTCTGAGGCTGGGTCTCTTGGGGACCATGTCTGGTGGTTCATCACTATCCCAGGGAAGGTCGGGGTGGGGGTGGAAGATGACGTCGAATCAGTGAGAAAGGTCTGAGGGTGAGCAGGACCCGTTAGGCCATCACAGGTGGGACAGCTCCCCCAAGGAGGAGGAAAACCAAGGCTTTCTATGGTTGCCTATCAGCGGAGAAGTGGGGCCAGCACTCTGCAGAGGACCTCCAAAATCCTAGAACATCAGGTCGAAAAGGTTTTAGGGCCATCTCAGCATACCCCCTTGCTTTGTGGAAGAGGATGCTGAGGCAATCTGAAATGATCAAACACCCTGCGTGAGTATCCAAGAGTGGGGGCAGTGTTGAGATGGCAAAGGAGGGGACGCAAGAGCTATGGGTGCTGTGGCCTCTGACCTGGAGGCAATCTTGCTCCAGCTGAAGGGGCCCTGGTGCCTCAACATGCAAGACCCACCTTCAGTTTTGGCATAAGTGGGTGAATCCCTGCTTCTGGCCAGTTGGGGTGACCCTTTCTGGATCCCAGTGACATCTCTCATCACTCAGAAAGGCCACATGGATGAAGGAGGGCATGCTGGGAGGAGTCAGATGTCTGGGCTTCAGCCCTGCATGATGCAGGGAGCACTCCCCCTTTCTTTTTTCATTATTATTATTGTTTATTATACTTTAAGTTCTGGGATACATGTGCAGACTGTGCAGCTTTGTTACATAGGTATACACGTGCCATTGTGGTTTGCTGCACCCATCAACCCATCATCTACATTAGGTATTTCTCCTAATGCTATCCCTCCCCTGGCCTCCCACCCCCCGACAGGCCCTGGTGTGTGTTGTTCCCCTCCCTGTGTTCATCTGTTCTCATTGTTCAACTCCCACTTATGAGTGAGAACACGCGGTGTTTGGTTTCCTGTTCCTGTGTGAGTTTGCTGAGAATGATGGTTTCCAGCTTCATCCAAGTCCCTGCAAACAACATGAACTCATTTTTTTTATGGCTGTGTAGTATTCCATGGTGTATATGTGCCACATTTTCTTTATCCAGTCTATCATTGATGGGCATTTGGGTTGGTTCCAAGTCTTTGCTATTGTGAACAGGGCTGCAATAAACATACGTGTGCATGTGTCTTTATAGTAGAAACACTCCCCCTTTCTAAACCAGGTTCCTCCTGGACCCACTTTCCTAACCCAGCGTGTGGCTGATGAGAATTTGCTGGGAGGCTAGTCACGCAATAGCTTTGTAGACTGTGAAGTGCCGCGCAGGTAGGAGGGACTGTCGTGGCCAGCCGGGATAGCCAACCCAGACGTCGAGAGGAGGACTTAATCAGACATTCATTTGCCAGCCCAGAGTGATCTTCTGGCTTTTACCTCCCTCTTTTCTTTTCTTTTCTTTTTTTCTGTTAATAGTTTTTTATTTATTTTATTTATTTGTTTTTTATTATTATACTTTAAGTTCTAGGGTACATGTGCACAATGTGCAGGTTTGTTACATATGTATACATGTGCCTTGTCGGTTTGCCGCACCCTTGCCTCCCTCTTTTCTACCTTCCTTGTGGCTTAACTCCAAACTCTGCCCCACCAGGGAATGGGACAAGGGAAGGAGCTTAATCCTCCCCATAATATGCCTCTGAGATAGGTATCAGCATACCCATGTTACAGATAAATAAACCGAGGCCAAGAGAGATTAAATAACCCTACCCTACAGCTGCTGAGAGGCAGCACTGGGATATGAACCCAAGTCACTCTGACTCTAGATACATCCGAATCCCAAGGTGGGAGGTAATAGTACACGGTGGAATGTGAGCTACACAAGGGCCAGGATTCATAGACGATTTGTTCACTCCTGTATCCCCAGCCCCTGAAGCAGCACCTGACACTGTCAACAGTCAATATTTTAAAATAATACATATTGGCTAGGTGCGGTGGCTCACACTTGTAATCCCAGCAATTTGGGAGGCCGAGGTGGGCGGATCACCTGAGGTCAAGAGTTCAAGACCAGCCTGGCCAATATGGTGAAACCCTGTCTCTACTAAAAATACAAAAGCTTAGCCAGGCATGGTGGCGGGCACCTGAAATCCTAGCTACTTGGGAGACTGAGGCAGGAGAATCGCTTGAACCTGGGAGGGAGAGGTTGTAGTGAGCCGAGATCACACCACTGCACTCCAGCCTGGGCATGACAGAGAGAGACTCTGTCTCTAAAATAAATTAATGAATATCAACATTAATGTAAAAGTTTGGTGTAGCCAAAGTGACTAGGAATAAAAAAGTTATTGGGAGCTATATCTTACATCACCGTTTTACAGAGGGTTCTGTGTGGTGGATAATTTGAGGTGGCATTTCTTTTTAAAGATAGAGGTGGGGTCTTGCTACGTTGTCCAGGCTAGTCTTGCTCTCCTGGCTTGAAGTGATTCTCCCGAATGGGCCTCCCAAAGTGCTGGGATTACAGGTGTGAGCCACGGAGCTGGGATTACATGTGTGAGCCGCTGGGTTGGCTAGGGGTAGCAGTTGACTGTTCATGGTAGCGGTTTCTCTAGCCATGGCAGAGGTTTGGGCCTCAGAGAGTAGTTGAGTAAAAAAGAAATAGCATTAGCAGTGAAGTAAAATCTCTGTGGACATATATAGATTATATTAAAATTACGTGATAGAGGCAAATCCTACTTTGCCCCTTGGTAGGCCCCTTGGGAAGACCTTACGGAGAAGAGAACACTGCATGCTTTAAAAAAAACCATTACAGCCTTTAATTTTATATATTTAAAGATATTGGACCTTGATGCAAGGAAACCAACTTTTAATTCATCCTGCTTATTTATTTATTTTGAGACAGAGTCTCACTCTATCGCCCAGGCTGGAGTACAGTGGCATGATCTCTGCTCACTGCAACCTCCACCTTCCAGGTTCAAGCGATTCTCCTGCCTCAGCCTCCCGAGTAGCTGGGATTACAGGCACGCACCACCACGCCAGGTTAATTTTTGTATTTATAGTAGAGATGGGGTTTCACCATGTTGGCCAAGCTGGTCTCGAACTCTTGACTTTGGGTGATCCGCCCACCTTGGCCTCCCAAAGTGCTGGGATTACAGGCATGAGCCACCGTGCCCGGCCCCCAGTTTTATTTTTACTGAGCACCTACTATGTGCCATGCACTGGGTTAAGCCCTGGCAGGTTCAGAGATGTCCAAGGGATGGCCCTCAGCTCTAAAGAGCATCTCAAGGCCAGGGCCCTTAGGGAGCCCTCCCTAGGGAGAGCCAGGGGCAGAAGGGCATGCTCAGGGGCTCGCTCTGCCCAGTGTGGCTCTGTCCGCTCTCATTCCGGGTGGGTGGGAGGGTCAGCTTCCTGCAAGAGATCAGTCTGGGGCGTCTCTCTTTCTCCTGTCTCTCCCTCACCTTCCACACTCCACCCCCTCCTCTGGCTGATTGAAAAGGTGCAAGGGGGAATCTGAGAGATTCTGTGCTGTTTGTTTTGGGTTCAATGGAATCTCATTTACACGTGTTAATTGCAACTAATTGGCACTAATTGGATGAACAGGAAACCTCTGGGAGCACTCATACCTTTAATTTATAGTAAATATCATTAATTAACATATGCTAATTAGAGCCAATTAACATTGATTAAGGGTTGCCAGCTACTTGGAAAGTACAACTCTGTGTCCTCCTCCCTTGATTGTCTGAAGTCAGCACAAAATATGATACATGAAGTCTGAGGGGAGGAGAAGATGGCACATGGAATCGGGTGGCATCTCCCAGCGGAGGGCATCACGGCTCCAGCAGCCCTCACCGAAGCTGGGCACTTAGAGGATGGCACCACCCTCACCTTCCCCAGGGAAAAGGGGTCTGCAGGGGAAGGGCCCTGCGAGATTAGCACTTCTCAGGGAGTGGGAAGGAGCAGATGGTGGGAGGTTCTGGGTGCTGAGATGTTCCCCCTTTTGCCTGGCCCCCAGATGGCAGACCCAGCCAGGGTGGGTTGAAACAGGACTGGAGGTCAGCTGGTGGAGAGACTGGGGCCACTGAGAGCAAGGAATGTTTGGGACTCCTCCTCCAGAGATGAGTGGTGGTGAGCTACCCACTGCCCATTGACCCAGTACCATCTGGCATGGGGCGTATGTGTGTGGCCAATTGGAGTGACCCTTTCTGGATCCCAGTAACATCTCTCATCATCCAGAAAGGCCACACAGATGAAGGAGGGCATGCCAGGAGGAGTCAGAGGGGCGTGTGTGTGTGTGTGTGTGTGTGTGTGTGCGCGCGCGCGCGTGCGCACAAAGCCTCCTCCATCTGACATGGATGTATGAATGGGGATATATCTCCTCCATCTGACACGAGGTGCATAGATGATAGGACCACCTCTGTCAGACATCTCCTTTGAGAGTTTTGAGATATTTTTTACTGAAGACTAGGATGCTATTCAAACTTCCCAGGGGCGGTGTCAGTTAAAAAAAAAAATCATTTGCCCAGGAGCCAGAATGCTTTTAGTTTCCACTTTCAGTTCTGTTACTAACTAGTTATGGGACCCTTGGGATTTATTTTAAAAATGTATACATTGTTTTATTTTAGTCTAATTACAAAAGAAATAAATGTTTATGGCAAATCTCACCCTCTCCATTGCTTCCTTCTGTAATGGGCATCTGAGGCCCCGCCCTTCCTCTTCTATAATATTCACCTTGTCGTTTTGTGTTCAATGTCCATCTTCATCAAGAGGCTGTGAGTTTCCCGAAGACAGGGTTTAAGTCTGTCTTGTTCATTGTGCTATTTCATGGACACTAAAAATACTTGCTGGCTAGGTGTGGTGGCTCATGCCTGTAATCTGAGCACTTTGGGAGGCTGAGGCGGGAGAATTGCTTGTGTCCAGGAGCTCAAGACCAGCCTGGGCAACATAGAGAGACCTTGTCTCTATAAAAAATAAAAAATTAGCTGGGTCCAGTGGTGCATACCTGTGGTCCCAGCTACTCGGGAGGCTGAGGTGGGAAGATCACTTGAGCCTGGGAGGTCAAGGCTGCAGTGAGCTGAGATCATGCCACTGCACTCCAGCCTGGGCAACTGTGAGACCTTGTCTTCATAAAATTAAAAATAAATAAAAATAAAAATATTTATTGCACGAATGAGTGAATGAATGAGTAAAACAAAAACCATCTGTATTTTCTACCACCACAGAGAAAAATGACATTTGGCATTTGGGATGTGTGTGTGTGTATGTGTTTGTGTATATATATATATATATATATATATATATATATATAAAACATGTTATACGTAAAGTACACACACACACACACACACACACACACACACACACACACGGCTGTCCCAAAAGGCTTAGTGTAGTTTTTGCTTTAATAACTTCAAAAGTGTAAATGCTACAAACTTTAAAGAACAAAAAAAACCTAAAACCTTAATAATTTCAAATTATTATACACTTAGCATTGCGCCCTCCAGAAAGGCTGAAATTGTTTACAGTTCTGTTAGCACTGGATGAGAATGTGGGTTTCTCAGATTCCAGCTAGCCCTGGGCACTGCTTCTCTCTTTGAGCCACCAGGTAAGTCATTAAGCCCTTTTACTCATCTGCGGAATGGGGTCAGTGACATCAGCACTACTTAACCCTCCCGGTCTCTCATGTGGGAGAATGGGGGTGATTTTGTGACCCAGAGACAGGAGTGTTTGTTCTTCAAGAGATTTTAGTGTTATAGCTCCCAGATTTGAGCTGCTGGCTCTGATGAAAAGAGATGGGGGCCTGGGTGGGACAGAACTTGGAGAAACCTCACCTCCAAGGGAACCTCTGTGGGTAGGTCTTCATTCACCTAACTCAGAGAAATAGGGCTTTCCTGGAGGGGTTTGGGGTTCAGGACAAGGCAAATCATAAAGACTGGAAAAGTCCCCCCATAGCACCACACAGGGTAAAGTGAGTTAAGACCCCTTGCTGTGGGACAGGCCCTCTTCTATATTCTTACATGCGTTCATTCCTTTAATCTTCCCACAACCCAATGATGTAGGTTACTAGTATTAACCCATTTTGCAGATGAGGAAACTGAGGCTCAGACAGGTTAATTAACATGCCCTAGGTCGCACAGCCACCAAGTGGCAGGGCTTCGATGTGAATGGAAGTTTAGAGCCTGTGCTGCCTGCTGTGTACTGCACCCTCCCATACACCCACCTCTGGTTTGAGGAAGCTGTGGCTCCTGGGGTGGAAGCCCCAAGGCGAGGAGCCCCCTGCCGCCTAGGTCCCAGCAGCACTGCTGCCTGAGTCCAAGTGGACCCCCGTTCCCAGCTCCTTCCCCATGGAAATCTGAGGTCTGAGGGAGAGCTGCTGGCGAGGTTCACAGCAGCTTAATTACCAAAGTGATTTTAATTTGTTTTTATTAATTGAAATCTCATTAAGCAAGTAATTTACTCCAACACAGCTTAGGAGTCCACAGTTCCATGGGTGAGGAGGCTAAAGGGGTTTTTAGAACTTGCCTTCATCTGGGGACTGTGCCTCTTACCTGATCCTGTGGCCTGTGTGCCTCTGAGTGTGTGTGTGCATGGGCTTCCCACAGAAGGGTCCCCCAAGGGGACCAGAAGCACCCTTTCTCCTTCTTTGCCCATGCCCCCCTGCCCCACTGCCACAGGGCTCTAGACCTTCCCTGCCTTGCCTTGTTCCCTGGAGTGATGAGGAAAAAATGAACCTGAGCTGTCCCTCTGCAGTGGATGTGTGTACCCAGGTGTGTGGCACGTGGTGCAGACACACACAGATACCATTTCGTATTCACTTATTTTTGTGCCAAGTGCTGTTCTGGGCACCAAAGGTGCTGGGAGAAAAATGGGTCTTCACTTCCTATAGTAAATAGCTCCTTTGCCCCAAATGGTCTTGGGGACAGAGGTCATCCAGGAAAGAGGCAGTTTCTGGGCTGGCTTCTCCCCCATCTCAGCCTATACAAGTGCCCCCACCTCTCAAGATCATGTTGTGGCCACTTCTCCAAAGAGCATTAATTCTCTGCGTCCTCCAGATGCACTGCCTTTCTCCTTGGTGTGTTTCTTCTGAGTTGTGTGGGTCCCCCCTCTGGATTCATTCTTCTGTATACCAGAGAGACGTGCTTCTCTTGCTAGCTGGACTGAAGCACTGTGAGGCAGAGAACTTGCTTTATTTATCCAACCTGAGACGCAGAAGACAGAAATTCTTCCAAACCTGTGCCTTACAGGTGCTGTTCAACTATTGTGCAGCAAATGAGTGGATGAGTTGTGTCCTGCCCCTCCTTTAGAATGCAGCTGAAATGACACTTTTTTGGCAGGGGACAGCAGCGCACGACTAAGATTTGTAAGCACTGTTTTTTAAAATTGTGGTAGAATACACATAACATAAAATTTACCATTTTCCACCATTTTAAAGTGTTTAGTTCAGTGGCATTAAGTACATTCACATTGTTATGCAACCATCACCAGTGTCCATCTCCAGAGCTTTCTCATCGTCCCAAATTGAAACCCTGTACCCATTAAGCAATAACTCCCCATCTTTCCTCCCCCAGCTTCTGGCAACCACCCTTTTACTTCTTTCTCCATGAATTTCAGTCCTCTTGTACTTCATGGAAGTGGAACCCTGCCACGTTAATCCTTTTGTGTCTAGCTTAGTTCTGAAATGGCACTTTTTTTTTTTTTTTTGGAGATGGAGTTTCTCTTTGTCACCCAGGCTGGAGTGCAGTGGCGAGACCTTGGCTCACTGCAACCTCCACCTCCCAGGTTCAAGCGATTCTCCTGCCTCGGCCTCCTGAATAGCTGGGATTACAGGCGCCCACCACCATGCCCGGCTAATTTTTTGTATTTTTAGTAGAGACGGGGTTTTGCCATGTTGGGCAGGCTGGTCTCAAACTCCTGACCTCGTGCTCCACCGCCCTTTGCCTCCCAAAGTGTTGGAATTACAGGCGTGAGCCACCGTGCCCGGCCGTCACTTTTAAAGGGAGGTCTTTTCTGAACTCTGGACTCTGTCAGTTCACCTGTCACATGTTCCTGGGTCCCCTTCCATTACTCTCTCATGCAGCACAAGTCCTTGCCATTGTCTTCCTTCCCCAACTGTAATCTCCAATAGGGCAGAGGACACTTGGCTTCTTCCGGACTGGGGTCCTGGCTTAGATGTGATGGTTTTCAACAGGGTGTTTCACAGTGGGGCCACCACAGGCATTTGGGGAGGCCAATTTTTTTTTTTTTTAAATTGAGACAGGGTCTCGCTCTGTAGCCCATGCTAGAGTGCAGTGGCAAGAACACAGCTCACTTCAGCCTTGACCTCCTGAACTCAAGGGGATCCTCTTGCTTCAGCCTCCTGAGTAGCTGGGACTACAGGTGCACACCAACACGCCTGGCTAATTGGTTTATTATTATTATTATTTGTAGAAATGGAGTCTCACCATGTTGCCCAGGCTGCTCTTGAACTCCTGGGCTCAAGCAACAGGAAGGCCAATTCTTCATTGAACGGGACTGTGTGGGCCATTTAGCATTCCTGGCCTTGCTTATTCAGTGCCTGTAGCAGCCCCCAAATAATTGTGACAACCCAAACATACCCTCCACATCTTCCTACCTTCCCTGGGTGGGGTGGGAGTTTGAAACTAGTACAATTGCCTGTACACTGCCTGGCACATAGTAGGGGCTCAGTGAGCGTATGTTGAAAAGGTGACTGAGAGCGTGTATGAGCCGTGCCTCTGACCTGGCTGGTGTTTCTCCGAGATGGGCGCATGCGCATGTGAGGCTGCGGCACATGCCGCTCCTCTGGCCTGTGCCCCTGGGTGTACTGTACCAGCTGAGGATTCTGAGACCTGCTGTAGACCAGGACCCTGCTTCTCTGGAGTTCTGTCTGCATTGAGTGTCCACAATTTTTGTCTCTCCTCGTGGCCCCTGGCTGCCTCCTCCCTTTGCCCCTGACTATGGCCACTTGGTAGATTTCCAGGCCTGACATTTCGAACATGCAATGCCATATGTATTGCCACTCTCAGGTAATTATCACGTAAAATTAAGCTAGTCTTGTACATGAAACCAGCAATTAGCCAGGGATTGAAGGTCAGGGAGAGCTCGTTTATAGAGTCGCTAACAAAATGTTAAGTGGAAGTGTGTGTCAGATGGGCCAGGAGGCTGGATTAGCCGGGGTCGCAGCGGTGGGACTGGAGAGCTGGTGGAGACTCCTAGCTCTGTAGTACTGGGCACAGCGGGAGGAGCTGGGGATTTACAGCTCACACTTTTCTCTTCCAGCTCTCAATCTGGGGCATGACTTTGAAGGGAAGGTTGCTAAGCCTCCTAAATCCCGATACACACCAATGCCGTTTCCCCACTCATCTGGAAACCTGGTGGGTCCTGCCCAAACGCCTGTATGTCAATTCCACCTCCTGCTTGGCGACCCACCATGCCCACATTTTCCACTCAAGCCTTTCAGATCTGCTTTGGGCACCTGAAGACAGAGAGAATCATCTTTCAAGAGTCAGAAACTTTGCACGTGCCATTCCCTCTGCTTAGAATGCTTTTCCCTTTCTCCCAATTGCCTTATCATCAGCCTGGGAAAATATTTATTTCGGCTCCTAAAATCTCAGATATCACTTCTCCAGGAGCTTTCCCAGATGCCTCACTTGATTCCAGAAGGAGCTATCGCCACTTTTGCCTGGCGAGTACGTTTTCACCGTTACACTTATACGCTATGGCAATTTATTGGTGATTTGTCTGTCTCCCCTACTCAATAGTGAATTATTCATCTATCCCTGGAAACCTGGAACTGCTCAATAAATGTATGTGGCATGAATATACATATTATTCTCTTCTGCCTTTTGTTTTTTTACACATTCTTCAAGGCCCTGCTCGGGCATCACCTCCTTTGTGTAGCTTTCCTGGATTCACTTCCCTAGTAGAATTAATTATGCCTTCTACATTCCCATGGCACTTTGTGTGTGATTTCATTACAACACTTGCCAAATCGCTTCATATTTCCTTATCGGTCTATCTGGGGCTACCACATTGCACAACTCCAGGGGACACAATTTGCATTAAATCAAGCAACGTAGAGATGGCACCTGTACCTGCCCACTAGGCAGTGACCTTCTGCAGAGCAAAGACCCCATGACTTTATTAACACCCTGCATACAATGTGCTTTTCTTGTCCACGTTAGTGTCCATTCAGAATAGGTATGCAATAAACATGCAGTGAACATATGTTTAATTTTTCATCAGGGACAGGAGGTTCAGTGGAGAGAGCTCTAGAGTTGGAGACTGGGGATGTGGGTTCCAGTTCTAAATTGCTGTGCAGCCTTAGGTGAACCACTTAACCTTCCTGGTTCTCATCCTTTAAAATCAAGTCATATATGCTGAAGTGCCTAGGACAAAGTAGGTGCACAATGCATATCAGTTTCCCCCTTTTCTTCATCTGTAAAATGAAGAATTTTAATATTCCTTGTATTCTTCTTCTTCTTTTTTTTTTTTTGAGATGGAGTCTCACTCTGTCAGCCAGGCTGGGGTGCAGTGGCGCGATCTTGGCTCACTGCAACCTCCGCCTCCCGGGTTCAAGCGATTCTCCTGCCTCAGCCTCCTAAGTAGCTGGGACTACAGGTGCCTGCCACCATGCCCCGCTAATTTTTGTATTTTAGTAGAGACGGGGTTTCACCATATTGGCCAGGCTGGTCTTGAACTCCTGACCTCGTGATCCGCCCACCTCGGCCTCCCAAAGTGCTGGGATTACAGGGGTGAGCCACCACACCAGGCCTATTCCTTGTATTCTTGTAGAATGATGAGGTCTCAGGATTGGAAGGAGTTTTGAAAGGGATGTGGCCTAACCCTTGGCATCTTTGAGAGGTCGTCATCGAGTTCCAGTTTGTGCATCTCTGGTAATGAACTATTTCCTCACAAAATAGGCTATTCCACCTTCAGACAGCTCTGCCTTGAAAAGAGCTCTATTGTCTGACTCTTGGCTTCCAAGATTCTCCACCATACGGCCTGGTTTTATATCATGAGGCTAGTCCCACTGCCTCAGATGATAGTCATAGACAGCGATCTGCTCTAGGCTCAAAGATGCCAGTTCTATTGCCATTCCTTATGTGACTTGATTTAAAACCCAGTCACCATCTTGGTTACCCTCTTCTGAGCTTGCCCCTCTTTGTCCAAAGACCTCTTAAGATGGAGCACCAGAAAAGGATAGGACACTCACCTTCCTTTTCTAGAACGTGCACTTTTTTTTTTTTTTTCCTGAGATGGAGTTTCACTCTTCTCACCCAGCCTGGAGTGCAATGGCGCGATCTCGGCTCACTACAACTTTCGCCTGCTGGGTTCAAATGATTCTCCTGCCTTAGCCTCCCTAGTAGCTGGGACTACAGGCGTGCATCACTACGCCCAGCTAATTTTGTATTTTTAGTAGAGACAAGGTTTCACCATGTTGGCCAGGGTGGTCTCAAACTCCTGACCTCAGATAATCCACCCGCCTCAGCCTCCCAAAGTGCTGGGATTACAGGTGTGAGACACCGTACCCAGCCAGAACATGTGCTTTTATTAATGGAACCCAAGATTGTGTTGTTGGCATCTATATGCCTTTGTTTTTCTTTTTTCTTTTTTTGTTTTTGAGACTGAGTCTTGCTCTGTTGCCCGGGCTGGAGTGCAGTGGCACAATCTGGGCTCACTGTAACCTCCACCTCCCAGGTTCAAGTGATTCTCATGCCTCAGCCTCCCAAGTAGCTGGGATTACAGGAGCGTGCCACCATGCCTGGCTAATTTTTGTATTTTTAGTAGAAGAGTTTCGCCATTTTGGCTGGGCTGGTCTCGAACTCATGACCTCAAATAATCCGCCCACCTCGGCCTCCCAAAGTCCTGGGATTACAGGTGTGAGCCACTGCACCAGCCTATATCTCTTTCAATCCTAACAAACATTTCACCATAAGGAGGCAAAGTGCATGAGCAGAATTTCTTTAAAATTTTATTTCACATTTTACAAGTCTGCATTATAAAAAAAAAAACCCACCATATGCAAAGTACAAAAACCAATGACAAACTAGGGGAGAAATATTTGCAACTCACACCACAGGCAAAGAGCTCATTTCTTTAATAGACCAAAAAAAAATATCCACAGCTCAGTGTGAAAAATATCCACAATCTAATAAAAATATGAGCAAAGGATATTAGAAAGTTGACAGGAAAGGGCCTGAAATTGCTTTGTTTGTTTGAGACAGTCTTGCTCTGTCTCCCAGGTTGGAGTACAGTGGCATGATCATGGCTAACTGCAGTCTTGACCTCCCAGGCTCCAGTGATTCTCCTGCATCAGCATCCTGAGGCGACTACAGGTGCACACTACCATGCCCAGCTAATTTTTGTATTTTTTTTTTTTTTTTTTTTTGTAGAGATGGAGACTCCCTAAGTTGCTCAGGCTGGGCTTGAACTCCTGGGCTCCATTGATCCTTCCACCTCTGCCTCCCAAACTGCAGAGATTACAGACATAAGCCACTATGCCCAGCCTTGAAATTGCTCTCAAATATATGAGAAGATGCTTAACCTCACTCATCATAAGAGAAATGCAAATTAAAATCACAGTTGTTTTTCACCTGTCACCTTGGCACACATAAAGATATCTGATAACATTTTGTTGGTAAAAGTGTGGGAAAATAGGCACTCTCATACATTGCAAGGGTAAATTGATAGACTCTGTCTTGGTGGGGATGGGGATTTGGCTTTATCTACTAAATTTTAAAAATGCACAGATGCTTTGTTTCGGCTGTTCCACCTCTAGGAATGCATCCTGAAGATGTACTCACACGTTCACAATAGAAGTCATGTTCCATGAGGGCAGGGACTTCTGCCTGTTTTGTTTACTGTTCTATCTCTAGCACCTGGAATGCTGCCCAGCACATAGCAGGTGCTCAATAAATGTGCTGGGCACATTTAGTAGGTGCTCAACATTTTTAGTAAGAGCAAAAGAGCAGAAATAATGTAAATGTCCCGTTATTATGGAGGAGTATACTGCTGTTAAAAAGACCAGGACAGCCCTCCGTGTACTGATATGTAAGGATCTCCAAGGTATATTACGTGAGAAAACCAAGGTGCAGAAAAACGTATGTAATAACAATGCAGCTGGGTATTTGCTTGTCTAAACACAGAAGGTCTCTGGAAGGAAGCTCTCAAACTGGCCACTGTACTTGCTTTTGGACAGAACAAATTGGGGCCCTGGAACACGGGGTGAGAAGTAGCTTAATTTTTCAGCATATTTGCATATATATATATATATATTTTTTTTTTTTTGAGAAGGATTTTTGCTCTTGTTGCCCAGGCTGGAGTGCAATGGCATGATCTCGGCTCACTGCAGCCTCTGCCTCCTGGGTTCAAGCGATTCTCCTACCTCAGCCTCCCGTGTAGCTGCAGTTATAGGCTCCTGCCACCACGCCCGGCTAATTTTTTATATTTTCAGTAGAGACGGGGTTTTGCCATGTTGGCCAGGCTGGTGTGGAACTCTTGGCCTCAGGTGATCTGCCCACCTTGGCCTCCCAAAGTGCTGGGATTACAGGTGTGGACCACCACACCCAGCCATTTGCTTATATTTCATTTGGATTTTAGATACTGTGAATGTATTACATTTATTTATTTATTTATGAGGCAGAGTCTCCCTCTGTCACCTAGGCTGGAGTGCAGTGGCACAATCTGGGCTTACTGCAACCTCTGCCTCCTAGATTCAAGCGATTCTCCTGCCTCAGCCTCCCAAGTAGCTGGGACTATGTACTCGCCACCACACCTGGCTGATTTTTGTATGTTTAGTTAGAGACAAGGTTTTACCATGTTGGCCAGGCTGGTCTCAAACTCCTGACCTCAGGTGATCTGCCTGCCTTGGCCTCCCAAAGTGCTGGGATTACAGGCGTGAGCCACTGTACCCGGCCATGTTTAAATAAACAAATACAATTCAGAATTTTAAAATAGCTGGGTTCAGGAATTAATCCTTTGCTTTTGAAGTGTACATTCATGTACATGTGTGTTTGTACATTTTTTTTTTTTGTCTGAGGCAGGGTCTTGCTCCGTCACCCAGGTGGGAGTGCAGTGGCACGATCATGGCTCACTGCAGCCTTGACCTCCTGGGCTCAAGTGATCCTCATTTTTTGTAGAGATAAGTTCTCACTGTGGGCTCAAGCAATCCCTGCACCTCGGCCTCCCAAAGTGCTGGGATTATAAGTGTGAGCCACTGGGTCTGCCACGTCTGCACATTTCTGAAGATGTGCATGTATGTGTATGTGTGCATGTATGTGTATGTGTGCATGCATGTATATTTCCAATCTATTACTTTGTTCACAACTGCAGATTAGTCTAGACTAAATGAAACAGGTCCCAAGGATTTCCCTTGTTTGACAGTCTTTGATGGCTCCCCCTTATCTATAAAATCCAAGCTCTTAGTCCAGCATCTCAAGATCTTCTGTCATCTGACCCTAACCTACCTCCTGCCACTCCCTTCACACAGTTTTGCCACAGACAAATGGAGCTACTTGCTTTCCCTATGTCCACCCGCCAATATCCCATCCTATGTCTTGAACTGTGTTCTTTAGAAAACCAAGAACCCCTTCACTTTCATTACTGCATCAAATCATACCCACTCTCCAAGACCCATCAGGAGCCTCTTTCTCCAGGAGGGCTACCTTGATGTCCCCAGTGGGAAGTAGACTCTCATTTTTCATCTGCATTTCTCTTACAGCATTCAGGTTTTTTCAGCCTTGTAATGAAAGCTGTTTCCACACCTGATCACTATTCTCCTAAGCTATTGGAAGGAAGGCAGGGTCCAAGCTTGATTCCTATTTGCATGGTCCTCAGAGCCCATTAAATGCCAGGCACATAGTAGGTGCTTGAGAAATACTGAAGGAATGGATATGCCTGTGTCTATGTGGTGGTGATAAGTCAGTCTGTTCTTTGTATAGTCTGAGCCATCACTATCGTGTTCGTCATCGCTGGGGAAAAGCCTTTTTCATACCTCGCTGCACCCGGCCCTGTGTGGGGCCTTCTGTAGAGCAGCTCAGCGTGAGCCACCACAGCCCCTCCATACCCACCAGCCTCGCTGCAGAAGAGGGGCCCAGACGTGACCAGACGGTGAGGCAGCCACATTCCAGACGGATGAGGCACGCCTGGGAGGTCACATGTCTGGCTCACAACCCACCTGCAGGCACTCAAGCTTTACCGACCCTTGAACTGCCCTGGGGTTCGAATCCTCACTCTCCCTGTGAGTCTGTGCAAATGGGAACTCGCTGTCTCAAGGTTCTTGTCTGTAAAATGGGGATGGCAAGCCCTGCCTCATGGCTGCCGTGAGGCGTGGAGAGACTGTCTGGGTAGTGCCTTGCCGAGGGCCTGGCATCTGGCAGGTTCTCAGAGGTTGACATGCAGGAAGCCACATCAGCCCGAGCTAAACCTAGAAAGGTAAATGTATTGCCAAAAACCCCATATGCCAAGCAGCACTTTAGTACAAAGCCAAACAGATTTTTTTGACTCGACCGTTGTTTGGGATTATTTTGCCACAGTTAATGCTCTGTGGGTGAGAACTCAAGACCCACCCAGGGTGTGGTATGAATGGTGGCCTCACATGTGCGAATGGACCCGTGTGCATGTACACAGACACATGGGTGTGCGCACTTGTTCTGTACAGATGTGTACAGACATTCACATGTTGGTGGACTCCGCAGCAGTCGTGCATGTGTGTCCGTGTGTCCATGTGTCCATACACGCGATGTGTTTGCTCCCGGCCATTCATGTCCTGGTGCTGGCCTAGAGGCCCAGGCAAACTGGGACACACCACCAGAAGGAATAAGGGCTGGCTGGAGAAACACTGAGAAAAGATGGGTAAGAAGGAAAAAATATTGAAACACTCAACACGTGGGTGAGGGGCATGAAGGACAGGAGAGTGTAGTGGCTAAGAGAGCAACCTCTGAACCTCTCCTGGGTTCAATCCCTCTTTCTGCTGATTCCCAGCTTGTCGCTTGGGCAGGTCACTCAACCCCTATCTGCCTCAGTTTCTCATCTATGAAATGGGGATTAGAACAACAGCACCTATGAAATAGGCCTGTTGGGAGGAGTAAATGAGTGAATACACAGGAAGTACTCAGTGGGGCCTGGTACCAAGTAAGTGCTTGCTTCAAAAATACTGGTGGTGAGGGATGGCCTCTGCCAGGGCTCTCCTTTCCTTCCTCTTCCTCCCCTCTGAGTTGTCGCCTCCCAGCATCTTTCCCTCCTCTCTCCTCCCCTACATCACTCTCCAGCCCCCCAACAATGTCCTGGTCTTTGCCAGAGCCAGGTTGGGAGCATGCAGCACGTGCCACTGGCAGGGAAAGAAGGCCAACATGGAGCAGGAGGAGGTGGAGATGCTGGCTCCGAAATGTTGCTTCTTTTTTTCTCCCTGTTTCCCCAGCATGCTCCCAGAGGCAGGAGGTTTGGGGGACAGTGGGAGGGCTCCAAAGAACAGACAATCCCAGCCATTCCCCAGCGGGCCGTGGGTCAGGCCCCTCCTTGCTCCATCTGCCTCTGCCGCAGCCTGTGCCATCCGGTTTGCCAGCCCAGCCCAGCAGGCTGGGACCCCAGGCTGTGCCAGCCCTGGCCCCGCTGGGGGTGGGAGTGGGCCATGGCCTGGGGTCCTTGAGGGGTTCTCTTGCTTTGTTTTATTTTTCTTTATCTCTTCTTTGCTTTCTGAGCCCTGGTCTTTCCCAGCCCTTGTGGCTCTGACTCTGTCCTGCGCCAGCCTCTCTAGCTGTCTCACCCGTCCCTGCATCTCTGCCACCACCTGCCCTGGGTCTTCTGCCAGCTCTGGGCTCAGGGAGCATCAGGCCCTGTCAGCCTCAGCTCCTGCACACACCCCTCTTCGCCTCCTGGGCTGAAGGCTGGCAGCCCCAGCATCTGGAGGGGCTGGCTCTCTGCTCCGGCTGCCCTGGGCCGAGGGTCCTCCTCCTTGTCCCCAGCCTGTCTTCCCCTGTTCCCCTCTCCCCAGTGGCTAGAGTCCTCTTCCCACCCCTCTGCATCCTCCCAGCCCAGGACAGCTTGCTGCCCTCCAGGCCTTGGCTGGAGGCTCACAATGAAGCTGCCTCCCCCCACAGACTGGGAGGTGGAGAATCACCATGGCAACCAAGAAAGCCTCCCCTTCCTCCCCTCCTCTCCCCTTCCTCCCCTCCTCTCCCCTTCCTCTCCCAGCTTCACAGAAGGGGCTAGAGCTCTGGGGGTGCGGGGCAGTCCAAGCCCTCAGAGATACAGGATGGAGAATGGCAGAGGAACAGGAGTAGCTGATGGGACATTTGTGAGAGAAATGGGCCAGTCATGGGACCATAATTCTTGAGGAACTCGGTCCCACTGATTATGTGACTAGTGTGGTCCCAGCCACCAGCTGAGTTCCTATGGCTCTGACTCATCTGGGCACCTTGCTAAATGCAGAGCTTCAGCCTCCATCCTAGACCTACTGAATTCCATCTCCACAGTTGGGTCCTAGGGACCCATATTTTAGATTCTCTCTAGATGATTTCTTTTCTTTTTCTTTTCTTTTCTTTTCCCTTCCTTCCTTCCTTTCCTTCTTTCTTTCTTCTTTCTTTCTTTTCTTTCTTTCCTTCCTTTCTTTTTTTTTTTTTGGTCTTGCTCTGTCACCCAGGAGTGGGATCCCTTCAGTGGCGGGATCTCGCCTCACTGCAATCTCTGCCTCCTGGGTTCAAGTGATTCTCCTGTCTCAGCTTCCTGAGTAGCTGGGATTACAGGCACCCACCACCACGCCCAGCTAATTTTTGTATTTTTAATAGAGACGGGGTTTCACCATATTGGCCAGGCTGGTCTTGAACTCCTGACCTTGTGATCGACCTGCCTTGGCCTCCCAAAGTGCTGGGATTACAGGCATGAGCCACTGCACCTGGCCCTCTCTAGGTAATTTCTATATATGCCAAAGTTGAAGACACACCAACAGGCCTGTGTTTAAATCCTGGCTTGGTCACACACGATCAGACGGCAAGTCTTGTGATTGTTCCAAGGCTCAGTTTTCACTTCTGTAAAATGGGATAATAGTACCAGCTCCCTAGGGTGTTGTTGAGAATTAGTGCTCGCAGATAACTTTGCACAGAGGTTGATGGCCTCCGCTTTCTGCTCTAGGCTCTGCCATCTCCTGGAGACCAGTGGGGTCTGTCGGGGAGCATGACACCCTCGCTCCATGCCTGCCATGGCCTGAGTCTTCTCTGCCATTATGTGTTACAAGACACTGAGAATTCTCGACACTGGAGCAACATGAAATCATTAAGGCAAAACAATAAATAAAGGCCTAAAAGTTATTACAGAGCTGACAGCGCACAACACCATCCTGCAAAGCAAATATGAATTATTTCAGAACATTTTCAAATGAAAAATCCTCTCTTCCTGCCCAGCCCTGTGATGCATTAACTCCTCTTTCCACCCTTCTCACCTGTGTGGAGAGTGGCCAGGCCAGGAGGGCCCCACCCAGCCCAGAGCTCCCAGGGAATGGGGCTGGAAGTCAGCCCATCGTTTCTTTGGCCTGAACGCCTTTTGGTTTGCTCAAAGTGTCTCCTGGTTCCTTGTCTGCACCCAGGATCAGTGAGCAAGCATTACCGGGAGCCTTTCCTACTCCTAACATTGTGTGTCCCTTCACAGCTTCCAGGGAACCCTCCCTACGCTCCAGGAAAATGGGCTGTATTCTTCCCATTTTACAGACGGGAGACAGGTTCAAAAGGTTTCAGTGACAAGCCCAGGGTCTGATAAATGGCAGAGCTGGGACTCAAACCTGCTCCCTTCAAATTTAAATGAGATTAAATAAGACAATGTATGCAGAGTACTTGCATAGGATACTCTAAAAGCTATATTATTATTATTTTTGAGACGGAGTCTTGCTCTGTCGCCCAGGCTGAAGTGCAGTGGTGCAATCTCAGCTCACCGCAACCTCCGCCTCCCGAGTTCAAGCAATTCTCCTGCCTCAGCCTCCCGAGTAGCTGGGATTACAGGCAGGTGCCACCACACCCATCTAACTTTTGTAGAGATGGGGTTTCACCATGTTGGCCAGGCTGGTCTCGAATATCTAACCTCAGGTGATCTGCCCACCTTGGCCTCCCAAAGTACTGGGATTACAGGCGTGAGCCACCGTGCCCGGCCTATTATTATTATTATATTCAAGGAGTCATCCAGGTGCTGCCCTGTTATCCAGCACTGGAATAGGACTGCTGTGGCCATCTGTCATTTTTGACTGCTCAGCATCCCTCCCTTGCTCTGAACAGCACCCCTTCCCTTTGAAGTAATGTCCTCTCCTTTCACTTGGTCTTAGCCAAAAGGCCTAGAAGCAATTGTCCTCTCCTTTCCATTTCAATGGATAAGCTGTCAATCACTGTACCATGCCCTCTCCTGGCCTCTAACACGGACATGAGATCCAGAAATTTAGGATTGCCAAATCATAGTGCCCCATTTTTCTAATTACAGGGACTGAACCTGAGCTAGAACCACTGGAAGATTTAGCTGGGATTTTCTATACAGAGGCAAGTTTTCCCTCTCTCTACCTTACCAGTTCCATGAGGTCATGCCATCTGTCCCCACCCATCCTTCTTACCCCAGATGAAGGAAGCACATCAGGAGGAGAGGATGTAGCCAACACAAAGACAGACACAGAGTTGTAAGATTTGGCAATATTGCTTGAGTGCCTGGATCCAGCTGCACCTGAAGTCAGCTGCACCTGCCTTTCCCAGTTACACAGGCCAATGCTCCCCTTTTGGATGAAACTAGATTAAGCTGGGTTTCAGTCGCTTGCTCTGATGGATACAGGTGCTGTGTGCATGGGAGCACGGCACGTGGCCTTTGGCAGTATATCCAGAGAGGAAGGCCCAACCTAGGAGACCCCTGAAAAATAAGGGCATATCTTATCACGTCTAATCCCTCCGGGGATATAGGAGGCTGAGTGTGCCATTGAAAGAGCCCTGGACCTGGAGCCCAAGCCCAGGGGTATAATCTTGGCAGAGCCATTGCTTCTGCCCTCTGGCGGATTCGTAGCAAGCCCCACTTCTCTGGACCTCAGCTTCCTCATTTGCAAAATGAAGGTATTGGGGATTAGAAAATGATACCCCACAGTTTGGCACTTTGACATGCTGAGTACTTTGAACTGGAGGACACTGGCGGGACCTCAGAAACAAAGTCTCTCTCTGACCTTCTCCTGGTCTTTTTTCTCCTGCTCCCTTTTCTCCCCCAGGGCAGGCCATGGAAACTAGAATTTCTCTTCTCCAAGACGGGTCATAGAAACTAGAAATATTACTCTACCCCTTCCCCTGCCTTTGTGTGTAGGAGGTGGCCATAAAGAAATTCTCTGACCTACCTTGTCTGGTAGTAGGTCATAAGACCCTCATTCCAGAAGGGGTCCTGCCCTATACCAGCGAGGAAGGAATGCTATGCAGAGAGGCCAAGAAGAATCTGAACAGACAGGCCTTGCTGGGCTCCCCCACTCAGTCTCTTACTGTTAAGTCACATCTTTTCTGTCTAATCACATTTCTATATGGCTGTCCCCTTCTTCATTGAACCTAAACGTAAAAATAGACAGTTTTCTCTGAGTCTTTGGGTTTTCATTTCTGAAGGCTCCTGTGTCACATCAAACTTTGCTTAAATACATTTAATGCTTTTCTCTTATTAACTTGGTTTTTGTTATAGAAATTTTGGCTGTGACCCTTATGATGGGGAGGAAAGGTATCATATCCTTTCTACCCCTTCAAAGATGCTATTATCTCCAGAACATACTGCTAAGGTTCTAGGATTCACTTTGTATGTCAATGTGTACTAGGCATGGCTACAGGACCTTCCACAATCCCACCCCTGGCAGACTCTTCAGTTTCATCTCCCATGATTCTACCACAGTTATCCCACTCCCTTGTACTCTACATATCTCTGCAGTTCTAATTTCTCTTTAGTTTAGCTTCTTGAACAAACCATCCATCCATCCATCCATGCAGCCATCCATCCACTCAACCAACCAACCAACCAACCAATCAGCCAGCCAGCAAACCAACCAACCAGCGAGCTTGTTAGAGTTAGAAAATGGAAGATGTAGGATGCTATGGCTGCCTTTAATTAGGGGGGCCATAGCTCTCTCTGAGGAGAGATAATTCTTTAAGGTGAGCCTTGAAGATTGAATAGAGAATAGTCAGGGATGAAGGGAAAGAACATTGCAGGCAAGTGGAACAGCATAGAGCGTGTTGTGAGTGAAAGAAGCTCGTAATGGAAAGTACACAGGCAGCAAAAGGGAGGAGAGCCCAGTGTGTGGCCAAATGTTGGTGGGAAGCAACATGATAACAATTCACTTGTCACCACGTTTACCTGGCAAACTCCTGTTCATCCTTAGAAACTCTGCTGAGACATCTCCTGTGAGAAGTGCCATCCCCAACCCCAGTTGATCACCCCTTCTTCTATACACTGCTTGTACTTCTGTAGGTGCACCTTTCCGCCAGCCCTATGATGACCTCTTGTCACGTTTGTCTTTTCTCTTAGATGTGTATTCCTTAGGGCATGAAGCTGTCTATAGTCGCAGCCTAGCACACATGGGTACTCAACAAATGCTCTCAGATGGAATTGGATCACATGGCGTGTATGCAACCATGAGAGAACTGTTTGTGTTTCAGGAAGGGGCAGGAGGAGAGGCAGGCATGTATATGGGTATCTCTGCGTTGGGACTGAAATTCAACAACATTTCCAGAGGGCTGTTTAGATTCACTGGACTGTGACAAGCTGCTGACCATTTTCTCAACACCAAGAAAAACTGGCTCTGCTGGAGGTGCGGAGCTGGCTGGGGCTGGGGCTGGGTTGCCTGTTTGCTTCTCCCCGATCTCTCCTTGATTTTTTGTTTCCTCCTCTACAAAGTGCACTTAGGGGTCCCCAGTTCTTCAGGACTCTTTGGCGGGGTAAGGTGGCAGACTGAGGCCATGGCCCCGACCTGGGTGCCCACTGGCCACTGGCCAAGCTGGCTTCCTCAGTGAAGATGCTGATCAATGGCGGCCCCAGGCTCCAGGCCAGAGGAGGTCCTTCTTTCTAATCCGTATCGACTGCCCCCTCCTTTGCCTGCAAATTTGTATCAGGCTGTTGTCTGCAGTGGTGATGGAGAGTGTTGGGTCCATTTCCAGTGATCCGTGAGGGGGATCAGAGGCCTCTGCGAGGCTGGCCTGGGGTGTGGGTCGAGGGGCAGCCCTACCTAGGAAAAAAAACCCTGAACCAGCTGGGAAGGAGCTGCTCCGCGTCCTTTACCTGCTTAAGCTCTGAGGGGGCTGGTCCTTCCCCAGGGCAAGAGAGGACAGGCAGTGGGTAGGGGAAGAAGAAAAAAGGACTCCTTACTCACACCATGTCACGTGCAGGCCAGGCACAGAGCAGAGGCCCTGTGCAGTTCCAGCTACCTCAAGATGTGATGTCCTCCACCCAGGCATTTCCATCAATTAACAAGCACGTAGCCCACCCTCATGCTTCAGGGCATGAGGAAGCCACGGGCGTGTGTGGAGAGCCTGCACTGCACAGGCTCCTGGCACAGTCACACTGAGTTCTCTCAAGAATCCTGGACAGATACTATTTAATATTACTCGTACCATTGAGGAGATGAGAAAACTGGGGCTCCAAAAGTGTCGGAAGCGTGCCTGAGAGCCTGAGCCTCTGCTCTCTTCTCTCTTGTTCTACCTGACTGGAAGGAGCCACCCCCTTAAGAGAGACAGGACACTTGGCTGGGCACAGTGGCTAATGCCTGTAATTCCAGCACTTTGGGAGGCCAAGGTGGGAGGATCACCAGAGGTCAGGAGTTTGAGACCAGCCTGGCCAACATGGCAAAACCCTGTCTCTACTAAAAATACAAAAATTAGCCAGGCATGGTGGTATGCGCATGTAATCCTAGCTACTCAGGAGGCTGAGTGAGGCAGGAGAATTGCTTGAACCTGGGAAGTGGAGGTTGCAGTGAGCTGAGATCGCACCACTGCACTTGAGCCTGGGCAACAGAGTGAGACTCTGTCTCAAAAAAAAAAAAAAAAAAAAGACAGGAAAAAAAGAGAGGACACTCATAACCGAAGATGTCAATGGCCATCGTGGCCAGGCCAGGCCTCCCTTTATGAACATGTGACCCACAGGCACCCCTTCCCCTGTGGCCATCTGGTCCATGGCAGGTTTGAGTCTCAGCTCTGCCATTTATCAGACCCTGGGCTTGTCACTGAAACCTTTTGAACCTGTCTCCCATCTGTAAAATGGGAAGAATACAGCCCATTTTCCTGGAGCGTAGGGAGGGTTCCCTGGAAGCTGTGAAGGGACACACAATGTTAGGAGTAGGAAAGGCTCCCGGTAATGCTTGCTCACTGATCCTGGGTGCAGACAAGGAATCAGGAGACACTTTGAGCAAACCAAAAGGCGTTCAGGCCAAAGAAACGATGGGCTGACTTCCAGCCCCATTCCCTGGGAGCTCTGGGCTGGGTGGGGCCCTCCTGGCCTGGCCACTCTCCACACAGGTGAGAAGGGTGGAAAGAGGAGTTAATGCATCACAGGGCTGGGCAGGAAGAGAGGATTTTTCATTTGAAAATGTTCTGAAATAATTCATATTTGCTTTGCAGGATGGTGTCCCTACTCTTTGCTTCTGAGGATGCCTTGGTTCTCTTCTTTCTCTTTCTCACCTCTGACCACTGACCCCCAGAAACTTGTGCCTTCTTCTAAGCCTTGGTGCAAGAATGAGGAGAGAAAAGCCCCTGCTCCATGGTCACTGTGGGTGGGATGGAAGAGAGGGGAATCAATTCTGTGCTTGGAGGCTTAGGTTAGGCCCAGAATGAGCTTTCCTGCAGCTTTCCTAAGGTCACAGATCGTTTAAGCTCTCGAGCCTCAGTTTTCTCATTTGTAAAATGAAGCTACATCTCCCAGACTTCTCTAGAGGAGACTTACAAGAGATAGGGCGTGTATGTTGCAGGTACTCATGGAGTGTTTGGAAATGAAAATGAAGAGTTGGAGTTTGGCTTGGGGAGAGGGTCAGGGTGGGGCAGGGGTGGGAGGGATAAGGGGACTGGTGTGTATAGGAGGGCTGGTGGGATGAGGGAGCAGGGGAGTGTTGAGGGCTGTAGAGAGACCCCTGGGCTGAGTCACAGGAGTAAGGGCAGATAGGGTGAAGTTTGGGGGTTGCTGAATGCCAAGCTGCCTTTGGACTTTGTCCTATGGGTTGGCCCTTTTCCCACACTGAGTCCTTTGTTCAAATGCAGTCCTGTTAGGAAGCCCAATAGGGCAAGTGGATGAAGGGCTGAACTGAGGCTGGGGTCCCAGAGTCCTGCTTTTCAACCCATCCTCATCACCCTCAATCCCAGGTGCTCCATGGACCTCGCAGAGCTACCCTGAGCACCTTCAAAAAGCCTCTGCATGGAGAATGAATCAGAGAAGGCTTTGCTGAAACTCCGCAGACTTCCAGGAGGCCCGAGAGAAGAGGGCTGGGGAACGGGGCTCGGTGCTTTTGTTCTCAGCGCCCCTCAGGGCTCCTGATCCTTGTTCCATTCACCAGTGATGATGCCATCTGCTGGAGGCTGGGTCCAGCTATCAGTTTTCCCTCTGGTCAGGTTGCCTTTGCATGGAGAACAGGGTACAAGAGTCACCAGGGAAGCCCTGGGAGATGCAAGCTGGGTGTCCCCTGACGGGTCCAGGTAAGGGAGTGTAGCAGTCTCACTGCTGGTTTCAAGGCTCAGAGGTGGATGCCTTGTGGGGTGCCTCAGCACATGCCAAGGGCCATCCTATCACTTGCCTTCCTTACCTGCTGCCATGGACATTCTCTGGGAGGGTTGCACACTTCCCTCTTTCACTCTGCTTCTCCACCTGGCTGGCTTCCACGTGTCAGGCCTCAGCTTGGGCATAGTTTCCTCCAGAACGCCTTCCTTGTCCCCCTCTGCCATGTCCTCACTGCCCTGGGCTAGCCTCGCTTGCAGCAAGGATCCCCATGTGCCGTAAGCATCTGCTCATTTGTCTCTTCTCTGCTAGGTTTTACATTTGAGGGTGGGGCATTCTATAGCCAGAGCCTCGCACAATGCCTAGTAGATGGCAGTGAATGAATGAAAGAGCCTTACTCCAACACGGGTGCAGGGAGAGACCAAATTCCATCTTACTCCACCATGGGTGCGGTGTGAGCTCTTCACATTTGAGGAATGACCTTCTAGAGAAAGGCTGGTGAATGGCATGAAGGCCCAGCCAGGGAGAGGTTGGGAGGAGAGCATAGTCACTGGGGTTCCAGGGCTGGGGTGGCCCAGTTCCACTCAGTACGTTTACCTCTTTTCATTCCTGCGTCTTCCCGGTGGGGGATTTGCCCTCCAGATCATACTAGCCCTGGGCATCGGACAGTGTCTGCTCTCCACTCTCCATGCCCACCTGTGCATGGGCGTATCCACCCAGGGGCATTAGGTAGATCTTTGTGTCCTTGGGTCTGAATGAACACGATGGGTACAGGGCTGCCTGGGAGTGTGTCCGAACACATGCACACATGGCACTAACAAACACGTGTGTCTTTGTGTATCCAGGTATGGGTGTGACACCTTTGCGTGTGCAGCTTTGTATGCAGAACATGTCCCAGCATGGTTTTGTATCTGTGAGTGTGTATGTGCTTGCACAGACATAAGTGTGCCCACTGGGGCAGGGTGGGGCCAGGTGTGTTCTGTCACCGTGCTCTGATTAGCCTTCACTTGGAAGCATTTAGGTGACAATTTACAGCTGCACCTGACCCTGGCCTCTCTGCCTCGTCCTGTGTGTGCTGCTACGGCTGCCCCCTGCCCCCTGGCCACATAACTGTGATTTATGGCTGGCCTGTGGGGAGCAGCCCCCTCCCCGCTGCCCACCTCTCTGCAGCTCCTGCACCAGATGGGCTGCCTGCTGCTCCCTGGAGCAGCCTTCGCCAGGGAGGGTGAGGCAAGACGACCCACCACCAGGCCCGGCTGGGACCCCTCCCTCGCCCACTGTTCACTCCCTTTCAGACAGTCCCTGTCATCCTGTCTTGGACTTGCTCATGGCTGTTGGGATTGTGAACTGAGATGAGAGGTCAGAGTCTGTGACACAGAACAGAAACCGCCCCCAGTCCCCCATTCATCTCCTCCCCAGACACAGACAGACAGACAGATGGACAGACACACAGATAAAGGTACCGATAGGTCCTCATACAGGGACTGCATGTGCATCTGGGCGTGTGAGCACACACACATACACACGCACACAGTGAGAGTTTGTGGGGGATCTGCATATGTGTGGGGGCTGGGAAGGAAGCCAGGCCCCCTGCAGCCAGGCCAAGCCTCCCCAGCTCCCCACCGGGTCTCTGCCTCCTTTCTCCTGTGCCTACAATCCCTGATGCCAAAGGGGATCTTCTCCAGCTCATGCCAATCCATTATGAAGGTCCACTCAACCAGCAAGGGCATTTCTGGGGGTGTCCCTGGGGTGGGCCCTTGGGGGCTGGGGCTCAACCTTGTACCCCCAGGCTGGCATTGCTGGAAGTGGGGAGTGGCAGAGGGGCTGTGTCAGGCTGAAGGTGAGCGCTGGAAACAAAAAGATTGGAGTAAATTATTATTCCCCCCATGGCTTTCCCAAGGAAAGTGGAAGCAGCAGCCTGAGGCCCGTTTTCCTATTTGATGGGGAGTCAGATAAATGGCAGGCAGCTTGCTCTGATAAGGCCTTGCTCTGGGCACAACCTCTCTCTCTGAAACCCTCTTACTATGCATAGAGGAAGGCTATCTGTGCAGCTGCACCTTGACACAAATATATCTGCACCCGAGATGAAGCAATTCCCCCAGAAATTACAGCAGGGGGATTGCATCTGAGGAGGGGGCCCTGGGGAGGGGTGAGGGCTGCAGGGGAGGGAGGGAAGAAGAGGCCTGGGACAGGCAGGGAGGAGGAGGGAGGCGGCTGGGAGGTTGGGAGTGGGAGCAAGAAGTCTAGAGGCTTGCACTGGGAAGGGGGCTCGGGAGCATCTTTGTATAAAATTTACGTTTTTCCCCATCAAGCAGCTTGCACAGAAATATTCTTTTTCCCCTGTATCGTCGTCTTAATAGGGACATTCTCACCACCACCCTCATCTTCCTCCTCCTGGCTCCACTGCTGCCCTGACCATATTCTCCCTGCTCACAGAATTAAAAGGAAAATACGTGTATGATCTTTACAATTAGTCGCCTGAATGGAGGAGCCTCAGCTGCCTTAGACATTTTCTTTTTTCTTTTTAAATGAAAATTTTGCATTTCTTTTTAATTAAAATTTTTTTTTTTTGCCTTAAGCTTCTCTTTACACATTGAAAAGACAGTGGGGATGGGGTTGTAATGTGATTTTAATAAATACGTGAATAAATAAATATTTTTGAAAAGATGGAGAACACAGAGTGCTGATTGGGTATTTGAAACACTTTTCCAACTTGTCTCATGTCTCTTGGCTTCATGACAGTGTGTGTGTGCACGCGTGCACATGTATGCATGTATGTCTGCAAAACTGTGCATGAATATCCCTGTGTGGGGGGGAATGTGTTCTCATGTTCTCTCACACACACACCTAGTCTGACAATACCCCAGGCTCTCTCTCTCCCCTTCCAGCAGTGTTTTGCTCATCTCTGTGATGAGCCTCTCCCCTTCCCAGGGTGAAGAACTGGAGGCTCCAGCCTCTCAGGAGGCCTGCAGAAAACTCTCTGGTCCCAGAAGAGAAGCTTGAGTAAAGAGACATCCCATCAGGCACAAGGGTCCCCTATCTCCTGCCAGACAGCCCCTCCCCCCAGCTCCTCCTTGGCTGGGCAAAGGTGCTCAAGTGTGATGGCAGCGGAACTCGGCAGGACAAGCGCTTGGGGAAGGGGTAGTAGAGTCATGGGGAATGTGGGTCTCATCCCCCAAACCCTAGGTCTTGGAGGGACAAGGTGGGCTTGTTGGGGTGGGGAAGGGTGGCAGGAGACACTGCATTTACACGTGAGGGTGAGGGGAAGAAGTGGAGTTTGAGTGCATGTTGAGGGCGCTCATGCCCCTCCCTCCCCAAACTGGCACCTGCCTTGGGTCTGACTGTCGGAGCAGCTGCAAGACACAAGAGTCAGCGACAGATGCCACAGCCCCAGCCTTTGTCTGAGCAAGAGAAAAATCACACCCTCCCCTTAAGCCCCTGGGGCAGCTGAAGCTGGGAGGCTTTAGTCATCTCACCCCTCAACTCCATCGCCAACCCTGGAGAGCAACAGGGGCCTTTTTCTTGTCTCCCAACTTTGGGGAATTTGAGCAGTGATGGGAAAGATGCAGGAAAGTGAAGGTTTGGGGGAGAGATCCCTTGAACCTGTCTGCCTAAACTGCGTGACACACTCCCAGAACCCACTTAGGCTGGGGGTGGGGTGTGTTCTGCCACATCAACCTAGATCAGCTGGAAAAGGGCTGAGCTGGCAGGTGGGGATCAGGCTTCTAGTTTCATCTCTGCCACTTCTCTGCGGCCACCTACTTACTCTTCTGGGCCTTGCTTTTCTCAGCTGTAAAATGTGGGGAAGCAATCACTCAAATGACAGATGCAATAGTAACATGGATAACTGTGGATTTTAGACACATATCAAGCCAAGGAGTGAGAACGTGACTGGTTGTGACTATATCTCACTTGCTACTGGTTTGGGCTGAGTCTGGAAGAGCCAGAGGCCTGGTCTCCCTGCAGGAAATAATCCCTGGAAAGTAAGTAGCCTCTTCCAGGCTGCTGGGATCTTTTGGACTCATTTGCAAGCTGTCTCTGGAGATTGGCTACAGAAGTCCAAGGGGAACTCCAAGAGGAACTACTGTGGATAACCAGGCTGGGGTGTGTTGGGGCAGATGCCCAAATTTTCTGCAGTGGAGGACTTAGCCAGAGTAGGGACCCTGGGAACTGTCACCCCTTTAGAGCAAATAGTAGAAAAGCTCCAAGGGAAGCCTAGAAGTCACAAATAGGTGTCCTATTGATCTTCATATTGGCAAGCTGGTGTCTACACTGGGACATGAACTCCCATCCATTTCTATAGTGGGACTTTGGCTATCATTGATATCACATTGGAACATTGTTACCACCACTTTTGTATATCATTGACTGCCATTGATCCGGATATTTGGACAGTGCTCCCTACATTGGGACATCGATTTTCCTTAACCAACTCTGAATTGGGGCATTGATCTCTACATTGGGATGTTGACTTTCTTACCCATCTGTATGGTGGGGGGCATCAATTCCTCTCAACCAACTCTCCATTGGGACATTGATCCCCATATGAGATGCTGATGGCCTCAACCAAATCTTCACTGGGGTATTGATTTCTACACTGGAACTCCCTTTCCTGTCCAACTCTGGATTGGGACATTGATCCCGCATTGGGACATAGATTTATTCCTCTCTCTCAGTATCTGGGCATTATCCCCCACCCAGCCGGGAACAAGGATGCTGATTTTTATTTTAGGGCTTCAGTTCATTCATTCCACCAATCATTCATTTCTTATAGCTACTGTGTGTCAGTTTTGTGCTAATGGTTGGGAACTCTGTTTTTCTTTTCTTTCCTACCATTGATCCCTATGTGAAGACCCCAATTCTCTTCAGTCTTCATATTTGAACACTGATACATACCTCCCGCATCTATCACCCCCTTCAGCCTCCCCTACTGACTTCAACTAAGGTCTCTGTTCATGAGTTGAAGTTGGGAGCCATATTGGAAAGTGCACAGTCTTTGGAGTCATGAGTTTGAATTTTGAGCTTTGCCACTTGCCAGCCTCACTTTCCTCTTCTTTCTTTCTCTCTCTCTTTCTCCTTCCTTCCTTCCTTTCCTGCCTTCCTTCCTTCCTTTTCTTTCTTTTTTCTCTTTCTCTTTTCTTTTTTCTTTCTCTTTTTCTTTCTTCCTTTCTTTTCTTTTCTTTCTTCTTTCTTTCTTTCTTTCTTTCTTTCTTTCTTTCTTTCTTTCTTTCTTTCGAGACAGAGTCTCAATTTGTCACCTATGATGGAGTGCAGTGGCTTGATCTCTGCTCACTGCAAACTCTGTCTCCCAGGTTCAAGCAATTCTTGTGCCTCAGCCTCCTGAGTAGCTGGGATTACAGGTGTGCACCACCACGCCCAGATAATTTTTGTATTTTTAGTAGAGACGGGGTTTCACCATGTTGGCCAGGCTAGTCTTGAACTCCTGGCCTCAAGTGATCCAACCACGTCAGCCTCCCAAAGTGTCTTCATCTTTCAAGTGAAGACAAAGATACCTACTTTTCAGGCTTTCTGTGCAAATGAGAGCACTGAATGGGACCCAGACATAGAGAGCACCATCCTTCATAGCAAGGCTTTCCCTTCCTTGTTCTCTTCCCCCAGTCCGGGGAGATAGCTCTGAACTTGGCATATCCATGTGCCCCCCACATCACATACTGCTGAGGGGGTGAGACCCTCCCTCTCCTCAAATGCCATGGGCAGCATACCTCATGAAGTAAGTCCCTCACAACATTTCAGACCTAGCTCTCATTTTTTAAAATCCATATTATATAGATAGCAATGAGGAGAGCAACTTTTCTACCCCGAGCCTGTGTGTAATTACATATTTTGGCCGCGTGCTGGGCCTGGGATGAATCTGTATGGTAATGCAGGCCAGGGGCTTACGACGTAGGCACACATGCTAATTTTTAAACCACAAAATCGCGGCTGTTTTTCATTTTCATTTCCGACAACACTGGCGGAGATTAGGTCCTATTAAGCACCATGGGGCCTGACCTCCCCCTGGCCACCTGCAGGGCTCCTTGTGGCTTTTGTGGGCTCTTTGGGCCTGGCGCTGAGGCAAACACATCCTTCTTAATTGTGGGACAAAGCTCTGTCCAGCGGGAGGTGCCCAGGTTGGCAGACCAAGGCTGTCTTCTCTCGTCGTCCCCACCCAGGCTAGGGCTAGGTCCCACGCCCGTCCGGGGAGGAACTCGGAGCCTGCGGTGCCCAGGATAATTGAAATTCCAGGCTGTGCCTCTCCTCGTGGACAAGTAAAGTAGGCCCTCGCCCATCTGCAGAGCCCCGAGATGTCCTTAGGGGCCTGGAGAGCAAGGACTCAGGTCACTGAGCTGTCTGTTCAGTCCTAGCCCAGCTCAAGTGACCTTGTGCAAGTCACTTTTCTTCCCTGGGCCTTCGTCTTCCGTCTGTCAAGTCCATGAAATGTAAACTGGGTGATCTGAAAACACTTTGCATTTGAGCTACCTGTCCCCTGCCGAGAGGCAGACAGAGCAGTGATGACAGCAGCTCTCATTTGTTACACACGCATCGTGGGTAAACTATACATGTTCATTATCTCATTTAATCTTCCCCTCGACTCCCCGAGGTGACAGCGTGTTAAACAAAAATCCCATTTTCACCACTCACTGGCCGGATGATCTGTTTTCTCATCTGTAAAACGGGGGAGTAACTGATAACAGTGCTGCCGGATAAGGTATTATCACGATGGAATGAATTGCTGCAGAGTACACAAGACACTTAGAACAACACCAGGCCCAGGGTTGCTATCATTATTATTACAGATAAGGAGATGGAGGCTGAGGAAAGGATAAGGAACTCACTCAAAGCCACCCGGTTAGAACCCAAACCGCAACCCACGAGCCTCGTATCTCCCACTGGAGGCTTTGCCGCCTCCAACTCTTCCTGGCACAAAAGCTTCTCTATCCATCCAGAGAAGCAGCGTCAGGCCCTGCTTCCCTTTAGTCGTCATTTCTCAGTACTGAGCAAAAATGGCAGCAGAAAGACGCAGAGATAAGCAGAGAGATGCTGAGGGGCCCCCTGAATGGGTGTCTGGTCGGGCTGCCACCCCAGCCTTGACTCCTAGGGGTGCTTGGGCACAAGTGAGCCAGTCCAGGCTAGCCCATCGCTGGGGTCCGGCAGGCCCTCTGCTTGTCGGAGGAGAGCTGAGGGTGAGGAGGGGCCCGGGAGGAAGAGCTGAGCCCCTCCCCCTTCCATTCTGTCTCCATCTGCACCCAGAAGCAGCTGAGCGTGGAGCGGGGCCACCCCTCCCGCTCCCGCCCCCTTGCCTTCTCCCCTCCTGGGCGGGGGCTGCCCCGTCTCTGGGGGGGAGCCTGGTCTGTGCTCAATTTCATGCCACTTAATTCACAAGTCTGCCCGTGAAAATGGCGACAAATCGGCCCCAACTGCCCAAATGTCCCGTCCCATCTCGGACGTCTCTCCTGCAGCCCCCACTGCTCCTCCGTCTGACAACCCCTCACCCATCATACTGGAGGGGGAGCGGGCCCTGGTGGCAGCCAGCCGAGGGCCCTGCCGCTGACTTAGACGCCACACATATCCCTTCTGCAGCGGAACCAGGCCCCAACGGGGGCTACCGCCGAGACTCCAGGTGACCCTCCAGTACATGGTCAGAGGCTGGGGACTGTTTTAGTTTGGATTTTAATGTGACTGTGTAATGTTTATTTTTAAATTTACTTTCTTTTAAGAACAATTTAGTTTATTTTTTTTGAATACGTAGCACATTCACATGATTCAAATTTCAAAAAGTGGCCAGGCACGGTGGCTCACGCCTGTAATCCCAGCACTTTGGGAGGCTGAGGCTGGTGAATCACTTCAGGTCGGGAGTTCAGGACCAGCCTGGCCAACATGGTGAAACCCTGTCTCTACTAAAAATACAAAAAATTGGCCGGGCATGGTGGCACACGCCTGTAATCTCAGCTATTCAGGAGGCTGAAGCGGAGAATCGCTTGAACCCTGGAGGCGGAGGTTGCAGAGAGCTGAGATAGTGCCACTGCACTCCAGCCTGGGCAACAGAGCGAGACTCCATCTCAAAGACAAACAAACAAAAACAGGCCTGGCTTGGTGGCTCATGCCCGTAATTGCAGCACTTTGGGAGGTCAAAGCAGGCGGATCACTTGAGGTCAGGAGTTCCAGACCAGCCTGGCCAACACGGTGAAACCCCGTCTCTACTAAAAATACAAAAATTAGCCAGACGTGGTGGCGGGCACCTGTAATCCCAGCTACTCGGGAGGTTGAGGCAGGAGAATCACTTGAACCCGGGAGACGGAGGTTGCAGTGAACCGAGACCATGCCACTGCACTCCAGCCTGAGCGACAGAGCAAGACTCCATCTCAAAACAACAACAACAACAAATTTCAAAAAGCATAAAAGAGAGGGTGGAATGTCTCCCTCTACCTCTACCCCGGTGTCCTGGTTCTCTCTTTCAACTCCCAGTTCCTATCCCAAGGGGAACCAATGTCCCCAGATTCTTGGGTGTCCTTCCAGAGACCTTATATCCAAGAATAAACAAATATGTATAGTCTTTCCTGCCTCTGCCACAAATGATGACGTGCTGTACACACTGACTGCACCTCACTGGTCTCACCTGTATGTCCCGGTGACCAGAGCCTCCTCACTCCACCCCCACCCTCCCACCACAGAGGCTGTTTGAAGTTCTCTCTCCTCTCCCTTCACCTGCCCACCAAAAGGGCTTTGAAGCCACAGAGTCCAGAATTCAAGTCCTACCAGCTCCAACTATTCTCTGGGTGACCTTGACGAGTTCATTTCCTCTTGGGCCTCAGTCTCCAATTCAGTAAAATGGGAATATTCATGTATACCCACCTCGCAAGACTATTGGTGGGAGGGCGGGTAGTAAAGAAGATACTGGGCAAGGTGCGGTGGCTCATGCCTGTAATTCCAGCACTTTGGGAGGCTGAGGCGGGCAGATCACCTGAGGTCAGGATTTCGAGACCAGCCTGGCCAACATGGAGAAACCTCATCTCTACTAAAAATACAAAATTAGCTGGGCGTGGTGGTGCATGCCTGTAATCCTAGCTATTTGAGAGGCTGAGGCAGGAGAATCACTTGAACCCGGGAGGTGGAGGTTGTGGTGAGCTGAGATCACGCCATTGCACTCCAGCCTGGGGAACAAGAGCGAAACTCCATCTCAAAAATAAAAGAAGATACTGGATACAAAGTGAGGAGGTGAAGTGTAGCTGCTCCCTCCTCTCCCCGTTCCTCTCTGTCCCCCCATCAGGGGAATACCTACTCATTCTTCAAGCCCCGGTTCAAAGTCGCCTCCTCCTGATGCCCACCTGCTGCAGGAATTGAACCTCCACTTTGCATCTATAGTGCTTCAGACCAGCCTTGAGGAGAATGTCACTGTGGTGTGGTGTAGCCATCTATACTTGTCCTCCTCCTACAAGGCTGTGAGCCACTTGAAGGCTTCTGATGAAGCAGGAACAAAAATATTAAGATGTGAATATTTACAGCCTTTCTTCTCCTGCCATGTTCCCACATCTGAGCTGATCAAGGTGATACAAAGTGGAAGATGCTTCACTGAAGAAAGAGCATAAAGTTAGCAGCAAAAGCTGGATCAGAATAGAATCGATCCAGTCAACTAGAGGTGGAGGCAAGAGAGAGCAGAGCTGGAGTTTTAGGAGAGAAAAAGGAAAAAGAAAAAAGGGGGTGGGGAGTGTAGTGACCTATGGCACTTTGGGGAAAGGCAGGCCTGAAGAGGATTTGGAGAGAGTTTCTGTCTGTTGTACGACATAGTTGCTTTTCCCACCTTGCCGCTTGTTTGGGAGTTTTGCAAAGGCTTCATTGCCAATCAATGCTTTTGGAGACTATCAGGGTTTCTTCTGGATGTGACCCAGGCTTCAAATGGCCTAAGATTTGTTCAGGTTGCATTGTACATTTTGGGCCCAGCTCAGCAGGTATGCAGAATAATACAAAGATGAGACAAAAGAGCAGGTGGAGGGACAGGAGGAGGAGTGCACACAGGCTGTGGCTCTCTGTCCCTCTCTGGGCAGACCACCATGGTGGACAATGCTCATGTGTTCATGACAACTTGTTCCCCAGGGAGCCCCAGATTTTGATGAACCATCTCCCCAGGTCCCGCCTCTCCCAAATTGTGGATAAATAAAGCCCTAAGATTTTTAATAGGCACAACCATTGAGGATGTATCAGAAATACTCCCTCTCTGTGGTTTTGGTGCAGACAGGAGGGGATGGGTGTTGGGTGTGATTCTCTTTCAGCCTTTCTTTCTTCCCCTCTCAAGAAAGCTTATCAGGAAGCACACAAGCACAATACTTCTAGATAAATATTACTTCATTTGACTCCTTCTAGGAATCTTGTGAGGTGGGATTAATGTTCTTATTTTAATTTCAACTTCCAATTGTTTATTATCAGCATGTAGAGATATAATTTATTTTTGAATATTGACCTATTATGAAATTTTACTGAACTTAATACTTCTAGTTTTATTTTTGATTGATTCTTAGAGTTTTCTATGAAGACAATCATGTTGTCTGTGAATAAAGATGGTTTCTATTTTTCCTTTCCAATCTGTATGTCTTTTATTTCTTTTTCTTGTCTTATTGCACTGGGCAGGATCTCCAGGTCAGTGTGAAATAGGAGTGATAAGAGCAGACATACTTGCCCTTTTTCTGATCTTAGGGGGAACTATGTCTCCATTTTATAGTTGAGAAAATTGAGCCACAGAGATGTTCAGCCACATGCCCAAGGGACCCCAGCTAGTGACTGCCAGTGCCAAAATCAGAACTCAGATCTGCCTGTCTCCAAAGCTTGTGCTCTTTCTACTGCTTCAAGCTTTGTTGTACAAAAGTATGGAGTTAAAATAATTTCCTCTTTGAAGCCCTCAGTTCTCCAACCAGGTCCAGGAATATAAACGGCTGCTTGGTGAACACTTGCTATTTGATTGGAAGTGGTGAGCTAGAGTGGAAGGCATGAGCTAGAGAGCAAGATGATGGGGTAATCTCCTGCCTTGATGTGGGGGTGCACAGTGAGGTTGGGGATGGAGGGATTTCCATTCCACTCTGCAGCCTGACGTCGGGAAGAATGGTCCCTTGGGTACAGAGAGGACAGCTCTTAGAGACAAATGTGGGATTCAGTTTAGAAGACTTTGAGGGGCAAAAGTGAGTGTGGGGCACAACTGGATCTTTAAGAGGAAGGACAAATGATAGATCAAAATGAGGACTGTGGAGACTGACTTTCCAGGCTTGAAGCCCAATTCTACCACCTACGAACCACGTGACCTTTGGGAGAGTTATTTAGCCTCCCTGTGCTTCAGTCTTCTCATCTGTAAAACAGGGATAATTGTGTTTCTACCTCACAAACTCATTGTGTGGGTTACATGAGTTAATACACAGTAAGCGGCCCTGGCAACCGCCATCTCAAGGTGAGTGATTATGATTTTTGATGAGTCACAGGACTGTCAGGGGGACTTCTAGAAGTTATAAGGGACTGTTCCTCCTCCTTCTTAGAAAACACACATACATCCTGATCAAGCCCCTCCAATTGTAGGTAGAGAAAGACGTGTCTCTCCCAAGTGGCCAAGTTACTTAATTTCTCTGAGCCTCTGTTTCTTCAGGAATGAAATGGGATAATGAGCCTTATCTCACACTGTGAAGAGACAAGCAGATAAGGCATGGGAAAGCACTGTCAATACTTGGTAACAGTAAAAATTGTGACAACTTCCAAGTGCCTCCTCTCTGCAAGGCAACTAACTGAGGGTGCTTAATCTGTGTGTATGTCCCTGTGAGGTAGATTGGCTGTTCTACTTTCTACATGAGGACACTAAGCCCCAGAAATCAAATGACATACGGGCCATCAGCCAGGTTTGAGCCCAGGTAGGCCGATCTCCAAAGCCTGGATCTTTATTATTTTTGTACAATTCTCCTTCCGGGACCAAGGGGCCTGAGCTGCAGCATCTGGGTACAGGTGCCCCCTCCCCCAGGCATCCCCTCCCAGGCCTTCCCCTTGGTGAGGGCTGCCCTTCAGTCACTCCCTTGTCCAGCCAAATGCGGGCGGGCGGCTGGCGGCTTTGGTGCATGAGGCAGATGGGACCTTCACAAAAGCCCCCGCACCTCTCCAAGCTGGTCCCCCCCACACGCCTGATTACCCCCCAATACCCAAGTTACCATTGATACAGTGGTGCCGGGTGATTCAATTAGTGCAGCCGGCATGAAGGCAGCAGCACAAAGAGCTGGGGTAGTTAGAAACTCATTTTCTTTTGATTATTATAGCATCTCACACGTGCAAGCAGAAAATTATAGGCTCATGTGTCTTTGCTTAATATCCTCTGGGGCCAGATTTGTCGTCATGTTGAAGTTAGCTGTCAGAATTGACAAAATCATGTGGAGTTGATGGATTTACAGTGCCGGGGCCCAGCCAAGCTGGAGAGGTGCAGACTTACACAGATACACAGACAGAGACACACACACAGACACAGCCGCACACTCCCATACACCCTGCGCAGACACACATACGCCCTACTTTAAGATACTGATAGACACGCTCACAGTGATTTGTGCACAGATATGCACACTCCTCAAACGCTGAAACACACCCATTCAGACCTACACAGAGATACACACACATACTCCACACACTGACACCCCCGTACAGAGACACACATACTCATACCCAGCACACTAATATACGCTCACAAGTCTCACATAGGATACACATCCCCCCGCACCAACACACTCCTCCCAGACACAGATACACAAACACACCCCACATCCCATATACTGAGAAGATAGACACAATCATATGCACACACTCACCCTCCATGCTGATAACCCCTCTCTCCCAGATGCTGATACACCTAGACACCCACACACGCTGTCACACACCCACATAGGTGCATGCAGATACACATACCTACTTCTGACTCATCCCTTCCCAGGCACTCACCCCTCCACACTGATACACACTAACCTAGACACACTCAGATCTTCATACACCATTGATATGCACCCACGCAGACACACACTCAGATACACCCATAGATGCTATCATACACATGTTCAAACATACACACCCGATAGACTCCAGTCCAGACACACATGTACACAGACACAATCCCCTGCTTCACACACACACATTCAGAGCTATACACACATCCGTGCAGAGACAGGGGTTCACACACCCACACACACACAGAGCGGGAGACACACACAACTACAGCATGCACAGGCACGAAGTTACAGTGATACATTTCTACACACACGCAGATGCCCAGACAAGTACACCAACACATCCATGGACAGAGAGAGAGAGAGGGAGGGAGGGAGGGACGGAGACAGGACAGAGTCACAGATACAGAAAACAGAGAAACGCATTCACAGAGACATGGGGGCATGGGTGCAGCTCCCAGCTTCCACCTCTGTAGCCCCCTTTTCTTTTCCCTTCTTTCTCTCCTCATCCTCATCCTCCATTGGCCTGGCTAGGAGGGGAAGATTGTGGGGAACAATATGGAAATAGAAACACAGGGTGAGGACTGGGGCGCCCCCCACCTCTGAGTCAGTACACCCCAGCCCCTGGTTTCTGTTTGTTTGAGTGAATGGTAGCCAAAAGGGTGCTGGGGGTGGGGTTGGTGGTGAGGAGAGGTTGTGTGTTCAGAGGGAGAAGGTCTTGAACCTTCACTGAGCACCCCTTACTGTCCCCATTTTACAGAGCTGGAGACTGAGGCCCTCAGAAGGCAAGTTCCTCCCTGATGCCACACAGGGTGCTTTCACGGCAATTAACTAAAGAAGCCCCTTCCAGGCAGAGTGCACACTTTGGTGAGTGGACAAGGGCCACGTGTGTGGGGTACACCCTTACTCAGCAGCCGTGGAGACAGGATGGTTCTCCAAGGGGAATTCCTGGGAGAGGACAGGAAGGCTGGCTAGTGCCGGAAGATTCCAAGCCCACTGCCTTTCTTTATAGAGCTCCCCACCCCTGCCCACCAACGGGTAATGGGGCATCTGCTATGGGAGAGATGCTGGGGCTCATGCCCCAAGGTATCCCAGGCAGAGGGGCCACACTCAATGCTGTCTGTATGGTAGGATATTGCTGATGAGTCCAGACCAGACTCAGACAGGCTTGGACCCAGGCCCGGTGCATCATTTGGAAAGCCCTAGGTTCCCATCAGTGTTGCATCAGAGTAGAGGAGGAGCCTGTGGCAACCCTGCCAAAGCCCCGAAGAGGTGGGCGGGCTCTGATGAGTCCTAGAGCCTTTGAGCCTTGGCTCAGCCAACCTCCATTCCCTCAGAAGAGGAAAACCCTGCCCAAACTCCATGGCACACACATGAGACACCTGACCTCATCTCCTTCTCCCAGCAACCCTGTGAAGTTGGTCCTATCATCCCTATTGGCCAAGGAGGAGCCCGTCAGATGCTCAGCAAGGGCAATGACTTGCTTGAGGTTACAAGGCTCATAAAAGCCAGGATTTGAACCCAAGGCTGTTTGACTTCCAAGCCCTTGCTCACTCCCCTCCATCACGTGAGGCCGGCCTTCCTCTGGCATAGCAGGCCGGAGGGACCCTCTAGCTCAGTCAGGCCTTAGGGTCCAGGGCCAGCCACTAACTTCCTTGGATAAGCTTACCCCCAGGGCCCCTCCCCAGTGGGTGGGAGGCAATGGCCTGAGCTTTGGGGGTCAGACCCAGCTGGATTCAAATCCCAACTCTACAACCTTGGGGAAATCACTTTGCCTCTCTGAGCCTAACTTCCTCATCTGTCAAATTGGGATTAAAAATAACCCCATTTAAGAGTCACAGAGAATACATGTGCAGGGCTTAGTCCACAGCGGGTATTTCACACATCATAGCTGGTTTTTGTGGTTCAAGGCTCCCCAGCACACCCAGTGCGGTGTCTTCAGTCCATTCCCAAGCTGGGTTACTCAGTCCATTTTTTTGCTCTTCCCTGCCTCTTCCATAGCCCTTGCCCTGGCTCCGGCCCAGGCCTCTGGCTTCTGAGGGTCTTAGGGCCTGAGTGTCCCTGGAGACTTGGAATAGATCCATGGACTTCTCAGGATTCCAGCCACCATTCAAGTCAGGGGCTCTCATTCCTGGCTGTACATTAGAATCGTTGTTTTTTTCACCAAAAAAAAAAAAAAAAAAAATTCCAGTGTTCAGGCTGTTCTTGCAAAGGTTCTAATTGAATTGGTTTGGAGTGAGCCCCAGGCATTGGTCTGCTTTTTATGCTCCCCAGGCGACTAGGGTGCAACCAGAGGTGAGAACCACAGAGCCAGGACCTCTAAAGTGTGGCCTGTGGACTGGCAGCATTGGCATCAGCTGGGAGCTTCTTAGAAATGCAGAACCTGGCCGGGTGCGGTGGCTTACGCCTGTAATCCCAGCACTTTGGGAGGCCGAGGCGGGTAGATCACGAGGTCAGGAGATTGAGACCATCCTGGCTAACACAGTGAAATCCTGTCTCTACTAAAAATACAAAAAATTAGCCGGGCATGGTTGCGGGCACCTGTAGTCCCAGCTACTCGGGAGGCTAAGGCAGGAGAGTTGCTTGAACCTGGGAGGTGGAGGTTGCAGTGAGCCAAGATTGTGCCACTGCACTCCAACCTGGGCGACAGAGCGAGACTCCGTCTCAGAAAAAAAAAAAAAAAAAAAAAAAAAACCAGGTGCGGTGGCTCATGCCTGTAATCCCAGCACTTTGGGAGGATCACCTGAGGTCAGGATTCGAGACCAGCCTGGCCAACATGGTGAAAAACCATCTCTACTTAAAATACAAAAATTAGCCGAGTGTGGTGGCAGGCACCTGTAATCCCAGCTACTTGGGAGGCTGAGGCATGAGAATCGCTTGAACCTGGGAGGCAGAGGTTGCAGTGAGCCAAGACTGTGCCATTATACTCTAGCCGGGGCAATAGGAGTGAAACTTTGTCTCAAAAAAAAAAAAAAAGGCAGAATCTCACCCAGACCCCCCAGATCAGAGCCTGCATCTGAGGAGGATCTCCAGGGCTTCATACTCATATTAAAGCTTGATCGGCCCTGCTCTGGCCCAGGCAGCTTCGATGGACACTGTGGGAACAAGGCTCCAGTTAGTCTTTACTGATGGTGGCGACGTGTCCTCTTCTCCAAAGACGACCACTGGGGCTGGGACATCTCCAACCCACCTCTCTGAGGGGGATTCCTGGTGACCTCTGCTCCTCCTGCCTCCTCCATCTGGGTCTGGTCTTGGAGATATGCTAATCAGTGTGGGAGTCCACCCTTCACATAATTATCATATACAAGAGGCTCCTCATCTCAGGGTAATTTTCTCATCTGCATAATTGTCTTCGACTTCCTTACAGATGGAAAAACCCCTTTACCTTGGGCGAGTTAATCTTCATTGATTGAATATCAAATTCATTCGAATGAGGGAGAAGAGACTTTGCTTTCTCAGCAGCAGAACCCTCTGAGGCTGAAAGCCGTGCTCAGCTGGGGGCCGAGGGGCCTTCACTTTGTCCCTGTCCTTGCCCGGCTTGTCAACGGCCCCCTCCCCTTCCCCTCTGACTCACTTTCTCCATGGCTGCACCTTTCCACTTCTGCTTCTCTCTTTCTTGCTTTTTCTCTGTTTTGTCTTCATCTTTCTGTCTCTGTTGTGTTCCTTAGTGTCTTGGTCTTTGGTTCTGTTTGTGGTTGTTGTTGTTTTGAGACAGGGTCTTGCTCTATCGCCCAGCCTGGAGTGCAGTGACATGATCACAACTCACTGTAGCCTCAACCTCCTGGGCTCAAGCAATCTTCCCACCTTAGCTGGGAGTAGCTGGGAATACAGGCATGTGCCACCATGCCCGGCTAAATGTTGGTCTCAAACTCCTGGGCTCAAGCAGTCTGCCCTCCTTGGCCTGCCAAAGTGCCGGGTTTACAGGTGTGAGCCACCCTGCCTGGCCAGCTCTGTTTTTAAATTTTCCTGTCTTACCTTTGTTTCCTTTCTTTCCTTGTCATTCCATCCCTTCCCTATCTCTCCAAGTCTCAGACTCTTTATTTTATATTTTATTATTATTATACTTTAAGTTTTAGGGTACATGTGCACAACGTGCAGGTTTGTTACATATGTATACATGCGCCCTGTTGGTGTGCTGCACCCATCAGACTCTTTCTTTACTTGAAACCCCAAGTGTCTCAGCTATGTCCCCACTCACAACTTGGTGAAAGAAAAAAAAATCCAGTGTGAACTCATTGCAGAAGCAGCTGAGATTCTTGGGGAGACAGAGGGCCTCAGCAGCGGTGGAGGTGGGGATAGGAGGGAGGAGGACAGGATGTCCTGGGACTGTGATGCCCTGGATCCCAGGTCCTGGCTGGGAGGCCCATCCTTAGGTTAGAAAATGTAAGACCTAACCAATAAGAAATGTTGTAGGTCTTCACAACCACCCTGAGAGTGGTATTTTCCTATTTTCAAACAGGGATATGATCAACATGTCCAAGTCCCATGAGTAATGGCAGGACCAGGACTCGAACCCAGGCCTGTTTAACCCTGGAGACGGCCCATGATTATTCAGGAGGAGGCTGAGGCCAGGCCTTCTGCTCTCAGTAGGCCTTGAAGCAGGTGAATGAATCAGCTTAAGTCTAGAACCTGTCATTTCTCCTCAATCCTCTCCCCTGTCTTAAGAATGAGCCCTAAGGGGTCATCTGGGTTCAGGCCATGGGAGGAATTTTCAGGGACTTTAGACAAGAGAGGACACAGGATTGCTTCTCCCTCTGGGGCCCTGGGCTTGTATTACTTTATTTTTTTTGTTTTGTTTTGTTTTGTTTTTTTGAGACAGAGTCTTGCTCTGTCACTTAGGCTGGAGTGCAATGGCACGATCTTGGCTCACTGCAACTTCCGCCTCCTGGGTTCAAGCGATTCTTGTGCCTTAGCCTCCCAAGTAGCTGGGATTACATGCACCCATCACCATGCCTGACTAATTTTTCTATTTTTTTTTTTTAGTACAGACAGGGTTTCACCATGTTGGCCAGGCTGGTCTTGAACTCCTGGCCTCAAGTGATCCGCCTATCTTGGCCTCCCAAAGTGCTGGGATTACAGGTGTGAGCCACTGCGCCAGGACTCACTTTGTCTTTGAAGGGCAGGAAACAGACTTCCCAGTTTCATCTCTGTGGAGGGATTTATGCCTGAGGCTAAGCCCTGCAGAACTTGGGGCATAGACTTTAGACTTTTTGGTTGTTTACCAGTTTATCCATAAATCCATGTCTTTGCTGGGCACTTTCTATGTTGTAAGGCACTGGTGATACAAAACTTGATGGGCCACAAGTCCAGCCCCAGAGGACTCCACAGTCTGGTCAGACAATCAGATATAGGAACAAATAATTACAATGCACTCTGATAAGTGCATCTGTGGAGGTTTCTGTGGGTGCAACGTCCTCTGCTACAGAAAGGGAAGATTTCAGTGAGGAGGTAATATGGAAAACGGGTCTTGAAAGCTGAATCAACATTTTCTAAAGAGAAGAGCGGGATAGTGTTCCAGACAGAGGGTCAGCCATGTAAACACCCACGAGTATGAAGACCATGCTGTGTCAGGGAATAGAGCAGTTCTGTGATTGAACACATTTTCTTTTTAAAGGTGGGGGTGGGAGATGGGACTGGAAAGGTGGCGGAACCCAGATTGTGAAAGGTCTTATAGACCTTGGCCAGGAGTTTAAGCTTTATTCTTCAGATGGAGGAAACCATTTAGAAGGATGAGCCCATTTAGAAGTATGAACCAGGGCCGGCTGCAGTGGCTCATGCCTGTAATCCCAGCACTTTGGGAGGCCGAAGTGGGCTGATCACCTGAGGTCAGGAGTTTGAGATCAGCCTGGCCAACATGGCACAACCCTGTCTCTACTAAAAATAAAAAGAATTAGCTGGGTGTGATGGTGCATGCCTGTTAGCCCCAGCAACTTGGGAGGCTGAGGCATGAGAATCACTTGAACCCAGGACATGGAGGTTGCAGTGAGCCAAGATTGCCACTCCATTCCATCCTGGGTGACAGAGTGAGACTCTGTCTTAAAAAAAAAGAAAAAAAATTATGAACCAGGAGTGAATATATTATTCTTTAGGTAAGCCTGGCTGCTGTAATAAGTAAACCGCCAAATTTCAGTGGCTTCCCCCAAAAGGTGTCCTTCTTACTTACACAGCAGTCCAATATGGGTGCTCCAGATTGCTGGGTCACTTCTTCCACATGGTGATTCAGGACGCACCAGCCTCCTTACACCCCCGTCTTAGTCAATTTGGGCTGTGATAACAACCAACCCTAGATAGACTGGGTGACTTAAACAACAAACATTTATTTCTGATAGTTCTGGGGGCTGGGAAGTCCAAGATCAAGCTGCTGTGGATCTGGTGTCTGTTAAGGGCCCATTTCCTGGTTTGCAGACAGCTGTCTTCTCATTGTATCCTCACACGCAGAGAGCAGAGTGGGACAGGGGAGACTGTGTCTCCTCTTTTCATAAGGGCAATATTCCCGTTCATGAGGGCCTCACCCTCATGACCTGATATCTACCCATAATTACCTCTCAAAGGGCCCGCCTCCAGATACTATCACATTGGGTTAGGATTTCAACATAGGAATTTTGAATTTGATTATGAATATTAATTACAAATATCAATTTTTTGGGGGGAGGCACAAACTTCAGTCCACAACACCCCTAAGAGTGAGGAATCTTGGAAGGTCTTGGAATCCCCCACTTCCAGCTGGTGGACAAGGAAAGAGAGAGGGTGGAGAAGGTACAGTTGCTTCTTAATCACTTGGCCCAGAAGCAACACACATCACTTCTGCCTGCATTCCACCCGCGAGAAGTAATTACACGGCCTCAAGCAGTTGCAAAGGGCTCTGGGAAATGTAGGACCTGGCAGGGTGGTGCCCTCCAGTGATATATGCCCCCTTTGAAAGGTGCAGCATGAACTTTTGGTGCACAGTTAGCTGCCTCTGCCACCGGTTGAGTTTTAGGACAGGACCTCTGTCAGTAGAGTAACAACGGACTATGAACGAAGGTTTGGAGGAGAAGCAACTAGAGAAGTCCCAGTAGGAGGCAGTTGCATTAGCCCAGAAGAGAGAGAATAGAGTCCTTGTACTTAAACTGCTTACTCTAGACAGCCCTTTCCTTGAGGGGCATTGTGGGGAAATAGAAGACTTCTACCTTCCCTACATTAGTATAGGACTTAGGCTGAGCCTATGGAGAAAAGGGTGGGGTGGGAGGTAGGGGATGGGGATGGAGATGGGAGCAGATTGGTGGACCTGGCTTCAAATCCTGGCTGCACTGTGTCCTCAGCCCATTACCTTGAGCAGTTTACTTGACCTCCAAGCCACAGTCTCCTCATCACTAAGACAGAGATGATAATGACACCTGGCTTACATGATCATTTTAAGTGCTTAGCAGACTGTCTGGAAAGTATCCAATAAATGCTAGACAGTCTCATGAGTGTTGTTGTTATTCAAAGACAGTCTGGGGGTTCAAATTCTTGCTCAGATGCTTGAAATCTAAGTGAATTTAGATACAGGCTCTCTGAGCCTCAGTGGACTCATCTATAAAGTGGCGATAATAATAATAATAACTGTCTTGCAGGGCTGCTGTAAGGATTAGAGTTCTGCAACAGAAGACCTAGCACAGTGCCAAACACATTGTAGGAGCTCAGAAGATGTCAGCAATAGTTTTTATCTTACCACTATCACTAATGTTACTACCATTGATGTTATTCTCATCATCATTATAATTATCTCTGAGTGCTCAGCATCTAGTAGATGCTTGGTAAATATCAAATCAGTGGATGAATGACTACCTCTAGAAGCTCCTTTTATTCCTTCATTACAGGTCCTGGCTCCCTGACTTCATTTCTCCTATATATTTTATGCAGGATCTGCTTCATGGCAGAACAGAGTAATGGTTAAGAGCTGGGTTCTGGAGGGAGCAAGATGTGATTGTGTGTCTGTGTCCCAGCTCTGCCACCTGCTAGAGGTATGTAACCTCTCTGAGTCTCAGTCCCTCCATCTGTAGAATGGAATTCTCAACAGTACATGCCTCATGGAGTTGTAGGAGGTGTATCCAAGCTGATGCTTGTAATACAGCGCCCAGTGCTGTAAGCACCTGTAAGCACTCAGCGAAGATCATCCACCTTCCCTACATTAGCATGGGACTTTGGCTGAGCCTATGGAGAAGTGGGTGGGATGGGTGATAGGGGATGGGGATGGACATGGGAGCAGAGAAAGAAGGTGAGGCCAGGCTGTGAAGGCCTTGAATGCCAGGCTAGGTGGCTCTAACTGGGCCTTGCCTACTCTCTCAGGATCCTGGAAAGGGGCCCTGGTCTAAGGGCTCCGCCTGCAGACCCTTTGAGACAGAGCAAGGCTAGGGCACCCTACAGGGGCAGGCACACATCTTCTTTGGACTCAGCTGTCTCCAGCTGGAGTGGTGGGGAAAGGAAGGTCATTTGCAATTCAGATCTGGGGCAGATGGGAGGATGCCATAGATTGGTGGGGGGCGAGGGGGACACGAGTGGAGTCAGCTGCTTTACTTCTCACGCACATCCTCCGCCAGCCCTTCCTAGCCTGGCTGCAGCCCCTCAGAGCACAACCCAGGCTCAGGTCTGTCCCAGCCCACTTAGACACATGCTCTAAGTGCTTTACATAAGTGAACTGATAACCATATGAGGAAGATTATTTTACAGATAGCGAAAGTGAAGTCCAGAGAGGCAAAGCAACGTACCCAAGGTCACACAGCAGAGCTGCAGCTCACGTCAGGCTGCCGGGCTCTAGAGCCCATGCTGACTCATGCATTGCACCATCACAAAATTCCTCCCAGTTACAGCGCCTCCACCTTGTGGCCCAAAGACCCGGGAGGATGTTGTGTGAAGCGCATTGGACACACGTAGCCGAGTTTCTCCTGTGAACCTGCAGCTGGCCTGGGGGTATCTCCCACCTTCTTCACAGTCCATGCGGCTCCCCTGGGGCTGCTAGGCCACTTTAGCAGGGAAATCACAGACCCAGGCCCTTCCCACTCTCTGGGTCCTGAGTCTCTTGCCCCTCCTCTCCCCAGCTCCCCTGGGGCTGCTCTAGAACTGAGACCGTGCTGGCTGTGCCAGGTCAGCCACTGTGGGTCCCGCTCATCTTGCCCCTCCCAGCTCACCCTCCCTGGGGCCGACTGGGGCACTCTCTGCCCACAGGCTGATGGCCTGGGTGTCAGAAAAAGGCTGAGTCTTAGGAGAAGGCTGTGTCCTGAGGTGGTAAGGGGACCTCTGGACCATCAAAGGGGACCCAGGTGATAGATCAGGACAGGCAGGTGCAGGGACTCAGGGGCAGACTGACCCCCGGAGATGGTTAACCTAGGACAAAGCAGGTCAAATATCTGGGGACGACTGCTTTGCTTCTCCCTTTCGACGGAGAGGAAGTAGTGGGTGTGAAGTACCCTCACACACATGCCCATCACCTGCCCTCTCCAGCCACCATGTGGTCCTGGGAGGCGGGGACTGTTGGCTCCATCTTACAGCAGAGAAAATGGCAATTCCAACAAGGCCCTACTTGGCGAGTCTTTGTTCCTTGATGGCCAAAAAGGTCCATTCCCCATCCCCTGGCCCCTCTCCTTTTCCAGTCCCCGAGGGAGAAAGGACAGGTAGGCTGGCAGCTTCCCTGCTGGATGGTCCTTTCCCGTCCATGGGACTTCTGTGCCGATGAAGTCATTCATCCAGGTGGGACACCATGCTGTGAGTGACTGACTGACTGGGAAAGAGCCAGCGAGGGCCCTGGCCAGCCTCTCCTCCCTGCTGAAGCTGGATGTTGGCCCTCACTCGCTGTGTGACCTTGTGCTAGCCATTTTCTCCCAAGTGCCACCATTGTCTCATCTGTGAAGTGGGTAGCACATTCACCTCTTCACCAGATTAGTTTGTGAATGCCCTTAGCCAGCACCTGTGTAAGCCCCAGCCCGCCATCCACTTAATGACTGAATGCTCTAATCACTGCCCCCACCAAGATCTTGGTTCCCCAGTGGAGCCCACCCTCCTCCCTCTGTGACCTCTGACCCTTTCTCCTCCTCCCTGCGATTCCTCCTCAGCAAGGGCTGTGAGTCCCTTCCCCCCATGAGGCCCAGGGGGCCCAGAGAAATTAGACTGAATCAAAGCAGAAAATGAGTTTTCATTCATCTTGGAATGATGCGAGAGGTTACGGGCAAGACAAATAGCAGCCTCCCCCTCTTCCTTTATCACTGTCACCGCAATTAATAGGCTGTGGCCTTCGTTATCCAGGCCTTTGCTAAGGAGAGAGCAGGTCCCCGGGCGATGCTAACGAGGGAGAGGAAGCAGGCTTCACTCCATCCAAGTCCTGCCATGTGGCCATATGCTCACCTGGCCCTTCAAACTCACAAAGGAGGGGTGCAGCCACCCGCAGGGCAGGCCGGGTGAGAGGGGAACAGTCTCCCAATACCTCTGAGAGTGCCCAGCCAGTCTGTGGTCTGATGATCAGCACAGCTGCCTCATCACAAGGACAAGCTATGTGTTATTTCCTCTTCATACGACGCCTAGGAGCCAGGCGTCTCTTCTCCAATTTTTCTGATGAGGAAACTGAGATTCAGAGCATACTTATTTGAAGCTACTTGTTTGAGGAGGTCACATAGATTGGGAAGAGGAGGAGCCAGGCTTTGAACACAGACCTGCTTGACCCCAAAGCCTGGGTTCCTCACTATCATATTCTATTGACCAACCATATGGAAGGAGCGAGGACTGGCAAACAGGTCCCTGAAAGTCTCTGAGTCCAGGGTTTTCGTATAAAAAGAGCTTTAGAGGTCAACTGAGTCAACATTAATTCCACACTCTGGCCCGAACTTGGGGCCTCAGATCCTGCAGGGACATTGGAGTTATTGCCAGTCCTTAGCCTGAACGATGTCTTTGTCAAAAGGACCAAAATGAAAGTCCTTTATTCAAGTGTGAGTTGATACTATTCAGATAATTTTAAAAATGAATTCCTTTAAAGGCTGACTGAACGCCAAAGGGGCTTGGTTCATTGAGTATTGCTCAATCAATGAATACTGTAGTACTTATCTATTACTGTGTAACAAATTATCCCAAAACTTAGTAGCTTAAAACAACAATAAATATTTACTATTTCTCACAGTTTCCATGGGTCTGGAATTCAGGAGTAGCTTGGCCAGCAGCTCTGGCTTAGGGTCTCCTGTGACGTTACAGTCATATGTTGGCGGAAACTGCAGTCATCTGAAGGCCTGACCAGGGCTGGAAGATCTGCTTCCAAGATGGCACACTTGTGTGGTTGGCATGTTGCCACCTGCTGCCGGTGGGAGGCCTCAGTTCCTTTTTGTGTGGAGCGCTCCATAGGATGGCTCATACCAGGGCACCCAGCTCTCTGAGAGCTGTGATCCAATAGAGCAAGGCAGAAGCCACCTGCCATTGATGACTTAGCCTCAGAAGCCATATACTGTCACCTCTGCCATACTTTACTGGTCACAAAGATCACCCTGATTCGATGTGGGAGGGAATTAACATGGGTGCGAACTCCAGCTGGTGAGCATCATCTTGGGGGCTAAAATCAAAAGAACATTTTGTAGAGTTACGAAGGGAGCCTCAAGGTTCAGAAAACAGGGGAAACAATCTAGTGTTAACCATCAGGACAATCTTTACCTTTTGGGGAAGTAGGGACTGGGAAGGGCCGTAAGGGGACTTCTTGGGAGTCAGTGATGTTTTATTTCTTGGTCAAGATGCTGATGAACTTTGTGAAAAATCACTGTGTGTGTTTATGATGCTTCAGTAAAAAATTCTAAAGAGGGGTCCTTATCCTTGAAAAGGTTTGGAGCCATCTGTGTAGGTGGTGGTGGTGGTGGTTGTTGTTGTTGTTGTTTTGGAGACAGAGTGTAGCTCTGTCGCCCAGACTGGAGTGCAATGGCATGATCTCGGCTCACTGCAACCTCCACCTCCTGGGTTCAAGTGACTTTCCTGCCTTAGCCTCTCAAGTAGCTGGAATTACAGGCACCTGCCATCATGCCTGGCTAATTTTTGTATTTTTTGTAGAGACGGGGTTTCACCATGTTGGCCAGGTTGGTCTTGAACTCCTGACCTCAGGTGATCTGCCCACCTCCCAAAGCGCTGGGATTACAGACATGAGCCACCTTGCCTGGCCAGTTCTAATCCGTAGGGGAGAAAACACTGGGACTCAGGGACGGAAGGTGACTTGCTCAAGGTCCCTTGGTGGGTCAGGTGTGGAGTTTTGGACTGGCATTTGGGACTCCTGGGTCCTGAGGAATGGCCTTTTACAGGCACTGTGGGGACAGGAGCCGATGCCATCAGCAGGCTGGGGCTGGGGCTCTGTTTCCTGAACTCTGCTGCCCTTCCTCTCCCCAGGTCCCCCCAGGGCTGCTCCAGAACTGAGACCGTGCCGGCTGTGCCAGGTCAGCCACTGTGGGTCCCGCTCACCCTGCCCCTCCCAGCTCACCCTCCCTGGGGCCGATCGGGGCACTCTCTGCCCATAGACAGACAATCTGAGTGCCAGAGAAAGACTGAGTCTTGGGAGAGGGCTGTGTCCTGAGGTGGTAAGGGGACAAGGATAGGAGGAAGTCTGCTGTGTTAGAACATGATTCACTCAGATGACAATGACTGTCTCCCTTGGCCAGACTCAGGCCTTTCAAGGCAGGGACCCGTCCTGATTCAGCTCTGTGTTTCTTGTGTCCATCAGTTCACCCAGCAAATATTTACTGAGCACCTATGATAGGCACTGGTGATGTGACAACGAACAGAAAAGACAAAAGCTCTGCCCTTAGGGAACCAACACTCTAGTAAAGGTAGACAAAATGAAACAGGTAACATATAGAATATGAGGTGCATAGGAGCGTGTGTGTGGAGTTGTGTCAGGGAAGACTTTATTAAGAAAATGACATTTGAGCAAAGACTTGAAGGAGACCGGGGGGAGCCTAAGGTTGTCAGCAGGAAGAGTATTCCAGGCAGAGGGAAATGCATGTTCAAAGACTTGGACAAGAGAGCATGCGTGGCATGTTAGGAATAGCAAAGGGGCCAGTGAGGCCAGGCAGGCTGAGCAAGGAGGAAGCTCAAGCTAGGGGGCCCATCTGGCCTTGGTTTGAACCCTGGTCCTGCTATTCCCTAACCAGTGACCTGAGGGCTCTCTGTTGCACAGGGAGGGTAATCCCACCTACCTCAAAAGTCCTTTTCAGGCTTTTTCTTGAGACTGGATCTCCCTCTGTCACTCAGGTTGGAGTGCAGTGGTGCAATCTCAGCTCACTGCAGCCTCCGCTTTCCAAGCTCCAGCCACCCTCCCACCTCGGCATCCTGAGTAGCTGGGACCACAGGCGTGCACCACCATGCCTGGCTACTTTTTGTATTTTTGGTAGAGATGGGATTTCACTATGTTGCCCAGGCTGGTGTTGAACCCCTGAGCTCAAGTGATCACTTGACTTGGCCTCCCAAAGTGCTGGGATTACAGGTGTGAGGCACCGTGCCTGGCCTTTTTTTTTTTTTTTTTTTTTTGAGACAGGGTCTTGCTCTGTTGTCCAGGCTACAGTGCAGTGGCACGATCTCAACTCACTGTAGTCTCAACCTCCCAGGCTCAAGCGATCCTCGCCTCTCAGCCTCCCGAGTAGCTGGGACTATGGGCTTATGCCACTATGCCCAGCTAATTTTTTTTTTTTGTATTTTTTTGTAGAGATGGAGTTTCATCATGTTGTGCAGGCTGGTCTGGGCTCAAGTGATCCACCTGCCTTGGCCTCCCAAAGAGCTGGGATTACAAGTGTGAGCCACTGCACCTGGCCCCTTTTCAGGTTTAAACTCAGCCATACCTTTAGTGACATGTCCACAAAGGTTGAAAGAGACAGATGGTCCTCGTCTGCCCCGCTTCACTGGGATATAAGCTTCACGATGGCCAGGGATTTTGTCTGTTTTGTTCATTGCTAACTTCCCAGACCCAGAATAGTGTCCTCAACAGGGGCCTTCACGCGCCTTACAATTAAACCAACAGTGACAATATACTGTGATGAAACGTACAACAAAGGGGAGATGCAGGGAGCTCTTGGCAAGGGAGCTGATTGGAGAATGTCAGGGAGGGCTTCCCGGAGGAAGCTGCGGCTTTGACCTGCTAATGAGTAGGGGTTAGCCAGACGGGGGTTCCAGGCAGAGGGAACAGCATGCGTGAAAGCCCAGAGGCTGGAGAGAGCAAATTACTTTGAATGTTTCAATACAGCTAGAATAGAGCACTGGGAGGGTCGAGTGGGCAGAGTGGTATGGGGTCATGGGACAGGAGGGGCTGGGGTGGGGAGACATGGCTAGAAATTAGGTAAGCAGAGTGCTGTATTCTAAGAGCAGTGAGAATATTCAGGTGACAATCATGTAGGTAACACAGTACCTGGCACATAAAGTGAGATGGAGGGAGGGAAGGAAGGAAGGAAAGGAGGGAGGAGGGGAGGGAGGAAGGAAAGGGGGGGGAGGGAGGAAGGAAAGGGGGGGGAGGGAGGAAGGGAGGAAGGAAGGAAGGGAGGGAGGGAGGGAGGAAGGAAGGAAGGGTAAATGGAAGGAAGGAAGATTCTAGCCAACCACAGTCTAGCCCCATGCTGTTTTCAGTAGCCCTGTGGCTGGAGCTCCTCTGTAACCCTGCAGCTCAGCAACACTCCTGGGGTATCCAGCCCTACGGCCCCTTTTCCAGGCCCAACAGGCCTCAAGGCCTCCTAGGACAGAGTCTGCCCTGCTCCCTCCCACTGTCTGTGCTCTGCACCATGCAGGGTGGGGTGGGGCAGACAGCCCCAGGCTCCCCACCATGAACGTGTGTTCTGGTTCAGTGGAAGGACCTTAAATGCACAGACAAGGACACAGCAGTAAAGGATGATGTGGCCGAACCCCCCGGTTCCACGGCGAGCAGACCCCAGGTGTGTGATCGGGAGCAGTTAAATTTCATCATTACCCTTTCTCCGATGGTGTTTTTTATAGTCTTTTTTACTACTGGCACTAAAGGTTCTGGACTCATCCTGGCGGACTGGAGGACATCACTCGTCGAGCTGACTGCTCTGTGATATAAAAAAATGACAAGTCCTGGCTTAATCTTTCTGATAACTGTGTTCCGCGCCTCCATCCATCTCCACCAAGGGGTTTGGGCGAAGCTGGAAGACAAGAGCATCCCAGCATTTAAGAATGAAAAATTAAGTGCCCTTTTTAAGCACAGCGTGGAGCTCCCTGGCTTGGTGCTGTTCTAGAGGTGGGGGGAGAGGGGCAGGGGAGGGGAGAGTAAGTCCAGCTGGGTCTCCTTCAGGTCCCGGGGTGGGGGGATGGACAGCGGGTCCCACACGGTGTCGTGGGAGTGCCAGGTGTGAGCACGTATACTTGGAAGTGTGCACATGTCTTGTGCCCCCCGGGTGGCCCCTTGTGCCTGAGCCTCTGTGGCTGTGGTTTTCTGTGTCTGTATCTGGTGGTGTATGTCTAATATGGGAGAGTGAAAATAGCCCTGCACTGCAAGTCAGGATGCCTGGGTTGGATTCCTAGCTTAACTTTATTTTAATTTTTTTTAAGAGAGCCTCCCATGTTGGCCTCGAACCTCTGGGCTCAAGGGATCCTTCTGCCTCAGCCTCCCGAGTGTCAGCTCTACTGGCTTTAGCTATGTAGCCTTTTGGCAAGTCGTTTTCCTGCTCCGGGCCTCAGTTTCCTCATCTGTAAAATCAGTGAGCTGGGATCGCCCGGAGCCAAGGTCTTCAAGCAGCACCCACTGGCTGGCTGATCCCAGGCCTGTCACACGTCTATTTTCATCTGTTTCCCTGTCTGTCCCAGGAGACCTTTGCTCCAGATGACCTCCAAGGCCACCCAGGATGTGACAACCCTAGAGCCAGGGAGCCAGCAAGACCCCTCCGGGCCCAGGTTCCCGGCCCAGCATCCCAGCTCTGGCCCAAAGCCAGCTTCCAGGTGTGGCTCAGACTTTTCTGTGCCTAGGAGAGCAGCCACCTGTTTCCTTTCCATGCCCCAGAAAGGGCCAGAAGCAGGGGCGGCCCTTGGGAACAGGGTGCAGAGGGCAAGAGCAGAGGCTTTGCTTCAAACCTGGCCTTTGATTCTAGTCTTTCTTACCAGTTGTATCGTGACCTTCTGAACCTCAGTTGTCTTGCCTGTAAAATGGAAATGAAGGGGATGGTTAGCACTCCCACTGGATCAAATAAGCTGCACCTCATACATAGTAAGTGCTCAATAAATGGTGGTTAGTATCAGATGTCCCTGAAGGAGCAACCCTCCCTCCCAAGCTTTTTATAATCACCAAAAGCTCTGAACAGAATTTGCCTGTCTGCCACCCCCTAATCCCATCTCCAATGCCTTCCTCTCCCTCCCTTGGAAATCCATCAGGGGGGACAAATGGCCGTCTGGTTTTTGATGAGAGAGGGAGGGGGAGCTAGTTGGGAGACCCTGGCTGCCAGAGGACTGGCTTGTCCCTGAAGGGGCCAAACATTTGTTGTAAATAATAGTGAGAGGAAGAAAAACAAAAACCAAAAAACCTGCAAAAGGCTCCCACCTGGGCCCCAGCAGATGCAGCCCCCTACACAATCCCTTTATCACCAGCGCCTGTGGTTTGGAGAACAAGATGCCAAGCCGATAGGGCCTCGGTTATCTGAGGCAGGCAGTGTTTATCTGGGCAGTTTCCGCAGGCCAGGGTCCCCATTGGTGTGTGTGTTATCTGGGCCAGAGGGGGAGCAGCGGGAGATTTGGCCCCACTCCCCCACTCGGCAGAGTCAGTGGGAAGCTTTAGGATGGGGAGGGAGGTGGGCAATGAGGACCTCTTGTGCAGCTGGGAAGATTTGTGGTGAAGAATGGCCAAGGTCCCCGCAGGCCTCAGGCCCAGGCTTCCTTACCCTGGGGCATTTGGGGCTGGTGTGAACTTGCCCGAGAGATTCGGTGTCATGCCCATGCCAATGGAGGTCAGTAATCTTATTTACCCTGTGTGCGGGGGGAGCCATCCCATTCTACAGACAACGAGTCCTGGACAGGTCGTGTCACTTGGCTAAAGGCACCCAGCCAGTAAATGGCAGAGCCAGGATTTGAACTCTGGTGTGCCTAACTCTAAAAACGCTGGCCTTCCAAAACAAATCCTATGACCTGAGCAGAGTGGACCCCAGTCCCTTTCAAAGGAGTGGCACATACATTCTCAGAGACTGTTTGTGTCCATTCACTCTACAATCCCACGCCAGACTTGGAGACTGGGAGTTTAATTAAGCTTTATCTTTTCCCCCATTTTACAGATGAGGAAACAGAGACCCGGAGAGATACAGTCCTTGGCCAGTCAGCCAAGTTGGAGCATAGCTTGGACTTTGAACCCAGTCTCCCAGCTCCCAGTCTGCCTGCAGCCCTGTCCCTCTCCACCCCCAAGCCCTGACCAGAATTCTCTTCTGTACATCCAGAAGGGCTTTCCCATTCCTCAGACTCTCTGAGGCAATTACAGTCCCTACCACTCATGTGGCCCTTAATCATTTACTGCCCTTGCAAACAGCCTGTGGTCAAAAGCAATAAAGTTCGGACTTGGACAGATCAGACCTCGTGTGGCTGTTGTTTGTGCACACGGCCCACCTCCTTTACTGACTGGAAGAGCTCAGAGGGCAAGAACCAGGTGGCTAGAGGTTTCCGTGTTCTCCCTGCCCTGCTGCCACACTGAGGGGGTTTGGCGAGCGAATGCACACGCTTGGACCTGGTGCTTGGCACATCAGCTGGGGAGGAGGCATAGGGTCAGGGACACGGGAGGAGCTGGCTCCTTACACTCTAGAGGGCCAAGGTTAAACCCAAGGCCTGGCCCAGCCCCATTGGCCAACCCTGGCATCCTACATGTTAGTGACTGGCACCACAGCCACTCCTCCTCTCTCACTCCACCTTCTCCTCTCCTCTCTCACTCCACCAACCAGTCATTTCCAGCTCCCATCAGTTCTGCATCTGAAATACTTCTTTTTGGTCAGGCCACCAGCTGCACACCCTGGACTACTCCACCAGCCTCCTGATTGGCCTCCCTGCCTCCTGATTGGCCTCCTTGCCTCTGGTCTACTCTCCAGTTGCAATAAGAGTGATCTGAAAATGCAAACTTCAGCTTGTTCCTCCACTACTTAAATGTTCCTGGGTCGGCCAGGCACGGTGGTGTGAGCCTGTAATCCCAGAGTTTTGGGAGGCTGAGGCGGGTGGATCATTTGAGGCCAGAAGCTCGAGACCAGCCTGGGCAACATGGTGAAACCCCATCTCTACTTAAAATACAAAAAAATTAGCTGGGTGTGGTGGTGCATGCATGTAATCCCAGCTACCCCGGAGGCTGAGGCACAAGACTCACTTGAACCTGGGAAGTGGGGGTTGCAGTGAGCTGAGATTGTACCACTACACTCCAGCCTGGGCGACAGAGCAAGACTCTGTCTCAAAAAAATAATAATAAAATAAATAAATGCTCCTGGGTCATAACTCTCCTATGACCTGGTCCTAGCCCACCTCTCCAGCCTTTCTGCTGGTGCTCTTGGCCACTCTGAACTCTGGGTTCTTCAAAATGACCCCCACACCTTGCCCTGGGTCATGGCACGTGCTGTTCTGTCAGCGGGAGGAACAGTCCTCCCTGCCCGGGCTCCCCTCACTGGCCGGCTCCTCCTCCTCTTCCTGGTCTCGCTTGGCATCACCTCCTCCAGGAAGCCTCCCCTATCCCCTACTGAGGTAGGTGCCCACTTGTCCAAGCCAGCTTTTGCACGAACCTATTATGGCCCCGAAAACACGGATGGGGAAGTGCCTGTCCTCTGTCTCTTCCATTAAACTCCAGGTTTCATGCAGGCAAGGGCTGTGCTGCTGTTCACTGAGGCTGCTTCTCAGTTAGTGTTTGGGAAGGAGCACGTGCTTGACATCGCCTCTCTTTCCTGATTCCTTTAACCCCTCAAAGGAACTCAAACAGAGAGTCCCTGGTGCTGGGGAACAGAGCGCATGGAGCCCACGCCTCTGCCCCTGGGTTTCCTGGGTGGTTCTGAACGATGATCTTCCCCTCCCAGTCCTGGGGCCTGTGGCTACCCTGTCCACTCCTACCACCCTCCTGTGACCACAGTGCAGCCCGCTCCCCAGAGATGGAGTGGGCAACAAGGCTCCGGCTTGGGCCTTCCTCTACGGAAACTCTGAAGTCACTCCACCTCCTGGTGGAGTCAGGGTGAGGAGTACCAGAGGCCTTCTGGGGGAAACTTGGGGCCCTGGGGCCGGCGGAGCATTCCCCAGGCCTCCCCTTCTTCCCACCCCCCTCCTGGGAGCCTCACCAGCCACTTCACTGCCTTCCCTGGCCTCCCTCTCCCCTGACTGCTGGGCCCTGGCAGAGGGCGTGGGACCGTGCATCCTGGTATGTGTATCCAGCTGCTGCTCGCCACAGCTGGCTGCATCGGCCTCACCGAGCCAGGGAGGGCACGCTCTGCCCCCCACCATCCCACCTCCCTCATTCCTCCACCCCCAACCCCACTCCCCGACCCCGACCCCCCTGCTCCATTGAATGCCCAAGATTGGAAGAGGGTCAACAGAATGTGGGGCCATTCATGGGTGGGGGCAGGATGTAGGTGTTCAGTGCCAGCCCCCGACTTACATGGTCCCTTCCTTGTTGGACACCCTGAGCCCCAGCTCTCCTGGCTGCTCCCCTCAGGACGGTGAGAGGCAGCAGCGTTCTCCCTTCTGGGGCCTCGGTTTTCTCTTCCGTTCAATGGAAGATAGGCTGCTTTGGGAAGGCCCTCACCTTGCAGGGAAGAGCCTAGAAAGTACAGCGAGGATATATGCACTTCACTGAGCAGCTCAGGGCATTGTGGGAGAGGCTGCAGGTGGGGGAGGCGGGATTAAAGCCCTGCTTGGGGGAGATTATGCCTGAATTGGGAAGGGGAGCAGTGAGAGGCAGGGCGGGCTTCGATTTGTGGGTAGAGTACAGAGGAGGGAGGCTCAGAGCACCTGGCCCAGGGCTGCAGGGATAGCATGGGATTGCCTGTGGCTGCAGACGGTACCATTCTAGATGAAGCGGCAGGGCGGGCCTCCGAGGGTCGGCTGGGGGAGCTTCCCAGCAACCTACCCACCCTAGCAGGCCGGGACCCCCGCACAGGACACCCATCCTGCCAACAAGCCAAGAAGCATTTGCGGAATGCTACCATGTGCCAGGGAAGAGACAAGTCCCCACACTTGGCCGTCAGAGAGTCCAGCACAGCAACAGGAACTGCCGCTGGGCAGCAGTCATGAAGTGGCCCAGGGAGAGGGCACGCCTGCGGTGCCAGGCCCCGTTTCCACGCCCGTTTCCTGCACTCATGGCATTAGCTCCTTTCTAACTCTCATGACACCTCTCTGAGGTATGTGCTATTGTCTTCATTCCCATTTTATGGATAATGAAAGTGAGACACGGAGAGGTGAAGTTATTTGCCCAAGGGCACACAGTTGAATCCCCAGGAGAAAAGCCTGAATCCAAACTTGGCCAGCTGGCTTCAGGGTGTTCTTCTCAGGCCTATGCCACTGACCTCCTCCCCAGGAGACAGGGAAGCTGTCTCCACATTTTGCGGATGAGGGAAGCAAAGCTCGGAGTGGAAGTGGTATAAGTGCCTCCTGTTACCTGTGGCACGCTCTAGCATTCATGACCTAGAGGTCAGGGTGCAAGGTTTCTTTAGGAGTGGTGAGTTTCCTTTGGACAAAGGTGCCTGAGCCAGCTGAGTCAAGGTTGCCGGAAACATGCCGCACATTTTTGTGCGTGAGTGTGTGTAAATGTATGAATGCTCGTGTGCACTGTATCTTATAGGCCTCAGCCAGCTCCCAAAAGCCTCATGGGGATGCCTCCGCCCTGCCCCAGGCATGCTATTCTCGGGACAGACACAAGCCCATCTGTCCCAAGACCCCTGTGCCCAGCTCCTGCAGCCTGGCCTAACGCTCCCCACCCACCCCCACGCCCCAGCCTCTGCTAGTGCCATCTGGCGGGTGGCAAGATGCCCACCCCCGGGGAGTGGGTGCCAGGGGCCAAGAGGGGAGCAGCTGGGAGGTTGAGCTGACCCCACAAGCAGCAGCACAGCCCCAGGCTCTGTCTGGGGAGCTGTAGCAGGGTCACTGCACCTCCTAACCCACGAGAGACACACTGCGAGGGTCTTTCGCTGGCCTCAAGACACAAGGAACCAGCTCGAACTGTTTACCATTGGGAATTCCCATCTCTGGGGACTCACCCCTCCCCCATAACTCACTCCAGAGAAGGAACGCGGGGTGCAAAGTCTTCCCGAGCACCCCCACCCAGAGCACTTAGCTCCCGCCGCTGCCACTGTCTGTTTCGCAACAACGGTTCATGCTTTTGCAGCTCTTATTTCGTGGCAGGCTCTGTTCTCAGTCCCTTTCTGTTGATTGACACCTTTAATCTTCACGCAACTCTGTGAGATAGATGTAATCACTACCCCCATTTCACAGATGGGAAAACGGAGCTACGAAGTGCTTAAGTAACATGCCCAAGGCACACAGCTGCTAAGTGGCCGAGCTGGGATTAGAACCCAAGCAGTCCAAGTCCTTCACATTGATTTTGCGCCTCCCATGGACCAAGCACTGTTCTGAGTGTTTTACATGAAGTAGCTCATTTAATCCTCACAACAGTGTTGCTATTGTTTCCATTTTACAGGTGAGGAAACTGGGGCACAGAGAGGTTGCATGACTTGCCTAAGGTGACACCAGTAAGAGGAGGAAATAAGTAGTGGGATTTGAACCCAGGCAGTCTGGCTGTTCACAGGATCCCAAGGTTCATGGGTGAAAGGTTCACTCAGTAAAATGCTGTAAGAATAGATGGAGATGGGCTCATTCGGCCTCCGCTCTTGTCTCTCCTCTCTGCATTATCCCATTCTCGGTAGCCACAGCCAGGGAGACAAGGCGGAGGGAGGAGAGAGCATCTGTGAGCTGGGCAGGCGGGCAGGCAGGCAGGCGCGGGCAGAGGCTGCACATGCTCACAACGTCTCTGCTGTGGCCAATTAAACAAATTGCAGCAAAACAGCATTTTATTAGTATTTGCCCATAGCAGTCTGGAGCTGCAATAAATTTCCTCCAGGCTGCGGCACTGGAGAGGCAGGCGGAGGGGTGTGTGTGAATGGGGGAAGAGATCGGTGCCATTGGAGGGGCATGGGGAGCAGGGTGTGGGAGGGAGACTTGGCATGTTAAGCAGTGGATGGTGGAAGAGAAACATCAGGAACGGCCCTGGGGGCTGTTGGGTATCAGAGTGGCTGTCTTCCCAAACAACCGCTCCGCTTCATCATAAGCACAGTGAGTTATGAGGCGGTGTTGTGCGCTGCACACGAGCAGCGGGGACCATGAAGCTGCCTGTCCTGGTTAGGCGGGGGGTGGGCAGGTGGGTGTGGGCAGGGAAGCCCAGTGCCTGGCTGAGGGTCCCCCCAAAACTCCATGGCAGCTGCCCTGGGTTCAGCCCTCATGATGGGATACCTGGGTCGCTGAAGTGGCCGCCTAATTGGTCTCTCCTCCTCCAATCTTGATTCATTCATTCACTCAAGAGGTATTTATTAAATGCCTGCTGTTTGCCAGGTCCTGGAGTAAACTGTCTGTAAACTATATCATTCTTCTATTTAAAAAACGTTTCCCTGCTGCTTTCAGTATCAACCCCAAGCTTCTGAGCCCGGTGTTCAAGGCCCTTCCTACGCAGGCTTCCTCCTCCCTTTCTAGCTTGTTCTGTGGCCACTCCCCTCCACCTCTCTGATAATAATAATAATGATAGCAGCTAACATTGATCAAATGCTCACTATGTGCCAGGCACTGCTCTACGTGCTTTATCATGTACAGTCGTGTGTTGATTAACGATGGGGATATGTTCTGAGAAATGCATTGTTAGGCGATTTCATCACTCTGTGAGCATCAGAGAGTGTGTTTACACAAACCTACCTGGTAGAGCCTATGACACACCTTGGCCGTATGGCATAGCCTATGCTCCTAGGCTACAAATCAGTACAGCACATTACTGTACTGAATACTGTAGGCAGTTGTAATACAATAGTAAGTATTTGCATATCTAAAGATAGCTACACAGGCTGGGCACAGTGGCTCATGCCTGTAATCCCAGCACTTTGGGAGGCTGAGGTGGGTGGATCATGAAGTCAGGAGATCGAGACCATCCTGGCCAACATGGTGAAACCCTGTCTCTACTAAAAATACAAAAATTAGCCAGGCATGGTGGTACATGCCTGTAGTCCCAGCTACTCGGGAGGCTGAAGCAGGAGAATCGCTTGAATTTGGGAGGTGGATGTTGGAGTGAGTGGAGATTGTACCACTGCACTCCAGCCTGGGTGACAGAGTGAGACTTCATCTCAAAAATAAAATAAATAAATAAATAAATAAATATTTAAAAAAAGAAAAAGAAAGAAAGAGGGAGAGAAAGGGAGAAAGAGAGAAAGAAAGGGAGGAACTGGAATGCTGGATGCAAACCAGGCATTCTGACTCCGCTCCCGCACAGCAGCCCACTGTTTCTTACACCCAGCCTTCCTCACCCCTGTGTGCTGTGCTCATGCTTTGCTTCTGCTGAAAACGCCCTCCAACCACTTCTCTGTCTGGCAAACTCCTACTCAACCATCAAGACCCCTCTCAATACCCCCTCTTCTCTCTGGTTCCAGGTAAAGAGAGCTGTTTGCATCTCTGTGCCTGCATAGCACCTGGAGATGTCACCCCTATGGCACTAATTGCACCCCCTTGAGGAGTTCTTGTGCCCTGCTGAGCTCCCTCAGAGCAGAACCTTCTTTGCATCCTTGGTGCCTCGCCCTGGCATTGGACCAGGATGGGCTGCCTGGCGGAGGTTAGGGGCAGTAGGCATTGAGGCTTAGCTGTAGAGTGAACCTTCACCTCCTCTCCATTCTGGAAGTCCTTGGGCCTAGGCCCTCCCTCCCTTCAGACCTCAAACTAAGGATCCTGATGGGAGATGAGGCTGGAGGAAGATAGGAAAAGGCAGGACTCTGGAGGGTGGCCTGGGGAGGAAGTGGCATTAACCCCTCAACCCCCCAGGGCCTTCCCAAGGGCATGGCGGGGTCACCTGATCCTGGGACCTATCTTCTGGCTTTGGGCCCAGCCAGTCAGGCTGTTCCAGTTGAGAGCTCTCAGCCACAAACGTTTTTTGGTTTTGTTTTGTTTTAACTTAAACTATATTCCCTCCTCTCCCTACCCACCTCCAGGCCCGCCATGGGTAACTTAAATCAAACCAGTCCCCACCAATTGCTTAGGGGTATGGGGGGACTAGTCTGATCTAAGTTTGATCTAAGATGATGGCATTTACAGGTGCTGTGCAGGCACAGAGAGAGAAACAGCTTCCTTTACCTGGAGTAGGATGCTGAGGGATCCCCTGGCCAGCCCTCCTCCCATTGCTAGGGAGGTTTCCATATGTAGGAGACCAGCAAAGGGCATGGGAGGCAGGACACCCCCTACACTCACTGTGGACTGCCAGGGCATCTAGGACTCAGGCCACATTGTTCTCCCAACCTCCTGGAAACAGGCAGCCACTCAGCTCCCTCCTCCTCTTCTCACCTCCCTCCCTTCCCCTCCCCGCCTCCCCCAACTCCAGTCCTTTTCCTCCAGGAAAACATCCTTCTTTTCCCCCAGTTTTAGTGAGATGCGTTGGCAATTAAAAATTGCATATATTTGGCTGGGCACAATGGCTTACACCTGTAATCCCAGCACTTTGGGAGGCTGAGGAAGGCAGATCACTTGAGGTCAGGAGTTTGAGACCAGCCTGGCCATCATGGTGAAACCCGTTTCTACTAAAAATACAAAAATTAGCCAGGTGCGGTGGCGCGTACCTATAGTCCCAGCTACTTGGGAGGTTGAGGCAGGAGATTTGCCTGAACCCGGGAGGCGGAGGTTGCGGTAAGCCAAGATCGCACCACTGCACTCCAGCCTGGACAACAGAGTGAGACTGTCTCAAAAAAAAAAAAAAAAAAAAAGCATATATTTGAGGTGTCTAATTTGATGATTTGATAGATGTATACATTGTGAAATATTCACCATAATCAAGCTAACACATCCATCACCTCACAGGTACCATTTTCTTCTCTTTCTTTTATTTTGGTGGTAAGAACACATAAGACCTATCCTCTTAGCAAATTTCAAGTATACAATACAATATTTTTCACTGGAGTCACATTGCTGTACCTTAGATCTTCAGAACTTATTCATCTGATGTAACTGAAACCTTATACCCCAAGACCGACATCTCCCATTTCCCCCTTCCTCTAGTCTCTGGTAACCACAATTCCACCTACCTCCGTTTCCATGAGTTTGACTATTGCAGATTTCACATGTAAGAGAGGTCGTGCAGTATTTGTCTTTCTGTGTCTGGCATAACCTCCTCCAGGTTTACTCATGTTGCTGCAAAGGGAGGATTTTCTTCTTTTCAAAGGCCAATTAATATTATCTATATCTGTATCTATATCTCACATTTCTTTATCCATTCATCCATCGACAGACAAAATGTTCTTACTTTTTCTTTGGGTGCCTTCCTTGCTCATGTCTGAGCCCAGAGGCTGACACACAGAAGGAATTCAGTGAGTATTAGCTGACTGCATGAATGAATGAAAAAAATTCCATTCAAAGGAGACATTGCTTTCCACCCCATAGCAGAGAAGCAGAGCCTTAGAGTTCCCATCTTCATCTTGTCATTAAAAGGATCATTATTTTGCTGATATCTAGCCATTCTGCCCCAAATCTTAATTTCTGAACCCCTAATGTTATGTAAATCTTCCTGGCCTCACAAGAACCGGGCAACCAACTACCTCCTCTTGCTCTCAGCAAAACTGTACTAACATCCCAGGAAATACACCCTCACCTGGTCAACCAAGCAACATTTATTGAGCACCCACTGTATACAGGGCTTGTTGCTACGAGGGCCACAGACAAGGAGGTCCTATCACTGTCACTGCCCTGACTGCCTACGAGCCTGGAGGGGCTGAGTCACATGGGCTCCAGTAGGGGCAAGTCCACAGGGTTTCCTAAAGAAGGGCACAGACACAGAGGAAAGGAACACCAAGAGCAAGTCTCTCTCTTTCTTCCTTCCTTCCTTCCTTCCTTTTTTCTTTCTTTCTTTCTTTCTTTCTTTCTTTCTTTCTTTCTTTCTTTCTTTCTTTCTTTCTTTCTTTCTTTCTCTTTCTTTCTTTCTTTCCCTTTCTTCCTTTCTTTCTTTTTCTTTCTTTCTTCTTTCTTTCTTTCTTTCTTTCTTTCTTCCTTCTCTTTTGTCTCTCTCTCTCTCTTTCATTTTATTTTTATTTTACTTCAAGTTCTGGGATACATGTACAGGACATGCAGGTTTGTTATGTAGGTATACATGTGCCATGGTGGTTTGCTGCACCTATTGACCCATCCTCTAAGTTCTCTCCCCTCATCCCCCACCCCCTAACATACCCTGATGTGTGATGTTCCCCTCCCTGTGTCCATGTGTTCTGATTGTTCAACTCCCACTTATGAGTGAGAACACGTGGTGTTTGGTTTTCTGTTCCTGTGTTAGTTTGCTGAGGATGATGGATTCCAGCTTCATCCATGTCCCTGCAAAGGACATGATAATCTCATTCCTTTTTATGGCTGCATAGTATTCCATGGTGTATAGGTACCATATTTTCTTTATCCAGTCTGTCATTGATAGGGATTTGGGTTGGTTCCATGCCTTTGCTATTGTAAATAGTGCTGCAGTAAACACAGGTGTGCATGTGTCTTTATAATAGAAGGATTTATATTCCTTTGAGTATGTACCCAGGAATGGAATTGTTGAGTCAAATGGTATTTCTGGTTCTAGATCCTTGAGGAATCCACAAACTGTCTTCCACAATGGTTGAACTAATTTACAATCCCACCAACAGTGTAAAAGCATTCCTATTTCTCCACAGCCTCACCAGCATCTATTGTTTCTTGACTTTTTAATGATTGCCATTCTAACTGGTGAGAGATGGTATCTCATTATGGTTTTGATTTGCATTTCTCTAATGATCAGTGATGTTGAGCTTTTTTTCATATGTTTGTTGGCTGCGTAAATGTCTTTTTTTGAGAAGTGTCTGTTCATATCCTTTGCCCACTTTTTGATGGGATTTTTTTCTTGTAAATTTGTTTAAGTTCCTCGTAAATTCTGGATATTAGACCACATTTCTTTCTTCCTTTTCTTTTTCCTATATATTCCTGTATTTAAGTGTCTTCTAAGGAGCATATTCTGCTCTTATAAGTTTTCAAACAATATTGGATTGTTTTTACAGAGAAGGCATGGCACCCATACATGGGAGAAGGTGGGGTAGAAGCGTTCTCCTTCTCAGTCATCTTGGGAGGTGTGGGACCATTGATTCTCAGACAGCAAGGCAGGGAGGCCAGGTTCAAGGCCTTGGATTATTTGGGTGGGAGCAGAGGTGATAGACCAGGGCCATAGGGCCCAGAGAGCATGGCTAGGAGGTCACATCCCAGCCTGGCTCAGCCACCCAGGGTGTGGGGACCCAGCCGGGGCTGGTTGAAGCAAATGGGAATGAAAGCCCCATTCTCCAATAAATCAAGTCTAGGAGTCCAGCATTGCAGCTTCCACCATTGACAAATCAGGGGGTGGGGATGGGGCAGGGTGTCAACAGAGTCCTTGTCCACTCTGGTTCTATCTCTGCACCATGGCTAGGATGGCATTAGAACATAGTGAGACGACTGTGACTGGCTGTGAGTAGCGGGAAAAATGTAAATATATATCAGGTGTGGCCCGTTATGTTTACAAAGCAATTTCACATTCCTAAGACAACTTGTCACCACAGCCCAATGAGATGTTGTTAGACTCATTTTATAGATGAGAATCCCGAAGTTCAGAGAGGTCATTTGCCAGCGATCACGTGACTGGTGATGAGCTGAGTCTTAACCTAAGTCTTCTGATTACAAAGAGTGTCTTTTCCTATGGAGTTTTTGGGGGCAAGGAGGACAAAGAAACAGGTCAGCTCAGCTTCTAGGCCCCCAGACTGCTGCTGCGGGGGAGAGCAAGGAAAGAACAGGGTGTCATGAGTTCAGTGGTCCTACTGCAGAACACACTGCGTCCAGGCTGTCTTCCGGGACACACTGACTTTCAGTCTTGCACAGGAATGACATTCGGGGCCTACGAGATGCTCTCTTGGGCTTCCTGTGGGCCTTAAACTGTACAGGCTTGAGATGGGCCAAAGCTGGTAAGACTCTCCATGTTGAGGACATTTAAACTCAGAGAGACAAAGCAATTGGCCCAAGGTCACACAGCAAGTCAAGGTCTGGGCTGAGATTAGGAATCTGAGTATGTGACTCAGAGGCCCTTCCTTTCTGGGTCTTCTCTGAGTCACCATCCGTCTTCCTGCCTTCTTTCCCATCTCTCCCCGCAGGGGCTGGGGCTGGCAGTTTTGTTGCATGTTTTTTTTTTGTTTTTTCTTTAGAGATGGAGTCTCACTCTAGCCTGGAATGGAGTGCAGTGGTGCAATCTTAGCTTACTGCAGCCTTGACCTCCTGGGCTCAAGTGATCCTCCTGCTTTAGCCTCCTGAGTAGCAGGGACTACAGGCATGCACCACCACGTTGGCTAATTTTTTATGTTTCTTATAGAGACGGGGTCTCATTATATTGCCCAGGCTGGTCTCAAACTCCTGGCTTCAAGCAATCCTCCCGCCTGGGCCTCCCAGAGTGCTGGGATTACAGATGTGAGCCACGGTGCAAGGCCGGAAGCTGGCAGTTTCTGAGCATCAGACTCTGCTATTTTCCTTCCTCTCTAGATAACTGGGCCTTTGTAGAGCATTCCCAACCCTTTTCCAGAGAGAACCTCCAAGAGTCTAGCCTAGGCCCTAAGTGGCAAGACTGGCTAGAAGTTTGGGCCAGAGGTGGCAGGTTCCTCTAAAGACCTGGCTGGGTAAGTCCTCCCTCAGGGGCCCCTAATCTCACCTCCCTCCTTGTTGGAATAACCAGTGGTATCTGGACCCGTTACTGGATACCTCCCCCTGCTGGGGTGTGCATGCCCCCACAGGCACTGGGTGGGGGTGAATGACAGACAGTAGCAGGCCCCAGTGGCACACTGAAGATAACTGCTCTTGACAGATGAAGATGCAGCCCAGGCAAAAGCTACATCCTATTTGGCTTTTAATTTGGAGGCCCCGAGAGTGAATTCGGAAGCTCCCACTCTTGTCCTCACGTGCAAAGTGGATCTGACTTTCAGGAAATGACCTGAAGTGAAACCACATTACTCATCAGCACGTCTCTCAAATTCACAGCCTTCACGCTCCCGCCCCCATCCCTGGAGGGATCAGGATTTCCGCTCACTTGTTCCTGTCCCTTCACACACATACCTTTATCTTATCGAGGGGCAGCTGGTGTGGCCCAGGTCCCTGGTAACCTCAGGAGTGAGTGGGGTGGAGGGGACGGGGGAGAGCAGATCTGGGCTGCAAGCTTGGAATTGGGAACTTCACCTAATCCAGGAATCTGCAAATGATGGCCCATTGGCCTACTCCAGGTGGCCTGCCCCTGTTTGTATATGGCCACGAATGAAGGATGACTTTTTTAAAGGTTGAAAAAAATCAACAGGAGAAATGTTGTGACATGTGACACTTATATGAAATTCAGATTTCAGCATCCATAAATAAAGCATTTATGGAGCACAGCCACGCCTACTCATTTATGTTACGTCTTTGGCTGTTTTTGAACAACCACAGCAGAGTTGAGTAGTTGAGACAAAGAGTTTATGGCCCATCAATCCTAAAATATTTACTACCCTGGCTCTCTGTTTTTTTTGTTGTTTTTTTTTTTTAATGGAGTCTCACTCTGTCGCCCAGGCTGGAGTGCAGTGGCACAATCTTGACTCACTGCAACCTCCACCTGCCAGGTTCAAGCGATTCTCCTATCTCAGTCCCCCGAGTAGCTGGGATTACAGGTGCATACCACCACACCTGGCTAGTTTTGGTATTTTCAGCAGAGACGGGGTTTCGCCATATTTGCCAGGCTGGTCTTGAACTCCTGACCTCAGGTGATTCAGCCGCCTTGCCTCCCAAAGTGTTGGGATTACAGGCGTGAGCCACTGTGCCCGGCCTACCCTGGCTCTTTGCAGAAAAAGTTTGCTGATCTCTGATCTAAACTCTCACCTCCCCATGTTGAAAGCATTTAAAAATCAGTGGGTGGGCCGGGCACAGTGGCTCATGTCTATAATCTCAGCATTTTGGGAGGCCAAGACAGGAGGATCACTTGAGGTCAGGAGTTCGAGACCTGGCTGGCCAACATGGTGAAACCCCGTCTCTACTAAAAATACAAAAATTAGCTGGGCATGGTGATGCTCACCTGTAATCCCAGCTACTTGGGAGCCTCAGGCACGGGAAGAGAATCACTTGAACCTGGGAGGTGGAGGTTGCAGTGAGCCAAGATTGCACCATTGCACTCCAGCTTGGGTGACAGAGTGAGACTCCATCTCAAAAAAAAAAAAAAAAAAAAAGTCAGTGGGTGGCTGAGTGCGGTGGCTCAGTCCTGTATTTCCAGATCTTTCGGAGGCTGAGCCTGGAGTTCCGAGGCTGCAGTGAGCTATGATTGCATCACCTCACTGCAGTCTGGGTGACACAGTGAGATCCTGTCTCTAAAAAGAAAAATTAAAAATAAAAAAATCAAAAGCACTGGGGCGGGAACAGGGGAGGAGTTGTCCTGAAACCCCATCTGCACCCCCACTAGGCAGGATGAGGGACCTCTGCTAACTCTCCTCCCATCCTCACATCTCAGAGGGTGAAATGAAATGCGATCATCACACATTCAATGTGCACACCAGGACCAGCTCTACGCAGCCTCTGCTGCAGGTAGAGGAGATGGGAAGATGACTTAAGACCTGCTCTCATTCCCAACCTCCCGCAGCCCACCGAGTGCAGGGTTAAGCCCAGGGGGCAATGGTGAGTGCCCCTGGCCCTAAGTTCAGGGCGTTCACAGTCTGGGGTGAGAGGTCTAGACAGAAAGGTAAGCAGAAAACTACCCTGTCCTGTGATAGGTGTGACCTGTGGAGATCTACCTCAGGAGCTGAGGCAACAGAGGGGGTGGGTCTCTAACAGCCTGAGGCATTAGGGAAAGCCTCCTGGGGCACTTGTAAGAGGGCTTTGAAGACTCTGCCCAGAGCCCCCAGAGATTCTGGCTGCATCTTCTGCGGTGGATCCTAGCTTGGGAAAGTGTGTAGAGTTTCCCAGGGGATCCCAACATTCAGCCAGGGCTAAGTGTCTAAAGAATTAGCAGGAATTGGCCAGGCTCAGTGGCTCACGCCTGTAATCACAGCACTTTGGGAGGCCGAGGCGGGCGGATCACCTGAGGTCAGGAGTCCGAGACCAGTCTGGCCAACATGGCAAGACCCTGTCTCTACTAAAAATACAAAAATTAGCTGGGCATGGTGACGCACACCTGTAATCCCAGCTACTTGGGAGGTTGAGGCAGGAGAATCGCTTGAACCTGCTGGAGGTAGAGGTTGCAGTGAGATCGCACCACTGCACTCCAGCCTGGGTGACAGAGCGAGACTCAAAACTAAATAAATAAATATAAAGAATGAGCAAGAATTGGCTGGGTGAAGTGGGCAGGAAGCAGTCCAGACAGAGGAGGGACAGCCAGCGGGAACGGCCAGGGGTCCCGGTATAGATGGCTGAGCTACCCGGTTGGTAGGTCACTTGGGCCCTCCCCACGGCATGCCCCCCACCCCCAGGTCCTTCTCTCCGCTGCTCCTCCCAGAGGAAGACCTCCCTCCACCCTGATAACCCCCTTATCTCTCCAGGAAAAGTGCTGATCCCATCAGATTCATTCACAAACTGAGCCAATTCCGGGGCTCAGGAAAAAGAATGTCCCTTGGTGTTAAGATAAGGAAGGAAATGGTAATCTACACATCATTAGGTCAAATGCCCTCCCACCTCCCTCCCCACACCCAAATCGTGCTGTGATTTAATCCCAGGGCAAGGAGCTCCCCAGGCACAGGTAAGCGGAAGCCTTGAGCCTCCATTTCCCCTAACCCCTCAGGAATGAGGCCTGAGAGGTGGCAGTGGGGCTAGTCCAGGCCTCATCTTCCTGCCTGGCCCTGCTCTTGGTCCTCCAGGCGCTGTCAGAACTCTCCGGACTCACACGCCCTATCTTTGATCGCTCAGGTAATGGCCTGGCCTGCTCTCTGTGGAGACAGGGAATAGAGTTAGCACCCACGCTCTGGGAGCCCTGACAGCCCGTTTAACAAGGTGTCCAACATCCCATTTCCTCTGCACTTCCTCTCGCTTTAATCCTTTTATGTGAAACCCACTCAGGAGCAAGCCCTGTGAAATTGATGCCTCTCTGTACACATGGCCTGGCTCGCTCCCTGTTTCTCACGGAGCACAGACCCCTCCCATTCCAGACACTAGGAATAGCCGGGCCTGGCGTGGGGGGAGCCTGGTGCCCCAGAGGGTCACCCCCAAGCTCTGGAGGGTGGGGTGCTGATGAGGCACCTCAGAAATGGCTTAGAGTTGCTGGCCCCGGGTTGGGGCTTCTTGGAGCTGCAGCTCAGGACTGACACCCAGGCCACCAATGGACTCCCCTCCTCCCTAGTTCACTGCCCCTCCTGGACTAGAAAGAAAGAAGGAAGCTCCTGGTGGCTCCAAGGAAACCTGTGACCCCATGCCTGCCCCCCAGACCTATCCCCTCCAAGAAAAACAAATCATTAACTTTTCAGCTTGAACACCCAGGGGCGGGAAATGAGAGTCCTCCAGGCCATCCCAGCCAGGGCAGGAGATGAGATAAGGCCCAGGCTATCTCCGTTGATGGTGGGGAACATAAAATGCTAATGAGAAAGGAGAGGGACTGGAAAAGGAGGGTGGCCCAGCCCCCCACTTTTTCTGGCTTGGCTTCCTTCTGACCTTCTAGCCAGCCCCCTCCTCGCCATCAGTTCCATCTGCCCTTCCCTCACTTGCCTCATGAGAGTGGGATGCCTCAGTTTCCCCTGGGGAAAATGAGGCCCAGACTCCTCTCTGGCTAACATGGGAGAGAGCCTGACACCCTGTAAGCACCAGCCTCTCTCCCTTGGCTCCTCGAACCTGGCTCTGCTGTGGACATGTGACAGGTGAGGGCCATACCTGGGCAGTTGGCCGTGATGAGCAAAGGTACTTTGGCTTGGAGAGGGGGGCTGTGGCAGGGGCAAGGGACCAGATGGCCTGCAGCTCTCCCCACCCCTTTTCCTCCCTGGGGCCCAGGGCCTCACAGCCCAGCCCAGATCACAGACTGGTGGCTCTGCCAGTCTTGCCCCTGCCCTCTCCCCTCTCTGTCCCCACGGCCACCTGGAGACACGGAGCAGGGCCTGGCCTGTTGTCAGCGAGCAGTGAGGCAGAAGAGGGCAAGGGATTTCCAGGAGCAGAAAAACCACACAGACAAATGCGGTGCCGAAAAAGGGACCGTGAGATGGGAAGGGAGATAGAGAGACCAGGAGAAGGAGGGGATGCGAGAGAGAAACAGAGAGAGAGGAAGATGGAGCAGCCTCTAAGGAATGCTGATCTTTAAAGCTGACTGATAAAAAGCTTGTTCCAAAGACAAATTCTTTCAAACCAACAGCTCCAAAGAGACTTTCCGTCATTCTCCCTATCACGGCCTGGCCCCTTCTTGCCAGGAAGAAGATGAAAGAACATCTTCATCTGCCCTCCGCCTCCAGAGTCCTAACCACCTTCCTCCTCTCAGCACTGCTATAGCCAAGCTCTGAACCTCCCTCCCTGGGAGGCCCTCCCCCATCCCCCACTATTCTGCACCCCTGCCCTGCTGTCCCAACACCCATTTCCCACTCCCCCCACCCTAACTTCCTGTTTCTCTGGGTCAAGGGGTCCTCTGGTCCCTGATTCTCTTTCCTTCTCCCCACTCTTGTTTTCCCTTCTGCACTGTCATTGCTTCTGACATCACCACTGCTCCCCACCATGGCTCCTGAGTGATGGCTCTAGGCTTTCTGCCTTGGATTTCTGAAGCAATCCTATCAGCCCAAGCTTCTTGCTGGGGAAATCGAGGCCAGGAGGGCACCTTCATCTCATCTCCTCCTCCATCCTTACTATCCCAGCCCCTCAGAGGCTCTGGGCACCGGGCCTGGTCCCTGCCTGGCCGTGAGCACCTAAGCTGGGTCTCCTTTCAGGGATAAGGGGTGGGCATTCTCTCCTCACTCTCTCCCACTTCCCAGCTACAGCTGAGTCCAGACACCTCCCCACCACACTGCTCCAGCCTCTCCCTGCTCCCCACAATTAGCTCTACCCGTGCCCACATTTGAACACATCCTAGATGAATCCCATCCCGAATTGCTTAACAATAGCATCCTGGCCCAAGATCCAGGAAAGAATTCTGTCTCTTGGTGTTCCCATTCAGGGTCTCTCCCCTGTCAAAATATCCACTCTGTTCAACATCTCTCCCTCTTCCTCTGGAACAATCCCTACTTATTCTTCAAGACCCTACTGACCTGCCACCTCCTCTAGGAAGTCCTCCTGACTCTCCCAGCTGCTCCTTCTGAGCTCCATTTGCACAAAATAGCAGCATGTGCATTGACCCCTGATAAGACTGAATTCCTTGAAAGCATCAACTTCATCATTTTATTTAATAAACACGTATTGAGCACCTAGTTTGTGCTAGGTGTTGGTTTGGTTATACAGAGATTCATTCATTCAACAAGCATGTATTGAGCACCTAATATCTGCCAGGCTGGGGATATAAAGGTGACCAAAACAGACACAATTCCTCTTCTCCTGGGGCTTGGACTTTAGTAGGAGATACAGACGTACCAGTTACCATGTAGGATGGTAAGCGGTGTGATGGGAGGAAGTAATGGGCACTCCAGACCCTCAGGGAGGGCACCTGACACAGCTCGGAGGGTCGGAGAAGCTTCCTGGAATGGGGCTGAATGGGATCTATTCAGGTGAAGCAGAGGGGAGAGGAGGTCCTGGGCTTAGGGCATGGAAAGTATGAGAGAGCATGGCTTAGATGGAGGCCACCAGGAGGTGGGTAAGTCCTGCCTTTGGCAGGAGTGGCAGATGGGTAGAGGTGAGGAACCATATCTGAATCATCATCTTCCTCCAGCCCACGGTAGGAGCTGGGTTAATGTCTTTCTTTTTTCTTTCTTTCTTTCTTCTTTCTTTCTTTCTTTCTTTTTTTTTTCTTTCTTTCTTTCTTTCTCTCTTTCTTTCTTTCTTTCTTCTTTCTTTCTTTTCTTTCTTTCTTTTTTAGAGATAGAGTCTCGCTCTGTCATCCAGGCTGAGTGCAGTGGCATGATCACAGCTCACGGCAGTCTTGAACTCCTGGGCTCAAGCAATCCTCCCACCTCAGCCTCCAAATAACTGAGATTATAGGTGTGTGCCACTGCACCAGGCTCAGGTAAATTTCTTGCCATTGAATGAAGGGAGTCCAGCTTATATACACTAATCAAGTGTCTGCCATGTGCGGGGCACCAGAGCTTGGGATAGAAGACAAGATTTACAAGGATAACAATAAAGAACAAAAGCCAACATGAATAAAGCTCCTCACAGGTTGTGGGTCAAGCACTGTGCCAGGGTTTCCTAGGTGTCACTTCACTTATTCCTCATGGCCACCCTGTGTGGGATGATTTCTATGATCCCTTGGCCTGGTGGGCTCAGAGAGGTGAAGGGAACTTCCCAAAGCCACACTGGAGCCAATTTTTTTTTGAGACAGAGTTTCACTCTTGTGGCCCAGGTTGGAGTGCAATGGCGCCCTCTCGACTCACTGCAACCCCCACCTCCTGGGTTCAAGCGATTCTCCTGTCTCAGCCTCCTGAGTAGCTGGGATTATAGGCGCCCACCACCAGGCTCGGCTAATATTTAAAATATTTTTAGTAGAGATGGGGTTTCACCATGTTGGCCAGGCTAGTTTGGAACTCCTGACATCAAGTGATCCACCCGCCTCTGCCTCCCACTCCCAAAGTGCTAGGATTACAGGCGTGAGCCACCGTGCCCAGCCTGGAGCCAATATTGGAACACCGGCTCAATCGCAGTCCAGTAGCCTCTCCCCAGACAAAGCAGGGACTGGCCTTGCCTCCTGCAGAGACCCTGGCCCCCCAGCCCTCTGAACTGCTGCCTTCCGTCCCCTGGGAACTGCAGCCTTCCCGGGAAACCCAGCACATCTCCCTCCCTCCTCTTTCTTTCCTCTGCCCCCACAGCCTGAATACTTCAGTTCCTCCCTGGCCTGTCCCCTCCCCTCAAAGAAAGAAAAAATGGAGAGAAAATGGATCTTTAAAGATACATGTATCCATCACTATTATTTACATTCTAATGTGCGTCTGTGGCTCGGCTCCAATGGGGGAAATGTAAATCAGGTGGACACCGCTCCCGAAAGCCCTAAAGAGCTTGGCTCCCCCAAATTAGAATAGAAAATGCTCTTTTAAAATGCACCTTTAATATGTAAAAGCCCGCCGACCTGGGCTCTAAATAAACCAAACTTGAACCAGATGCCAAATAGAGTAGATGAAGGACAGGTGCACAGAGGGTCCCAGGCTGGGGAATGAGGCCTAAACAGCTATTTATATTAATGCAAAGAAAGTTCAACATTCTTTCCCTTGATATATGCTGCAGTGGGAGGTGGTTTTTGTCCCACCAGCAAGAATAAAACGCACAGCTCATGATGGGCAGGGTCACGTGTGCAAGATAAAAAGCTCTGGGTATAATATATGTCTCCAGCGTGCATTCTCTGCAGGCTTTGCGTTAGATCTGTGGATGACAACAAGAAAACACTTACTCAAGGTTAGACTCCATTCGCCAGGCTTCCAATCACAGCTGTCTGTCCTGAGGGAATGCAGCTGCCTCCAGGCTGGGCTCCTGGGGCACCCACTTGCCTTGGTGTTGAGACTGCGAGTGGGTCCTGGTTGGGGCTGGAAGGGGGCTGTTGGCCAGGGCCAGGGAATGCCTGCATGTGCCAGCAAGAGGGGGAATGTGTGTCCTTTTCACTGGGGACACCCTGACCATCCAGACTCCCTGAAGACAGGCTCACAGCTGCCTAGGCAGTTTACAAAGCAGGCTTATGTGAATGAGGGAAGAGGTAATCTTTAGTTTTTTTCTGGATGTGTTACATGAATTCCTGGTCTCTTCTTTGCAGATAAGTCAGAATTCATTTATTCATTTAGTAATTTCATGAAGGCAACATTCAGTCATTCAACAGAGTATTACTAAGACCTTCTGCAGGACCATAGGGAGGCAATCGAGTATAGAGGTTCTGGAGGATCTAGAATAGGACAGTAATAGTGATTGTTCGAAGAGATCAGCTCTGAATGGTGCTTCGCCCAGTGCAGGGCAGTGGTAGGCAGTCAATAAATATTGGCCTTCTCATCATCGTTGTTGTTAGACAATGTGTTGGGGTGAGGAGAGAGATGGAAAGACGACAGAGATGCTGCTAAAATGGTTACTCTCTACATCTACATCTGGATAGATAGATAATGCATCTTTTTTTTTTTTTTTTTTTTTTTTGAGATGAAGTCTGGCTCTGTTGCCTAGGATGGAGTGCAGTGGCATAATCTCAGCTCACTGCAACCTCCACCTCCCGGGTTCAAGCAATTCTCCTGCCTCAGCCTCCTAAGTAGCTGGGATTATAGGCGTGCGCCACCACACCCGGCTAATTTTTGTATTATTAGTAGAGATGGGGTTTCACCATGTTGGCCAGGCTGGTCTCGAACTCCTGACCTCAGGTGATCCGCCCGCCTTGGCCTCTCAAAGTGCTGGGATTACAGGTATGAGCCCCATTGCCCAGCCAGATAATGTATCTTATAACATCATGATATAGGCCTTAAATATACACAATACCATTTTAAAACATTTTAAAATCAGTATCTCCTCAGGAGGAGACGTGAGAGGAACAGCGTTTTAGACAAAGGGAACAGCGATGGCTTGTGACAGAGCTGATGTGATAAGGGAATGAAGAGAAGCTCAGTGTCTCTGGGGCCTGAGATGCGAAAGAGGGTTGGGAGAAGAGGAAAATGTGGTTGGAGAGAGGTAGACAGAGAGCGTAAGCTCACTGAGGGCCTTGTAGGCCAACCTAAGAAGTTATATTGCATTTAAGAAGAAGTTAAGTTACATTTATTCTGGTGAGTAGGGGAAGCTTACACATTGAAGAACTGTTTTCCCTGATTGGGGTAGTGTAGGCATCTGACCTAAAGGCAGCTAACCCTCACACTGGCTCAGTGAATGGTCAAGGAGAAAATAAACAAACAAACAAGTTCACAGGATAAGCCTGGGCAAAAAGATAAGCTGGACCAATCAGAGGCTCTTTCTTGGTGGATTAGTCAGGACAGGAAAGGTTATGCTGTGGTGACAAACATCATCAAAATTTCAGTGGCTTAACACAACAAAGGTCTACTTTTTGCTTAAAAAAAAATCTTCTGTGAGTCTGGGCAGCTTTCTAGGGAAGCTGCCACCATGTGATGACAGAGATTCCAGGCCACCTCCACCAAGATATCTTCCTATCAACATGTGCTTCCATGGTAGCCGAGAGAAGACATGGAGAATTGTACCTTGGCTCTTCAATACTTCCACCGGAATGACACATACCACTTCTGCTCACAGTTCATTGGTTCACACAAAACACAAAGGCCATGACTAACCTCAGTGGGGTGGAGAAGACCATCTTGTTGCGTGCGCAGAAGGCAAGTAGAACTCAAAATAGCATCCAGTGCTTGCAATGCCTATCACCATTGGGAAGTACAGAAAGAGCTGGTTTTCACTGGGAGAAGAAGCTGAGAAGAGACTGAGAAGAAGAGTTTCCATAGACACCTACTCAGGAGGCTGAGGCAGGAGGGTGGCTTGAACCCAGGAGTTCAAGGCTACAGTGAGCTGTGATTGCACCACTACACACTTTTGTAATGTTCCTCCTGGCTCTAAAACTTGGAGACTCTCAGATTTCACAGAAGTCTTGTGACCTCCAGGAGTGGGGTGGAACACTGGTGGTACCAAGGAAGGGGACAGGGGCCCAGACAGAAGTTGGTCCTTCTCTAACCAAAATTTCAATACACCTTGGAAAACAGTTTGATTGGCCAATGGGGCTGGTAGTGGGAGACACGGGTGCTATTCCAGGCTCAGGTCAACATCTTCCAGTAGATCTTGATTCATGTTAGAAACCTCTGGATGGGGCCAGGCGCGGTGGCTCACGCCTGTAATCCCAGCACTTTGGGAGGCCGAGGTGGGCGGATTACCTGAGGTCAGGATTTCGAGACCAGCCTGGCCAACATGGTGAAACCCCATCCCTATTAAAAAAAAATACAAAAATTAGCTTGGCGTGTGGCACATGCTTTTAATCCTAGCTACTCAGGAGGCTGAGGTAGGAGAATCGCTTGAACCTGGGAGGCAAAGGTTGCAGTGAGCCGAGATCGTGCCACTGCACTCCAGCCTGGCCAACAGAGCGAGACTCTGTCTCAAAAAAAGAAAAGAAAAGAAACCTCTGGATGGTAGAAAAGGGAGATGTGGGTGGAAGAGGCAAGGGCGGGGCTGGGTTTAGAAGGCCTGAGCCCAAAGACTTAATTCCCCTGAGGCCTGAAGCCAGTGGCAACAGGCTTGGAAGGGCCACAAATAGCAGTCAGGGCCAGGATTCTCCCACTCCCATGGGTGCCAGGGCCCTGGCAGACGAGTGCAAGGCAGACATAGATCCTTTCTAGGGCATTTGGCCAGCAAGGCAAATACCACAGTCCTCTGCTTGGCCCGCAGAGGAGGAAGGGTGGTGGGAGCAGGGGTCATCACCCCGACCCCTCATCCCCTCAGACACCTCCAGATTGCTTCAGGGTTTGGCTCCCTAGGGATATAACTGATGCCACAAATCACAGGGTGGCAGGTCAGGGTGGCAGGTCAGGCTAGTTCTTTACAATGTGGATGGGAATCCAGGAGCCAGGAGCGGGGTCTGGTGGGAGGGTGAGGGAGGGGGAGCAGCCCCTGTGCCCGGCTCACTCCTGAGGGGTCACAGTGAGGGCAGGGAGGAGCCTTGTGCTGGGGGTGCGGGAAGCAGGGAAAGAAGAGGGGATGGAGGAGGAAGAGAGAAAAGAAAACAGTGAAGGAGGGCCAGGTGTGGTGGCTCATGCCTGTCATCCCAGTGCTTTGGGAAGCCAAGGCGGGTGGATCGTCTGAGGCCAGGAGTTCAAGTAACACAGCTGGGCAACACAGTGAGACCTTGTCTCTACCAAATAATTTTTATTTTTTGTTTATTTACTTATTTTTTTGAGACAGAGTCTTGCTCTGTTGCCCAGGCTGGAATATAATGATGTGATCTCGGCTCACTGCAACCTCCATCTCTTTGTTTCAAGCAATTCTCATGCCTCAGCCTCTCAATGAGCTGGGACTACAGGCACCTGCCGTCATGCCTGGCTAATTTTTGTAGTTTGTTTGTTTGTTTATTTGTTTATTTATTTATTTTTGAGACAGAGTCGCGCTCTGTCGCCTAGGCTGGAGTGCAATGGCACGATCTCGGCTCACTGCAACCTCCACTTCCCAGGTTCAAGTGATTCTCCTGCCTCAGCCTCCTGAATTGCTGGGATTACAGGTGCCTGCCACCACGCCTGGCTAATTTTTTGTATTTTTAGTAGGGACGGGGTTTCACTATGTTGGGCAGGCTGGTCTCGAACGTCTGACCTCGTGATCTGCCCGCCTCGGCCTCCCAAAGTGCTGGGATTACAGGCCTGAGCCACTGCGCCTGGCCTAATTTTTGTAGTTTTAGTAGAGACAGGGTTTCACCATGTTGGCCAGGCTGGTCTCCAACTCCTGGCCTCAAGTGATCTGCCCACCTCAACCTCCCAAAGTGCTGTGATTACAGGCGTGAGCCACCGTGCCTGGCCTACAAGATAATTTTTAAAAATTGGCCAGGCGTGGTGGGGCACACCTATGGTCCCAGCTACTCAGGAGGCTGAGGCACGAGGATAGCTTGAACCCAGGAGTTTGAGGCTCCAGTGAGCTATGATTGCACCACTGCACTCCAGCCTGGGCAACAGAGTGAGACCCTGTCTCAAACAAAGAAAAGAAAACAGTGGAGGAGAAGGAAAAAGAGCGCAGGAAAAAAGGAGAAATCAAGGGAAGATAGAAAAAAAAGACGAAGTAAAAACAAAGACGAGCAAGTCAAGGGGCAAGAAAGGAAGAAGGGAGGAGGAAAACTGTGATGGGGAAGGAGGAAGCTGAGAAAAGAAGGGAAGGAAAAAGAAAGAGTGGAGGATGAATTAAGGGAGGAGGAAGAGGCCAAGGAAAAGGAGAATAAAAATAAAGGTGAAAGGAGACAGAGAAAAGCACAAGGAAAGAAGAAGAGGAGGAATTGAAGTGGGAGAGAGAGAGAGAAGGGAGAAGCAAAGCTGCCAGGCACTTCCTGGGCCCTGGGAGCTGAAATGCAGGCACCGGAGCTGCCAGGAGGGGAGCTGGGGCAGGGCTGTTACGAAGAGCACAGTAGGCGCTATGAAGATCTATTGGGCCCCGCAGTGCCATTGTCTTCAGAAGGAATTAAAAACAAATTGCTGAGGGCCAGCACATAATTTAAAGACTCACGGCAATTTTATGACTTGCTAATGTTCCTAATTACATGCCCGTGAAAGGCTTAATTAATTGGGGGATGTAGCAAAAAGTGGAGCCTGTGTTTGTTATCATGGTTCCACTGCATTGATTTTAGTGCCTATGGAGAATTTAGGGCCTCTTTATTTGCACAAAGAAAATGCAAGTCTCTCGAAAAAATGCACATTAAGATCAACCCCTCGCTGCTATCTAATATACTTTCCTCTACTTAACCAAAGCGCTTGTAATCATATTTTGTAAATGTTGGTGCCGTTAATTGCATTGTGAGGGAAAATAGGTTCTGCTTGGCTGGTTGTGGAGAATTTTATAAAGTTCGTTCCTGGTGCCCCATTCCAGGGGACTCTTCCCAGGAAACTTGCGGAGAAGTTGGGAAGCCCAGCCTGGGAAGCTGGCACGGCTGCCCTGAGATTCTCTGCTCCTGGCCGTGTCTTGACTGCCACTCCTGCTGCCAGGGCCCTGATGGCCAAGGGGAGTTGAGCCTGTGCAGGAGTGGGATTGAGGGCAGTGGGCATGGGAGGAAGCCTGCAGATGGATGTTCCTCTCAACAGCACTGGAACAGAGGACATTTCTGGTGTGGGCCCAGCCACACCTTATCTGTGAGGCCTTAGGTAAGGCCCTTAGCTTCGCTGATCCTCAGTTTCTTCATCTGTGACATGGGGTGGTGGTGCCCACTCTGCTGACACCCTCAGATTGCTGTGATGATCAAACAAGAGAATGGAAGTGAAGGGAGGTCCTGATGTCAGGCTTGTGGCTGTTTCCATCAGCTGCTGTCTCTGCTTTTCCTTCCTCAGGGCACCACAGAGAAGTTCTCCTTCCAGCTGGGAGCTCTGTGTGACAGGGGTGACCACCCACACTCTGCCTTTCTTTTTTTTTGAGATGGAGTCTCACTCTGTCACCCAGGCTGGAGTGCAGTGGGGCAATCTTGGCTCACTGCAACCTCTGCCTTCCGGGTTCAAGAGATTCTCCTGCCTCAGCCTCCCGAGTAGCTGGGACTACAGGTACGTGCCACCACACCCAGCTAATTTTTTATTTTTTATTTTTTTTAGTAGAGATGGGGTTTTACCACGTTGGCCAGGCTGGTCTCAAACTCCTGACCTCAGGTGATCCCCACCCGCCTTGGCCTCCCAAAGTGCTGGGATTACAGGCGTGAGCCACCGCGCCCAGCTCACACTCTGCCTTTCTACAGGGAGGGGCACAAGGAGGTTCAGCTGGAGATGGGCTGGGTCCCTGAGATCCAGGGGAGGAGCAGTTCCTGTCACCGTCTGAGAAGCTGTTCCTGACGCTGCTCCCTCCCTGAGAATGGGCACTCACCTTTCCTCTCCCCTCCCACTGGCCCAGAACTTTCCCCACAGGTTGTCATTGTCGGTGACTGCAAATTCCTTCAGGACAGGGACCAGGCCTCTCACCCTCCAGCCCCAGTGTGTCCCTAGAATCTGGCACCTTGGGAGACACTCAATAGCATTTTACTGAATGAATCAGTGAATCAATGAAATCACTAATTTGGGCAATGGGGCTGAGTCACAGTGGGCTAACCAGGCTCAGCTTCTTATTTCTTCCTCTCTGGCTGAGTTCGCTGATCAATGGTCTCTTCCCATCTACCAATCTCCACCTCACACACACACTCCTCAGGGACCCCTCTCTGGGCAAAGAGGGTCTTCTTCCAGAGAAGATCGGAATAGTTGGGACCCTGCCACCATGCTTCCTCCCTACAATCCATCCCTACATGGTGACCAAAGGGACCCTTTAAAAAATGCAGATTAATGGCCGGGCGCAGTGGCTCATGCCTGTAATCCCAGCACTTTGGGAGGCTGAGGAGGGCAGATCACTTGAGGTCAGGAGTTCAAGAACAGCCTGGCCAATGCAGTGAGACCCCCATCTCAACTAAAAATACAAAAATAGGTCGGGTGTTGTGGCAGGTGCCTGTAATCCCAGCTACTTGGGAGGCTGAGGCACGAGAATCACTTGAACCTGAGGGGTGGAGGTTGCAATGAGCCGAGATCACGTCACTGCACTCTAGCCTGGGTGGCAGAGAGAGACTCTGTCTCAAAATAATAATAATAAAATACATACAAATGCAGATCAACTTACGTCAAGTTCCTGATTAAAGTCCCCCACACCACTTCCCATAAAAGCCTCTCACGGGGCCTACAGGGCCTATCACTGTGGTCAGGCCCCTTCCTATCTCTGGCATCTCATCCTGTATTGCCCTCCCTTAAAATCACCCACACTGCCCAGAACACTGTTTTCCTTCTGTTCTTCAACAGGCCAAGTTCAGTCTGGCCTTGGCCTTTGCACTTGCTGTGTCCTCTGCCTGGGATACTCTTCTCCGTCTCTTTGCATGGCTGGCTCCATCTCTTCATTCAAGTCCTATCTCAAGAGTCTTCCTCCAAACCTCTTCCCTGACCACCAATCTCATGTCATTTCTTTTTTAAACATGGGAGATAGACAAATTTTTGGGGTTCTCTGTTTGATGACTCCACAATATGAAATCCACAGGCTCCCCATCGGGTGCTCACTGTTTTGGCAGACGCTCACTCATGGTTGTGTATTTCCTTGGGTGATGTGTGGTTTTGAAATGCGGGCTCAGGCTCAAAGAGCTTTATGTAGGAGAGTCATAGACACCTGTATTGAAGGTTTGTCTCTCCAGAGAGGATCTGTATTTATCTCAATCCTAAGGCTGTTACCAATGTAGGTCTGTTTTAGTTCACTTATTGCCTTGGGTTTTTCTGCTCTCCATGGGTGGTGTACAGCTGAGACCCACCCCATATGAAGACAGATCGATGGTTATAGAATTCCCAGGAGAGGCTTTTATATTTTCTTTTTCTTTCTTTCTTTTTTCTTTTTTTTTTTTTTTTGAGATGGAGTTTTGCTCTTTCACCCAGGCTGGAGTAAAGTGGCACGATCTTGGCTCACTGCAACATCCGCCCCCTAGATTCAAGCGATTCTCCTGCCTCAGCCTCCCGAGTAGCTGGGACTACAGGTGCCTACCACCATGCCCAGATAATTTTTGTATTTTTAGTAGAGACGGGGTTTCACCATGTTGGCCAGGCTGGTCTCGAACTGCTGACTCTTTGTGATCCGCCTGTCTCGGCCTCCCAAAGTGCTGGGATTACAGGCATGAGCCACTGCACCCAGCTACAGTTTCTTTTTCTTCATATGTGTGGTTTTGTTTTTTTTGTTTGTTTGTTTGTTTTTGTTTTTTGTTTGTTTGTTTTTGAGACAGTCTTGCTCTGTTGCCCAGGCTACAGTGCAGTGGCGCGATCTTGGCTCACTGCAACCTCCGCCTGCCGGGTTCAAGCAGTTCTCCTGCCTCAGGCCCCCGAGTAGCTGGGACTGCAGGCACCCACCACTATGCCCGGCTAATTTTTGTATTTTTAGTAGAAACAGGGTTTCACCATGTTGGCCAGGCTGGTCTCGAACTCCTGACCTCGTGATCCATCCGCCTCAGTCTCCCAAAGTGCTGGGATTACAGGTGTGAGCCACCTCACCTGGTCTACATTTTCTTTAAAAAAATTTCATTTTAGAGATGTGGTCTTGCTGTGTCATCCAAGCTGGAGTGCAGTGGTGCGATCATAACTCACTGCAGCCTTGACCTGGGATCAAAAGACCCTCCTGGCCAGGCACAGTGGTTCACGCTTGTAATCTCAACACTTTGGCAGGCCAAGGTAGGAAGACTGCTTAGGGAGGCCAAGGTAGGAAGATTGCTTAAGTCCAGGAGTTGCAGACTAGTCTGGGAAACATAGTGAGACCCCATCTCTACAATTTTTTTTTTTAATGAAAAGAGAGAGAGATCCTCCCACCTCAGCCTCCGCAGTATCTGGAACTACAGGCACTTGCCACCACGCCTGGTGGCTTTTTCATTTTCACTCGAGTCCAGGTGAAGACAGGAGCAGTCTTCTTTGTTTTGACTCCTGGAGATTTCCCTCAATTTTTTGCCACTTGACTGTACCTGTGGTAAGATGTTTGTTATATTTTTTTACCCGGCATTTCTAGGTGTTTTGTATTGGAAGGTTGTCTGCAGGGTGTCCAGTCCATTGTATTGCTAAGGAATGGAGGCCTCTCAGGCATTCTCAATCATAAGTCCCACTTCTATTGTCTTCATAACACTTGTCATACTTGAGATGATGATTGTCATTTGTTTACTTGTTTACTCCCTGCATCCTCCTGCTGGAATGGAAGCCCCATGAGGGCAGGAACCTGGTTGCCTTGCTCACTGCTGTCCTCAGCACCTAGAACAGCACCTGGCTCCCGCAAATATTAACATTGGTTGAGTGATGAAATAAGTTAAAAAACCTGGGTTCAAATTTCAGCTTAGCAACTTGGGCAAATTACCTAGCCTCTCTAAACTCAGTTTTCTCATCTGTAAAATGGGAATAGTAATGTTTACCCTTTCTTTAAGGGAGCTTTATGAAGATTAAATGAGATATTTGTCAAGAACTCCCTTGAATCAGTGCTGGACACTCAATAAGTGGTAGTTACTATGACTGATGACTTCCAGGTCTTACGTGGTCCCATCCCACCCACCTCCCAGGACTCCCACCAGGATCAATTGGAAAGATGGTTCTGCCCTTCCCATCTCCTTGCAAGAGCTGAGTGGCCCTCTCTAACTTCACAAATGTGAGGGACCACGTTCTTTCCCTCCAGCACGTAGCGGGCCCACCTGGCTCCTGTGTGGTTCACAGTCCCTCCTCCCTGCCACAAGGAAAGTCCTTGGCTTTGTGGGAGGTGGAGGCAGGAGATGAGAGAATGGCCCATATATGCACAGATAGCTGTGGGGGAGAAGGCCTGGGAAGAGAGGCCTGAAGGGTGGACAGCTGCCTGCAGAGGGCTTAGCCATGTGGGAACTTGGGGTTCCTAGCCTGGCTGTGCCACTTACTCTGGTGGTCTTGAACAAGATATTTAACCATTCTGTGCCTCAGTTTCCCCATCTGTAACACAGATGGCTACTTATAGAGTGGCTACTTTATTTTTTATTTATTTATTTGAGATGGGGTCTCACTCTGTCACCCAGGCTAGAGTGCAGTGGCATGATCTTGACTCACTGCAGCCTCCATCTCCTAGGTTCAAGCATTTCTCGTTCCTTAGTCTCCCGAGTAGCTGGGATTACAGGTGTGCACGACCACACCCAGCTAATTTTTTGTATTTTTGATAGAGACAGGGTTTTAACATGTTGCCCAGGTTGGTCTTGGACTCCTGAGCTCAGAAGATCTGCCCCCTTGACCTCCCAAAGTGCTGGGATTACAGGCATGAGCCACTGTACCCAGCCTTAGAGTGGTTACTTTATATAACTGTTTTCAGAATAAATAAGTAAAGTGCTTAGAAGTGAGCGTGAGATTAATGTGTTAATTATTATTACATCTATTTTGTTCACTGCTGAATTTCCAGTACTTTGCACAGTACCTGCCTATAGTAGGCACTCAATAAATGTTTCCTGAATGGATGGATGGACAGATGGATGGTGGATGGATGGGTGGATGGATGGATGGGTGGATGCATGAATGGGTGGATGGATGGATGGACTGGCTAGCCTGAGAGGCGGGGAGAGTATGTCCATCAGATCCCTCAGATGTGTCCTATTAATTTTGCTAACAATGTTAACAGAATTTAGGTAGACCCCGCCACATCATGGACTCCTAGAATGCTGGGAGTGGAGGGTCCTGAGAGATCATCTCAGCCAGGTGTGGGTAGCACAATCCCCAGGGGCTTCTTCAAATGCCTGCTCTCCCTTCCCTTATGGAGATGAAGTCACCTTGGCTGGGTGTGGAGGAGCTCCTTGTTGGCTCTGATAGCTCTGTCTGTTGACTCTCCTTCATCTAATCCACCAGCCTCAGATTTCAGAGAAGGAAATGGAGGGTCAGAGAGAGACAGCAATTTGCAAAAGGTCCTGCAGAGAGTTGTGAAGGAGTTGACTCAAGCTCAGGTCTTCTAAGCCCTGGTTGCATGCTCTAGTACCACTCTGCTTCTCTGCACCCTCTCCACCAGGCTGAAGCAACTTGACTATTTACAGTCTTTTTAAAAATTTATTTATTTATTTATTTAGAGATGGAGCCTCTCTCTGCTGCGCAGGCTGGAGTGCAGTGGCATGATCACAACTCACTACAGCCTCAAACTCCCCGGCTCAAGCGATTCTCCCACCTCAGACTCCCAAGTAGCTCAGACTACAGGTGTGCACCACCATGCCCAGCTAATTTTTTCTTTTTTTGTAAAGACAGGTTCTCACTATGTCACCCAGACTGGTCTGGAACTGCTGAGTTCAAGTGATCCTTCCACCTCGGCCTCCCAAAGTGCTGGGACTACAGGCGTGAGCCACTGAGCCCAGTCTTAAAAAATTAAAAAAAAATTTTTTTTAATGAAAGAGGGGTTTATATGATAAGGATACACAGAATACTTAAGAAACCATGGGCAGGAATGCAGCTGGCCTGGGGAGGTGGTGCCTGGGTTTAGGCCTAGGAGGCATCAGAACCTTCTCTCCATTTGTGTCTCTCTCCCTCTCTCTCTCTTTTTTTGGGGGGACATGGTCTGGCGCTGTTCTCTGTTGCCTAGGCTGGAGTGCAGTGGTGCAATCATAGGTCACTACAGGCTTGACCTCCCAGGCTCAAGGGATCCTCCTGCCTCAGCCTCCTGAGTAGCTGGGACTACAGGTATACACCACTGCGCCCAGCAAATATTTTTTAATTTTTTGTCAAGATGGGGTCTCACTATGTTGCCCAGGCTGCTCTCAAACTCCTGGCCTCAAGCAATTCTCCTGCCTTGACCCCCTAAAACACTGGGATTACAGGTGTGAGCCACCATGCCCGGTCTCTATATCTTCTTAAATTGTCTGTCACCATTCAGAGCCTCCCACCCCGTTCTTATTTTCTAAATTAGCTTTTTTATTATGAAATATTTCTCATACAAAGAAAACTATAAACAATAATATAATGATCACCCATGTATCTTCTACTCAGCTTTGTTAAATCTTAGCATTTTGCTATCTTTGCTTCAGATATATATCTTTTTAAAGAAACAAAACATTATAAGTATGATGGAAACCCCCTGTATGTTTCCCCCAAGACTCATTCTCCTCCCTCCCTTCCCAGAGGTAATCACCCTCCTGAATTTAGGATTTATTCTTTTGATGCAAGTTTTAACTACAGATTATAAATACGTAAGCATTATATTGTATGAGTTTGCATACTTCTAAACTTTATATAAGTGGCATCCCATATATAAACTTCTGCACCTTGGGTGTTTTGTTCAGTATGTTTTTGGGTTTTATTCTTGTTCCTACAAGTAGCTCTGTGCCATATTTATTGAATGAAGAAATATGCCTCAATTTGTCCTTCATTTCTTGATAGGCTATAATAAGCATCCCTGTATATTTCTCTTTGTGCACACATACAAGGGTTTCTCTGGGGCATATAACTAGGAATGAAATTGCTGGGTGACAGGTCTATCAGTTATCTATTGCTGCATCATAGACCTCCCCCAAACTTAGTGGCTTAAAACAACATCCCTTCTATTTGCTCACAATTCTATGCATTAGAAATTCGGCAGGGCACAGTGAGAACAGCTTGTCTCTTTCCACAATGTCTGGGGTTGCATCCTGGGTGACTTAAACATCTGAAGCAGCTCAACGGGACCCTATGCGTGGGCCTGTGGTTCTAGCTGTCAGATGTGTTCCTCAGTTTTCTTTTCGATAGCCTCTCCATGCGGCTAGCTTGGGCTTTCTCACAACATGGTGGCCTCAGGATTCTAAGAAGTAGTGTCCCAGAGAACAAGCCACCCTGTGCAAAGTGCTTATTAAGCCTCTGCTTGCCTTACTCTTGCTAATAACCCATTGGTCAGAGCAAGTCAATGGCCATCCCTAGAGTTAATGTGTGAGGACGTGGATACTGGAAGGTGTGAGTCACTGGGAACTATCAATACAACAATACGTACAAACATTAACAGTTTCTGAGATATTGCCAAATGGCTCTCCAAAGAGGGTGTATCCATTTATAATTTCCCAACTCTTTTTTTTTGAGATGGAGTCTGACTCTGTTGCCCAGGCTGGAGTGCAATGGCACGATCATGGCTCACTGCAACCTCTGCCTCCCGGGTTCAAGCAATTCTCCTGCCACAGTCTTGTAATCCCAAGTAGTTGGGATTACAGGGGCACACCACCATAATAAAAATAAATTTTTATTTTTTTTTTTAGTAGAGATGGGGTTTCACCTTGTTGGCCAGGCTGGTCTCGAACTCCTGACCTCAGGTGATCCACCTGCCTCGGCCTCCCAAAGTGCTGGGATTACAGGCGTGAGCCATTTCACCCGGCCTAATCTCCCAACTCTTGAATAATCTCCTTCCAACAGTGTTAGGTTGTTCTACGTCCACACCAATACATGGGTATCGTCAGACTTTCAGTTTGCCAGTCTAATGGATCTGAAATGATGTCACACTGTTGTTTGTCGTTCTTGTGTTGCTGTCTGTTTCTTGGGGTTTTTGTTTTTTTTTTTTTTTTTTTGAGCCAGGATCTTACTCTGTCACCCAGGAAGGAGTACAGTGATGCCATCATGGCTCACTGCAGCCTCAACCTTCTGGGCTCGAGTGGTCCTCCTGCCTCAGCCTCCTGTATAGCTGGGAACACAAGTGCATGCCACCACGCCCAGCTAATTTTTTGAGTTTTTGTAGAGATGGAATCTCCCTTTGTTGCCCAGGCTGGTCTCAAACTCGGGTTCAAGTGATCCTCCTGCGTCAGCCTCCCAAAGTCCTCGGATTACAAGCATAAGCCACTGTGCCTGGCCTCACACTGCTGTTTTAATTGCACTGTCCTGAACTAATGGAGTGGATCATCTTTCTCTATTTGTTGATCATTTATTTGGGTTTCCTCTTTTTTGAATTGCCTGTTCCTATCTTTTCCCATATTGCAGTCACTATTTTTTCTTTCTTATATTAATTTATAGTTTGTGTTTTTTGGATCCTTAATTTATAAATGTTTAACCTGACCATGGAGGGGATATCTTCTCACTCCCAACCACCTGGAACAGGATACTGTTACTGAGGACCTTGGGGCACAGACTTAGGTGGGGAGTTTGGGGCTCTAAGGTCCTTTGGGTTCTGATTCTACCTGGCCTCAGCATCTGTCCCACCCTCTGGGTGTCTCTTCCAGAGTTAGAATGTGGATGGGGAGACCCAGAGCCCCTCCATCACCATGGCCCATTGACACTGGCTGCCTTCCTTTCTTGCCCCTTCCCTTCCCATGGCTTCAGATGGGTCTTCTCTTCCTCCAGCAGAGACGGCCACCATTGGTCCTCTGGGAAAACTGGACAATGATCTGAGCACAAGGTGAAAGAAAACTGGGAAATCTTTGCAGCTCAGAAAACTGGGAAATCTTCATGTCCTGCTGATCCTACATATATCCTGTGCACTAGACACTGACCCTGAGCATACTCTATCTTTCCTGCCTCTGTGCCTTTGCTTATGCTGTTTCCACTGCCTGGATGCCCCTACCTCTCACTAACCTCCCCTGCCCGGATCCTCCAAGGTCTACTTCACTGCCCTCTCCATGAAAGTCCCCCTTAGGTGGCCCTCCCATGCCCGCCACGATGTAATCTATCTCTCTTTTGACATCATCCCATAGGATTTTTCTTTGTATTTGTTCCTTTTTACAGACCCAAATATGGGTTCTAGAGAGGACATGTTTTCTCAATAGTTAAGACTTAGTGGTTTAGGGTCCCTCCCCCCTCCAAAAAAACAAAACCCAAACCAAAAAGTTCAGTTTTGATAAACTTAACCAGAATTTTGCAAGCAAAAAATCTAGAAAGAAGTGATGTCAACTTAGCATGATCACATATCATGCGGCTATATAAATGTCAATTAAAGTGAAATGAAATTAAGTTTATCTCCTGAGTCACACTGGGCACGATTCAAGTGCTTCATAGCCACATGTGGCTAGTTACTATCATATTGGACAGTACAAATACAGAATAGTTCCATCATTGCAGAGCGTTCTATTGGGCCACGAGCGGTGGCATTCATGCCTGTAGTCCCAGCTATTTGGGAGGCCAGGAGTTTGAGAACAGCCTGGGCAACATGGTTAAACCCTGTCTACACACACACACACACATGAAAAATTTAGAAAGTTCTATTGGACAGAGCTGATATTTATTAGCTCTGTTTCACAGCTTCATATTGTTTCTATTTTGAAACACCTATATCAGCGGGAGAAAACAAAATTTCTTCATTGTTTAGGCTTCCAAAGATCTAAATATTACCCTGGTCCCAGCTCAGCCACTAATTTGTTGTGTGGCCATAAGAAAGTCACTATCTCTCTGGGTCTCAGCTTGAGGGAGCTGATGTAGAAGGGTCCTTCTGCCTCTGCCACGCCTGTTCCGCCCGGGAGAATTGCTTATTTATGTCCTGGCAGGAAGAGCAGGGGAAGGGGTGGAGAGGGGAGAGAGGCGGAGGAGGAGAGGAGGAGATCATTAATGGCTCCCAGGTTCTTGCCTTTGATCAGGTTGTCTGGAGCGAGGTAAGCGGCCAGGAGATGGGGTGCTGAGAGGAAGCGGAGGGCCAGGTGAGGGTTCAGGTGACAGAGGCTTCAGCCTGCGCTGGAGTGGGGGAGGTCTTCCGCTCTGCCTCTCTCCACCTGGGAAGGAGCGCATGGGGGCTGGCCCCTACCACCCCTCCATTATTCTAAGGGGGAACTCAGTGTTGAGACAGGGGTATTCCTGTTCTGTGGGTTCTCCAGTCCTTGCTGCCAGAAATTCAAAGGCAAAGTGAGAGTTGATGTGCCTGGAGAAGAAGAAAACTGAGCTCCCTGGCAGACACCTGGCTGCCTGTCCATCCTACCTGTGAAGAGGAGGGGAGGAAGGAAATTAGCGCACGTTGAAATAAGAAAGGGGCGACGTTTTATGAGATGCTGGCTTTGCGGACTGAAGCATATCACTGGATTAGTGGCCAGGAATTGGGAATTGTCTTCTCTTTAGGGTGGTAGGACTCTCCAGTGGGGAGACAGCCCTGGATATGGGATCGGAAGGTTTCCAATCCTAACTACTGGGATAGGTTATTTAACTTCTCAAAGCCTCCGTGTCCTCATCTGTAAAAGGGGACCCAGGACACAATGATGACTGTGAGGAAGAATGAGGCCATCCCTATGTGTGAAGACATCTGGCAGATAATAGATGCCCGATGCATGTTTGGGAGTCCTCTGAAATCTGTGTTTGTGCTCTGGTCCTGACAGTTGTCCCCAACCCAGGGTCCTAGACTTCAGGTGAGGAGGGGGCCAGGACCCTTTGATCTCCCAACTGCAGCATCAATGGAGGGCTGAGTGGGCTGGGTGGGGTGGGGGTACTGGCGTCTGGGCCTGATTGGCACAGACCCAGGAGTCCAGATTTCAAAGGCAAGCTTCAAAGGCAGGGTTACGTGAATGTGGCTTCTTTTGTACCTGCTCAAGGAAGGAAAACAAACCAGTGCCCCCTCCTGCCCCAGGATGGCAGCTCAGATCCTGGGAGATACTCCCTACCCCACCTTCCTGCCCCAGGACGGTTAGTTTGATCTCTTCATCCATCCGCAGGGTTTTTGTCTCATCAAAGCAGTGATAAAGGAGCCAATTGTGGTGGGCCCTGCCCGGTCTCACCTGTGGCCCAGGGCACCCCACGGAGGGGAGCCAGCACCGGCACCGGAGGTTATGGTGACATGGGGTGGGGGGAGGAATGAGAGAAGGAAATCCAGGAGGTGCAGCTTTCATGGAAAGGGGAGCGGCAGCAGCGGTGAAGCAGAGCTAGCAGGGAGAAGTTTGAGGTTCAGGAAATTGACTGGGAATGTGGTATGGGCGGTGCCCATGGGTGCTGCTGGAGCCTGTAGGCAGGAGGGAGGCTGAGAGGGACTCCCCTCACCCTCTTCCTTCCTCCAGCTCTCAGAGTAGGCCAATTACCTGTCACCAGTCTGAGAGGGTCCCACCTCCCTCTGCTGGCTAGACTCACCCCTGCTGGCCCAGGATGGGGGGCGCTGCCAGTTCCTGCACCCCAGGGGTCAGCCGCGCCAGCATCTCTGTGATCTCAGCACAGCTCAACACTGCATCTAGGTGACCCCCCACCCCCGCGCTGTGCCTTGGCTGGGCCCCAGCAGGGGAGAGGGGTGAAGGGAAGGAGAGTAGTCCAGCCCCTCCCACAGTGGAGCTAAAGCTCTTCCAGTGGAACAGGCCGGGGCAGGAGGCCGCTGGAAGATGAAGGACACACTTATTCTTGTCAAGTTTCCCACGCCTTGGCCTGAAATCCTGGGGCCTCAACCATGTGGATAAACTCTGCCCCTTGAAGAAAAGCCTCCACCACCTCACCTGCCTCCACCCTTCCCAGAAGTTTCAAAAGCTCAGGAACCTTGGATGAGCAGGACTCTCTTGGGTTTGGTTTCCCGATCTTAGGTGTCAAAGTAGAGCACCAGGTGTAAATTCATTCACTCATTCATTCATTCACTCATTCACTCATTCATTCATTCACTCATTCACTCATTCATTCATTCATTCACTCATTCATTCATTCCTTCAGCAACATTTTACTGAGCACCTCCATGTGTTAGGCATCCTTACCGAAAGTCTGCAATTTAGGCTTTTTTTTTTTTAATTTTTGACTTTTTTTTTTAATGGGGTCTCACCTTGTTGGCTAGGCTGGTCTTGAACTCTTGAGGCTCAAGCAAACCATCTGCTTCAGCCTCCCAAAGTGATGGGATTACAAGCATGAGTCACCGTGCCCAGCCTAGGCATTCTTAAATACTTGAGCAAATGGAGAGTCTGTGAGGTTAAGCAACTTGGCTGAGGTCACACAGCAGCTGAGGGGCAGAGCTCTTTGCACCAGTTTTTGCCCCTGCCCCACCAACTCCCAGCTGGAGGCTGAGGGAGGAGGGCTCTCCCAGCCCGGCTGGGAAGGGGCCTTTGTACTCCCTCTGCACCTGCGCCTGAGCTTGGTAGACCTGTCAGTGCCTGGTGTCTGTTGCGCTGCCTGGGCAGGTTGTAGTCTGGGCTGTGCTGTGAGACACTGAGTAAGCCCTTCCTATGGGGTGCAGCTGTATTGTTGTTACCTGGGCCACACTTCCTCATCGGCAGTGAGGTGGGTAGACTGGCTAGGTGGCTGCACTTGAGTATTTAAAGAAGACAAATGCCTCTTCCCCTACCACTCCCACCTATCCCAAGAAATTCTGATTCTATTGGTCTGGGCTGGGCCGCATGCCTCTGTACTTTCGAAAGTTCTCTAAATGAGTTAGGTGTGCAGCCAGGACTGAGAACCTCTCGAACTAGATGATGACTACTTCTGTGAGCTAAAAGTGGCAGCCCAGCCCCTTCCCCAGGCTTGAGACCATGGGCACAACTCTTCGCCATCACAGCCACTCATGGCCTCTGAGTCTCTGTTCTCAGGGTCTCTTTAAGGAGTTGTGTGCTGGGAGCCAGCCGAAGGCCACACCTGCTAGGTTCTGATGGTCAGAGGGACTGGCCCTGTGAGCCAGGTGTCCTGGAGGAGGCTGTGGGGAGCAGGTGCTTTAGTAGGAGTCGGCGGAGGAAGGAGGAAGGGAAACTCTCAGGCCTGGGGCAGGGAGCAGAGGGACTGAGGTCCTCCTTATTCTGGAGAGAAGCAGCTCCTCGGTCTGACCCTTTGGGGCCAGCAGGGGCAGGGACGGGCATCAAGACCATGGTGCCTCTGGGGAAGGTGAACCTGGTGCCCTTGGCCACCTGCCCTCCATCCCTGCACACAGCGTTCTCACACTCACGTGGGAGGGGAGGGAACTAGGGGCACCTTGACTCTCCTACCAGAAAGATCTGCTGACAAAGACAAACCCCCACCCCCACCCTCTCTGGCTGAGGCTGGCAGGCGCCTCAAGCAGTTCAGGTGGGGGAAGGCCCCTCCCTCCCACCTTCCCCTGTACCCACAGCCACAACCTCTCAGGCCTCAGCTCTCCCAGAGTCTGTGTGCGCCGCTCAGATTTGGGGGCCCCAGGCAGCGGGAGGAAGGCCTTTGAGACCTGGGCCTGTCCTTCCTCTTTTCAGATTTCAGCTGGAGCAGGGTTTCTCAAACTGTGATGGATAGACACGTCACTCCCAGCTCCTGTTCAAGCAAATTCTGATTCAGAAGGCAGGGCCTGACACTCTGCATCCCTAGCAGGCTCCCCTGGGGTGCTGTACTGCTGGTCTGTGGACCACACTTTGGGCAGCAAGGAGTTAGAACACCCACACAGGTGTTCTCTGAGCCCAACCCTCTCATGGGCCTGGCAAGCAGCTGGCACCCACCAGGGTAGGGCCAGGCTGGGCCAGGCTGGGCGGACAGCCACCATCCCCTGGTACCCCTAACGAACAAGTGGTCCTCACTAGCCTGGCACGTGGCACCATTGACGGCTCAGTGCCCAGAATAGGGAAAACATAAAATCTCATTTCAAGCCCCAGTGATGGTTTGGTTCAGCTTTCCTACCTTTTTAGGAACTTAATTCCATGCGTTTTTCTTAAATGCAAGGCTGCAAGGCACCTGCTTAAAATGATATTTTCCCCTCTGCATTTGAGTAGAGACAGGCAGAGGGAGGGAAATGCTTTTTTTCCCTTTTTCAGGCTGTGTGTCACTCTGTCTCTGCTGTGTCTGTTTTGATGTCTGTCCATGTTGGCTTCTCTTATCTCTGTTTCTATTTTTCTCTGAAATAGTGCAGGGTTTTGCATCTGTACAGACCTGAGTTGGAGTCCTTCTTTTGCAACAGTTGATTAGCTCTGTGACTTTGGGCAAGTCTCCTAACTTCTTTGAGTGTCAGTTTCTTAATCTCTAAAATGGGCTCATTATTAGATGCTTGTTGGAGTGGCTGTGAATATTTTTATTTGAAATCATAAACACGAATATCCTTTGTAAGGTGAAAAGGATTGGCCAAGGATACAGGATCATTATAAGGCAATGATTAAGAGCACATGTGAATCGTGACTTTACCAGGTATTAGCTGTGTTGGGTGAGTGACCTAAATGCTCTCAGCCTCAGTTTCCCCATTTATAAAAAGAGGATAATTATGCTATCACCCCACAGGATTACGAACAGGGGTACACAAGATTACCTGTGGCTACTGCTCAGCACAGGGCCTCACGCGCACACACACACACACACACACACACACACACACACAGACTCCAAGTTGGGCTCATACTGCTTTTCCCCTTTAACACTATATCATGGACATGTGCCTATGTTTTTATGTATTGTTGATGCATATATCCTATAAGATGAATGGATGAAAATTAGTGGACTGCATGCTTCATTGTTGGTCATTATGGTTGTTGGGCTGAGAATCTGGAGTAAACATTTACAAAAAGAAAGAGGGCCTTATAACCATTTCCTTTCCCTTCTTTTTGGCCAAACAGGTAAAAGGCCACCTCCCTGGCCCACAAGCCCCTCACCCAAGGCTTTGGCCAGTTGGCCTCTTCACTCAGTACATCCTGCTAGTTAGGAGCACAGAATCCTTTTCCTTCAAGGGGTTCCTCTGTTAACCCCTGGTGCTGCAGCGCTGGCATTGGATGTTACAATTTGCCCATTGCTGTCAGAACTGGACAAGTGACCCAACAGGAATTCTTGGGATACTGAGGCAGATATGCTAGCAAGGAGGCCTTCTTGACATTGAGAAAAAAAGCGCAGGTAAGGGTGAGTGACTGGGGTGCCCCAGGGCTGCTGGCAAGCCCTCACTTCTGTTTCTGCTGGAGAAGGGCTGCCCAAAGGTGGAGGAGGTCTTTGGGGCATTAGGGTGAGCCCCAGCTGAGCAAGGAAAGCAGGTTCCCTTTCCACTCTTCCTCTCAGGAAGTCCCACCACTTACTAGGTTGGAGGAGACCTTAACTCATCTATCCCTCCGTTTTCTTATCTGCTTTAGGAGCATAAAAGAGCATCTATTTCATCGGGCAGTTGGGAGAATTTCATGAATCCACATCTTAAAACAGCACGTTCTGGCTGGGCACGGTAGCTCACGCCTATAATCCCAGCACTTTGGGAGGCCGAGGCGGTGGGCCACTTTAGGTCAGGAGTTCGAGATCAGCCTGGTCAACACGGTGAAACCCCAACTCTACCAAAAATACAAAAATTATCTGGGTAGGGTGGTGCATGCCTGTAATCCCAGCTACTGGCTGAGGCAGGAGAATCGCTTGAACCCGGGAGGTAGAGTTTACAGTGAGCCAAGATCCTCCCATTGCACTCCAGCCTGGGCAACAAGAGCAAAACTTCATCTTAAAAAACAAACAGACAAATAAACAACAGCACATGTCCTTCAGTGAAGGTTCAAATAATACAATATTAGAAAGTTTCGTGGTTCCCAGTCTCAGTCTATCTGTGTCCTCTCTTTGCCCCTTCAGCCTTCCCAGCATCTCATGGTCACCCACACCCCTAACAGCCTTCCCCTCCAGGAAATGTAACCTCTCCAGGGAAGCTTCCTGAGCAGCAGGGCTTACTCTGGAATTATGTAAAGAGTCGCCACAAACCTACAAAGTGCCACCCCACCCCTGCTGAAGCAATGTGTCCAGAGGCCACAGGGACACAGGGTGGGTGACGGAAAGAAATATGTCATTGTGGGCAGAGTCCCAGAAATTGGAGGTTCCCCAGCTTCAAGAATACAACCTTTGTTGTCGGGGGTGTTGTTTCATGAAGGGCCATATGAAGCAGCCTTCTACATCCCTAAAAGACCCAACGAGAGTCGGTGGATTAAATTAAAGCAGCAGAGATTTGAGTGAGATACAGGGAAGGCTCTCTTGATAGCCAGGGATAACACCCAGGAGAGGCTAGGGGAAGATGGCTGTGTTGCCCTGTCCCAGGAAGGGAGCCTGGAGAGGATTAGGTCTCAGAGCTGGTGTGGGTGCTCAAGAAACGCTGGTCAAATGAAGAAACTGGTGCAGGAGGGTGTGTGATCTCGTCTCTCCTGGTCTAGAACTCAATAATTTAATTTTGATGTGATTCCTAAATTTCCTTTAAGCTTAAAGAAAAAATAATCCATATGAGCTTGAAGGTGGCATTCAGCAAAGGGCTTCACTGACAGGGGCCCCCACCTGCACCCTCCAAGCTTCCCGAAGGCACGTTTGGCTAAGAGACAAAGTTCGAGGTGGGAAACCCGGCTGTCGATAGAGTCACTCTCTGCAATCAGGCAGAATTAATTGTATGAACACCATTGATCAAACCACTTAATACTTACAGGGGCTGAGAAAGAGCTGAAATGTAATTTCATTACCAACCTGCTCACCCCTAATCAAATTCCTAATAACTCTCTAATTTTTCCTTTAGATAAGGGCTGATAGGTGGAAATGGGGGTGGGGCGGGGGATAGACATGGAAACTTATTTTCTCTTCTTTGCTAGACTCTGTCTAGATAGATCCAAGTTAAATGCCTACTTCCAGAGCACCTTGTCGAAAGTCGCTGTAAGGGTTGTGGCCAACTTTGCGATTTATGCCTGGGATGGGGTGTGGGTGGGGGGCAGGGTGGAGGATGGGTGCAGATACCCTGAACTGCGAGTGAAGTTCACAAAAAACAGTTCTTTTTTCTTTCTCTCTTTTTTGAGATGGGGTCTCAGTCAGTCATTCAGGCTGGAGTGCAATGGTGTGATCTTAGCTCACTGCAACCTCCACCTCCCAGGCTCAAGTGATCCTCCCACTTCAGCCTCCTGGGTAGCTGGGAACACAGGCATGCGCCACCAAGCCCGGCTGCTTTTTTTTGTATTTCTGTTAGAGATGGGGTTTCACCATGCTACCCTGGCTGGTCTTGAACTCCTGAGCTCAAGCGATCCACCCACCTGAGCCTAACAAAACTCAATTCTGATTTGACTTAGGGTGATTATTCAGTGACTCAAGATCAGCAGATACATTTTTAGGCAGAAAACAAAACACATATAGGCTCCCTTGGCCCACAGCAAGGGGTGGAGGTGGGCAGTGCAAGCAGAAGTAGTCACAGGTTCAAAAATATCCAAGGATAGTAATTCCAGGAGAATGATTGCAAGGTAGGAGACTTGGTTCAAGTCCTGAGTGGGCTGGCGAAAGCTCCGTTGCAGGGCCTGCACACGCACACACAGACACATGTGCACACTACACAGACACGTATCACATGCCCACACACATGTACACAGGTGAATGTCATGCTTGCTGTTTTGTCCTGTGTCCATAGGGTGTTTGAAATGTAGCAGACCCTCAACTGATATTTGGAAAATATGCTCAGAGCACATAGGCATACATACACATGACCTGCACACATACAGGTATGTATACACATGCGTGCACACGTGGTCTCTCACTCTTTGCTCTCTGGGAGGGCAGGGAACCTGGCAGTTTTATTTGCCTCTGGCACACAGTGGGCACTTGGAGGCATCTGTGCAAAGAAGAGCTGGAAGCAACAGTCCTGGGGCAAAGCTGCCTCCTCCGCTGCCATAGTTGGATCATCCCTTAATTTAAAGCTCTGGTCAAGATTCTCGTCTCCTCGGAGGCCCTGCCTGCTCTGTGGCATTCTCCAGGACCATCCACACACTTGAATGATACCTGTTCACACTGGTGCTGTGGGCGTCTTTAGTGTGTACCTCCGTCATCAGACTCCTGTCTTCCCAGACCACCTCCCGTCCCTCGCTCTATGTCAGGAATTTCTTTAGAGGAGGGACCCTCTTCGCTATCAAAGTGGGAGCCCCTGGATGGCCCTCCCATCCCCTATCAGACCAGAAGTCACCCTATTTGAGAGTTCCAAAGGCCACAAGCCTCCCTCATCAATTCTTATGAGAGGTAGGTGCCTCCCTTCATTTTTCTAGGTTGGTGAGATGACAGCTCCTTCTTGTTTAGTTTCTGCCTGACCCCCTGAAGTCTCCCTGTGCCGAACAGATGCCAGAAAGCCTGCCCAGTGCCCAGGTGCCAGGGCTGAGCTCACAGGGTGGGTATGTAGGCAGGTGAGGGGAAAACAGCATAAATAACTAGATCTGGAGAGGTGTGCATGTGTACCTTTGTGTGTCTGTGTTTGTTCCTGCGTGCAAGAGTGCGTGTGTGGAGGTGGGTCCTGCCTTCCTGGACTCAGCCAGTTTGGGCAGTAAGATCATTGTTTATGACCCAGCCCACCATGCTCTGCCCAGGGCTCCCCCAGCCCAGCCCCAGCCCACCCCAGGGAATTGTAGCCTTGCAAGGATGTAGGAGGGGCATCCCCCGCCAACCAGGTCTTCACTCCCACCTCTCCACAGTCTTCTTTCCTGTCCCAGCTACTTTACCTGGCTTCTGAGACCTGTGAAGGAGGAAAGTAGGCGGGGAGGGGTGGGGTGAAAGGTGGGGGCAGTGGAGGGTAGTTATTTACAAAGCCTGTGCCCTGGGGACCCTTGTCCTGTACAACAATTACAGCCCCTTAATTAACTGAAATGCAGTCCACCTGTCGATGGAGGCCTGTCCCCCACTGAAGTTAGCCTGTGCCTGCCGCTGTCTAGTACTGGTTAATGAATATAAATCAGATAGTTTATAGTTAGCGAGCACGGAACAGGCTGGCAAGGGCCTGAATTCCAATGCAGAATGCCCAAGGATAGGAACATGCCCTCCATGGGCATGGGGGCCTGGACACCCACGGGGGTGGCACCAGGTGGGTAGGGGAGTGGGCAGTAAGCCAGCCTACCTTGCACTTGGGCTGTGAGTGCACACACAAGTGTGCAGTGCACACATGAGGCACACAGCACAGGCTTTCTTTGCATATACAACATTACATACCCACAAAAGTGAACAACACAGGCCCTCTACAAGATATACGGAAACAAGGAGGAAGTACAGCTCCCAGAAAACCCTGGCTCCTGCCTCTTCTGAAATCCGCAGAGCCTTAGCTCTGAGCAGCTTCTCTCTTCATGCTAGAGCCTATGCCCACTGCCCGCTGCAAGAGACAGGTGCAGTCTCACCCCCAGGCCAGCTCGCCACCTGATTCTGGGGATCAGCCCAGGTCCAGAATGCTGACTCAGTTTCCCCTCCCCAGGCTGGAGTCACTGAGCTGACTGCTGTGGTGGGGGTGGCAGTGGCTATGGAACCCTGGTACCAGGCAGGGAGGCTTCTAGAATGTGTGTGGGGATTTTACCCAAGGTCTTCACAGCTGCAGAGGAAATAGATTGACAAGGTCCTAGCCCAGGGCCAGGTTCATGGGCTGGTGATCTGTGTACAGAGCCCTGTGGTTAGAAGGTTTAATGGTTTAATGCTCTTCTGTCGCTATCTTGAAAGCCTTAATAATGTCTGAACAAGGGGCCTGCACTTTCATTTTGCATCGGGAACTACAAGTAGTGTAGCTGGTCCCATTCTCACCCCAGACATAGGGCCAATGGGAGAAGACTGTGTGAAAAGTGTGGGTATGGGGTTGTGGTGTTTACAGGGTCTCTGAACAGAGATCTAGCAATAGGGGTCACTTGTGGAAAGTACACTTTACCCAGACCTGAGGGTTCCTCCTGCTGGCTTTGTCACCTGGGGAAGGTCCCTCACCTCCCTGGGCCCCAGGTTCAGGCTTCCAAGGAGATGGCCTTTCAGCTCCCTTCTAGCTCAGCCTCTCCTCTTTGGGAAGAGTCCAGACCTCCTTGGAACCTTGGTTCACACACACATGCATGCACGCACATGCATGCACACATGCACACACACGCGCATACACGTACACACGCAACACATGCACACACCCACACACGTACGCACATGCACACACACACACGCACATGCACGCACACGCACACACGCAGGTACACACGCACACAGGCACACACATGCACACACACGCACACACACGCACGACAGAGCCAAATCTGCAACATAGAGTTGCATTATTGCCTCTGGAGAGATGGAGTGGGGTTGTCCCCACCCCCAGACAAGTCCTCACAAGCAGCTTCTAAAATCCAGAGACCAGCCAACACCTCCCCCTGAGTGGGTTTGTTTACTCCTCTACTAGCGGAGAGGGAAGGGATGGGGGTCCAGCAGCGGGGCGGGGCGGGGTGGGGGGGTAGGTAATGGCTTGGTGGGGGCAGATAAATAACTGTCATCCAGGGCTCACTGACACCCCTGCGTTCCGCCTGGCTAGTCTGCTTCTCCTGGGCTCCCCTGCTGGTAGAGCTACGGGGAGGAGGGGAGGGTGTGTGGGTTCTGGAGACAAAGGAAAATGATTCTATGACCATGGTGTGAGTGGTGGCGAGTGGGGCAGGGCCCAGGATGAGACAGTGTGGCCTGGATACCAGGCAGGGTGGCTGGGGGTGCGGGGCGGGGGGGTGGCATGCACAGGCAGAGCCCCCAAGTGGCTGAGGCTGGGTTCTGGTGCCGCAGACACAGACGAAGGCACCTGTCATGCGGTGGGGGGCTGAATGTCTGTCGCCAAGGGGGCCTCTCACACCTTGGGTGGCAGCAAGGGCCCCACAGCTGGCTAGCTCAAGGCTGCCCACAGCAGAGGTCTCTGGGCAGTGGCACAGGGCACTCCAGCCTCTCTTCCTGTGTGACAGCCCAGGAGAGGAGCAGTCACTTGGTCAGGCAGCTCTTCCATCTTGATGGCGCCAACGCAGGAGGTGGGAGGTGGTGGATGCCCAGCTAGGCCAGAGTCTCAAGCCTCACGGAGTGGGTCTTTCACAGAAGCATCTCTCAGTCCCGGCTAAGCTACTGTGAATATACCCATTCCATAGACGGAGAAGTAAAGAAAGAAGGCACTCACTCCCTGGAGACCTACAGTAAAACGAAGGTCAAAACCCAAGTGACTCCTCCCTGATTCCGGATTGGGGCCCTGCTAAGAAAGTAAACACCCCAAATCATCCCCAGTCCTCCCCAACAGACTCATCACATACACATCACATACACACACACACATACACTCATCACATACACCCAAGAGGTGGACAGGAAGTCCTTGTTCCTGTTAGACTTGAGAGAGGAGCCTGGAAGCTCCAATTCTTTGACAAGATTCCCCCTAACAATGTGTCCTGATAAACACTTTCCTGGGCCCGGAACATCTGCTGATCTTCACAGCCCCTGGGTGAGGAGGACTGGGAGGATGTCAGGAACTGAATTCACAAAGATTGCAGCCAGAGAAGGGGCCCGAAGGGGTTTGCACTGTGACTTAATTGGAGGTGAAATCCACCTTGACTCCCAGCCCAGAGCACCCCCATATCTGAGACACCCGGAGGATGCCCCAGCTTAGGAAGCTCAGCTCCCCGAGTTTGGAGTGGGGGCAGGCACAGGCAGGAGAGGTTTTTGTTTATTTGTTTCGGTGAGGATCTGGCCACCCTCCCTTCTGTGATAGAAAGGCCCAGTCCTCAATTTGGGGACACCACCTAAGATCAATCTCTAAGACACTCTCAGATGCTAAGGACTCTGTGGTCTTAATCAGGGAAGGCTCCTTGGGGGAGGCAAAATTGAAGGATGCTTTGATCAGGGCAAGGACAAGCCTGGGCAGAGATAGGAGATGTGTGCACAAGTGGCCAGCCCCTCGCTTTCCGCAGTCTCTGGGCTCAAGGGCAGCAGGCATGAAGCAGCCTCTTACCTTGATGTGAAATGAGGAATTGGGAGCTCAAGAAACCTGTGATCCTATTGAGGATACTGACAACAGCCCATCAGACAGAAAGATGGATAGCATGGGAGGCCCGTTCAGGCTCATCCCTGGCTCAGACTAGCAGACACAGGACGCCTTGGACAGGCTCCATCCAGGGCATCTGTGGGCACTGCCCCCTGGCTGAGGGCAAGCCAGCTTTGGTTCAGGCCCTTCCATTCCTCTTGGGAGCCTTGCTTAGCGCTCACTTCTTCCCCAAGGCCTCCTCAGACTGACCCCAGAATCCGCCCCCCACCCAAGCTTCCGCTTCGTCTCCTCCTCCCAGGATGCAGGGAGGCCGGGGGTACCACCAACACTCCCAGGCCATACGTGAATTCATCATCTTCGCGTCCTCTGTAGAACGTGGGAGAGAGGCGAGGGAGAGAGAATGAGAAAGAGGAAGGTGCTTGTCCACCCAGGTGTGCCGGGTAGAACTTGACGAGCCAAATTCTCCACCTGTGGGCTGGACAGAGCAGGACAAGCAGGACTGGAGAGCAGAAAGCCTAGGTTGATGTCCAGCCCAGCCACCCTGTCACCCGGAAAAAGCACCGTGACCTCAGAGGCTCTCAGTTCGCCCCCCTGTGCTGAAGCCCCCTCGGCAGGGATGTTGGGAACCACAGAGATAATATAGGGGAAGAGCCCGGCCATGGCCCTGGTTTATTATTAATTAGTTCTAATCGTAGAAGCGTCCGCTTACACATGGCGGGAGGGAGGCCCTTCTTTGGGCCATGCAGGTCCACAGTGCGATGCCAGCCCAGCCCAGCCCACGCTGCAGAATGTGTGTTTGGAGAGAGGCAAGGGAAGGGAGGGAAAGGTTGACTGCTTTTTTTCCCCTCCCTCCTTTAGCGTGGGTGACACTGGCGAGAAGCGAGCAGCTGACCCGGGTTTGAATTTAGAGTGTTCATTAATATGATATTATGCCATATGCTCCGCACACTGTCTCCCTCGAATGCAGCCGCCAATTTGCTGAGCAGCCCTAATTAGTAATGGTATAATGAGAGTATTCAGAGGGTAATGTGGTGGGTGGGGATGGAGGGACGGGACTGAGCCTGGCCGCCGGGGGAGGGGCAGATCTGGCTGCAGAGGGCTGGGGGACACTGCGGCAAGGGGTCGTCTTGACCCAGGGCTGGCCGAGGCCCAGGAGATGAGATACCTCCCCTTCCTTCCCAACGCCCACTCCGCTCCTCAGGGAACAGAGGCTCAAGGTTGTGGAGTGGGGTGTGTGGTGAGGGGGTGGACAGGGTAGAGGGAGAGGTGAGAGAGCCTGGGTGAAGGAGGAGGCAACGGGTGGTCCTTTGTTTTCAAACCAGAGGTGGATGACAGAGGAGAGGTGATGGTGGGGCGTGTGTGTGCCTGTGTGCATGTGTATGTGGTGTAGACTGTAAATCCCCTGAGTCTTTATCATGTGCCAGGCACTCTGCTGGCCCTTCAGAATTACCCAGCCAGGTGGTATAACTAATGCTATTTTTCAAATGGGGAAACTGAGGTTTAGGTAGATTCAAAGGTCAGTCAACTGGTGAGGGAGCAGAGGACTGGCAACCAGGACTGGCAGCTTCCAGAGCTGGATAAGCTTGCCTTGGCCATCATTGGCTGCTGTGGCCACGGAGGGGAAGGGTGGAGAGCACAGCGTGGGGCTGGGGATGGGCACAGGGCAGGAGCGAAGTGAGCCACATGCTCCTCATTCCTCCTTCTTCCTCTGTGCTTACCTGTCCCTCCCTTCCCTTCTCAGGCTGTAGCTTCCCAGCCCCCATCCCCAGGGGGAGACAGTTCCCAGGACTCCTATTTGAGGGGCCACTATATGTGAGGACCAGGATGTGCTCCACACCTTCAGCCATAGTCATGCCAGTGGCACCTTCAGCCTGGACATCTCCTGAGTGTGGGTTCGTGGGTGCGCAAACCTCAGAACCTCAGAACCCTGGTATTGTTCTCTCCCCTCTCCCTCTCAGCCTCCCTAAGCCTCATTTTCCCCATTTTTCATGCATCTCTGGGCTCAGGAAAACATCTGCCCCTTGCCACAGGCGAACCCCAACGAAGGACTGGGAGCCCCATGGGGCACGAAGTATTTGTGCCTCAGATTCGGGCTGCCCTGACCTCTCTGAGCCTCCCAAGGCCAACGGTGTCGGCAGGAGCAGGTGGGTGGACCCTAAAACCTGCCTTCTTCAGAGCCTATTGCCAGTGCCCCTCTCAGCCCCCCTTCTTCCCAGGCACGGCTGGGCAGTGCTCCCTCCCCAGGGGATCACAGCTCTCCCGCAAACCCACGCTCAGGAGATGAAATATTCATCACGTACATATTGGCTCCTCCAGCGGCTTTTAGGGAAAGCAAATGAGACTGACTCCGGGAAGGAAATGAGTGTGAGGCATGGGGGTGGAGGGGGGCGTGGCTAGGACAAGGGTGGGCAGTGCCTCCCAGCCTCCCTTTTCTGGATTCCAGCTTCTGGGACTGGGCTGCACCTTGCATTCCTGGTGCCCCCAACCTACCACATCCCTGCCTTCCAGCCACCCCATCTCTTCTCCTGGAAGACAGGAGGTTCATAGTTTTCCTCTAACATACCCAGGCAGAGCTGCAAGGCATGGATCCATCCATCCAATAGTCACTCTCAGCCAGGTGCGTTCCAGAGACCTAGCTTATAGGGCCAGACAGGAACCCTCAGGGAGGACACAGGCAACCAACAGGCCACAGACATATGAGACCGTGTCAGGTGGTGTCTGAGGGAAACGAAATATCTATTTTAGCTTGGTGGGCAAGGAAGGCCTCTGAAAAGGTGGCATGGGAGCTGAGATCTGGATGGCGAAGACAAACTTTCCAGGCGGAGGAAATAGCAGTGCAAAGGCCTGGAGGAGGGAATGAGCTTACAGCGTTCAAGGAGCAGCCAGAGTCCAGTGTGGCTCTGATCCAGGGGGGCGAGTGAGTTTGAAGAAGATCTCAGGGGCATGATCACACAGTCTCACAGGCCACAGAAGTCTTGGGGTTTATTCTAAGAGCAAATGAAAGCATTTGGGGGCAGCAGAAAGAGCACTGGATTTGAAGCCAAGGACCTGGGTGTGAGCTTGATCAGGTCACTTAACCTTCTAGCCTCAGTTTCCTCATCTGTGAAATGGTGATGGGGAAGTGCAGGCCACAGGGCTGTTACGAGGATTAAATAATGTCATTTATGTGAAAGTCTGCCACTCTTCAATGTTGGTAGTGAAGCAGTTCCTTCTGCCTGTCCCTGGGTAGTCCCCCAAATGTCTGCCTGGACAATACCAAGTTGCAGAATCTCAGAACCCTGGCATAGAGCAGGGCTTTAGAAGTCTGTCACTCAGTGAGTATTTATTGAGGAACTATGTGCCTTGTGCTAGGCTTGGTGCAAGATGCAGCCGTGAACAAGATAGATTCAGAGTGTGGACTGGAGAGATCTGGACCAGCCCATTTCATAGATAGGCAAGGTCAAGGCCACACAGTGCTGACCAGAAAGAGAACCCAGGCCCCCCGACCACCAGTCCAGTGTTCTCCCCAAGATGCAGACAATGGGTGCCCTTCCTTTCCTTTGCCTGACATTTTCTCCCACACTAGGGCTTGCTTGGGAGAGAAGGCAGCTCCCTGTCCCCGTGGCCTTGCTTGGATGAGGAGGAATTCTGAAGGGACCAGGATCGGCTGTGATGGGCCTTGAAGGATAGATGTGATTTGGCTGTGAGGAATGGAAGGACACTGGGCAGAAGGGACAGCAAAGCCCTGGAGACAGACAAGTGTTGACCTGCATGTTAAATAGCAGGCGGGGCTCTCAGAGAGGAAGAAGAGGCCAGCATGCCAGATCTGGAAGGGCAGGCGGGCGCCATTTCTCCAGCAGTGGGGGCCGCTGGAGCTGTAAGTTAGGGAGTGGTGCTGGCAGGATGCTCCTGAGAGAGCGCTGGCAGCTCAGGGCGACTGCATCAGAGGTGGGAAATGGAGGTAGAGAGACCTCTGAGCAGCCTAGTGCAGTGGCCCGCGTAAGTGCTAGCAAGGACTCCACTAGAGCAGCAGCAGGGGCAAAGAAGAGAAAGGAGCCATTCGAGAGGCTTTCCAGAGGAGGAGGCCACCAGCCACCCTGATGGAGTGTGGGGAGCAGGAGGGAGGGAGGAGACAAAGAGCTTTCAGAAGATGGGAGATTTAGCTGTCCTTTATTGATTCCACGAACATTTCCTGAGCACCTGCAGAGGGTCAGGCCCTGTGCCATTCAGGCAGGAAATTGAGCAAAATTGTGCAAAACCTGAAGGCTCGTGATTTGTGCTCTTGTTGGGATGGGAAAGGGGAAATGGGGGCGAGGGGTCGTTAGGCAGCTGGCACCACTCTCAGAGCCTTGATTTTGCTCTCTGTGAAATGGACAGCTCTGAGGGCCAGGGAAACACCGGCTGGGCTGGGCGCTTCAGGAAGGTGCTTCTGGATAGATACCACCATGGAATTCTGGAGACTCAGCCTATGGAAATGAGAAGGGAGTGGGTGAGGAGAATGGGACTCCCCTTTGAGGCTGGGGAAGCAGACCCACGTAGGGGAGGGAGGAGCCTTGTTGGGGGTTGTGTTCCTCTCAGGATTGTGGGGATGGGGTCTCAGGGCCTCCCACTTCCCACCTGGGGAAAAAGACCCAGAAAAAGAACACCCCAGGAGCAGGGAATCTGGCAGTGATTCTTTCAGTGACAGCAGCAGCAGCAGTAGCTAATGTTTCCCGGGTCCGTTACATGCATTAGGTCAGCCAATCCTCACTGTGTCTCTGGAAGCAGGTGCTGATAGCGTTCCCATGTTCCAGATGAGGACACTGAGACCCAGACTGCTGAGAATATTCACAGAGCCAGGACTGGAACTCAGGCTGCCTGACTCCACGTTAGGCACATTAGCTCTTCTCAGATCCCCTCTTCTTCTTCTTCTTCTTTTTTTCTTTTCTTTTTTTTGAGACAGAGTCTCCCTCTCTCACCCAGGTTAGAGTGGAGTGGCGCGATCTTGGCTCACTGCAACCTCTGCCTCCCAGGTTCAAGCAATTCTCCTGCCTCAGCTTCCTGAGTAGCTGGGATTACAGGTGCCCACCACCACACCTGGCTAATTTTTGTATTTTTAGTATTTCACCATGTTGGTGGGGCTGGTCTCGAACTCCTGACCTCAAGTGATCCTCCTGCCTTGGCCTCCCAAAGCACTGGGATTACAGGCATGAGCCACTACCCCCGGCCTCAGGTCCCCTCTTCTGATAACCCATCCAGGACCTGCAGCCCACCTGCCCTGCCATCCTCTCTAGGGCCTGCCCCACACCAGCGAGCCAGTAACCGCACCTTCCCACTGCAGTGAGAGGGCAGCAGAATCCAGGGCGCCTTTCTGGGAGCAGATAGCTTTGAGGAGAATGCTGCAGGAGAGGTCAAATGTGAACTGGCCACGATGGGGGCACGGAGGGGATCCCAGGAGTGCCTTTGCACCACCTGAGCAAAAGTGAGGTGTTCCCTCCCTGTGCTCTGGGGCTGGGGGGGCTGAGCCCCGAGGGGCCCCCTTTCTTCTCATCCTGTTACCAGTTTTCCAGGAAGTTTGGAGTCTCCCCCTGCCCTCCCCCACCTACCAGGGTGAAGGTTTGTGGGGAATGTTCTCCCGCAGAACTCGGCATGAAATAAATTCCATTCTTACTCTGCAAATGACACTGCACATAAATATTCAGTAAATTAGCAGCACGCTTTTATAGATTTATCAGTCATTGCAGGCACAAAATGACAGGCAATGTTGTAGCTGAAATATTAATGCTGACAAATTAATGATTTCTGAGTAAATGATGTCATTTTTGCACCGTTTCATTAAAATTTACTCACTTCTGCTTCATTTCTGGACCTAAAAAAATTAAAATCATTTCCTTCTCTCTTTCTTCTTTCTTTTTAGTGTGGGATTGGTTCCCAAACCTGAGAGGGATATAAATTTTCCCCAGAAGCACCCCAAAACAGAGGTGGGAAGCCAGGCAGGGCTAGCATTCCTCACCCCAAGCTCTAGGGAGGGGCTGGGGAGAGACCCCTGCTGGGTCCCAGAGATGGTTCTTGGGCCTCCACCATTGGTCTAGCTGGAACATAGCAAAACAGTGTCTTTGGGTCAAGCCTGGATTGGGGTGGGGGGTTATAGGGGGAAGTGGGGAGGAAGCTTGGGAGGGGGTGTGTCCTGGGAGGGCACCTGGGAGAAGAGGGTTTGGAAGGAAGTCATGCACCTGTCTTTGCAAGCTTTAAGTGCCTCCATCATCCTCATCATATTTGGCCTCCTTCTTGCAATAAATGTGGGGAATAATCAATTCTCGCAACCTCCCATAGTAGGTAAAGGGGAAATGCCAACTGTGTAAATATGCCCGACAACCCCCCTCACCGAGGCTCTAGGGAATGGACAGATGACCACTTACTCGCAGCGTGACCTTGGGCGAGTACTGTCGCCTCTCTGAGCCTCAGTTTCCCCTTCTCTGACGATCTCCTCATTTCTCAGGGTTCTTGGGAGGATGAATGTAATGGCATGGACAAGGCACAGGACAAGTTCCCCAGTCGGACAGCCCCTCCAGACGCAGCTCCCAGCTGCTCCCCGCACACGGTCCCCGGGAGGGCGAGAGGGGCTGCGGGGGAGGAGCAGCGAGGCCCCTGCCCGCCTGGATCGGCCCAGGTGACCCGGCCGGACCCTGAGGAGCTGGGGGCACCAGGAGCAGACGGGTCCTGGAGCCCCGCGCCCCCGGCTGCCTCGGCGCGCTCAACGTGGCCAAAGGCAAAGCAGTTCGCTCGGCCCGGGCCAGCGCCGCGGGAATGGAGCGCGGCGAGGCCGAGAGGCGAGGCGAGGCGGACACAAAGGAGAGGCGAGGGAGGCGAGCGCGCGGCGCCGGCGCCCTGGCCAAGGCGTATCGGACAATCTCCGGGCTAATTCGTGTCAGGGCCGGCCTCCTATCTCCCGCCCGGCTCCCCGGCCGCTGATAAAATTGAAGTGGAAATGAAGTTGGATGCTCTGGAGCACCCGCGCGGCTGTGGGGGTGGCGGGGGCTCCGTCCGGGGCAGCTGCGCCCTCCGCGGGCGCCCTTGGCGCTGCCCTTGGCCAGGCCGCGGGGATGGAGCGGGAGAGCCGGGCGGGGAGGGGAGGACGCCGCCGCGCAGACCCCCTGCCCGGCGGTTCCCGATCCTGTCCCCGTCCAGATGAACATTTACCCAGCAGTGGGAGCGGGGTGGAAATGCGGGGAGCGGCCCGAATGCGGGAGACGGCAAGGCAAGGACACCCTCGTTTAATGAGCGCTTATTAAGTGCCAGGCTCGGAGCCAGGTGTTTAAAGTGAGTTATGCGCTCAGTTACCCCTCCCCCCACCATATGAGGTGGATCGAGTGATTGCTTCCATTTTTACGGATGCTGACTTGGACACCCAGAGTCTCAGCCGGCCCAGGGACAGCTAGCAGAATGGCTGCATTCGCACCCAGGCTCTGGCACACTGCAGCTGCGGCGCGTCACCACCGCACTAGCCCGCACTTGGGAGCGCCCCGAATAGGCAGAGAGATGACACAGAAGCAGGGCCGGGCGCTGGCAGTTCTGCAAGCCCGTTAGGACGCAGGCCTTGCAGCCATTAGGTCCATCCCCTGAGCTCAGAACCGCCTGAGGGGTGGATCTTACTCCCAGGTGAGGAAACCTGAGGCTGAAAGGTGGTGGAGGGAATCGAGCTGGGAACCAGGGGAGGCGGACTGCACTGGCCCGCTGAGTTATCTTTCTGACCCCCAAAGTCCAAATCAGCTCGAGATGAAGTCTCCGCTGCCCTGTACTTTCTTGAGGGAGACCAGTGGGGGCCTGGAGGTGATGACTGGCTCTTGTAATGCTATTCGGCCATTATTCACGTATATTATTTTCCATTTTATTTATTTATAAATTGGCCCCTGCCTACTTCACCCCTATCAGTGTCTGCCCGCTCCTGACTCTCTCTGGCTACAGCCTCACCGCCAGTCTAGGCTTTCAATGGTTCCTTTCTGCCCCAAAGCCTTCACACGTTTTCTTCCCTCAGCTTCTCTCCTGGGCAGCTTTTTCATCTCTCCATTCTCATGATCTTTTTAATAATCCTTTTAATGGCATTGATATACGTTGATATACCAAAATGTATAGACTTTATTTTTATTTAGTTGGACGTGGAATGGTAGCCCAGTGTGGACAATTATTAGGTCACAAGAGACGTCTTAAAAACATTCCAGAGAATTACCATATACAGAACGTTATGGTTCTCAGCTCATAATGCAATAAAATTAGAAATCAACCACCAAAAGAGAGTTACCAAAACCCTACATGTTTTGAAATGAAAAACTTGACCTCGGCCGGGCGCAGTGGCTCATGCCTGTAATCCCAGCACTTTGGGAGGCCAAGTGGGCGGATCACGAGGTCAGGAGATGGAGACCATCCTGGCCAACATGGTGAAATCCGTCTCTACTAAAAATACAAAAATTAGCTGGGTGGGGTGGTGGGCGCCTGTAATCCCAGCTACTTGGGAGGTTGAGGCAGGAGAATGACTTGAACCCGGGAGGCAGAGGTTGCAGTGTGCCGAGACCACGCCACTGTAATCCAGCCTGGTGACAGAGCAAGACTCCGTCTCAAACAAACAAACAAAAAACAAACAAACAATAACTTCACCTCAACATTATCTGTGGGTTAAAAAGAAATCAACAAAAATTATTAAATATTTAGAATTGAATGATAATGAATGCACTTAATGTCAACATTTACAGGGTGCAGTTAAAGCAGTGCTTACAGGGAAATGTATAGACTTCAGTGCGTGTATTGTGATCATTAGAGCTCTTACTAGCTCTGCATTCTGTGCAAATCTAGAGTAGGCATCTTCTGTTATTTTTTTCTTTCAAAGCTCTTGTCACACGTACAATTGCCCCTTGGTATCTGTGAGAGGTTGGTTCTAGGACTCCCCTCGGATACCAAAATTCGAGGATGCTCAAGTCCCTTGTATAAAATGGTGGAGTATAATATTTACATATAATCTATGCATATCCTCCCTTAGACTTTAAATCAAGTCTGACTACTTATAACACCCAATACAATGTAAATGCTATGTAAATAGTTGTTATATTACATTGTTTTTTATTGCTGTATTTTTTTTTTTTACTTATTTATTCTTGAGACAGTTTCACTCCGTCACCCAGGCTGGAGTGCGGTGGCGCAATCTTGGCTCACTGCAACCTACACCTCCCAGGTTCAAGCAATTCTCCTGCCTCAGCCACCCCAGTAGTTGGGATTACAGGTGCACACCACCATGCCTAGCTGATTTTTTTGTATTTTTACTAGAGACAGGGTTTTACCATGTTGGCCAGGTTGGTTTTGGACCCCTGACCTCAGGTGATCTGCCTACCTCGGCCTCACAATGTGCTGCGATGACAGGCGTGAGCCATTGTGCCCGGCCTATTCTTTTTTTTTTAAGAGTATTTTTGATCCATGGCTGATTGAACCTGTGGATGCAGAACTTGCAGGTACAGAGGAACAACTGTATGTATTTATTTATAAGCATACTTCTTAGTGTCTGCTCCCCTGACTAGACTGTACACTCTATCAGGGTAGGAACTGTAGCTGTTTTGCTTGTCACTGTATTGCCAGCGTTTAACACAAAGCTACACACATAATAGGTGTCCAATAAATATTTCTTAAATATGTGTTTGTCTAAGAAATATGTGTTTATTATTAATGAAGTCACACCCTATTCTCTTTAAAAACGGATTTGAGATTGTCTGTAATAAATACATATAACATGTTAGGCCAGGCACGGTGGCTCCCACCTGTAATCCCAGCACTTTGGGAGGCCAAGGCAGGCAGATCACCTGAGGTTAGGAGCTCAAAACCAACCTGGCTAACACGGCAAAACCCCATCTCTACCAAAAATACAAAAATTAGCCAAGCACGGTGGCAGGCGCCTGTAATCCCAGCTACTTGGGAGACTGAGGCAGGAGAATCACTTGAACTCGGGAGGTGGAGGCTGCAGTGAGCCGAGATCGCACCATTGTACTCCAGCCTGGGTGACAGAGCAAGACTCCATCTCAAAAGAAAAAAAAAAAAGCCATATAGGATGCCAGTTAAAAGGACAGCTTAGCAGCAGGATGAGAAAATTGGGAGAAGAAGTGGGAGAGTCAGTAACTGAGTGTGTATTGTGGGGCGGGGGGGCGGGGGCAGCATTGGGAATGCTAGTTCCCAGGTAACCTTCGCTCCTCCCAGGGCCAGGCTTGGGGGCAGCTAAGAAGGTGGCAGGAGGAGGGGGATAAGGTACTGGTTGAGAAGTCAGACTGAAGAGGTTGAGTAGATTCCCTGCAGATAGTAGAGGAGGGATGTTGGGGGTTGACCTTTGGGAGTGGAGAACAGGGCTCTCACACCAAGTAGGCGGGTGGTGGGGAAAAAGGTGGAGGTGAGAAGCAGAACATTTTTGTTCATTCATTCATTCATTCATTCATTCATTTCACAGTCTGAGGGACTATGTGAATAGAGGCTGCAGAGCTGGGTTAGAATGGACCAGTGGCTGCATTGGCTTTGAGCTCCCAGCACCAAGGTCTGGTGCCCTCTGGGGTAGCTGGATGGGCCCCTTCTGTGCTCAGCAAAGGACAAGAGTCTAGTTCCACAAAACACCCAATTCAGTTTTAGTTCAGCTCAACCGTCCACCTAGCTTGACTTTCTGGTCCTCAGTTTCTGTGTTCACAATAGCTCCTTCTTGAGAGGACACTTGATACTATTCTTCTCACTGAGTGGGACAGCTTTGATGAGCCATTTTTATGGCTCTTTTTAAGTGCATTGCCAAAGAGTTATTTTCAAAGAGGGGTTTACCTGAAGAAACCTCCACCTGGAGCGAGAAGACTAGTATCGGAGTCCTGGCTCTGTCACTTTCCAGTTGTGTAACTTTGGACAAGTTGCTTTCCCTCTCTGAACCTCAGTTTTCAACTGTAAAAATGGGTATAAAAAGAGTAATGTCTGCCTCACAGGATAAATAGCATAAATATAGGTAAAAAGCAATGAACTTGTGTGTGTGTGCATGTGTGTGTGTGCTAGGAGGGTGTGTAAACTATAAAATCTTATGCAAATATCAAATTTTAGTATTATTCAAGGTCTCCCCTTTGCCTGTAGTTCCTCCCTGTGTCCACCCCCTTGAGATCCTTTGTGAATCCCACCATAAACTTTGCATACCCTCTTCTCCCCTGGCTGAGTCTAAATTAATTTCTCCCAATGGTGTCTTCCAGCCACACCATATAAGGACCTCTCTGGGGCCCTCTCACTAGGTGCCCTGTATAGGAATTCCTTGTGCTTGGTCTGCCCTTTCTGAACTACATATCCATGACATTTAGAGTTAGAAACTGAAGAAAGTGACCTCGACTTAACATTTCTGGATCCCTAAGATCTAGCATGGTGCCCTACACATAGCAAGAGCTCAAAAAATGTCTGTTGGCCGAGTGTGGTGGCTCGAGTCTATAATCCTTGCACTTTGGGAGGCCGAGGCAAGAGGATTGCTTGAGGCCAGGACTTCAAGACCAACCTGGGAAACATAGGGAGATCTAATCTCTATAAAAAATTATAAAAAATTGGCCAGGTATGGTGGCATGCATCAATAGTCCTACCTACTTAGGAGGCTGAGGCAGGAGGATTGCTTGAGCTCAGGAACTTGAGGCTGCAGTGAGCTGTGATCACGCCATTGCACTCCAGCCTGGGCAACAGAGACCATGTCTCAAAAAAAAAAAAAAAAGGCTGTAGTACTAAATGCTCTTAAGCCTTTGTTAATTTATCCAAACCAATATTTTCCAGGGTAAACATTTTTTAGAGTTTTGTGAATTACAGAAACAGTAAAACACATTAAATACAATTTTGAGGTAAGAAAAAAATTATCTAGAATCCTACCACTAGTAGTCAATGCTTATTTTCATTCTTGTTTATTCTTTTCCAGTCTTTGTTTTTATGCCTGAAGATTTTACATTGCTGCTAATATCACGTGTTTCATGTTCTTTTTTCCATTTCACATTATCTCAAACATTTGTGTACTTTCTACATTTTCATAATGATGTTTTTAATGGCATAGAGTAGATGTACCAAAATTCATATGTTTTTCCCCAATCACACATGGAACTGTTACTAGAATTACGTATTAGATCACAGAGGAACTCTCAAAACATTCCAGAGAATCAACATTATACAGAACATGTTTTCAGACCACAATGCAATAAAATTAGAAATCAACCACAGAAAAAGCAAGCTATCAAAACCTTCTACGTTATGAAACAAAAAACCCCCCAAACTTCTAAATAATTCATAGTTAAAGAGTAAACCAATGTCAATTAATTAAATATTTAGAATTAAATGATAATGAGGCCAGGAGTGGTGGCTCACGACTGTAATCCCAGTACTTTGGGAAGCTGAGATGGGTGGATCACCTGAGGCCAGGAGTTCAAGACCAGCCTGGCCAACATGGAGAAACCTCATCTCTTCTAATATTATGAAAATTAGCCAGGCATGGTGGTGTGCACCTGTAATTCTAGCTACTCGGGAGGCTGAGGCAGGAGAATTGCTTGAACCTGGGAGGCGGAGGTTGCAGTGACCTGAGATTGCACCATTGCACTTCAGCCTGGGTGACAGAGTGAGACCCTGTCTCAAATAATAATAATAATAATAATAATAATAATAATAATAATAATAATAATAATAATGAAAAGGTTAGAAATTCGAAACCACTATATATGTATACTGGAATTAAACTTTTCTTTAACCTTTATTTTAGGTTCAGGGGTACATGTGCAGGTTTGTTATACAGGGAAACCCATGTTACGGGGGTTTGTTGAACATTTAAGTAAACAGATGGGACCCAGAGTTTCACTGCTCCCAGCAAGTGGTTGTAATGGGAGGTTATACATAAGCAAAGCATTGAACTTGAAGTTGAATGATCCATGTGGTAATGGATGAGAGGTGGAGACAGCAGATGAACTTATGTTTAGCTCAATAGAAATACAGATGATTACATATAGAATTTTGTATAGATATGTGTGGATAAATGGTCAGTATACACACATATATTTCTTCGCCTTGCCAACTGAGGGCCTAGAAGCAATGACCACCAGTAGCAACAATCACACCTAGTGCTCAGATCTTGGTTTCTAATACCATTCTCCAGTGAAAAGAACCAGGGTTCTTGGAAAAACGTCTGATTCTAGGACTAGACAGGAAATATACAAGATGAGCCTGGAGCATCTTTTAGTGCCAAAAAATAAGGAAATGCTCAGATATAAAACAACTCACATTGATGAGGGTATGTCTAAGACACACAGGAGCCCACCGAAAGTGCTCCCAGTGGCCAAGGCTGGAATAATTTGAGCAACAAAATAAATAACACAGTATTGGATTATAATCCAAAGTAAATAAATATCCATGAATCCATACTGATACAAATACATGGTTGAATAAATAAATTAATGGGGAGAATAGACAAGCCTCCTGTGCAGAGGAATTTCAATTATGTAGAGGCTCTGCCTTCCAGGAGGTGGAACATAACTTCCTATTCCTTATGTGTGGGCTTAGCATAGTGATTTTCTTCCAAAAAGTACATTATGGGTGGGGCGTGGTGGCTCATGCCTGTAATCCTAGCACTTTGGGAGGCCGAAGCGGGTGGATCACTTGAGTCAGGAGTTCAAGAACAGCCTGGCCAACATGGCGAAACCCTGTCTCTACTAAAAATGCAAAAATTAGCCAGGCCTGGTGGCAGGTGCCTGTAATCCCAGCCCCTTGGGAGGCTGAGGCAGGAGAATTGCTTGAACCCAGGAGGCGGAGGTTGCAGTGAGCTGACATCGCGCCACTGCACACTAGCCTGGGTGACAGAGCAAGACTCTGTCTAAAAAAAAAAAAAAAAAAAGTACATTATGGAAGGGGTGATGGAGGAGGAGTAACTTTACAGTAGAGAAACCTGACAAGCACTACCTTAGCTGTGTGATCAAGGTTAACATCAACAGCGATATCCTATCAATAGTATAAGCCCTTGGTATGATGTCATGAGAATGACACTTTACTTCTGTGATCTCCCTCTCAAAAGAACCATAACCTTGTGGCTTGCACCTGTAATCCCTGCACTTTGGGAGGCCAAGGTGGGCCGATCACCTGAGGATCACCTGAGGTCAGGAGTTCAAGACCAGCCTGGCCAACATGGTGAAACCTCATCTCTACAAAAATACAAAAATTAGCTGGGTGTGGTGGCCAGCACCTGTAATCCCAGCTACTCGGGAGGCTGAGGCAGGAGAATCACTTGAACCTGGGAGGCAGAGGTTGCAGTGAGCCGAGATCGTGCCATTGCACTCCAGCCTGGGTGACAGAGCGAGACTCCATCTCAAAACAAACAAACAAACAAACAAACAAACATACAAATATAACCTCAGTGTAAACATGAGAAGACTATCAGATGAATCCCAGTTGAGGAACATTCTACAAAATACCTGACCAGTACTCCTTAAAACTGTTAAGGTCATGAAAAACAAGGAACACCGGAGATACTGTCACAGACAAAAGGGGCCGAAGGAGACATGATGATTAAATGTAACGCAGCATCCTGGATGGGATCCTGGAATCGAGAAAGGACATTAGGTTCCTTCAATCCCATCCATGTTGTTGCAATTGACAGGATCTTCCTGAGGCAGGAGGATCATTCTTTTTTGTGGCTGAATAATGTTCCGTTGTGTATACATAATACATTTTCTTTATCCATTCCTCTGTTGATAGACACTTAGGCTGATTCCATGTCTTGGCTATTGCGAATGGTGCCACAATAAACATGCAACTGTGGGTGTCTCTTCAAAAGACTAATTTTCTTTCTTTTGGATATATACCACTAGGGATTGCTGGATTTTACATTGCTCCTTTCTCTCCTGGATCTCATATAATAAATAAAATAATAAATATTCCAAAAAGAAACAGGAAAAGGACATCAGGTAAAAACAGAGGAAATCTGAATTAAAGTATGGGTTTTAATTAATAATAATGTATTGGAGCTGGGTGTGGTGGCTCACGCCTGTAATCCCAACACTTTGAGAGGCTGAGGTAGAAGAATCACTTGAGTCCAGGAGTTCAAGACCAGCCTGGGCAACATAAAGAGACCCCATCTCTTAGCCAGGTGTGGTGGCGTGTGCCTGTGGTCCCAGCTACTCGGGAGGCTGAGGCAGGAGGATCACTTGAGCCCAGGAGGTCAAGGCTGCAGTGAGACGTGATTGCACCACTGCACTTTAGCCTGGGTAACAGAGTAATAATAATAATAATAATAATAATAATAATAATGTATTGTGGTTCATTAATAATGACAAATATATCATACTAATATAAGATGTTAAGTAAGGGAAATTGAGAGGGGTTATATGGAAACTTTCCAGTTCCTATCTTCATAATTTTTCTTTAAATCTAAAACTATTACAAAATGAGATGCTTATTTTAAAATGATAATGAAAGTCTTGGGTAAAATTTCTAAGGAGCAGTTAAAGCCGTATTTCGAGGGAAATTTATAAACTTAAAATGCATGTGTGTTATAGTCATTAATACTGTTCCCCAAACATTCCCAGCTCTTTGCCTTGTGGCACATGATAGGCCTGCATTTCCTGGTCTCTTTCAGTTACATGGGGCCAATGAGTTGTGAGCTGAAGTGAAGTGTGTCACTTCTAGGAGGACACATTTAATGATTGGTACAAGACCATCCAGCACTCTCTTTCTCTCTTCCATGGCAATCACCAACATTTCAGATAGTGGCTGCTCCATTAGCTGAGGTCCTAGCATGGACATGACAAAGAGCACAGCCCCTGGCCAACCTGTGTTGGGCCAGCAGCATGAAGGAAAGGCTCCACGGAGCAGAGCTCACCTTGCAAGGTTATGTGCATAAAATATAAACTTTGTTTTTTAAGTCACATGATTGTTGGAACTCTCATAATAGCAGCTTGGGTTCTTAACATCCTAATTAACACAGGAATAGATAAATAAACCAATAAAACAGATCAGAGGACCCGAGAACAGATTTCTATCTATATATAAGAATGTAGCATATGTTAGAGATGTCACCACTAATCATTAGGGAAAAGAAAGACTATTTAATAACAGAGCTGTGACATGTCATTAACAAAAGTAAAATATAGATGTTTTAGTGACCTAAACATGAAAAACAGTTAGAAGAAATTATAAGAAAATATTTTTCATGACCCAGGATAGAGAATGATTTCTCAAACAAGAAAGACACAGTAAGAACATCCTATAAAATAAAAAAATAGATTACTTAACTTTGCTAAAATTAAATCTTATCTCAGGCAAAATATACCATGTGCAAGATTAAAAGGTGAACAATTTACTGGGAGATATTTGCAATATATAATGTATCTATCAGAATATATAAAGAATTTCTATAATCTGTAAGAAAAAGACAACCCAACAGAAAAATGAGAAACATATGAACAGAAAATTCATACAAAGGAATATTCAAATAGCCACTAAAGCCATGAAAAGAAAAGTGAGATACTATTTTTTGCCCAGTCCACCAGATTGGGAAAAATTAAAAGGCCTAACAATATAAAGTGTTGCCGGATGCAGGGGTTCATACCTGTAATCCCAGCACTTTGGGAGGCCGAGATGGAGGATTGCTTGACCCGGGTGGTCAAGGCTGCAGTGAGCTATGATTGATTGCACCATTGTACTCCAGGATGGACAACAGAGCAAGACCCTGTCTCTAAAGAATAAATAAATAAAATAAAGTGTTGATGAGGGTATTGAGAAAATGATAGCATTATTACAAATAAGCAGCAGCTAATAACATTTAAAAATGTACATCCTTGCCATGATCATGCCACTGCATTCCTGCCTGTGCGACAGAGTGAGACCCTGTCTCTAAAAAAAAAAAAGAAAAAAGAAAGAAAGAAAGTACATCCTCTATGAGCTATTCAAAAAATCCCATTTCTAAATATATTCCCTGGAGAAATTCTGTCATGTGCATATGCCAGATGTATATTGCATCGTTGTTTGCAACTGGCCAAATATTAAAAACAATCCAAATGACCATCTATAGGGGAATGAATTAATAACATGATATGTTTATATGATGGGATATTATACAACAGTTTTAGAGGAATTAACTAGATCTACATATATCCACATGCATAGTTTTAAGTTATATAATGTTGGGTAGATAGAAAAAAGATTCAGAATGATATGAAAAGCATATCACTCATATACATTTTAAAATGTAAAAATAGCATGCATTATTTGTGGATACATATGAATGGATGGAAACATTTTTAAAATATGAGGATTTACCTCAAACTCATAATAATGGTTCCCTCTTGGAGAAAGGGTATAGAACCAGGGATGGCCATTAGAAGGGACTTTAGCTATATCCGTAATGTGTAATTTCCTTAAAAGAAAAAAAATAACAGCAAGCATATGTGACAAAAATATGAACTTTGTTAAATGTATCAGTCAAGGTCCAGTCAGGAGACAGAAACCACACAGAAAAAAGTAATATAAAAAGCAATTAACTGAAAAAATTAATAAAAGGTGGTTACCAACTAAGAGGGGAAAAGGTACCTTTAAAGAGGGGTAGCAGACATGGGGGGCAGTTACTACCTCTAGGGCTCAGGAAGCACACCCAAGGAACCATGGCACTTGGGAGAAACCCCCAACCCATGTCTGGGAGTCAGACCTTAGAGAGGGTGGGGCTGTGGACCATGTGGAGAGGTTCACCGAGGTGCTTCAAGCCAAAGCTGGGCCACAGCTGACAGGCCAGGGCTGGCAAGCAGAAAGCCAACCACAGGGGTGCCAGTGTAAATTGCCAGAGGGTAAGCACCACTGGGTCTCCCATACGCTGCTGGCAGCTGTGTCCTGGGAACAGGAATTGAACTCAGGAACCAGGAAGAGAAGCCCATTCTTCTGCTGTGCCTCGTGATGTTCCTCTAGAGCCCTCTATCCACAAAACCAGTGTGCGTAGAGGAGAAGTGTTTACAGGGTCCAGCTGCAGTAACATGAAGCAGGCAAATGATGGCAGGTTTGGTGCCAAGAGGCAATACATTGATTACTGGCACATTAATGATAAATGGTAAGAATATAGGTGTTGCTTGTATTATTCTTTATTTCTTTAGCGCTCAAGACTCTCAAAATAAAATGTTAAATGATTCCAAGTTAAAGAATTTTTTAAAAAATATTCTTACTGGTTAAAAAGTTAACCAGTAATGGAATAAAAACTTATTCCAGGCTGGGCATGGTGGCTCACACCTGTAATCCCAACACTTTAAGAGGCCTAGGTGGGCGGATCACTTGAGGTCAGGAGTTCAAGGCCAGCCCGGCCAACACGGTGAAACCTTGTCTCTACTAGAAATACAAAAATTAACGAAGCATGTTGGTGCACGCCTGCACTCCCAGCTACTTGGGAGGCTGAGGCAGAAGAATCACTTGAACCTGGGAGGCAGAGGTTGCAGTGAGCCAAGATCATGTCACTGCACTCCTGCCTGGGTGACAGTGAGACTCTGTCTCAAAAACAAAACAAAAAACTTCTTCCAAAACACTAGGGAAGAAAGGTAAAAGGGACAGCAAAGATTAGAAGATCAGAATCTTTGAAAGCAAAATTAAAAGTCAACCAGGAGGTAAAACTAAGGGTCATTTGTTTCTGCCAAAGGAATTATTTCCCTCTATCAATAAGGCAAAACCAGTTAAATACAGAAAAAAATGTAAATGGACAAAACCTACATATTAAAAAAAAAGACTTAAAGATTGAGTCAAAAATCTAAAGTCAAATCATGTGATGTTTATAAGAGACACCCCTAAAACAGCGACAGAAAAAAATTTACCCTAGTAGGATGAATCTCCCCATGACAAGTCTATCCTCTTTGGTGCCCTTTCTTTCTTCCCTTCTCCACCTATCGAAACCCTTCTAATAGATAGATGTATTTGTACATGCCTGGAATCTCTCTTGAAGAATAAGCAAGAAGCTGATAACATTGGTTGACTCCAGGGAGGTGAACCGGGTGACTGACTGGAGGATAGAGGTGGGAGGGAGATTTCACCTTTTGAATTGTGAATTATGTACATATATTACTTTTTTTTTTTAAAGAACAAGCCAAACAAACTAAAAATGAAACCAAACTGTATGATCCTTAAGTGAAAGCCATCCCCTTTCCTCAAAAAATTAAAAATAGAATTATCATGTGATGCAGCAATTCTGCTTCTGGGTATATGCTCAAAAGAATTGAACGCAGAATCTTGAAAAGATATTTGTGGCAGGGCGCAGTGGTTCATGCCAGTAATCCCAGCACTTTGGGAGGCCGAGGTGGGCAGACAACTTGAGGCCAGGAGTTAGAGACCAGCCTGGCCAACATGGTGAAACTCCGTCTCTACTCAAAACACAAAAATTAGCCGTGCATGGTGGCGGGCACCTGTAGTCCCAGCTACTTGGGAGGCTGAGGCAGGAGAATGGCTTGAATCTGGGAGGCGGAGGTTGCAGTGAGTTGAGATCGCACCACTGCACTCCAGCCTGGGTGACAGAACAAAGCTCCATCTTGAAAAAAAAAAAGAAAAATAGAAAATATTTGTACACCCATGTTCATGGCAGCATTAGTCACAATAGCTAAAACGGGGAAGTAATGCAGGTATCTATCAAAAGATGAATGGATAAGCAAAATGTGGTAGGTGCATATGATGGAATACTATTCAGCATGAAAAAGGAAGGAAATCCTGACACGTGCTACAACATGGATGAGCCTTGAGGATAGTGAAGTAAGTCTGTCCCAAAAGGACAAATACTGTATGATTCCATTCATATGAGGTACTTAGAGTAGTCAAATTCATAGAGACAGAAAGTAGAATGAGTTGCCAGGGCCTGTGAGGAGGGTGGGGAATGGGGAGTTGTTTAATGGATACAAAGTTGCAGTTTGGGAAGATGAAGAGTTCTGTGGGTGGATGATAATGATGGTTTTACCTAATATGAATTTACTTAGTATCACTGAATTATACACTTCAAAATGGTGAAGATGGTAAATTTTATGTTACATGTAATTTTGCCACAACAAAAAAATTGAAAAAGAGGCCAGGAGTGGTGGCTCACACCTGTAATCCCAGCACTTTGGGAGGCTGAGGCAGACAGATCACTTGAGGTCAGGAGTTTGAGATCAGCCTGGCCAACATGATGAAACTCCATCTCTACTAAAAATACAAAAATTAGCAGGCATGGTGGTGGGCGCCTGTAATCCCAGCTACTTGGGAGGTTGAGGCAGGAGAATCACTTGAGCTGGGAGGCAGAGGTTGCAGTGAGCCAGATCATACCACTGCACTCCAGCCTTGGTGACAGAGTGAGGCTCCGTCTCAAAGCAAGAAAAAAAAAAAAAGGAAAAGAAAGAGGCATAGTTGCCCCCTTCCAAGAGGCCCCCTTCCCACACATCTCCCTCTTCTCTGACCCTGTGTTGCTCTTAGGAAAGTTCAGCCCATCTCTAGGCATGTTAGTTTCCTGGCAAAACCACAGACTCAGATCCTTGAGGACAGGCCTCTTTTATTCTTTTTTTTTTTTGACAAACAAACAAAAAACTACCCCTCCATACTCCTGGACGGCAAAATTTTTAACGAATGCTTGATGGAATTGGCATATTTAGCTTCCTAGGCCAAATCTACCCTTGGAGAGCATACTTTCTGGGGCTCTGGAAATAGGAACACTGCCAACTTGACCACTGTGCTGTGGTGGAAAGAGCGCAGGCTTTGGAGTCAGCTGACTGGGATTGAAATGCCAGCTCGGCCACTGTGGCTTCCGGCAAATAAGTACACCACCCCGGCCTCAGTTTTCTTCACCAAATAATGGGATAATAATGTGTGCATAAATACAATGTGGTTCTTCAGAAGGATGGATTTGGTGAAAAATACACATAATGCAGACCATTCTTATCTGTTTTCTACATGGAGAGAGCTTGTGGATAGAGCACTTATTCCTCTCCTGACTGTGCCTTTTCCTATCTTTATGTCAGGAGGCAGAGAGAACTCTGCTGAGGGAACAAAATGCTTTTTTGTTTATTTTTCCTTTTTTTAACTTTTGTCTTTTGAGGTCATAGTAAATTCACATGCAGTTGTAAGAAGTAAAACAGAGAGATCCCATATACCCTTCATCCAGTTTCCCCAGTGGAAACATCTTGCATAGCTATAGTACAGTGGCACAAGCCAGAGATTGACACGGGTACTACCCATTGACCATATTCAGGTTTCACCAGTTTTACATTCACATGTGTTTGTGTGTGTGTGTTGAGTTCTATGCAGTTTTATCCCACGTGCAGATGTGTAGATCCTCAGGCTACCCTTTTACAGCCACAGGTCTTAGTTCTGTTTAAGGGCTCCTGTTTCAGAAGGATATTTATCCTACATGCATCATTGAAGTTTCCTTCAAAGACTCCAATCTTCACAGCTCCACTACTGCCTTTATCTTTCTTTTTCTTCCACATCTTAAAGGTTCCTTAGAGAGTTGGAACAGGCCGGGAGTGGTGGCTCATGCCTGTAATCCCAGGACATTGGGAGGCCAGGGTAGGAGGATCACTTGAGCCCAGGAGTTTAAAATCAGCCTGGGCAAAATAGTGAGACCCCACCTCTTAGAAAAAAGAGAGAGAGGGAGAGAGAGAGAGAGAGAGTTGGAACAAGTAACGGGTGCATCAGAGAATTCCCTACTCATCTTCATTAAAATGTGTCCTACGTCCCCTGGAGCCCCCTAGACTTGAGAAGGGCCCCTATTCCAGCAGAGGCCTTTGGGTGACAGGCCACCCATGTGTCTTCAGACATGCACTAAACTTGCCCCCTCCCATTTCACCGTGACCCAGTGGCACTGAAGAGAAGCCATCATTCCTATTAACTTATCTGAGGGCCAGTAGGCTCCTGAGAGCTGGATTTACCACCTGATTAGTGTGGTGAAGTCCTGCCTTCCAGCCTGGGCCAGTGTGGGCTCAAAGTGTTCCCACCTTGGTGAGCTCCAAACCTCCTGAATTACCTTACTCTCCCTTCGCGGGGGACTTCCTTAGAGCTGCAAGTTCCAATTCTGGGTCTTTTCATCCTTATAAGGCAATAGAGTCCTTGGGTGCTTGGGGGTGTGCCAAAGGAGCAGCTGGCGAAGTCAGGGACCCAGAACTCTCAATATGTTCCCATCAGTTGGACTTGTGCTCATTGAAAAGTGAAAAGTGGATCCCATCAAAGGTGCCCCTTTCTTTGTTCCCTGGGATCCACTTTTCAGATATGTGCTTTGTGGCCTCAATGATACTGGTGATCTAATCTCTCTGGGCCTCAGTCTTCCCATCTGTGAAATGGAACCAACAGGCCCCTCCCAGGGCTCTCATTGATGCTTCAGTGAGATAACGGCTGCAGCAGGCCCACAGCCTTGATGGCAAGTGCTCAGTGAAAAGAGCTGTCAGATGCCATCCTATTTGTCATGCTTCTCCTCACTCCCCAGTCACCCGCCGTACGTGTCACTCCACGGGGGCTGGATATGCCACCCTCATCCTTCCATATCTTTGTCTAGATTAATTGTCCTAAGAATTGGGTCTCATCTCGAGGGTGGGAGGAGAAACCAAAACAGGTGATGTGTAATCAGGGACTTAACATGACTCAACTGTACCCTGGCTGCATCCCCTGTTTCCCAGGCCATTTAAGCCACTTCCAATTATACAAGATTAACTTGCTTGCTAGGACTCCCAGAGAAACCTGAGGTCCCGGTCTCTGTCTCTCTCTGTCTCTCTCTGTCTCTCTCTCTCTCTTTCCCCTCTCTGTCTCTCTCTCTCTCTTTCTCCTCTCTGTCTCTCTCTCTCTCCTCTTTCTCTCTCTTTTTCACGGCCCAGGACAGAATAACTCAGAGCTTCCCTTGGGAGGGTGCTCAGGACACACAGCAAGAGGCAGAGCTCAGATCTTGCTTCTTTTCTTCCTTGGCCTCTCACACCCCTGCCGCCAACCCATGAAATCCTGCATCCCAGGGCGTCCCTGGGGGGGCAGTGGCCCATCTTTCTTTGCAGGGAGGCAGGGTTGGCAGGATTTGGCTAATAAGAACCAGCTGTGTTGTTGGTGGGTTTTATTCTGCCCCTCCCCTGCCCTTGCTCTGATAGCTGTGAGAAACTGATGACAACCTGTTTGACCTCTGATCTCCGAACTTGACCCGCTGCTAATACCTCCAGCTGCTGATTGCTGGCCGAGCCCTTTGTCTCAGGTTGTTTGGGAGCCAAGACAGACAAATGATTTCTATTTGTCCTCTGGTGCCGCGGACGGAGCTGATCGATAGGAACCGCGAATGATGTCAAGGATTTGTCACCATGGCTTATGAATGACAAAAACGCTCCTCGACTCCCCCCTCTACCTTTTCCCCCTCCCCAAAGAAACACCTTTTGGGGGAAAAAGAATGAAAGCCTGAGAAGGCATATTGATTTTTTTTTTTTTGCTTTCTTAAATAGCAGCTCGAGCCACAAAAGAGAGAAAGACAACACTTTTCTGTGCTAAAATGCAGCAAAAAGCTTCCCAGAGAACGAGACTGGTGATTAGATCAGCTATTGCATTTAAGTACCACAGCCTGCCTCACAGCACAACTGCTCAATTTCGTCTGCTGAAGGCTGTACCATTTCTCCCCGATTTCTGATCATTCCAGACACAAGGGAGGCTCCCAGCAAGAAGGCACTTTGCTCTCTCTCACTTCTTCATCTGCCTTCAGCTTGGTGACCATCTCTCTCCCTTTTTCTCCTTCAATCTCCTTCTTTTTTCCTGGTTGGGCATGGGTTGGACACCCTGGTATGTGAGCCTGAGCTGGTTTCCAGCCTTTAGCTAGAGCTTATCACAGCCTTTGAATTTGGATGCTTATTTGGAAAAGAAAAGACAGAAGGTGGGGATGTGATCTCAACGGCAGGGGACACACAGCTTGGGAAAGCCCCTCTCAGTCTCCCACACAGGGGTGGGGGCAAGTTTCAGAGGGAGGCTGGGGAGGCAGCCCATTCCTCTGGAAAGGTGGAAAGCCCCAAAGCAGGGAGGGCAGCAGGGCGCCCCCTCCTTCTACTTCAACATCTGATGCCTTCAGTGAGAGCCTCTCTGTGCTGGCACGGGACCACAGGGAGAGTGAGATCTGTCTGCTTGTCCTTGGGGAGCTCACCCTCTAGGACAGATGAGCAAACCATGGCAGGGCAGCCAGATGGATGCATGCTGGGGCAGAGGAGAGCAGGGAGTGGGGAAACCTGAAGTGGCAACAAGGGTTTGCGGGGGGCGGGGGGTTGGGATCACTAGAGGAGGGGACACCTTTGTTGAGCTTGGACAAATAAGCAGCAGTAGAAAGAGGGCCACTGCATTCCAGGCTGTAGAGACCAAGGACCTCATCCAGCCTGTGGTGTGGACTCTAGGCTATGCCTTATTGGAGGCCCCAGAGTGAGCAGCCATTGCATGAACGACTCAGAGACTCCATTTTCTCATCTGTGAAATGGACACGGCAATGGCATCCACCTCATAAGGTTGCCAAGAGTATCACATGGGATAATCCATGCAAAGTGTTGATACTGTCTTGTCATACATGTGGCTGTTCTTGTTTTTATTCTTTTTAGCTGTTAATATTTGAAGACTTGCTTCCAATCTGGAGATTCCTCAGTCAAGCTGACTGAATGAGGGTGGAGGGAGACAGCTACTACTTCCCACACACCCTAAGTAGAACCACGACCTGGGTGTAGCGGGGAAGCCAAATAAATGGGGCTCTGGCAGGACAAGGCCGCTGACCAAGGTCAGAGCATGGCTCTGGAGAAGACCAGAATGACCTCTCTCCTCAAGCACAGGCCCTGGGCATAGACAGCAGAGAATGCCTGCTCCCAGATGAGGCTTAGACAGAGTAACTACAAGGGCACAAGGCTATGTAGGACTCAGTACTGACTGCTTGGACTATTGCAGTAGCCACCTACCTGGCCTTGGGTCTCTCCCATCCACTGTCTACACCACCATCAGGTTGACCATCCCACCTCACATCAGATCATGACACTTCTCTGTTTGGATCCCTCCAGTGGCTCCTCATTCTCTCTAGGATAAAGCAAAAACGTCTTATACCAGCATTCAAGGCCACCCTGTAGTCACCTGTTTTGCATCATGCTAACCACACAAATCATACATCCTGTGTGGCTCTACTACCTGGCCTTTGCTCAAGCTAGTTCCTCTACCTGAAATGCCTCCTTCGCCTCCATTTTAGTAGGAATTCTCCTTTCTTTCTCCATTTCTTCCCACAGCACACTGTTCTTCCGTTCTAGTACTTACAGCCCTTGATCAGAACGATTCTGTTCACTTCTGTCTCCTGCCTAGATTGAGGGCTCTGAAGGCCAGGAGCCATGCTGTGCAGAGGCCATCACACCAGATAACTGTGTACTGAATGGAATATTTGGAAAGTGCTTGAATCTTAGAGAAAACTTAGGAAGTGGTGAGGGGTGGTGGCATGGGAGCAGGAGGTGCTGCGCTTTAACAAAAGACAATGGTAGGCAAAGTATTTACTTTTCAGATCGATCAAAATGTGAGGTGATTAAAGTCAGGGTGTTTGCCATCTGTGACTCACAAATAGCTGCTCAATTAAAATGTTTGCCAGGTCCAGTGGCTCATGCCACTCAACACTTTTTTGGGAGGTTGAGATGGGAGGATTGTTTGAGCCCAGGAATTCAAGACCAGCCTGGACAACATAGTGAGACTCCATCTCAACAAAAAATTTAAAAATTAGCCAGCCTTGGTAGTGCATGCCTGTGGTCCCAGCTACTCAGGAGGCTGAGGTGCAAGGATGGCTTGAGCCTGAGAGGTCAAGGCTGCTGTGAGCTGAGATTGTGCTGCTGCACTCCAGCCTGAGTGACAGGGCAAGACTCTGTCTCAAAAAAAATTTTTTGTAACACTGAAAATATAACATACTTATAATGGAAAATTCAAGCAATATGGAAAAGTAGGTCAGGTTCAGTGGCTCATGCCTGTAATCTAGCACTTTGAGAGGCCGAGGCCAGAGGATCACTTGAGGTCAAGAGTTCAAGACCAGCCTGGACAACATAGTGAGACCCTGGTCTCTAGAAAAAATAAAATAAAAATTAGCTGGGTGTGATGGCATGCACCTGTAGTCCTAGCTACTTGGGAGGCTGAGGTTGGAGGATCACCTGAGCCCTGAGTTTGAGGCTACAGTGAGCTATAATTGGTTATGCCACTGTACTCAAGCCTGGTCAACAGAGTAAGACTGTCTGAAAGAAAGAAAGAAAGAAAGAAAGAAAGAAAGAAAGAGAGAGAAAGAGAGACAGAAAGAGAGAAAGAAAAAAGAAAGAAAGAAAAAGAAAGAATTAAAAAAAGTTTTAAATGAAAAAGTATAAAAAGGTAGTAAAATCCTCTTAAAATCCTCTTGTATTGATTAGAACTATTTCTTCTACCCGTGGTAGAAAACAGCTCAAACTAGCTGAAGTGTAAGGGGATTATTGGCTCTTGGGACAAAGAAGCATGGTCAGGCTCAAATGATGCCCTCTGGATCTGCTCTCTCTCTCACACTGTCTCGCTCTCACTCTCTGGCATCCCTTGGCTCTCCTCCATGCTGGTTTTATAGGCAGGCTTCCCCTTCGTGATTCCAGGGCAGCTACAGCTGTTCCAAATCTCACATCTCGAAGCTTTGGGTCCAGCAGGGAAAAAAAACTGTCTATGACAGATTGTCTTTTCTGTAGAAGGCCACATGCTATCTCCATCTTACATGCTCTTCTGCAATGTGACCTTGTAACTTCCCCATCAAGAGGTGGGGTCTAATTCCCCTCCTCTTGCATCTGAGCTGGCTTTAGTGACTCATTTGCAACCAAGAGAATGTGGCAAAGTGGTGCTGACATGGTTTCTGAGGCTAAGTCAGAAGCCTTGCCCCTTTTGCTTTGGCCTCTTAAAATACCCTCCAGAGTCTTCCCTCTTAAAGACGCCACCCCTGGGAACCGGATGACAAGCTGTCAGAAGTCCAAGCTACATTCAGCCCGCGTGTAGGTGCTCCAGTTGACAGCTCCAGCTAAGCCCAGCCTTCCAGTGACTCCAGGTCTGAAGAGCTCTCCAGCTGATTCCTGGTCAAGTCATCTGTAGCTGGAAGTTGTAACTTCCCAGCTGAGGCCCTGGATATCATGGGGCAGAGATAAGGCATTCCAGTTGTGCCTTCTCCAAATTCCTGACAACAGAATTGGTTATAAAATGGTTATTGTTTTACACCATGTACGTTTTAGAGAGCTTTGCTATGCAACAGTCTTTCTCAGGATCTCTAGAATAATCCATGCTGATGTCCCCTGGTCCATCCCCTTGAGCGTATCCAAGGGCACAGTCAGTCATCCCAATCCCAGGGCAAGTCGGCTCCATCAGAATGAGAACTGGGACCACGGGGCACACCCAGATGGTCACTGGGCACTGGTTACCTATAGAAGGCACAAACCACAGAATCCACTTCCTACCACCTAGAAATTTTGGAGACTACTCTTCCAGACTCCTTCCTGGGAGTACCCACTTAGGTATACAATTCAACACAAATGAAGCATACTCTACATGATCTTTTATAACCTTTTTAAAATTTAATGGATTATGGGGCTCTGTTGATGTCAACGGATACATACGTCTTTTTTGTTTGTTTTTTTGAGACAGGGTCTTGCTCTATTGCCCAGGCTGGAGTGCAGTGGTGCAATCATAGCTCACTGCAGCCTCAAACTCCTGGGCTCAAACGATCCTCCCACCTTAGCCTCCTGAGGAGCTGGGACTCCAGGCATGTACCACTACACCTGGCTAATTTTTCTATTTTTATTTTTTGCAGATACAGGGTCTCACCATATTGCCCAAGCTGGTCTTGAACTCCTGGCCTCAAATGATCCTCCTGCTTCAGCTTCCCAAAGCTCTGGGATTACAGGTGTGAGCCACTATGGCCCAGGCATCATTTTTAATGGCTGCATATGATTTCATTATATGAGTGAAGCATAATTGATTCAACCAGTTCTCTATTTATGGGTTATTAAGTCATTTCCATTTTTTTGCTATTATAAATAGTACTGAGATAAACATCATTGCACATATACCCTTGGGCACATCTTTCAGTGTTTCCCTAGGATAAATTCCAAGAAGTTGAATTGTAGATTCTAAGGTTATACACATTTTCCAGGCTTGCCAAGGGTTTCCACATTGCCTTCCAGAAATGTCCTTCTTTCCTTCCTTTGCTTTCCCTTCGTTCTTTTCCTTCCTTCCTTTCTTCCTTCCTTCCATCCTTCCTTTCTTCTTTCTTTCTCTTTCCTTTCTTTCTTCTTTCTTCTTTCTTGCTCTTTCTTCTATTTTTCTTTCCTTTCTTCTTTTTTTCTTTCCTTCTTTTCTTTCTTCCCTCCCTTCCTTCCTTCCTTCTTCCCTCCCTCCCTTCCTTCCTTCCTTCTTTCCTTCCTTCCTTCCTTCTTTCGTTCCTTCCTCCCCTCCTCTCTCTTTTCTTTCTTTTTGAGACAGGGTCTCACTCTGTTGCTCAGGCTGGAATACAGTGGTGTAATCATGGCTCACTGAAGCCTCAGCCTCCTGGGCTAAAGTGATCCTCCCACAACAGCCTCCTGAGTAGCTGGAATTACAGGCATGTACTACCATGCCTGGTTAACTTTTAAATGTTTTGTAGAGATGGGGTCTCACTGTGTTGCCCAGGCTGGTCTCAAACTCCTGGGCTCAAATGATCCTCCCACCTCTGCCTCCTAAAGTATTGGGATTACAGGTGTGATTCACTGTGCCCGGCCCAGAAGTGTACTTCTTTTTTTTTTTTTTTTTTTTTTTTTTTTTTTGAGACGGAGTCTCGCTCTGTCGCCCAGGCTGGAGTGCAGTGGCGGGATCTCGGCTCACTGCAAGCTCCGCCTCCCGGGTTCACGCCATTCTCCTGCCTCAGCCTCCCAAGTAGCTGGGACTACAGGCACCCGCCACTACGCCCGGCTAATTTTTTGTATTTTTAGTAGAGACGGGGTTTCACCGTTTTAGCCGGGATGGTCTCGATCTCCTGACCTCGTGATCCGCCCGCCTCGGCCTCCCAAAGTGCTGGGATTACAGGCGTGAGCCACCGCGCCCGGCCAAGTGTACTTCTTTACACTGCTGTTGCCCCACCATCAAAGCACAAGACTGGCCATTTCTCCTCATCCTCAGTAACATGAAATATTTGCCAATGGGAAAAGTGAACAAATGATTCCTCATTGCTGCTTTAATTTGAATTTATTTGATTACTAGTGAGGTCAAGTACCTTCTCATATCCATTTCTTCTTGTGTAATATTGCCTGTTCATGTCCTTTGACCAATTTTGTTGCTGCAGTGTTCATATATTTTATTGTTGATTCATAAAAACTTTTTGTATATTAGAATGTTAACTTTTGTTGCTCATATGTCTTAGAAACATTTTTTGTCCTATAAGTTTGTATGGGGGAGGCACTCTTTTTTTTTTTTTTTTCTTTTTTGAGATGACATTTTTCTCTGTTGCCCAGGCTAGAGTGCAGTGGCGTGATCTTGGCTCACTGCAACCTCCACCTCCCAGGTTCAAGCGATTCTCCTGCCTCAGCCTCCTGAGTAGCTGGGACTATAGGCATGCACCACCACACCCAGCTAATTTTTGCATTTTTAGTAGAGACAGTGTTTCACCATGTTGCCCAGGCTGGTCTTGAACTCCTGACCTCATGATCCACCCGCCTTGGCCTCCCAAAGTGCTGGGATTACAGGCGTGAGCTACCACGCCCAGCCCGGCACTCTTAAACTAATAAGCAAAGCCCTCAAACAAGACAGAATCTAAGCCTTCAAAAGCAGTTGGCACCTGGCAAGAGACTTAACTTAAACCATTCTTGTCAAAGGGCATCAGCTGTCTAGAGAAGAATCCAGGGTGGGGGAACTGGAAAGGCCAACAGAATTGACCATTCTGAGAAGAGGCTCCAATATGTACACCAGAAGGAGGCAGATGCCCAGGAAGCTGAATGCCAAAGTAGCAGACAAAAGTCAGAACTGGGGAGGAGTGAGGCAGAGGAAACCAGGAGGCCAGGGACTCTGCCATTGTCCAAGACAGCCCCAGGCTCCATCCCGGTGCAAGGCAGCTCTCTCTGGTTGGCTCCTGCTCTAGGGGCCCTGTGGGAGCAGGGGTACCCTTGGGAGCAGTGCTAGGGGTAGGAGGCCCTTAGGGTCCCCCAAGCTTGGAGAGGCATTGCTAAGCAGTCAGAGGGATATAAAGGTGATTTAGCCCTGGGATCATGGAGGGAGTCAGGCCATTGCCAAGGAAACAACGGAACTGAGTATTCAATCTGAAGGGCAAGGCAAGGAGCCTGTAGCTGACATTCTGCCCAAACCCTCCTTGCTGCTGGGCATGTTAGCTGTAATGGCTCTCAGCTGCCCCCATCTCTGGAGAATTGCACTGGCTGAATGGAAGCTGCCTACCCTGAAAGGTTACACATTCCTGGGAAGCCCATAACCAATGACTGATTGACATGAGGGGAGGAGAGTGCAAAAGGCTGGCCCCCTTGCCTCAAGGAGGGACCAACTCTCTGGCACAGCTGATGCTCCAGAGTGCCCTGTGATATCAGGCTGAATCTGGCTGAGGCTGCATCCTCGCTCCTCTCTGCCCTTGCCTAATTCTGCTTCTTTCATACCCTTTCTCCTGGGACCACACCCCTGATTAATCACATGTGCCCTAATCCTTGTCTCAGACTCTGTTTCTAGGGACCCTGTCCTATGATGGAGCCCAAGCTGCAAGTTCAGGAGCAGGATGGGATGAGATGAAAGGAGAGGGGCAGAGAGGGTGAGTCGGAGCCAGAGCTGGGCTATTTAAATGGGGACTGGGGCTCTCCTTGTTGGGGTGGGAGGGATATTGTTGTTGATCGCCCAGCACTCACTGCCCCCTCTACTAAAAACTGAAGCCCAAATTCCGTTTGGGAAACTACTCCTTCTCCATTCCCTAGGTGATCTGGTGGGATTATACCACCCAGAGCCCCAGGGATGGGTTCTGGGTTTATTCAATCTTCATGTCCTCCAAGTTTATTCAATCTTCATGACCTCCAGTCATAGTGAGAGCTCCAGAGCATATAAACCAATCACAGCCAGTGAAATGCTGGGGCTTCTGGGAAGGGAAATTCCCTCTTTTCCACTGGAGTAGGCGAGTATGTATCTTAGTGTGGCACAGCTATTTCTGCCAGCCACAGAGCTGAAGAATAGAGATAAACACAAGCAACTGAGCTGAGAGATGGATTCTGGTGATGTCATTTGGGCCCTGTATCAAACTTTACCCGAAGCCAGACCTACCCCTGAACTATTCCATTATGAGAATCAATAAACCCTCCCCGCTTTCTGAAGCTGAGGAAGGTTTTCTGTCACTTGCAACCAAGAGTCCTAACAGACATGTATGGTTTGCATTGAATGGTTCATGCAGGGATCTAAAGGAACCCAGCAAGCCCATGCAAGTTAAAGCCAGGAGAGTGACCCCTAATCTGTCTTTCTTCATTCCTATTCCAGGCAGGCTGCTCCCTCCCCAGGGCCATGTTGATTAGGAAAAATTGGCCGGAGTGAGGCCAGGTCAGGACAAGCCCAGCACTGTTGTCATCATGCAGCTTCCGTGGCCAATTCCTTCCACAGTGGCCTTCAGATTCTTTCTGCAGAACTGCCTCCCCCAGGCAGTTCATTGCTTCTTCTCCCCTCTCTGGAATGGAGCAAAGGGAGTCTATTCTAAGTGAGGAAGAACAAGGCTGTTTCCAATGCCACATCAATTAGGTGGTGAGGGAGCTTTCTTTGTTGAGTGTTTCCGCTTCAGACTAGGAGGCAGGGAGGTAAGTGGGTATGGGAGAAAGACCATGTGCCTTGGAGCTGGATAAACTTGGGCTCTGGTCCTGGCACTTCTAGCTGTGTGGCCTGTTTGATGTCTCTGTGCTTCAGGTTATCCATCTGTAAAGCATGGAGAAGCATGTCACCCTTACAGGAGCTCCAGAGCACAGAGCTGATGAAGCAGCTGACTAGGTCCGGACCAGGCCTCCCTGAGGTGTATCATCAGGGGTCGGGAGAGGGGATGCTAATCCCTGGACCCGAGAGAGGCAAGGATAAGTTCAGTTCCTGGGATTCACAGTGGGAATGCCTGGAATTTGGCCAAGAGATAAGAAAAATTGGGGCCCAGTGCACCCTCTCCCCAAGCCAGTGCAGGGTCCGGGGCTCATGGCACCTGCAGCGGGAGTTAAATGGCACCCTCTGGGGATGGGAAAGTGGTCTAGGCAGGCTAGGCACTACTCTTTACCCTCCTTCTTGACCAAACCAGTCTCCCAGTCACCTCTGATCCCAGCAGCTATAGTATCAAGTCAGAAGGAACAAGGCCCCAGGGCTGGAGGCAGGGCAAAGTCCTCCCTCCACCCCACACCTAGAGGGAGAGACTAAAGTGACCAGGACCTCAGCTGGAAGAAGGGGCCCAGTACAGCCTCCCCGAGTAGTTTCTGCTGTCCTGGGTGGAGTAGGTGGACATTTTCAAGCAGATCTCCTGAAAAACATAAGAGAAGGCCCTCAAAGGACAGTCCCAAGGGAGAGGGGGAGGATGTGGAGGAAGCAGGAAACTAGTGTTTACTGAGCATCTAGTAAGCACCAGGCCTGGAGCTTTAAGTCCGCAATCTTAACTAATGCTCATGGCAAGCTGGGGAATAGAGATTATTCCCCTTTTGCATGTGGGGAAACTGAGTCCCTTTGCCCTGAAGTATCTTGCCTGAGACCAGCTGAGGGGTGCCAAGGCCAGGATCCCAGAATCGGTGGGTTAGGCTCCCCGGAGCTCCTGCTTTCCCAAGTGGCACAGCGGCACCTCCATGGTGGACCCTGGAGGAAGCACACTGCCCTTCCTGGAGGAACCCCCTGCAGCCTTCTGAAAGCCAAGGCCTGATGTGACACCTGGAATTGGCCTGGAGCCAACCGGACTGAACCCAAGAGACAGCCCTGGCTCAGCTGCTGCAGGAGAGGAAGAGGAGAGGATCCATGGGAAGTCGGGAAAGGCCCCCAACACCGGTAATCCCCCCTCAACTTCAGCACCAGCGCCCCTACTCCCTGGAGAGCTGGGCCTTGTGAGGGACTGGGTAGGGGAGCTGGCCTGTGAGGAGATGGAGGTGTGCCTCCTTCTAGGGACCACTTCCTAGGGATCTCCCTCTGAATTCCTGAGTCGGTCAGGTTGAATGGAAAGAGAGCACAGAGATGGAGTCACACAGATCTGGGTTGACCCTCAGTCCCACCATTTCCCATCTGTGTCCAAAGGCCCACCACGCAAACCTCCCTGGGCCTCAGATTCTTCAGATGAAAAATGGGAATGATGCCTACCTCCTGGCATCCTTGTGAGGACTGAATAAGGAGAAGCACATGGAGATGCTGAGCGCCCTGCCTGGAACAGAGCGGGTGCTCAATAAATGTTAGTTCTTCATGGAGCCAGGCATGGTGGCTCACTTCTGTAAACTCAGTGCTTTGGGAGGCAAAGACAGGTGGATGGCTTGACGCCAGGAGTTTGTGAACAGCCTGGGCAACATAGCAAGACCTCTGTCTCTACAAAAAAAAAAAAAAATGTTTTAACTAGCCGGCTATGGTGGCACATGCCTGTAGTCCCAGCTGCTCGGGAGGCTGAGACAGGAGGATTGCTTGAGCCCAGGAATTAGAGGCTGCAGTGAGCTGTGATTGCACCACTGTACTTCAGCCTGGGTGACAGGTGAGACCTGGTTTCAAAAAAATAAAATAAGAAATAAATGTTAGTTCTCACTCTCCATTTGAAATTCTCATGACAATGAAATCTCATCTAGCCCATTTATGTAACTAAATTATAAATAATATCTAACATTTATTGAATACATACTATGTGCCAGACTTTGCGCTGAATGTTTTAATCTGTTACCTCATTTAATCCTCAAAGAGTCCCATGAAGCAAATGATTATCCCTATTTGACAGATGAGGAAACTGAGGCACAGATGTTAAAGCAACTTGCCCAAAGTCACACGGCTAATGAGTGGTGGAGTCAGGATTTGAATTCAGCTCAGCTTGGCTCTGGATCCTGGACTGAGAGCATGCCCCCTCCTGCCTTCCCTCTTCCCAGCCCCTTCCCATGCCCACTGTATGCTCCTAAGCCCCTTCCATGAGTAAGTGCCATGCAGGGGGGCAGGGGGAACTAAATGAGATACTCAAGGAGCTCCTGGTCTAGGGCAGGAGATAAAAGGCACAGAAACACAAGGTAAGAAGGGGGCAAATGTCACAAGAGGAAAACTGAGTTGCAAGTTGAGACGAAGGAGGGATCAGTGTCAGAGACCAACAGGGTGTGAGGTAGGCATCCCAGGCAAGGGCAATCTTCTCCCCCGACCCCTGAGATGGAGTTTCATTTTCACTCTTGTTGCCCAGGCTGCAGTGCAATGGCACGATCTCGGCTCACTGAAATCTCTGTCTCCCGGGTTCAAGTGATTCTCCTGCCTCAGCCTCCTGAGTAGCTGGGATTACAAGTGCATGCCACCACGCCTAGCTAATTATCATATTATTAGTAGAGACAGGGTTTTGCCATGTTGGCCAGGCTGGTCTCAAACTCCTGACCTCAGGTGATCTGCCCACCTTGGCCTCCCAAAGCGCTGGGATTACAGGTGTGAGCCACCATGCCCAGCGGCAATATTTCATTTTTTAAAATAGAGACAAGGCCTTGCTCTGTTTCTCAGGCTGGTCTCGAACTCCTGGCCTCATGTGATCCTCCCACCTCAGCCTTCAAAATGCTGGGATTACAGGCACAAGTCACTGTACCTGACCATCCCAGGCAAAGGCAACAGCAAGAACAATGGAGTCGAGGTGGGAAACGTCTTTGAGGTATGGGGGCTTGAAGGGGAGTTTTGTGGTCAGATTTAGGAGGGTAGGTTGGGGACAAATAGTGAGCGCCTGCTTGGGAGTTTAGGCTGTGTACCAGCGGGGAGAGGATTGAAGGCTTCTCTGAAGATAAGTGACACCAACACATTTGTGCCATATAAACACAGCTCTGCCAGCAGTGTGAAGCTGGCATGGGACTGGATGAAGTTAGGTACAGAGGCAGTTTGCGAGGCAGTTGTAATGGTCTGGTTGAGCACTGATAGGGGTCTGCACTAAGGTGGAGACCATGGATGAGATACTCCATATCTCTCTCCCTGGGGGAGCTGTGGCTAAGAAAGGTCATCTTTATCTGGACAGCAGCTGGTGCCTCCTAGCTCAGCCTAGTCCCACTGGTCAGCTCAGTCTTGGCCACCTGTTCCCACCACCCAGTGATGTGGGTGGCAAGGATCATTAACCCAAGCCATGGACTCACCCTCCCTCCCAACACATCTGGCCAGATAGATGTCCCTCCTCTACTTCCACCCCCCACTCAAGGGTAGGAAGAAATGGCTTTCAGACCAGCTGAGCATTTCCCTCCCTGCAGAAAGGCCAGAGAAACACAGCTGCCACTGTCATTATATTAATACTGCCCACTAGAACCACATACATGTACCTCAGCCATGTGGCGTCACAGAAGCAGCGCTGGACTAGGAGTTAGGAGGTCTAGGTATGGATCTCAACATGGCTGCCCATGAGCTCTGTGACCCTCAGCAACCTATTTATGCTTTCTGAGCCTCAGTTTTCCCATCTGTGACATGGGGATAAAGTGCCTGCCTTCCAGGATTGCTTTGTGGACTGAAAGAGTGTACATGAACATCTTCTGTAAACCTTTGGAGTGCCATTTAAATGTTGAATTTTGTGTACATTCATTCATCCCACCAATCTCTGTTGGGCTCTGACTCTTTATAGGTGCCAGAGTGTGAAAACACCTGCCACATTCATGGTCCATTCCAACCTTTTGCCTTCCTGTGATGATGAAGAACTTTGCTTGAAACACAAGCTATCTTCACATCCTGTGTATGACAAATGGGAAAATGGCTTAAATTAAAGGAGGAAAGATTTGATCAGGACTAACTTCCCAATGCAGGAGCCTAGTTGGTTCCTGGAAATCTTCCCAGAAGAAGAGAATCAATTAAGTATTTTGCCCAGAGTAGACACCAAATCAATTGTTGAGTGGAATTGACTCTGTCATATCATTTGCCAGGAGACAAGAGAGTTGATCCAATGACTTAGGACCCACTTTTCCGTCTGACTTTCCATACACCATATATACATGCTTGCATGTTTGGTGCAGGGGAAAGAGGCTTAGGCTGACACTTAGCAGACCTGCCTCAAACCAGCTGTGTGACCTTGGAAAGATCTCATGCCCTCTTTGAGTCTCTATTGTCTCTCCCGAATGCCAACCAGAATAAGAAATACATCGAACCTTCTAGGATAGTGATAGTGTCTGCCCTTGACATTCCACCACAAGTGTTTGCTAAATGAATGAATGAATGATGAGTGAATGAATGAATGAATGAATGGCACTCAGGAAGGTACATGATTCATGAAAGCTCCTCTTTCTTCTCTGAGCCTGAGTGTGCCCACCTGGCAGATGTGGGAATTTGGTTGCCTGTTTCCAGGTTCCTTGTCAGTTCAGGCTTCTGTGATCTGCCCCTGTGCTGGAGGAGGGCAGCTGGGGGATTTGGGATCTGCATCTTCACGCCCAGCAGCTCAGGCTGCCCTCCCGTTTCAGGGCATGGACAGCAGGTATGTGCTTCTGTTCCCACGGGGCCGCCTGGCTTAGCCCGAGGCTCCCTTTGCTGGGAGAGTAGCCTGGGCTGCAGCCCTGCACTGACCTGCTCTTAACCTCCAGGAAAGTTACACAAATTCCTCCACGCTCCACTGAGAGCTGGGTTGCACAAGGTGGGGGCAGGAACAATGCTTCCCCTTGTGCCCTCCGCCTATTCCACTTCAGCACACATGGAGGAGGAACACAGGAGGCAAGCTGGTGGGGGCACCCAGCTCCGGTTTCAACCATGCCTGGAAATTGGATATTCCTCCCTGGCCGGAGCTCTCTGGGCCATGAAGTGGGGCTGGAGCTCAGGTCTCAGGAGAAACCCACTCTTTCCTCCCTGTGGTTTTCCCTCTAAGACCAGTCCTGTGCCTCAGTCTGTGCAGATCTGTGCAACTCCTTAGCACTACATACCCCTTTGGTAAACACACCCCAGTTCTGAGATGTACTGCATGAAGATGGTAGGAAGGAAAGGGTCTACCCTGGGAACCAGGAAGCCTATGTCTGGTTCTGCTGTGGCCCAGTAAGATACCAAGAATTGGACTAGCCAGGGGCTGAAAATACAGGATGTGGAGCCAGGCTGCCTTGGACCAGGTATCTACTACTTTGACACGCCATTTCCTCATCTACTATGATGGCACCTATCTACCTATCTACCTGGGTTTGTTATGGGGAATAAATGAGTTCTTAAGCACAACATGCTTGCTTAGAGCAGAGTTCAACAAATGCCAGCTGTATGGTTTGCTCTCCACACAGGTTTAGTGGGAATTAAAGGCATGTGCAGTCTTTCCTCAACTTTCAAGGGAAAAGCAAATTGTTCAAATTGTCTAAAACACAATAGAACTACTTAAAGTACACGAAACTAGCTGTCAAAATTGTGAACCATAATCACAGTTTTGATTGCTTTCTGACAGTGTAAAAATTACAAATATTTCATCAGGCAAGAAAAGAAAAACAAAGAATAAATACAGTCAACCCCATCCCCCCTCCCATTTGTGTTCTACGTGCCCATCTGAATTAGTTTGCTCATGTTGACACATGCACAGCTTTGTATCATTTGAGACACACGTTTCTTATTCTTCCTCAGTCATTTAGTATTTAGGCTATAGTTGTAGAGTGGTTGGTTTCTTTCCAGGCAACCACCATTGTTTGAAAACTATGTCAAAACAAAAGTCTCTCTTCTTCTCCCTGACAACTTGTCACAGCTATGCCTCTGGACAGCTTCTGCCCCTGTGCCCCTCTCTGTCAGTGACCTCTCTTCTGCCCCACGACCCCCTCTCCTCTTCCTTGATTCAGAATTCCTGGAAGAGAACAAACAGGAATCATCAAGGTCCCAGAGAGAGAAAAATAATGACTTGTAGTGTGAGAAGTTTCAGGACCATGGACAACAGCACACACGCCCTCACCTTCTTGTTTCCCCAACCCCCAAACATTTTGTTTATGTTATGACAATACCTCTCTGAGACTTGTTTTCCTCTTCTATAAAAAGGGCAGGGTGAGGGCCAGGCACGACGGCTCACGGTTGCAATCCCAGCACTTTGGGAGGCCAAGGTGGGTGGATCACTTGAGGTCAGGAGTTCGAGACCAGCCTGGCCAACATGGTGAAACCCCATCTCTACTAAAAAAAAATACAAAAAAAGGGGGGATGGGGGAGGTAACTGGGAGGGTTGGAGGTGGACAAGGTCATCGCTAAGACTTCCTACAGCTCTGTGACCCTAGGGATCTTTCTTTGGCTTTATGCTTGCCTTCCCTTACCTTTCTCCCTTTCTCCCTCCCTTCCTCTCTTCCTTCTTTCCTTCCTTTTCCTTTTTTTAAAATAGGGACCTTCCATGCATTTTAATGGGCTGATAGCCATCACCCAGGGAGAATGGTGAAAGACAGAGCTTCTTGTGAGAGGAACGGCAAGCTAGCCCTCAGAAACCCTCAAAACTCGACATTGAGGAGTCACTTGATTTTCCCCTCTGCCCCTACCCACATAGAGACATTGTGTTCGTTATGGCAAAAGGCTGAGCTGCTGTAAGAAAGCGTCCACTGGCTGAAAGAACAGAAAGGTTTCCTTGTTCTCATGTAACAGGGTGGGTAGGAGGGCTGCTCCACCCCACACAACCAAACAAGAGCCTGGCTCCCTCCATGAGGTTTCCCCTATTACCCCTTGGTGATGCTCTTGTCTACACGGTCACACTGGCCTGCCCACGTCATGTCTTCAGAAAGAATCAAAAGTGCGCATGAGTTGTGTCTTAAAAGCCAGGCCTGGAAGTTGCAACACATCACTTCTGCTCCCATTCCATTGGTGAGGACTTTGTCATGTGGCCACCCTGAGCCATAAAGGGGCCGGAACATTTATTTATTTATGTAATTTTGACTTTTAGGTTCAGGAGTACATGTGCAGGTTTGTTATCCAGGTAAATTGCATGTCACGTGAGTGTGGTGTACAGATTATTTCATCCCCAGGTAATAAACATAGTACCTGATGGAGGGTTTTTCAGTCCTCTCCCTCTTCCCAACCTCCACCCTCCAGCAGGCCCCGGTGTCTGTCGTTCCCTTCTTTGTGTTCATATCTATGCAATGTTTAGCTCCCTCTTACAAGTGAGAACATGCAGTATTTGGTTTTCTGCTCCTGCGTTAGTTCACTTAGGATAATGGCCTCCAGCTCCATCCATGTTGCTGCAAAGGACATGATCTCTTTCTTTTTTATGGCTGAGTAGTATTCCATGGTGTATATGTACCAGGCTGGAGTGCAGTGGTGTGATCTTGGCTCACGGCAACCTCTGCCTCCCGGGCTCAAGCAATTCTCATGCCTCAGCCTCCCGAGTAGCTGGAACTACAGGCATCCGCTGCCACACCCAGCTAATTTTTCTGTATTTTTAGTAGAGACGGGTTTTGTCATGTTGGTCAGGCTGGTCTCGAACTCTTGACCTCAAGTGATCTGCCCGCCTCGGCCTCCAAAGTGCTGGTATTACAGGTGAGCCACTGTGCCTGGTCTATATTTTCTTTATCCAGTCTAATGTTGATGGTCGTTTAGGTTGATTCCATGTCTTTGCTATTGTGAATAGTGTTAGAATAAACATATGTGTGCATGTGTCTTTGTGATAGAATGATTTATTTTCCTTTGGGTGTATACTTCATAATGGGATTGCTGGGTTGAATGGAAATTCTGTTTTAACTTCTTTGAGAAATCGCTAAACTGCTTTCCACAATGGCTGAACTAAATTTACATTCCCACCAGCTGTGTATAACTGTTTCCTTTTCTCCACAACCTTGCCAGCATCTCTTACTTTTTGACTTTTAATAATAGCCATCTGACTGGTGTGAGATGGTATCTCATTGTGGTTTAGATTTGCAATTCTCTAATGACTAGTGATGTTGAGTATTTTTTTGTATGCTTGTTGGCTATGTGTATGTCTTCTTTTGAAAAGTGTCTGTTCCTGTCTGGGGCTGGGAAATCTAGTTCCTAGCTGGGCAGCCTTGTGCTGGGCTATGACTTCAATACTTGGGTTCAGCAAGTCCACCACAAACATTATCCTCCATTTAATGGATGAAGTAGAGATGTGGAAGTGGGAAATTTTACTCAGGGAAAGAGAATTTATTGAGTCAGATACCATGCTAAGTACTTTTCTGTACGCTTAAAACGCCCTAGGGTCTCATCGCCCAGATGCCCAGTCTAATCCAGTTACTTCCCAGCCTTTGCTTGTGCTGTGTCTTCTGCCTGGAATGCCTTTGTCTTCGGATGAATTGGTCCCACACTTTCCTCAAGCTCAAGAACTACCTCCTTGATCATAGAATTTCAGAAGCAGAAACAGCCTCAAAAACATTTAGGTCAGTTGGGTGCAGTGACTCATGCTTGTAATCCCAGCACGTTGGGAGGCAGAGGCAGGAGGAATGCTCAAGGCCAGGCGTTCAAGACCAGCCTGGGCAACATAGCAAGACTCTGTCTCTATAAAACAAACAAAAAACATATTTAGGTCAACGATTCATTTTATAAGTGAAGAAACTGAGGCCTAGAGAGGAAAAAATACTTGCCCAAGGCCACATAGTACGGTATCTATATATTAATAGCTGCATGGCCCATAGCTAGGGCTCGGGACTCCAGGTCTGGTGCTCCTTTCAGCCCTAAGAAACCACTGCCTGCCCCACAGGTCTCTGCTCTGCCTTTGTGCTTTTTGCTCTGTGACTTTGGACACATCTCTCAGCCCCTCTAACCTCCAGATTCTTAAGCTATGAAATGAAGAGCTTGGATCAGATTATCCCTAGGGGTCCATCAGAACATAGACCCAGTTCCTTCCTAGACTTTCAAATCTTGGCCCCTCTCAACAATGCTGAGACATCACCCAGAAAAAATGGTGCAGACCCATGTCCACTTCCTCCTGTGGGCAAGTTCACAGTTGAATCAACAAAAGGCCTCCTTTTTTCTCACCCCTCTGGGAAGCAGGCATGGGGCTGAGCACCTTACATGCTGTATCTCGTTTCATCACAAAGATCTCCCTGGAAAGTGGGTATTATTATCCCCCATTTTTTTAGATGAAGAAACTGAGGCTGTAAAAGGTTAATGACTCTTTGGAACAAACAGATGAGCCTTGACCCTGGGATTCCCCAAAGTGGGGAGGTAGGACAAGTAGGGGAGGATGCAGGGAAACTTGGCTTGATGCAATAAAGAACTTCCTACTAGAACTTCCTCTGGAGAGACAGGCTGTCTTGGAAAGGGGTGATTTCCTGGTCACTGGAGGTGCACACACACTGGGTGAAAGATCAAAGGATTTTAGCAGTGAGGTAGAGGCAAGGGCGAGGGAGTGGACTAGATCAGTGATTCCCAAAGTTTCTTTCAGGTGCTACGTTGACCAGCATTCAATAAGATTGCTTACACGGAAAAAAAGTTACTCCTTAAATTATTTTTCAAGCTTTCTGATTTTGATTAGCAGAAGGTCTTGGTTTGAGGCTGGTACAGCTTGCATACCTCTTCGCCACTTGTTAGTTCTTTTTTAACAATAGACATTAAGCCTCAGGCTTAGAGCTCAGAAGCAGGTGGCAGGACTCAGCCAGGATGGAATAACACTGGGCTTTTTTTTTTGTCAGAGGAGAAGAACTTGAAACATTGGGCACTTTATTTTTAAATTTTTATGGTTACCTTCTTTCATGGCAAAGTATTCTGCTTTCCCCATTACCATTGTGATATGAAGTTTCATTTTAACGTGAATACAGTATATTTTAAGAGAATGAACAGACAAGCCACAGACTGGGAGAAAGTGCTTGCAAAACACTTATCTGATAAAGGGCTTGTTTCCAAAATGTACAATGAACTCTTAAAACTCAACAATAAGAAAACAAACAACCCAATTAAAAAGTGGGCGAAAGATTTGAACAGTTACCTCTTCAGAGAAGATATCCAGATGGCAAATAAGCATATGAAAAGATGCTTGACACCCCATGTCATTAAGGAACTGCAAATTAAAACAACAATGAGATGGCGCACCGCTATTAGAATGTCTAAAACCCCAAATACCAACAACACTAAATGCCGGCAAGGAGGGAGAGCAACAACTCTTGTTCACTGCTGGTGGGAATGTGGAATGGTATGGCCACTTTGGAATACAGTTTGGTAGTTTCTTACAAAGGGAAACATAATCTCACCATATGATCTAGTAATTGCACTCCTAGGTATTTACCCAACTCAGTTGAAACCTTATGTCCTCACAAAAAAAACTGCACACAAATGTTTATAGCAGCTTTATTCTTAATTGCCAAAACTTGGAGCTAGACAAGATGTCCTTCAATAGGTGAATGGATAAACAAACTGTTGTAAGTCCACACAATGGAATATTATTTGGTGTTAAAAAGAAAGGAGCTACCAAGCTATGAGAGGACATGTAGGGTAGGGTAGAGAGGACATGGTAGGGCATGGTAGGCAAACTAAGATGATATTGTTAAGTGAAAGAAGCCAGTCTAAAAGACCACATGCTATATTCCAATTATATGGCATTTTGCAAAAAGCAAAACTATTGAGATAGTAAAAAGATCAGTAGCGGCTAGGGGTTTGGAGAGGTGGGGAGAGGGATGAACAGGGGATTTTTAAGGCAGTGAAACTATTCTGTGTGATATTATAATTGTGGACCATTCATCAAAATGTGTGCCCAACAGAAATGTGGTCATGTGTCCACCAAAATACATGAACAGGACTGTCCACAGTGGCACTGTTTTTAATAGCCTCAAACCAGAAATAATTCAAATGTCTACCAACAGGAGAATGGATAAATACATTGTGGTGTACTCATACCACTGAGTACTAGGCAGCATGAATGAGGAAAAACTATCGCCTTGCCCAACAACATGGGTGAAGCTCACAGATATGATGTTGAATGAGGGAAGCATGACAAAGAAGAGGACCTTCTGGTTGAGTCAATTTATCGGAAGTTCAAACACATAAAACTAATCTATGGTTACTTTTGGGGGGCACTGAGTGGGAGGGGCTATGAGGGAGGCTTCTGGGTGCTGAAAATATTTCGTATTGTGATGGGGCCGACTGCACGGGTGAATACGCAAGTGAAAACTGATGAAACTGTACATTTAAGATACATGCACTTTATTTTAAGTTTAAAAATACAAGGGAACTTGGAAATGGTCAACATTATGAAAGCAGAATGCAAGTGACTAAAGCTTGGAAAATAGTGGGTGAGAAGTTCTTTCGAGGGTTTACTGTCCTGAGAATGGGATCCTCTAACTGCAGCACCACCACCCACTCCCCGCCCTGGGCCTCAAGGCCCTAAGGTCAGGGGGTGACCTGTCCCTTATCTGGTCTGTTGATCAGTGGAGGCACCAGGTTTAGGGGGTCAGACACCAGTTGCCACCTCCTGTCCCCAGGGCCAGCTTTGAGCCCTGAAACATGAGGCCTCAGGATCACAAGGGCAGATTCCTGCCTGAGACTTTACAAACAAACTGGAGGCCTTTGGGGGATGCACATGCTGCTGTCCCTCCCGCTACTCACCCCCACGGCGTGGTGAGTTCTCTTCTGGGCCTCTCCCGGCCTGCTGCCATCTTGCACTCAAGCATCGTCCAACATCTCCCCATGGGCATGGCCCCAGCCTCATTTTCATCCACCTGGTCTTCACTGGCTTTTCTGCAGATTCACTGTGGGACAGGTCACTTCCTTTTTACCTCCCCACACCTCATTTCTATCTCTGCAAAGCATAGCGACAGAGAGGATTCAGGAACCACTCGGCTAGAAGCACAGACCAGCCCTTCCAATGGTGGGTTCCCTTCTGCAACACCCCAGGCAGTTACTCAACCTCTCTCTAAACGCCTCCTGTCACAGGGAGCTCACCTCTGGCTGATGGAAAGTGCTTCCTAGAAATAAGTGCAGCTAGTATGGACCTGTTTTTGCAAAAAAAAATTTAAATGATCTATCATCTACCAATCTAAATATCTAAATATGTATATAAATATATAAACACATATATGCCTACTAGGCATAGATAAGTTCTCTCTGGAAGGCTATACAATAAAAGAAGCAAGATGTACTCTCCACTCTGACCCATTTGCACCTTTTGAATTTTGTACTATGTGAGAACATTACCTAGTAAAAGTAGATAGAAGATGTCTGAAAAAAAGCTCTGGCCAGGCATAGTGGCTCACACCTGTAGTCCCAGCAGTTTGGGAGGCTGAAGCCAGATGATCACTTGAGCCCAGGAATTCAAGGTTACAGTGAGCTGTGATTGTGCCACTGCACTCCAACCTGGGTGACAGATCAAGACCCTGCCAAATAAAAAAGAAAGAGAGAGAAAGAGGAAGGAAAGGGAGGGGAAGGGAGGGGAAGGTTGAAGGGGAAGGGGAAGGGGAAGGGGAAGGGAAGAGAGGCAAAAGTTCTAGTTCTTACCCTCCTTGGCCACACCTCAACCACCAGTCCACCCGCTTGACTTGGGTGAGATTAAGGCTTTGAAGACAGATGTTTGAGCCTCCATCCCCCTCTGTCAGTACTTGTGAGACAGTGGCAAATTGCATACCTTCTCTGCACCAAGGTTTCTTTGCTTATAAGATGTGAGACTAACAATGTCTGCCTGCTGGGTTACTGTGAGCTTTCAGTAAGGCGATGTCTGGCTCAGAATAGGTGCTTGCTTAATAAAGTTTAATTATTGTTATTTAATCTTGTCCCCTTATTTTGCTTGCATAAGTATACCTTTTGATTTACAAACTATTCTATTTAACTCTCATGGAAGGCAATGTTGGGAGTTTTTTTGTTTGTTTGTTTGTTTCTTAGACAGGGTCTCACTCTGTCATCCAGCTGGAGTACAGTGGCACAATCACAGCTCACTGCAGCCTCAAACTCCTGGGCTCAAGTGATCCTCCTGTCTCAGCCTTCCAAGTAGATGGGACTATAGACATGTGCCATCATGCCCAGCTAATTTTTTTTTTAACTTTTTTGAGACACAGTCTCACTCTGTCATCCAGACTGGAGTGCAGTGGCACAATCTTGGCTGGCTGCAACCTCCGCCTCCCAGGTTCAAGCGATCCAGCCTCCAGAGTAGCTGGGATTACAGGTTTGCTTTACCATGACCGGGAAATTTTTGTATTTTCAGTAGAGAAGGGGTTTCACCATGTTGGTCAGGCTGGTCTCAAACTCCTGACCTTAAGCGATCCGCCTTCCTTGGCCTCCCAAAGTGCTGGGATCACAGGCATGAGCCACCGCACCTGGCCTTTTTTATCTTTTTTATAGAGACAAGGTCTCACTCTGTCACCCAGGCTGGAATGCAATGGCACAATCTCGGCTCTCTGCAGCCTCCACACCCCTGGATCAAGTGATCCTCCTACCTCAGCCTCCCTGGAAGCTGAGACTATAGGCATGCACCACCAGATCCAGCTAATTCTTTTTTACATTTTTTGTAGAGACAGGGGTCTCACGATGTTGCCCAGGCTGGCCTCAAACTCCTGAGCTCAAGTAATCCTCCTGCCTTGGCCTCCCAAAGTGCTGGGATTACAGGCCTGAGTCACGGCACCTGGCCACAATGTTGGCTGTTTTTAACCCCATTTTACAGATAAGAAACTGAGGCTCTGTGACTTGCCCAAGGTTACACAGCTAGCTGATAGGTTGCCAAGCCACGAATCAGGCCTCCAGATGTCTGTGGCACTCTTTCTTCCTCCCCAGGCTACCTCTGGGTCTGGAATCTTTGTTCGGCATCTCAAATTATTCTCTGAGTGCCACAGAGGTGCCTCTGCCCCTTTTCCTTCTCCCCTCACCTCTGTTGCTCCAGTAGCATCTTTCCTGAGCCCTTGCCCTGGAAACCTGGGTATTCTGAGAAGTCGGGGAGGAGAGGGGGATAGGGCTTTCTCCATGTCCAGACAGGGCCAGGCTTTACCTTAGAGAAAGCTGGGACCCCTGAGACTGGGTTGGAAGAGACCAGGAGAAGAGATCAGGAAACTCGATGGTCCCAGAGCCGTATGAAGATGTCACCATGAGAGGCCGGAATGGGAAAGGCAGCTGTAATTAAGACCTCAATGGAGGTCAGCGTGGGCCAGGAAGGCAGCTCCCGGGCCTCAGACCTGGCCCAGACACTGGAGGGCAGTGATTCCTCCAGATTCCCTCTGGCCATAAGGAATCAGCAAGGAGGCTCACCATCCCCAGGGAGGATGTGTTTCCAGTTTATTCCATTAAAGTCCATCTTGCCCCTGGGCTCCAGAGGGTTTGGCTCACATCTGTCATGCTTGGCAGCACCTGGCACAGGCAAAGCTGGCACATGCAAGGCACCTGCTATTTGTTAAATGGCTAAGTGGTACCCCATAGTCTATCCCATTCACCCCTGCCTCTGCACATTGCTGCCTCCAGCACTCACCCATTTCTGTATACTCAGACCATCCCAGTGTCTGGGACCTTCTGGCTGAAGTCTCTCCTGCATCCTCCCTGTGCTAACCTCACCCCTGCTCCTGTGAGGTCAATGGAGCCTCCGGAGGGGGGCATGGGTGATACGGACAAGGAGCCATGGCAGAGTTACTACAGCTCCCTCAGCTCCCAGTCTGGAGAAGAAAATCACCACTGTAAATTTCCCCAACAGCGCCCCGCCCAGCTCCTCCTCCCTGATTCCAGCCCCTTAGCTCATGATTTATAGCAGGAGCCTCGGTGGCCACCTCTGCAGGAGGAAAGCAGGCACCTGCAGCCCGCACGGAGGAGTCGTCTCACCCCAGGCCTGGGGCGGGGACCCCAGACGTTCACCAACACCCCTCATCCCCTGCCCCCAGGCAGGGCTCTTCTGCCTCCCAGCGGGCATCCTCTGCTACAGTCCCCATCACCCTGCCCACCACACCGTGGCTTCCCTGAACCCTGAGACCTCCGGAAGGGGAAGCCAGGAAGCTGCACCTCCCACAGCGGCTCATTCCACAGCCACTCGCCTTAACCTCCAGTTTTGTCCAATGGGACATTGGGGGATGACCAAAATGGCCATGGGGACCCAGATTGCACAGAAAGGAGGCTGTGGAGTCCTGGCCTTATTCCACCACGTGGTGATGGGGAAAGAGCCCTGGGCTACGAGCCCAGAAGTCTGGATTCTGGTCCCGGCTCTGGGTAAATGTCTGGCCCTTTCCAGGTGTCAGTTCCTTCATCTGTAAAATGGGGGCTTGGGTCAGGTGGCACCTAAGGGTTTAGGAGGAACCTAAGGGGGCACCTCTCCACACCTGTGCCCCTGGACTTGACTTCACATCCAGGGCTGGCACGCATTTTCTGGCTCCACAAGCAGCACCCTGCATTCGAGTCATGTTAGGCTTCCCCTCTCCTACTCCCCACTTCTGGAGGAGGCCAAGAATGGGGCCTGCTATCCTAGACCCATTCATTCATAAGGCAGAGGGGGTGGGTGGTGGCTGACACAGTGTCCCTGTCCCTCCTGGGGCTGTCCCACAGCAAAGGCCCCCTCCCCACCTCAGCCTGAAAGCATAGGCTCCTGGAAGGCCTCCTACCACCAGCAGCAGCAAGACTTTGCCTCTGCCTCCTTGTTCCCTCCCAGACTTACCCCAAGGCTGAGGCCACCCCCCTCCCCAGGAACCATTGCCCAAACCAGGCTAGGTTTTCTCCAGCTCCGGCAGGAACCTGGGAGCCAGGCCGCTTCTGAGAGGTCCGGGCTGGGGGCACATCTCTTCTGCCCACCTCCAGCAGCAGGTAGGCATCAAGGTTACTCCCTAGATCAGGGTCCCAGGGATCAGAAACAGGACTGGGTGATAAAATGACCGAGGTTGGGGGGACAAGACCTGAAGTTCCTGTAAACGTTCAGTGAGCTGAAAGCAGTTCCTCCAGCCACAGGGCTCGGGGCAGCACACTGGGCCTGCTGGTCCCTGTGAGCCAAGGGTTCTCTAAGGCCCTTGTTTACTAGTAATGTCATCAGTACCAGGACACAGAGGATCCAAATGTACTTCAGCCAAGTTATGCATGGATTTTTGCCTGCAAATATCTTATTCTCTCAATGTCCAAACTCCCTAGGATAGGGTCTGTCTTTTTCCATCAGACTGAGGGGTTCCCAAGGCAGAGCTGTATCTCTGCCATCTGATTGTGGGTTCTCCTAAATAATAACAACGACAGCCACACATACTGAGCCTGGCCCTGCTGTACGCACTTTACCCACAATATCACAACAACCTTAAAAACTGTGTGCTGCTGTCATCTCCAATGTATAGATAAAGAAATGAAGTTCAAACGGGTTGAGCTACTTGGCCAAAGCAATAGATCACAACCAAACTCAAATCCCTGGTGGCATGGAAGCCTGAGCTCCACCCATGCTGCTTCTGAGAGTTGGAGGTGGGGGGCCCACACCTTTGATCTACTCCTTTTGCAATACAGAGACCCAGAGACAGGGAAAAAAATCCCCAAGTTTGCACAGCAAGATAGAAGCAATCTTGATGCCCAAACCAGGTTTCCTGAGGGCCTATCCTGGATTCTAGTCCACGTGCAGCCAGACCCTACTCAGCCGCAGGACAGAGTGGCTCTCAGCACCCAGAAAACTGACAGCATGTCCTCCCCTCCCCACCCCCAGCTTCCCTTTGCATAGAGAAGCCAGTTCTCCTTCATGTATGTGGCCACTCCATGGCTATTTGTCAGTGTTCTGTAAGCTCTTCCCGTAACACATACCCATTTGCAGTTCAAGTCATCAAAAGCCAAGTATACAATTTTTCATTTTTATATCAATCCTTGTTCTTAGGCATCAGTTTTACCCTCCTGAAACTCAGCTCAGCTGATGGTGAAATCATTTCCCTTCCCTGAGATCTTATCTTGCATGAGAGGCCGAGGGATGGCCTGGATTCCCTCAGCGTAGGGGACCCGCTGGCTCAGGGAGTGGTTTGCCTCAGGTATCAGGACATAGAGGACCCAAATCCACTTAAGTCAAGTTATGAGTGAACTTTTGCCTGAAAATATCTTATTTTCTCAATGCCTATAAGTGCCCAAGGACAGGGTCTCATTTTTTTCCATCAGACTAGGGGTTCCCAAGGCAGACTTGTACCTCTCCCATCTGATTATGGGTTCTCCTAAAACAGGAATTCGGTCTCCCCTATTAGACTAAGGGCTCTCCCAAGCCAGAGCTATGACTCCTTCATCAGACCGGTTATTACCCAAGGATAACACTGTCTCCCCCATCAGACTAGCTAATCCCTGAGGATAATGCTATCTCCCCCATCAAACTGAGTAGAGTCTATATCCCCTCCAGCCAGTCCCCATCCTGGGCATGGCTGAATCTATACCATTTGGCACAGGGCAGCTTCTCACAGAAGAAAGCTTTAGATGGCAGGAAAACTCCCCTCTCCCTCCCACCCCATCCCCAGGGAGCCAAGCCAATAGAGGCTGCTGTGAAGGCTCCTGGGGGCCTGTCCCAGACTAGCGAGATCCAGCCAGGCCCACAAGCTCCTCTCACTGCCTGCCACCGCCACTGGGCAGCCCAGCACCCCCTGACCTCATGGCCTTCCATCATGGGAGATCTATAACATTTACAATCCCAAAACAAAAGACCCCGAGAGCCGAGGACAGAATTCATCTTCCCAGCTGACAAGCCCCGTTAATTAACGACTTAGAAATCGATGACGAGAAGGGACAGGCGGCAAATGACACCTCATCGTGGGCCAGGAAGAGGGAGGGAATGTCCGGGGACTGGTGGACACGCACCGTGGGGCTGGCCAGGCGCCTGGGAGAGCCACCCTCCCATCTGTCACTGTCACTTCAAACGCGGTCGACTACCTCCCCAACCAGAAATTCTCATTTCCCACCATGGCAGACCCCCAAGAAAAGTGGGGAGAGATTGTGCTAAAAGAGCGAAGGGAAAGTAATTTATGGAGCACCTTCCATGTGCCGGGCACTGAGCTAGGTGCTTCTCATTCCTTATAACCTCTCATAGCAACTGGGGGAGGTAGGTTTCTTGATTCCCACTTTAGGGGTGAGAAAACTTAGGGGCGGAGGAAAGTCAACCTAAGGTTGACTAAGGTTGGGGTTGTGTTTGTAAATGCCTGCTACAGGTGGATGAAACCAGCTCTGCTTCTAAGGAGGCAACTTGATTAAAGCAAAGAGCTCTGGATTTGAGAGCAGAAGATCTGAGACTAAGCCCTATCTCCATCCCCGCTGTCTGTGTAACATTAGACAAGTTGCTTAATGTCTCCAAGTCTCCATTCCTTCATCTGTAGCAGAGGGAGAAGAATCCCTCACCCTTTCCTTACCACATAGAGGAGTCACACACTCTTGTGGAGGAGCTTGGGCTACCTAAGGCCTATGCTTGGGTAAGGGGGCAGATGTTATTTTCTGTTCATCACCCCTACCCAACTTGGGGGCAAGATGTGGGATGAAATGGTATGAAAATCCAGAAGGGAAGGCTTGGGAGGGCCCAAGAGTGTCCATCAAAGATAGGAGGGCAGGGGCCGGGCACAGTGGCTCACACCTATAATCCCAGCACTTTGGGAGGCTGAGGCAGGCGGATGACTTGAGATCAGGAGTTCCAGACCAGCCTGGCCAACATGGTGAAACCCGTCTCTACCAAAAATACAAAAATTAGCTGGGCATGGTGGTGCGCACCTGTAATCCCAGCCACTCGGGAGGCTGAGGCAGGAGAATTGCTTGAACCTTGGAGGCGGAGGTTGCAGTGAGCCAAGATCACACCACTGCACCCCAGCCTGGGCGACAGAGTGAGACTCCATCTCAACAAACAAACAAACAAACAAACAAAACAAAACAAACAGATGGGAGGGTGGGGCTGGAAAACAGGCCCCTTGGGCCCACCTGTGAGTTCAGTCTTTCTGCAAAAAAAGGAGATAACAGGCCAGGCGCGGTGGTTCACACCTGTAATCCCAGCACTTTGGGAGGCTCAGGTGAGTGAATCACCTGAGGTCAGGAGTTCGAGACCAGCCTGGCCAACATGGTGAAACCCCATCTCCACAAAAATACAAAAATTAGCCAGGCATGATGGCAGGTGTCTGTAATCCCAGCTACTTGGCAGGTTGAGGCAGGAGAACCGCTTGAAGCTGGGAGGTGGAGGTTGCAGTGAGTGGAGATCACACCACTGCACTCCAATCTGGGTGACAGAACGAGACTCCATCTCAAAAAAAAAAAAAAAAAAGAAGAAGAAGATAACAAAGGTGCCTACTTTGTGGAATTACTGTGAAGTTGAGACAGACAATGCCAGCAAAGGGCTTAGCATGGCCTGGGACATAGTAAGTGCCCAATACATGTCAGCAAGGGTCAGTGTTCTCCCATCCCTTCTCCCTCTCCCAAACCAATGTCAGAGATGTGGCAGAGTGAGGATCAAAGAAAATGCAAGGAGCACCTGCCTGACCCAGGGCTCCTTGCTGAGGGCCCCTGGGAAGGGAGTGAACACAGCTCCTGCTCTTGGAAAAGACCCTGACAATGGAGCTCACAGTTACCATCCACTATGAGGAGCTCAATGCTGGGACATGGAATGGTTCTCGGGGAGCCCAGAGTGGCTGCTGTCTGGCCTGGAAGAGTGAGTAGGAGAAATCGTGGCGGGATGTGAGGAAAGGGACTCAGCGAGGTGGGCTGAGGGAGTCCTGGTGCCCCACACATAGCAGATGCCTCCCCTTCTTCCACCCAGTCCACAGTCAGCAGAGTCCAGGAGATGTCTGGGAAATGTGGGAGTCGCAGAGGCTGCTGGGAGTGTGAGGGTGGGGGCGGGGCAGGATAAAAGCCTAGAGGGGCTGGGGCCAAATGGAGAAGGACGCAGGATACCACAGCACGCTGGGGAGTGAGAGCCTCAGCTTCTGGGTGTATCAAATGGGGCCAGGTTCCAAAGAAGAGGCATACTTGGCAAACAAGCACAGGAAACGAAGCTCCGCCTCCCTAAGCACAGGCAAATGCAAATCAAAACCACAGGAAGGTGGGCCAGGCACGATGGTTCATGCCTACAATCCCAGCACTTTGGGAGGCCGAGGCAGGCAGACCACTTGAGATCAGGAGTTGGAGACCAGCCTGGCCAACATGGCAAAACCCCATCTCTACTAAAAACACAAAAATTAGCAAACAGGCATGTGATCCCAGCTACTCGGGAGGCTGAGGCAGGAGAATCGCTTGAACCCAGGAGGCAGAGGTTGCCTTGAGCCAGGATCTTGCCACTGCACTCCAGCCTGGGCGATAGAGACTCTGTCTCAAAACAAACAAACCACAGGAAGCTATCACTCCATCATACTGGGATGGCTATAATTAAAACAGAAACACACAGGAAATAAGCATTGGAGAGGATGTGGCACTATTGGAACCCTTATGTATTGCTGGTGGGACTGTAACACGGTGCAGCCACTGTGGAAAACAGTTTGGAGATTCCTCAGAAAATGAAACCTAAAATTACCATATGATAGCAAGTCTATTCCTAGGTATAGAGCCAAAGGAACTGAAAACAGGGACTCAAACCAATACTTGTACACCCATGTTCATTGCAGCATTATTCACGATGGCCAAACTGAAGTGTCCATCAACCAGTGAATGGAAACACAAAATGTGAAACACAAAATGTGACACAGACATAGGACGGAATTCTACGCAGCATTAAGAAGAATTAAGTTATGACACATGCTACAACATGGATAAACCTTGAGGACACAATGCTAAGTGAAATAAGCCAGGCACAAAAGGACACATATTGTATAATTCCACTTACAGGAAATATCTAGAAAAGGCAAATTCATAGAGACAGAAAGTAGACATTACCAGGGGCTGTGGGAAGAAGAGAATAGAAAGTTATTGCTTAATAGGTTTCTGTCTGGGGTGGTGAAAAGTTTTAGAAACAGAGTGGTCATGGTTGTACAACACTGTGAAATGTAATTAATGCCACTGAATTGTACCCTTAAAAATCGTTAAAATGGTATAAGTGATATATGTTTTACCACAATGTTTAAAAAAACTTTAAAAATCCAACAGGAAAAAAAAATGGGGCTAAAGATCTTTTTGACAAGAATTCGGCTTTGTCTTCTTAGGGACTCCTTCCTAGGGATCAGGGAGCCCTATACTAGGGGGACCCTCTAAATTGAGGCTGGGAGGATGAATGATGCCACCCCCTCCTTCTTCTCATCTGCCCCCAAAACTCCCACCCCACCCCTTTCCCCCAGCCCAAGCCATGGGGGGAAAGTTGGCCAGGCCTGGACAAGCCTGGGCCTTCCTCTCAGAGCAGATGGCTTCACTCTCCTCCCCTCCCCCTGCCTTCTCCCCCACCCCCAGCCCCCTTAAAGAAGAAGAGACCTTTCCAGAATACGTCATCTCACCGGAGCCGTAAATGTCAAATTTAAATTCATACTTTGTACCACCTTTGATTTCAAAGCGGATTACACCTCAGTGGTGAAAGGCGGCCACAGCGCGGGGCCTGAGAGGTCTCCTGGGCCTCCGCTGGCCCGAAGCATTGTTAACTCCTTCCAACTCATTAGCTCTAATCCCGATGGCACTGAGTAAGGGGCCCTGGGCCGCACCCGGCACTCAGGACCGTATGTGCCATTGTATCACTCCTCGGCTAATCCAGCACCCGTCGCAGGCACTGGCCCAGGGGAAAGGGACTGTGGCCACCCGCTCCGGCCGGGAGTGTGTCCTGGCCCTCAGTGGGGGAAGGGGAGGAGGCAGGCAGGCGTTCAGCCGCAGAACCCCCACAGAGCCTTTGAGGATCAGGACGAAGGGACCACAGGGTGGGGAGGAGGGGACGAGGGTGCTGGGAGAGGTGGAGGGACAGACAGACGTCAATTGGTGCTGCGCCACGTTTTCTCTCTCCCAATATACACTCACTCGCTATACACATCTATTCACACATCCATACTCACACTCCGTCACACACTGGCACACTCACTATACACACCTACTCACACATCCACACTCACACTCCACACACCAGCACACTCACTACACACACCTATTCACACATCCACACTTTGTCACACACCAGCACACTCACTATACACACCTACTCACACATCCACACTCACACTCCGTCACACACTGGGCACACTCACTATACCATAACCTATTATCCACACTCATACTCCATCACACACCAGCACAGTCACCATACACACCTATTCACACATCCACTCACACTCCATCACACACCAGCACAGTCACTATACACACCTATTCACACATCCACACTCACACTCTGTTGCACACTGGTACTCACATATACACACCTATTCACATATCCACACACACTCCGTCACACACTGGCACACTCACTGTCATACAGCACCCTGCACCCACAGCAACACCTATGCACCTACACACCTTGCACACACAGATGCAACCACACCTGTACACACAATACCAACACCCAGAGGCACACCTTGGCGCCTACACACACATCCACATTCATGTACCCTCAATACAGCCGCATTCTCACACACTCATGTCTACCCATCCACACACATGCACACACATATCCATGCACTCGCAGACACCCAGTCCACTCTGCGGAATGTCCCTGTTTAAAAAAATAAAAGAGCTCCTGGCATTTTTTCCCCTGACCTTTCCAATGTCCAGAATGTCAGAGCTGGAAGAGACTTTAAAGAGAACTGAGTCTGCTCATCTCGCTTACTGGTGGGTAAACTGAACCTCAGCTGCAGTGCAGCCCAGCCCTTCCCAGCCTGGTGACGTCACACAATTCTCTTAATGCCACGAAGGCCCTGCTTCCTCTGCTGACTAAAAAAGTTCAATATTCTAATGAATTTAAAAAGAAAAAATAAAGTATAATAGCACTTGCCCTGCAGGATTCTTATCAGGATGAAATGAGACAATGTACATCCAAGCGTTTCATGAATGCAAAAGCACCCTAAACAAGTGTGTAAATGTCATAAATGGGTTCCCAGGACCACCCATGAATAAGCAGCAACGGAAGACTAGAAGCTAGAGCTTTGAGCTCTGCGCAGGCGTCCCATGGTCCTCAACTTTCCAAAAGAAAGACGGGGGGCAGCAGCCCAGACCCGGAAGGCTCTGGGTAATATGGGAAGAACAGGCTACAGCTGGGGCGGGTCATGGCGCCAGGCTGCTTACTCGGGCCCCACCCACACAGTGGTCTCAGGCTTAGGAGAAATCAAGTTTCCAGGTGAAAAGAGTAAACTAGGCATGTCTGACCACTGATATCTACCCAGGCCTGGGCTCCAAGCTCCCAGCGCTCACTCTCTGAGGAAAACCTGCTGGAACAGTCTGGCTGAAGGTGACATTTAGTTAGGATACGGGGCAGAGGCCAACATGTCACTGATCCTATCCCCAAGAAAGGGGACAGACACATGCAACACCGTAGGCTAATCACATGCAGAGGTACTAGCACAGCAGCATCCATCTGTCTGCCAGTCTGTCTGTCTGTCCATATTTAGGGGTGTGGTGGGAGTGAACAGAGGTTAAAGCTGGTGGGGGAGGGGTTGGATCTGTTTCTTTGGATTTTTCTCTGAAGCTAAGAAAATACATGTACACATATAGATCAGTGGTGTGTTGGAGCCAATCATGGTTGTCTCTTTCCAAGGCCATGTTCAGTGACACCAGGTTAGTAATTTGAAATTCACCATGGTGGGAGTAGTTACACCATGGAAATTGGCAAACACTTCAAATCAGGACTCCCCCCCATTCCTCAAATCAATTGTTAAACATTTACTAGCACAGCACTGTGCAACATATGTTCCCTGCTCCCCACTGGGAAACTTATGCCCCTTGAACTTTAAACCCAGGTACTTTAAGTACCTGAACTCTCCCCTCCAGCCAATGCCTCGCCATCTTCTTCACCATCAGAGCCTCAGCTTCCTCAACCATAAAATTAGGAGAATAATGATAGCATCTGGAGCAGAGCCTGTTGAACTTCAATGTGCACACGAATCACTGGAGGATCCTGTTAAGATGCAGAATCTGATTAGTCCGTGTCTTAGTCCACTTGTGCTGCTATAATGAAAATATCACAGACTGGGTAATATATAAATAATAGAAATTTGTTTCTTGCAGTTCTAGAGGCTGGGAAGTCCAAGATCAAGGCACCGGCAAATTCTGTGTCTGAGAGGGCTGCTCTCTGATTCCAGCACAGCACATTGCTACTGTGTCCTCACATGGCAGAAAAAAAGAGGGGCAAAAAGGGCCTAGTTAGTTCCTTCAAGCCCTTTTATAAGGGTGCTAATCTATTCATGAGGGTGGAGGCCTCGTGACTTAATCATCTCCTACAGGCCCCACCTCCTAATCCTGTTGCATTGGGGATTCAGTTTCAACATGAATTCTGGAGGGGACATAGACATTGAAACCGTAGCAGTCAGTTCAGGATGGGACCCAAGATTCTACATTTCTGACAAACTCTCAAGTGGTGTTGATGCTGCTGTTCCATAGACCACACATAGAAGAATAGGGACATCTTTATTAACATCTCATTAGTGCCAGGTAAAGGTGTTGAGGCTGCCTTGAATCTTTAACCTCTGGCCTGACCGTCTTCCTCAGCCCCAGACCCCCTCCTGATAGCTTGTCATCTCTATGTAAATGCCCCTCTGGGACCTTTAAAAAAGCTAAAGCAAAATGGAAAATACTTATCCCTTCATCCCAAACACCTCCCTCCAGACTGTGATTCTCCCCAGCCACCCTCTTTCTCTTGCTCATGGCCAGTTGGTAGCAATGACGTTCACCAGGAACATCTTCCCTAAGTGGTGGGAGCTTGCTGCTTCTCTGATTCTATCCCCCAAGCTGGGCCCGCACCCCTCCAGCCCCTATTCATGGAGGTCAATGGCGGTTTTTCTCCCCAACCTTGAGTGGGTGCGGTGCCCACGGTCTCCAGCTTGAAGTCTGAAGGCTCTTGCGGGCCTGGTCTGTACTGTGTCTTGGCCACCCTCTCCCTCAAATGAGTCCCAACTCAGTGCTGCGGCTCACTGTTTCCGGGAAGTTCAAGGGCATCCCGCTGAGATCTGCCCTCTATTCCTTCAAGGTCAGCAGGACAGCTCCTCCCCCTAGGACCCACCCTCCCTTCTCTGGACCTCCTCCTTTGGCACTTATCTCTGTGTTACTCAAAGAGCCCAGGGACTGTTTTCTCAAATTTGTGTCCCTTTTTTTTTTTTTCTCATGAGACAGAGTCACTCTGTCACCCAGGCTGCAGTGCAGTGGCATGACCTTGGCTCACTGCAACCTCTGCCTTCCGGGTTCAAACAATTCTCCTGCCTCAGCCTCTGAGTAGCTGGGGTTACAGGTGTGCACCACCACACGCAGCTAATTGTTTTTGTATTTTTAGTGGAGACAGATTTCACCACGTTGGCCAGGCTGGTCTCAAACTCCTGACCTCAAGTGATCCACTCGCCTTGGCCTCCCAAAGTGCTGGGATTACAGGTGTAAGCTGCTGCGCCCAGCCTCAAATTTGTGTCTTCTACTTAATTCCCCAATCTGACCAGGAGCTCCCCTAGGGCAGTGATTGTATCTGCAAAATCAAACTGGGGACATCTCCCAGGACAGGGGCTGTATCTCCTGCAGGGGTCAGGGAATCTTCTGGCAGAGCCCAGGTTTCCTGCAAAAACCCGGAATAGGTGACACCGTGTTTCCTACTCCTTCTGCAGCTCTGGCTGTGGGACTTGGGCCTCCTCCCTTTATTCCACCACTTCCCAGGCATGGCTTTCCTGGGCCCAGCCAGACAGAAGAGAGAAAAGCCACTACAATCACTCTTGGGCAGGGGGCTCTCTGTCCAGGGAAGGGTCAGCCTACAGTCTATCTCCTTCACTGACCCCCATAATTCCCCCGACACCTGTTTGCAGTACTATTCCAGCGTGCGAAAGGAGCTCAGGACTCCCAGGGCCATGAAGCCAGTTGCTAATTAATTGCACTAATTAGCAGGGATGAGGCTGGACATCTGGACCCTCTCATGGGTGAGTTCAGACCCTCGGCAATCTCAGGTTGAGGACAGCTGCCCAGCAGGGACATCATCTCCAGCCTGCCAGACCTGGGGCCCCCTCCCGAGGCACAGAGCACCCCACATATGCTCTGAGCACCCCACATACACTCCAGGCACCCCAAAGGGAGAGGAGAAGCCAAAGCAGGCCAGGGGCAGGGAGTCTGAGACTGGATTCCTGCAGAAGACTTCCCGCCCCAGGCTCCTCTGGAGTGAGGAAGGGAGGGTGGAGGTGCTCTGCCCAGGGCAGGAAGGAACCCCTTTCGGGAGACCAGCTGTACCCCCTCTTCATACCCTTGCTCACACACCATTTACCCCTCATCCTCCTTTCTCCTCAACACCCAGGGGCACTTATTGTCATCTCTATGCAAACACTTCTCTAGGATCTCAAACACGATGGTTCTAAAACAAAAACAAAACCATAAAGACTCATCACCCCTTCCACTCATTCATTCATTCATTCATTCACTCATTCATTCATTCACTCACTCAGTCATTCATTCATTCACTCAGTCATTCAACAAATATTTACTGAGCACTGACCATGAGTCAGGCACTATGCCAGGCACAGAGCACGCAGTTGTAACCAAAACATTGTGTGTACAGGTGATGGAATATTATTCAGCCATAAAAAGAAATGGAATTTTGATATATAGTACAACATAGATCGAACTTGAAAATATTATGCTAAGTACAGTTAGCCAAACACAGAAGGACAAATATTGTAGGATTCCACTTATATAAGGTACCCAGAATAGGCAAATTCAGAGACAGAAAATAGAATAGAGGTTACCAGGAGCTGGGGGGGGGAGGGATGGGGAAGTTATTGTTTAATGGGCTCAAAGTTTATTTTGGAGATGATGAAAAAGTATAGGGTATAGACAGGGATGCTTCCACAACAGTGAGAATGCATTTAATGCCACTGAATTGTACACTTACAAATGATTGAAATAGTAAGTACTGTATGTACATTTCACCACCGTTAAAAACCAACAGGCCAGGTGTGGTGGCTCACTCCTGTAATCCCAGCACTTTGGGAGGCCAAGGTGGGCAGATCACTTGAGGTCAGGAGTTAAAGACCAGTCTGGCCGACATGGTGAAACCCAGTCTCTACTAAAAATACAAAAAACTAGCTGGGCATGGTGTTGTACACCTGTAACCCCAACTACTCAGGAGGCTGAGGCATAAGAATCACTTGAACCCCGGAGGCGGAGGTTGCAGTGAGCTGAGATCGTGCCACTGCACTCCAGCCTGCGCAACAGAGCATCACTGTGTCTCAAAAACAATACAAAACAAACAAACAAAAAAACCAGAAGTCCCTACCCACATGGAGCTTAGCTTCTAGAGGAAGGAGATAATAAGCAAAATCAGTGAAATAGATGAAAGACGGTGACACACACTATGGAAAGAAATGAAGTCAGAGAAGGGAAGAGGGAGCGCTGGGTGGGGCTGCAGATTGGATAGGGTCAGGGAAGGCCTGGCTGGGGAGGACCTGTGAGCAAAGCCATGGAGAAGGCAAAAGAGCACGTGGACATCCAGGATAAGCAATCCTGGCAGAGGGAACGGAATGCCAAGGCCCCAGGGAGAACTCACTTCTGGTGCACACAAGGCACTGCCAGGGGGCAGTGTGGAGCTGGCGAAGTGGACAGGAGTATGAAAGGAGGTAAACAAGGTGATGCGCGTTCACCAGAGAGCCCCGAACACCTAGAGCTCATCATGCACGCTGCATATATGCTGCAGTACCCAGCATCTCGCCAGAGTACCTGCTGCGCCCTCTACCAAGTACTTACCAAGCACCTCACCCCTCCCAGACTGGTCCCTCAGCTCTTCCCAGGGCCCACCTCTCACACCCCACCCTCCAACCCCACACCCTTGACTCATGCCTCATACCTTGACCCCACTCCCTCTGCACCCCCTCCCCCAACCCAGGTATCTAGAAACCTTCTTGAACCTCCAGCCCTCTCCTAGCTTCATGGCAACAACATCCAGGCATTCTAGCTCCTACCTGCCCAGCCCTCAGCCCAACCCAGGGTTCTTCCACAATCCTCACTCCCATTTCTCAGATGAATACACCAAGGCTCAGACATATGGAAGGGCTTCAGCTTCTTAACGTTTCTTCTCTTTCTTTCTTTCTTTCTTTTTTTATTTTTGAGACAGAGTTTTGCTCTGTCATCCAGGCTGGAGTACAGTGGTGTGATCTCGGCTCACTGCAAGCTCCACCTCCCAGGTTCAAGTGATTCTCCTGCCTCAGCCTCCCAAGTAGCTGGGACTACAGGCGCGCAGCACTATGCCCGGCTAATTTTTGTATTTTTAGTAGAGACGGGGTTTCGCCATGTTGGCCAGGCTGGTCTCGAACTCCTAACCTCAAGTGATCCACCCGCCTCAGCCTCCCAAAGTGCTGGGATTACAGGCGTGAGCCACAACACCTGGCCTCCTTAGCAATTCTTCATCAGAGGAGGGAGGCCTGCATGCAATCACATAAAACAGAGGAGGGAGGCCTGCATGCCATCACATAAAACAGGATCGAAGCTCTTGGAGGCAGCCCATGAACACACACACATGTGAGTGTGCGTGTGTGTGCACATGCCTCCCTAACAGCTCCCATGCAAGGCCCACACTGTAGTAGAAATGGCTGCCACAGAGCTCCACGGAGCAGGAGAGAAGGGAACTGGAGGGTATAGGCTATTGGAGACAGCAGTCTGGACATGTTCTGTACAAGAGAAAGGCACTGGCTCACAGCACACTCAGAAGCAGCCCACCCTAACCTCTCCGAGCCTCGTCGCCCTTGACTCCTTTCTTTCTCACTCAACCCCACAGCCAATCCATCAGCTAACCTGGGTAGCTCTCCCTGCAAAATTCATCCGGAATCTGACCACTGCTCTCCACCACTGCCTCTCACCTGGGTGACTGCAGTAGCCTCCAAATGGGCTTCCACCCTTGTTGCCCCACAGCCTGCTCTTGACCAGTAGCCAGAGGAACCTCGTTCTAAGTCATACCGTGTCCCTGCCCTGCTCAAACCCTGCCTGGCTCTCAGCTTCCTTCAGAGTCAAAGCCCTTGCAATGGTCTGTGAGCACTGCCCCATCTGGCTCCCTTGGCCTCCTCCCCGTGACCTTACCTCCTACCATGCCGGCCTCCCTCCTTCCACTGGTCTCTCTGGCTTCCTCGCCTCTCCCTGAACTGGCCAGGCCAATCCTTCCTCAGGGCCTTTGTGCTGGCTGTTCCCTCTGCCCAGGAGTTCCTTCCCCAAAAATCAGCAGAGTTTGCCTCAGTCAGGTCTTTGCTCAAATGTCACCTTCTCAATGACGCCCTCCTTGACTACTCTCTTTAAAATTGAACCCATTCCCACAACACCCTCTATGTCTCCTTTCCTCTTCATTCTGTATAGCACTTATACAAGCACTTAGACACTTAAATAACTGATGTAATTTGCTGTCTGTCTCCCTCCACTAGAGTGTAAACCCCCTGAGGGTAGATGTTTTTGTCTGTTCACTCCTTATCTCCAGTGCTTAGAACAGTACCTGGTACTAAATCGGTTCCCTGTCGAATGAATGAATGAGTCCACCAGGAACTACAGTGAGGGTGAAGCTCCCAGGGAGGGGGCAAGTAGCGAAAGGAAAAAGAAGAAAATGGATATTTGTCTTAGCCTTTCTGAGAACTAAGCACTTTACATTCAGCAGACTGACGCCCAGAGAGGTGAAGTAACTTGCCGGTGGTCGCACAGCCTGAGAAGGGGCGGGGCAGTAAGATATGTGTGTTTGCTTCAAAACCTGTTTAATTTACCCTGTGCTGCCTACAAAATTTTGGCACCCTGACCTTCTGGATACTGTTTCCACCCTGATTGTTCCCCCAAATGCTGTTTCTGACAGCTCTCCCCCTACCCCCATATGGCAGCAATCACAGCCCTCCCTTTCCCCAGCCACACCACACCCACTAGGAATCCTGTTCTGGAAAACCCTGGTGCCCAGTGGTCTGGGTTCTATTACTAAGAACCCCTGTGACCTTGAGCAAGGCTGGTCCCCCTCCCTCCACACCCCTTCGCTCCTCACTGCCCCATGCCCACCCCACACCACACACTCACTGGGAGCATGGAGCTGCATTGAAAGATCCCGGAGATTCCTCTGAGCCTGCTTTAAGTCCCAGACACGTTCTGTAGGCAGGACAAACCCCTACCCTCCACCCAGGCTCCCACCAGTGTATCTGTCTCGCAGAGCGCCTGGGGTGGCTGAACTCCGGTGGAGAGGAGCTGCTGAGATGAGATGGGGCTGGGCTTACTGAACTCCCCACTACAGGGCACAAGATCAATGAAGCTTCCTTAAAGTAGTGAATGAAGTGAATAAACCTGAGCACCACAGGCCTCCTGGGGTCTTGCCAGGAGTCTGAGGGCCAGTCATTTGCTTTTTCGGATGGGACCGCCCCTCTTTGGCAGCACCCACTTTTTAAAACCCTAAGTCTCTGCAGCCCCAGTGGAAGCCTACCTGGATTTATCCCTCTGGTCTGTCTCCCTTAGGTTCTGGGTCAGCCTTGACAACTGTTCCGTGGAGCTGTTGTGAGGATTCAATTAGATTTTAATGTATGCAGAACACCTGCCCAGTGCCTGGAAACAGTAAACAGCAAATGTTAACTAAGGTTGGTGATGATAGGAGGGGCTCCCCAAGGGGCCCGTCTTCTATCCCTCCTTCCAGATTTTGCAGGCTCAGCAGAAAGGACAGAGATTGGGGTTCTGAGGTGGAAAGCAGCTGAGTCTAAAAAGTTAGGCTATATGGAAAGAGTAAGGCTGGAGAAGGGAAAAGATGTTTACTGAGCAACTATTATGTGTGGAATCATCTTCTTTCACCCTCACTGTACTCTGAGCCCGTGATGCCATTGCCTGCCTCCTGCTGAATGTCCGTGCACCTCTGTCATAGCTCACACCGAATTTGCAAGTATTTCTTTCCCCTTCTGTCTTTCCTGTCATGGAACTCCTTGGAGGAAGGGCTGGGCTACATCCTTGTGTGTGTGCCAGAGCCTTGGAAGCATGCAGGCAGGGCAGCTTTACCCTGTTTTCTAAATCAGGAAATGCAGACGTAAGGAAAGTAAGCACCTTGCCCAGGGTCATGCAGCAGGTGAGTGCAGCAGCTGGGTTGGGCTGTGTGACTGCACAGAGGAGTGAGTGAGGAGGAAGAGCCACTAAAGACAACAGAGCCGGGGGGGCAAGGGACCTAGCTGGGCACTGGGGACAAGGAGTCTGGCCTTACAGCCTCCGTGATGTAGCAGCCGCCACACTGTTGCTGCGTCCCCTGCACTTGCTGTGTCCCCCACGCCATGCTAAGAGCTTCACACACGTGATCTCATTTCATCCTCCCAGGTGTCCTGGGAGGTAGGTCCTATTTGCTCATCCCCATTGTATAGGTGAGAACACTGAGGCCCCGGAAGGCAAAGTGACCTGCCATCGGTCACACGGCTGGAAAGAGAAAGAGTCAGGATTAGAACTCAGTTCCTCCTGACTCCAAAGCCCATGTTCTTAACTGCTACCCTGTTTTGCAGACTTTAGAATAGGCAGGAGCCACCCCGCCTCTCCCAGAATGGCCTAGTTCTCACCGTCTCTATTTGAGACTCATTGATTGATTATTGATGGATGTATTTGTGGTCTGGCTCTGGGGCCTCTTGGCCAGGCCCTGGGCAAGGACAAGAATGGGGATGAGGTGGGGGTCTTCCAACCCCAGGAAAGGCCCTCAGGCTGCCTCCCCCAACCCCCAGCATCCCTGCTTCTGGCCTCCACCCCTGCCAACTTCCCTCCGCCCCTGGATTTAAAGTCACAGTGACGATTAATCACCCAATGACATGGAGGGCAGGCTGCAGAGGAGTTAATTAATTAGGGAAATTTCTCCTGGCCCTTTGAAGGTGAAATGTGTGGGGAGGGGACAAGGCCAGGGACAGATATTATTCAAGCTGAACAAGCTGACTCTGGGAGGCTTCGAGAACAACTCCAGGGGAGCTTTGAAAGGATGGAGACCTCACCAGGGTAGCCTGGACCCCGCCTAAGACTGCCCCTCTTAGCCCAGCTCGAGGTTTCAGACACAGTGGGATGGGGTCCTCCTGCGCCAATGGGCTGGGGCAGACCTGGAGGCAGAAGGGCCTCTAGGAACGGAGGGTAATAAGAAGCCAAAGCTGTTATCTGCATTTCCTCACCAAATTAAAATAGCCAATAACACTGCATACGCCAAAACCCCTGGAGAATGATTCGGTGTCCTTTGTACAGCTTGGATGCTCCAGACACACAGACAACTGGGAGGGGACCCTATCAGACCAGCGCACGCTGCAGCGGGGAAGGGAATGGAAGGTCTGGGCTTTTCAACGTCCTCCTTCCTCCTCCTGTCACCGTAGCCTGGAGGGATTGATCCTCTTGCACTGGCTGGGGTTCCCTATTACCTGCCAGGTGGGCAGCTGCCCATTCTCTCCCACAGCTGGAGCAGGCAGTTGACTTGGTCATGAGATTTAGAAACAGCAGGACGCTCCCCCCGACCATGCACCAGGTATCATCCTTCTGCAGTGCCAAGACTTGGAAACTAGAGAGGTATTGAGGGACAGAGATGCTTAGGACCTGGACTCCACCTTGAAAGCACCTACAGACCCTCCTACACCACTGACAGATGAGGCAAAGATCTGAGTCCCAAACATGGTAGATGTGAAGCTCCATGGGATCACAAAGGAGGGCTTCAAAGAGGTGACGTCATCGGGGGTGAATACCTGGGAAGAAAGCTGAAATTTCAACAAGCATCCATTCCAGGCAGAGGGAGCAAAGAAGAGGAGGTAGCAGTTTGCACAGCGCATGTGGGGAAGGGTGAGGCGGTGGACGAGGTAGGCTCAGTCTACGGTGGGTGGACAGGAAGCCTGAGGACGGGGCATGAGGCAGGAGAATTGAGGTGGACGGTGGTGGAGGGCCGTAGAGGATGGGGCTGGACATGACTCAAACATGGTGGGAAGTCAGCTGGAGTTCTGAGACAGGGCCTGTCTCGATGGAGGGCTCTGGGCTTAGAAAGAGCCTCTGGCAGCTGGGGACAATGGGTTCTTTGGAGAGGGGTGAGGTGAGGTGGAAACCAGTGGGAAGCCAGGTTTCACAGTCCAGGAGAGAGATGAGGATGGCTTCAGTCAGGAGACAGAGCAAGTGGGGAGCTCCAGGTCACTGTCCACCAACTCCGTGCTGGGCACCGCACCAGAAGCTGCACATTCACCTTCTCGCTTGGATCTCAGAAGCTTCATTATCTCCAGGGCTCCTGGGCACCTAGCGGGGGCTAATGAAGCTGGGTTGAGCAGGTTCTGTACACCTGCACAGGTATCTTTTCTCCATTCCCTCCTCCCCGCTGCCTCTTGACATCTCCTTCCCACCCTGAAGAAGGGCGAGGTGCCTGGACACACTGCTGGTGCCCAGCTCAGGAGTCCTCACAGCGAAATCGTGGAAAGCAAGGCCATGCAGCCCACACCACCCCAGCCTCCTCCCCCATCCCTGCCCCCTCCAATCATTCGTACGACAGGAAGAGAACCTAATCCCGAATCTGAAAAACTATGTGATGGAGGATTTACAGTATTAGAAGGCAAACAGTGGCAGGTGTAATTAGGAGAAAAATTTGTCATGCTCTCGACTCGGGGAAGAGAAGGGAAGGTCTGGCATCACAATCTCCCCAGTGTTTACCCAGCGTGCGCACACACGCGGGGGAGCGGGCGCTGGCCACGGGCAGATTAATATTTGATGCAAGGAAGAGAAACGCATGCTGTTCATGTTTATTTAGGATATTGTGAAATACAGTGAAATTTGCAATTTTATTGGATTTGGGGGGACGGTGTTTTGGAGAAGTCTTAAGCCGCATGGTAGGACACGCACATCTCTCTGGAGCATAGAGGCACCAGCTTTGGTGGCGAGCCCCCTCTACCCCCCTTCCCAAATCCAAACTGAGTTCCATTCCCCTCCTGAAATGAGAGAGGATTGGCCCCAGGAGTATGGGTGGAATAAGACAGAAATCTCAGCTGGGCCTCTTAATTTGGAGTTTAGTGGCATGTGGCTGGCACAGAGAGAGGCCATCTCTTAGGGAGGGGGGGAATTCTTGTCAATTACACAAGGGCTGGAAGCCAAGGCTGGGCGGCTTTAAACACTGGTGACCCTGGCCCAGCTTGTGGGGCGCTGGGAGGGAGTGGGGAAAAATGGGAAGAACGCAAGATAAAGAGAGCTGTTCTCTTTGTATCCAAGCAGCTGGTTCATGGAAAGGGCCTTAGACGGCATGAGTCTAACCTTCCTCCTCCAAGGAAGGGCCCAACTCTCCCATTTTTCTTTCCCCAAGTGGTCATCTAGCCTGTGCCTCCACATCCCCAGTGTTGAGAGCTCGTTAGCCCATTTCATTGTCAGATATCGCCCAATGGAGAACTTTTCCTCAGAAACACCTTCCAAGCTACGTAGTTAGGTTGGGATGAGGGGAGGGGAGGGGAGGCAAGGATCAGGGCACATGGTATGCTCACATTTGTGTTAAATAAAGGACAGATCAACAGACAGAGAGAGATGCTTGCACGCACAGTATATTTCTGAAAAAACACATAACAATTGGTAACAGTGGTTGTTTCTGGAGAAGGAAGCTGGATGACGATGAGCCGGAGGAGCCTGGGCAGCCGGAGGAGCCTGGGCAGCCAGAGAGAGAGACCTTCTTTTCGCCATACATCCTTTGACCAATTTGAATTTTTCATCATGTGAACTTAATATTTTTTCCTCAATAAAAATCTGATTTTCGTTTTTAAAAAGAACATATTTTCTACTCCAAGAACAAGCTGAGATAAAGAGAAAATAGTACGGTATGAAAAGCCATAGGATGAGCTATAGGGAGCAGAGGAAAGAAAGGGCTGCAAGGAGACGGAATACACAGCAGCAGAATGTACACCACGCATGCTGGTAGGCGGGTGCACGCACGGAGAAATCACGCTGATCACTGTATTCAACTAAAGGCTGTCTGTCTCCTTGCAGCCTCCACCACTTTCCCACTGTCCTAGTTCTACCAACTGGGTCATGCAGAGGAAGTCCTTTCCCTCTGCCCCACGGCAGCCCTTCAGGTGTTTGAAGATAGAATGAAATTCCCCTAGAACCGTGGCTGGCACCTATAAATATCCCAGCTGGCCCTCTTGCACCAAGTCTTCTCTCCCCTACCACATCTTGCCACTCCTTTTCTCCAGGACATGACTTCTCCTGCCCTCATGAGGCCTGCCCCTGAGGTCAAACGCTTCTCTTAGGCTGGGAGCTCGGAGCGGGGCCGAGATGCCTCCAGGTTGGGGGCGTCTCTGCAGTTGTCTCACACTCTCTGACTTGGACTGAGGCGCCACCTTCTTCAGCACAAACTGTGGACATCTGGAGCCTGATGGCCTCAGAGACCATCCAATTCCCACATTTTAAAAATGGGTAGGCCGGGCGCACGGTGGCTTACGCCTGTAATCCCAGCATTTTGGGAGGCCAACACGGGCGGATCACCTGAGGTCAGGAGTTGGAGACCAGCCTGGCAAACATGGTGAAACCCTGTCTCTACTAAAAATACAAAAAAGGCAGCTAGATGTAGTGGTGCACACCTGTAGTTCCAGCTACTCGGGAGGCTGAGGCACGAGAATTGCTTGAACCTGGGAGGTGGAGGTTGCAGTGAGCAGAGATCACGCCACTGCACTCCAGCCTGGGTGACAGAGTGAGACTCCATCTCAAAAAAAAAAAAAAAAAAAAAAGAAAGGAAAAAAGAAAAAGAAAAGGAGTAAACTGAGGCCTGGGACAGGGCACGGACTGGCCTGAGGTCATGGAAATGAGATCTTCCTGTGTCTACTTCTCCTTCCTCTTGTGAGCCTGCGGAAGCTCCCAGCAAGATGGAACCTTGGGCAGGCCCCTGGGAGAAGTGGGAGCAACACTAGCCAGCCTGCTGTTGGAAGTGGCTCTGCTTCCAGGATAGACAGCAACAGAACCCAAGAAAGGGCAAGCCAGACAGGGCGTGAAGTTAACTTGGGCTTGCAGGAAAGACAGAGGTGAGGCAGGCACCAGCATGCGGTGTCAGTGGGAGGGTGGCTATGCTGATGCTTGAGTGTACCGGTGTGTGTATGTGTGTGTTGTGCATGCACACGTGAGTCCATGTGGTGTGAGGTATGTGCCTGTGTAAGTGCAGGGACTCTGTGTGCATCTGTGTGTGCACATATGAGTACTGGAAAATATGCACACTGACAATGACCAGGGCGTGAGTGTGTGTACCTGTATGCTCTCTGTCTCTGCTACAGCCCTCAGCATACTGACTTGTCTGCATTTGTTCCTAAAGCTGCCTCTTCCCCTGAGCTATAAGCTGAGATTCTGCCTTTTTTAAAAAAAAATCTCCGTAGTCCCAATGCCAAGTACAGCACATGGCATCTAATAGGTGCTCAGTCAGTGTTTGCTGGACTGACCTGTTTGAACTGAATTGAACCGAACTGAACTGAATTTCCCCAGTGTGTCTCTGTGCATAGGAGTCTGTACCGGGGAGAGGGAATGAATCTGCGCCACGTGGGCAAATGCTCGTGGAGTGTCTGTGCATGCGTGTCTGGGGTGAGTCTTCACATTTACATGTAGGTCTGTGTGCATGCTGTGAACATGCCCTGGCACAAGCGAATTCAAACCACACGGAGGGAATGTGCCTACGTGTGTATGCATGTGTGTGTGTGAGTGTGTGCATGCACATGCCCACTCCCACAGCCTTCTCATACATCCAGGCAGCCCGCTGGCACCCCAGCTTCAGCTCAGCCAGCCTTCCTCCCCGTAAACCTGGAGCAGCTAAAATTAGTATGAAAATGGTAGTGTTCGGTTAAAAGGAAGGGGGGTGGGAAGAGATGAGGGTACCCATGAGTGCTATTTTATTTCTCAGTGAGAGGATAAAGTGATTTTTCCTACATAATTTTTGATGTAGAGGCTAAATTAGGCCGGAGAAGAGGGACAAAGCAACTTTCGCCCTCATTAGTATTCTGGCCGCGTTGGCCCAGGCACGGCAGTTATGTATTTTTGCAAGTATGCATATAATTTATTGTGGAGAACACAATTTACATGGTAGTCGATGCCTGTTTTATAGCCTCACAAATAGATGTATGAACTCAAGCATATAATGGCCCAACCAGCAGGCGCAAATACGTTCTAAATCTTCTAAATGTGCTTCACAAAAATGTAACTGAGGAATATAAAACAGATCAATTCTTGCATGTTATATATTGGTTTTTGATTTACAAATCTAATCTGGGACATTTCTTCAGAAATGAGGGGATTTTTCCCCCACGCTTTCCCCTCCTCTTCTTCCACAACTTCTCTGTGCACAGACCTCGCCTGCTGGTCAGGTGCCAGCAGGCATTGCCACTTCTGGGATATGCCTAGGTGCCCGTGTGTGTGCTCATGTGTGGGGGCCACGCTCTTGCCTGTCTGCCTGGGTGTGCACTCGTATGTGTGTCAGGAATCTGCAGACCTCGGGTGGAAGGGAGAGAGTGGTTTCTCTCCATCTGTGTGACCTCCCCCATTTGAGGCTGAAAATTTGGGGAGAAGGGCTGATGAGAGGACCCCATGAGGGTGTGGGCATCTCTCAGATGTGTTCCCTCTGGGCTTCTGCTTAAACGGCCTATTTTCTTCTGAGACCCAAGCTGTCTTCATGACTTATTGGAGCAGAAAAGGGAATGAGGATCCTAGGGATGAAATTAAACTAATATGTGTTGAGTTGCATTTTAAATGTGCATTTTATCAGAAATATTTTAATCAACCTATCTTTAGGTACATGGCTTTTTAAAAAGCCCATTCCATCAATAGTTGAACAGACACATAAATGATGGTGTACTCATAAAATGGAATATGATACAGCTAAGAAAATTTGAGCCAACGATTGCTTCCTACAACAGCATGGGGAATCTCACAAACAGAATGTAAAATGCAAGAAGCCGGACCCAAAAGAGGACCTGCTACTTGATTGGATTTATCAAGCACGAACTGAACCCAACTATTGTGTGTAGAGATGGCAAAACTATCAAGGAGAGCAAGAGTATTTGCCATAAAGGTCAGAATGGTGGTTTTCTTTGGGGAGGAGGATTGGCTAGAGTACAGGAGGGGCTTCTGGGGAGGTGGTAATGTTCCTCTTGACCAAGTGGTGGTTTCATGGATATTCACTTGGTGATAAATTACTGAGCGGTACTTTTTAAAAATCCACTTTTCTGTATGTGTCTTATATTTTGCAATCAAAGCATTTACAAAAATAGCCCTTAAGGACTTATAATAAAAAGCAGGCACCCCAGCTCCACCCACCCCAGCCCTGTTTCCCTGAAGGCAACTACTGGTAACCATTTCCGGATGTTCTCTCCAATCTCTAGAAATGTTGTGGAGTTTCTTTCGAATCTATCAGTGAAATTGTATAATCCTTTTTATTTCTGTAAGGTCAGTGGCAAGGTCTCCACTTCCATTCCTGACTTTAGTAATTTCAGTTTTCTCTCTCTTTTTTTTTTTCTCGGTCAGTTTAGCTAAAGGTTTGTCAATTCTGTAGATCATTTCAGACAACCAACTTTTGGTTTTGCTGATTTTTCTCTATCGTTTTTCTGTTCTCTGTTTCATTTATCTCTGCTCTAATTTTTTTATTTGCTTGCTTTGGATTTAGTTTGCTTTTTTTTTTTTTAGTAAGGTGGAAGGTTATTGATTTGAGATCTTCTATTTTAAGGTAGGTGTTTACAGCTATAAATTTCCCTCTGAGCACTGCTTTTACTGCATCCTGTAAGTTTTAGTATGTTGTGTTTTTGTTTTCATTCGTCTCAAAGTATTTTCTAATTTCCCTTATGATTTATTTTTTGACCCTTTGGTTAGGAGTGTGTCGTTTAATTTTTACATATTTGTGAATTTTCAAATTTCCTTCTGTTTTTGACCTTCTAATTTCATTACTCTGTTGTCAGAGAACATATTTTGTGTAATTTCAATTTTTCTAAATTTATTGAGATTTGATTTGTGGCCTAAGATATGATCTATGCTAGAGAATGGTCCGTGTGCACTTGAGAAGAATGTGTATTCTGCTGTTGCTGGGTGGAATGTGCTCTTCAATCGCCGTTAGAAAGCAGTGTCTGTTAGGTCTAGCTGGTTTACAGTGTTTTTAAAGTCTTCTATTTCCTTACTGATCTCCTATCTAGTGTTCCATCCATTACATCGATGAAATTTTTTCTCATCTATGTGATACTTATAAGGTACAAGTCACAGCCCTAATTTCAGGAGGTTCACAATCCAGTGGGGGTGGGGGAGCTTCACTTCTACCTAGCTGGGCCACCCCATCCCTGATCTCCAATATGGGAGGATCGCCCTCATCCCCATACTGTCTTGCAGCCTGGGGTCTTGGGCTGTGCAACTCCCCATCAGCCTCAAGTATCTCCATCTCTCCCATTCCCACGGTTACTAACCCTGGTGCAAACAAAGCAGAACTGGAAGAGGTCTCGAAGACCACGTGGAGGTCAATGCCCTTGTGGTACAGATAGGGAAACTGAGGCCCAGAGAGGGGCAAGATCTTTTTCTAGGTCTCCTGGAGAGCCAGGCCCAGTGATGTCCTATCAATCATCTGCTCAGCCCACAGCACCATGATCTAGTGGCTATCGAGAAAAAGGGACCTGTTGATGTCACCCTCTGTGTCATTTCCATTTGTAGTATGGGGTGGTGGCAGACAAGGCCAGTATTAGAGGGGGTGAGGGGGCTGTGTTGAACACACATCCCAGAGCACTTAGAAGACCTACGCTTCCATCCTAGCTTAACCACTCTGAGCTGTGTGAGCTTGAGCAAGTCACTCTCCTGCTCTGAACTTCAGTTTCCTTATATGCAAAATAGAAAACATCGTAAGCACTGCCACCATTCATTGAGTCCCTACCAAGTACCCAGTACTGTACTCATACAATTTCATTCAGTCCTCCTGACCGCCTTGGGAGAGGTCAGTACCTTTGGCATAGGAAGAAAGAGAGGCCCCATAAAGCAAACCACCCACCCAAAGCCACAGGTATTCAACCCTCACCCTCTTAAGGCTCCAAAGCTAAAGCACAGAAGCCGCCCGGCCACATGGCCCTCCATCCACCCTTGCAGTGTGGGTTTACATATTTACGGGAGGAGGCGGGGCGCAGTTAAAGAGGGACTGAGTGTCAGCTGACGCTCACCATGGGATTACTGTTAATTTCCTCAGGTGTGATCCTGGCATGGCCAGTTAGTGAGAGGTACTTACTGAAGTCATTCCACATGAAGTCACCTGATATCTGGGATTTGTTTTCAACTACCCTGGCAAAAAAAAAAAAAAAAGAGGGGACAGATGAAACGAGATGGACAAAGCTAATAATTGTTGCAACTGAGTAGTGGGTACTCGGGGTTCATTAAATGCTCTCTCCGGCTTTTAATGTTTGAAATTTTTCACAAGAAAACATTAACGAAAACCCTCACGTGTCCTGACTCCAGGTAGAACCCACCTCAGGAGAGCTGGTGGTTTTCACATAAACTTGCCCCTGCTCGGGGACCCACCCGAACCTCTCAGCGTCCCCGATGCCAGCAGGAGTCTGGTCGCTGGGTGGGGTTGGCTGTACGGTCTGGAACACAGGTGTGGCTGCGTAACCACATGTGTTTCCCTGCCTGCCCTGGTCACCCAACCGCAAGGGGACCCACCATTCCCCAGTGTCGGGACCATCAAGACAGCCATTTTCTCCCTTGACCCAGGACAGCCCTCCTGAGGGAAAATGGAAGGAACGGAAGCCTTTGCTTTAAATAATGGGGGGGAGGGGGCGTGGACGGCATGGCTCTGCAGTTCCCTTGCCAGACAAACACACCCCAGCTGGGGGTCTTCTCTTGCCAGGAAGGGGAGGCTTGAGCTGGACTTCTAGGCCTGTATTCACAGCTAGCATCTCCATGGCAACAAGCCAGTTAGAGGGGCCTCAGCCCGGGCCCGGCCCCTGGGGCCACTTATCTGCACCCACCTCAGGAGGGCGGCATTAATAGGCTGGTGCCTGCTCCCAGCTCTCAGCTCCCAGGCCTCCCTATGACTCCCATCCACACCGCACAGACACTGTCCCTGATATAAGGAGCCCAGGAGACAGAGGCCCCCTCCCTGGCCACACACACACACACACACACACAGCACACACACATTCTCTCAAACTCTCTTCCTCTCACACATACACATACACACTCACACTCTGTCTCACATACTCACACACTCAACACATACATGCACAGAAGTATACCTTTCTCTCTCACAGACACACACGCTCTCACACTCTCCCGCGTCTCTCTCCCTCTCACGTACACACCCGCAAGCACAGTCTCTCACACACATTCTCTCACACCCTCTTCCTCCCTCTCACACACTCATATATCTACCTCTCACATCACACACACCCAGCACACACACTCTCACATACACACCACAGCACACACTCTCACATACACACCCAGCACATTCTCTCACACACCATACACAGCACTCTGTCACACATGCACACACGAACACACAATACACACACAGTCATGCACACACACACTACACACACATTCTCATACTCTCACACATACACATACACTCTCACACGTAAACACATACACAGAAGTATACCTGTCTCACAGGCACACACACATCCCCATCTCCCTCTCTCACACATCCGCAAGCACACACACATTCTCTCACACACTCTTTCTCACACACCCATACACACAGTCTCACATACACACACCAGCACACACTCTCTTATACACACACACACCAGCACACACTCTTACATCCAAGCAGTCTTACACACACACCAGCACACACTCTTACATACACATACACACACCAGCACACTCTTACACACAAACATATACACAAGCACACTCTTACACACACCAGCACACCCTTACACACACACCAGCACACACTCTTACATACACATACACACACCAGCACACACTTACACACATACATATACACCAGCACCTTCTCTTACACATACACTAGCACACACACTCTTACATACCAGCACACACACTCTTACACACATACACACACCAGCACTCTCTTACACACATGCCAGCACACACTATTACACACATACACCAGCACACACTCTTACACACCAGCACACACTCTCACACACACATGCACTCACACCCTGTGGTCAGTTCAGTGGGAGGAAGGAGGAGGCAAACATTGATCCCCTACTCATACACACGCTCCCACCCACACACTCTCTCTCACATACACACACACCCCAGCACACACCCCACCCACTGGAGCACCTGCAGTGCTCCAGTCTGGGAAGCTCCTGGCTCTCATGTCCGATGCCAGACGCCCCAGTGTAAGCTACGGAACCTCTCTGCCTAGTTTCCTCATCTCTACCTTGAACATAATTAGACCAACCACCTATATCAGGTGTAAAACTTAAATTTCATCATGAGAACACAGTAGATGCCCAATAAATACTTCCTCCTTCCTCCCACTGAACGTGGGAAGATTCTGTTGTCTTTGGAAGACTCTGCTGGGCTCTGGCTTAGTGAGGTCTGGGAGTCGCACAGCTCACCAGGTGTGCAGGGCTCTGCTGTGGACCATGGGCCTGATGTGAGCAGCCAGGTGCTTTCTCGGAGCCTTAGTCTCCTCCTCTCTGGGGCCATAAGGACTAATGAGTTAAGAAGTCATTTAGTACCGTGCTTGGTATGTCCTCGATGTTGGTAGTGTTGTAGGAATAAGAATAATGACAGAGCCATGATGCTGAGAAACAGGGCTTACTGTGTCCCCAGCTCCCCACTGACACATGAGCTCGGCTGGTTCTGAAACGTCTATGTGGGAGCTAGAACATCCCGATTTCAGATGGGAAATGAAGGTTTGGAGACTAAGAAACTCATTCAGGCCACAGAGCTAGAAAGTGGTGGTGTGGGGCAGCCAGCTCTGCACCAATCTCAGGGCCACAGTGCAATCAATGCTCGGGAAGCGGTGCTACTGTCATTATTAATTAGAGAGAGCAGATGGATCACAGACTTGCTTAGCCGAGAGCCAGAGCCCTCACTTGGCAGAAGACAGGCATGAGGGCCTAAGTGGGGCAGCCCCTCACTGAGGTCACCCCTGCGGTCAGCAGAGCTCTGGGCACCACCTGGTCACATGCCCGACATCACAGGCCCAATCTCGTGTTCCTAGAGTGCCCTCCCCCAGATCGGGCTGCTGAGGAGAATTTAGCATCTGCAGTTGACTGGGACGGCAAGGGGACTGGGGGGCCTGAGTGGGCTCTCAGTGGCAGAGACCCCTGAATCCTCCCATAAATCCCCCCATATAGTCTTTCTTTTTTCCCTTCCTCCTCCCTCCCTCTCTTCCCTCTTTCCTTTCGCCTTAAATAAGTTTGAATGTTTCAGTTCCTTGTAAGCGATCTCTCACCCTCACCAAGACTGTGCCCCTACCCTGCCCCATTCTTCAAGCTGGACAGCACACAGGGGTACCTCTGCCACTTCTGCAGAATCCCTGGCCCGGCCCAAGGAAGCCAACCCCCGCAACTTCTTCGTTTCCTCCTCTGTGGAATTGGGGTATTGAGTCCTAATTCACAAGGTTGTTGTAAGGACTAATGGAGAGAGCTTAGAAAAGCCCAGAGTGAGCCGGGCACGGCGGCTCACACCTGTAACCCCAGCACTTTGGTAGGCTGAGGCGTGTGGATCACCTGAGGTCAGGAGTTTGAGACCAGCGTGGCCAGCATCGTGGAACTCCATCTCTACTAAAAATACAAAAATTAGCCGGGCTTGGTGGCAGGCACCTGTAATCCCACCTACTTGGGAAGCTGAGGCAGGAGAATTGCTTGAACCTGGAAGGCGGAGGTTGCAGTGAGCCAAGAGCATGCCGCCACTGCACTCCAGGCTGAGCAACAGAGTGAGACTCCATCTTGGAAAAAAAAAAAGGAAAAAGAAAAACCAAAAGAAAAGAAAGAAAGAAAAGCCCAAAGTGAGGTTGGGAGCAGTGGCTCATGCCTGTAATCCCACTGTGGGAGGCCGAGGTGGGAGGTAGCTGCGACTACAGGCATGCTCCACCACGCTCAGCTAACTTTTTATTTTTTGTAGAGACAGGGTCTCCCTATGTTGCTTAGCTTGGTCTTGAACTTCTAGGTTCAAACCATCCTCCTGCCTCAGCCTCCCGAAGTGCTGGAATTACAGGCATGAGCCACTGTGCCTGGCACAGTACTATTAATTACAGCCCTCCTACTGTGCAATAATAGAACACCTCCTATCTAACCATAACTTTGTATCTGTTGACTAATCTCTCCCCATCCCACCCTCCCTACCCCCAGCTCCCTGTTTCTGGTAACCACTATTTTACTCTCTACTTCTGTGAGAACAATTTTCTTAGATTCTACATATGAATAAGATCATGCAGTATTTGACTTTGTGTGCCTTGCTTATTTCACATAACATAATGTCCTCCAAGTCCATCCCAATCCATCATGTTGCCACAAATGACAGGATTTCATATTTTCATGGATTAATAGTATTCCATTGTTTCTATGTACCACATTTTCTTTTTTACTCATCCACCAATGGACACTTAGGTTGATACCATATCTTGATTATTATGAATACCCCTGCAATAAATAAAGGACTGCAGATGTCTCTTTGACATACTGATTTCATTGCCTTTGGATCCAGTAGTGGGATTACTGGATCATATTAGTTCTATTCCTTCCTGGATCATAGTCCTTTTCTTTCCTTTTTCCTTTCTTTCCTTCCTTCCTACTTTCTTTCCTTCCTTCCTACTTTCTTTCCTTCCTTCCTTCCTTCCCTCCCTCCCTCCTTCCTCCCCTCCCTCCCTCCTTCCTCCCCTCCCTCCCTCCTTCCTCCCTGTCTTTCTGTCTTCCTAGTCTTTTCTTCCTCTTTTGAGATAGGGTGTCTCTCTGTTGTCCAGGCTAGAGTGCAGTGGTGTAATCATAGCTCATCACAACTTTGAACTCCTGGGCTCAAGCAATCCTCCCATCTCAGCCTCTCAAAGTGCTTGGATTACAAGCTATTTTTAATTTTTTGAGGAACCTCCATACTGTTTCCCATAGTGGCAATACTAATTTACATTCCCACCAACAGTGTATAAGAGTTCCCCTTTCTCCACAACCACACCAGCACTTGTTATTTTTTGTCTTTTTGATAATAGCCATTCTAACTAGGGTAAGATGATATCTCATTGTAGTTTTGATTTGCATCTTCCTGATGATTAGTGATGTTAGGGCCAAATGAAGTGGCTCATGTCTGTAATCCCAGCACTTTGGGAGGCTGAGGCGGGCAGACCACTTGAACTCAGGAGTTTGAGACCAGCCTGGACAACATGGTGAAACCCTGTCTCTACAAAAAATACAAAAATTAGTCAGGCATGGTGGCACACATCTGTGGTCTCAGCTACTCAGGAGGTTGAGGTGGAAGGATGGCTTGAGCCTGGGAGGCAGAGGCTGCAGTGAGCCTAGATCGTGCCACTGCACTCCAGCCTGGATGACAGAGCCAGATCCTGTCTCAAAAAAAAAAAAAAGTGATGTTAAACATTTTTTCATATACTTGTATACTTGTTGGCCATTTTCATTTCTTCTTTTGGGAAATGTTTATTCAGGTCTGTTCCTTGATTTTTAATCAAATAATTTGTTTTTTCTGAGACAGGGTCCCAAGCTGGAGTGCAGTGGCAAGACCATGGCTCACTGTAGCCTCAACCTCCTGGGCTCAAGCAATCCTCCCTCCCCAGTCTTCTGAGTAGTTTTCTGCTACTGAGTTATTTGAGTTCCTTACATCTTCTGGAGAGTAACCCCTTATCAGATGCATAGTTTGAAAATACTTTCTCCCATTCTGTACCTCACTCTGCTGATTGTTTTCTTTGCTGGGCCAAAGTTTTTCAGTTTGATGTCATCCCACTTTCTTCTTCTGCTTTTGTTGCTTGTGCTTATGAGGTCTTATCCAAAAGAACTTTTCCCAGACCAATGTCATAAGGCATTTCCCCCATGTTTTCTTCTAGTAGCTTTATAGTTTGGGGTCATGTGGACTCTTAAGGCTAGAAAGGACCTTAGAAATCAGCTTACCCAACTCTTCACTATCCAGATGGAGAAACTGAGGCACAGGGAGGGGTGTGCTGGAAGTTACCAGCATTTAGGTGGCAGTGTTGCTGGTGAGATCTCTCAGCACAATCCTTGGATTGAGGGGCAAGGATGGGTGATGTCCTCTCATTGTTCTAAGAGGTTGCCAAAAAATCGTGCTGGGGACAGGTGAACCAAGATACAGAGAAAGGGGCGGCATTAGTTTCCTAGCACTGCTGCAGCAAATTGCCACAAGTTTGGTGGCTTCAAGAGACAGAAATGTATTCTCTCACAGTTTCAGAGTCCAGAAGTCTGAAATCAAGGTGTTGGCAGGGCTGCTTCCTTCTGGAGGATCTGAAGGAGGATCTATTCCTTGTCTTTCTCCCACCTTCTGGAGGCTGCTGGCAATCTTGGTGTTCCCGGGCTTGTAGCTGGGAGTCATTCCAATCTCTGCCTCTGTCCTCACATGGCCTTCTTCTCTATGTTTCTCTGTGTCTCAAATCTGCCTCTTCTGTCTCTCATAAGGAAACCAGCCATTGGATTTAGACCCACCCTGAATTCAGGATGATGTCATCTCAAAATCCTTAATTACATCTGCAAAGACTCTATTCTAAATAAGGTCACGTCACGGGCACTGGGATTTAGGTTTTGGCCATATCTTTTGATGAACACAGTTGAACCTGCTCCGAGAGCTCCCAGGGTCACCATGGAGGAGGGGAGAGCGGTAGCAGCCCCAGAGGCGACCGTCTCGGTGATGGCCTATCCTCCCAGGCCGGGGCATGCCCTCCTTTCTCATTCTCACCCTGCAGATGAATAAATTCAGACCTGCTGCTGGCTCCTGCCACTGGGGCCAAGGCCAGATGTATATTGGGAGCACCAGGTCTTTGAGGGACCTTTTCACGTCTTCCCACTTGAGGGGCACTGTGCTGGATGCTGGGGAGGAGCCGAGTTCCTCTTTCCGAGGCTCTCACAGTCTCCCGAGGGAGCCAAACCCAAACTCCCACATGGAGGCCTGAGACTGCGGGGCAGAGGCCAACACAAAGCTGTGGGGCTGCTGAGGGGACAAGGAGGAGATGCAGGAGGGACAGGAAGTGAAGAGAAGGATTTTGAAGGAGAGAAGTGGTGAGGAGGTTCCCATGTGAGGGCCAGGGCCCTAAGAGCCCTTGGTTCAGAGAAATGCTGCAGCCTGTGTGATTCTGGGGGCGGGTGCCTGGAGGACCCTCTGCTGGAGTGCCCAGGATGACCCCAGGGGATTCTTACCACATCTGGTGTCATGGGCTGACCCCTCTGCCAGGCTCTGAGCTCCTGAAAACAGAGGCTAGGCATTCCATTACAGCATCCCCAGCACGAGGCCTGGCATGCCCCTTGGGAACCTCAAAGTAGAGGACCACCCACCAATCTCACCTCCGACACATTATTACCCCATTATTACCAATTATTACCATCAGTGACTGACTCCACAGTGTCTTTCTTTCCATGCTTGTGTTTTCTGTTGTTGTTGTTGTTTGTTGTTGTTGTTTTTGATAAAGTTTTGCCCAGGCTGGAGTACAGTGACGTGATCATGGCTCACTGCAGCCTCAACCTCCCGGGCTCAGGTGATCCTCCCACCTCAGCCTCCCAAGTAGCTGGGACTACGGGCATGTGCCACCCACCCAGATAACTTTTTATTTTTTATAGAGATGGAGTCTCCCTATGTTGCCCAGGCTGGTCTTGAACTCCCAGGCTAAGTGATCTTACTACTTTGGCCTCCCAATGTGTTGGGATTACCAGCATGAGCCACCTCGCCCAGCCTCTTGGTTTCTTTATGTACCACCATGGATACACACATGCACACACACACACCCCCTTCAAGGATTGGAGACAGCTTGCAGAAAATGCCCAACAGGGTAAAATAAAATTTAAATAAGTGGAGGTGAAATTGGGACCAAGGGAAAATGTGGGTGGAGATACTAATATCGGCATCATGCGTTGAGTGCCTGCTGTACACAGGATGCAAATTGGTGCTTCCAATTTCTCAGGGGAGGAATGGAGCCCAGCTAGGGAGGAGACTGGTCATCTCAGGCTCCCAGAGCTTTACATTTGGAAAAGCTCCTGGAAGTGCCTGAATTCAGTCTTCTACACAAAGTGAAATGCTCTCTACTTCATTACTTCACTGCTCATTTGTTAATTTATGCAACAAATCCTTATAGAGCACCTACTGTGTGCCTGCTGATAAGCACTGGTCAGAGCCAATCCTCGCTCTTCACGAAGTGCCCTCCGTGGGTGGTCTCTCTGGTGCCACTTGCTCTGTTGCTCTGTTCTGCTGCAGGGAAGATGGACACAGGTGCAGAGATGAGGCCCAGCCCGCCAGGGCCTCTTAATAAGACAGACAGTGGAGCCCAGACCCACCTAGGTTTTCTGGAATGAGAAAGACATCAGTGCTGAGCATTCTCCTACATTGCATTTCATTGAATGTGTCATAATGAATTGTGATTCTGGGCTGGAAGCTCAGCTTCTCTGTGCCTCTGAAACCTCATTAGTAAGGTGGAGAAATGTACCAATGTTGGTTTCTTAGTTTTGAAAAAATACTATGCTGGCCGCTGACGTAAGATGTTAACAGTAGGGGAAGCTGGGTGGGGAGCTTATGGGAACTCTCTGCACTACCTCTGTGACTTTTCCATATAGCTGAAATTATTCTAAAGTGAAAAGTTTATTTAAACAATTAAAGGACCTGTCTGACACATTGGCTGTGAGGAAGACTTACTCAGAACACTGTTGTTTTGTTTTGTTTTGTTTTTTGAGATGGAGTCTCGCTCTGTCACCCAGGCTGGAGTGCAGTGGCGCTATCACGGCTCACTACAACCTCCCCCTCCCAGGTTCAAGCGATTCTCCTGCCTCAGCCTCCCGAGTAGGTGGGATTACAGGTGTGCACCACCAGGCCCGGCTAATTTTTTGTATTTTTGGTAGAGACGGGATTTCACCATGTTAGCCAGACTGGTCTCAAATTCCTGACCTCAGGTGATCCACCCACCTCAGCCTCCCAAAGTGCTGGAATTACTGGCATGAGCCACTGTGCCCAGCCCAGAGTCTCACTTTTTTTGCCCAGGCTGGAGTGCAGTGGCACAGTCTTGGCTCACTGCAACCTCTGCCTCTGGGGTTCAGGCAATTCTCCTGCCTCAGCCTCGCGAGTAGCTGGGATTACAGGTGTGCACTACCATACCTGGCTAATTTTGTGTTTTTAGTAGAGATGGGGTTTCACCACGTTGGCCAGGCTGCTCTCAAACTCCTGACCTCAAGTGGTCCACCCACCTCAGCCTCCCAAAGTGCTGGGATTACAGGCGTGAGCCACCACGCCCCGCCAGCACACTGTTAAGCATTGGTCATTGTTACTGGATTCTCACAAGCTATTGTGATGGAGATTTCTAATTCCCATGTTTCAGACTAGCCTCAGAGAAGTTCTGTGACTTGCCTGAGGTCACGCAGATAGCATCAGGCAACATCTGGATTTGAACTCAGGCCTGACATGCTCCAAAGGCCACAATTCTTCTACCACACTGTGCCCCCTTCTAGCATCTCAGTGCTTTTAGTGACAAGGACATGACCACTTTGCCTGGAACAGTTCTGTGAGGTGGGAACTGATCATTATAGTTAGAAATTATCAAATGTGCCTTCCTGTACATTTCATGTAGGCATATTTTCCTGTAGCTTTCATGGGTTGATCTTGGCTCCACTGCTTAGGATTGCATACAGCACATCTCCATCCTGTGCCCCATGCAGCCCTCAGGTGTGTTAAGCAGAATCCACATTCTATGCTGAGGTCAAGCTCCGTGGTGCGCCCCCCGACCCATAGCACAGCCAGAATGCATTGCTCAGGCCTCAGTTCCAAAGACCAAATGGATGTCCACCTTCCCCAGCCCTAGTCCCCTGAGCAGGCTCACCTCATTTGGTCAGCTTCCCTCTTTAAGTGAGGGGCTCAGAGCAGACCCAGGGCTCTGGGTGAGGCCCCCTCATGCTGAGCCATTCTCTTCCTCAAGGGATCTGAACGTCTTGGTTCTGCTCCTGCAACCTGGGAGTAAGGTAGCTTTAGAGCAGCCTTCTCTTGCTACCCAGATGAGGTAAGAAGAGCATGATCCAGGCTGCTGGAAGCTGCAAGTCAGAAGACACAAGCGTTCAGTCCTGGTGTCTCTGTGCGGTGGTGTGGTCTTGGGCGGTCCTTTAACTCTCCTAGGCCTCAGTTTCCTCATCTGTAATATACAAAGATCAATAACGATACTTCTTGTCCCCTCCTACCTCCCAAATGAGCCTGGAATGAGACAGGACGCCCAAGCTTTGGCCGTCCCGCAACCCTTAATATTTCCCTACAGATGAGCACATCCCACGAGGGACCCTAATGCCAGTTTTCTTGCATTTTTCCCCAGGAAGTGTGTGATTTCCTTTAGGGCAGCAACTCTGTTTTATTTACCTTTAGATTCCCCAGTGCCTAATAAGATTAACATCAGAAAACACTTACACAGCACTTAGTCTGGGCCATGGTCAAGCTTGTGAGGTAGATCCCATTATTACCCTTATTTTATAGACGAAGAAGCTGAGGCACAGAGAAATCCCCAGTGCTGTACCTGGCACAAACACGTGTCCAACATCTGGCTTTGTTAGATGGATGCAAGGGTGGATGGGTGAATTAATGAGGGGCCTGGTGGATGAGTAAGTGGATGAGTGGGTGGATGGAAGGATAGATGGATGGACACATGGGTGGGCAGAGGGATTAGTAAATAGATGAGTGTATAGGTGAGTGGGTGAGAGTGGGAAGGTGCGTGGAAGGATGAAAGAATGGATAGGCAGATGGATGGGGAGATGAGCGGATGGGTAAATTGATGAGTGAATGGATGAATGGATGGATGGATGGTGGCAGGCGGATGGATGGTGGCAGGTGGATAGATGGCAGATGTGTGGATGAGCGAGTGAATGGATGAGAGTGGATGAGTGGACCGGTGCATGGTTAGTGGTTAAGTTCTTGTGTTATCAAGTCCTGAGAGTGGGGAGATAATTTTGGGACCATTTAAATGGTGCAGGCATTTAGAAATAGCAAAGGAAACCTCTTCACCCTAACAGTGAGAAGACCCTAGGAGCAGGAGTTCCCCTCCCATCCGACCCATCCACCCAGCCCAGATCCCTGGGCAGGCAGCCATCTCCCATGCCTGCAGATCTCTTCTCCCCCACCCCTGACACTGCCCCCGGGCAGCCCCCCATGCCTGTGGATGAAAGGTTGGCAGAGGCAGCAGGTGGGCGGGCATCTTGTTCCCTCATTGTTGGTGGTAACCTTCCTCCCAGCTGCTTGTTCTGCGTAATGTTACACTTGTCTTCCTGCAACACTTGGATACCCGAGCCAATTTTGTTATGCAAATGAATTCAGCCCATTGTAAATCCCAAGGAGTGAGTGCGTGCCTCGCCAAGACAGCGGAGGCGGGGCTGCGCTGGGATATGAGGCTTTCCTGCTGCCCCTTTCAGGGCACAGAGGAAGGGGGTTACAGACCTTTGCTGCAGACTTCTGGCCCTTTCCTCCTAGAATCCGAGACCATTAGAGCCAGAACAGGCCTTAGGGATGGATTCTCTCCAATTATTGGTTAAAAATCTGAGGCCCAGAGAGGGCCAGTGTATTGCCCACAGCCACACAGCCCATTAGCCAGGGTTCAGCCAAGTTTCCTGACTCTCAGGAAATAACTCTCAGCCATAACTCTCTCTGTGAGGTTGAGCTGAGCCTGCCACCCTGAATCTACCCCTGCACCCAACCCAAGCTGCAGGGGAACCCTGAGACCTTCCAGGGTCCAGAACCTCCCAGTAGCTAGCTGTGTTACAGGGCACGGAACTGACATGTGGACTAGGGACAGGTCTGGCCTGGACAGCCAAAAGGGTCTAGGGAACAGTCTGTGGGTCTAGGCAGGTGTAGGTCACATCTAGGGATGTTGGCAAGGCTGGGCTGACAGGTATTACCGGTTGGGGGCGAGGGTGGAGTGAAATGCCAGGTGTTCTGCCAAGGAGGACAGGCTGGGACCAAAGCCAGGACATCACTGTCAGCAAAAGCAAGGGAGACAATGCTTGGGCACAGGGCAGATGATGAGTGACAGCCCACAGGGCTGCCTGCAGGTGAGCGCTGCCTGAGGAGGGCAAGGACAAGGTACTGGGACACACTGCCCCAGCTGGAATGCTGGCAGCCTGTGGTGGGTGGGGGAGGGAGAACTGGCATTTGTTTCAAGGCTGCGACATGCCAGGCACTTCACACCATCCCCAGATAATTCTCACAGTTATGCTTGGAGACAGCTGTTGTCCCCACTTTATAGATTAGAAAACTGAGTCCAGGGAGGTTACATGCCTAGCCCCCAAAGTCACACAACTTGAAACGGAGATTTAATTTTAAATCCATGAGATGCAGGCATTCCAGAGTCTATGCTCTTTCCGCTCCACATTCTGCCACTCCTGCCAGGCTCTGCCATCATTTATCAGCCCCTTATTGAGTTCACTAACTCAATAACAGCTGGGGACATTGCGGGGCAGGGAGTTGACAAGGGCAGTGGTCACTGGTAGAGCCCAATTTTCCAGGAGGTGAGCATTTCCAGCTATTTGGAACACTCAGGGGACCCCATTGATGCACTGGATAAAGCCCTGTCTTCTTCCTCTGGCATTTGAGGTTCTTCCCAACATGCCTCCCCCTCCCCTATGCACACACCCACCTCCTCACTGTTCCCACTCATCCCGCGCTCTTCTTTGCCTCCGGGTCTTTACACAGGCTGTTCCCTCTGCTTGGAATGCCCTTCCCCACCGTGTCCACTATCTAATCTTCCAGTCTTGACTCTACTGTCTCCTGGGCTCTCCATTCCCCACCCTGGACCAGGCTGGCTCCTCCCTCCTCTGTACTCCTGTAGTTTTCTCATTCACTGCACTGGTTGTTTGTAAGAACTTTTATTGTGTTGGTTTTCCCCACTAGTCCTACAGGGCCAGAGTGGCTCCTGTGCTCATACTGCAGATTCTGTGGTCAGCGACCCCCAGGCTGACCCTCTAGACTCCCCAGCGTCTGTCCGGAGCCCCTCTTCCAGTCTGTAGTCCATCTCCCCCTCAATCACTAAATCCCTGCGCTGTTGATGCTGCCCCTCTCAGTTGGCCTGAGCCAAACCAAATGCAGATCAATCAACTGCTAAAAGCGCTGGCATTTCCAAGCCTGGCCCAGGTCATTCTGAGGAGGCAAGAGACCAGAACAGCCTCAGATATGGGCTCAGGGTCCCTGGGGCTGGTGGCAGGGCCTTGGGTCCCCTCTTCCCCTGATGGCTGCAGCCATGCACCAGTACTCTCCTGCCTGGCCAGCCTCCCAGGCAGAAGCAACCCAGAAGGCAGGATGCTGCCAAAGAAAGCATGCAAGGTTTTGCCATGGCTGTGAGACCCGGTCCTTTGTCCAGTTCTGCCTGGAGCCTGCGGTGTGCCCTGAGCTGGGCCCTTTCTTCCCTGGGCTCAGTTCTCATCAGCCAACTGAAAGGAATGGACTCAGACAACGCCAAGGCCTCCCCTCTATGGGAGCATGTGACAAGGATAAAACATTCACTTACAGCTCAGATGCCTTTCCCTGGAGGCCCCACCCTGGGTCAGATGAAGGAAGCAGTACTGAGCTGTCCAGAAGGTCCTTAGGGCCACCAGAGGAACAATCATTATAAAGATAATAACAGGCTTACCGAGCACTTAGTGTGTCCAGGCAACGTGCTAACAAACCTTCTTCTATAAACTATCTCATCAGTCCTTTCAACCACCCTATGAAGTGGGCTACATTATTGTTCCCATTTCACAGATGGGAAAGGGGCCAGAGAAGTGTCCCCCTCCCAGGCTACACAAAGCCCAGTTCTGCTGACCTAGCCTCTAGTCTTTCACTGCACAGCTTGTCCCCATCTGGCCTTAGGCTTGGCTTGAGGACACTGTGAACCTCTCTGCCCAGGTCTGCCTGCCCCCTTTGCTGGAGAGGGTAGTTCCATAGTAGATGGAGGGAGGAGGATGGCTGGGGGGTTACACACAGTGCGCCCATGACCACAGTGCCCGCACATTCCCCAGTGCCTGGCTTCTCATGGGCACTCCAAGAAAATGTGCTGGAGGAAGGGAGGGAGGGAGGGACCCACAGGTATTAACAGTATATGACCCCTCCACATCTCCACGTGGACAGTGGACTGGGTTATGGGAGGCTCCCATCTCTCAGCCACTGCACAGGCGAGGCATGGATCTGGATAAATACCCCAGAATCAGAGGAACCTGCTCTGCCCTCCCTCAGTAGGAGGCCCCAGACACACCCCTTCCCCTCTCCAGACCTCAGTTTCCCCCTCTGTGCAATGTCAGAATGGAACCAAAGAATTGCCTGCACTGCAACCCCTCCTCATTGCTCTGCCATAAACCCCCAGAGCTCAGGGAGCCCCTGGGTGTCCCCGACTGGCACCCCTGCAGCCGACCACACTGCGGGCACCATCCAAGCGCTCCCCTCGGCCATTCATCCAGGGCCACGGGGTCCTCCAGCTGCCCGCACTCATGCCGCCGCCTTTTGCTTTTGCTGGCATAATGTATGCCCCGTGCTGCCGCCCCAGTCACTCAATCCCGGCCGGTCTGCGGAGGCAGAGATAGTCCTTAATGAGAAGAGCCTGGGCTTTATCTGCTTTCTACTTCAGCCATTATCTCCCCCAGTCTACAGACACGCAGTTACCTCTGACAATAACGCTCAGAGGCAACAAATGCTGATGAGTTTTCTATGCAGTCCGCACAATAAGTCTATCAAAACAACCTCAGAAAATTATGAACCCCCGTGACAGACAAATACAGCCGGCTTCGGCGTGAATTTAGAGCCCCAACGCTACGTTTCTTTTAATTCTTCAGGCTTCCCTTATCTCTGCTGTTCCTCTTCTGGTGAGGAGATAACAGTAATTCTTCTCTGTGCTGGGTTGTTGTTTTTTTTTCTTTCCTTGCCCCCCTTGCTTTTTTTTTTTTTTCCACCCACTGAGTGAGATGTTTTCCATGTCTTTCTGCTTGCTAAAGATAAAGGGTTAAAGACCAACTTATGTTGGGTGCTGGGGAAGGGGGGAGGGGGCAGGGGAGAGGGGAAAAAAGTAATCAGCATTCAAGAGATTGCTATCAGAGAAACCGCGCAGAGAACAGTAATTTTGCTGGCTTCGGCGAGGGTTCTCTCCACTCCACCCCCCCTTTTTTATGAATGCACATAATGCCTGGAGTGTTGGGGGCAGATAAAAGAATTAGCAGCAGCCAGGGGGACGGAGGCCTGGAGAACGGGGGAGAATTAGAATGTCTATCTTTGTCTCTTCCGGCTCATCCAACCAGCAGAGGCTCCCGGCTCGTAAACAATTTAATCTTTTTGCTACAGTTAAAATACAAAGACAGCAAGCCTCCTTCTTCCAAATGGAAAAGGGAGGAGGAGCAGGACAGGAGGAGGAGGATTGGGTTGGGGGCTTGTCGGGGGACATGGTGTAGGATGAGGGAGAGGGAGCTAGAAAAGGGCTGACACCACAAACCTTCCTGCTGCCTGCCTAACCCGTTGGCCCTTGAGACCTTAGAACTGCCAACACTGTCCCCGCTGGGGGACACATACAACCCCGGCCTGGTTGGGTCCAGCCAACCTCCCAGGCAGGAGGCTCAGCCACTGGGGGTGGGAGTCTTGCTCCTGTCAAGGGGCCCTGGTTCCTGTCTTCCTGGGAGGTGGCAGCTGTTGGCTGTCCCAGGATTCTGCCCTTGGTCATCCCACTGTCAAGGTCTGTCCTTTTTTCTCCTCCTCTTCCTTCCTGTCCCACTGGCTTGCTCTTCTCCTGAGCCTAGGCTCTGGTGAGAGCTCTCAAGTCATGCCTTCTCTTCCCCACCAGGATAGGGAATCCTGTGGTGGCTCTGCCCACATGCTCCCCACACAGGGCAAGAGTGGGGCTCACTGCATAGAATGGGGGCTCCGGCTCTTCAATTACTGCCCAAGACCCGCCACGGAGAAAGGCTGAGATGGGATATAAGCATGCATGTGTGCCTCCATCTCTCTTGCTATCTTACATACACACACAGTGGGATGGACAGAACTCGAGGGAAGAATGCCACTTAGAAGGAGGTGGAGCCCTTCTAAAGACAGATCATTTGGAGGGACCTGAAAGTTAACCAGAATAAAGAAGCCTCCTGAGGGGCCCTGCGGGTAGAAGATTAGAGGAAGGCGCACCCTTCCATCCCAGGAAGGCCCGTGGCCCATGCAATTGATCTGCTGGGCATCCTCAGGGTCGATTCTATCCCCATTGCTTGAGGTACCCCCAGAGTGTGGGTTGTTTTAGCCATTCTGGCTGGACCCTTGTCATGTGCAACATGAAAAGTCCAGTTTTCACAGGACCAAGTTGGAGGCTGGTTTCTCTTCTCTGCCCTTGGAGTGCCGAACCCAATGTATTGGCCTTGAATGTACTGCCCTCTCTTGCTTGGGAGCTCTGAAAGGTCTTCCTCACCTCTGGACACCCGAGCCTAGCACAATGCCTGGCCAAGCCTGCCAAGTGCTTGCTAGGTGAAAAAAGGTAGATGAATAGACAAGCGAATGAATGAAGTCAAATCAAACAGGGCAGGTGGTGGAGGGGTGGGTGAAAGAGGAGCTTCCTGGGGCACCAGACACACACTTGAGGAGAGACCACTCAGGAAAAGGATGAGGGCAGAAGCAACAAGAAAGGAGAGCTAAGGGACCACAAGGAGAAGGACAGGGTGTGGTCCAGGGAGCTGGTCGGTCTCTTCATCCCAGGCTCCATCGGCTGGAGCCATCCCCAGGAAGGCATGCGGGAAAATCATGAGCCTTGGGGTCAAGGAATCTGGGTTCTGAGCCACAGTTCCCCATCTGTAAAATGGAAATAGTCATGACCTCCATCTTACAGGGTTGGATTGGCACATAGCAGGGACCCAGCATGTGTTGGTCACACTAAAGAGACGATGTAGTTCCTTGTAATGACAAGCATAGCAGACTCAATAAACCAAGGATGTCAAAACCACAAAACCATCTCGAAGCTCCACAGAGATGCTTTCATTTGTTATTATTATTTTCTTAGTTATCCTTCCACTGCCCTTTACCCCTTGGAAAACAGGCTGGACTGAACCACAAAGTGAGGGATAAAGCTGCTTCCTCCAGCTCCTGTGTCTCCTCTCAAGGCTGGGGAGTGCGGAGTTCAGGAGAAGATCTTTGAGGACTCTGTGGAGGTGGAGTTCTGGCCAAAGGAAGTGGATGTAGTAACCAGCTCTTTCTATAGCTTTGCAGATCATGCCCGGCCTTCTCTCTTTCCCTTTTGGTTGCTTCATGTCTCTGATCTGGGCCAAGCTCTCCTTCCAGTCCCAATTTCAAGCCCCACTGAGACACGCACCCTTCCTCACCCTCAACTCCAATATTCCCCCATGTGGTTAAGCAGACATGGGAGTGGAACATGGCTATGAACACAGGCTTGTATAAACAATATTTAAATTATAATTGAATGTTTAACATTTATATCCTACAATCTGATATCAATTATTTTCAAATGTACATTAAATATTTATCATCTTGATCATATCCTAAGCCAGGATATCCCAAATTGTCCACATATCAGAGTCACTTGGGCAGCTTTAAAAAACATTAGTTCTGAGCCCAAGCCTGGAGATTCTGATCAGTATGTGTGTGTGTGAGACAGACTGAATTTTGGATTTGAGGGGCAAGAAAGTAGATTTCTAAAAAGATCCCAGGTGATTCCATTGAGAAGCCTGGTTTGAGATCTGCTATCTTTAGCCACAAAGAAATGGGCTTCATTTTCTGCATTAATTCAATAAATACTTTCTGAGCACCTGCTATTTGTCTTCATGTGTGTTGGGAGGGGAGGAAGTGAGGGGAGATAAAAAAAAAAAAGAAGCATAGGGTACAATAAAGCAGTCTAGAAATCTCGCTATAGATCCCCACTCCCCAGCTTCAATCCAAAAACCCCACCCATCAGTGATTTCTCACCTTCTGAAATCCACAGGGCTTGGTGCTTGTTCTCTAGTTGGGAATAGAGCAGGAACACACATTAATTAAGGATCTACTAAGTGCCAAACACTACACGAAGGATTTAACTGTACATACGATCACATTTAATCCTCACAAAATCCTTAGTTAGTAGCCGTTATTATTTGCATGTTATTAATGAGGAGATAGAGGCACAAAGAGGCTGAGGAACTCACACAAGTTCCCAAAGCTATAATATAAAGTGCAAAGGTCATCTCCGCCCTCCCCGTTCCCCTAAAATTGTATACTGCCTAAGCACAGGGCTTCTAATTCTATTTCTTTGTTATTAATCACAGTGCCTAGCATTCAGTCATCCATTCAGAAAAACTGATAAATCACCCACTGTGTGCAAGGCACTAAACTGTGGGGGATAGTTATATAAGACCCTGGCCTGAAGGAATGTAGAGTTTAGGAGGGAATGCAGGTAATTGCACAAATAACTCAGAAGCAAGGAGAGAGGCAGCAGCAAGTGATCGGAATTCGGTAGAGATTCCTTCCAGCTTCAGGGACTCAGAATCTCAGAAATCCAGGGTCCTTGGCAAACATTAAGGTCTTATTTCATCAGAGAGGTGAAACACCGCACCCAAGGTCACACAGCTGGATGCGCCATAAATACGTGATGAATTGAATGAGATTATTCACCAACTCCAATTACATCTTAACCACTAATAACTTGGCTCTGGCTCACCTAATGGGATTTCCTCCTTGGACATCAGCCTTCCCTTCCCCCTTCCATTGACATCAGCCAATTAGAGAAGGGCAGGTGCTGTGATTGGGGTCACAGTGAGAGGAAGAGAGGGAGAGGACCACAGCTCACTCCCATTCTAGGCTGAGAAGGTGATCAGTTTCGGGTGCTCACAGCCTCTTATGATGGAGAGTCTGGGAGAAGCTCACCCACGTGGAGAGGGGGCAGATTTGGAAGTCCAATTCCCCTGCCACGAATGCCCAGGAAACACCTGCTTTGGACTCAGCATCCATTATACTCTGAGACCAGCAGGCATGAGGAGAGATGTGGGGCCACATGCAGAGACATTCAGGCAGATCAACAAACCTGAAACAGACATAGACAAGGAGAGAAAAACTACCACAAGAAATACACATATGCATGGGAATAAACCAGGTATACCCCTACACAGAACCACAAAACTAGCTTCTGAGGGTCACAGAGACCCAGAAAGTCAGGCAGCCAGAGACACAGACACTAAGGGATTCTTAACAGAGCCAGATCTCCATTCATTTACTCCACAGAAATGTACTAGGCTCCTACTATGTGCACACATGGGAAGATAAAAGACAGTCTTTGCCCTCACAGAGCCCATGGTCTGGTAGGAGAATTCCAGCATGGAAATGGATATTACAATACAGTAAGCAAAAAACACAAAGATGAAAAGACGAGGCCCAGAGAAGCACAAGAAGAGAGCCAGGATTAGAAAAAGACATACAGACACCCAGAGGTGCCAAGACAGAACAAGGCAGAAGCGGAGACACACAGGTGCTCAGAACGAGAGCCACAGACAGATGTTCACAGATGCACACACATGCAGACACACACGTGCACATGCCAACACCTCTGCTGTACAGGAGAACAGAAGAAGGCCTCTTCCCAGGACCCTCCCTCAGCAGATCTCAAGCTTTCCCTTGTGGGAATGCCGGGGTTGGAGACAGCTAAGCTTTCTTCTTGAATGGTACACAGGCCCATGTGGGGCAGGAGTCAGGCCCTGATGCAGGCAAACAGATCTGGAGACGTGTGGGTAGATGACAGGAAGATGGCAGCTACTGGGGCTGCCCTCCATCTCCCAACTGTCCTGGGAGCCAAGGCCAAGGGCCCTGCTCCTGCAGACTCTGAGGCACAGCCCAGCTGTGGCTATGATGGCAATGCTTGGGCCAGCATAACCCTCCTTCAACCCGAGAGCCCCTCTGCTGGCCCCCTTGCAGAAGAAGTTACTCTCCCAATCTTAAGCAAGTCCTTAGAGCTCAAATTCTGCGGGTCTAGCTTAAAGCCCTCCCGCTGCAGCTTAAGTTCAACTCCAGCGTAAGAGTGTCGGAGCTCAAGGCCCCAGAATAGGTGCTACCAGGAGAGATGCCAGCTTCATGGTGATCCCAGCTCAGGAGCCTGGCCTGCTGGAAGGTACCTACAGCAGCACTCCCTCAAGAGAGGCGCTGGGCCCACCTCCACCACACTGAAGCTAAGTTGGGTGTGGGGATTTGCTCAAGATTCCACAGGGGTGGATTTGGAAAGGGTCTCGACTCCTCAAGCCACACGGCTTCCCCTGACAGCATCCGACCCCTGGTTCCTAGTAGAGTGGGGTGGGCCCCTAGGGGACCTGAACACAAGAGGTTGACCCCTGCCACAGCCCACACACAGGGGGTTGAAGAGGGTTTGGGTGTGGTTCTGGGAAAGAGGAGGGGGATGAGGACGTGAGCCCGCCCTGGCCACCCCACACTACCCTCCACGCCCCCAACAGCACAGGGTGGGACACCCAACAAGCTGGCCACACCCCACCTTCCACCCTGCCTGGCTGCCTCTTCTCACCACTTGAGCCCCGGGTGGCCTACTTTCCTCCGCCTCCTCCCGCACAGCGTTTCCTTCCGTCCAATACATTTGCTGGGGGGACGTCCTCACTTAGCTCAACACTGAGGTGTGGTGGTGACAAAAAACCACAAAACCTTAGGGAGCTGGCGGGCTGGCGAGGGAGGGGCGAAAGTGGCCGACCGCCAGCAAGTAACCCCACCAGTGGCTCCATCAAGGGCAGACAGGACTCGGAGAGGAAGAAGTGGCGCCGCAGGGGCTCCCCTGTCCCCGTCCTCCGTCCCAGCGTGGCTGTCCCTTGACCCCGCTGACCGCCCAGCCCCCTACGAGCTGGCCTCGCGTCCACAGCCCCGCAGGCCGCCCTGCGGCGAGCGCATGCGCGCTGGGGCCCTCCGGGCGGGGGTGCGCGGGTGGGGCGGGGTCGCACTGGCGGCCTCCGGAGACTGTGCACAGCGCGCCCGGCGTGCACCACGCACCGGGCCTGCCCCCCGGATGTTAAGTGCAGGGCCCACGCTTAAGTAGCAATTAAGGCTGCCAGGGAAGAAAGAGAAGACCAAACCGCCTGTTTATTTCCGTCCCTGACCTCCCCCATCACACACACCTCTTAGTTGGAAGAAAAGAGGGAAGGAGTGAGAGAGAAAGGAAAAAAAAAAAAGAGTAAACCAAACCTCACTGCAATTAGGAGTGCGGGCTGGGGAAAAAAAGATACGCATTAAATGGATGTTTCTGCACAAAAACCCCAGGCTGACAACATCTCTGGCCTTGTAAGGGGGAAATGACTGTGCCTCGGTGTTTACATAGCCGAAATCAGGGGGAATTATGCTGTCATACTGACAACTGTAGGAGGACAATTTTAAAATTACACCGTTCAACACCTTTAATGATTTGTAACAGAAGAGGTGTGGCTACTCCTATTAAATGTGTTGCCAAATCAATAAAAGGGATAATTGGAGTTGTTAGAGCAAATTATAGCAGCGTCTCTTCTGTTGCTGTACAATGTTCCCTTGTAAACTGCTATTACAGGCAGCGCCGTATTTCTCTCTTATTTGGCCGCTTTGTAATGAGTTGGCATTTTGCAGCATAATAGTTCCACTTTCTTTTATGGAGCTCTCACTTTAACTTTTTCTCCTTTGTGCAGCCTATAATTTCCTTGCCCTCCCTGCCTCCCTGCCTGTTTTCAGAGGTGGCCACACTGCCTGTCAGCAGCCTCTGGGTGATACTATATTATTTCACATTATTATCAGGCCTTTTCAATCGGCAGTCAGATGGGGTTGAGGGGTAGATGGGTCTGAGGGGATGGGGATACAGAAATGAGGGAAAGAGGAGACAGGGCCAGGAGGAGAACTAAAAAAATTTACAGAAATAGAAAGGAGAGGGTACAAGGGGACACGAGGTTGGCCTTGCTCCCAGGGGTGGGGGTCTGGCCCTTTCAACACAGGACTTTCAAGAGCCTTCAGAGCAGAGATTCTAGCTGTTGGTTTAGCTGTTGGGGTGAGGGGGTGTATAGTGCCCTGCCAGACCCCAGATTCACTCTCAGCACCCCAGAACCTCTGACTCTCCCTGCTCATAAAAACAAAACGGGCCGGGCACAGTGGCTCACGCCTGTAATCCCAACACTTTGGGAGGCTGAGGCTGGTGGATCACCTGAGGTCAGGAGCTCAAGACCAGCCTGCCCAACATGGTGAAACCCCGTCTCTACTAAAAACACAAAAATTAGCCAGGCGTAGTGGCATGCACCTGTAGTCCCAGCTACTCGGGACGCTGAGGCAGGAGAATCACTTGAACCCAGGAAGCAGAGGTTGCAGTGAGCCGAGATTGTGCCACTGCACTCCAGCCTGGACGACAAAGCAAGGACTCCATCTCAAAAACAAAAAACAAAAAAACTGATAAACAGCTCAAAACTAAGAAGCTGTTGATTCTCTCCGTTCCCTCAGGCACCAAGAGCTTAGGCAGAGCCACAGGAAGGGTGTGGGGCTGCACCTCTGGGAGCATCTTGGGACTCCCAGATGGATGGATCTTAGGGGATGGACAAGACATTCCCACTGCAGACAAAGCCTAAAGCCACTGGGAATGCTGAGGCACCGTGGTCCTGGCTGAGGCAGGTGATGAAGACTATCATAGGCCTGTTCCTGGTAATGTATCAGCTGCTCTAAACAGAGCACTGGGCCAGGAGTCCAGAAGCCTGGTTCCAGACTTGAAGGAGCCTCCTCGCCTCACCCACCTTCAGGGCTTGCCCCTGACTGGAAAGGACAGAACCCTTGGGCAGCTGGAGAATAATCTGGCTGTGTATATCATTCAGTTCCTGAGACAGCAATAAAAGCCCGGGCCCAGACAAACTTCACTCAGTCAGTCCCTGTGCTGGGCTGTAAGACAATCAATCTGAATTACCAAGAGGTCTCAATGAGAGACAATTGGAAAAGAAATGCCATTTTATTACTTCCATGGAGCTGCCATCCCTGGAACCCATCTGCTGCCAAGCAGCGCAGCAGCAGGACCCGCCACGATGAGCAGATAAGACTTGATGGTGGACAAATAAGATTCATTTGCAATGAGCAGCAGCAATTTGCTTGCCAACAATGAGCAAAGCCCTAATTCTCTTTGGTAGGTTCCTTGTGGCCTTTTGAGTGTCCTCTTTTTTCCATCCTTCATGATTCAAGGTAACTTTTTCCCAAGGGGGAAAATGAAGGTCAACCTGCCTGAGTGCAACCAGAGGAAGTTTGGGATTACTGAGTTTCAGTGAATACCATTTAGCATGTGACAGATTTCCAGGTACCAGTCACCAGCTTCTTAATTTAAACAATAATCAGTCCCATAAAGTCCCAGCAAAATGAAAACATATGAACAGTTCCATAGCATCTGCTTTTAAAAGGAGCTGACATTTTTCTTTATACTAGTCTATGCCAACAATGCTGCAATTCAACCAATAGTTAACTGTCAATCCCACCAATGTGTCTCCTCTGTTCCAAGCACTGTACTGAGGTGCTGGGATCCAGTGGAAAATGAAACACCATTGCTGCTCTCCTGGAGCTGACATTCTGATGTCCATCCGATAATAATAACAACGACGATAGTCATAACACAGCAATCCTTACACTAGAATTGTGTAAAAGCAACAGCAAAATGTTTTCACTCATCATCTCATCAGAGGCATTGGGGTACGGTGAAAAGAGCATTGAAGAATCAGGAAATGTGGCTTCTAGCTCCAGGTCTGCAACCTGAGGGCACCTTCCCTCTCAGAGCCTCAGTTTCTTAATTTGTAAACTGGAGGTGTACATGTTAGTCTGTTCTCACACTGCTATAAAGAACTACCTGAGACTGGGTAATTTATAGAGAGGTTTAATTGACTCACAGTTCTGTAGGCTATACATGAAGCATAACTGGGAGGCCTCAGGAAACTTACATTCATGGAGGAAGGTGAAATGGAAGCAGGCAAATGGCAGAGCAGAAGAAAGAGAGCAAAGGAGGAAGTGTTACACACTTTTTTTTTTTTTAGACGGAGTCTCGCTCTGTCGCCCAGGCTGAAGTGCAATGATGCAATCTCAGCTCACTGCAACCTCTGCCTCCCGGTTTCAAGCGATTCTCCTGCCTTAGCCTCCTGAGTAGCTGGGATTACAGGTGCATGCCACCACGCCAGGCTAATTTTTGTATTTTTAGTAGAGACAGGGTTTCACCACGTTGGTCAGGCTGGTCTCGAACTGCTGACCTCGTGATCCACCCGCCTTGGCCTCCCAAAGTGCTGGGATTACAGGCGTGAGCCACCGCACCCGGCCTGGAAGTGCTACACACTTCTAAACAACCAGGTCTCATGAGAACTCTACCACGAGACAGCACTAATGGTGCTAAACCACTAGAAACCGCCCTCATGATCCAATCACCTCCCACCAGGCCCCTCCTTCAACATGTGGAGATTACAACTTGACATGAGATTTGGGTGGGGACACACCATATCAGTGTATTTACTTATTCAACAAATATGCACTGTGGATCTACTATGTGTCAGGCACTACATTAGGCACTAGAGATGCAAAATGAGCAAGACAAGTGTAGGGTTTGCTCCTATGGATCTTACCGTCTAGTAGCAGAGACAGACATCAATCAAACAATCAGCATATAATTACAGAATATAAGATAAATGCTGGGAAGGAGAAGACACGAGCTTTTGTAATAGCTAAAACCTGGAAACAACTCACATGCCCAAAAGAGACCAGAGTGGCTGAAGTACAAGGGACAGAATGATCTTAGATGAAGCTGGAGAGGCAGGCAGGAGTCCTGGGAAAGCAGGAACAGGTCAAGGATTTGGCCCTTGATCCAAAGGGCAAGGGAAAGCTATAGAAGGGTTTTAAGCAGGAGAGCAACAGGACCAAAATGCTATGTTAGGAATACTCTTTGCTGCAGCTGTACTGGACAGAAGGGATTGGAGAGGCCCAGAGCAGGAAGAGCGAGGTTGGGTAGGAGTTCTGCACAGTGACCCATGAGAGCATAACAGTGGCTTGCAATAAACAAATGAAAGGATGCTCAACATCATTTATCATCAGAGAAACGCAAGGTACAACCTCCATGAGATTCTACTACAGACCCATCAGAGTGGTTAAATTTTACAAGACTGACCGAGACTACCAAGAAGGGTTGATGAGGTTGTGAAGCACCCGAAACTCACATACACTGCAGGGGGGAATGTAAATCAATGTAACTACTTTGGAAAAAAATATTTGGTAGTACCTTTTAAAGCTAAAAATAAATGTACTCTATGACCTAGCATAATGTCCGCTAAAAGACACAAGCTTTATTTGTAATAGCTGAAAGCTGGAAACAACTCAAATGTCCACCAGTTATAGAATGAACAAATAAATTATGGTCTATTCACATAATGGAACATTATGCAGCAGTTAAAAAGAACAAACGACTCGATTGATGCATGCTACATGGGTGAATCTCACAACACAAGGGAGGACACGCTGCATGGTGCTATTTATATGAAGTTCAAAAACAGGCAGAAGGAATCTGTAAGAATAGCAGTCAGGATAGCTGTTATCCTTGGGAGGGATAATGGCTGTAGGGAGGTAGAGGAAGCCTGCTATAAAGCTGGGAATGTATAGCTTGATCTCAGCAGTGGTTACCTGGGTGTAAAACTTCATCCAGCTGTATGCTTAGGATTTGTGCACTTCACTAAATATAAACTATACCTTAGAAAACCTTAATAAAAAAAATTGACAGTGGCTTGGACTAGGAAGATGGCAGAGGTGATGGAGAGATACAAAATAGATTTGAAAAGGTAAAACAATGCTTGCCTACCTTGCCTCAGCAGAGCGTAGTAAGGATGGAATGAGGTAATGTACAGGAAAGGCTGATGCCCCAGTGGCTTTCTTGCTGTGCATATTCCAACTAAAACAAAAATGGCTGGCTGTGGTGGCTCATGCCTGTAATCCCAGCACTTTGGGGGGCCAAGGTGGGAGGATTGGCTGAGCCCAGGAGTCTGAGATCAGCTTGGGCAACATACCAAGAACCCATCTCTACAAAAAACAAACAAAAAAACCCACAAAAATTAGCCAGGCGTGGTGGCATATGCCTGTAGTCCCAGCTACTTGGGAGGCTGAGGTGGAACCAGGAAGTTGAGACTGCAGTGAGCTATGATGGTAGCATTGCAGGTCAGCTTGGGTGGCAGAGTGAGACCCTGTCTCTGAAATAATAATAAACTGGCCGGGTACCTTGGCTCACGTCTGTAATTCCAGCACTTTGGGAGGCCGAGGTGGGTGGATCACTTGAGGTCAGGAGTTCGAGACCAGCCTGGCCAAAATGGTGAAACCTAAGTGGTTTCACTAAATGGTCTCTACTAAAAATACAAAAAAAATTTATCTGGGCATGGTGGCGGGCACCTGTAATCCCAGCTACTTGGCAGGCTGAGGCAGGAGAATTGTTTGAACCTGGGAGGTGGAAGTTGTAGTGAGCCGAGATCGTGTCACTGCACTCCAGCCTGGGCAAGAGAGGGAGACTCTGTCTCAAAAATATAAAATAAAACAAAATAAAATAAAATAAACAAAACAAAAACAAAAACAAAAATTCCAGGCTCAGAGCTGATTTATTATGAACAGCCCCGCAATTAACACTAACCTCACCACGCCCCAAAAGAAGAGCATAATGAAAGTGTTTGCCGGGAATATGGGCTATCTGGCTTTAAAGAAGGCGTAGGGTCATCCAGGAGGCCCAGTACCAGCGTCCTGACTGGCTCGGCTGAAGGACACCCCGCGCTTACTGGTAGTAAAGAGGCCACTTGCTTTCCAGCTGCAGTGTAACCACTGGTGGTAGCCCCCAGGTCCCTCTTTATCCTAATTGCATTGAATCACAGCATTTTCATGGGATAACGGGATTTCCACGGGTGACACGGGGTTGCAGCTAAGACTGGATGAGGCTGCTGCTAGTGAAATAGGATGACAGATTCTTAGGGGAAGTCACCAAGAGCTTACCAAGCGCCCTCCCCACAACCATGTGAGGCAGTTATGTCTAACGGAGGGCACCAAGGCTCAGAAAGAGGCAGTGGGTTTCTCAGGCCAGGCTGGTAAGAGCAGAGTGAAAACTGGCACCAGACTTTGCAACTAGAGCACAGTGATGTTCCCACCACATCTCAGCCACCCAGCTGGTCCACTAACGCGGCCCCTCCCTATCCCACCGCCCAAGCTCTCTCTGACAGCATCAACCATGGCAAAGCCAAATTCACTGTCCTTGCCGGGCGGAGGCTCAAATTGGCAGGGTCACTGGTAAGTAACTTCATTCAGCAGACTCCCTTCTTTTTTATCCCCTGGGGGGCCATTTCATGGCTCACTCTTTTTGAAGGTCCCCCAGGGAGCTGTGCTGCTTAGAAGGAGAGAGTCCACCAGGGCACTAACGATGCAGACATAGGCAACTCGTCATATCTGCTCTAAAAGTTTCTCAGGCCAAGATCATTCTTTCCATGGTCAATGGTGTGGAATTCTGGGTCTAAATTAGGTTCCTGGGCCAAGTGCAGTGGTTCACGCCTGTAATCTCAGCACTTTGGGTGGTTGTGGCAGGAGGACAGCTTGAGCCCAGGAGTTTGAGACTAGCCTGGGCAACATAGAGAGACCCCATCCCTTAAAAAAATATATATGTATATGTATATTTATATATATTTATAAATATATATATTAATATATATATTTATAAATATATATAAATATATATATTTATAAATATATATAAATATATATATAAATATATATATTTATAAATATATATAAATATATATATTTATAAATATATATATAAATATATATATTTAATTAGGTTCCTGTTTGAGAGCGTAATGGGTCCAAAATACCTTGGGAGGAAGCTCTAAGTTTGCCAACAAGAGGGCCCTCCTTGCCACCTCCACACACAGAAGGGGAGACCTTCCCGGTGGGGAGAACACCTATCAGTCTCCGTAACTTTGGCCTCAGGATGTTTGTCTGCTTTTCTGGGTTCCGAACTCCCAGTACCTCCCTGCCCTCAGTAGGTGGCTTAGAATTCCACACTTCCTTCCGCATGCTCAGAGGCCAGTGCCACCCTGAAATGTGTTTCTCCAGCCGAGCAAATGCCCAGATAGGGGCAGTGTAGTAAAAGTCTCAGTCCGGAGACTCTTATGATAAAACATTTTTTCTTTAATGCAATTTAATTTCCATGCTGAGTCCTTGTGCCACTGGCAGTGGAAAAAAAATTCAGTCTCAGTGATTTTTGAATTTCCTCGGAGTTCTCGTCCTTTCCCTAGACTTCCGTCTAAGTCTGGGAGGGCTTCTGTAGTGCTGGAGGCTGGGTGGGGAGAGTATCACGTGATCGTCCATGTGATCTGTTCACCCAGGTGCCTTCTAAGAGGATCTTCTTTCTTGTCCAAGTGGCACTTTCAGTTCTGTGTCCTTCCAGGTCATGATGGAAGGCACGTTAGGGGGTCTGCTCCTCCTGCTGAGGCACTGGATTCTCCATGAAGCTATCTAGATGCCACCTCTCAGCCACACCCTCTTGGCTCTCAGGGGTCTGCCTGGGCACAGGCCTCATCCTCTGAGGTCCTTTGAGGCAACGATACCGAGGGGTAAAAGGAAGGGATGTTACGAAGGAAGAAAAAAGTCAGTATTTCAAAAATTTCCCACCATAGAAGTGAGATTTAGGAAGCACCTGTGTGTAATAATAAACATTTATTGAACATCTAGAATAAGCCAAGTACTATGCTGGTGTGAATAAATAAAAGAGGGCCGGGCATGGTGGCTCATGCTTGTAATCTCAGCACTTTGGGAGGCTGAGGCAGGTGGATGGCTTGAACTCAGGAGTTCGAGAACAGCCTGGGCAACATAGGGAGACCCCACCTCTACAAAAACAAAAAACAAAGACAGAAAAATTAGCTGGGGGCAATGGCACATGCCTGTGGTCCCAGCTACTTGGGAGGCTGAGGTGAGAAGGCTTGCTTGACCTTGGGAGGTCAAGGCTGCAGTGAGCTATGATCCTGCCACTGTACTCCAGCCTGGGTGACAGAGTGAGACTCTGCCTCAAAAAAAAAAAAAAAAAAAAGAAAAAGAAAAGAAAAGAAAGATAAAATAAAAGAGGCCAGCACGGTGGCTCACGCCCATTCCCAGCACTTTGGGAGACCAAGGCAGGAGAACCACTTGAGTCTAGGAGTTTGAGATGAGCCTGAGCAACATAGCAAGTCCTAGTCTCTACAAAAAAAAAGAATTTAAAAAAATTAGCTGGGTGTGGTGATACATGCCTGTAATCCCAGCTACTTGGGAGGCTGAGGCAGGAGGATTACTTGAGCCCGGGAGGTCAAGGCTGCAGTGAGCCGTGATCACGCCACTGCACTCAAGCCTGGGTGATCGAGCAAGAGCCTGTCTCGGAAAAAAAAAAAAGTAAAAAAAAGAAGTATTAAAAAAAAGAAATAAAAGAGCCAATGAGGCCAGGCACCATGGCTCATGTCTATAATCCCAGCATTTTGGGAGGATAAGATTGAGGATCACTTGAGCCCAGGAGTTTGAGACCAACCTGGGTCATAGCGAGACCTCATCTCTACAAAAAATTCAAAAATTAGCCGAGCATGGTAGAGCGTGCCTGTCATCCCGGCTACTCGGGAGGCTGAGGCAGGAGGATCACTTGAGCCCAGGAGGTCGAGGCTGCAGTAAGCTACTGCAGCCTAGGTGACAGAGAAAGACCCTGTCTCAAAAAAAAATCTTTTTTAATAAAAATTAAAAATTAAAAAAAAAAACAAAAAACAATGTGCTGAGTAGGAGACTGGAGTGTAAAGGAAAACTGGAAGTTTGGCTGCAGACTGCTGGTCCTAATCACATCTCTGTCGCTCCAGCCCTGTGACCCCAGGCAAATTCCTCCATAAACTCTGAAACTTTAGTTCCTTCATCCATGAAATGGGTTCAACATATGGCTTAAATCCAGTACTATTTTTTAAGAGTGACTTGTACACAGTAGGTGCCTAATAAATGATGTCACTATGCAAAAGGAGAGCTCAGAGGAGGAGTGAGTGGGTTTCAGGTTACAAACAAGCAAAAAAGAAGGACTAAATGATTTTGTAAACTTTAAACATATACTTCAATATAGAGTAAAAAGTAACAACCACCCATAGTCCCACCACCTAGAATTAACCACTATTAGCATCTTGGCACAGCTGGGCATCTCAACCCAGATTTTTTTTTCTAAAATAAAATCATCCTACTGTTTTTGCAAGTATGATCCATACTTATTATAAAGAATTCAAACAATGATTAAAAATTCCAAGCTGAGTGCAAACAAATTCACCCCAAATCCCACCACTTAGATCACTGATGGATTTTGAGCTGGTGGAGTGTTGGGGTGATGATCAGGTCTGTGTAGCAGAGAGATCACTGGCTCTCAATGGAAGAGAGTCCAGGAGAGAGACCAGAGAGGTGGCAAGAAAGGACAAGGACTCACCCTAGGTGGTGGCAGTGGCAAAGAAGAGGATGGACTGGATTTCAGAGACAGCTGGGGCAGACCTTCCCATGGGCATTCGAAACCCCTTCCTTGCTTCAAGCTAAATCCCTAGAAAGCCACATACCTGGATTACATAGGTTGGATTCCTGTAGTATTGCCTCCATTGCGTTTGAGCTTTACCATGGTGCCCTCAGCTTTTATTGAGGGCAGACACAAGAAACAAGCACAGGAAGACCACGGCTGCACTTGCTGTAAATCTGCAGTTGGAGGCTTTGTCTATTATGCTGCTCAGAGTCCCTGTGTGACTGCCTTGTGTGATGATGACCTGCTTGAATGTAGTACCAAGGAACAGTTTGTCTCTTTTAGAAAAAAAAAAAAGTAGCACACATTTTTCTCCCAGATAGTGGAAATTATGTAATCTAATATATTTCCCTTTTTGCCCTGGTTGCCAAGAAGCTCAGAGCCTAAATTCATGTTACACAGGTTCTATGCCTAAACATGTTTACCTCTTTCTCATTGTTTTTCATTTTAATTTCAGTAGCTTTGTTGTAGTTATATGTTTTGAGGAAATCCTTTAGGAAAAGAACTCTCATCTCAGAGGCTGTTGAACAATAGGTATTCAGTAAGTATTTGATAGATGAATAAAGTGGTAAATTAAAAAGACAAATTTTAATTCTGCTTGGCAGCCAAGCAGGGCAGTTCAGAGACAGACACCTCCAGTGGCCGTAGGCACAGCCCACAGGAAATGGGGCATTTGAGGAATTAATGGAACAATCTCTTCTGCACTGAGTGAGCAAGACTTACTCCCGCCCTCTCTAACCCTGAATACTATTCAGAAGACACTGATCCAGTGAAGAGAACAAACAAAAACATGGTATGAGTATATATGTGTGTAACCATTGGAGTTATTCTCAGCAATAACTACACTCTGCCTATCAAATTTCTACTCATCTTGAGAGTGAAAGGCAAGTCACCCTAGATCCCCCAGCCCATAGTTATAATCATCGCCATTGCGGGTATGCAGTGCTTTACAAACTGTATACACACACAGCTTCCCATTCAAGTCTTGCAACAATCCTGCAAAGTGAGTGATATTAGCACCATCCCCATTTCACAGGTGAAAAACTTGGGGCTCTTGAGCTGTATTGTTTCTTAAGGTAATCCGCTAGGCATATGTAGCAGTTGAACACTTGAACTTGACTAGTCCAAATTGAGACGTGCTCTAAGTGCAAAATATAAAACAGATTTCAAAGATAATATCCCTCCCCAAAATGCAAAAATCTCATTAATAATCTTTATACGAATTATGTGCTTATATATTAACATCTTGATATTATTAAGAAAATAAAATACATTCTTACAATTAATTTCACTTGTTTCTTTTTACTTTTTAAAAGAGGGCTACTAGGACATTTGAAATGATATACTAGTGCTACTCCAGAGCAGTGGGTGCATAGGTCGGCAAATGTTTTCCATAAAACATTTCTGTAAAACTGGGGCTGGGCACAGTGGCTCACGCCTGTAATCCCACCACTTTGGGAGGCCAAGGCAGGCAGATTGTTTGAGCTCATGAGTTTGAGACCAACCTAGGCAACATAGTGAAACCCTGTCTCTATAAAAAATACAAAAAATTAGCCAAGCATGGTGGTACATGTCTGTGGTCCCAGCTACTTGAGAGGCTGAGGCGGGAGGATCGCTTGAGCCTGGGAGGCAGAGGTTGCAGTGAGCTGAGATCACGCCTCTGCACTCCAGTCTGGGTGACACAGTCAGACTGTGTCTTAAAAAAAAAAATTTCTGTAAAACCAATTGTAAATATTTTAGGCTTTATTGGCCATACTGTCTCTGTCGCAACTGCTCACCTCTGCCATGGTGCAAGAACAGCCATCGATGATAGTAAACAAATGGGCGTGGCCAGGATCCAATACATTTTATTTACGAAACAGTCAGCAGGCTGAGTCGTAGTTTGCTGATTCTTGCTCTAGAGTCATAGAGAAGCAGCACAGGGCAAGAGCTCAGGATTTGGAGTAAGAGAGGTTTGGATTCTGGCTGTAGCTGTTGCCAACTATGTAACTGGGTAGGTTACTCAGCTACTCTGAACCTCAGGTTTTTTGTCTAAAACATGAGGATAAGTCCAGTAGAAAGTGGGCAGAAAACATGGAGAGACAATTCGTAGAATACAAATGGCCAAGAGAAGTGGAAAATATGTTTAAGTTCCCTGCAAGGGACAATGAAGATTAAGACAATAAAGAGATACATTTACCTTCCAATTGAAAAGTGTTTTTTTTTTTTTAAATTGTAAAGTGTGCAGTTAAATATATGTCCCATACATGGTGAATGGGGATGGAAATCAATGTATCCCTACTAGAAAGCAATTTGGCAATATGGATCAAAATCTTTAAAAATGTATACCCTTTGATCTAGTAATTCCACTTGAAGAAATCTATCCTAAGGAAATAATCAGAGATGTGGACAGAGATTTATGTACAAAGATGTTCACTGTAGCATTATTTATTATATAATAGTGGAAAACTGGAAACAGCCTATATATGTCTAGCAATTAGAATAATGATTAAATATTAACACATCAATTGGATCAATACTAAGCAAATATAAAAATAGCATTTAAAATATTTAATAACATAGGAAAATGTCCCCTTTATAGTGACAAGTGGAGAAAATGGTCCAAGGCCATATATACCAGGCTATGCTAGGAATGGAGGTAGAAAGTACATATGTTGGGCCGGGCATGGTGGCTCACACCTGTAATCCCAGCACTTTGGGAGGCCAAGGCAGGTGGATCACCCGAGGGCAGGAGTTCGAGACTAGCCTGACCAACATGGAGAAACCCCGTCTCTAATAAAAATACAAAATTAGCCAGGTGTGGTGGCGCATGCCTGTAATCCCAGCTACTCGGGAGGCTGAGGCAGGAGAATTGCTTGAACCCAGGAGGCGGAGGTTGCAGTGAGCCGAGATTGCACCATTGCACTCCAGCCTGGGCAACAAGAGCAAAAGTCCGTTTAAAAAGAAAGAAAGAAAGAAAGTACATATATTTGCACAGAGAAAAAGAGTGGCAAAAATGCACCAATATGATGCCAAGTGTTATTTCTGGATGGTGAGATTATGTGTGATATCCATTTTCTTTATTATTTTTTGTGTCTTCTGATGTTCTTCGTTTAACATGTATTACTTTAATCATCAGGAAATTAATATTATAAGAACCTTAAACCCTCAACCCAATCAAGAAATGGGCAAAGCATATGCATCAATGGGTTATAAAAAGAGTAAAGAAGACAGAAAAAAAGGCAAATAAATATAAAGGTCCCCAGTCTCAGTAGTAACCAGGGAAATTAAAACAATGAAGACTTTTTTTTCATATATGAGTTTAGCAAAAATGGAAAAAAATATGCATAATAGCCATTAATGGTAAACAGATCAGGAAATGGGGGTCCTCCCATATGCCTTGGGGGGAGCATGCAGCCTTTTTGAAGGACAGTTTGGCAACAACTAGAAAAATATTAAAGGCACATTCTGTTCCATTCAGTAATTCCACTTCTAGCTGCTGAGCACATGTGCCTGAAAAGCCGGTATTAGAATACCCAAGGAAGCATTGCTCATTGCATTCAATATCAAAAAATCAGAAATAATCCACATGTCCGTCAATGGGTGAATTATGGTAAGCCCATTCTCTGGAATATTAGGTAGAAGTTAAAAGAATGAACTAGGTCTACATATATCAATATGAAAGGAGGGAAATCTGCAGAACAATACAACAGAATGATCACATTTATGAGGAAAAATCTCTCTATACATTGTCATACATATATAAAGGTTCTCGGAAAATTCTACCTCAAAGCTCTTTGAGGGGGAGGAGGAGAGTGTGACTGGGGTGCAGTATAGGGAAATTCTCCCTTGGATTCCATAAGCTTCTCTCTCATGAAGAGCTTTGGGTTAAGAGCTCTAAACCTGGAGACGGATTGCCTGGACTTAAACCATTTTCCTGGCCTCACCATTTATTACGTGACTTCGCAACTGAAAATCTCAGTTTCCTCATCTGGAAAACAGAGGTGACAATAATATTACCCGCCTCAAAAGGACATTGAGAAAATGAGATGAGAGGCTGTGTGCAGTGGCTCACACGTGTAATCCTGGCACTTTGGGAGGCCAAGGCAGGAGGATCACTTGAGGTCAGGAGTTCAAGACCAGCCTGGCCAACATAGTGAAACCCCGTCTCTACTAAAAATATGAAAATTAGCTGAGCGTGGTGATGCACACCTGTAATCCCAGCTACTAGGGAGGCTGAGGCAAGAGAGTCACTGGAGCCCGGAGGGCAGAGGTTGCAGTGAGCTGAGATTGTGCCACTGCATTTCAGCCTAGGCGATAGAAAAAAAAAAAAAGATGAGGTAATGCAAACAAAGCATTTAACACAATGCCTGGCACATAGTAGGCCCTCAAACCTCACTACCAAGACATTTAGTAGTTATTGTCATTATGGTTAGTAACACAGCACTTAAAATGCTCTCATTAAATACTTCTGCAAAAATAAAAATTACAAAAGGGCCAACACATTTATATACACCTAAGTGAGCATGAGAATCCCAAACTTGAAAAAGAATTGTGAAAAGTGGGTAACTGGCACACAGCAGATGACAAGTTTGAGGGTGTCACCTCTGGAGTCAGTCTTGGTCCCGACACAGAATCTTCCACTAGCAAGTTGTGCAAGTTCTGCGCACCTTAAATTCTCTGGACCTCAGAATTTCATTTACAGACCAGTGGGTAATAACAATACCTGTCTTATGGGGTTGTGGAATAATGTTCTTGGAAAAGTGCCTGACACAGAGTAAGCATTAACTATTGTGGCTGATGTTATTTATATTATGAGTAGTGGCGCTACTACTACTACTATTACTAAATGTCTTATCTCCTCCAAGTGGCCTCCAGACTCCTCCAGACCAGCAAAAACACCTCATTGTTGTGAGCCCCCATGAGCCCCTCACCAGTGTCTGACAGATAGTAGGCACTTAGATTTTCACAAGGTTGCTCTCACTGCTTTAGTTGGTATCATTTAAAAAATGGAGCCAGAGGCAGCCTGAAGAAACAGGAAGCCCATGAGCTGTGCAGTCAGTGGCCTTAAATCCCAGCCCTGGTTCTTACCACCTGGTGACCTCAGGCTGGCATATCATTGACTGAATCTCCCTGATCCTCAAGATCCTCACCAGTGAGATGGTTTAATAATATTATCTACCTCATAAGGCCATTAAGAAAGACAAATGAGGTAATGTACCTGACACCTCCAGCCCTCTATAGGTGCCCAACAATGTTGCATCCTTAATGATACCCCCTTGCTGACTTAATAGAGATGGCAATGGCATTTGCCTACTAAGCTCTGCTGTTTGGACCACAATTACACATCACTGCACACCTATCGCATGGTATGCCACAACTCAGGCCAAACGCCTAAGAGGAAATAGCCACTTGGAATGCAGACTTTGCAAATTTGTAGAAGAGTGGTAACTCCACAGGGGTTGGGCTGCATGGGCTGGTGGCCGGGTGTGGTGGCTCACGCCCGTAATCCCAGCACTTTGGGAAGCCGAGGCAGGTGGATCACCTGAGGTCAAGAGTTTGGGACTGGCCTAGCCAACATGGTGAAACCCTGTCCCCACTAAAAATACAAAAATTAGCCAGGCGTGGTGGCGGGTGCCTGTAATCCCAGCTACTTGGGAGGCTGAGGTGGGAGAATTGCTTGGACCTGGAAGGCGGAGGTTGCAGTGAGCTGAGATCACGCCATTGCACTCCAGCCTGGGTGACAGAGCAAGACTCCAAGTCAAAAAAAAAAAAAAAAAAGGGCGGGTAGGCCTGGGTAGAATCAAAATAATAATAGTAATAATCACAATAGCAACAGCAATAGTGTTTGTACCAGGCACTGAGCTAAGCATCTTACACGGCTCCACTTCTTTATTCTTTACAACATTCCTATAAGGTTGCAGCCCTAATATAATAAGCCCCAATTTACAGATGGGGAAACTGAATCTGAACGCAGGAAAGGAACTCTCTCAAGGTCACAGAGCAGGAAGTGGCAAAGCAAAGACCCTGTTTCTAGAACTCAAGCTCCTAACTTCTCTCGTTGGAGGGGGATAGGACATGTGCACGTGGGCGCACACTCCTGAGTCCTCAGTGAGCAAAGGTAGGTGGGTCTGCAGCACCTCAGGAGTATCCTGCCCCTACTTTGTCTTCTTTGGTGAAGAACAAAGAGGCATCACACAGTACGTCTAGGCAGAGCTGAGGCCCTGAACCCAGGGGTCTGTGCTCCTGGTTCAGCAGGAGCTGCCATTTTCCTGGCTAAACACACAAAAGTGTCTACCCCAATCCTAAAATAATAATGCTAACAATATCTCTACTTTTCTGAATGATTAAACATTTTTACAGTAAAGAAAAAAAACTCTATACAAAAACCAAAATAAAGGCTTCAAAGCGTTAGGGAGCCAGGACTCAAGTATTCACGATCACTAACCAGTCAAAGCAGAAAAGACCCACCTGTGCTGCCCTCTTGGGGCCGGCAGATGGCAGGGCGGGGGCAAGAGGCCAGGAACAGAGAGGTCCCAGTCTGATCTAAGAAGTAGCCTTTATTCTCTCAAGACTTGGAGCACACACGTAGGCCCAGTGGTGACCTGGGCATCAGGACCTCTGAACAGCCCCCTCCCCAGGCTTTCCAGACAGAGATGGGTTGGCTGACAGATTTCCTTTCTTGCAAGGTGGACAGGGTCTCGGCTCTAGGCATGAGTGCTCTTGGTATCATTGACAGAGAAGAGAAACTGTGGCCAGTGAGACCTGTTCATCGCTTCCCTTGTTTAATCGCCAGAAGCTGCGCTTTGTGAATGGGCGAGGAACCAGAATCTGACATGTCGTGCAGGAGGGACAATGTGAACTCGAGTGACAAAGCCAGCTTGTGTGTGCACAAGTCCACGTGGCTGTGTGTAAGCACCTATCTGGGAGTATACAAAGGGAAGCTGGTCAGACACTCCCGCGGTAATCTTATAGTTTTTCTTCCAGACCCGAGAGCCGGGGTTTCAGTTTCAGCAAGTGAGAAGGAGTTGGAAGGTGACACTGTGCCTGCATTCAAGGGCGCAATATGCAGCAAGGGAAAGTCTCATGCCCAAGAGTGTCACCAGGAGTGTGTGGCTTTGGGTGCCAGAGCCAGTAGGAGAGGCCACTGCTCCTTTCCTACTTAATCAAACCTCCTGGCATTGACAGAGGTGAATTGGGGGTGGAGAGATCTGCCTCACCATTATCTCTGCTCTTGTGGCACCTTCTCCTCCCCCCACTCCTATCTCTCTCCCTCCTTCTCTCTCCCTCCCTCCATCCCGGCTTTGCTCCCGCCTATGAAAAATCAGCAAATAAAAAGTTACATTAACCCCACCCTGACCTCGCCGACATAATACACTGCAGGCTGATGCGCTGCCTTCGGAGGCTCGCTGAGAACCTGTCACTCTCCAATGTCCCGAGCACAGCCTGGGGAGCATTTACCAGATAATTAATATATTAAATGCATGAAAAATAGTTACACAGACTTCCCCTCCCTGCCCAGGGAAGGGGGGTGGGATGCAAAAAAGACAGATTCAGGCTGTATACCATCAATATAAAAGCATCCCCCGAATAGCCGCCATAAAAACTGTTCATAATTTTATAGCTTCATTCCTGTTGGAGCACCATAAAGGCAAGTCATATTTTTTACACTCAGGATGCCCCATAAAAAAAAAAAAAAGAAGCGAATGAGAAAACGAGAACTTGGCAGGAGGCGCCTTCACTCTCACCTGAGGGTGAGGGAAAAGAAGGCGTCCCCCACGTTTGTCCTCTCTGACCCCCTCCTTCCACCATTTTCTTGGCCCAGCTGTGAATTCTGATGAGTCCCTCAGAATAATTATTAATTGGATGACTTTATGACTTTTTATTTGGCCTTTTTTTCTTTTTGCTGATTCCATATTTGCCTTTTATGAGGATGGAGGTGGGGGTAGAGATGGGATGTCTCTCTGTGTCTAGGCCATTCCACCCCTCTACCTTGCTTCTGGGAGATGGGGGTACAAAGAGTGGAATGAGCAGGGTCTGGTTGGACCACCTGGATCTGTTAGGGTTCAGGTGTTAAGAGGCCCAAACCAGGTGATGGAGAGAAAGGAGGAAGGGCTGGGCAGAATGTCTGTAGGGCCGCTGATCTCCCCACCTCAGCTGGCATGGGATGGGCCCCTCAGGGTTCCCTGCAGAAGCCAGATGTCCCTGCACAGACTGTCACACAAACAGTTCAGGATTGGGGAAGGGAACGCAAGATCAGCTACAGACCCAGGCCTGACTCACCCAGGCGGTGAGCAGGGTATCCAGAGCCAGAAGGAAGATTTCCTCTCCTGATCATTCTGTACTGCAGTGCCCCAAGAAGACATGGTAGTAAGATGATCTCTTCCCTGCGACATCCCCAAACGCACCCGCGGCGCGTGCACAGGCACACACACCCCCCCCTCCCCATGCCTTCAGAGACATCTGACCTGCTCTCGCTGACCTGACCCCAAGAGGAAGCCTTGACCCCCTTCCTGACCCTGGAGTAGGGGATGAGGTGGAGGAAGTGTCCCCTCTCTTGGCAGGGTCAGGCGCGGGCGCAGCCGCTGTGCGAGAAAGTCGCGAACACACTCTCCCGACGCCTCTATGAGGAGCAGCGGACGCATGGGGGAGACAGATACTCGCAGAGACGCGCGGAGGAGGCACCCCACCGCCTCTCATACCCCGGTCGCCTGCCCCACCCACACCTCCAGCCCGGGATGCCGGTGGGCCGAGGGACACGCAGAAGGGCCCGGAGGCTGGATGCCAGCCCAACCCGGGGCGGGGCTGGGGCGCGCGCCTGCGAAAAGGCCGCTGACCGTGGTGCTGAAAAGGCGGGTGGTCTCCAGGCACTGAGAAAAAGCAGGCAGCTGGGCTTCCAGCCTGGCCGGACCGGTCCAGCTTGGCACGCCCAGCCTCCCCGGGTATCTGTCACTCTGATGGGCTTGAGCCGATTTCTACCCAGCTGAGCTGAACGGTTTGTGCCTCCCCTCTTTCGGGGTTTCTGCAGTCTGCTTGCCTTTACTCGCCCTGCCATCCCTGTAAAGGGTGGAAGCTGCCCCACCTTGGGTACCATGTCTTCCCAATAAGACCATAAGACCAGGGTATCTGCCACTGCAAAGAAGCCCTCCCCGATCACACTGGCATCCCCTGAGGCCAAGGGGTCTCTCTTCCCCAGTGGTCTGGGAGCTCCCTGACGGGCAGGCTCTGTTTTCTTCCATCAGATGGGCCTTCTTTAGGCCACCCTGTTCTCTCAACAGACTGAAATCTCTTGAAAGACAGACTCTGTCTCCCCCATTAGACTGGGATTTTACTATGCCAAGTGTTATACATCCCTCTCCATATTTAGGCTCCCACAGAGCAAGAATTTTTCTCTACCATCGAACTGGGAGGCCTTCCAGAACACAGAGGCTGTGTCTCCTCTATCAGACTGGAGTTTCTGCAGGGTAAGGGCCCAGTTTCCCCAACCAGATCAGAAGGCCCCCACCCTGATTGGAAGCTGGATTTCTCCCATAAAACTAAAATGCTTCTCAGACCAGGGGGTTGGAACTCTCATAAGACTGCAGACCTCCCTGGTGGAAGGCACTGTGGTTACTCCATAAGAATGGGAACCCTCCAAGGACAGGGGTTCCAGCACCAGACCAGAAGCCCCTCTCAGATCAGAAACTGAGTCTCTTCCATAAGACTGGGAACCTCAGGTAGGAACATGACTCCTTCATGGGAGTCTGAGGGCCCCTCAAGAGCAGAGGTTCCCCCACTACACTGGAAGCTCCCACACATCACCCAGGGCGAGAGGCAAGTATCCTTTGTTCAACTCTGCACCAGAAAGAGATGCCTGGTTCCTGCTATGGTGGAGCCTGATTGCACCATCTGTGAACTGGACAAAAGGGACTAATATTATCAGCCCCTCTGTGTGCCAGCCCCAGCCCCAGCCCTTCACACCCATTATCTCATGGCTTTACCACCATTCTGCAAGGCAGATATCCTTATCCACTTTCTGCACATGAGATGAGACTGACATACAGGACTCCCACTCCAACTCCTTTGCCCCCAGTCCTGGCCTCCCCCATCCCTCCCCTCTTCCCTCTCCCATGGTTCCTGCCCAACCCTGCTGCTCCATTCCTATAAAAGCAGCCATGTGGGCCAACCCAGGGCCATAATCTCAGGGCTTGAAAGGAATCACGCTTCAAGCAATGAAGAAGCTGTACAGCAAGGGCCACTCTTCCTCTCCTTGGGTATTCAGGACTGTGGGAAGGGGATGATGAGGGCTGGGGCTGCAGATAATGAAGGACCTCTTGTTTTCTCCAGAAGCCCTGTTACCTTGGTAATTCTATGTGCACTGGGAAAGGAAGAAGTGCATGGAAGAAAGGAGGATTACTGGGATACTCTGTAAATCAGATTTTTAAATTCCACTTTTTCTTTTCCTTCTTTGTGTTTTTCTCTTTTGCTAAATGTAAACCTATGCTGTCTACTTCCCCCTTCTCATACCCAACACAGTATCTCAACATGTTGGGGTGAGAGTAGCTATTACCATCTCTGAGTTATATATTGTTCTCTCTCTCTCTCTCACTGTGTGTGTGTGTGTGTGTGTGCATGCGCGTGCATGCATGAGTGTGTTTAATGAAAATAGGTCCACCTCCTCTTCCAGACCAGAACTAAAATGGAGTGAGAGTGGGGGGATAAACATCCTCCTCCCCCAAAAGGAAAAGCATCAACTAATTTGAAAAATATTTAAGAAACTCTGGGTCGTCATCCACTCGCTTCTCCCTGCTCCATAATTACACTGCAGTGCCTGATATTTTCATGGGACATTAAACCAGGAGTCAGGTGATGGGTTCCTTCCGTCTACGCCTATCCGTTAGCCGCCAGGCCCCTGCGGACCTTGACATTATTAATAGTCCTATTCATTAAGTATTACTCTTGTAGAATGAGTAGCATAATATTGGCCTGGAGATAGGAACAGGCAGAAGGAATAAGTCAAATTAATTTTCCGGAGCAAACGCCCCGGTTCTGTAAATGACATTCTGTACTGTTAGCATTTTAAATGTGGCACAAATGGCAGGAGACACAATTTGAAAGCAAAATACTAGAAGACATGGCTCAGGGTGGAACGTGGCAGCAGGAAAATCTAAGAGCGTCAGGGACCTGGGGGTGGGAGGGTCTGGCCCATGCAGTCACAGGGAGGGGAGAATTTTTTTTAATGGGCATTTATATTAAATGCAGTTGAAGGAGGAGGAAGGGAGGAGAGTAGGCAGTGAGGTCTGTGTGTGTGACGCTGTGTGTGAGTGTGTAGAGGGGTATCTGGTGGAACAGAAAGGAGGAATCAATCACAGTTCTCCTTCTCTCCCTGCTCCTCCAAGCAGATGGTCTGGGGTTGGAGCTGAGAGGTTCTGCCACTGACTCCTCTAGGGGGATGTCTTCTACCCCTTTTAAGTCTTTCTGACTAGGTCTAGAGAAGACTAACTCTTAACCTTCTTACTTAATGAGGTTTGATCTTCAGGGTAGGTGAGGATACTCACTCATTCACTCAACCCTCTACCATCTGTTCAACAATACACGCCAACTCTGCACAAGCCTGGTGTTAGACTGTAGAGTGTGGGGCACATGCAGATTGGTTACACAAGGGCCCATACCCTTCCGAAGCTTAGAGTCTAGTGGTTGAGCCATGGGGAGTCCAGGTAATGGTGGTGCAAGGCTGTTTGTGATCAGGTCAATGAGGGAGGGAAATATGAAAACTGTAAAGTGCTCAAGACAGAGAGAGACCATTCCATTGGGTGAATCAGAGGACACTTGCTAGAGATGATGGCTTTTAACCTGGGTTTTGAAGGATGGGCAGAAGTTGGACATGGAATAATGGAGAAAGGCAATTCGGATGAAGAAAGCAGGATGAGCCAAGACAGGAGTGTCAAAAGGAGCAACATGAATTGGGGACGGTAGGGCTGTGTTCCAGGATAGAAGGCTTGGGAAGGGTAGTCATTGGCAATGATGTTAGGAAGGCTACTCTTGCACAGTCCTATACTAAAAGTTCTATACTAAAAGCATCTAAAAATTCAGAAACTAGTGTGAGAAGATGGTGCCTCCTTGAAGTCCATACTCCTGTCTCATTCTCCTCATGACATATGGACAGGTGCTTGCCAGAAACAGGGAAGAGTACTGTGGACTGCGGCCCATGCCTTGGATGGTTTGGGGGCCTGTCCCACTGCATCCCAGTCAGTGGCTAAGCAAACAGGAAGCTCAGTTTGGAAATCAGATTGTGTCTCAATGAAATCAGGCTGTGGAGTATGTAAAAAGGTGAATGGACACTCATGGGCCACCACTATTCCCACAAGGAAACCAGAAGCAGGACTCCTTTCTGTTTAATTTCACTTGCCAGTGGGCTTTTTTGGGTCTAGCAGCCATTACCACCCACTTAGGTATCTTTAAGCATTTCAAACATGCCCAGAGGACAGGTAGAACCTTCATCTTAGCACTCTGCCTGGAGCTGAGCTTCTACATAGCCGTGTTCCTGTCCTCCTTACTCTCTCCCTATCCAAGCTTTGGAAGGGTTTTTCTCCTCCACTTTGTGGAAGGCAATGTCTGAAGAACTTACCTGGATCCTGACTAGAACCTGAAGCCATTCAGGATCTGAGAGAGCCAAAATCTCTGAAGTGTGGGCCCTAGAATCTATCCTTAAGGGTTTTGGAGGTGGAAGGCAAATATAAATATATGAAAAACTTAATGCATTTCAATCTTCGATAGGGAGGCACGTTTAAAACGTTAAATCAACAATAGTTATCACTTACATGGCAATTACTACATGTTAGACACTGTTCTATGTACTTTTACATGTATTAACTCATTTCATCCTCACATCAGTCTTATGAGGTGAGTGCTGTTATTATCTCCCTTTTACAAATAGGAAAACTGAAGCGCATAGGTGTTAACTAACTTCCCCAAAGTTATACTGGTAATAAGTGGCAGGTCTAAGCTTTAAATCCACGTAGCTTGGCTCCAGAGCCCATGCTCTTAAAAAGTTTCACTATGTGAGACCATAGGTCAGCCAAGGCCTAGGGGATTAGGGGCCAGAGAGGTGGTCTGGAAGGTTCTTGGGGTCAGAAAACCACATGTTGACATCTCAGACAGAGCTGAGTGACCAAAGAATCCCTCTTACCTAAGTTCAGGGGAAAAAAATGCTATCTTGGGTCTGCCTGGGTCTGAGACAGGGAGCTGCAGAGCCAGGATTCTGATGTTTCATAGTCACTGGTTCTGATCTGACCTTGTCCATTCTACCATAAAAAAGGAAGGAGTGCAATGGAAAGGAAACAGGGCTGAGAGTCAAGAGTCCAGTCCATCTCTATGGATCTTGGAGAAGTCAATGGCCTCTCTGAGCCTCAACTCCTCATCTCTGAAATAAAGACCTTAAACTGGATGCTTTCCAGAGTCTCTCCCAGCCTCATCTCTGAAATAAAGATCTTAAACTGGGTGCTTTCCGAAGTCTCTCCCAGCTCTGACACTCTACTAAAGCGATTCTCAACTTTGGATGCACATTGGACTCGCCTGGGTAGCTTTTAAAAAATACCAACACCTGGGAGGCACACCAAGCCAAGTGAATCAGAATCTCTTGGGGAGAATAATCCAGACACTGGTAGTTTAAAAACCTACCAAGGTGATTCTAGCATGTATTCATGGTCTATAGAATCCAGGTGCATTGAGGAACTAAGGCTTCATTCTCACTCTAGCCTCATCAGTGATCTTAGAAACTGATGACCAGGACCATGTTGAGGGAGGGGAGTGGTTTACAGCTAAGGAGAACAGTACACTGGACCCAAGAATCCAAAAGTAGCCCCTGATTTTACGGAAAAGCAGCCTCTCAAAAATGACTGATTAGACTCAAACCACATATCTGTGGACAGAACTCGAAGCTGAGAATCCCTGCGGCCTCTTGGGACAGTAGATCTTGTGGACCCTTCTTACTCCTGGCATTCCAGATCCTTGGTTGTATAGCATTTCCCTTCAATTTTGGAGGTGCCTTCCCCCATAAGTTCTTCCCAAAGAAATGAGGTTCCTACCTCCCTCTGAATCTCACTGGGACACCACATCTTTTGGGGAACCAGCTAGGCAGGAGGACTTCTTCCATCCAATGCTAGAGGAGGAGTCATATCTTCCCCTCACAGAATAAATACATTTAGCAGCCTCCGCCTTTTTTTTCCCAATTTAGTATTGTTTAATATGCATTTAATCAGGCCATTCGGTATTACAGCGGCTATGTAGCGTGACTCCCCCCATGGGCACGGGGGGAGGGCGTTATAGGCCATTAGGCTAAAGTAATATGTATGAGGAGTCACTTTTCCCCAGGGCGCAGTAACTATTTTTGCTCCCCAGTCGTCCCCATTAAATCATTAAACCTCATGACTATACTTTCTGAACTCTACCATGATCTTTAAAAAGCCAAGCATTAAAGGGCAGCTGTCACCCTCCACTGCCCAGGCCTCCGCCGCTTTATGTATTCACAGCATTAAGTCCTTTGTCAGTCTATACATCATGGGGTGGGGGGTGGAGTTACAGCCCACGAGGAGTAGACATCCCATCCTCCAGCCCCCCAGCTCTCCCCTCGGGAGGGCTCAAGGAGTCTGGTGATATTTCCCCCGCACCACCTCCCCACCCACCCAAGGCTTCATAGTCTGGCGAAGAGGGGATGTGGAAACGGTGGTCTGAGAACTGTCCGTGGTTCTGAAGACCTATCCCACAGACGGACATCATCCTCTCATCCCCTCTCTAACCAACTACATCTGGCTTTCTCGACCGGCAAGCGTCATTTCATAACCAAACCCTTCCTGAAAGTCTCTGTTTTTCCTCTATGGTGAGTATGATACTGCCCAAGGAAAATTCTGGGTAGTGCAAAGATCTGTGGATTAGGATTCAGAAAGCTGCTAACTGGCACAATTTGGACAAGTCTGAGCATCAATTTCTTCACTGATAAAATGGTGCTGATAATACCTATCACACAGGATTGTTAGATTTAATAACATGTTTGTCAAAGTTATTTTCAAACCCATAAGCACTGCACAATAATAGCATATATTAATGGTTAATAAAAATTAATATGAATTTCATTTTATTCTTTAGTAAACATTTATTTATATTGTTAATACTATTTATTATTGTTGTTGATAGGTGTTACTCAATCATTTCCCAAGAACTTCCTTCTTCCCTAGGAAATCTCTACAGAGATGCAAAAGAGGACTACCACTATTAGAAAAAGAGAGGTGGCATGTTTTCATTTTATTCTACCTCCTGTGAGTTGAAGTGGAGAGGACTTTTCAGTCCCTTCTTCCATGACCCAGTCCCCACCCTGTCCCCCATCCAATCCCAACTCTAACCCCCTAATCCTCACCCTGGACACACAGGTGCTTTTCTCACTGTGCATTCCCACACCTGCCTCACCATCAAAGGGCTGGGCAGGGAAGGGTTAAGCATCTCAGCAGCCCCCAACAGGGTCCTCCTCACCGGCTGGGAAACAATGGAGCCATCAGTCTATATTTGACCTTTGCCCCTGCAGCGTTTATGACTTATTCCTCTCCTTCACTGCCTGCTGCGATTCAGCCTTCAATCTCGCACCCCTTGCCAGAGTGGAGCTGGCCCTCCCCCCAGCACCCTCCCCAGCCTCTTTGGCCTCCCTCCTTCCCCTTTTCTCTCTTTCCTTATCTCTCCTGGATTCCTTTCTGTCTTACTCCCACTCTTTTTTATTTTCGCCTTTCCCTTACTCCCTCATCATGCTCTTCACCCAACTTCCATTTCTTTCTCCTTTTCTTTCTTTCCCTTCCTTCTTTCCTCTTTCTTTCCTTCTTTTCTTTCTTTCTTCCTTTCTTTCTTTTTATCTCTTTCTTTATTGCCTTTTCTTCTCTTTCCTTCCCCTCTCTTCAGTTTTCTCCTTCTCTCCTTATCATACTAATTTATCAGCTGGCCTACCAATTTTGGGTGAGAGCCCTTGGGAAATCTCAGCTTGGTCTCCTCTTTCCATTGAACACTCTTAAACCTACAGTGCTCTCTCTGTTCTCATGGCTACTTTCGGACATTATTGTAACCAAAAGTGGTCATGAGTTGTCATAATGAAGGTACGTGGACTGGGGAAGGTACTGCATCCATTATGGGATGGGAGCCCCAGGGGGGTGGGAGCAATGTCATCCAGACCAGAGCAGGGACAGAGGGGCTCTGGTGTGTAGAAGCAGGGAAACAGCATCAGGCCTGGGTATCAGAAAGAACCAAATTCCAGCCTTAGCTCACCCACTAACTGGGCTCACTAACCCTCGGCAAGTCATTTATCCTCTTTGAGCTTCTTCTTCCCCTAAAACATGGGATTTAATAATGCCTGCCTTGACCTGGCTTGCAAAGTTGTTGTAAGGAACAAGAAATACAGAGTGTGAAAGTGCATTGTAAACTGCAGAGGACTGTATAAATATGTGGGGATTGGGAGGAAGGGGTTCTATTTTTTTTCTAGAATCTCATCTGGCTGCCCTGCCCCCATCCCATCCCTGCAACAGGACTGACAAAGCAGTGATCCCACCCACCTATATAGTACCTTCCAGTTTAAAAAATCACATTGTGCCGGGTGCGGTGGCTCACACCTGTAATCCCAGCACTTTGGGAGGCTGAGGCGGGAGGATCACGAGGTCAGGAGATCAAGACCATCCGCACCAACATGGTGAAACCCTGTCTCCACTAAAAAAAAAAGATACAAAAATTATCTGGGTGTGGTGGCACGTGCCTGTAATCCCAGCTACTTGGGAGGCTGAGGCAAGAGAATCACCTGAACCAGAGAGTCAGAGGTTGCAGTGAGCCAAGATCGCGCCACTGCATTCCAGCCTGGGTGACAGAGCAAGACTCTGTCTCAAAAATAAATAAATAAATAAATAAATAAATAAATAAATAAGCACGTTGACATCTTTTTCACTTTTAACACAGCCCCATTTCATAGATGTGGGCACCGAGGCATCAGCAAGTTTTAAGTGACTGGCCCAAAGCCACAACGCTAGTAAGTAATGCAGCCAGGACCCAAGCCTAAGTTTTCAGCCTCCAAGTTCAGTGCTCTTTCCACCATCCCCTATGGCTTCTCACTTGCCTTCAAGTGCCCCAGGCTGGAGGGCACCTGTCACACCAGCCCCTGTTCCCTCCTGACACTGTCTGTGTACATGCCCATCTTCCTTCAGCAATCGTGAGTTCCTGGAAGGGACAGAACAGATCTGGTGGGCACTCAGAAGAATGTTTTGCCAAGTGAATGAATAACTACATGCCCTTCCCCACCCTATCACACAGTGTTGCTCCTGAGTCAGTGGTATGTCTTAGAAGGTGAATTACAACTTGGTCCTCTTCTCTCAGAACTCCAGAGAGCTGCTGCATAGTCAGAGTGGTCTCTGGTCTCTGGCATGAGAGTCTCTCCTAAGGAAGGGGTCTTGCCTGCCACCCCCACACATGCACACATTGCTCAGCCCCTGCCCCCAGTCTGTGACAGCAGCCTCTGTAATGAATGACCCTGCAGTGGGGCCCAGCAAAAGGACAGGAGGGCACGAGACAAATCATAGCTGCCAGGCGCTAATCTTCCCCTGGGAAAGTCACCTCCACCCCCCTCATCCATCACTGGGCACTGGGCTGCCACCGTAACCACCCCCCCAAATACACACCCAAAACAACCACCCAGGCCTCATGGATGCATGTGAAAGTGCTCAGAGAGGCAGGTTTTGGTGTACAAGTGGGAGCATCTGCACACAGCCAGAGGAGCCAATGCAAAAAAGGCCATTATTGCTCCAGACCAGGTTCCTGCCTCATATCTCTCACCCCAGAAAAAGTCTGATGATTCAAAATAAATCCTCTGAGCCATGCATTTGTTTAATTGCCTAAGAAATGTTTGTTAAGAATCTATTTCAAGTAAAGCAATGCAGTGCAAAGGGCACAGAGATGGACAGAACAGGATCTAGTCCTGAAGGAGTCCATGGTTCAGCAGGGGAACAGAAACAGATCAAGGGAATGGGAAGGAAGGGACACAAGCGTAAGAGAGGAGGAAGATGGAGAGTGAAGGGAGGGATTTCTCCCAGTGGAGAGGTTCAGGGACAGCTTCATGAAGGAAGACCTTGAAGGATGGGTAGAGTTTGCAGAGACAGGAAGAAAGCAGTCTGGGAGGAGGGAACAGGGTGAGCAAAAGCAGACTATGGAAGGCAAAGGCATAAGACAGTGCAATAAGTTGTACAAGGAAAGATGAGGTTGACACCTGACCACTGAATGTCAGGTTGAAAAGGCCCAACATTCACCCACACCCACCCATTTCCAAAACACACATGCACGCACACACATGTGCAAAGAATTCCAGCCTCATGAAAGAGTGGAGCAGGTTCAGTCTCACCATAGATCAATTTCATGGAGATGTGTCCAGCCATGTGTACATCTTCTCCCATTGAAGAGGCTATGGAGGTAAGAACCTATATCCATAAGCCATGTCACTGTACAGCCATAGTCACCCTTCTAGCCAGCATTCATAGAGCACAGTTCTGAGAGCTTTACATGCATTATTTCCCACTAGAATGTAAGCCTCAGGCCGGGCACGGTGGCTTATGCCTGTAATCCCAGCACTTTGGGAGGCCAAGACGGGCAGATCACCTGAGGTCGGGAGTTCAAGACCAGCCTGACCAACACGGAGAAACCCTGTCTCTACTAAAAATACAAAATTAGCCAGGCGTGGTGGCGCATGCCTGTAATCCCATCTATTCAGGAGGCTGAGGCAGGAGAATCATTTGTACCCAGGAAGCGGAGGTTGCAGTGAGCCAAGATCATGCCACTGCACTCCAGCCTCAGCAACAAAGAGTGAAACCCCGTCTCAAAAAAAAAAAAAAAAAAGAATGTAAGCTTTATGCAGCATCAAATGTGTTACTGCTGAATTACTAGAGTTCAGAACAGTGCTTGGCACATAGTAGGTGTTCAATAAGCTTTTTTTTGAATGAATGATCTCATGTCCTCATTTAATAGGGTTGTTATGCTATAAGATAGGCACAAATATTATGACTACCACCCCACTGTCCCCCATTCTACAGAAGAAAAAATGCAGCCTTGGAGAGATTCAGTCATGCAACTAGTCATGCCACTGGTCATTGCGACTAGCAAGTGGAGGAGCCTAGCTCCAAACACAGCTATCAGAATGCAAGCTCTTTACCAACAGTGCTAAAGAGCAGCAGCCCTATGTCTGACTTTCATGTTTCTGCAGTCATTGTTATGCTTCAAGGTGGCACAATTTGAACTTACGCTCTCAGAATCTGCATAATCAGTAACTATTGTAGGAAGACACTAATATATACACTTCTATAGTTATATGCACTCAGTCAGTCCACTTTAGGGAAGACCAATATAAACAAAAGCACCCAATTTCCAAAGCAGATAAATCTAGGAGGGCTCATTTGCTTTACAGAAAAAGTCTTGGCCAGGCACCATGGCTCACACCTCTAATCCCAGCACTTTGGGAGGCTGAGGCAGGCGGATCGCTTGAGCCAAGAAGTTCGAGACCAGCCTGGGCAACATAGAGAGACTTCATCTCATTTAAAATTTTTACAATTATATTTTAAAAAAAGAAATAAAGAAATAAAAAGAAAAGCTATTTGCCCTCTAAAAAAGAGGATTCATCCAAGGGCTTTTTTTAAGTAGGAGAGCTTCTCTGGGCATTTCAGTGCTTAATTTAATGGGGTCTGCAGGGGGTGGAGTGAGGATAGCATAATTTATGGGTCACCTGCTGTGTGCCAAGCTCTTTATGACCCTGCAGAGCAGATATTATTATCCCATTTTATAGATAAGGAAACTGAGTATCAGGTTCAACACATTTGCTTATTCAACACTATTTATTGAGTCCTGTTCTGTGCTAGGAACCAATGCAGGCTCCAGGGAATCAGATATATATAAATAAAGTCCTTGCCCTCACAGCGCTTGCATTCTCATGGGGAGAGATAGGTAATAAACAAGTGAATGAATAAGTGAACAAATCTTTGAGAGAATGTCATGTTATAAGTGCTTAGAAGGAAATAAACGGGGTGATAAGAGAGGGCTAGGGTCCCTAATGTAGATCTGGAAGCATCTGGGGATCCCCTGAGCCCTTCAGTTAGAAGCTGATTGACTTCATCTGTGGCTTCTCAGCCCCAGTTCAGAGAGGGAGGGAGTGGGGGGAAGGGTGGGAGGAAGGAGGAAGAGAGGGAGGGGAGCATCCAGCCTGCTCTTCTACCATACTACCTTGTCAGAAATCCAGGTGGGAAGAGTTGCCAGAGAAGCAAAACTTATTAGAAGCCATTGTTCATTACAGACCCATCTGAAGTTAGCGCTGAAGCCCTGGCACAAGGTCTCTGAGAAAACAGGAATTTGATGTGTAAAATGTCAACTCAGCCAGCTTGGTAGGAGCACTGGAGCCAGGAGCACTGGGCTGTGGGTGAGTAGGGCAATGTAGGCTGAGCAAAGTGAGTTTTGCTGAGAGGGTAAGGCCAGACTGACCAGGTTCCATTTCTGGCTCAGCGACTTAAGGACATGTCGCTTCAGAGGGGTGTCTTGACCTCTTTGCACTCCAGTTTCCTCATCTATAAAGTGGGTATCAGGAAAGTACTCACCTCTGACGGTTGTGAGGAGGATTAAATGCTTCAGTATGTGTGCAAGACTTCCTAAGCAATAAAAGAGGATTGCATTTAGCATGGGTGCAGGAGTCAGTAACTCCAGCGATACAGAGTGGGAAAGAGAGCAGGAGGAAGGACTCGAGAGAAGAGAAAAAAGTGGAGAAAGGAGACACTGAGGGGAAAGAGAAAGCAAGTGTGCACATAGTTACAAGGTTTCTATTCAACTTCCCCCAAAGCTTAATAGATTTCTAAATGGGCTTATTATCACCACCTATGAATTCTTTTAAAGGACCTAATTATAAAACACCAAACTAGCTAATTAGGTTTCCTGAGCTCGCCTTGACACAGGTGCAAACAGGCTCTCTGGATGGTAGCCCTGGCAAAGCCCGCAGTGCCAGCTCCAAATCAATGGGGGGCGGGACCTGCCTGTGGTCACACAATTAGGTCTGTAATTGTGGGCCCCCTCCTGCAACTACCAGGCTGCCAGAGATGCTAGCTGTCTGACCTCTCTCACCTGGTGCATAGGAGCAGAGGCCCTGCAGAATAGGGGACCAGCCTCCTGGGACACCTCTGGGTTGGCTTGGTGCTGAGGGTGCACCGGGTGGGTCCCCCAGGATCCAGTTCAGGAGGGACTGCATCTAGACAGAGGGGTCCAGGAATTGGGTCCTTGGCACTTATCCATCTCTCTTTGGAATAGAAATGCCCAGGGGTGGGATCACCATGATGCTCAGAGAATGCACATGTCTTACACACCATTGGAGAGATGAGTGCACTTGTGGGTAGTAAAGTGGCAGAGATGGCTATGCCCGCCCCTATTGGATTAGAGGACCCTTGAGACAGGGGGCAGTGAAGGGCAGAGTTCCCGAGTCCAGAGGGTGGGGAGACTACAGGAAATCCTGTCTCTACTACAGTGATTTCCAAAGTGTGTTCCCGGAACCACTAGCATCAAGATCACCTGGGAACCTGTCAGAAATCCAAATTATCAGACACCACCCAGGGATGGATTCTTGCAATCCGTGTGTAAAGGAATCCTTGAGGCGTTTCTCAGGCGCGCTCCAGTTTCAGAACCACTGCTCCCCTGTATCCAAGAGGAGGCCATTAATCAATGCAGCTGCCAATGGTGGTGCTGCTGACCGAGGGGGGTGTGAGGAGGGATCTGTTTCTTAAATTAAACTAAACGATGGCCATTAAGGGGGCATCCCCTGCACATAATTAATTCTCCTTTTGCTGAAAGGGGCGGGTAGGAACTGGACAGCTAATGATGGTCACTGTGCGCCTCACCTGCATTCCTCCGCCCTCATTGCCTCCAGTGTCCTTGTCTTTGGGCCCACCATGAACACCTGGTTCTCTTTCCATGTAGTGGCCCCACCAGAGTCTAAAATTCGTGAGCTACATAGCACTCACTTCCCCAAACTCCCTCTCACTGCCCCCTCCCCCAAGTCAGTCACCCCTCTTGCCAGCTCTATCCCTATCCTCCTGCTCCTCTGCAGCCTTCATAGACCCCCCGTGTCATGCCTCAAGGTGGGGGCCAAGAAGCCATACTGTAATTCCCTCCAAGGAATTTTCTTCCAGTTGTTAAAGTGAGGCCAGAATGCAAATCCAACCACTCTCCCCAGATACATCCCTAGCAGCCTAATGTGTCCCAGTCATGCCTAGCCCCCAAGGCAGGGGTTCTCATATTCCGTTATCACTGGCCACTCCACTCCATATTCCATGGTTATTGCCTCCTCTCCAGCCGCTGCCTCTGCTGGGCAGATTTTATGGGATTCTCTCAATGCATTTTTACAATGCCATAGAGCCTCCAGAGCTGGCCATGCAGAGATCAAAGTCCCCACTGCTGACCAAGCCACCAGCTACCTCTTGCCTTTGACAATAGGACAGATTTCCCCTCTTAGACACCTACTTCCTAATAACTGGCCATCTCTTAGGGTCATGGTGAAGATTGACAGAGACGATATATGGGGAGCATCCGGACAGCCCCTGTTACACAGTTAGGCTGGGGACGTGATCCCCCTCCTCACCCTCTCTGTCGGTTCCATATGGCTCAAATGGGGTTCACCTCAAGGACCCAGAGATGTCTGTGGGTTGCAGTAGCCCACCCCCTCATTCCATTTATAAATCCTGGAGTCCAGGGGCTGGGTCATGCCCAACTGGGTCAGGTTGACTGCAGTTCAACAAACTTCTCCTGGGCCCCTGTTGGTGCTGGGTACCCTGATAGTGGCTGAAGATGCAGAGACAGAACAAGAAAGGACTCTACTCTAGATATCCGGTGTGGTAGGGAAGCCACATTTGTGATAATGCATCCTTAAGAAGAAGAAATAGAAGATGAGGGAGGAGGCAGAGTGATATAGAAAATAGGGTCGCTTTGGAGACAGACCTGGGTTCCAATTTTGGCTTCACCGCGGTGTGGCCAGAAAACCTTATGCAAATCACTTAACCTCTTTGAGTCCCCTTTTCTTCCCTTATAAGATAGGGGGATAAAAATAAGAAGAACTTCAAAGGCTCAGGCTTAAAGATGTTTGGGGTAAGTACCTGGGACGTTGCGGAGGCTCAAAAAATGGTGTTGTTATTATCATGAAGGCAGTGGGTTTCCTTGCACTCCAGGAGCCCACCCTGCCTCTGTGGGGTCAGAGTCTGAACAGTTCTGGCGGCCCTGGGTTTTGGGGTTAACCAGATGATCCTTTAATATACAAAGAAACCCCAAACAGCTTAACCTCAGCCGAGGCATAGAGGGCCCGGCTGCCCCATGAATACTGGCCTTGAATCCTGTGCTCCATTATTGCATCTGAAAATCCGTTAAAATTTCACACAATTTCCTGCACAGCAGTGTGCTTCATAATGCTGGGAGCCAAGCCGGCCCAGTAATTGGGACCGGAGTGGGGCAGAGTCCAAAGCAATTAATCCAGCCTCCTTCCTTGTTTGCGCCAGGATAAGCCTGATGGGGTGGAGAATAATTGGAAAGGAGCGGCCTCCATCCCCAACTCCAAATTAATATTTTCCTGCCCTGATTTAATTCCGCCCAGGAACAGTGACACAGAGACACGCCGTGTCAAGCGCTAAGTAATCCACCACGAGCCACCTGAGGAGGAGGAAAGGACTTTTCCTTTTCTTTGCGGTTGGCCGGGGGTGGAGGGAGGTGCAGCTAATAAGACAGAACCTCAGAATCAAGAGGGCCTTCCAGGGACATCCGTAGTGCAACCACCGTCCCGATGCAGTGACATGCCACAAGGAGGAGAAAAATCAGGGATCCGGGAAGGCAGACAAACCTGAGTCCCAACCCTGGCTTTGCTGCTTAGGAAGTGTATGACCGGGGGCAAGTCATTCAACCCCACCGAACCTCAGTTTTCTCATCTGTAAAGTGGAGATTATAGTACCTGCCATGAGCAATTGTTGTCAGGATTCTTTACAAAAAATACAGTAGGTGGCTGTCAATGGTGGCTATTTTTCCTGTTATTTTAGGTTTTACAACCAGGAGCCAAGCACAGTGCTAGGCGCTGAGAATCCAAAGGTAAACAGGCCGGGCATGGTGGCTCACGCCTGTAATCCCAGCACTTTGGGAAGCCGAGGCGGACAGATCATTTGAGGTCAGGAGTTCAAGACCAGCCTGGCCAACATGGCAAAATCTCGTTTCTACTAAAAATACAAAAATTAGCAGGGCGTGGTGGTGCGTGCCTGTAATCCCAGCTACTTGGGAGGCTGAGGCAGGAGAATCACTTGAACCTGGAAGGCAGAGGTTGCAGTGAGCCAAGATTGTGCCACTGCACTCCAGCCTGGGTGAGAGAGCGAGACTCCACCTCAAAAAAAAAAAAAAAAAAGTAAATAAAATGTGGGCCCCAGTTCTTAAGGAGCTTGAATTCTAGTTCCAAATATCCAGGACTGCTACACAGAAGGTGTTTAATATTGGCTAGCTCCCTGCCTTCTGCCTACAGCGTCCCTGGACAGGCAATGATTCAACCTCTGCCTGATCACTTTAATCACTGGACCATCTCCTGCCAGTTCTGTTGGTGCATTTGCCTGTGTGCAGGCTTCCTCTCCAGCATCTAGCTGCACCCTGAAACCTCATCCCACCGGTTCTAGCTCCACTCTAGAGCAAGCTGGAGAAAGAGGTCCAGGTGCAGGAGTCAGGACTCAGGAATCTGCAGATTTCTCTCCCTGTCCCCACCGAGCCCTGCCTCTGTTGGCTCAGCAGCCTTATAATAGGAGGAGGGGTCCTAACTTGATCCTCTCTCACCCCGGGGGGTTCAGGCATGTTGAGTAACCTGGAGAACTGGGGCAGGATTGAGCTCAACAACTCACAGTGGTAACCTTCCCGGTCTCACTTCCCATTCCTTCCTGGACTTTCTTTCAACTCCCAAATAAACCACCTCCCTTGAATCCTTATAACAGGTCTGATTCTGGGGGACATCACACTAAGACAACCAGGTGTCCGCAAGCCCTGAGGCCTGGACAGCCTGCCAGGGGTGCCTCTAAGCTTCACGGCTGAGCAGCGCCAGCACCTCAGGATTCCAAACCGTTGGCAGAGGTGCTTGGTGGGCAGGCTGAGGTTACCCACCTGCAGGGGCAGACTTATTCATGGGCACCTGAGGCCCCCACCCACCCGGGACACTTGGGAATAATTGAAGGCCACATGGCAACAGGAATCCCACAGGCTCAGGCAGCGGGTGGCGAGAGCCAGGGAAGTCTCATTATTTATGTAGCCCTCTCCCCAGTAGGAGGAAGAACACAAACTCCAGGGTGAGGGAGGAAGAAGATGCCTCAGTGAGTTCAAAACTCCCCCAAAGAAAACCATTCAAGCCAAAGCAGGGAGTTGCCAGCAAAACCCCCATGGGTGTTCGACAAAACTGCAGGGAAACACTATGCAAATGTCAAACTGATGAGGAGAGCGGGGGAGAAAGGGACAGGAATAAACCAAACATTAAATCAAATCAGTAGGAGAATAAGAGCTAAACTCCTTGCTTGTAGCACTCAATTCTGTAGTCAATACGGTCAGGAATGAATGAACGGCCTGCTCAGAGCCACATCTGAATTCAGTGTGTGTAGCACCCTAAACTACGAGGAGAATCAGCCAGCCAGGTGTCATCCTGCCCCATGCCCAACCACAGGGACAAATGGGCTTGGGGAGGGGACCTAACCTAGGCCCTCTGGGGGCAAGGCAGGGAGGAGCCCTGCCCAGGGGCTGGGTGGCATGGGGCAAGTCCTGTCTCCTCTCGGAGCCTCACAGCACCCACATGGAGGGCAGCTTGAGGAAGCTGTTGTGTGTGCAGGGCACAGAGGCCTGCGTGAGGATAAAATGGTTGGCCATAATAAAAAGATGGGGATAAAGGAGGTTGAATGAGATACCGGTGGAGCAGGAGCCCTGTGGTCTGTGTCCTATCCGGCTTTGTTTTGCTTCATTGGGGATGTAAAATGAGGATTTGGTTTTGTTAAAGAAACTGGGATTGGAGAGGAGGGGAAGAGCACTGCCTGGAAGAGAGATGACGAAGGAGAGAAGGGAGAAACCCAGGGCTGCTGTGATTAGGCTGGAGTGTGCTGTATGATGCCATCTGCTCCCCTGGTTTCCCAGAAAAACTTCAGTGAAACCCGCAATGTTCACCCACACGTTGGGAACTGGCCGTGTGTGTGCTGCATGGCTATAGGGTGGGCGCAGGGGTAGGACAGAGGCTGAAGGGGCCCAGCTATGTTCAGGTCCTACGTGGGCAGACATGCTGTGTGAAGGATCCCATCTGCCGCTCCCTGTAGCTCCATTCCACAGCCATTCGTGGATTATACGGCCACGCAGCAGGCACAGTGCCAAGACTGGGAACAACCGCAAATATGACGTGGCCCTGCCCTTGATCAAAGACTAGAGGGGAAGACACAAGCCAACATGTTGGTTCAGGGGATAAGCTTTGCATGCCAGGGTAGGTTCTAGCCCCAGGGCATGTGAGTCTTGCCTGAGCGCTCTCTGGAAGCCGGGGTGGAGCCAGCACTTACATTTTCACACTCGACCCTCAGAAACTCTGCTCAGAAACAGTGGGGGACTGGCTCATGGTCACACAGCTGCGAAAGGGTGGAACTGGCTGTGAACCCACGTCTGTACCTTCAGAAACCAGTTTTGCTCATGGGTCACCTGGTTGAAACTTCACCAGCCAGGCTTTTGCAGAAATGGGATGCCGACAGTGGAGTGGACACTCTTTCCCTTCGCCTAGGGCAGCCTCGAGGCTACATGGCTGTCTCCAAGCTCCCCTGACATGTGGTCCCTCACCCCCAGCTTTGGGCTTTATCTCAGCTGTCTCCAAAGTTCCAGATGTGACTTAGAGCCCCTTCAATAACTTCTCCTTTTGGCTTAAGCCAGTTTGAGTTTGGGTTTCCATCAGCATCTTTCTCCAAACTGAAAAGAGTTAGGACTGTATAGGCCTCAACATCTGGTGGGAATTGTGCCAGTGTGTTCACCCCTGCCCACTCCAATCCCAGGTAGATTGAGTTTAAATTCATCTTTGACGGTGGAAGAAAATGGAGTCCCAGATAAAAGAAGTAGCTTATGCAAGACCACACAGCCAGTTAGGGGCAGGACTGAAATTTGAACTCAAACCTTAAGACTTGCACTCTGCTTCCCTTCTGGATCATTGTGTTATCCACTTTGTCTGGTTCTGAAAAGATTTGTATGCAGAGTATGTGAGTGTCAGTGTGAGTGTGTTTCTATGTCCTCAGAGAGATACTGAAGTCCCCTTGGGTCAAGCTTGTGCCACTGACGTCCCTGACATCTCCCAGACCCCAGTAAGAGCAAGTGGGTCCCCCACAAGTGGTCCCTGGACTTCAAGCGTAAATGGGCTTCCAGAGGAGGCTGCCCTGGCATGTCCAGATCTGGGCAGCAACATGGCTCTGGGAATGCCATGCTGTGTGTCCAGGGGAAGACATCAACCTTTCTGGGACTCAGGCTGATGTGAAATTGAATCTGATAAAAAAAGAATACCAGCAAAAGACATAACTGGTGTGAACCATCTCTTGTGAAAAAGTAAAACACTTGCTAAAAAGAAAGCTACCGAACGCATTCCACTTTAAGAAAATCCAATACGCAAAATCTAAATTTACTCTCTGAATTTAGATAAAGAACAGTTTGACAAAAGAATTCTAATTGTCACAGCAGTTCTATTGAGGAACCAGGGTGAGTGTTTCCAGGCCTCCCCAGCATGCAGGCAGAAATGCAAGAAACAGAGACGCTTCGAGCCAGAGGGCCGAAGCTTTGCCCACTGAAGACCCCAGGAGGATGGCCAGGGTCTCAGAGGGAGTAGAGGAAGGGGTCAGTAAACAGTTGCTATGGAGACACAGGGATGTGTCGAGTGGAAGTACAAGACCCCGAACTCCAAATTCCAGGGCAGCTTGGACCCAAGACCAAGCCCAGAAGGGTGTGGTATGACGTGTTAAAAAATCCACTCCCTTCTCTCCCAACCCATCCCTACAGGGCCTCTCCCTGGTACCCATCCTTGTGGGAGAATTGTACTTCCCATCCTACTGTTGGACTTGGCGATAAGACTCCTTTCAGCAAATGGAATAGGAACAGGAGGGACATAGACCATGCCCAAGCTAAGGCCTTTGGACCTCACGTTTCCACCATCTTTCTTGCTCTTCCCCTCTGCCACCAGATTGAAGCTGCTTTTTCAGCCCGAGCCCCAGAATGAAGACACATGGAACAGAGTCACAAACAACCTGCAGCAGATATGTATGATGAACAAAAAAAAAAAAACTTATGTTGCTATAAGCCATTGAGATTTTGGGATTGTTCATTACTACACCATAAACTAGCAAAAGCTGACTAATATAGAAGGCAATACTCACAGCTTTAAGGCCACCTCTGACAACCCAATGGGATAAGTGGCTCAGATGTGTCTCTTCAGATCAGCATTTGCAGTGCACGGGAGTCCCGTGGGAACTTATAAAACAGATTCCCCCTTCTTCTTTTTTTTTTTTTCCTTGAAATGGAGTCTCACTCTGTCACCCAGGCTGGAATGCAGTGGCACAATCTCGGCTCACTGCAACTTCTGCCTCCTGGGTTCAAGCGATTCTCCTCTCTCAGCCTCCCCAGTAGCTCAGACTACAGGCGTGAGCCATCATGCCTGGCTAATTTTTGTATTTTTAATAGAGACAGGGATTCACCTGTTGGCCAGGCTGGTCTTGAGCTCCTGACCTCAGGTGACCCACCCACCTCAGCCTCCCAAAGTGCTGGGATTACAGGCGTGAGCCACCGCAACTGGCCCCAGATTCCCCCTTCTGAGAATGAAGTCAGTTCATCTAAGGATGAGGCCCAGGAATTGGTATTTTTGACAAGCTGTGAAGACGACAGTGGCCTGTCCACAGACCATGCTTTAAGAGGCCCTGATCTAATGAGTCCACTGTTTTTGCTATCCACAACAATGTCCAGAGAGGCACAGCAACATGCCAAAGGTCACACAGCAAGGGGCTACACAAGAAATGAATCTCCACCTCATTTCCCTGAAGCACACTGTCCTTCCCCAGAGAAACGGTGGGGAGGTGGAAGGGGAAAGAGAGACTCACAGGTTGAAAAATGCAGCTCCAGAGAGAAACCAGTGGGAGGCCAAGGAATTCAAGTTGAGCCAGGGTCCAGGTTCCAGCTAAGAAGGGAGTGACCTGTGAGTGGATGAAGAGGCGGCTCCCCGGGGCCTTCGCTGGAAGAGGTGGGGAAAAGGATGTCAGATTACAGAGCAGGAGGCTGGAGGAAAGAGAAAGAAAATAAATAAATAAAAATAGAAAAGGGAAAAAAAAAAAGCCCTCCAGCCCTGGTGAGCCCAAATATCCCCAGCCTCGCTGCAGGCACTGCCCCAGCCCTCTTCGATTTTGATGTACAGTTTGAAGCAAATCAATAGCAGTATAATAATACTCAGCACGCTGTGTAATTTTTATATCATTAGTTTTCATTTTCCGCTCCCCATGCATCAAAAAACTTACAACGGGCTCGTAAAGTTTATTTAGTATTCCATGAATTCCTAATCAGTTTCATTTCATAATGATTCAGGAGCCGCCCGCTGCCTAGGCCCCTGTGTCAAAAAATCGATAAAACCAACACAGTTTTCCTGATGGCGGCTGAAAAAGGATCTATTGTAGGGGAATTATGATTTATGCCCTGGCCTGAACCATGAGCAGCAGCCTCCACCCGGCGGCTCAGGGCTGAGGTCTTCGCCAATAATGATTTATGCACCTCTGAGGGCCCCACCCTAGTTCCCTTCCTGCCCTGGCTGGCCCCTGACACTGGGGGCAGCGGGGAGGGCCCAGTTGGGAGGGAAGGAGGAAGGAGAAGGCACAAGGGGAGGGCCTACTAATAGTCTGAGCATCCCTGCGTAGGTCCAGCATCTGCCTCTAAGTCCACCCACCATCCAGGAAGGCCTGATCAGAGTACAGAGGGATTTAGGGAGCCCTACCTGGTCCCAAAGAGCTGCAGAGGGAACATTCTGAACACAGGTGTGTGGGTGGAGCTGGGGTAACTCCAGCTCTCCATCTGTAATCCTCATTCCCACTCAGCCTCCGTTCTGACCCCACGGATGAGTTCTTGGCCCCTACCTTGCACCAATGACAGTCACCTCCACCTCCCCTGTCCCTGCCCCAGTGGCTCTGAGAAAGCTAAATGGGAAAGGGGTCCCAAGGGTCATGGTGGCCAGAGGGCCTCAGTTAGACCCCATGGGATGCAGACACAGCAGGCTTCCAGGAATTCTGAGGCTGTAATGAATGTTTCCAAGACTCCCAGGAGGAAACAAGGAGTGAACCTGAGAGGTTGTTCGGAGGTTCCAGCAGGCGAGTCGAGCTCCTGGTATACCCTTGACCAAAGAACAGTCCTCCTCTATCAGGGAAGGTCATCCTCTCCAAGTGTGCAGCTTCAGCAGGGACACACATGGAGCAGTGAGGGAGGACGGGGACACCCGCCTAGCCAGCCAGATCACCCAAATCAATCCTGGTGATCAACGGGGTGACAAATGTTGCAGCCAGATTGCCCTCATATCCAGGAATGAACTTGCCCCTTCTCTTCTCTGTGAGGCAGATTGGCTTGGTTTTCAAACCCCTGCATCCCCACCCAAAGCTCCTGTGCCCTTCCTCCACTGGTCATAATTAATAGATCTGGGAGACATGTTAATGGGATGGGTATTAAGTCCAACAATTGGTTTAATTAAGAGCAACTAACCTAGCTGGGATAGAGAGATCTCACGGTGACTTCATATGGGAGGGGATGCCCTGGTGTGACAGGAAGCCAACTGGGGCCACCAGTATGTCCACCCCCACCCACCATCTATCAGTGGGTTTCTCGGCCTCCACGTGGTGTCTGGGGAAGACTGGGGCTTCATTTAAGTGGGTTGAGAGAAGCAGAGGTTCAGGGGCTCATCTCCGCAGGACCTGTCCTGAGGCACCGTTGGCACTCCAGCCTTTGACTCTAGTTAGAATAGGTGGGCTTCTGGCCGGGCGCGGTGGCTCACGCCTGTAATCCCAGCACTTTGGGAGGCTGAGGTGGGCGGATCACAAGGTCAGGAGATCGAGACCATCCTGGCTAACATGGTGAAACCCCGTCTCTACTAAAAATACAAAAAATTAGCCAGGCGTGGTGGTGGGCGCCTGTAGTCCCAGCTACTTGGGAGGTTGAGGCAGGAGAATGGCGTGAACCCAGGAGGCGGAGCTTGCAGTGAGCTGAGATCACGCCACTGCACTCCAGCCTGGGTGACAGAGCAAGACTCCGTCTCAAAAAAAAAAAAAAAGAATAGGTGTGCTTCCTCCTGACACCTTCATTTGTTTTTCATTCATTCACTCATGAAACATCAGGGAGACACCTCGAAGCCGCTTGCTTTATTATGCAAAGAGAAGAGAAGGGACTTGCCTGGCGCCACGCAGATGCAGAGTGGCAAAGCCAAGATTCCAGGCAAGATTCGCCAGGTCTGACAACAAGCAGTGTCTGCCCATCCCGTCCCAGTGAGCCCCACAATCTCCTCACCGGCTGCCTGTGCTCCTCTCTCCAGCCTACTTTGAGGGGTTGGGGGAACAGAGCATGACAGCCGCTCTCCTTCCATGTCCATCCATCACCCCATGCACATGGCAGTTTGGAAAGAGCCCAGACTTTGGGGCCAGACCTGGATTCGAATCCTGGTTTCCTCCACTCACCAGCTGAGTGACCCTAGACAATTTAATTAACCTGAGTCTGGCTTTCCTCACGTGTAAAATCAGAGTCATAATTTCTGCCCCACAGATGGTAATGAGTCAAAAGAACAGCAGATATAAAATACCCACCCCCATGAGGCCCCTGATAGATGCTTCCTGCCCTTCCCCCGCTCCCTCGTTGCCTCTAAGCCTCACTTCTCCCCAGAGAATCATCTATCTGGTGCTGGGAGTGAAAAGGGGGCCTGGGTCTGTCTCCCCTCCTCCCAGGATTAATCAGAAAACCAAAAACCGGCCAGGATTTGGCATCAGTGGGCTAGGGCTGTGCCACTGTTCATTGCACTGTGGCAGAAGGAGAGGAGCCCAGCCTCATCTACACAAATCTGAGCCAAAGCCCCTGCCAGCACCTCGGTTTCCCCATCTGTGAGACAGAGGCATGATTCCTTCTAAGGCTGAAGCCTGGCAGTTCACTGACCTGGGAATCGTGTTCCAGGAACCAGCAGCTTCTCCCAGGTCAGGAGTCAGAGAGTAGAGGGGCTGGGGTGAAGCATGAGACTCCCTGGATGTGGGGTGGGAGAAGGGGAGGGCCCCTGGCCTGGGGAAGCTCTAACTGCCCCCTCTCCATCCCCAAAAGAGACAGAGGCCTGCTCCCCATGAAGCAGAGTCCAAATTCTTCCCCCATGGAAATGGAGGCCCTTGAGGCTGGCTGCCACTCCAGAGCAGCCCGGTCAGGATCTGCAACTTCAGACTCAGCCTGTCTCCCTGGGCTCCTTCCTCCACTCCCTGCTCTGTCTCTGTCTTCTCTAGTGAGTTTCCTGTCCTTCTGTCTCTTCCCCTCTATTCCTTCCCCACCACCCGCTTCCCTCTGGGGAAAATAAGCACTTGGTTGTATAAGGCCAGAGGGGTTCTAACACCGCTCCACCAACTGGCAGTGCTGAAAGCCCTGAGATTTACTGCTCCCCTTTCTGCTGCCGGGTCCCCAGTTTGTCCCTCAGCTGTTCCATCACCCCTGGGCCTAGTGACAGTCCTACTGGGAAGGTAGCAAAGTGCGGCAGGAAGCTGATCAGCGGCCAGCTCAGGCCCACAGCGGGACATCCATTAGGATCCAGCACTTCAGGGTGAACCCCAGCCTGTCTCTGGGAGCCGAGGGATGGGGACCAGAAGCACCAATCCATCTCTCTGTTCCCTGCGCCAGACCCTGCAAACACACATAGGCTCTGCAACCCTGAGGCCAGCTCTGCTTTTGAGCTCTGCTTCCTGCTCCCTCTTTCTCTGTCCCTGATCTCACCTCTTATTCTACTAGAGACAGAGCCAGCCAGGCCCAGGGGGCCATGTCAGGGACTTGGTCTCAGCTGCTCCAGCCCCTTGATGAAAGGGAAAGGGCCCAACTCAGGCATCAGCTGTTTCACCTGTGAAATGGGTTCAATGAGAGTTTACGTGTCAGAGGAAAAGGCCACGGTTGGACAATGTGCCGGAGGATTGTGACTCCTTATTGTCACTGCACAGACCTCAGTCCCCAAGACTGTGGGCCCAAGCAAGGACTCTCCCAGGGTGACTACACCTTACAAAGCTCCCCAGCTGGCAGAGTCCCTGATGATCAAGACCTCATTCAAGGGGCACAGAGGGTCTCAAAGGAAACAGGAAAACAGAGAGTAGGACCCAAAGGCATCGTGTCCCATGGTGGGAGGGTGTCACTGAGGCAGGAGGGAGCCGGGGTTCTGGGGTCAGAGGAAACTGAGTTTGGAGGGGATGTGGCCACCTGCCAGTGGAAGGGCATTGGACCAGGAATTTAACCTCTGGGGATCTCGGTTGCTCATTTGCAGATATGACAATACACATGAGATCCCAGGAGCGCCCTGTGGAATCACCAGCAAGTGACAGCATGGAAGGCACAGGAAGGGGTTTGGAGGCAGAAGCAGGTGCGTTTGCACTGCAGCTGGTTGACCGTCTTCCCACGTGACCTTCAGCTAGTTACCTCTGGGCTCAAAGCTGCGTCTTCTTCATCTGTAACATGGGAGTGATTGTCACATCTCTCTCACAGGGTGGTTTGTGCAGGTTACAGATGGTTGTGCATCCTTTAGAACACAGAGGTGGCACCCAACAAGTGTTCCTTGTAACTTCCGTGGCCTGGGCACAGTGCCTTGGCACAAGAGAGGGGTTCAATAAATGTTTTTTCAGGCCAGGTGCGGTGGCTCATGCCCGTAATCCCAGCACTTCGGGAGGCCAAGGCGGGTGCATCTCCTGAGGTCAGGAGTTCGAGACCAGCCTGACCAATATGGTGAAACCCCGTCTCTACTAAAAATACAAAAATTAGCCAGGCATGTTGGTACATGCCTGTAATCCCAGCTACTCTGGAGGCTGAGACAGGAGAATTGCTTGAACCCAGGAGGCAGAGGTTGCAGTGAGCCAAGATAGCACCACTGCACTCCAGCCAGGGCAACAGAGTGAGACTCTGTCTCAAAACCATAAATAAATAAATGTTTTTTCAGTTTATTATGGGTGTGGGTGGGGAACAGGTTTATTATGGGGGACCCATGAGGTAACCCAACTGAATAGTGAAGGGTGGACTCTATCTGCTCAGGCCAAGAACATCTGCAAACACATTTGTAGACACCGATCATTTCTGGGTCCCCAGAGAAGAACAGGGACTTGGGTCTCCATCTGGCAATTAAAGAAACTGACACCTAGAGAGGTTTGGTGAATTTTTTTCAAGGTCTCCCAGAAAGGGTGAGTCAGAAATGTCAGAGGCATGTGAACCAGAGCAATTCCATCTTGAATAGGAGGTGGGTAAAAGGAGGCTGAGACCTACAGGGCTGCATTCCCAGATGGTTAAGGCATTCTAAGTCACAGGATAAGACAAGAGGTTGCTACAAGATACAGGTCATAAAGACCTTGCTGATAAAACAGGTTGCAGTAAAGGAGCTGGCCCAAACCCACCAAAACCAAGATGGCAACAAGAATGATCTCTGGTCGTCCTTACTCCTACACTCCTAGCAGCGCCACGACAGTTTACAAATGCCATGGCAACATCAGGAAGTTACCCTATATGGTCTAAAAGGGGGAGGCATGAATAATCCACCCCTCGTTTAGCATATCATCAAGAAATAACCATAAAAATGGGCAACCAGCAGCCCTTGGGGCTGCCCTGTCTATGGAGTAGCCATTTTTTTTTTTTTTTTTTGAGATGGAGTTTTGCTCTGCTGCCCAGGCTGGAATGCAATGGCATGATCTTGGCTCACCGCAACCTCTGCCTCCTGGGTTCAAGCTATTCTCCTGCCTCAGCCTCCCAAGTAGATGGGATTACAGGCATGCGCCACCATGCCCGGCTAATTTTGCATTTTTAGTAGAGACGGGGTTTCTCCACATTGGTCAGGCTGGTCTTGAACTCCCAACCTCAGGTGATCCGCCCGCCCTGGCCTCCCAAAGTGCTGGGATTACAGGCGTGAGCCACTGCGCCCGGCCTGGAGTAGCCATTCTTTTATTCCTTTACTTCCTTAATAAACTTGCTTTCACTTTATGGACTCCCCCTAAATTCTTTCTTGTGTGAGATCCAAGAACCCTCTCGGGGTCTGGATTGAGACCACTTTCTGGTAACAAAACTAATGCCAGACCACCCAGTGCCACCCGGTTGGGACTCCAGGCTCTGGAGCAAGCTGCCCCCTCCTGCCTTCCCAGACAGTTCATGATAGCAGTCACCACTTACTGTGTGAGTCCCTATGCCCGGGGCTTGGCTAAATACTATAAAGCGCTTATCTCATTTAGCATGCTCACTGGCTATGAAACAGCTTTTTCCTCACCCTCATTTTACAGATAAGGAAACTGAGGCACAGGGCGTTAAGGGGCTTGTCCAAAGTCACTCTGTTCACAAGTGACGGGGCCTGAACTATAAGCTCTGATATCTGAAGCCTGTGAACTTGATCTCTAACTGCACCAGCAGAATCAGAGGTAGTCTGTCCATCCAAACACAGGCTGGTGGTTCCCTGCATTGGTCAACCTGCCAATCCCCCTGCCTCGCTGAAGGGCCAACCCTCAACTCTTCTCAGGCTCAGGCCTACCAGGTGTGAAGGGAGCCTCAGCTCCTGACCAGCTCCTGAGTGTCCCAGGGAAGAAGGCAGCACGGGCTCCCTGTGTCCTGCCACCCTGGGCTTTCAGAACCCGCATGCTTCCCACAGTCTAACCTAAATCCTTTCGCTTCAGGGGCAGTCCTGGGCACCTCTCACTTCCACCATCATTCTTGTCATCCACCCCTAACCTAGTACAGCCTCTAAGAAATGGGGCCAGTGGCCCCACTGGGAGAAGGTGCCTGGTGCAAGGACTGGACCTCTCCCTGCCCTCGAGTCCCCACAGTAATGCCCAGGCTTTGTAGTCACTGGGCCGGAGCTCCCACCCTGGTTCCATCTGCATTCCTTAGCCCATGTGACACTGAGCAAGGAGATTCCTTCACCTTCCTGAGCCTCAGTTTCCTGCTCTGTAAAATGGCACCAATCATCCTTATTGTCATGAAACTCAGACGTCACAATGGGCTGGAAGGTCTGAGCAGAGTGCTCCTGGAGCACATGGCAGGATCGCAACCAATGCTGCTCTCTGCCTTCTCCTCTCCCTCCTCCTCCTCCTCCTCTACCTCCTTCTCCTTCTCTTCCCATTGTATTTCACCCACCAAGAAACTCCAAACCCAAGCATCTTTGGGCATCAAGCTCCTCCTCCACCCTACATCCTCCCTGATTTCTCCCTGCTAGGGAGGGCAAAGGCAGGTGTGTGGTGACCCTTTCTTTTCTTCCCACCTTCCCCGGAGGCCTCAGTGGGGGTAACTGAGGGTGAAGTTGGTTCCAATGGAACGGAAGGCACAGCCTTGAGGATTGGGCTGTGTTTGAGGGTCAGAGGGTCCCTCTCCTAGGCTACCCAGCAGCCTGACAGGGGCTGTGGTGGGGAGACACAGTATGTCACATGCAAGAGGTGGTAGATCATTTGCTCCTCCACTTTATAGATGAGAAAGCTGAGGCCTAGCAAAAATAAGAGGCTCAGCCCAGGACACACAGCTGGGAGGAGTCTGGGCTCAGCTGGAGCCACCAGCCTGCCTCAGCGAAAGTAGAAAGTTCTTGTGCTTCCTGCTTCAGAATCAACATCTTTACTCTCCAGTGTGGAAGACCAGCTCCTCATCCTGCCAATCTGAGCCAGCTGGCATTTCAGAGGCCAAGACAACTGGCCTTAAATCGTAAACCCTAATACAGCCATGACTAAAATTGCCCTCCACCCAGTGCAGACCCTCCTTCAGGTCAGGTCCTGCAGAGGAAACCACACATTTGATTGCTCTCCTGTATGCACAGCTGCAGGTCAAATTGCATTACGCCAAGAGCCATTATAACAAAAGTGACAGGGCTACCAAAACTTTGCCAAAACCAGCCCAGGAGGCATCCACCAGCTCCAATACTGCCTCCTTGAAGTCTCGGGAAGAGTGCTGATCTGCAGGTCCCCATATGGGAGCTTTATGGCTCAGAGAGGGCACACAGAGAGGAAGTGGTGAACAGCCCATGTGACTCTGGCCACAAAACCTCCAAGGCTCCTTCCATGCCCCAGTCCTTCTTGAGCCACACCCTGACACAAGTACCTGGGACAGAGGGACTGATGCACTCCGAGAGGAACACACAAGGTGGGCGGGGCTTGTACTTATGTGCCCTGGCAAATGTGCCCTGGCAAATGTTACACAAAAGTGGAACACGGCGCCTCCATCAATACACACGCATGTGGCCTGTACACAGGCACACACTGTCATGCACACACAGGCATTAGGGCAGCAGTTCTCAACCTGGGTGCACACTAGACTACTGTGGAGCTTTAAAACACACCTGTGTCCAGCCCCACCCCCTGGGATGCTGATGGAATGAATGTGGGTCAGTTACCTATTGCTGCATACCAAATAACCCCCCAAAATTTAGCACCTTAAAAGAACAACAAACATTAGCTCACACGGTTTCTTTTTTTTCTTTTGTTTTTTAAATTATTTCAATAGTTTTGGCAGAACAGGTGGTGTTTGGTTCCATGGATAATTTCTTTAGTGGTGATTTCGGAGATTTCGGTGGATCCATACCCCGAGCAGTGTACACCGCACCCAGTGTGTAGTCTTCTATCCCTCATCACTCCCGCCCTTTCCCTGAGTCCCCAGAGTCCACTGTTTCATTCTTATGCCTTTGTGTCCTCATAGCTTAGCTCCCACTTATAAGTGAGGACATACGATGTTTGGGTTTTCCACTCCTGAGTTACTTCACTTAGAAGAGTGGTCTCCAATTCCATCCAAGTTGCTGCGAATGCCATTATTTCTTTCCTTTTTATGGCTGAGTAGTATTCCATGGTGTGTGTGTGTGTGTGTGTATATATATATATATATATATATATCTCACATTTTCTTTATCCACTTATTGGTTGATGGTCATTTAGGAGCTTACGTGGTTTCTGAGGTCAGAAATCCAGGAGCAGCTGAGCCAGGTGGTCCTGACTCAGGATCTCTCCTGAGGTTGGAGTTCAGACGTCAGCCCAGGCTGGAGCACCTGCTTCAAGATGACTCAATGCCACCAGCAAAAGGCTTCATTTCCTGGCCACATGGGCCTCTGCACAGGGCTGCTTGAGTGTTTTCATGACCCGTCAGTTGGCTGCCTTCTGAGCAAGAGATCCAAAGCAGTGCAGAGAGGAAGCCTCAGTACCTTCCCTGCCCTAACCTCCTAAATCACACCACTTCCGCTGTGTTTGTGTTTTAGAAGGAGCCCACACTCTAGGGGAAGAGAATTAGACTCCATCTTCAGAAGGGAGGAGGCTCAAAGGATTTGTGGATCTACTTTAAAACCATCACAGCATGTGAGGTGAGGCCAGGGCACTGGGATTTTTAAACACCCACAGGTGACTCCAGCGTGCAGCCAGGGCTGAGACCTACTGTCTTGCAAAGTCACCAATCAGAGGTGGAGACTACAGATTCAGCAAGACATGACTTCAAGGTACGCCAGCCACCCAGGCCCTCCATCCCCAGGGAAGCTCACTTCAGTGGCCTCAGCCCAGCTTCCATCCTTCCCTGGCCCTTCCCTGACCCCTCGCAGCTCACATCTCCTGGAGACCTTCTCAGAGACCCCCACCCCCAGGCTCCAGGCCATGTCCCAGCCCAGCAACACCCCTGCACTAGCTGTTCCTAGGACTGGTTTCAGGCCTGTGCGCATGTGTGGGTTTGTGTGAGTGCCCATGTATGCACACGTGTATATGCATGTACCCACACAGGCCCATCTCCTCACAGGCCAGGACTCCCTGACAAGGTGACCACATCCTCTCTTCTCCTCACCCCTCCTCTGTCTTCTTCTCTTCCTTCCTTTTTTTTTTTTTTTTTTGAGATGGAGTCTCACTCTGTCGTCCAGGCTGGAGTGCAGTGGTGCGATCTCAGCTCACTGCAACCTCCACCTCCCAGGGTCAAGTCCACCTCCTGCCTCAGTCTCCCAAGTAGCTGAGATTACAGGTATGCGCCACCCTACCTGGCTAATTTTTGCATTTTTAGTAGAGACAAGGTTTCACCATGTTGGCCAGGCTGGTCTTGAACTCCTGACCTCAAGTCATCTGCCTGCCTCGGCCTCCCAAAGTGCTGGGATTGCAGGCGTGAGCCACCACACCTGGCCTCTTCCTTTCTTTCCCTTTCTCTCCCCCTCCTTCTCTTCCCTCTCCTTTCTTTTCTCACTCTTGACTTTTCCCTTTCTCTGTCTCCCGCAGGTCTCTCCTTTCTGATCTTGGGATCTCACACCCTCATCCTCTTGGCCGCCAGGAGGCTCCCCGGCTCATCTGTGATGATCCTGATGCTGTAACATGCACAGGAGCAACTCAGAGTGACCAGGGAGTGGACTGGGACCTCCCTGCCTGCTGACCTCCAAGGACTTTCCAGGCCCACTCTGCTTGTCCTCCAGCCCCAGCCACTCCTCCAGGCCACCCTGGGGTCTCAGGTAGGGCCACCTTCCTCCTATATCACCTGCCTCACCCAAGGCCCCCCACTCCCAGGAAGTCAGGAGCTGAGGGGCAGTGGCAGGAGCCGGGAGAGGAGCCAGTCCACTCCCAGACGCCTCTGTCTCTCTCTAGGGTCCTGGCCTGCCGGCTTCCCACGTGCTCCTTCCTCTCCATATTCCCTCTCTCTCTGTTTCTCTCTGTCTTTCTGTCTCTGTCTCCATCTGTCCCTTTCTTTGGCTCCAGCTTTCTCTTGGAGATCTCCTGGCCAGAGCTCCTAAGGCTGCAGAAATCAGAAGGCTGCCCCTCAAGAGGACAGCAGCTCTGCCCTAGTAATGAGGAGGAAGGATAACTCTTCTCAGGAATTAATGAGACCACCAAGAACAAAAGAGGCGACCAGCAGAGGCCAGAGAGGCAGGGCCGCGTTAAGCCATCCCCGCAGAATCGCATGCCAGCAATAATAGAGTCAGGAAAAATGGAGTCGAGATCCCTGTGGTAAAAACTATTAGAGGAGGCGAATTATAAAACTATTAACCAGAATGTAACTCCCAATTAAAAGATGATTTAACACTGGAACCTGATGGATGAATTTTGATTAAATGGAGAACTATTAGGAGCCCAGGGATAAGGCTGTTCCTGCCAGTTCTAAAAGTTAAAAGGCAGTTTGATATAAAAATTTATAAATTAAGGTTAATTACTTTAAATAACACGGCTGGAAGCAATGAAAGGAAATTTGTCAGAATCTCCAGAGTTTGGGGCAAGATGGATACAGATGTCTGGACTGGCCCCAGGGAGCCTGGAGGTCAGGGCAGGGATGGTCAAGGCCAGCAAAAGGGCAGGTGACGTCCGTGCTCCTGCAGAACCCCACCAAGAAGTGAGGGGCTGGCTGAGGCACCAGACTGGGGATGCCCCCAATATTCCCCACCAGACCCCACCAGTGGGAATCTCCAGGCCTTGCCCCAGGATTTCCTGAGCACTTGGCATGGGTGGTGGGCAGGTCACTCTGCCTCAGTCCTGCCCCAGCTGAAGAGGCGTCACCACCACCCCCATGCCCAGCCATGTCCTGCCAGGCCTGCTCCACACCCTCCATTCCGGTGACACTGGCCTGCAGGATGAGGAGGATCTGCAGGGGGCAGGCTGCTCTTCTCTGATGCTCCAGGGCTGTGGGCTATGACCACCCCACAGGGCCATACTCCTGCCTCCACGGCGCCCTGCACCAGAGTCCCAGATTCTCCCTGGAGCTGCAGATCTGTGCTTCAGAAGGCCAGGGCACTGCCCACACTCGATATCTGACCCTTTACAGGTCAAGGCTCTGCCTGGGTACCTCATCCCCTTCCCAAAACCCCATCCCTGCCCCTAGGCGATTTCTCAGCATGCCAAGGGGTGGCCCTGTGGTTGGCCTGGTCCTGTCCTAGCAGTTGGGAGAGAACCATACTTGGCTCACAGCTACAGCCAGACCTCAAAGGGTCCAGGAGAAATTGATGTAAGGCTTGCCCAGTGATTAGGGCATGGGCACTCGAGCCAGACTCCTTGGGTTCAAGCTCCAGCTCCAACCCTTAGCAACCTACGTCTTCAGGACTTGCAGTTCTTCATCTGTAAACTGGAGATAATACCCTCTCCTTGCAGGATGGTTGTGCAGATGAGAGGTAAAGCCCTCACAGGTAGTATGTGCTCAATAAATGGCAATGATTCTCACCATCTGTGTCTCATCTTAGTAAGAAATGCAATTGTCTGCCAGGTGCCACTGAGAGCTTCCTGCATGCAAGCACATGGTAACCACGTGGCAGGCATAAGGGCAAAATACCTTATTTCATCTTCTCAGCACCCTTTGAAGTCAGTCATGTCATAATTCTCATTCACAGAAGAGAAAACTGAGGCACAGGGAGGTGTGGTCACAAGCCTCAGGCCTTGAAACTGGCAGCGGCCAAGCCAGGACTTGGGTCTTTCAGCTCCTGACCCCATCGCTCCTTGCCTTCTAGGGCACTGTTTGGCAGGCATTTACATTTACTCTGGCTGTGCCTCTCACTATAAACCCCAGATGGTATTTGGAATGAGAGCCAATAGGAAAGAAGGGAGACATAAAGGGGTTAGAGGAAGGAAGGAAGGAAGGGAAGGGAAGGAGGGAGGGAGAAGGAATGATCTGTGCTTCAGGAGGCCTGGGCACTGCCCACACTCAACATCTGACCCTTTACAGCTCAAGGCTCTGCCTGGGTACCTTGTCAGAGGAAAGAGGAAGGGAGAGAGGGAAGGAAAGAGGTAGCCAGGCTTGGTGGTGCACCTGTAATCCCAGCTACTCAGGAGGCTGAGGCAGGAGAATTGCTTGAACCTGAGAGATGGAGGTTGCAGTGAGCCAAGATCATGCCACTGTACTCCAGTATGGGTGACAGAGTAAGACTCTGTTTCAAAAAAAAAAAAGAGGGAAGGAAAGAGGAAGGAAGGGAGGGAGGAAGGAAGGAATGAGAAAGAGCAGGGCAGGACGGAGGGAGGAAAGGGAAAGTCTTGTGGATTGGTTTGTATGTTTTTAATAAATCTCTCTGAAGGTGTCATGTTTCTGAGACAGGTGCTAATAACACAGATATTTTTATTTTGTAAAAATTCATCCCTCTGTGTGTACTCACTCATGCTCTTTTCTTTATGTAAAATATTGATTATAATAAACAGTTTTCATATAAATATAATGGGTGAATTTTATGGTACACAAACTATACCTCAATAAAGCTGTGTTTTAAAAAATAAATATAGTACACCAAAAAAAAAACCCAACCCTTTGCACAGTATATAATATAGACTAGGTATCAAAAGACCAAGAGAGGCCCCGAGTAGCTAAGTGGTTGCCCTGGGATGAGGCCATCAGAGAGGGTTTCTCAGAAGGGAGGTCTATAGAGCCAAGCCCTGTGGGAAAGGAGGCAGGAGAGGCTGGGGCAGGGCATACCACATGCCCCTGGCCAAATCGCTTCCCCTCCAATCCTCTCTCACTTTCCTCCAAGAACAAGGCTGGGAAGGGGAGAAAGGGAGGACAACCTGAGAAGGACAGCCCAGGCAAAAGGTTGGAGCAGAGAACAGAGGTGATCCAGGCACAAGGAACGTGAAACCTAAAGGCTTAAACTGCCCTGAGCACAAGAAAGGAATCAGGGCACTTAACATCGGGGGAGAATGAGGAGGGCAATGTCCTGAAAAAATTCCCAAATAACATAGGCAGAAAGTAACATTGCAATTGAGGCAAAGCTTATAATGATAATGATGGTGATGATCCCTTTTTTTTTTTTTTTTTTGAGATGAAGTTTCACTTTGTTGCCCAGGCTGGAGTGCAGTGGTGCCATCTCGGCTCTCTGCAATCTCCACCTCCTGGGTTCAAGTGATTCTCCCACCTTGGCCTCCCAAGTAGCTGGGATTACAGGTGCCCACCACCATGCTCAGCTAATTTTTGTATTTTTAGTAGAGACATGGTTTTGCCATATTGGCCAGGCTGGTCTGGAACTCCTGATCTCAAGTGATCTGCCTGCCTCGGCCTCCCAGAGTGCTGGGATTAGAGGCATGAGCCACTGCGCCTGGCCCCCCAACCCTTTTTTTTTTTTTTGAGACAGGATCTCACTCTGCCACCCAGGCTGGAGTGCTGTGATGCGATCTTGGCTCACTGCAGCCTCCACCTCCTGGGCTCAATCAATCCTCCCACCTCAGCATCCTGAGATGTTGGGACCACAAGTGTGCACCACCATGCCTGGCTAATTTTTAAATTTTTTGTAGAGACAGGGTCTCCCTATGTTGCCTGGGCTGGTCTTGAACTCCTGGGCTTAGGCAATCCTCCTGCCTTGGCCTCCCAAAGTGCTGAGATTACAGGCATGAGCCTCTGCAACCAGCGGATGATCCCATTTATGATGTTAGTAACATTGCTGCTGTCTTCATGATTGTTGTTGTCAGAAAAGCAGCAGGATGAAGTACATTTCCCAAAGTGAGCTCCAAGGAACACTTCTCCCCCAAGATTCTTTCTCCTCAACTAACTTGTTCACAGCAAAGATTTTGTTCATACTAACTCTGCTCTGCTCTTGGGACTACCCAGTGTGCAAAAGTATAATAAAGGCTCTGATAAGTTCTGCAGCAAATAGTCTGTTTAACTTTGTTGCAAACAGCCTTCCCTAAGCAGAGTTGATCACAGAAACCTCCTTTTTCATACTTATTATCACCCCAGGAATTGAGGCTTTGTGGCTCACACTCTGAGGAAGGAGGAGGAGAGCCTGAGCTCTGAATCAGACAGGCTGGGTTCCGTTTCAGCCTGTTTCACCGTGGCCTTAGGTAATTTGTTTAACCCCTCTGTGCCTCAACTTCCCTGGCTGTAAAATGGAGGAAATAATGCCTGTCTCATAAGGTTATGGTGAAGCTTCAATTAAATTTGGCACATTGGCCAGGTGCAGTGGCTTGCGCCTTAATACCACCACTTTGGAAGGCCGAGGTGGGCGGATCACTTGAGGTTAGGAGTTTGAGACCAGCCTGGCCAACATGGTGAAACCCCGTCTCTACCAAAAATACAAAAATTAGCTGGGCATGGTGGCAGGCACCTGTAATCCCAGCCGCTCTGGAGGCTGAGGCAGGAGAATCACTTGAACCCAGGAGGTGGAGGTTGCAGTGAGCCGAAATTGCGCCACTGTACTCCAGCCTGGGCGACAAAGCAATACTCTGTCTCAAATATACATATATGGCACATGACAGGTATTCAACAAATGTTTGTTCACCCATTTTACAGATGAACTCACTTGCCAGGAATGCATAAGCAGCGAATAACAGCCAGGGCTGGGATTCATGTCTAAGTTTTGCTGTTTGGTGGGGAAGGTGGGGACCCCTGCCTGCTGTTGGATGTGGGACTAATGAGTCTTTGTAGCCAAGGAGTCACCCTCTGAAGCATAAAGGATTCAGGATTACTTCCTGAAAGCATAACACAGCACAAGCCCTGGACCATCGGGGACTGAGTCATGACTCTGCCACTTACAAGTCACTTAACTGCTTAAGAAAGGTCACTTAACTCCTTGGGTTTCTGATCAGTAAAGTGGGGATAAAAATAGTACCTTTACATGGAGTTACCGTGAGGCAGAAATGAGTCAATGCAGGTAAAGTGCTTAGAATAGAGATTGACATGTGGTAAACCCTCAATACATGTGAGCTTTTGTTATTATTTCTGTTACTATTCTTTGTGGGGCCCCCAGGCAATTGACGGGAGATAGGGATGCAAAATATTCTTTTTCCCAAGGGGTCCTGGAAAGCAGGCATGACAGTCCCTGTCTGCTAGGATCCTGTCTCCTGGCTCCATCCTTCTACAGATTCCAGCCCTGCCTGAGCCCCTTCCTTCGGCTATGGGGATCTCACTAATGACATCTACCCTGATGGGGCTGCCCACACCAAGCATGAGCATATTAAGCCATTCTCGATTTGCTATAAAAAAAATACCTGAGATGGGGTAATTTATAAAGAAAAGATGTGTAATTGGCTCAGAGTTCTGCAGGCTGTATAGGAAGCATGGTGCTGGCACCTGCTCAGCTTCTAGGGAGGCCTCAGGACACTTACAATCATGGCAGAAGGTGAAGGGGGAGCAGGCACGTCACATGTGAAAGCAGGAGCGAGCCAGAGAATGGGGTGGGGGAGGTGCCACACACTTTTAAATGACCAGACCGCACGTGGACTAACTGATCCAGAGCTTGCTTATCACCAAGGGGATGGCCCAAGCCATTCATTAGGTATCCGCCCCCATAATCCAAACACCTTCTACCAGGGCCCTATCTTCAATACTGGGGATTGCACTTCAACATGAGATTTCAGCAGGGACAAATATCCAAACTATATCAGTGAGCCTGTGACTGGCCCGTCCTCAGAGGCTTCATCTCGCTAAAGAGCTACTGACCCCATTCTCACCTCCAGCTTGCATTTGAACAGTGAACTTGACCCTTCAAATCACTGTCATGTCTGCAGCATCCTCTGAGAGGAGCAGAATGGGCATTTGCATCCACAACTTATGAAGGAGAAACTGAGGCACACAGTGACGTTCAGGGACTCCCCTGCAGCCAAATGGGGCCTAGAACCCAGGTTTCCTGACCTGAAAGCCTGGGCTGCTTCCCACCGTATTATGCTGAGCCAAGCCCCACCCCTCACTCACTAAATGAAGTGATTCTTAGTTAATAAAGGTGCCCACTTCCCAATAAGGCTACCCATGCCAACGGGAGGAGGCTCACTGGTACAGCAATGGAGGTCATCCATGGTGACAAGTCCTCATGGTCAGCAATCCAATGGCCCCGGCCCACCCTGCTGCACGTCTCCCAGACCCTCCCATTCCCTCCCATCTCAGGCTTCACAAGAGGGCTTCCCCAGGCTAACGAATCAAACTGTCATCTGGCTCCTAATAGCTACAGAGACCTTGGCCTGGGTCACCTCTGACCCCAAGGACATAGCTAAGCTGATATACTCATTTTCTAGCCCAATGAGCCTACTACGTCTCCCACAGCAGGGCACTCAATGGCCATGGTGGCCCCACGCTAAGATGTAGCTCTCAGATTAGAGGTCAAGAGTTACAGTTCTGAGTCAGGGCCAGATCTACCTTTTTCCCTCTCTTCCTCCTCCTCATTCTCTCCCTTCGGTGTTCCTAAATTCTCTGAAGCTTAGTTTTCTCATCAGTTCAGGTGGCATCCAGTTCAGGTTGCTATGTGTAAATGTAGCTCCTGGCCCAGGGCAGGCATTGGCCTCCCCTGGCAGGCATTGGTTATGCTCAAGTGACAGCATAACCTGTGTAGTTCTGGGTCACCCTGTGGCCAGTCTCTATATGGTGCTGCATTCAGAGAAGACATCAGTCCATCACCACAGGACACTGAAATGCAGCTCCAGTTCTGACCAAAGCATCTGTAAATGGGCATTTACATTCCTAAAACAAATCCCAACTTCTTAGAGTCCTATTTTTCCATCTCCTGCTCCCTCTGGCAGCATGGCCACGGTGTCTCAGTCTCCCCACAACCTTCACCAGCCTCAGCCCCAACAGCGGCCTGGTTCTCCCCGCGCTCCCTTCTGCCTTTATCCACTTCTATCCTTTTCACCTGGGAGAAATACTCTGCTTTGCCTGATGGAAACTAATCTGAGATTTGGGGGCTTCTTTCAATTTTCCTCCCTCCCCAGCAACTGGGGCCCACAGCAGACCAAACACACAGAAACTTCCTTGGAGGGAGACGCAGCACAAAGGCTGGGAATCCTTGGATGTGAATTGTTTTGGTACTGAATAGGTGGTTGTTATTAGCAGGCACAGACACACACTTATCGCTGCCATCCACGATCTCCTCCTCCGGGAGCTTACAGTCGAGTTGAGGAAAGAACTTGAAATAATTTGACAACTTGGAACTCTGAACTGCACATAACAGACACGCCTCTGGAAGGAGTGGTCAGGGAAAGTGCTCCAGGCTGGGAAAGACTTGAGCTGAGTCACACACACACACAGTAGGCATTCGACTGGGGGTTGAGTGAGGGATTCATGGAGAGGGCACACGCAGATGAGAAAAGACACCAGGAACAGACTTGAGAGGCAAGGCCAGAAAGGACGGCTGGGATCAGATCACATCGGGGCTGGAGAGCAGCCTTGAGATCTGGGCTGCTGCCTGGCGGGGGTCACGCAGAGCCATGGAAGGTCTTGGAGCACAGGAATAAAGCAATCGAATCTGCTGTAGGAAGCTAACTGGTGGCCAGAGGAGGAAGGTGGGAGGCCGGGTGAGGGGGCTGAAGGCCAGCTGAGGGCAGGGCTGTGGGGCTGGAAGTGAAGGACTGGGTTCAAGTGTTGACCATGACCGGACAGGGACAGAGGTGGGGAAGGGAAGGGGGAGACCTGGTTCTAGGCAATGACTGCCCCTGCCCACCTGCCTCTGTCAACTTCTGTGGCCCCACTTCCTCAGTCCTTTCCCAACTCTAGCTAAACCCTCTAGACCTGTGTGCTTCTCCCACCCCCATCTCTCCCTTGGGGACCCCGGGTACTTGTCAGTGGCCTCACTCCTCACCACACTCCACACTCACTCTTTACTGCCTTGAAAGCTCCGAGGAGTTTCTCCAAAGCTAGCGGCGCCCAGGCTGTTGGAGCTGGCCATGAGGTGCTGCCCCTCCAAGTCATGTGGGGAAGCTGAGCCCACCCAACTCACAGGTAATCAAGGCCCGTGTATGAGAGTTCAGGGGTGAGACCATGGGCTTCAAAGCCAAACCACCTACGACTGGGTCCTGACTCTGCCAACTGCTAATTATGTGACCTCAGACAAACTAATTAACCTCCCAGACTCAGTTTCTCCATCTGTACAATGGGGGCAGTGGCGGTTCCTGACTCAAAGGGCTGTTGTAAGCACTGAAAGAGTTAATAACATGCGAAGCCTTTAGCACAATTCCAGGCACGCAGCAAGTACTCAATAAATATTGACTCCTTTGTTGGTTTTTTTTTTTTTTTGAGACAGAGTCTCGCTCTGTTGCCCAGGCTGGAGTGCAGTGGCATGATCTCGGCTCACTGCAAGCTCCGCTTCCCCGGTTCACGCCATTCTCTTGCCTCAGCCTCCTGAGTAGCTGGGACTACAGGTGCCCGCCACCACGCCCGGCTAATTTTTTGTATTTTTAGTAGAGACGGGGTTTCACCTTGTTAGCCAGAATGGTCTCGATCTCCTGACCTCGTGATCCTCCCACCTCAGCCTCCCAAAGTGCTGGGATTACAGGCGTGAGCCACCGCGCCCGGCCTAATATTTACTCCTTTGTATAGAACAAGTCCCGTGACAGACACTAGGGAGACACAATGTATAAAGCAGGTTCCCTGCTATCATAGAACTAACAGGACATGCAAAGAAACAAATGCCTTGCAATTTGGAACAAACGATGAGAGAAATAGGAGATATCAACTCACCCTCAAGGAATCCCCAGTCTTGGGAGGAGGGTGTGCACAGGGGCTCAGCTTCTGCCTTTCAAATCTTAGTCTGATGGGAGAGACACACCCTCCTCCCTGACCCAGGGAGCTTCCAGCCTGTTGGGTAAGGATGGACTCTCACACATCAAGGTGTCTCCTCCCAGGCTGCCTCTTCCTATTTGACTACCTGAAATTCCTACTCTTTCTTCAAATGTCACCTTCTCCAAGAAGACTTCCTTGATCCCCACCAGACAGGGAGCAGCCCATCCTTGACACTCCGAGAGCACTTTGCTCCCTCCTCCATCAGAGCACTTCTCACTCTGCACTGAAGGAGACTGTGTGTGTCTGTGTGTGTATGTCTCCAGGCCACCTACCCACAAACCCCACATTTGTGAAGGTGGAGACCAGGTCTGACTAGTGAGAGCCAGGTGCACAGCACGTGCAGAACAAGTGTGTGCCGGCGAAGTGATGAATGAAAGGATGGACCGGCTGGTAAACAGAGAGACAATCTGGAGACACTGGTCTGTTAGGGAAGACGGACACCGGGACAGGCTATGTCTCTTCGTCATAGAATAGGATGATGACAACCTCGCTAGGGCCCCAGAGAAGCTCTGGGGGGGCACGAACAATGGGGATTCCAGGGAGCAACCCTGCTTCCCAGCCTGCACAGCACCAGCCTGCCCTCTGTTACCCACTCTCAATGATCACAGCAGAAGCCAGGCACGGTGGCTTACACCCATACTCCCAATATTTTGGGAGGCTGAGGCAGGAGGATCACCTGAGCCCAGGAGTTCAAGACCAGCCTGGGCAACATAGTGAGACCCCATCTATCTTGAAAGAAAGAAGGAAAGAAAGAAAGAAAGAAAGAAAGAAAGAAAGAAAGAAAGAAAGAAAGAAAGAAAGAAAGAAAGAAAGAAAAGAAAGAAAGGAAGGAAAGAAGGAAGGAAGGAAGAGAAAGAAAAGAAAGAAAGAAAGAAAGAAAGAAAGAAAGAAAGAAAGAAAGAAAGAAAGAAAGAAAGAAAGAAACGAACGCAAGAAAGCAAAGAATCATGGGAGCACCCTCCGTCCCTGGGACTGGCTGTCTTCCCCACCTGGGCAGCATGCCCTGGAAAAACACCACAAACATAACACAAACCTGTTACTACACCAGAAAGTGGGGGCATATAGCCAGAACATCACAATGTCTGTCCCAAAACCCTCTAGATGCAAGCCAGGGTCTCTCTGCCCATACCTTGGTTGGTTTACTCAGGCCAAAGCCAATGGCAAAGTGAGTGTTCAAAACATGTTGGACAAGTAAACGTCTGAGCATCCAGGGGACAGAGAGCTGGCTGTGCTCCCTTCCTCCTACAGGGGCTTCCCCCAAGAGCCCAAAGAGCAGACTCTGGAAGTGCCGGGTTCACGTCTTGCCCGCTGCACGATCCTGGGCAAGACATTTGGCCTCTCTGAGCCTCAGGCTCCTCCTCTAGAAAATGGGTACGATCAGAGAAAAAGCTTCATAAAGCTCTTCCAAATGCAAGTTCATATTTTGTTCTCACTTCTTGTGTGTGAGAACAAAATATGAACTTACATTTGGAAGAGCTTTATGAAGAATAAAGGGCTGCACAAACAAGGGACTTGGAGTATTTGCATTGTTTTTTGTTTTGTTTGTTTGTTTGTTTTGAGACAGAGTCTCGTTCTGCCACCCAGGCTGGAGTGCAATGGCGCGATCTTGGCTCACCGCAACCTCCGCCTCCTGGGTTCAAGCAACTCTCCTGCCTCAGCCTCCCAAGTAGCTGGGACTACAGGTGTGTGCTACCATACCTCGCTAATTTTTTTGTATTTTTAGTAGAGACGGAGTTTCACCATGTTAGCCAGGATGGTCTCGATCTCCTGACCTCATGATTCACCCACCTCAGCCTCCCAAAGTGCTGGGATTACAGGCATGAGCCACCGCACCCGGCCTTGTATTGTTTTAATATTATTGTTATCACAGCAAAAGAACAGAAACTCAAGCCCTTGACCCTGGATCAGTGCTGTGGCCCTCTAAGGCATCCTCAGCATCTGCTCTGAGCTGGAATTTTTGATTCAAGGTCCAACTGAGGCATGGAACAACTGGGGTGAGGAGAGGAGAAAGGTAGGTGTGTATATGTGTATGTGTCTGTGCAGGTGTGCACTTGCACGTGTGTGTGCCTCTGCATGTGCATGTGTGTGTCTGGGTGCACATTTGCGCGTGTGTGTACATGTGTGTGTCTCTGCATGCACATGTGTGTGGGTCCACATTTACATATGTGTGCATGTGTGTGTGCCTATATGTATGCATGTGTGTCTGGGTGCACATTTGCATGTGCACGTGTGTGCCTACGCACGCACATGTGTGTGGGTGCCCATCTACATGTGTGTGCACGTGTGTGTGCCTACGCATGCATGTGTGTGTCTGGGTGCACATCTGCATGTGTGTGCCCACGCTTATGCAGGTGCATGTGTGTGTCTGGGTGCACATTTGCATGTGTGTGCATGTGGGTGTGTGCCTGTGTGAGTGTATCTGTGTCTGCCCTGGGGTGGGGAGAGGTGGGGACAGAGGGAAGAAAAGGGGAATAGAGGAGAAAAGAAGAAAAGCAGAAAAGCACGGGGAAGAGGAGGACTGAGGTATTCGGTTACATGATCTAAATTCTAATCAAACATCATTTAAAGCGTGTTTTATTTCAGCCTCGGGAGAGCCGGTCCCTCCTGGCTGCTCACCATGGCAACGGGCCGCTCATTTCAGAAGTGTCATGCCACATTATCATCCTGCCGCCTCACAAGCTCTCGCCGCCTGACAACTTCGCTCTGCCCCTTGCGACAACCATCCCCGCTCCGCCGGTTTATTTTTGGTGTCAGCCGGCCCCCCCTTCCCTGCCCCCTCCCCATCATCAGTGGATTGAAAGACAACCTCAGCCCTCCAGCCGGTGAGCATCGCAGCCTGTTTGGTGATAAGAGATAATTTGAGAAGATATTTGCTTACATGTGTATGAACAATTTGCTGCATTAAGACAATTCTGCCTGGTGCGTGGGGATGGGGAGGGGGTGGCCAGTGCTTCAGCTGACAACACCCCAGGAAAGAGGAGGGACAGTCTTGTGGGAGCTCTATGCGATGATCATCTGGCTGCCTCCCCCAGCATCACCAGGAGACAACAGGCCGGCCACCAACTGACTGTGACCTTGTGCAAGTCACTCCCCTTCTCTGTGCCTCCCTTTCCTTATCTATCAGAAGATGGGGTCAGAACAGCTGGAATCTGAGATCCCTGCCAAGTGTGGCACTGGGTGAACCAATGATTCTAAGAAAGGGGGCAGCAGACGGCTGAGGACCCAGAAAGAGGATATTCCCCCAGTCCTGTCACCACTGTGAAGACAGATGAAGGGAAAGAGGTTCGCATCCCACTTCTATCCATATGACAGTCCCAGCTCAGAAAGGGTGGGAGTGAGGAACCTGAAGCTCCCCACTCTGTGAAGGCTGGAGAGATCCCTGACCTAGGATCGGAGCCTGTCCTGGGAGGGGTTTCCTAGGACACCCTTCCCTGCTCTCTGCCGGGCCTTCATCACAGAATGAGACATCTCTGAAGTCACCCACTCCACCTCGATCATGTTCACATACACACATGTGCCGCTACAGGCATCTTTCCAAGATCAAGGGCCAAGATGGAGGCAGAAAGGCAGATTCCGAAGAAGCTGGGAGGGAGGTGTGCCCTGAGGCCCCCAGGTAAGGAGATGGGATCCCTGGCTCTCAGAGCCAAGCAAGGAGACAATGGGTTGAAAGGCAAGTTGGCCCCAGCCTGAAGCTCTACACACTAAAGGCCAAGAATAATGACAAGAGTTTCCATCTGCTGAAGACTTCCAGGTGCCTGGCCCTGTGCTGAGATTAAAAGGGTTGGAGCCCCCTCCCCAAACGCTGTGCCCTCCTGACCCAGGTGGGTGGAAGCGGGCCTGGGAGAGGCTCAGCTGATGGGAGCCTGCACCTCTGTTTATTCATCTGTCAAACAGGGTTAATAAAAGTTCCTACTGGATAAGATAGCTGTCAGCGTTAAGAGAAGGCTTAGCACAGTTGGGGCATATAGTAGGTATTCCATAAATGTCAGCTATGAGAAGTGAGGAACTCAGGCTTTCTGCACCACTCAGCCTGCTAGGCACCTGGGCCCTGTGGCCTGTTTGGCTCCCACGCAGGGGCCCTGTTCTGGGGAAAGGAGACTCTACATCTGCCTGCAACCCCTACTTAGTTTCTCTGGCCCAGCCAAGGTTTCTTCAGGTCATGAAGGATGACCTCTCTCCCGCCCCTGACAGCCTCCTCTGGTCTTCAGGCCATGAAGGATGACCTCTCTCCCGCCCCAGACACCCTCCTCTGGGACCCTCAGACCCCAGGAACCTTCAGGTCACTGCCCACAAAGTGACCCTCTTCCGTCTGCCTTTGACTCCTCTCTCTGCCCATGTTTGGGGGTAACATGGGGTGAGGGGCCCACAGAGCCCCTGAAATTAGAAGACCAGCTGAGAACTTAGACCTCCACTTACCTCACCCACCATCCCCTTCTCTAAGCAGGGTCCCGCCCCCACTCCTCAGGAGAATGGTCCCAGGAAAACCACATCGATGCGGTAAAGGCCAGTCTCCTTCACCATCCAACTCCAAGCAGGCTCCCCCAGGCCTCGGCAGACCCCTTTTCTCCCCCAGGGCACAGACAGTGGAATAGAGAGACAGTGGCTGCAGGAAGAAGAATCTCTTTAGGGTCAGTGGAACCAGGGTCCAATCCCAGCTACACCACCTCTCAGCAATGGGGTCTTAGGCCAGGGGGCTGACCTCAGTGTTCCTATCCATAAAATAGGGACAACGATACATACTTCATAGGGCTGCTGGCATGATTAGAGGTACGCCACCCACGTAGTAGGTTTCCAATAAAAAGCAGCCATTATGAATAACAATGACCAAAGATGCCCCAGTGGAGCCAGGGAACGATTTCCCTTCCATCTGCTGCAGGCCTCCGTGTAGACTGGCACTGGCTGGAGACTTCCATGGCCAGGACCTTGTGCCCTGAGCCCCTCCACCCTGCCTTGTTCTGCCACCCTGCTGGAGCCTGGAAAATGATGGGCTGGGGGCTATCGTGCCATGCTATGCCTCTGCGCAGGCAATGTTTGCGTGCCCTGGTATGGCTCTCTTTCTTTTTTCCTCTCTTCAGCAACACAGCGAAATGAATCGAACAATTCATCTCAGCATTCCACTCACATCTGCTTTACCTAGAACGGGAGGGGTCAAGGGGCTCAGCACCTGGCAGGAGGGGCAGGGCCTCAGGAAGGAAGCTTTGTCCCAAAGGAGAAAGGGTTCTCAAATCACATCCACATTTCTGGATTTTTTTTAATGTGAAGAGCATGTATTATTATTTTTTTGAGAACAGGGCCTCACTCTGTTGCCCAGGCTAGAATGCAGTAGCATGATCATGGCTCACTGCAGCCTCCACCTCCTGGGCTCAGGCGATCCTCCTGCCTCAGCCTCCCTAAGTGCTGGAATTACAGGCCTAAGCCACCATGCCTGGCCATTGTATTATTTTTATAACCAGGACTTCCACACACAACAGTAGTGAGGTCGGCCAGATGCCAACCTTTCCCACACCCACAAGCACCCCCCACCTCACCCCACTCCAAACCTCTTAGAGGCAATAGAGCACAGGAGGCTCAGGGGCCTGGGTCCCCAGCCTCCTCCACCCCTTCCAGCCGCGTGGCCTTCTGCAGGTCCCTCGAGCTCCCGGGCCTCGGCTCCTAATCTGCACCATGGGGATAAGGCAGGCCCCGCCTCAATGGACCCTGGTGAGGAGTAGAGGAGGTGACCTGGGGAAGCTCCCTGCGCGTGGACTAGCACCCCGGAGGTGCCGCCGCCCACCCTCTCCTGAGAGAAGGTGGCGCCCCCAAGTGCCAGAGGCTTTAAGCACTTGCTTCTCAGCTTCCCTCTGGAAGCAGCTTTGGGAGGAGGCCGGGGCGACGGGGAAGTGAGGGAAACAGCCCCCCAAATAGGAAGGGGTCGGGAAAGGCAGCTCTAGGGGTCTTGCTCACCCCGCAGCCCGGCGCAGCCCTCCTGTCCTGCACCGTGGGGGCGCCGCCCTCCCAGGCGGGCCTCGGAGCGGGTCAGAGAGGGGAAGCAAAACTCCCGCCCGCACCGGCCCGGGGCCTTGGGGGAAGGGCCAGGGCGGGCGCCTCCGGCTCACCTCCCGACGGTGAAATGTGGCCATTTACCTTCACGCTCCGGTGCCGGCACCTAAATCACTGTCTCCGCGGCCGCGCTCAAGGTTGCTCCCGAGCCGGCCGCCGCCGAGCAGCCGCGGGAACTCCGGCCGAGCCCCCACCCCGAGCCAGGCCGGCTCCGCAGGCCGCCCGCTGCGTCCTCCGCCCCGCGTCCCTTCCCTCCCCTCCCTTTCCTTCTTCTTCCTTCTTTCTCTTTTTTTGGCCCAAGGACTTAACTCAGGGAGTAAGGAGGCCACAGTCCCGGGCCCAGACTCACCGAGAGCCTCCAAGGCCCGCTTCTGTCGCAGACTGAGGTCGTTAGGACCGCCCCTGAGGGAAGAAGGCTCCGTGAGGCAACTTTGAACTTGGGTCCCTCTGCCCAGCTATGTGCCCCGAGAAAGCAGGACAAGAGTATTTCAATCCTGTGACTCCCGTATGACTGGTACGCAGAATGCATCGTGTGTGTGCGCGCGTGTGCGTGTGTGCATGCGTGTGTCCGTGTGTGTGTGCGTGTGCGCAGTGTGCGGCTGTGTGCGCACCTATGTGTGTGCGCGAGTGTGTGTGTGTGCCTGTGTGTGCGTGCGCCTATGTGTGTGCATGCATGTGTGTGCGCAAGTGTGTGTGTGTGTACCTGTGTGTGTGGAAAGTGCTACTTTGTAGAAGGTAAACACTCGTCTGCCCTTGTGACTTGTGACTTTGGCACCCTTTCATCAGGCCCTATGCTCATCCTTCAGCTCCTTCTGCCTTCCTGGTCTTTCTCCTTCCTCTCCCCCAGGGACCCCCACTTGTCACCTGTCCAGAGAGGAGGAAAGAGAGTCCCAAGGCCGCTGGAGGCTTCTGTGGAAAAGGGGGAGCCGGCTGGGGCTGTCAGCACCAAGAGGAGAAGGTCTCTACCTCTGCCCTGGCCAGGGTGTTTCCCTCCGCAGACTGGGAAAGGGGCAGCCCGGGGGAAGTTCAGAGACCACACATCTAGGAAGGGAGAGAGAGGCAACGAACAGGGAGGGACCCCCAGTCTGGCCCTGAGGCCCACGCAGGCCAGGGCTGATTCTCCCCTCGTGCTCTGAGCTCACTGTCTGCCCTGTGCACTTGCTCTGCCTGCCTGTCATTCATTTGCACCTTATTTCTGTTTTCCCTGTGTGGATCGGTGTCTCCCTCATCTGACTGAGGGTTCCTCCAGGACAGAAGTGACGTTTTCTTCATCAGACCAGAGACTCTCTAGAGCAAAGACATATCCCTCCCGTCAGAGTGGGTGCTCCCAAAGCAGGAGCTCTGTCCCCCATTTGCTGAGCTTCCCTTGGCAGAGGATCTGACTTCCCATCAGACTAGGGCTTCCCAGGTTAGAGGTTGGAGCTCCCTCAACAGACTGGGAACTCCCCTAGTGCAAGGCTTGTGTCTCTCCCAACAGACTGGGGACTCCCACAGGTCAAGGGCTGTGTCTCTCAAGGGCTGTGTCTCTCCCCTGCAGACCAGGAGCTGCCCCAGGACCCTGCTGACGGCATCTGACTTAATGTCCAAAGCTCCAGGGTCCTGCCCCACGCTCAGCCACTGTGGTTTAGGAGCTCTCGGGTCTGGGTGTAACCACAGCTTCATCATATCATAGCTCTGTGACCTTGAACAAGTTGCATGACCTCTGGGTTGAATGCTGCCACTACTCAGGGTCTTTGAGGCTCCAGTGAGACAGCATTTGGTGAAAAGGCCTAGCCCAGGGCCTGGCATATAGTAGGTGTTCAATAAATGCCTGTCTCATTCCCTTCCCCTCATTAGACAGAGAAGTATATTCCAAACCTGCTCTTCCAGCTTGGACCAAGGAGACAGAGGGGAACCAGAGTTGGAAAGGAGTGCCCACAAAACACACACACACACACACACACACACACACACACACACACACACACAAGCAACTGGGTAGTGGCCTCCTTCGCTAGGGGATAGGGCGGTGGCAAGGAGTTAAATGTATTAAGCAATTTACAATTAATATAGAAGTCATTCCAGAGATAGCTACTAGAAGGAGTACAACAGGGCAATTAACCCACTAATACACTAGGCTATTACATCGCTATGTCTCTTATTTTAGCCCGAGGTGATTTGAAACGCATTGGATTAGAGGATATTACAGGAGATAGCATGAAAAATAGCTTAATGTAATGAGCCATCCCGTGATGTCTGCTATTAAAGATGATTTGCAGTTGAAAACTACAACATACAGTAGTTCAGCTATTTGAGGACCGAGAGGGTGGGGGCTGGGGTGGTGCTGTTAACCCTTCCCTCCTTCCAGCTGCCCCCACCCCACCAGGCCCTCCACCACCTTCATGCCAAGATTATCAAGTGCATCTTATTAGGCGACAATAGCTTCGTTGGGAGATTGGAGATTGGGGCCTGAGGTTGATAAAGAACCAATAATCTGCTAATAACCTTTAAAAAATAGATTCCCCCAGGGAGCTGTACTAATGGGCTGAGGCTGGGGAGGGAGGCTGATTGGCAACTGGATGTGGAAATGGGTGTGGGATTAGGGTGGAGGGAGACTTCCCTTGATAAGGGGAAGTTCAATGTGACAGCCCCAATCCCAGCTCCCCTGAGTGAGCAGGCAGGCAGGTGTGTGCGTTATGGACTGCTTATTTAAGAGGTATGCCTAAGTATGTGTGTGAATAATTACAATACACAAAACTTTTTTTCTATTTAGCCAAGCTTCATATAGTGCATCACAACTTTCAAAAGGTATTTCAGGCCAGTTGCCATTACTCACACCTGTAATACCAGCACTTTGAGAGGCCAAGGCAGGAGGATCACATGAGCCCAGGAGTTTGAGACCAGCCTGAGCAATATAACAAGATCTCATCTCTGCAAATAAATAAATAAATAAATAAAACTAAAACATTAGCTGAGCATGGTGGCACATGCCTGTAGTCCCAGCTACTCAGGAGGCTGAGGTGGGAGAATTGCTTGAGCCTGGGAAGCGGAGGTTGCAATGACATTGCACCACTGAACTCCAGCCTGGGTGACAGAGTGAGACCCTGTCTCAAAAACAATAAAAATTTTAAAAAAGACTATTTCACATGCATTAGTTCTCTGAACTTTACAGGCATCCAGAGAGGTAGGTAGTATTATACCTTCATTGTACAAGAAGGCATATGAGCTCAGAGAAAGTAAGTAACTTACCTAAGTTCAATGCAGCCAGTTATACAATAAGACAGGAATCAAAGAGATGTTTTCTGATTTCAGAGCTTGTGCTCAATGATATGCAATTCCAGCCTATGACTATGTTCTACCCAAGAAATCTCTGCCTACCTCAAGATCCCAAAAGTCTTCCCCCATGTTTTCTTCCAGAAGTTGTATTGTTTTACATCTTGAGTTAATTTCTGTGTATGGTGAGAGGTGAGGTTTGGTGTTCATTATTTTTGGTTGGACTATGAATGCATTTGCACATCCATGTGTTTGGCTAGGTGTAGATGGAGTAGAGTACACACTTATGAGCTGGCTGCCACATAGAGACAGTGGCCTCTATGCAGAGGTCATCTGAGGCAGACACACGTAGAGTCACACTGAAGATGGTGGATACATCAGCACGGTGGGCTCGAGGAGTGGGTATTGTACACTGAGGTGTGAGTGCCTGGGGTGAGCGTGTGAGTGCATGCTTGTTTTGGTGAGTGACACGTTTGTCACATGTGTGTGCCGGTGTATGTCTATCACTGTACATGCATATTGGTATATGTGTGTGCAAGTGAATGTGTCCCTGCGCCTGTATCAGGCTATGTGTATGTTCACAGCTTTGGGTGTCACCCAGCATGTATGTTTGTGGTTAGCATTTGTGGGCATGTCACTGTTGCAGCTAAGTCTGTGTGTGCATGTCACTGTGTGTGTGTGTGTGTAGCTGTTGTCATGGATGGTACTGTGTGTCTGTGTCTGCATCTGTGTGTGTATGTCATCGTGCATGTCGCTGTGCCCGTGTGTTGCTGTGTGCCTGCGCCTCCCCTGGTGCGGCAGGGCCAGCCGGGAGCAGCCCCCGCGCCCCCCTCACCGCTGTCTTTTATCATCATTTGCAGCGATAGGGAGCCCAGGAGGATGGTGATAAATAAGGGCCACTTAAAATACGAGACGACCACTCTGACTTTGGGGAATATTTCTTCTGTGGAGCAGCTGGTGCCGCCTCTGTCCTTGTAGAAAGGGGTCCCAGGGGCCGCCAGCCCCTGCCCAGCTTCCTTGGGCTCCCTCTCCTCCTCCCACTCCCCCCTCCCCTGCCGCTCTCCTACCAGCTCTGGCTTGGAGGCCTTAGGAGGCCTGGGGAGGGAAGCAGAGGGGGCCCCACCTCAAGGCCAATGGGGCAGGGCAGGGCCCTCTTCAGGGTCTCCATGGAAGATTGAGTATCATGGTGAAAGAGCTATGGACCAGGAAGAGGCTGAGAGGAGACTGGAGGAGATAAGCCCTCAGCCCTGTGGGATTCCCTTCTAATTCCCTCTCCCTTCTAAGCTCTGGGGAAGGAATGGCTGGGGAGTGCCAGAGAGCCAAGACGCACAGAGAGACACACATAGACACACAACCCAGTCACACCATCTTGAGCACCTATGATGTGTCAATCCCTGAAAGAATGCCACGAGAACACCCATCCCATGTAGCAATAATAATGTACACACATACTAAGGCTGCTACACAAAGACATACAAAGGCATGCAAAGAGACTGGTGTGTAAGACTTGTCACAGTGAGTGCTGGGAACAGGAGGAGAAAGAAGGAAAAGGAATTGAAAAGGGAAGGGAGAAAAGGGGGAAATATACACATGTAGATGTGAGGGATACACAACAGCATCAGTATAGAATGGCCCCTCAGTGGGAGGAAGAAGAGGGAAAAGGGGTGGAGGACTGCCCTATATGGGTGTGCAGGTTGCTCACTGCACAAGGAGGAAAGCAAGGGCTAAATCCACCCTTTGCTCCACCAACTAACTCGTGCCCTGGTATGAGGCTTCCCCATCAGAAGGAAAGATGCCTTTAATTGTTCATAGAAAGCACCATCAACCAGCCACACCCTGTACCCACAGGGCAAGGTCCTTCCAGTAGGTGCCTAATTCTCACACAGGTGCCTTAAGAGCTAGCTAGGCCCTGGGGGCCGGTTGGGGGAGGCTCTTGAAGTCTGTCTGTAAGACATTATTTCCTTAAAAATAAAAAAAGAGGGCAGGGCATGGTGACTCATGCCTGCAATCTCAGCACTTTGGAAGGTGGAGGCAGGCGGATCACGAGGTCAGGAGTTAGAGACCAGTCTGGCCAACATGGTGAAACCCCATCTCTACTAAAAATACAAAAATTAGCTGGGCTAACCCCTGTAATCCTAGCTACCCAGGAGGCTGAGGCAGGAGAATTGCTTGAACCCAGAAGGTGGAGGATGCAGTGAGCTGAAATGGCACCACTACACTCCAGCCTGGGCGACAGAGCAAGACTCTGTCTCAGAAAATAAAATAAAATAAAATAAATAAAATAAAATAAAATAAAATAAAATAAAAAAATAAAATAAAATAAAATAAAATAAAATAAAATCATAAATAAGGCCCAGTGCAGTGGCTCATACCTGTAATCTCAGTACTTTGGGAGGTCAAAGTGGGAGGATCGCAGAAATTCAAGAGCAGCCTGGGTAATGTAGCAAAACACTGTCTCTACAAAAAATTTAAAAATTAGCCAGGCATGGTGGTATGCACCTGTAGTCCCAGCTACTCGGGAGGCTGAGGTGGGAGAATCACTTGAGCCCGGGAGATCAAGGCTGCAATAAGCCGACATCGTGCCACCACACTCCAGCCTGGGCAACAGAGCAAGACCCTGTCTCAAAAAAAAAAAGGGAAAAGAAACAGAGGAAAGGAAGTAGAAACTAAAACAGAAGAGAAGGAAGAAGAGAAAAAAGAGGGAGAGAAAAAAGAGAAAGGGAAAGGAGAGAAAGATTTGAAAGAGGAGGGAGAGGGAAATTAAACCATAGAAAGAACTTGTCACTGTCACTCTGCTAGTTGAGATGCCAGGACTAATCTGGGTCCCAGGGCAGGGGGTGGTGGGACAGGCGAATCAGGAATAACAGGTCTCTCTCCTTTCCTCCCTACTTTCCTCCTTCTCTCTCTCTCTCTCTCTCTCTCACACACACACACACACACACACACACACACACGCACCTCCTATGCCCATCCTGTCTCCATTCTCAGCCTATCCCAGGTGGCCAGGGACCTGTCACGTCTCATTTCCTTCTCCTAGAACCAGTGATGAGGAGCTGGGGGAGAGGTAGGTAGGGGGACCACCTGAGCTGACCTTTTCTCCTTCAATTTCCCTCCCAGGCTCCTTAGCCATCAGCCATGGGTGTGCTGACACCCTCATTTCCTGTGACCTCCCCAACACACACAATGTCATGTCCCCACTCATCCGGGCTTAGGGTCCTAGGACCAACCCATACCTTCTCCCATTGAGCTGCAAATCCCTGGGCACCTTCCCTGGCCCCATTCCTCCCAAACATTCTCCAAGCCCCTGGGACATTTTTCTGCCCCGCCCACCCTGTGGGAGAAGAAGGAGAGAAGAACTAACATTTTCTGAACACCAATTGTGCGCTAGGGACCCTGAGCCCTGGCTGTATCATTTGATGCTCACAAAAACCCTTTGAGGTGAGTTTTAACTCAGAATCTCCAATTGACAGAGGAGGAAAGTTCAGGCCATAGATGGGAAAGCCTCATGGCTCATAACTAAGGCTGCAGGAAAATAAACCCGGGCTCTTGACTACAGATCCTGCTCTTTCCACTACAGCATCAGACGCTTTTCTTGAAATCTCGCTCTATCCAATCTTCTCAATTTGGTTATCGAGGGCATACAGTGTGCCAGGCACTCTGCTAAGCACCATGCCACATTATCTCATTCAACCTCACACCCACCTATGGGGAAGATTCTATCATTACCCCCATTCCACAGATGGGACAGTTGTGGCTCAGGGAGGTTGAGCGACTTGCCCAAGGTTACACAGCCTTGGGAAAGCAGAGCCAAGACTCAAATAGGGTCTCCTGCCTCTTAACACACTGCCCAATGTGATGAGATAACACGGATTCCGCCGCTATCGCCTGCAGCCCGGAGCCGGCAACAAGACCGACAGTCCAGGCCTAAAGGAGTTGAAGGTGGGGTGCTTGGGCGCAGCAGACAAAGAGGGTCGAGAGCTGCACATTCTCAGTCTTCCCAGGAGCACTGACCCCATTGTCCCCACAAGTGCCCCCAGATTGTCAGAGCCAGGGCCTCATCTGGCCCTCAGAATATATGGCTGCAGAATAATATGACAGTTGGGGGAGGAAGGGTGGAGGCTGGAGTGGAGGGGCAAATGAAGAAGGCTCTGCACAGCCCCCAGAAGGAAACTTAATAGTCTAGGGGCTCCCTTGGGTCCTTCTCATTAAAAAAAAAAAATCTCTATTTAAATGCAAATTTGTGCTGGAGCTGCGATGGGTTGGCAGGAGGAGGCAGAGAAGCATCTAGACACTGATGACGTAGACCAGCCATTGGACCCCGCTCCCTGGCTTGCCTTGTAATCTGGGATTCTGCTCCTGGAAGTTAGCTTTATCCTCAAAGATCGCCCCCTCCCCACTCTCTGCAAAGCCCCCTCCAGCTTAACCCCTCGCTACCTGTCTCTGCCTGTGTGCATCTGTCTGTCTCTCACACACACACTCACTCTCTCTCCAGACTCTGTGTAGAAATGTGTTGTGGGGTGAGCTGGCAGCTGTAAGCCGCGGTAGCAGTTTCCCTCCTGTGTCTAGGAAGTGGGGGTGTCTGACATGACACCCCTCCTCCACATGCCCTCCTCCAAGGAAAGAACTGAAGTTAGAAGAGGGAGAAGAACCTGAAGTCGGGTACCTGGTTTTGACCTACCTCTCCCCAAACTAGAAAACCCGTGAGACACACACACACACACACACACACACACACACACACACGCACACAACCAAGTTTCAAACCAGACAATAGAAGACAAACTGGCCTTCAGGTTGGATTCTTGAGAGAAATCAGACTCCAAGCCAGGAAAAACTGCCACACATAATCCCCTCCTTCCCCTCCCCCAGCCCCCAGGTCAGACTTCCAATGTCACTGTGGGAAAAGCAGACTGGGATGCGGGGTTGACAGCTGAGACCCACACCTGCCCAGCGCCCACATTCTGTCCCAGCCCACCTCCCACAGTGGGGGAGATCCCTCTGTTCCTCTTCCTCAACAAATCCCTCGGCCTGAGCTCCCCTCTGCCCCTCAGTGCCCCCCACCACCTCTCCAAGCCCATTACCTCCAGGGATAATTATGTGGGTGATTCGCTGGCCCTGGAGAGCTCTTCAGTGGCATTAACTCGGGATGAGGGAGAGAAAGGAGGGTTGCCCCTGGTTACCACCCTTCTCCCCCTTCTTCCCAACCCCCACCATTGAGGGTGTTCATTTAGGGGGAGTGAAGAATGAGATGTTGTGAAAATCCATCTAGGACACAAATACAAACACCTGTCTCAAAACTTTCTACTTCCATTTCTGGCTTTGTCAGGGGAAACTGAGTCAGGAGCCTTGTCCTCGGGGACAGATGGTCTTGGGGTTAAGAATGCCAGCATTCTGGCTGGGTGCAGTGGCTCACGCCTGTAATCCCAGCAGTTTGGGAGGCCAGGGTGGGTGGATCTCTTGAGATCAGGAGTCCGAAACCAGCCTGGGCAACATGGTGAAACCCTGTCTCTACTAAAAATACAAAAATTAGCTGGGCCTGGTGGTGGGCACCTGTAATCCCAGCTACTCGGGAGGCTGAGGCAGGAGACTTGCTTGAACCCCGGAGGCGGAGGTTGCAGTGAGCTGAGATCTTCCTACTGCACTCCAGCCTGTGCAACAGAGTGAGATTCCATCTAAAAAAAAAAAGAATGCCAGCATTCCTACTGGCCCTGCCACCTCGGCAGCCACTCATCTCCTCCTTCCTGCTCCTCTCCTTCAGCCAGCCCCTTGGGCCTTTACTGATCTCATACCTTTATGGTTCCAGTTTGGCTGGGATGAGCCATCTTTGCCATTGCCTATGGAGATCTGCAGGGAGAGGGTGTCTGGGATTTGCAGGGGTTACCCAGAAGACTCCTTAAAGCTTTCCATGCAAACCCAAATTCCAGGCTTGCTGAGAAGAGGGCAGAGCCATGACCGGCTCACCGCTGCCTGCTTCCCATATTTGTGGCCTGAACTGCGATGGCCTCTGGACACTGCAGGACCTTAGCATTGTGAAGAAAGGCCTCTGGACCGAAAGTGGTTAGAGGAAGCGTGGGGACCTTGAGTGCCAGGAGACAAAGCAGGGGCTAGAGGTCAGGAAGAAGGAGAGATCCCCTTCGTGCCTCCTTCTAAGAAACCCTGAGTGAGAAGACCATAACCGCGAGAAGGGAAGGTAGAACTCAGAGAGACTTGAGGCCATCAGAGCTTCTACCACGAGAGAGACCCACAGCCTAGAGAGGGTGTGGAGTTGCCTCAGCTCACACAGATTAACACTGGGAGAAAGCTGGAACCTGGGCTCTTGACTCTGAAGCCATAGGCTGACTTCAATTGGAGGGAAAGAGTGGTATTTATACAAATATAAAATCAGTTTGTGGCTGGGCTCGGTAGCTCACGCCTGTAATCCCAGCACCTTGGGAGGCTGAGGGAAGATTTCTTGAGCCCAGGAGTTCAAGACCAGCCTGGGCAACATGGTGAACCCCCATCTCTACAAAAAATACAAAAATTAGCTAGTGCGGTGGCGTGCCCCTGCTACTCAGGGGGCTGAGGTGGGAGGATGGCTTGAGCCTGGGAGGTGGAGGTTGTGGTGAGCTGAGATCACGCCACTACACTCCAGCCTGGGCAACAGAGCAAGACTCTGTCTCAAAAAAAAAAAAAAATCAGCTTGCGACACCCCATGTGCAGCAGTGTGCCTACAGTGTGCACAAGTCTGCATGCATTTGTGCACACAAGTGAGGTAGTGTCTGCATGTGGTAGTTTGTCCACCTACAGGTTTGTGATGTCTGTGTGTGCAAGCACATCTGTGCACATGGGGGTGGGTCACACACATAGGCACGTGTGTGCCAAAGGGCAGGCACATGCTACTGCCTGTGGGGCTGGTTAAGGAGCAGAGGCCTCCCTGGCCACACCTGCAGGGGTGTCTGTGTTCAGAGCTGCCCTCACGAGGCAGCTGAGCCACGTGGGCCTGGGACTGACCCCACACCCTCAAACAAGCCCAGCCTCTGATGCTGAGCAGCTTCCTTCTGGAGGATCCTCCTGGAGGTGGCACTGCTGAGGCAGGAGGCAGGACCGCAGCCCCCTCCCCACCCCTTCCTTACAAGCTCCTGATGTGATGATAGAAACAATTAACTGGAAGAGACAGCTAATACCCAAGGGAAAACATTTCTACATATGATATTACAACCTTGCTTCAAAAATGGGACTTTACCATGAGGAAATACAGTTTATTATTAGACACATTTTCTTTAATTTAATTATATAAGCTTTGACTTAAAAAATAAAAAAGTATATGGAAAGGGGGAAGGGCTGAGATGTTTAAATCAATCCACTGCATTTCCCGTGCACTCACTGATCACCCGGGACAAATGGCTATACATGGGAGGGTCACTCGGGAAGTCCTGGGAACAGGTCAGTCCCAAACCTATCTTCCAGCCCCCCATAAAACGTGGTCACAGGAAAGGCGACTTCAGGAACCACCAGACAAGAGAACCTGGAGGGGTGACCACAGGCCAAGTTCACTGCCACCTTCAGGGGCAGCGGGGACCCAGGCCTGCATCAGGCAATCCATCTCATCCACCAAATCAGCCATGGCACCCTCACAGTGCTACACTCTGCCTGACATGCACACGTACACACACTCTTACACACACAACATCACACACACATTCACAGAAACTTACACCAGGGAGTAGCCACATAAGCCAGACAGATACCCAAAAGCCAGACCCCAACCCTGTAAATGGCCCCAGGAGAAGAAGGAAAATAAGGCTCGCTCAGTTGACCACCCATAGTCTGCTTGGCTTTGGGCAAATTGCTGACCTCCCCGGGGCTTCAGTTTCCCCATCTTTCAGGGAGGTGAGTGAGATGGTTTCTAAGACCCTTTCCAGCTTTAAACTCTTCTGCCTTAAATCACCATCCTCGCTACCTGCCTCCTTTCTCCTATTCTTCCTGAGGGGGTGAAAAAAGCAGGTTCTGGGGTCGGGGGAGCATGGACTTCAATCCCCACCTGCCCCTCCCTAAAGATGTGACCCAGGGCAAGTGGCCAAGTCTCTCCATGCTGCCATTTCCCCATCTGTAAAATGGGGAGAACAACCGTGCTATCCACCACACCCCCTGCCCATGGTAAGTGTGAAATTCATGGTTTCCATCATAGTTATAAGTCCCTAAGAGAGACTGTGAAAGGCCCATGCCTGCTTCTCAGGAATGAATCCCTGTGGGTAGAGACGTCCTCACATGCTGGCAGGAAGCAGACACATTAACAGATCCCCATGTCCTCCTCAACCCACTGCTCAGCTGTGCCCTCTTCCACCCTCTTCCCCAGGACCACTGACCCTATGGCCAACTGCAGTCCCCTCCACCATGTCCATCCCCCTCCCCAGGTCTATGGGCCAAGACTACCAGACATTAGGGGACACAGGGGTGGCCACGGAAACCCAGGTATCCGTGTCTGTGGCCCAGTGTGCCTGGTGCTGCCCAGATGGAGCGGCCCCAGGTGGCAGGGTAGCTACAGCAGCAGCAAATCTCCGCACTCAGGTACTAATGCAGTAAGTCCTATCAAGACACAGTGAAATGGGGCATAATTTTTGCGGAAAACAATGTGGGTGATGTATGCCCACGACTGGCACACAATAAAACTGTAGTAGAACGCAGAAAAAATGCACCCAGTCAATACAATAAAATCAGCACAAATACACTCGTGTAAGGCAAATAAATCTCCCAATCCAAATATTTTACAGCATGCGTACAAGGAGGAAGTGGAGAAGTATGTGTCTGCACCATTCAAGTTTTCCTCAGAAATCTCTAGGGGAAATAAACAAAACGACCAATGAGCCCCTCCTGACCCTCCAAATAAATAAATAAATAAATACCAAGGATCGGGGGCTGGTTTGCATTTCTGGCCTCAGATTTCTTTTGTCGAGGTGATTGGGGGCTGGAGGCCCCCAAATTACCATTCACCTAGCCTTGTTGTGGAAATTTTCAAGGGATTTGCAGTAATTATATGACAAAATGCTTGCAAATCTCACTCATTGCTGAACAGAAACAGGCGGGTCAGGGATTGAACACTTTCAGCTGGGTAATTTGTAAATGTCAATCAGGCAACGGGGCAGAGAGAGAGAGGGAGAGAGAGAAGAGGGGGGAGTGGAAGCCAGGAAAATACTGTAGCAACCTCAGTGCAAGAGGCCCCTTTATCCTCCCTTAACCCAGGAATGGAAAGGCCCAGGCCAGAGGCCAGGGAGGAGGGAGGAGAGAGTGGGAGGAGGGAGGGAGGAGGAGGACTAAGAGGAAAGATGGGGAGGAAGGGGGAGAAGGAGGAGGAAAGGGACGGAGCCCAAAGCAGACACAGAAAGGAGGGTAGGACCAGAGGGGAGGGGGCAAAGGTGGGGGGAAATGGAGGAGGAGGGGCTCTGGATGGAGAAGTGAAGAGAGTGAATCAGGAAAAACAGTTTAAATAAAACGAGAGGAGATTAAATTAACTGATACATACGTTCCAAGAGGTAGGTCGCAGCAACAGCAATAAATACCAGCTCCCTATCTCCCCTGCTCAAGACAGCGGAGAGAGCGAAATAAAATTAAAAGATATAACAATAAAAATTACAAATGCATCTTGAGGGTCCTGCACTCAAGGCCCATAATGGAGGCTCCGAGCAGAGTAAGCATGGGGCACAGCTCCCATTCAGGCTGGGGAGCCAGGCAAGGTAGGAGCCAGCAGGGACTGTTACATTTTCTGATGGGCTGGGCCAGTTGACTTGCAGAGAGCCCACTGCATGTACGTAAAGAATTTGATGGCTGATGCTTACCATTGTGACAACTGATTTGGCATTCGCTAATTAACAAGCTTTTTCCTGGTCATCATCACCCCTTGACAGAGATGGTTTTACTTCACCTATTTTATAGGTGAGGAAACTAAGACTTAAAAGAGGTCATGGTTTGGCGCAAGATGTCTCTCTAGTTCACAAGTAGAGCAAGGGTTCGAACCTAGGCCCCCTGACTCCACACCCTTTCCACCACTGCCTTCCTGCAGTCTCATCTGAGAGACTGAGTATACTTTCTGATCACATATACAACATACCATCACCACACCATGTGAGTAGTTAACCTGGCAGTTGTGAACACACGAAGACAGCATCCTCTAAGCAGGAGTGTCCAACTCTCCAGATTCCAAAGATCCTTTTTAGCATCCAAAAGTTACTCACTACCCCACCAGCCACATGCAGTCACCTGCACACTAGTGGTTGTACTTCTAACATCTGTTGATTGAGGAAATGCCTGATGACCCAAAGCTACAATAAATCCAGGAACACTTTTAAAGAATTTTAATTTACTCTTCACAATAGTCTTGGAAAAAATAAAAATAAAAACACAGACATCAACACGACAGGGCTTCTGTTGGTCTCCAAGTATAGTTAGGCAGACCTAGTGGTCGAAAGACCTCCATGCAAGAATTCCAGGGCCCCCTCCCGCATGAGGGTCTGCAGTGCAAGGGTCCAGGAACCTCTGATTGAGACTGATCCTTTAAGTAACAGGATCAGGGGGTTATGGATTTGTCAAGGTTGGCCCAGGAAGACTCCCTTAGAGAGGCAAACCCTGAGAAGGGCTGGCAAGGGGAGCAACAAGGCCTGTGTGGGACAAGGGCTAGGGGGGAGGGGGCAGGCTGGCCACAGCACTCCGGCCTCAAAGCCACCAAAGGCCCCAATTTATCCTTTTACCATAATCTCCAAATGGGGTCTGTTGACAGCCACAGGGATACCCCAACAGGGTTGAAAGAAGGTGTTTCTCCCATAGGTTTAAGCTGGAGTCTCTCAGCCCATGCTAGAGTGCATCATTCACTCATCAGAGCAGCAGCCAAGATGATGGGGCACCTCCTGCGTGCCAAGCACTGCTCTAGATGCGGGAGCTACAGCAGGGACCAAGACAGGGGATGAGTACACCTGCTGCCCTGGAACTTACCTTACATTCACCATCTTTTAAGCCTTGAAATGATCCTGTGAGTGGTACAACTATATGCATCGTCTATTGTTGAGTTAAAAGTGTTAACTTGTGGAATGCAAATCAGATGACACTTTTGCAACCCTGCCTGGTATCTCTTCATTTTTAAATGTATTAGAGTCTCAGAAATAAAAGAGGTCTACAAGCCCCTGGAAGGCTCTGAGCAGGGCAGGGGTTGGCACTTGATTAAAGTTGCCATCTATCAGTAATCACTACCATCCTGGATGCCAGAAAGCCTGAGGGCAGCAGAGACACTCGTGCCAGTGCCCCCACCATCCTCTCCACCCACAGCTGACCCACATCCCCTTCTGCCTTCTCCCACTCTGTCAACCAAGATCACAGCTCTGGAATTAAGAGCCCCTGCTCTGTTAATTTATCCTCTGGACTATTTGCTCTTCCCACCCACCTCCTTCCAACAAAAAAAGAATTCTGAGAGAGAGAAGTCATCAGGAAAATGTGCAAATAATCCGCTTAGCTGTGACTGTGGTCGCAGAGTACCACAGATGAGGTCACCACAGAGTACAGTAGCCTTGAGTCTCTCCACCCCAGCACTGCCACTTATTCTGCAAATGGTTTCATCTGTTTGTGCCTCTGCTGCCTCATCTGTAGAATGGTAAACACTAGTAGCTACTCTGGCAGGGCTGTTGTGAAGATTAAAGAACATAATTGTGTGTGTTCTATCAATATTAACTATTATGATGATGATACTCTTCCCTCTGAGACCATAACAGGACATTAAATTTGGAGGCAGGAAGGAAGCTGAGGGCAAAGCTAGAGTCTGCGGCCATTGCCTGGAGACAGCAGAGAGCAGTGGAGTGAAGCGGTCTGCCTGCCCCTGATTCTGGAGTGGCACCTCTCTGAGCCTAGGTCTTCCCATCTGTGGAGTGAGGAGGCTGGACTGGGACATCTGGAAGCGTTTCTGATTCTAGGAGTTAGTGTTGGAAAGAACCAGAGAGGAAGGGCAGCGAGGGAACTGGGGACAAGCCTAGATCAGACACAGTCTGTCACCAAAAGTGGGCCGCTGCCTGAGAAACAGCCAGGAATCTCTGAGGCAGGTTTCCCTGCAAATCCCACATCCCAGATGAGAAAACTAAGCCAAGATCACCCGAGAGACACCGTGCCTCCGCCTCCACCACCGCCGCCACCACTACCACAGCCACCAGCAGTCATTAAAACGCCCAGTAACTGAGGAGGGGCAGAGGGTGGAGAGAGTGGCACCCCGCCTGCTCCCCCTGCCATCCTGGAGTCGGGTATCTGCTCCCGTCATGAGCTCCACCCTCAGCTGAATTTAATGAATCTGAGAAAAATTATGAAGTCCCATAAAGCCACAAGTATCATAAAAAGTATAATAAAATTGAGAAAAGCTATTAAGTTATAAATACAACCAATGCATGCAACATCACTCAGTCGGGGAGGAAGTCGCTATAAAATAAAGTCATTCCACAAGTGACTAAATCTCTTAATTCACAAGGTACACGCTCCCCTTTCCGCTGTCACCCCAGGAGTTTGTGTCACGCGAAGTTTCCGCGGCGGAGAGCGCTGCGCGGGGAGACAAAGGGAAGGGACAGGGATCGCAGGGACAGGGACAGGAGCGGCTGCCGGGCTCTGGGTCCCCGATCGCCACCAGACATGTCTCCGAGCAGCCGAGGCAAAGGGAACGGATGGGAAAGGAAAACAGAGGAGCGGCCCAGAAGGGCGGCTCGCTGCGGTGGTGGGGCGCGGACTCGGGAACTCGGGGCGGGCAGGGCACGGGCGCACCCCCTCCTCTCCCCTCCCTCGCTCGAGGCCGGCAGCGCCCCCCGCCCCGCGCCATGCACACCCATTGTGGTGATGAGAGCTCGCGCCCCGTGCCCGTCACGGTCACTGTGCGTCCAATAAAAACAAACACTGCCGAGGAGCCGCCGCGATGCGGGGCGGACGCGCGGCCCGGAAAGGGGAGGGGGCCCTAGGAAGAGCTACACCCGCGAGCCGGGCCTGGGCCAGGGGCGAGGGGAGAGCGCCAAGACTGCCCCGCCGCCGAGGGCGCCGATGGAGGCACAGGGGTTCCCGTGGGGCGCCCCGAGAGACACCGTGCCTGGCCGGCGGGACGTGGGCTGGCTTCTCACCCGACGGAGAGAAGCGGCACTCTCATCTTCGGGCACCGGGTCTGGGCTCCGAGCGGGGGCTCCTGGAACACAAGGCAGTGGGGGCAGACGGGCCTGGGCCCACCCCAGGCTGGGAAGGGGTCTGAGCGGGGCGTCCTGACTGGACCCGGCCCTGGCGGACCGAAGGCTCCAAAAGATCTTGCATTCTCAAAGACTTCTGCAGATCGTCACCGCCTAAGGCGCCCCAGGCCCGGCTCCACTCATGGGAAGGGTAGGAAAGAAAGCTGGGAGCGCTCTGGGGCGCGGGGCAGAGACAGCGGTGTTGGAGGCGCGCTGTGGAGGCGGCGGGTTCCAGAGGGGAAGGCAGGCCGAGCCAAGGAGAAGAGCCAGGTGACAGGGCAGGATGTCGAAGTGGGAGGTAAAGTCCACCCAGCGACCTACTGGGAGCCCAAAATAACTTTAGTGGAAAATGGGGCAGACAGAGGTTAGGGAAGATACGCTTCCCTAACCTCTGCCTGCCTGGAATGAGAGCACCAGCCAGGGAAGCCCCCTCGCCCTCCGCCCCCCGCGCATCCCTGAGGGTCAGCATTCTCACAGCCTTCACCAGTCTGGAAAACTGAGTACCCAGAGCTTAAGGAACTGTCTCAAACTGGGTTTATCTGGGGAGCTGTTAATGGGATGGATTCCTACGGAGTCCAGAGCCCAGGGGAAGGAGCCTTTGCACAAGTGATTTGACTGACTGAGGTGGCGAGGCCAGGGTGGCTCTTCAGGAAGATGGGAATGACGCCGGGAAGCACCAGACCTGAGGTCAGAAGTTCAAGACCAGCCTGGTCAACCCTGGTGAAACCCTGTCTCTACTAAAAATGCAAAATTAGCCGGGCATGGTGTCGGGCCCCTGTAATCCCAGCTACTCAGGAGCCTGAGGTAGAACTGCTTGAACCCAGGAGATGGAGGTTGCAGTGAGCCAAGATCGTGCCACTGCAGTCCAGTCTGGGCGACAAAGCAAGACTGTCTCAAAAAAAAAAAAAAGAAAAGAAAAGAAAGAAAAATACAGATTTCTTATGTTCCTGCTAAGACTTGCACAGAATTTTCAGAGCAGCATTATTCATGATAGCCAAAAAGTGGGAGCAACCCCAAAGTCCACAACTTTGGGGTGAATAGATAAGCAAAATGTGGCACATCCATACAGTGGAATACTATTCAGCAGCAAAAAGGACTGAACTGATGATGTATTGTTACAACATGGATGAACCTTGAAATTTTGCTAAGTGAAAGGAGCCAGTCACCAAAGACTGCATGTTATATGATTTCTCATTTATATGAAATGCCCAGAATCTGTAGAAAAAGAAAGTAGATTTGTGATTGCCTACGACTGAGGGGGCTAGGGGAGTTTGGAAAGAACAGCTAAGAGGTACAGGGTTTCTTTTGACAGTGTTCTAAAATTGGTTGTGATGATGGCCACACAACTCTGTGAATATAAAAGCCGTTGAATTGTGCATGTTACATGGGTGAATCGTATGGTATATGAATTACATCTCAATAAAGCTGTTAACAAAACTTTATTCTAAGTGAAAGAAGCCAGACCCAAAAGATCATCCAGAAAAGGCAAATCTATAGAGACAGAAAGTAGATTGGTGGTTGCCTAGGGCTAGGGGACGGGGAGGGGACTGACTGTAAACTGACCCCTGGGATCTTATTGGGATGACAGAAATGTTCTAGAACCGGGTTGTGGCAACAGTTGCACAATTCAATACCTTTACTAAAAACCATTGACTAGTATGCTTAAAACGGGTGAATTTTATGATATGTAAATTATACCTCTATAAAGTTGTTTTTAAAAAACACAATGGGTGGATTCCACCCCCAGAGTTTCTGATTCAGTAGGTCTGGGGTGGCTAGAGAATTTGCATGTTTAACATGTCCCTGATGCTGCTGGCCAGGGAACCACACTTGGAGAACCACTGGCCTATGGAGGTGAAAGGCCAAAGCCAAGAAGAGGGGAGTGGCCTGTTTAAAAAAAATAAACCACTTTGGGCACCAGCTCTCCACACCCACCCACCACCCAATCCTCCAGCTAACCCGGGCAGGTAATAGGGTGAGGGGCTGCACTGGGCAGCAGGGAGCCGGCTGCTCTCCGTGCCTGGCAGACATTCCTCTGCATCAGACAGCAGCAGAGTTAATTTAAAGGCAGACTTTCCAACATCAACCGAAATTGGCAGCATAAATAGGAACTGCTGTTTATTTGCCACTTACCTCTGTCTTGTTCCGCTTAAATACTGAGGGGAAACCAGAGCCATTAGGGTCAGAAGAAAATTACAAACACATAGGGTCTCTGTGGGCGGGTGAAAATGATATTAGAGATGGGGGCGGCGGTGGGAGAAGCAAAAAAAAATAGAGGAAGAAAGAAGGGAGGATGGGGGAAAGAAAAAATGCCTTGTACCAAGAGTGCATGAAATAAAATAAAATTAAGTAAAGATCTGTTTGGCGGGTGGGGAATCTTCATCCCAAGAAATATGGGTGGAGTTTGGGAGGAGGGATTTCTGGAGTTATTTTTAAAGCTAGATCAGGGAGAGTGTGAATTCTGATTTCTGTTTTCTGGCCTGATTAGCATGGTTGGGACTGATTCTCTTTCTCTCGGCCATCAGGAAACGAGTCCAGGGAAGGGACAAAAACCAAAGCTAGCATCACTTCCACCATGAGGTATCTCCCCCACCTCTGAGGTCTTAAAGCATCCCTCTTCCTGGGGCTTCACATCCAGGGGCAGCCACCTCTTCTCTACCTACCCCCGCCCCCTGGAAGAATTAATTGGAGGCAAGAGGAGCACCACATTTATTACCTCCCCTCCTGCTCCACACTAAATCTTGTGGCAATGCTTCTAAAAGTCAATAAAATGAGAAGGAAGATGCGATAAAATTAAGGTGGAAAGTGCGATGGGGAGAGGAAATGGGAATCTTCTTTTTAATTTAGCTTTAATTTTAATTTTTTGTCACCTCTCCAAGCAGCCTTCGTGCTGCTGCAATGGAGAGGGAGCTGGGGGGAGGGGCTGGTTCTTTTTAAGGACTGGGTGAAGCCACACACTGGCCTGGGTCTTGGTGGCAGGGGTCACGTCTTGGGGGAGCCACAGCTGGGAGCCGGCATGGAGTGGAGGGGCTGCCTGTCAAAATTCTACTGCACTCCCTTCTTTGGAGCTCCCAGAGAAAGCAGCTGATTATGCACTCCCTGAAAGCAGGGACTGTGTCTCGGCCTTCACTTTACCCACAGTGCCTGGCACACAACAGCAGGAGTAGCAGTAATGATGATGATGGTGGTGATGATGAGAGCAAATAGATACCAAGCACTTACTATGTTTCCAGCATTGTTCAAAGCACCCTACACTTACTATTTCTTTCTTTCTTTCTTTCTTTTTTTTTTTTTGAGACAGAGTCTTGCTCTGTCGCCCAGGCTAGAGTGCAGCAGCACGAACTCGGCTCACTGTAACCTCTGCCTCCCAGGTTCAAGCGATTCTCCTGCCTCAGCCTCCCGATTAGCTGGGATTATAGGTGCTCACCACCACAGCCCACCAATTTTTGTATTTTTAGTAGAGACGGGGTTTCACCATCTTAGCCAGGCTGGTCGCAAACTCCTGACCTGGTGATCCACCCGCCTCGGTCTCCCAAAGTGCTGGGATTATAGGCGTGAGCCACCATGTCCAGCCTACTATTTCATTTTACTTGTTACATTAACAATATTCATTAACTTGTTGCATTACAATAGACCCATTTTACAGACGAGGACATTGAAGACAGGAAACTGAAGCACTTTGCCCATGGTCACAGAGCCAGTAGGTCAAATAGGCAGTGGATACTTCTCATGTATCGAGAAATAGACAGTGGATACTTCTCATGTATCGAGAAATAGACAGTGGATACTTCTCATGTATCGAGTGGATTAATAAACGAATGGATAAAAATTGCATAAGAGGGGTGGGGTGGAAGAAAAAAATGGCATAAGAATGCCGACAAAGTGACAGCTATGTAGGTACCAGTGATTCTACGGTGCCCCATCTGCCATCAGTCCATGAATGCAGAGGGGTGCTTAGCAATGCTGAGATAGGGGAAGGTGGGCTTAGTAGGAGGCAGTCAGAGTCTTCCTGGTATTGGTGGGCAAGCCCTTGAAGTTAGACCATCCTTTCCTGTCATGTGATTTCTTTCCCATTTTTAGGAAAGATGAAATCACACACACTCCCCCATCTCCACCCCCAAAACCAGAAGATGTTCTCTCCAGAGTGGCTCAACCATGACATAGAGGGTCTGTGGCTCCAGCTGTGACCCCTTCCCCAAGAACAGGGCCCTGAGGCAGCAGCAGCACTGACCCTCCTTCACCCCAGCACTAGCCAGGTGTCCTGAACGTCTGTAGCCAGACCCAGCTTGGCCTATCAGAGAAGTGCAGATCTGGGAGCTCTCAGGATACTTAGAGATTGCCGAGTGCAGCCCTGCAGTTTACATGCAAGTCTCGGGCAAGAGGACAGGGCTTCCCTTGGGTCTCACAGGTGGCCAGTGGGAAGGCTAGGTCTCTTGGCCTCTCTTCTGTAACCCTGAGGTCTGTCCCATTTCTTTCTACCTGATGGGAGCTCCATCTTCAGTATTTTTTGACTTCATACGTGGGCTCGTATCTCAGTCCTTGATGACAGTCCACCAGGAGGTGAGCAAGAGATAGTTGCTGCTTCCTCTGCATACAGATGGGGAAACTGAGGCTCAGAAGGCTTCAAAGATGTTTCTAGGACCATGTACTAACACCGGTATCAGGCTCTAACCATGCCCAGTGAAGGATTCTGGCTGCTGTCCACCCTCAGCTGAGTATGAGGAAAAACTGTTTTCAGTAGACATTTTCCTCCATCAAGCTCAGGTTCTGAAGCAGTCCTGCCCCCTTCTCTGCCCCACTTCCTGACCACAAGGACCCACCAGGTAACCCGCCCCACCCCAGCATCACCTTCCCGAAGACCTTGCAGCGTTCCTAACTGGGGGAGGCAAGAAAGGATGGACTTCTTTCCTAACAGAGTCCCCATTGCCCCAAATAATGTTCCCCTCATTAAAAAGCCATATTCTCAAAGACCATTTAGTGCCATGGAGAAGAGCACATGAAGTATCTGTAAGTTAGAAAAAAAAATGCAAGTTACCAAATGCCATGCAGAATACTATCCTAATTATGTTTTGTTTCAAATACAGTTCATAGGCCGGACACAGCAGCTCACGCCTGTAATCCCAGCACCTGGGGAGGCCGGGACGGGAGGAGTTCTTGAGCCTAGGAGTTTGAGACCAGCCTGGGCAACATAGGAAGAACCATCTCTACAAAAAAATCAAAGAATCAGCCGGGTGTGGTGGTGTGTGTCTGTGGTCCCAGATACTCAGGAGGCTGAGGTGGGAGGATTGATTGAGCCTGGGAGGTTGGGGCTGCAAGGAGCCGTGATCTTGCCACTGCACTCCAGCCTGGGTAACAGAATGAGACCCTGTGTAAAATAAATAAATAAATACTGTTTATGCCTATATTTATGTATGCATGGAAGAAAAGTCTGGAGCATATACACCTCCAATGTATATTTGTTTACAATATACATTGTTTACAGTGTTTACAAAATGTTTACAGTGTTTACAAAATGTTTACAGTGGTTTCTGTTTTCTTCCTTATATATTTGTATATTTTCCAGAGTTTCTGCTGTGAATGTGTCCTTTCACAACGGTATAAAAGGAAATTATTATTATTATCTTTTTTTTAGAGATGGGGTCTGGCTCTGTCGCCTAGGCTGGAGTGCAGTGGCGTTATCATAGCTCACTGCAACCTCTACCTCCTGAGCTCGAGCAATCCTCCCACCTCAGCTGCCCAAAGCACCGGAATTACAGGTGTGAGCCACTGCACCCAGCCAGGAAATTATAAATGAATTTTTAAATTCGGCCTTATTAGGTTTTATATTAAAAAAATACAGACCCCCTTCTAGCTTGCTGGTTCTGCTGCCTTGTAAGCAGCAGCCAGGAACGATTCATATAGGAGCAAGTGTGTGTAAGTGTGTGTTGGGGGTCCCAGCTCCCCCACCCTCTCCCAGTGACTGCTGTTCATCATAACCAGGACAATTAACCATCCCCTTATTATTCACACGTCATGATTACTAATCACCCTTATTAATATCCATGCTTTGCGAAACCAGGAGGCAGCTTGGCTCAGATGCTTGGAACTCCACAGGAATCCAATCCTGACCCCAGGCGAGTCCCTTCCTGCTCTGTGCCTTCACCTCCCCCTGGATCAGGAGGATCTGCTGCTTCCTCATCCCTTCAGTGACCAGGGCCCTCTGCTTCCCTCCTCTGCCAGCTCTTAGAGCCCCACATCCCCGGAAGGCCATCTGAATTCCTAACTCCACTCGCCACCTGCGCCACCAACCTCCCTTTACACTGGAACTGAAACAAGGGTCTCCTCCTGTCTTTGATCCTTTTTCCCAAATTACTCACTTTGTTCATAAAATGTACGCTTTCCACCAAATAGAGATGCTATGGCTAAAGACTGAACTTTATGGTTATAACATTTAGTCTATTCTCTAAGCCTTGTTACTTGTTTTGAGAAATCCATTAGCAGTTTCTGTGTTAAGCCAGTTAATGATAACATTGGCCATTTGACTAATATTAAATTCCCTGGCTAATGTTTGGTGCAGATTTATACTACGGGTCCTTTCACCCCCCAGATTTTGTGGTGGTGGTGGCTCTGAGTAACATTGAAATAAACCATGTTATGTATCAATGAAGTGGGTCCAGACTTTGCCACATGTGCACATGGAGAATTTACAGTGCATCAATGTGCCAGCCCCTAAAGGGGGCATTGTAGCTTCTTCTGGCTGGAGGTGAATCCAAGGCAGCCCCAAGAGGTGGCTGCCACCCATCCCTGCTTTGATCATGTTCTGGGTCAGTACGCTAGGTACTGACCACCACCCCAGACCCTGTTGAGACAAAGAGTCCTGGTTTCCATTCCTGAACGTACTCGTGGAACATACAGGGGATGAAGATAACAACAGTAATTTGAACAAAATACAGCAGTTGCATTTATTATAGCAAGAAATTAGACACCTCACACATATCCAACGATGAGGGAGTGACCAAACAAAATGATCCATCAACATGATGGAATGCCATGTGGCCATTAAAACGACAAGACAGGAGGCCCTGCCACCCCGAAAATGACCGTGTGAGTCGATGTTAGGTAAAAGCAGGAAACCCAGTGGAAGGGCAGTGACACTGGAGACATATATCCCAGGGGAAACAGCTCTGCACCAGCACAGGGGGAACCAGGTTCAAACCTAGGCTCAGCTGTTAACATGCCTTAGTTGCCCCATTTGTAAAAGAAAATCAACACCCCTGGGCCCAGTGTTGTGGGAGGGCTACAGCAGGTCGCAGATGTGAAAGCCAGTTCATAGCACTCAGGATCTTTCAGACACCTGGTAACAAAAATGCCCGGAAAATCCAGAAAGAACTGATCAGAATGGAAACATGTACAAGTTCTTTCGCTCCTTTTTGGAGTAAGTCCATGTAATAAAAAAGACAGGAAATGGTTTGGGAATAGGGGCTCTAGAGCTTTGAAGATTCTCCATGGAGGATGTAGTTGGTGGCCCATGGAGGCTGGCTGGGCTCTAGAAGAATGGGGGAGAGAGAAAATGTGGGCTCCCCACCCACCCTAGGGCCCCAAAGAGGACCAAAGCCACATCTAAGTAACTGGGGGCTGAGAAATCCCAAGCTCAGTCTACAGTGAGAAGGGACAAACATCACCCCCAGCGCGCAGCTCCCAGGAAGCACAGTGGAGCCCGGAGAGTCACCTGGAATTCATCTCCTTCAGAGACCATGAGAGAGACAGAGGAGGAGAGAATCAGAGGCAGAGAGATAGAAGGAGGCACAGCGGAATCAGCCAGGGAAACAGGCCTAAATTATCTCCTCCTTCGGCCCATGTTCTTCATTCCTGCTGCTATCGGGGACTGCTCTGCCAGCCTGCTCCAGGAGCAAGAAAAATAAAATAAGCAGCTCTGACAGCTGGCTGCCTACGCCTCCTCCCTCTCCTCCCCTCCTCCTTCTCCCCTTCCTCCTCCTCCTCCTTTTCCTGCTCTTTCCTCCTCTTCCTCCTCCCCTTCTCTTCTTCCTCTTCCTCCTCCTCTTCTCCTCTTTGTCGTCTTCTTCCTCTTCCTCTTCGTCCCCTCCTCCCTCTCCTCTCTCCCTCCTTCCTCCATCCCCCTGCCCAAACACCATCTCCTGGTATCTGTTCTTCGAAGGAAGAGGGTGTGAGCCGGATGTAATGCAAATACTCTACAGGAATGTTTCTGGCAGGGAGCAGAATCCTCTTCCCTCACGGACCCAAGGATGAAACAGGGCCCCAGACGCCAAGCTGAGGCTGCTCCTCCCTTTCTCTGAAGACAGTCTGGGGACCTCAGATAGGGGGCTCCCCCTCCAGTCTTCCTCCAACACCACCTTCTTCCTTTGAGGAGTGGGAGTGGGGTTAAGGAGGCAAAGTGACGACCTGAGGGAGAAGGGGAGACGGGAGGGGCTCTTCTCTGGGGACATTCCCCTCAGGGTTTCTGAAGCCTGTGATCCCCGCGGTGAAGGAGAAAGGAGGCAAGCCACCCACAGGGAGCAAAGCAAATCGGGGATTCAAGGGAACAGTTTTGTAATTATCCAAATAATTCAGCCTCCTACTCTTTTCCCAATATATCCCGCTTTTGTTTTAATAATCCAGGAATTGGGAACAACGCCCTTTCCGTTTTACCGCACTTACCCTTTGCTCTAGGAAAGCAGCCTATTCACAGCCATTTTACGGCTGTGTGCCCAGCTTTCTCACTGAAGGCCTTTGCCCATGCCATTCCTCCCACCGCATCCCCTTCCCTTCTCCACCTGTAAGTCTGAGCCCACTGAGAAACTCGGGTTAATGCTGCTCCTTCTTCACAAAGCCTTCTTGGAATCTCCCAGCCAGAAAAGCTCTTTTCGTCTCTGCTGTCCTGGAAAGGACATTTACTCTGGGATTTTCAGCTCACACCATATCTCCAACTGGATGGCATCCTCTCCATGATCCTTTCACCCAATCAATCAATCAATGAGCTGAGAAAGAATTGGGGTGGGGAGATGGCAGTGGGGGGGAGCACAAAATTGCCCAAATCCTCGTTAACTGAGACTTGGACAGGCTTGGACTCACAGTTGGAGGCACCTGACACAGATTATCCCATGAAGGTTGCATGCCCACCCCACAGGCTAGGTCCTCTTACCATCCCATCTTGCCCCAGACACCCCCAGCTAGTGAGGATTTGAACCCAGCCTGGCCAAGTCCAACACCCACTCTCTTTCCACTCCACCACACTGCTTCCTACTGCCCCTTTCCTGGGGAAGAGAGGTTAGAAATGGGTATATGGCCGGGAGCTGGCTCTCCTGGCTCTTTGCTTCTTCATCCTCAGGCCCAAGCTGCACCCTGCCTGGCTCCACCCCTCAGTCAGCTGGTTGGGGAGATGGGGCTGGGGAGCCCTGGGCACTAACAAGTATTCATGCAGGTAAGCAGGTACCAGGAGCCAGGAGGGGCACATCAAAAACCTCTAGAACAGGCCAGGTGTGGAGCTGTAATCCCAGCACTTTGAGAGGCCAAGGCGGGCGGATCACCTGAGGTCAAGAGTTCGAGACCAGCCTGGCCAACATAGCAAAACTCCGTCTCTACTAAAAACACAAAAATTACCCAGGTGTGGTTATTTTTCCCTGGGTTGTTCTGTAGCTTGGCAGCAGGAATTAAGACTAACAGGAAAGGGGTCAGTTGTGGAGAGGTGCATGGAGAAGAGGATGTTGGAAGAGGGGAGCAAGGACCCCCAACCTCTGCAGACAACCTTGCCCAGCCCAGAGTTGAGGTAGGGGGAAGGGTTGATCCCATCTCCATCTCTGAGAAAGATTTATTTCTTCACTTCCCTAAGGTCTTTGGAGAAATGCTGCAACTCTCAGCCTGGCCCTCATCTCCACACCTCTGCCAGCACCTCAGTTCCAGCCCCAGGGCTCCAGGGACAGACTCCTAACATGAACTGCCAGGATACCATATATCCATCCATCTGACAGCTTACCTGAGCTCAGACGGCCTGCAAACTGGCAGGACAGGAGGGATGCCCCGCGTTTGGTGTGCTGAGTGCCTTTGTGTGTGTGATCTCATTCAAGGTTCCCAACTCTGAAAGCAGACATGATTAGCCCCTTTCACAAAAGGAAGCAGAGGTCTTAGTGACTTGCCCAAGGTCACATGCCTAAACAGGGACACAAACCCGCAGGAAAGATGGAGCACAAATGCTGGGGTCTCTGATAGTGGTGCACACATGCACACATGTGCACAAATACATGCACACATGTGTACCCCAAATCATTTAAATGGACCATTCCCCTCTGTGTGTGATGTAGTTTACAGATCCCCTGTGCTCCCATGCATTATCTCAGTTGGTTTAACAACAGGGTCCCGTGGTAACAGGCAGGGCAGATGTCATGAACCCATTTCTCAGATAAGGAACCCAAGGTTCAAAGAGGGTGAGCAATCTGCTCAAGGTCACAGTCTCCAGAGCTTTGATCACAATAATACTGACAAACTCCACCTCCGTTCACGTTTGTTAAATGCAGGAGCTGGGTGCTAAGCACCTTCCATGCATCTAACATTCATGGTCATCCCGTGGGGGAGACATTGTTATTATTCCCATCTTACAGATGATGAAACTGGGACTTAGAGGTGTTAGATGATATGGGGCAGCCACATAGAGTTAAGCCCCAGCCAGCCTGATTTTTACTCCAGGAAACTCGCCCAGGACGGGAAGCTTATTCACCTGGGCCCCCGAGTCCCAGCACCTAGACCAGTGCCTAGCCCACATGAGGTTCTCACTGAGCGTTTGTGGAACATTTGTTAACCAAATAAATCTGCCCCCAATGCCCTTACCCTCAACTTCCTCCTCCCAGACCTTTCCCTGCCCATCTCCTAACTCCTCGAATGTCTCTAGCGAACCATTCGAGACCTCTCCCCCAGGAGTCGAGGGTTACAGACCCCCTCAGTCCCTGCAATGGGACCGGGAAGTCAATTCACCACCTCACTCTCCTATCCCTATTAGCATTCAGGGATTTGTAGTTTGTCCTTAAGGTTCTCCCTTGCCTCAGTTTCCGCCCCTGGCACCAGATGTGAGGGAAGTAGGCAAGCAGACTGCTGGAGAAGAGGTCCCCTGAAAAGCCCACCCCTCTGCTTTCTTGTCCCACAAGCAAGTGCTGGGGATTTCCTTTCTTTCTCTCTAGATCCCGCAGAGCCCCAGACAACGGACGAGACAAAGAGCGGGCAAGCGGAGCAGTCAGGCCCAGCTCCAAGGCATGCATTTCCAAACAGGGAAAATGTGGACATCTGAGGACGGGGTCTCTCAAGGATACTCCCCCAAGTACAAGGTTTGGAGGCCCCTTTTGGAACACTGCCAATTCCAGCTGCCTCCACCCCCAGGCACCAATCACTCAACAGCACTGAGTGTTTACTGGGCCTGCAGGCAGGGAAATAATGCAAGATGCCACTTCCGCAAACTGGCAGGACAGGAGGGATGCCCTGCATTTGGTGTGCTGAGTGCCTTTGTGTGCATGATCTCATTCAAGGTTCCCAACTCTGAAAGCAGAAACGATTAGGAAGCAGAGGTCTTAGTGGCTTGCCCAAGGTCACATGCCTAAACAGGGACACAAACCTGAGGCCTTTAGGTCCTGTGCCTGGGTCTTGCTCTCCAAGCAAAGCTGATCCTTCAGTCACATCTGCCAAGGCTTCCTTTCCTACCAGCTGCAGGCATTGTAAACAAGCCCCCATGCCTCTTACCCAGCCCCCTTGTCCAAGGGCAAGGCAGATGGCCAAACCACTCCTGGGAGACCCCAGGTCTACAGCCCTAGGCTTTAGTGGTCAATGAGAGGACAACCTTCCCCAGGCCCTTAACTGGCTGAGGGGTGCCGGGCTGCCCCACCAGGGCCTGCTGATGTGCCCCCCCCCACCCCATCCCTCCCCTCCAGCTGCCCTCTGGTCCCTCTGCTCCTCCCACTGCCCCGCTTTCAGCCCCGACCCAAGAATGACCAGGAGTCACGGGTGGAGGAGCAGAGTTCCTGGTCCCCAGCCTGGCTTCTGACATCTCCGGCGCCCCTTGGCCTACCCTAGGTCGGGGTGTCAGGTCCAGTGAGACCAGCCTCCCCTCAAAGCCATCCAGCCCTGCCCTCTGGCCACTAGGCAGCCACATGCTCAGAGGATTGTCCAATGTCAGAGCGCCATCTAGTGTGAATGATGGGCACTGCACCCCTGCCTGCCGCCGCAGCTCACCCACTTGGCAGGACCTCTCATGGGGGTGGCCGGGTGCAGAAGGGGAGACGCCCTCAGACTCACAGAGGGCGCCAAATCTAGACTTCTGACATAGTGTCCAGATGACACTTTTCCTCCAGTCATGGGAGAGACCCTAGAATCCAGCGAGGGCAGTCCCCTTGCAGTGTGAGAATGTAGGATGACACTGCCTGCAGGGCCCTGTCACTATTTGAAAGGCTTAAAATGACCTTTCGAAGAGCCTAATCTCTTTGCACTATTTTGTGTGCACTGGTGAAAAGTAAACTTTCTAAATCGGCCATAATTTGGGTGACCTCTTTTTGGCAAATCTTAAACAAGAGCCTCAAAGAACAGGGGCTAAGGCATTGTCAGACCCAGAAGAGGCCCCACCGTGTGCATGAAGCCTGCACTCCATGCCTTGCTCAATCTGTTTCATGGGTCTCTCTCTCTCTCTTTCTCTCTCTCACTCACTCTCCTCTCTCTCTCTCTCCATCCTTGATCAGCCTGATGGAGTCAAAAGACCACTAAGTCCAGGCAGGGAGGTCAGGCTGATCTGGGTTTGAATCCTGGCTCTACATGAGCTGTGTAACCTTGAGAAATTCACTTGAAATTTCTAAGCCTTACTTTCCCCATCTGTAAAATGGGGTTGTGATGAGCATTGTGTGAAATAACAAGTTTGAAGCACTCAGCAAAGTGTCAGCTGCTTATCAGAGGCTCAGTAACTGCCAGTCTCATCCTCCTCATCTCTCTCAGGGCCTCCATCGCTGAGTCAGTGTCTCTCTGGGGGTCCGCTTCTGCAGCACCTGGCACAGGGTCTCCATCATTCTCTTGGTCTCGGAGCACTGGCCACACTGCACCTTGCATCTCACACTGCATCCTGCATGTCCATTTTCCATGGTTATATCCATCTACTCCCACCCACCTGATCCATGACTCGGAGCTTCCTAGGGTCTCTGTTTCTCTCTTCTTCCCCTCCGGAAGCCCAGCCCAGTTTTGAGCCCATGGCAAGTGTGTATCTGCCTGCAGCTGAACTGAATGTTCCCAGGCACAGTTAGAGAAGCCTGTTCTGCAATCCAGGAGCTGAACCAACACATGTTTCTAGCCCTGCCAAAACATACATTTTGGCCAGGTGCAGTGGCTCGTGCCTATAATCCTAGCACTTTGAGAGGCCAAGGCCAGAGGATTGCTTGAGGCCAGGAGTTTGAGACCAGCCTGAGCAACATAGGGGGACCCAGACTCAAAATATATACATACACATTTTCTCTCTCAGTAAAATGGTATTGAAGCTCCTGACTTGCACAATTGTTAAAGGGATTAGAGAGAGGGCATTTGCAAAGGCATTCATAAAGAGTATAAAACACAGTAGGCCCTCAAAAAATAGAACTTATTACTATAACAGCTAGGGAGGCCCTGTTGATGTTCAAAAATATGTCCAGGCTGGGCGCAGTGGCTCACACCTGTAATCCCAACACTTTGAGAGGCTGAGGTGGGCAGATCACTTGAGGTCAGGATTTCAAGACCAGCCTGGCCAACATGGCGATACCCTATCTCTACTAAAAATACAAAAAAATCAGCTGGGCGTGGTGGCGTGTGCCTGTAATCCCAGCTACTCGGGAGGCTGAGGCAGGAGAATTGCTTGAATCCAGGAGGCGCAGGTTGTGTGAGCCAAGATTGCACCACTGCACTCCAGCTTCAGTGACCAAGCTGGTCTCAAAAAAAAAAAAAAAAAAAAAAAACAGTGTCCAAAGAAGACAGGATGAGTAGTATAATCTCAATTGTACAACTTCAAAAGAGACACCAGGGCAAGGAGGCAGAAGGCAAGAAGGGAATGGTGGGACACGATTAATATTGGCCAAGATTATAACCCAGTCAGGGTCTCGTCAACAATTTAAGAGTAAGGCATCCCACAGGCCAGGGGTAACCAGGTGGAGAGAATCCTCTTTCCACCGGATAGGGATGGGAAACAGGCAAAGCGGGATGGGGAATGAGAGGCGAACAGCCTCTTTATTAACACAATTATTTTATTTGCCGAAAGGTAATCATCCTAAGTGAGGTCAACGGCGGCTGGCACAGGACTGGCCCTGCAGGCGGCTGGGCCACGTTGCCATGGTGACGGAGCCCGCTCACTTCCAGCAGCTGCAAGGGCTGGAGAATCCTGAGGAAGGAGACCCCAGGTCTCTTTTCTTTCCCCCAAAAGGGGCTGAAGGAGACCTGCAGGTGTTTGCATTCCCCGTCCCAGCCCCCAAGAGACAGACTAAGAGCCCCTGGGGAAATGTCCCAGCCCAGGTTCGCAGGGGGTCCATCCTGGAGCACAGGGGTCTCTGCGGGCATCATCTCATTCTGTCCTACAATAACCCTGTGAGGAAGAGGCTACGCATCACCTGACCATTTCACAGAAAGCTGTGGCTCAGACTGTCCGCAGATGCGCAGCATGTGGGGATTTGGGGGCTGGGGTCTGAGGCCTGGGGCACCATTTACATTTGCCTCAGAGTCAGGGCTGTGACAATGACAGAATTAAACCTACATCTTGAATAATCAGAAAAACTGATGTGGAGAAAAACACACTCACCCGGCAGTCAGAAAGGCCTGGGTTCGAGTGTCAACCCTTCCCCTTACAGGCCACGTCACCCTCAGCAAATTTGCTCTAAGCCTTAGTCTGTCCAGAGCATTCTGCACCTGTGACTTTCCAGTCTCTGAAAGACAGAGCCATGATCAAGGTGTGCTTCCCCATCTGTAAAATGAGCCAACTCAGTTGGGTGCAGTAGCTCACACCTCTAATCCCAGCACTTTGGGAGGCTGAGGCAGGCGGATCACTTGAGGTCAGGAGTTCGAGATCAGCCTGTCAACATGGTGAAACCCATCTCTACTGAAAATACAAAAATTAGCCAGGTGTGGTAGTGGGCGCCTGTAATCACAGCTAGTCAGGAGGCTGAGGCAAGAGAATCACCTGAACACGGGAGGTGGAGTTTGCAGTGAGCCGAGATCACGCCACTGCACTCCAGCCTGGCAACAGAGGTAGACTCCATCTCAAAACAAACAAAAAAAGCCACTCAACCCTGCCCTGGGGACCCAGAACGTCAACAGTGACTGGGAAACTCACGCACTACACAAACAAGAGCAGCTGGCTCTGTCATTTCACCCAAATCTTCAGGGATGGCAGCTCTGCAGAAAAGGGACACAACATGCACTGTCCCCAAGTCCTCCAGCCCTGAAGTCCAGCGGTGAGGATGCCAGGCTGGAAGTCCAGGGGACAGCATAGCAGAGGCAGGATGGGTCCGGGGGCGGGGAGGGGAAACGCAGCCAATCCTGGGGCCATTTTGCTTGTGCCCGCAGTGTCTGTCGCCCTCTGGTGGACGCACCTGACACAGACGCAAGGAACAGCTGTGCAACCAGAGGGAATTCAGGTTGGGGGGTCGGCGGGGGGGCATGGCTGGAGGAACTAGGAGCATCAGGGGAGGCTTTAGGGGGTGATGAGATTTGAGCTGGGCCTCCCAGAAAGTGGCTGTGGGGAGGGAGTGGGAGGGAAAGCATGTCAGAAAATGGAAATTGATCCAATAAAAGCCTACAGATTGTCAGGTGTTGTGGGAGTTTGGGGAACAGGGCATCATTTGGGTGGGTACAGCAAAGGGACTTCAAGAAGCCCAAAAGGGGCCGGGTGCAGTGGCTCACACCTGTAATCCCAGCACTTTGGGAGGCCAAGGCAGGCAGATCATTTGAGGTCAGGAGTTCAAGACCAGCCTGACCCACATGGCGAAACCCCAACTCTACTAAAAATACAAAAATTAGCCAGGCGTGGTCGTGGGCACTTGTAATCCCAGCTACTCGGGAGGCTGAGGCAGGAGAATCATTTGAACCCAGGAGGCGGAGTTTGCAGTGAGCCGAGATCTTGTCACTGCACTCTAGCCTGGACAGAGTAAGACTCTTTCTCAAAAAAAAAAAAAAAAAAAAGGAGGAGGAGGAGAAGAAGAAGAAAAGGAGAAGGAGGAGGAGGAGGAGAAGAGGAAGAGGAAGAAAGAAGACGAAGAGCGAAGAGGAAGAAGAAAAAGAAGAGGAAGAGGAAGAAGAAGAAGGCGAAGGAGAAGGAGAAGGAGAAGAAAGAAGAAGAAACAACCAGACTGGGGCCAACTGTGGACAGTGTTGACCATTATGCTCTGTACTTTATCGTGGAGGCAATAGGGAGTTATTGAAGGTTTCTGAGCAGGGGTAGGCCATGATAGGATTTACATTTTAGGCATATCAGGTGGAGAGAGAGCAGAGGTGAGGAGCCTACTGGAACTCACTCCTCCAGCACATTGTTACTCACTAACAAGAGCAGCACTTCTGACCTCGCTGGAGACTTTACAAAGCCTTTTTCTTACCTTTACACACCAGACTTCAAGCTAGGTGGGTTCCCTGACTCAAGCAGCTTTGGGGTGAGGTGAAGCTCTGGGCTCTGGTTCCCACCCCAGCTTCCTTCACGTCAGCATCCTAGCATTGATTAAAACAGTGTGCAAGTCCACCTGAAGGGTGGAGGGGTGGGGAGCTGGAAGGAGCAGGAGTGGGGAGGGGAGGGTGCCCATGTACTCAGAGCCTGCTCAGTTCCTAGCCGTTTCCTGCGCTCCTCACTGTGAAGGAATTATCCCTATGCTACAAGAAGGAAAACGAGACCTGGGAAAAGAAGAGCCCAGGACCCCCAGGGCCGGGACACAAGTCTGGGTGTGTCTGACCCCAAAGCTCCTCATCCCAAAAGCAAGAAGAGAAGCAGGCCTCAAAGAAGCCACACCCCTCATCTCTGAAGGAGACGCTGAAGGCCCCTGTCCTATCCAGCATCCCCTCCACCAGTCACAGCAGACACCGGCCTCCTATGACATGCGTGCTCATGGATGCTCATGCTTTGAGAGACCCGGTTGTACTGATGACATTCACAAAGAAGAAGTTCATCTAACGTCCCATTTTGGATTCATCAGCCTCATCTGAGACTGTCAATCAGAGTCTCCATCCTGTGGCCAATGACACTGAGCAAGTGGCTGGAGATGGCAAGGGGTGCTCAGGGTGGGGTCTATGCACAGAGCTGCCTTGGGGGACCCCAGGTGGGGCAGCTGACAGTCAGGAGGACTTCTGAGGAAGGGGTGGATGGCAGAAGGTAGAGTTCTTGGGAAGGTGATCACCTCTCCCCCGTCAGCTGGTCATACCAGGTAGGCCCCTGAAGGGTGACAAGGGCAGCAGGTCTGAGGGAGGCTCCAGGACAGGGGAGAGACTGGACACAGAATCAGAGACAGGGTGAGAGACAGAGAAAGGGAGGTGGCGGTGCTTGTTTCACAGCTGGACTTGGCGGTGGTGCCCAGGGTGCTGGCCACACTCCAGCAGGGTAATAGCATCAGCTCCAGCCTAAACTTTAATCAATGAATCCAAGGCTTGGCCACAATCAGCAGTGAGGAAGATTAGCAGAATCCTGGGAGGGGAGAGGGACGGAAGTGCCCAGCCAAGGAAGACGGTGCATGGGATCTATTGCAGGTCCGAGCGGGGGCTTCCAGTGCCCCTTCCCACCGGGCATGAAGTGGAAGCAGAGGTGGGAGTCAGACAGCTACATCAACAGCAAGGGAATGAATCTGGCCCACTGAGGCTCAGCGAGACCCCAACACAGGCTCCAAGCCACTCTCCCCCAATCCCAACAAGCCTCAAGTGAGACACCAAGAAGAACTTACCAACCAGGGAGCCCCCAGGATGCCTGAGCAGGGGCAGCGCAAGGTGTTCACATCATCCCTACCTGGGCAGGGGTCCCAGCATAGGAGCTGGAGTGCCCCCACCCTCCCCTTCAGGCTGGGCTGCACAGAGGGATGAACTGAATGGGTCACATTCTTACCCCTCAAGTGCTTTGGAGAGAGGGTAGAAGGAAGGAGGAGACAAACCAGTTATCATCTGCCCTACATAACTTATTAGCATCCAGGCGAGATTAATCAAGCCCAGAAACCTCGAGCACACCCCTAATTAGTTGCTGCTGATAACTATATTTGTCATGCTTTCCAATTATTCCACTGTAAATTTCAGAGTTTAATTGCACCTTGTTCTTCATTGAAGTGTCACTGTTTGCACACGCTCCCCTAATTCTTTAGCAAATTTGACAAAATTCAGCATTAAATATAGATTATCTTTAGATTTCCATAATTAACACAACCAAACTGTCTCAGGCCTAAATATTTCTCCCAGTATCATAAATCTGGCCTGTCCCTGGAATCCGAAGGGCTGCTTCCAGCTCCCCGGCAGAGGCTGCAGGGAGAACACACATGCACAGCCATGAACTCACATGACACGCCTGTGCAGGGCTGGGGCAAAAGGCGGCAGTGATACTTCATTGAGGGCACACAACTGGGAACATACCCCGTGCCCCATATCAGTAGGGGCTCCATCAAGATGCCCACCCTGGGGCGTGGGGCAGTGTCCCAGGGCTTGGAGGGCCAATTCAGGATCGCAGCTGACCTCTGCGCCTAGCGAATGGGCTAGAGGGAAGAGGCTCGGCCTACAACCAGATCACAAGCCTCCCCACCCAACAAAGGCCAAAGGGCCCCTTCTGTGACTTTTTTTTGTCCCTGTCAAGGCTGACCTTGATGTTTGACATTACCCCAGGAGCATGACCCAGGCAGACATGAATGCCCTCATGCCATACCCCTGCAGGGCACCGCCACTGCCCAGCCTTCTCTCTTAGTCCGCTCTCTCCAGACTCACCAGGCAAGTATATGTCCATCCAACTCTAACTGTCCCCCACCTGGGACCCTTTAGTTCAGATTAGGGGATGAAGGAATCCGACATCAGGTTTGAAATGATGCCCCCATATGAGGTTTGAATTTTTTTTTTTTTTTTTTGAGACGGAGTCTTGCTCTGTTGCCCAGGCTAGAGTCCAGTGGCTTGATCTCAGCTCACTGCAACCTCTGCCTCCTGGGTTCAAGTGATTATCCTGTCTCAGCCTCCTGAGTAGCTGGGATTACAGGTGCGCACCACCATGCCCAGCTAATTTTTGTATTTTTAGTAGAGATGGGGTTTCACCATGTTGCCCAGGCTGGTCTTGAACTTCTGACCTCAGGTGATCCACACACCTCGGCCTCCCAAAGTACTGGGATTACAGGTGTGAGCCACCACGCCCAGTCTGAAGTCTCTTCCACCAGCCCCCAAAACCCCAAATCTAACATCGCAAGGAAATCAGCAGGGTGTCCCATTTCCATAGGGACAGGAGGGGGCAGGAGGCAGCAGGGAAGCCTGTGCCCTTTTCAGATCCCAGCCCAGCCTCTGGCCCCTGGTGGAGGAGAATCATATCTTGGGTTTATCCCAAGTCAAGCCCCTTCCCCAGGCTGGCTATCTCATGGGCAGCAGAGCATCCAGAGTTCAACTGCAAGCCCAGCCCCCCATGCCCCCTGCAGTCACGCAAACACACCTGTACACACAGAGGCAGATGCACAGATGCAGAAATGGAAAGACACAGATGCACAGAGACACACCACAGAGATACACACAAAACACAAACTGACACACAGACAGATACACAATGCAACACACAGCCCAAGCCCTGTAGGAAGACGGGGATAGACAGACGGGGAAATACTCCCTCCCCAGAAATCAGTGACATACCCAGGGTCTTGCCACATTGAAGGGCCAAGGGGGGCTGGGGGCCCCCTTGCCCTCCATGCCACCTGCCAACCCTGACACCCCTGTTTCCCCGGCGTAGCTGCAGGGGTAGTTGAGGGGCTGAGGTGGGAGCAGGCAGGAATACAGAAGAGCCTCAAAGTGTACTCACAGCAAATTTGGAAGAAAATCGATGGCCTTTAATGAGATTTGATTTTTTCTCCACAATGGGCTGGGCTGGTGGTTGTGGGGGGATCTCTGGGTGCAATGTGCAAGGAAGTGAGCAGGGGCACAAGGTGCAGGGCTGAGAGGGACTGGGAAGCCGGGAGTGGGGAAACACCAGGGTCAGCAGCTACAGGGACAGGAAGAGGCAGAGGATAGACAGACAGGCAGGATGTCAGTGTCAGGCCGTCACTTAGCCCCACCTGTCAGAACAAGAGAGGGGCCCTGAGCTGGCTTGGGTGTATACTGTGGCCCTGTTGGGTTCTAGATGCGGAGTCTGCACTCCCAGCCCTCAGTAGGAGATAAAAGGCTGAGGTTCATCCAGGTTATGAGGCTGGCAGGGACCAAGCCATGGGGAGCAGTCACAGGATGGGGTATGTTGGGGGTGTGGCTGGCTTGGGTCCTTGGCTTCCAAGGGTGCTAAAAGGAAAATTGTAAGGAGCTTAATTCTGATCAGTGCAGTTAACTGAGCACCTGCCAGGCTCCAGGCCCCTGTTATTGTTATTCTGCAGGAAACCCCACAAGAGAGGTGACAACCCCTTGCTCCCAGATGAAGAAAATTAGGATCAGAGACATTAAAGAAATTGCCCAAAGCCACTCAGCCAATGGCTGAGGCAGCAACTGAACCAAGGTCCACCAGATTCTAAAGTCTGTTTCTTCCGTTCTGCCTGCAAGCAGCACCTGGCAGGCGATGGAGGCACATCTTAGTCTCTCTTCCTCTCTTCCAGTCCAGGTCTCCAAGACCTATGGATGGGTTGGGCCAGGGCTTGGGTTCAGGCTCCAGGGTGATGGCAACTTAAGGGAATCTCCTGCACAGCTAGGCTTCAAAGCACAAGACTTCCCCAGGCACAGAGGAGGGCATACCTATCAGCTGCAGCCCCGTCCATCCCACCCTGCTGGCTGAACCTTTGAGCTCCCTCCTTCCTTATGGAATCATAGAAGGGATCAGAGGCCATCAACCCCAAACATATCTTCTGTCTGAAGCCCCTGTGAAATATTCTGAGTGATCAACTGAGGTCTCGCACAACTCTAGTGACAGGGAGCTCACTACCTCCAAGGTATCCTCTTCCACTTCTGGAATCTTGCTAGATTGAGCTGCTTTTTGCCTCCCTGGGCCTCCTACTGGTCCTGTTTCTGCCTTCTGGGTCATCACTCTGCTCCACGAAAGCCCCTCTGTAACTGGAATACCACAATCACTGCCTTCCCACCACCTGGGGGCTTCCATGCTCCTGGCTAAACACGTCATCATTCCCTCAACTGTTGCAATAGTCCCTGACCATTCCCTCCCACCCACCCAAAGGCAGAATTATTGACAGCATAAAGGAGTGGTTTGGCAATGATTTCTTATGACATCAAAAGCACAGGTAACAAAAGCAGAAGTAGAAAAATAGGATTACATCAAAATGTAAACTGTGCATCCAGGAATACAACCCGCAGAGTGAAAAGGCCACCTACACAATGGGAGAGAATACTAGCAAATCTTATAACTGATAAGAGGTTAATATTCAGAATATATAAGGAACTCCTACAACTCAATAGCAAAAAAGTAAACAACCTGATGTAAAAATGAACAAAGAGCACGAATGGACATTTCTCCAAAGACGACACACAAGTGGCCAGCAAGCCTATGAAAAGATGCCCGACATCACAAATGACCGGAAAAACGTAAATCAAAACCACAAGGAGATGCCGCCTCGCATCCATTATGATGGCCACCATCAGAAAGACAGAAAATAAACAGTCTTATTGAGGATGTGGAGAAACTGGAACCCTTGAGCACTCTTGGGGGCAGTGTAAAATGGTGCAGCTTCTATGGAAAACAGTATGCAATTCCTCACAAAATTAAAAATAGAATTATAATCGGATCAGCAATCCCACTTCTGGGTATATATTCGAAAGAACTGAAGGCAGCGTCTTTTTTTTTTTTTCTTTTTGAGACTCACTCTGTCGCCCAGGCTAGAGTGCAGTGGTGCGATCTTGGCTCACTGCAACCTCCGCCTCCTAGGTTCAAGCAATTCTCCTGCCTCAGCTTTCCAAGTAGCTGGGATTACAGGCATGCGCTACCACACCTGGCTAATTTTTGTATTTTTAGTAGAGATGGGGTTTTGCCATGTTGGCCAGGCTGGTCTTGAACCCCTGACCTCAAGTTATCCATCCACCTTGGCCTTCCAAAGTGCTAGGATTACAGGCATGAGCCACTGCACCTGGCCCAAGGCAGGGTCTTGAAGCGATATTTGCACACCCATGTTCCTAGCAGCATTATTCAAAAAAGCCAAGAGGCAGAAGCAACCCAGGTGCCCATCGATGGATGGATGGATAAACAAAATGTGGTGTACACAGACAATGAAATATTATTCAGTCTTAAAAAGGAAGGAAATTCTGTCACATGCCACAATATGGACAAACCTTGAAGACATGATGCTAAAATAAGCCAGTCACAAAAAGACAAATGCTGTATGATTCCACTCTATGGGGTATCTAAAGTCATCCAATTCATAGAAACAGAACAGAGAATGGTGTTTGCCAAGGGCTGGGTGGTGGATGGGGAGCTGCGGTTTAAAGGGTAGAGTTTCCGTTTTGTAAGGCAAAAGAGCTCTGCAGAGCTGTTGCACAGCAATGTGAATATACTTAACACTACTGACTGGTACACTTAAAAACAGCTAAGACAATAACAACAAAAGCCACAATTCTGGAGTCAGACTTGGGTTTGAGTTCCAGCTCTGTCACATGGCCTGGGGCAAGTTGTCAAATGTCTCTAAGCCTCAGTCTCCCCAGCTTTACAACAGGGTAATGATAGAACCTAATTCACACGATCTCATCGACAAAGCAGGTGAAGTGTCTGGGACCTGGTCAGTTGGCTCTGGAACCATGTTCTGGAAGCTACCCTTGTACGGAGGCTGCGCAGGTTGGAGTTGGGCAGCTTCCAGCCCTGGGCTGTCCGCTCCCAGTGGCACCCAGCCTCTATTTCCGTGACCTCTCCGTCTGTCCCATTTCCTCTCACTGTCCTCCCTCCTTACCTCTCTCCAGCCACGCTGGCCTAGAGCACACCAGGCACACTCCTACCCAGAAGCCTTTGCACTTAGAGTTTCCACTGCTTGAAATGCTCTCAGGGACTCACTTCTGCCCTTTCTCCAGGTCTTTGTTTACAGTCCCCCTGTTTAAAATTGTGCCCTCCCCCAACCACGGGGCTCTATGTCCCCTTCCCCTGCTCTACTTTTCTTACAACATACTATATAATTTTACTTATTGGTTGTCGCTGACTTGCTCACTGCTATATCCCCAGCTGGCACAGAGTAGGTGCTCAATAAATACTTGATGAATGACAGCCTAAGCTAAGCCTTGGCGTTCTGTCCTTAGAGGCCCTCTGCCCCCAGCCCCAAATTTCATCATTGTGGTGTCTGCCCCCTTAAGGACTCCCACTCCCAGGTCCCCTTAAGGACTCACACTCCCAGGTCCCCTCAAGGACTCCCACTCCCAGGTCCCCTCAAGTGTGGGGGGAGAACCCCACTTCCCCCTAAAGCCCCAGGCTGCCCAGCTGCTGCTCCACTGGGACCTCAGCACCAATTCTGCCCATCAATATCAGCCTGCAGCAGTCACACTTGAACACCCACCCCAATCGATAACCAGCGGCTGCTATCGATCAGCCCCGAGGGCACAGGAAGCCGGTGGGGAGAGGGAAGGAGAGGACCAGGCATGGTGTGCGGACACAGCCTCAGAGAGGGAGCAACAGCAAAGAGCCCCCAGTGACCCGGCCAGGGCAGGCAGACAGGACAGAGCTCATCAGAAACCAGAGGCAGAGGTGAAGGGGGAGGAGAAGCCAGACCCCAGGCTAGGAAGGGCAAAGGGGCAGACACAGAGGGAGGCTGCTGAGAAGAAGGAAGAGGCAAGATAGGAAGGGTTGGCCAGGCGCAGTGGCTCATGACTGTAATCCCAGCACTTTGGGAAGCCAAAGCGGGTGGATCACTTGAGGTCAGGAGTTCGAGACCAGCCTGGCCAACATGGTGAAACCCCGCCTCTACTCAAAATACAAAAATTAGACAGGTGTGGTTGTGGTGGGAGCCTGTAATCCCAGCTACTCGGGAGGCTGAGGCAGGAGAATCACTTGAACCTGGGAGGCGGAGGTTGCAGTGAGCAGAGATCAGGACACCGCACTCCAGCCTGGGTAACAGAGCGAGATTCCGTCTCAAAAAAAAAAAAAAAAAGACGGAAAGGAAGGAAGGGTTATTGAAGGTCTACCATATGCCAAGGGCATCATCTCTCAAGCCTCCCAGCACAACCGTGGGTGAAAGCAGTTATTGGCTCTATCTTACAGGGAGGAAACTAAGCTCAGAGGTTAAGAAACTCACCCCAGGCCTGAGCCTTCAAATCTGGGAGCAGAGCCAGGATTTGAACCCATGTCTGGAGTCTCTGTGGGGCCAAGGCTCTTTGCAGCACCCCACAGTAGCTCTGAGCTGTCACTTCTGGGCTTCCAGCCTGGAACACCACCTAAAGCCAGTGGGAAACTGGATGGAGGTGCCTCCCAGCACCTCCACTGGAATGTCCCACTTAGAGCTTGTCAAGGTAGCTCGGAAAGCCTGGGCGGTGGTTCATGCCTGTAATCCCAGCTACTCGGGAGGCCGAGGCAGGAGGATCACTTGAGCTCAGGAGTTCAAGGCCAGCCTGGGCAACATAGGGAGATCCCATCTCAACAACAACAAAAACGTTTTTAATCAGCTGGGCATAGTGGCTAAGGAGGCTACTCAGGAGGCTGAGGTGGGAGGATCACTTGAGCCCGGAGTTGGAGGCTGCAGTGAGCTATGATTGCATCACTGCACTCCAGCCTGGGCAACAGAGCAAGACCCTGTCTATAAAAGAAAACAAACAAACAAACAAAAAGTATGGTAAGGGAAACAAGATGAGGCATGTAAGCCCATGGTAAGTGCATAACAAATGCTAGTACCATCATCATCACCACATCACTCCTCCTCCTGTTCCAAGCACACGGCTTCCAGGTCGCACACTCACTGAAGCGAGACTGTTGTTAAGAGTGTGTGTCGGCCTCAGGGCTCTGATTCAGACAAGATCCAGCCCCATGCACAGTGCCTGACCCAGGCTAATACCTGTATCTATGCAAGGGGCTGTCGACGGAAAGTCTGGCACAGGTGGGTCTCTGCAGAGCTGAGGGGCTGAGGGAGGCTGTGAAGCATCTCCTCAGCCTCAATTAGCTCCCTTGTTTCAGAGAAGCAAGACCAGCTGTGGCTGGGGATGATTTCTGACTTGCCTCCTCTGACACTGCTTGAAAGTGGAAGGTCAAGGCCGGCTGGAGGCGTGCTCAGGGATCTGCCCCTCCAGCCCACTTCAGAGAAGAGGAAGAGGAGGCAATCAGCCTCCAACCTCAGGACTTATTCACTTGTTCATGCATCATTGTGAAACACCCAGCACGTGCCTGGCCCTGTGGTGGGACCTGGGAATACAAAATCAGTAAGGGTGATTCCTGCTTGAAGGTCTAAGTGGGGCAGGGATATTCCTAGAGGGCGGGAGGGGCTTATGTGTCTGCGGTTGTAGGGAGCAGGCGGCCTGCAAGAAAGTTTTGTTGTCGTTGTTGTTGTTGTTGTTGTTGTTGTTTGAGACAGTCTCACTCTGTCGCCCAGGCTGGAGTGCAGTGGCGTGATCTCAGCTCACTGCAACCTCTGCCTCCCAGGTTCAAGTGATTCTCCTGCCTCAGCCTCCCGAGTAGCTGGGATTACAGGAATGCACCATGCCCAGCTAATTTTTGTATTTTTAGTAGAGATGAAGTTTCACTATGTTGACCAGGCTGGTCTTGAACTTCTGACCTCAGGTGATCCACCTGCCTCGGCCTCCCAAAGTACTGGGATTACAGGCATGAGCCACCACGCCTGGCTTAGTTTCCTCTTTCTAAGGGGAGCTGTTTAGCCCATGAATTTTTTTTTTTTTTTGAGACGGAGTTTTGCTCTTGTTGCCCAGGCTGGAGTGCAATAGCGCGATCTCAGCTCACCGTAACCTCCGCCTACTGGGTTCCAGGGATTCTCCTGCCTCAGCCTCCTGAGTAGCTGGGATTATAGGCGCCTGCCATCATGCCCAGCTAATTTTTGTATTTATAGTAGAGATGGGGTTTCTCCATGTTGGTCAGGCTGGTCTCAAACTCCTGACCTCATGATTCGCCCACCTCGGCCTCCCAAAGCGCTGAGATTACAGGCATGAGCCACCGCGCCCGCCAGCCCATGGATTTTTTTCTCAGGTTGCAGATAAACCACAAAGGTACTGCTTCTCATGGAATCTCCCTTCTGATGCCTACAAACCTTACCAAGAAAGCTGGAGCCCGAAGGGGGAGAAGGGCCAGACTGCAGAGAGGGCAGGAGAAAGACAGGCCCAGCCCCTCCTCCCCGGCCCACAGCAGCTGGTGAAGGGTGTCCTCTGAAATGGAATACTGTGACCGAGAGGGCACATGGCAGGGGCGAAGGACAGGCATTTCCATAAAAATCCTTGGAGTGCAGTCAGGAGGAGTCCTGTTTCAAAGCAGCCTTTGCAGAGCCTGAGGTAGAAATCTCCTGGTCCTGATTCAAAGAGCAGCCCCTCTCCCTTTCCCAATCTGGGGAAGGAGCTGAGCCAATTAACTGGGAGGCAGAGCTCGAGCCCTTTCCAGCTTCTCTGGAGGTGCTAATGGTCCTCAGGGCTCTGGCCCTGCTCCCCTTCCACCCACCCCCAATGGGCTACATACAGTTCTGCGATTTAAGAACATAGTTTTGAGAGCAGTTGTTTTGCCCATAAAATAACTACAATATTTGAGCAAATAAATATTTTATTTGCCCATAAAATAACTACAATTATTGAGAGTTTACAATTTACTGGGCACTGTGCTAACCCCCTGTGAGGTATGACATCCTCATTTTACAGAAGAGACAACTAAATGTCCTAGAGGACAAGCATCTTGCCTTGGGCATCCAGCTAGCAAGAGATGGGTGGGATGGGAACCTGAGACTGCGCCCTGTTCACAGGGGGATTCTGAAGGAAGGGAAAGTGGCCATGTTGGGGTGCCCAGGAGATGGGGGATTAAAACCTATGGATTAGAGGTTGAGGGAAGAGGATAAAAGGAAGGATCCGCTCCAGGTGCTTCGTCCCCTGACCAGGTTTCCAGGACCCTCAGGAGAGGGGGACAGTGACAACCTCTGGTCAGCGGCCAACATAAAACTGCCTCTATGTCACCTGGCGCACAGGCCCAGAAGTGAGAGGCACTGAGCTCTGGGCTGGGTAGGAGGCCGTTAGAACTTTCTGGAGCACCTCCCCCAGCAGGATGAGCTGAAGACCACTAGGGAGGTGTTAATGAAACAGGGAAGCTGCAAACAGACCCAGGAGTGATTCCAATCTGACACCTCCCCCTACGCAGCCCCCACCAGTAATGAGCTGGGACTTGCCCTTCCCCCCAGAGAGCAGGGTGAGGGGAGGAGGAGGCGTTCTTGGGCATTTTTTTTTAGCTTCAAAAGCCTCTTTTCATCATCATCGTCATCATTGTCATCGTCATCATCGCATTGAAAAGCTCACATTTATTGAACACCTACTGTGTCCCGGGCACTGTGCTAAGTCTTTTTCATGTATCCCATCATTAATCCTCACATACAAACCTTAAGCCTACATGGTAGGTAGTATTCTTATCTCCATTTTGCAGATTAAGAAACTGAGGCTCAATCAGGGTAAGTGACTTGCCTAAGGTAGGGCCCACATGTGGAGCCGGCACTGTCTGACATCCTGCTTTTGGTACCGGACTTCTGACCCACCGAGAACTCCTGCAGGGGGACATGTTTGTGTGGCCTCAGGGCTGCAGCTGAGTGGTGAATAAAGGCAGCGCGCCCAGTACACATCCTTGAAGTTCAGAATTGGGAAGAAAGACACTGGTAGACTGAGTCGGTGGGACAGGGATGAGTAGGATCCTGGCCTTGCCGCCAAGCCTCCCTGTCTGCTTTCCCTGCTCTCCGCTTCCACATGTGTACACTGAGAAGGGGCCAGGAAGCTCGGGGAAGGAGGAGGAGGGACCTCTAGCTCTGTTCACTGCCTGGGGAAGGGGAGGCAGAGGGGTTCTGGCTGGGGAGGAGGCCTGAAGAAGTGGGGAGAGGTTGCAGGGAAGACCCCTGCCTCAAAACCCCAGGAGGGAGTGGCTGAGCGGCTCTGCAGTGGAGCCCCATGTTTGTAAACACCATTAATCAGGGATTAGCAGATGGGCATGCTAATTGCACCTGTGGAAGTGAGAAACCTCAAGGTTGATTACATTTACAAACTGTGGGGATCCCTGGCACCTGGCCCTGCAGGAGTCGGTGGTGGTAGTGGTGGTGTGTGTGTATGTGTGTCGGCAAAGCGGGGGTGGGAGGTGTGCTGTCTAATTCAGGACCCCAACCTAGGGGGAGGGGGATTGACAATTTAGCCTCCTGCCAAAAAAATATTCCAGGCCTGCAGCAGGGATCTGGGGTGCCAGCCTTGATTTAGCTGCTCCGAGAATACCAAGTCACTGCCAATTCTTCTTAGACCCTTTCCATCTCGGCATCTCAGGATCTTGGAGCCCTGACAAAGGGGGATCCTACAAATGTCATTCCAACCCCTCTCCTCCCTCAACTCCCTCCAGCAGTTCCCAGTGGTAAATCATTGTGCACTGCAGATGAAAGGGGCCAGAGCCTACAGGAAAACGGAGGCCAGGTTGGTTGGGAAGCACAACCCAGCACCCTGACCTCTAAATCTGGCCCTAGAGGCTTTGAGGAGCAGCTACCATGCTCCTCCAGGCATGGGGCTGAGGGTTTTACATGTATGACCTCTTTCAATCCATACCACCATCCTTTGAAGTGGACACCACTGTCATCCCCATTTTATAGGCGATGAAAACTGAGGCTTGGAATTTAAGGGACATGTCCACATTTATACTTCTAGCAAGCCACAGAGTTGGAACTCAAAGCAAGCACTGTCTAGCAGCCAGGCTCCTGCTCTTAACCACCACTGCTCTCTCCTCTGACTTCATTCCAACTTTGCCCTGCAGGGGATGGACCCCCACCCAGCCCCTTCACACCCACAGCCACAGCCTCCCCAGCTCCCGTGTACTTAACCCACACTTGCTGAGCAGTGTCCACTCAGTGTATAGGCACCGCGCCAGGTACCAGAGGCTGCCTAAAGGAGAATCAGGCCTCATCCTCCTCATCCTTAGGACCTCAGACCCTTCCTCTTTGTTGGGGGACTGCCTGTATACCAGAAATTAGCACACACCTGTGTGTGTATGGCCTGTAATTTAAGCCTCAATCCCCTTTGGTTTAAGTGAACCTGTCTTCCCAGAGGCCAGCCAGCCTGCTGCCCAGGGAGTGAAGCAGGGAGAAGCCCCCTGTACCTGACTAAGCCCAGGAGAGTCTTCTAGATGGCCCAGACCACTGGGACAGGGAAAGCTGATGAACAGCATGTCCAGGGCAGGTTAGATCGGGTTCCAGCCACCATGGAGGAGTCTGTGGGGGGTGGGGTGCCTAAGTAGCCCCTACTCCAACTTCTAAATTCCATGTTGGGCTTGGTTCTAGAGAGCAAGCTGAACCCTGCATCCCATATGCAGGGAGCACTGGGACGCCTACATTCATTTTCATCAACTGCATTAGGTTTCTCCAGAGAAACAGAAACAACTGTGCGTGTGTTCAAGAGATTATAAGGCATTGGCTCATGCAATGATGGAGGCGGGCAAGTCTCAAGACGTGCAGGGTGAGTCAGCAAGCTGGACGCCCAGGAGAGCTGATGGTTTCATTCCAGCCTGAGTTTGAAGGCCTGAGCACCAGGAAAACCAATGGTATCATTTCCATTCAAAGGCCAGCACGCTTGAGATCCAGGAAGAGCTGATATTTCAGGTCTAGTCTGAAGGTAGGAAGGATTCTCTGACTTGGGAGAGGTCAGACTTTTTGTTCTATTCAGGCCCTCAACTGAATGGATGAGACCCACTCACATTAGGGGTCTGCTTGACTCAGTCTACCAATGTAAACGTTAATCTCTTCCAAAAACAGCCTCAGAGAAACACCCAGAATGTTTGACCAAACATCTGGGCAACCCATGGCCCAGTCAAGTTGATACACAAAATTAACCACCACATCAAAGTCTGTATTATTGTGCGCTAGTCCTGGGGTGCAGTGTCCTCTGGTTTACAGAACATCTTTTACCGATACTCTCATTTTATTTTTATAACTTCTGTTGAAAAGGAAGGGGGTAGATAGGGCTGGTAGTAATGGTACTATCCCCAAGATGAGGAGGCTGAGAAGCCATCTAAGTGGAAAGCCATGGAGCCAGGACTGGAATGAGCACCTTCCGGAACCTGAGGGACAGATGAAAGCTCACCCTCACCTAAACTTTCAGGCATGAGCTCAAAAGCACAGGTGTGCATGGGAAGCAGTTTCTTGGACATGAGTGAGTGGCTCAAAGGCCACTGATTCTTGAACCTGGTCACACAATGAGATCAACTAGTAGCTTTAAGAAATATCGGCTGGGCATGGTAGTGCACGCCTGTAATCCCAGCACTGTGGGAGGCCAAGGCGGGCAGATCACCTGAGGTCAGGGAATTTGAGACCAGCCTGGCCAACATGGAGAAACCCCATCTCTACTAAAAATACAAAACTTAGCTGGGTGTGGTGGCACATACCTGTAATCCCAGCTACTTGGGAGGCTGAGGCAGGAGAACCGCTTGAACCCAGGAGCCAGAGGTTGCAGTGAGCTGGGATTGTGCCACTGCACTCCAGTCTGGGCAACAGAGCAAGACTCCGTCTCAAAAAAAGAAAAAATAAAAACCAACACATGGCTCCTTCTCCAGAGATTCTGATTTAATCAGTCAGGTGCCTCTGGGCTTCTGAAATATTAAAAATATTCTCCTCCTTGACCCCAATGACAAGCCAAAGTGAAACATCACTACACTAGGCACTTGGCCAAGAATGAAGCAGGGATGGGTCAGAGCCTGCGTGGCAGTCAGGGACAGGGAGCTCAAGGGGGGCAGAAGCTGATCAGTGCAGTTTATGAAGGAATTCTGTCCTCTTTCTTGAGAGGAGTAACTTTGACTTTAAAAAGATCTTAGGCCGGGCGCAGTGGCTCACGCCTGTAATCCCAGCACATTGGGAGGCCGAGGCAGGTGAATCACGAGGTCAGGAGATCGAGACCATCCTGGCTAACACGGTGAAACCCCGTCTCTATGAAAAACACAAAAAATTAGCCAGGCTTGGTGGCGGGCGCCTGTAGTCCCAGCTACTCAGGAGGCTGAGGCAAGAGAGTGGCATGAACTCGGAAGGCAGAGCTTTCAGTGAGCCGAGATCGCGCCACTGCACTCCAGCCTGGGCAACAGAGCGAGACTCCGTCTCAAAAAAAAAAAAAGATCTTAGGCCCTTTTTAGGCCAGGTTCACACCTGTAATGCCAGCACTTTGGGAGGCTGAGGAGGGCAGATCACCTGAGGCCAGGAGTTTGAGACCAGCTTGGCCAACACAGTGAAACCCCATCTCTACCAAAAAAAAAATATAAAAATTAGCTGCGCGTGGTGCACGCCTGTAGTCCCAGCCACTTGGAAGGCTGAGGCAGGAGAATCACTTGAACCTGGGAGGCAGAGGATGCAGTGAGCCAAGATCGCGCCACTGCACTCCAGCCTGAGCGACAGAGTGAGACCCTGTCTCAAAAAAAAAGGAGCATAGGCCCTTTTTAAACAACTTTAAGTGTTGCTCTAAATTGGCATTGCCATTATTAGAATTGAGACAAATCCAATGCAGATGGATTCCAGAGAAAAGTGGAGTACTATTTATTGAGCACCTAATACATGTGAGTTCCTATTGCCCTCCATATTCTCCCAACAATCCAGGAAGGTAGGATTATTCCCCTTTCGCCCAGGAGGGCACCGAGGCCCAGGTGGGTAAGGAGCGCCCCCCCAAGGTCACATAGCAGTCAGGATTGCAAGTTCGGGGTTGCTATCCTCCAAAGCCATGCTCCAGGAGGGGAGATTTTTGTCTCTTAGAAGCCATCTGGCAACGTCTGGAGACATTTCTGGTTTCATAATGAGAGGTCATGCTACAGGCATCTAGTGCGTATAGGTCGGGGATTCTGCTAAACATCCTACAGTGCACAGGATGGCTCTCACAACAAAAAATTATCTGGCCCAAAATGTCAAGGGTGTGGAATTTGAGTCCACCTGCCCTAGTGGTGATTCTCAGCCTTGGCTGCACATTAGACCAATGGTGGCGCTTTCGAAAGCCGGATGCCAGGTGGCGCCACACCCATCATGTCAGACTCTCTGGTGTCAGTGTTGGGTTTTTTAAAGCATGCCAGGTGGTTCCAATGTGCCACCAGGACAGAAACACTTCTATGCTCCTCACACTGCTGGCTCCTGCTGCTTTCCTGGGACCCGAGGGGAGGAGTGCCAAATCTGTCTCGGTTGTACAATCAACGGCAAGCCTGCTCCCAGTTCCTCCCCTTGAAGGGAACTGACTCAGTCACCCGTGGGGGGCCCCCGTGGGGTGGGAGGTGTTTGCTAATTTCCCGTCGCCTCTCATGGGGCTGCAGCCAGGAGTCTCCCCGCAAGGAGGCTGTGGAAGCTGCCTGAAGACTGGACCGAAGAGCGAGGCTGCCACCTAACGGAGGAATTGGCCAGAATCTCCCACGTGCTGAGTGATGTTTTATTTGAGCCTCACAACAACCCTGTGAGGTAGGTGCGGAGTCCCGCGGCACAGAAAGATGAGGCCTGCGCTCAAGGCCCCAGGGCGGGGCCGTGTGTGGGCCTGAGGTGCGCACTGTCTACTCCACATCAGGGCCCCGCCCTCCACCCCCCACATTCTCATACACACATTTGCCACAGGCAATGACTGGTTCAAGAGGAACGGGTCCCCTGGGCTGGGCTGCCTGCCTCTCTGCAGATGTCTAAACTTTCCCTCAACTTCCAGGCAGGGCCTGGGAACAGATTCCCTCCATGCTAGGCCATCATGGCTTCCCATGGAAATTAACAAATCACCATGTCCTACTACAGGTCCAACATCACAACAGGAAACAGCTTCCTCTGGTGTCCACCGCAGTCCCCTTCCCCCCCCCCCAGACTGTGGTCAATAAACATGGGCCTGGTGCACACTCAGGCAGAGGCTCCCCGCACACTGGAGCCGGCGGAGGCAGGTGCGGCCGTCCCTGACTCCAGCACATGAACACTGTGGACAGTCCACGTCAGCCCTCATTTTGCCTCTCTTTCTCTGGGCCTGAAGACAGCCCTGGGTGCTGAGCCATGCTGAGCCCTTCAGACCTGGCTGAGGGTTCTTGGGGGTCTTGGAGAAGCTGCCTTCTCTCCCCCTCTGTGGGGAAACCCTTCCTCTGGCTGCAAATGGAGTGAAGAAGAATTCCTGCACAGACACAAGGACAAGGGAAGAGAGGACGGAGGAGAAGGATGATGTTTAGAGACCTAGACATTCAGGCAGCCCCTCATCTCATCAACGGGATGTAATTTCCCCATTTTGTACATAAAGCAACTGAGGCACACAAACAGCCAGCAAATGGGATTAGAGGGCATCAAATCCCACCTGCGTGATTAGAGGGATAGAGGAAAGGGAAAGGGGAGTAGACTCACCTGCAGCCACAGAGACGTTCAAGGACTCAAGTCCAGGAGGCAGCTGGCGCCGGGGCAGGATGGTGAGGAGAAGCTGGCAGGAGGCCTGCACCTCCTGGGATAGACCTGAGCCCTCATTCCCTGCAGGGCGTGGGGCTGAGGGTTAGGGTTGCCCAGCTGGACACCCAGTTGCTCGGGAAATGTAATCTGGGCACAAACGCAGGGACATCCACCTACCCAGCACAAGGAGAGTAGGCCGTTCCCAGAGGAACTCCAAGCAACTCATGATGGGGATCTCGGAGGACTGGGGATCCTCTGTGCTTGGGCAGCCCACCGTGCCGGCCACGAGCCAGCCCTGCTGGGCTTTGGTCTGAAAGGGGGAAGAAGATATGTTCTAATTCTTTTTTTATTTTAATTTTGAGATAGGGTCTTACTCTCGCTCAGGCTGGAGTGCAGTGGCACGATCACAGCTCACCGCAGCCTCAACCGCCTGGGTTCTGGTGATCCTCCCACCTCAGCCTCCCAAGTAGCTGGGACTACAGGCACTCGCCACCCCACCCGGCTAGTTTTTGCATTTTTTTTTTTGAGATGAGGTTTTGCCATGTTGCCCTGGTTGGTCTGGAACTCCTGGCTTCAAGCGATCCTCCCACCTTGGCCTCCCAGAGTGCTAGGATTACAAGCGTCAGCCACCATGCCTGCCTCTCCTATTCTAATTCATCAAATCTTCATCAGAGGCTGTATGCAGTGGCTCAAGCCTGTAATTCCAGCACTTTGGGAGGCTGAAGCAGGCAGATTACCTGAGGTCAGGAGTTCAAAACTAGCCTGGCCCAGGCACGGTGGCTCACGCCTGTAATCCCCAGCACTTTGGGAGGCCAAGGCAGGGGGATCACCTGAGGTTGGGAGTTCGAGACCAGTCTGAACAACATGGAGAAACCCCGTCTCTACTAAAAATACAAAATTAGCCGGGCATGGTGGTGCATGCCTGTAATCCCAGCTACTCAGGAGGCTGAGGCAGGAGAATCGCTTGAACTCGGGAGGCAGAGGCTGCAGTCAACCGAGATTGCGCCATTGTACTCCAGCCTGGGCAGCAAGAGTGAAACTCCATCTCAAATTAAAAAAAAAAACAAAAAACCAGGCGCAGTAGCTCACGCCTGTAATCCCAGCACTTTGGGAGGCCGAGGCGGGCGGATCACCTGAGGTCAGGAGTTTGAGACCACCCTGGCTAACATGGTGAAACTCCGTCTCTACTAAAAACACACAAAAAATTAGCTGGGTGTGGTGGCACATGCCTGTAGTCCCAGCTATTTGGGAGTCTGAGGGAGGAGAATCGCTTGAACCCGGGAGGCGGAGGTTGCAGTGAGCTGAGAGCACACCACTGCCTCCAGCCTGGGCAACAAAGCGAGACTCCACTCTGTCTCAAAAAAAAAAAAAAGACTAGCCTGAGCATCATGGTGAAACTCTGTCTCTACTAAAAATACAAAAATCAGCCTGTAATCCCAGCTACTCAGGAGACACGAGGATCTCTTGAGACCAGGAGGCAGACATTGCAGCGAGCTAAGATTGCGCCACTGCACTCCTGCTTGGGTGACAGAGTGAGACCCCCATCTCAAAAAAAAAAAAAAAAATTATCCATCAGAGCCCTGGCCAAGGAAGAGCCCAGCCTTGCCCATACATTCATTTATCTGCTGATCCAGTCAATTAGTCAATAGTTATTAAGCACCTAGCATGGGCTCTGTTCTAGGCACTGAGGACAGGGCACTGAACAAAACAAAACAGACCAAAATCCCAGCCTTGTGGAAGGGCAGGTGGGGATGGACTCACTGAGGTGACATTTGAGTGCAGACCTGAAGGAGAAGGAGGAGCACCGTGCAGACATCTGGGGCAAGAACATTCTAGGCAGAGAGATCAGCAAGCACAGAGGCAGGTGCCTCCCTGGCATGTTTGAGAACAGTAAGGTGGCCAGTGGGAAGAGAGGCGTCAAGACAGAAGAAGGAACAAGAGCCACATGAGGTATGGTCTCCAGGGCTACTGGAAGGACTCTGCCTTTGAATCTGAGCGGTACAGAGGCTTTGAAAGGTTTTGAGCAGAGAAGTAACATGGTATGACTTCAACAGAATCACTCTGCCTGCTGTGCTGAGAGCCAAGAGCAGAAGAAAGGAGGCCAGGTGGGAAGTTTCTGCAATAACGGTCAACAGATGATGGTGACTTGCTTGGGCCAGAGTGGTAGCAGTGGAAACAGGCAGAAATGGTGATAATACGGAAATAACTTTAGTTAAGGATGATGCCAAGGTTTTTGACCTAAACAACCAAAGGGATGGAGTTGCTCCAGAAGGAACAAGCGCTCAGTTTTAGAAATGTTAGGTTTGAAATGCCCGCCTGACAGCAAAACAACAACAACAATAACAACAACTGTGCAGTAGGCAACTAGATGAGTGAATCTGGAATTCAGAACCAAGGTCCAGGCTGGAGTATACACTTGGGCGGGAATTTGAATTCAGATAGTATTTAAAGCCATGAGACTAGATGAGACCAACAAGAAATGAACATATACAGAAAAGAGATCCAGGACCAGGTGAGGTGGCTCACGCCTGTAATCCCAGCATTTTGGGAGGCTAAGGCAGGAGGACTTCTTGAAGCCAGGAGTTTGAGACCAGCCTGGGCAACAAAGTGAGACCTCATCTCTACAAAAAAAAAAAGAAAAAGAAAAAAGAAAGAAAAAAATTAGGTGAGATGGTGTGCACCTGTATCTCCAACTACTCAGGAGGCTGAGGTGGGAGGATGGCTTGAGCCCAGGAATTCGGAGGCTATACTGAGCTGTGATTGTGCCACTGGACTCCAGGCTGGGCAACACAGCAAGACCCCATCTCTCTCTCTCTCTCTCTCTCTTTTTTTTTTTTTTGAGATAGAGTTTCACTCTTATTGCCCAGGCTGGAGTGCAACGCTGTGATCTCGGCTCACTGCAACCTCCGCCTCCTGGATTCAAGCAACTCTTCTGCCTCAGCCTCCCGAGCAGCTGGGATTACAAGTGCCCGCCACCATGCCCAGGTAATTTTTGTATTTTTAGTAGAGACAGGGTTTCACCATTTTGGCCAGGTTGGTCTCGAACTCCTGACCTCAGGTGATCCACCTGCCTCAGCCTCCCAAAGTTCTAGGATTATAGGCGTGAGCCACCGTGCCTGGCCAAGACCCCATCTCTTAACAACCGCTCCCGGCCAAGACCTCATCTCTTTTTTTTTTTTGACACGTCACTCTGTCACTCAGGCTGGAGTGCAGTGGCACAATCTCGGCTCACTACCACCTCCACCTCCCGGGTTCAAGCGATTCTCCTACCTCCGCCTCCCGAGTAGCTGGGACTACAGGCACGAACCACCACACCCAGCTAATTTTTTGTATTTTTAGTAGAGATGGTGTTTCACCGTGTTAGCCAGGATGGTCTTGATCTCCTGACCTCATGATCTGCCTGCCTCAGCCTCCCAAAGTGCTGGGATTACATGCGTGAGCCATTGTGCCCAGCTGACCCCATCTCTTAACAACAACAACAAAAGAGATCCGAGGACTAAAATCTGGGAAATGCTAATGCTCGGAAGTCAGGGGGTTGAGGAAGAACCACTAAAAATGTCTCTCAGAGAGGACATGGTGAAGCAGAAGGAAAGCAGGTATAGTGTTTCAAGGAGGAAGGAGTGGTCAACTGTGCCAGCTGCTGCAGATGGGTCAAGTCAGAAAAGAATTGAGAACAGACCCTGGAATGCAGCAACATGGAGGCCACTGGTGACCTTGATGAAGCCTTTGATTCAGTGTGAGAGGAAGAGCTGACTGGTGTGAGATCAAGAGCGTGAGAGGGGAATGTTTGCTTGCATGCTGAAGAGAGTGTAAGAGAAAAGTGGATGCTGCAGGAAGAGGAGGAAAATTGCTACAGCAGTGTCTCTGAGTACGCAGGAAGGGATGGGGCCCCAGCACAGGCCCCTGCTTGGGGCACCTCCAGCTCTTCCACAGCAACAGGCGGATGACACTCTCCAGGTCAGATGCTGATGACAGTAGGGAGATGTGATGCCTGGAGCTTAAGTGGATGTTCTGCAGTGTTTCTGTGTTTTCAGAAGCTACCTGTTCAGGGGCTGGAAGTGATGAGTGGGAACCTCATCTCCTATCAGGCTTGGAGAAAGGGGCTCTCTACAAAAAAGTGAAGCCAAAAAATGCTTCTAGATATGTGCTGTTCAATATAGTAGCCACTAGCTACATGTGGCTATTAAGCAATTGAAAGGTGGCTAATTCAAATCGAGGTGTGTTGTATGTAAAACATTTTTTAAAGGAATGTAAAATATTTCATTAATAATATTTTTTAAAGGCCAGGTGCGGTGGCTCATGCCTATAATCCCAGCACTTTGGGAGGCCGAGGCGAGTGGATCGCTTAAGGTCACGAGTTCAAGAACAGCCGGACCAACATAGTGAAACCCCATCTAAATACAAAAAAAAAAAATTAGCTGGGCATGGTGTGTGCCTATAATCCCAGTTACTTGGAAGGCTGAAGCAGGAGAATCACTTGAACCCAGGAGGCAGAGGTTGCAGTGAGCCAATATTGCACCACTGCACTCCAGCTTGGGCAATAAGAATGAAACTCTCTCAAAAAATTAATAATATTAATAATAATTAAAATGATTACATGTTAAATTGATATTATTTTGGATATACTGGACACAATTTATTTAAAATGTCATCTCTTTACTTTTCAATGTGGCTACTAGAAAAGCTAAAACTACCTATGTTTCTCACACCATATTTTTATTGGACAGCGTTGTTCTAGACAGGTCCCAGAGCTCTCCCCCTTCTTAAGAGGGAAATTTCTCACCCTGCAGTTGGGGTGGGGGTTGGGGGGGGTATGGTCAGAGGGGATTCCATATGCAGAGCAATACTGCCTCCTTGTGTCCAGCAAGGGAAGCACAGCTGAAGACAAACGGATGGGAGAGGGGTTTCCAAGGTTTGTCTCTTGCTAGATACTAATGGCATAAAGATCTTCTTGTTCAAACATCCTTTCAAGCTGTGCCCTATTCGAGGAACTCAGGTCTCCTGTACGCAGCTCCCCACAGCTGAACAAAATGCATTTACTGAAGCCCGACCTAGTAGGCAAATAGACACTGAGGCTGACTTACAGAAGAGGCAAAGTGGTGCATACCTGGGGAAGGGGTGCAGGAAAGGGTATAACGCTAGGAAGAATTCAGCTAATGCTCCATTTGCCGTTTTAAAAACTCCAGGACCCTTCCATCCCCAGAGGGATTTAGAAGGCCAAAGGAAGCGGTGCCAACATGCCCCTTTCTCTCCCTCGCCAGGGGCTAGCTTCGTCCCCTTGAAGAGGCTGAGCTGGGCTCACATCTGTTCCTTCCCCTCTTGCCCCTCATTACCTGTAAAAATCCGGTGAGGTCATCAGTGGAGAACACGTCCATCACCTCCATAGCCCCCGCGCTGGACTTGCTGACTACTGGAGTGAGCGGGCAGCTGCAAGGTTTCCCCGTTCCCCGCATTAGGCTGGGCCATCTCAAGCCCGGCTCCCTACCCTCCCAGGGCTCCCAAGGGCTAGGGGGATGAGAGTTCTGGGACAGGTAAGTCTGGCTAAGGGATCACCCAAGGGCCAAGGTGCTTAGGAACTCGGCTGCGTCTCCAAGTTGGGGCACATAGAGAATGAGGGACGTCCGTGCCTGTTTCTCCGGCTGGTGATGACCTTATCCACTCCGAGGAAGTGTGCGGAACGCAGCACAGCCCCAAAATTCCGGGGATCCTGGATCCCATCGAGGACGAGCCACAACTGCTGGGGGTCGTCGCCTGGGCTCGCCTCCCCGGCCTCTCTCCAAGGCCGGGGCCGCAGCGGGCTCACCTCCATGCAGACACCCTGGTGGACCTGGTAGCGGCACATTGTGTCCAGTTTCTGCCGTCTGGGCCGCAGAACTGGAATGTCCCGCGCCTCGGCCATCCGGAGCAGCTCGGCCCGCTTCCCCTGCAGCCCAGCTTTACCCGCCTGGAGCAGGAGCCGGGCCACAGAGCGGCGGGCGGCCTGCAGAGCCAGGAGACACGGGGTCATGCCAAACAGAAGCTCCAGCCGAGAGGTCGGCACCAGGTCATCCAGCAGCAAGCGGCTTAGCTCCTCCCCACCAGGCCGCTCCCCATGCCGCGCTGCATGGGAGAAATGACGGGTGACGAGGCGACCCCAGGTCGCGCCCCGGACGGTCGAGAGCAATGCCATGGCGCAGCTCCCGCCAGGGACTCGATGCCCCTTGCTGCGTCCCCGGGAGCGGTAACCCGCGCCGCAGTTCGCTCCCAGGCTCCCAACACCGAGGTGAAGGGTACTCGACAGCCGTCTCCGCCGAGCTCTCTCGGACAGGAACAAACAGCCCCGATTACCCACAACTGGACTACCGAGCTACGACCACCCGCTCCCAGGCTCCCACGTGGGTCCCTCGCTTCCGGGTTCGGGAGCCCGCCCCTCCCCGGCCCCTTCCTGACGGTGTTTTGCGCATGCGTGGCTGCCAGGCTGTCCCCCACAGCGCCTCCCTCAAGGCTAGAGGAGCGGCGAGCTGAGCTGGCCGTACTACCGGCTGCGTCCTGTGTTCCTCGAGGTCCCAGGAGGCCGGGGACCGCATTCACCCACGCACCAGTGAAGGGCCCTTTAAGGAGATGGGTTGGCCTTCCTGGTCAACCAATTCAGTCTTGTTGCCTCCCTCCCCACATCCCGGCGCTGGTGATTTTTCCCAGAACTTCTCACTAGCCCATCACCAGCCAGCAGGACCCCAACAGTCACTTCCTATCCCGGGCCGCTGATTCTCTTCCTAAGTGACTCTGAGCCTGTCGTGTTCCTGCTGACAAGCTCACTAACGCCCCCGTCCCACAGGTAATGGCGAGACTCTTGCGCAGCACTCAGCCCCCCAGCGATCCAGGAAGGCAGGAAGGAGCTGCCTCTTCAGCCCCATCTGGCTCCTTGCTCCTGTGCTTAAGTTCTGAGCTGTTCGCACAGCACTGCATGCTCTTCCAGACCTCTCAGCCTTGCACACCTGTCTTCGCTTTGTCAAACTCCTACATGTTTTCAAGGCCCAAACAAACCCATTCCTGCTACCTAAGGTAATCCATACTCCCATGAGTGAGGCCCCCAATCCACCCACCTGGGACCTACCTGGAAGAAATTCTGAGACACAAGCACCCCTGATCACAGAGAAGGGGAAAGAATGGAAAGACACTCCTGAAGCCAAGGCAGATTGGTTGCGATTTTTCTTTTTTAATGATCACCATGAAATCCACTGGGCCAGGCCCTGGTGTTCTGCTGCCATAGTCAGAGTCAGAGTGGAGGGATGACCCCAGGAGGGGACAAGAAGCCAAGACTGGGCTGGGGAGCCGAGAAGGAGATAGATAAGGGGGAGAGGGTGCAGTGGGGCAGGCAGAGGAGGAAGTCTGGAGCCCTGGATAACAACACAGATATAAGGTGAAGGCCTCCCTCTGCCACCCCAGCCCTGAGCCACAGACGTTGAGGTGCAAGAAGATGGGGATTTTGGCCACAACTCCTTTCCCATGTCAAAGGGAAGACACTGAGAGCAGACAAAGGCCAAGTGCCCAGGGGCACAAGAACAAGTTAACAAGTAAAACAATTAGGGACACCACCTCCTTTCCCCAGCCCATTTTTCACATTTACAACTGAAGCAATTTGACAAGATGATATAAAAATCTCAAACAAATTTTCTAGCCCCTGGTCGGGGTGTGGACAGGAAGTGGTATCCCGTGATCCAGAAATCAACACCTAAAATCCAGAGGCAGGAGGCAAGCCATGAAGGGTGGGGAGGGAAGGAGGAGCTCCCACAGTCACTAGGTCACCTGCTCCGTGGGCCTCATCTGGATGTCTCCAATCTGTGGAAGGTACAAGGCATGAGGCAGCTGTGACACTCTCCCCTGGCCCTGCAGGGCTCCCTGCTCCCCTCCTCTGGGGCTGGTTGGGTTCCTCCAGTGAGTAGACAGTCAGGGCCAGACTCACCTGGATGTGTGCGGGGGTGCTGAGGACGTAGATAACAGCCTCGGCCACATCCTCGGGTTTGAGACACTGAGAGCACCAGGGGAATGGGTTGAGACAAGGACAGAATGGACTCAAATTCCCTCCCACCACTGAGCTTCTCTGTGGCATCCACACATCCACCCCAACCCTCCAGGAGGAGCCACAAAGGCTGGAAGAGTGGAGTCTGAAGGCCGAGCTTCCCTCTGCCTTCATTTAGGGAGTCAGTGGCTTCACCAGGCTCAGAGGGAGGCCCCACCTTCATTTGCTCATAGGTGGCAGCTGCCTTCTCAGGGTCCTTGTCGTGGAGTTTGAAGGCGAATTGTGTCTCCACCACACCTGGAGAGATGCACTGGGCCAACAGAGAGGGCCTTCTCAGGGGCTGAGCTTTGCCAGGTCTTGGGGAGGTCGAGGGGAGAGGATGGAGGCCACAGAACCCCAGCTTCACAGTGATGGCTGCCTGATATCCGGCAGCGGCCTCCTCCCTCCGAAGCTGCCACTGGCAGTGACCACAATGATACCTACCATCTACAGAGCCTTTCCTATATGTCAGGTAAACGTTTTACAAAAAAGTGTCCCTGAAAAGCTCATCATCTCCTTTTCACAAGTGAGAAGGCCGAGGCTTAGGGAGGTTCAGTGACTCGCTCACGATCATGCGGCCTTCAAGAGAAGAGCCCAGAGTCCCGGTTTCCAGCCACTGTGCACCTGGTTTCCCACAGTCCCTTGCTTTCCCTCAGGTCAGCCCCCTCCCAGCTCAAAGTCTAAGTCTGGTCGTTGGCTCCTGGATCAGTGAAATGAGGAAATGAAGGGCTGCATAGGGCCATGCCTGGAGCAGCAGCACCCAGTTCTGTGCCCAGTCCACTCCCAGGAGCTCTGAGCGGCACATTCTGAACATGGGCTTCCTGAACGGTGTGTGTGGGTGGGGAGGGCCTGCGCCACCCTGTGCCCACCAGGGCTAGGCCACAGCCTCACCGTGGCTCGGATGTGGGTCTGGGCCTCCCGAAGCTCTTGCCTCAGTCCCTCTGTCAGCGCAGTGACGGCATACTTGGTGGCACTATAGAAGTGGGTCACAGACAGGGGTAACACTCGGTGGCCAGACATGCTGGGTGGGGAGAGGAAGGGGAAAGAGGAGAGAATGAAGTTCCAGGGAGACCAGTGGTGCTCCTGCCGTACCCGGTCAGCCCCACCACCCAGATGCCCATCGGGAAGACTTCTAAAGGGGACCTCTACTGGCCATCCTACAGCTCACTAATCTAATTTTGGTTATTCAAACAGCTTTGGAAAACCCTCCTTTTCCTGGAACTCATCCCTAAGCTGACGACAGAATGCACTCTCCTGGTGGTGCAGAATGTCAGAATTCTCTCCATCTAATCTGTATGTTCACTGATACGGTTCTATTGGGACATCTCAAGGCAGGCAGAGGCCATGTCCCCCCTCAGACTGGGGCTCCCCAGTGGCAGACACTGTACATAGTACTCTTTGTGCCATGAGGTGGGGTTCATCCCCAGGCCTGAGGAATCGAGGCACTTAGTCCCAGGAGAGGCCCCAGGCTTCAGCTGTAGAGGGAAGGGGCTAAGCTGCCCATTCCAGCCAACCAGGGGCTGGTACTTGACAACATTATTCTTTCCCTCACCATAATTGTGCCATTCAGGTATTAAATCTGTATTTTCCCACCAAGGAAACTGAGGTCCAAAGAGGTCAGGTGAGCTGCAGCACATTACCCAGCCTGGTGGGTGAGTGGTACCCATTGGCCACCTGCCCTCACCTATTGATGTTAATGATGTGCCCATCGTCCACATTCCGCTCCTTCATGGACTGGTAGGCTTCCCGTGTGCAGATGCTGAGGGCCAGCACGTTCACCTGCAGGCCAGGGAGGGCAATGAGGTGTCTCCACTCCGGCCCAACTGAGCAAGTGATGGAGCCACAGAATGCTAGGGGGGAAGGGGGCAGTGTGGCATTCCAAAACAGTGTCCAGGTCCCCCCGGAGACCAGCCACAGGCACAGAGCATCTTGTCTTCTACACGAGATGCCCCTCTCCCTAAAGCCGCAACCCCCAGTTGATAACAGAGGTAGCTCCTCACCTGGCTGACCCCCCAAGTTCCTGCAAACAAGAATGGAAACCCTTCAAACCCACTCCTGACCCAGGAGACTCTGTCTTGGCCATCTCCTCTATGAACAGTAGCACAGACCCTCTAATTCCATAGGGAATCATTTCCATTTCTTCCCCCAAATACCCTACTCTTCTCTTCTCTGTGACAGTCTCTGGCCCTGCTCCCTCCTAAACTGCTCAAAATCCTTACCAAAATGGCTTACAAATCTCTCTCCTCCGGCACACAGCCTAGCCTCTCCCTACCTTCCTCAGCTACTCTCTGCTCCTTCCCCATCCCCTCCCTTGAGATGAGTGGAGAAGAGAAGGCCTGACCCTCCTTTCTATGCCTTCCTTTAACGTGGGTTCCATCTACAAGACTAGGCACGGAGACTCTAGAGGGTCAGGTAACTTGCCACTCCTACTCCCTCTGGCAGAGGTGACCCCCACATCCCCACCCTTCAGGGAACAGAGGTCTGAAGGCGTGTCTGCTGTAAAGCGCCTACACTGCCCCACCCGTTGGCCCCACTCATTAGCCTCACCCGGAGGACAAGCAGAGATAAAGCTTTCAGCAGGTCCTCAGGCCTCTCCTCTTAAGAAGAGAGGGAACCAGCAGGAGATTAGATGTTTCTCTTAATCAGGTGGCAGAGCCTGCCATGAGGAACAGAACACCTTTGGTGTGAACCTGTCTTGGTGTTCATGGCAGTAGGAAGAGATGGGTGCCAGGACAGGGAGGTTTCCAGCCGTGTTTCTCATCTTCTTGGCAATGTGGGCTTGTGAGGCAGAGAACTCAGCCCCTGGCAGGTAGAGTGGGAGAAATAGATCCCCTGGGACCAGGTGAGTAAATCTCCCAGGTCTAGGGTATCAGGGGCAGGGAAAGAGAAGATGCCTCATAGGATGATCCTAATAGACTCAGATAATGTTCAAGCTGAAAGGAGCTGTAGGAATTTAATGTAAGTCCCTCATTTTACAGATGGGCGAGTTGAGGTCCAGGTTTAGAGACCCATGTGCTGTGGGTGAGGACCATGGCTCTGATCTCCAAGAAGGCTGAGGGCTTCATTTTCATGGCTTCATTTCCAGGCCCAAGCATCTGTGAGGTGCTAAGTCTACTGTCAGCAGATGGGAAAGGATTGTGGGGAGAAAAGAACACCCCATTCACACACTGCTTTCAACTTCTCAGGATACTTTTATACCCTACTATCACCCCATCATACCATCCAGAAGTTGAAAACCCATGTCCTGAAAGTTGGGTTTGGCCTGTGCACAGTTTCAAAACATTTTAAAAACCCTTCCAACATGTACTGGAAAGTTTCATTTATTCAATAACTATCTTTTCAGTGCTTATGGGATCAAGCCATACCAGAGAATAAAACAGATAAAATACTTGCCCTCATGGAGCTGTCATTTTAGTGAATGGGAGTGGGGGGGTGTCACATAAAATCAGACTCCCCACTTCTCTCAAAGAAATCATAAGATCAGCTGGGCGTGGTGGCTCACACCTGTAATCCCAGCACTCTGGGAGACCAAGGCAGGCGGATCACGAGGTTAGGCGATACAGACCATCCTGGCCAACATGATGAAACCCCATCTCTACTAAATACAAAAAAAATTAGCTGGGCATGGTGGTGCCCGCCTGTAGTCCCAGCTACTCAGGAGGCTGAGGCAGGAGAATAGCTTGAACCCAGAAGGCGGAGGTTGCAGTGAGCCAAGATCACGCCACTGCACTCCAGCCTGGTAACTACAGAGCAAGACTTCGCCTCAAAAAAAAAAAAAATTTCATCAAATCAGGCCACACTGGGCCCACACCACCATAGAGCAACTATGCAGGATTTGAGCAGTGGCTGTGTGCTTCCTCACACACCACAGACCCCTCCTAACCTCCCTCACTCCTTTATGTACCTACCTGGCCCCAGGGGACATTGGAGCTGTGACCCCAGATATTGATGATAGAGGTGTGTTCATCCCAATTAATTGTGACAAGACTGAAGCTCAAGGAAGGTAACCAACCTGCCTAAAGTCACATAGTTACTAGTGAGGCTAGGTAAGAATATCATCACTTGTCTCTCTCTTCCTTTTCTTCCCATAACATCACGTTCCCAAGCACCCAGGCACAGGACTGACAAGTGGGAAACATTCAACAGGCAGCAGTTCTCTCCCCTAACAATCTTTCTTCTAACACAAGGAAATCACTCTAGACTTTAAGAACTACCTTCAGGTCGGGCGTGGTGGCTCATGCCTGTAATCCCAGCACGTTGGGAGGCCAACATGGGCAGATCACCTGAGATCAGGAGTTTGAGACCAGCCTGGCCAACAAGGTGAAACCCTGTCTCTACTAAAAATACAAAAAAATTAGATGGGCATTGATGATGGGTGCCTGTAATTCCAGCTACTCAGGAGGCTCAAGCAGGAGAATCGTTTGAACCTGGGAAGCGGAAGTTGCAGTGAGCAGAGATCATGCCACTGCACTCCAGCCTGGGTGACAAAGCAAGACTCTATCTCAAAAAAAAAAAAAAAAAAAAAAAAAAAGAACTACCTCCAGGGGCTCAAAGAAGAGAAGAGCTGATATGGCCATTCATCCACTCTCTATCCCTCTGGTAGGGCAAGAAGCCAAGAGAGAGTCAAGATGCCCCAGGTGGGAACCCGAAGCTCCCTCTTCCTAGATGTCCCGTCCCCAGCAGCACTCTGGTTCACAAACCCCTGGCTCCCCTCTCTCCTCCCCACCCTCCACCTGGAAGATGGAGGCTTGGAGCTCTTACATTGAACATGTCCTTCCAACCACTGGTGCTGCCTGAGAGCAGGGTGTCAGGCCGGGCCAAGCCAGCATTGTTGATGCAGATGTCTACACCGCTGTGCTGAGAACGGATAGCTGAGAACATGGAGAGGATGTCCTCTTCATTTGATAGGTCACATCTGTAGGGGATCAAAGTCCCGGGGTAGCCTGCACTCTTACATTCAGCAGCCAGCTCCTATGAAACCCAACAGGGGTCTGACTGGGGTGAGCAGCTCACTCCCACGGCTCCCTAGCCAGCCTCAGACCCCGACCCCCGTCACACTCATAAAACATGCTCCTTTGGCAGCTGACTTTCAGCCACGAAGATGTTGGACTGCCCATCCCCTAAGTCTGTCCTCTTTGGTCAAAGTCTAAGGGATGACAGTGCTCCCCGAGTGATGAAGGGAAAAGGCTGTTATCAATGGAGAAACCTCACTATAAACTCAAGTCCTGGCTGGGCGTGGTGGCTCATGCCTGTAATCCCAACACTTTGGAAGGCCAAGGCGGGTGGACCAGTTGAGGTCAGGAGTTTGAGACCAGCCTTGGCTAACTTGGTGGAACCCTATCTCTACTGAAAATACAAAAATTAGCTGGGTGTGGTGGCTACTTGGGAGGCTGAGGCACAAGAATCACTTGAACCCAGGAGGCGGAGGTTGCAGGAGCTGAGATCACGCCACTGCACTCCAGCCTGGGTGACAGAGCAAGACTGTGTCTCAAATAAATAAATAAATAAATAAATAAACTCAAGTCCTGGGTGGAACAGGGGCCAGGGACCTAGAGAATGGAGTGCTCTCTCTTTTCTGCCTCTTCCTCAACAGGAACACCTCTTCTGCCCATAGGTAATATGCGCCTCTCCACCACTTCATGCTTCTACACCAGTCCCGAGAGTCACTGGGCTGGTTAACCCAGCTTCTTCTGCATTGTGTCAGCCAGTCCCTCATCTCTGAACTATTCCCCTCCCCTCGCAAACTGCAGCCAACTGGCTCAGAGTTCTCAGACATGCCTTTCAACCAAGCCCAGCTGCCAATCTTCTCTCCCTACCTAAAGGAGGGGTCAGAAAGTCAGGACAGATTCTTTCTCTCTGAGCCCTGGTGCACCACCCTCCCCTCTGAGGTTTCTCAGGAGACTATGAGGCAATTCAGGTGGCAGGTGCCATTGAACACCCCCTGTGCATCTCCAGGCCCTCAGCATGCCAAGAAAGACCTGAGAAGGCAGAGCCACTGAGAGGCAGCCCAGGGGGAAGCTGACATTCAGAGGCAAGAAGAAAATACGTTCTGTGGCCTTCTTTGGAAGCCAGTGACTGGGCACTTGAGCCTTGTGATGGTGACTGTGTAGACGTGGGCGAGGGGGAAGGGGCGTGCGGTGCCCTAGAGGAAGGCCAGCTTGGCCAGCTGCCCTGGCCTGGAGCCCCTTCCTCCTCCCAAGCTGAGCCAGGAATAAAGGACAGGATCGGGTGTCTTGGGACATTCTTTTCTGCTTTGACTTTCTGTGAGTTCAAAAGGTATAGTCCTCTGAGAATCAGAAACCCCCCTTCACCAGATTTTACCCACATTTGATCACTTCAGGAAACAGGAGTTTTCTCTGTAGGAAGCTAGAACCCAAATTCTGCTTTAACATCAATGACTGAATCAATCAAAGCAGACTGTGGGCAAGGAAGACTGCAGCTTTCCCCTCCCCTGGTGTACATCTTCCCGCTTCCTCCTCTAGACTCAAAATTCCTGCCACAAGAAAACCAGAAGGGATGAGCTCAGAATGTATTTCTCCCTGTCACTGCCTTCCTGTTGCCCCACCTGTGCCACCTGATCTCCCTACCTCCCCTCAGTAATGATCTACAACATCATGTCACCCCCTCACAACAGGGGCATTCTCCTCTCAGACATGGAGTCACCCTGGGACTGAGTGATCAGCCTGGGGATCCCCTTGGGGCTCAGGCCCCCCCTTCCTGGCTAGCTTGCGGTAGGGGAGTAGGTGAGAAGGCAAGAGTGGCTTCAGAATTACAGAATCCAGTTGTTTAATCCCTGGCCTGATCCTCTGGGCTCCAAGGCTGGGGCTGGGTCCTGAGCTCCTCAGAATAGGATAAAGGGAGGAAAGAGTGGGGCAGTGATGGAGCCAGGTGACCTTGGGATTATCTGGGTTATAAAGCATACCTTTGGTCAGCAGCAGGGGAGGGGACAGTCCTCCTTCCTGTATACCTTCTCCCTCTGCCCCCACCCAAGGCCTCCTTACCCTTTCCCTGCCTGAGGACTTTGAGCACGGTGGAGATAAAGCCCTGCAGCTAAGCACTAGCCCGACACTGAGAATGAGCTTACAGGGCACATCCAGAGAGAGCCTAGCACAGAAATTCCTCCCTGCTCCAAAATGGCCATCTTGATTTTTCTCTGAGCTCTGAGGGCTCCCAACCCCACGTCAAGAGCAGAGTAAGGAGTTCCAGGTTGCTTTATCCTCTCAAGGTTTCCGCCCGATTTCACCCACTCTGTTCGCCCCAGGAGAGTGGAGGAGGGCCCACTAATGAATATTCCATTCATTCCTCATGCCACTGGGCATGAGTTACCCCCGAGGTGAGGGGGCGGGGCTGAGGCTCTTCAGTAAAGCTCCCACCCCAACCCCAACCTCAGTCCTGGCTCCTGCCCATCTGGTTGGCCAGCCACCTTGCCCTGCGTGGTGGGTGACTTCTGGAGATTAGAGGCACTTGGCCGCCGGGGGCGAGAAGGCCACAGGGGCGAGACCACCACCCCCGACCTCCGGCTTCCCCTTCCTCGGGCCAATACCCTGGGGAGACCCGAGGGGCGGGTGGGGAGATGCCGGGGTCGGAGATTCGGTAACTCGAGCAGGGGCTGTCAGGGCAAACGGCTCCTTCAAAGATGAGACTTAAGGGGAAGGGAGAAGCCTGCCTTAAGGGATCCGAGAGGCCGCCCCGACTAGAGCAAAGGGCCCCGGCGTGGCGGGCAGGTGAACCCGACTCCGGGGAAACGACCCGCCCGCGACGTCCCCGCCCTCGGCCCGGCCTCACCTCGATGTTGCCCACAGTGCGGGCGCAGCCCACCACCTTCAGTCCCTGCTGGACCAGGGCCCGGGCCACGGCCGCGCCGATGCCCCCCGAGGCCCCCGTCACCAGCGCCAGCCGGTCGCGCCACCGCTCCATGCCGGGCCTGGCCATGGGCCCACGCCGCCCGTCCGCCTCGCTGGACTAGCCCGACACGGGGGTCGAGGAGCTGACGCCCGGCCGCTCTCCTGCCGCCGCCGCCGACCTGCTTGGGTCCGATCCGCGCCTAGACCCACCAGAGTCCCGGCCTGCCTCCGGCCGGGACTCCACCCTCAGGCCCCCGGCGATCCGCCGTATCCAGTCGGAGGCCGCCGCGGCCCGGCCGCCCCGCCCCTTCCGCCCCTCTGCCCCGCCCCGGCGTAGGGAAACCGGGCTGCGCGGGAGCGTCCTGGCAGCTGGCGGCGCCGCTTCCCCAGTGAGCGCTGCCCTTTGGGGTCAGGGAAACCGAGGTTTAGCGGGGAGGTTCCTTCAGCCCCAAGGGCGCATACTGAAGCGTCCCGCTTAGTCTCCCTTCTCTACTCCTGAACCCTAATGCCAGGATGAGGAATTAAGGGCACTTAAGGTGACTCCAACACTCTTCCACACCCTCCCAAACCCGCCGGTGGCTGATGGGAAGGGATTCGGCCCAGAAAACGCCGAGTGTCTCCGCCATCAATGCTAGGTGACCTTGGGAAGGACTCATTCACCCTACCTGATCCCTTGGCTTTACTAGCCACGGAGAACTGAAATACTCCTAAGTACACGTGTACTGGGGTATTCTGTCCCTAAATGGCCCACTGTGTCTAACTGCCCTAGACCCCCACGCTTACCCCTACCCCACTGTAGCAAATGTATCATGATATATGCCAAAGATTAAAACAGTATCTAACATTTGCTGCTTATGGTGTAGCAGGCATTTTAAATATAGTAACTAATCTACACAACCGCGCTGAGATGGCACATATTAGTATCTTAATTTTAAAGATGAGTATACTGACGTGGTGAAGCATGGTTTGGACCACAGGCAGTCCAGTCTTACGCCAGGGATGTGCTCCTCAACTGTCTTCACATCATTATCGCTTCTCGGGTTGCTGGTTTTGTTCAGAGTAGAGCTCGCTTTACTAAAAGTGCTGAAAACTGCGTACTTAATATAGCCATTCTCTTAAAGAAAAAGCATCTTTGAATAACCACCTGACTCCCTTCCAGCAAGCAATGGAGTAAGCGGTGAATGTGGCTGGTTTATTCATTCAAAAACACTCATTTGCCTATCCTGTGTTTGGCCCCAATGGCAAAGATTAAAACTAAACTAAATCAGCCTTTCCTTTTAGGGATCTCAAAAGAACATTTGACTCTTAACAGTGGTGAAGAGGGGATTCACCTCTGAGCCAAGGGCTGTGGGAGACCCACAGTCATTTTTTAGATTCTGGGATGAAATCAAAAAGGGTCCAAGAGGAGTCCTTTTACCTCTGCCCCATTCCTATACAACATTTAGATTTGAAAGACAACTCAGGAGGTGGATCCAAGAAATGGCACTATGAAAATTCAATCTAAGTTTCTGCTGCTGCCCACTTGAAATCTAACTCAAAATCTGATTAAAAGCACATAAAATTCACTCCACCTCCATTGCACAGAAGTACTGATTGTCCCATGATTTTATGCTGCCACCAAGTATTATAAACATGTAGACACAAATCTCTAAGCATCATGTGTCTACGGAGCTATTTGACTGGATCTTTTAAATGGCAGCAAAATGCTACTCCTGGGGGGAACTCTCTCCTTTAGTACTCACAGCTGTGACAGGAGTAAACTGTAAGACCACAGTGACTTTGTTACTGGATACCAGATAAGGCTGAACCTCACATGCATTTAAACAGCCCACAATGTGGTTAGCTCTCAGTGCAGCCTTCTGAGCCCAGTCTTACATGTTGAGCAATTACTTATCGGGCAACCCTTGGTTGAAATTCTGCCAAGTTTTGTTTTTATTCTTCTAGGTCAATATGAACCTCTGAATTTAAGAAGTACTTTGTATTATGTATTAGGGAACCTTTAATAATAGCAATTAAAGTCTCATGGGAAAGTAAGATGGTAGCAAGTATTTAAAGTATCTCCTCAAAAGAAAAAGACTGGAAAACTGCTTTTCTCAGTTGTCAATTCTCATCAAAGGAAGATTTTTGTCTTCAACAATCTGTATCTCTGTCCTTCATCCTTTCTAACATCAACACTGGCCAAGCATCAAGTCCACAAGTGGCAAATACTAAAGTACTGCCACATATTAAGTAGAAACATGTACAGCAAATTTTACTGTGCGTATTAATAAATATTCTTTATTTTAAATTTTGCACATTGCGCTTTAACATTACATCCAAACATTTTGCAAGTGGATGTCTACTTTGTAAAACCATATATTCAGCTCATTGTCATTTCTGTACAGAATTATAAGTACAACATTACTTTTTGCCACTAAGTTGCTTTAGTAAGTCTCACAGGAAGAGAAACATTTAATGAAAAGAGATGGCTTAAATCATATGGCAGGCCTGCGCAGCCACGCAACTAAAGACACAAGCCTGAAGAAAGAACTAATGAGGATACCTCCACCGTCTCCCAAAACAAGAAAGAATCACATTGATTTAAGATAAAATTTTGCCATAAGTCACTAAATTAAGAGTTTTTCGAAAGAGAAGGCGCAGTAGTCATCGTGAGTGTTTCATTGAAAGACAGAGCTATTTTATTTATTTAATTTGCTCCAGCCGTTGTCAACCAGCCACTACAAATGGGCCTCTTGTGATCATTTAACCGGCAGTATTTATTAAATTTCTCCTTCAGATGCTGTCGGTATTGTTCTCTATTGCTGTAGAAAGACTGGTTATTAGCCATAAATGACTGTATTTCATCTTGTGAGATAAAGATTTCCTCATCTGAAGTACATTCAGACTCATCCTGCAAATTAAAGCAGTAGTTAAGACTATGACTTAAGAATGCAAAATGTTATGTAATGGAGGAGGACAGCTAAAAATTAAACCAGTCTAACTTTTTAGTTTCACATCAGTCACATAAAGCCTTTAATTGGAGTGTTTGCAGAATAAGCATCATGTCATTCTGCCTAAGAAAGTAGTGAGAATAAAATCCAACTCCTTGAGTTGAAACCTTGAATCTATAATTTCTCCTAGAAGCCTATGAGCCTAGCAAACTACCACCATACCTTGGCCTTGAAAAAATAACTAATTAAAGATGTTACAACTAGTTACCATATTTTAAGTAGCCAGACGTATCTCCAGTTAGTCCTATCTTGAAACAGTCATCTCTACAAACTAAGTAAAAGATAACCATTTTCTACTTAAGAAGTAAACTTTTACAACCATTAAAACTTTTAAACATTAAACTTATACAGGTGGTGGCTCACACCTGTAATCCCAGCATTTTGGGAGGCTGAGGCAGGAGAATCACTTGAACCTTGGAGGCAGAGGCTACAGTGAGCCAAGATCGTGCCACTGCACTCTATCTAGCCTGGGCGACAGAGCGAGACTCCTCAAAAAAAAAAAATAAATAAATATTAAAACTAAACTTTACAACCATAAAAAAGAAAAAAACTAGCTGGGCGCGGTGGCTCACGCCTGTAATCCCAGCACTTTGGGAGGCTGAGGTGGGCAGATCACCTGAGGTTGGGAGTTCGAGACCAGCCTGACCAACATGGAGAAACCCATCTCTACTAAAAATACAAAATTAGCCAGGCATGGTGGCACAAGCCTGTAGTCCCAGCTACTCGGGAGGCTGAAGCCAGAGAATCGCTTGAACCTGGGAGGCGGAGGTTGCGATTAGCCGAGATCGCACCATCGCACTCCAGCCTGGGCAACAGAGCAAAACTCCACCTCAAAAAAAAGAAAAAGAAAAAAGCTAGTATTCCGAAGGATTTGGTTCCATCAGGACTCTAATGAAAAGGACACCACTCTTCTTCCTCCCCTCCTCCAAGGGCCACCTATACTACGCACTGGGTCAGTTGGGGATCAGGTAAAAAGTCTCAGGACTGGAGTCTTACCCTACATGACACCTAAAAGAAGAAAGCAACCTCTAGTTCAAATTGTATATTCTTTCTGGTATGGAAGGGTGGCTACCATAACTTGCCAATCAGAAAGGCAAAGTTTGCTTACAGTAACCTACTTCAAGGAGGCAGACTACTGAATACAATGCTACCTCTATCCTTTCTCCTAACTACAGATGGTCCTGACTTAACAATGGTCAATGGTTCTACTCAGGTTTTTTTTGAGACAAAGTCTCACTCTGTCGCCAGGCTGGACTGCAGTGGCACGATCTCAGCTCACTGAAACCTCCGCCTCCTGGCTTCAAGTGATTCTCCTGCCTTAGCCTCCCGGGTAGCTGGGACTACTGGCACACGCCACCATGCCCAGCTAATTTTTGTATTTTTAGTAGAGACGGGGTTTCATCATATTGGCCAGGATGGTCTTGATCTCTTGACCTCATGATCCACCCACCTCGGTCTCCCAAAGTGCTGGGATTACAAGCATGAGCCACTGCACCCAGCCTTATTTGGGATTTTTTTTTTTTAACTTTACAAAGGGTTTATTGGGATGTTGAATGTATTTTCAACTCGCAGTATTTTTGAGTTATAATGGGTTTATTGGAATGTAACCCCACTGTAACTCAAGGAATACCTATAATGTCTTCTACTGAGACAGAGGCGGCCATGGAAACGTGTTCCAGAGTAGTTGCATAAACCACGAGTGGAAGGACAGAAATGAAGTCCCCAAACAATAATGAAATACTACCCTTAATTTCTCATAAGCTTCCTTCAACTACCTACCTTAAGCCCTCAAATACTATCCCCTCCCACATCCACCCCGTTCCCAAACAGTTATGTACAGTAAGACCACATGGAATACTTACAAGGAGTTCAACTAAGCTCTTGGCACCTTTTCCGGAATCGGGACCAAACAACGTTTCTGTAGGTTCTGCAAACTGTGGTACATTTTTCCTATGCTCAAACCAAGGCAATGGCTGCCCACCCTTTTCAGAGCTGCAACAGCTTTCAGGATGTGTATCTTTGGTCTTGTCACGGTGAAACACTGTGTGCATGGTATTTCCTGAGGTCTCTCGATTACCTGGATCTGTAATACAGCTTCCAAGCTTCTGGATCTGATACCACAGCAAAGGATTTCACAGGTAAAAAGGCATGATATAATAGCAATTATTCTTTAAAAAAAAAAAAAAAAAAGCGGGGCACGGTGGCTCATGCCTACAATCTCAACATTTTGGGAGGCCGAGGCAGGTGGATCACCTGAGGTCAAGTGTTCAAGACCAGCCTGGCCAACATGGTCAAATGCCATCTCTACTAAAAATGCAAAAATTAGCCAGCCATGGTGGCATGCGCCTGTAATCCCAGCTACTCAGGAAGCTGAGGCAGGAGAATTGTTTGAACCTGGGAGGCAGAGGTTGCAGTGAGCCAAGATTATGCCACTGTACTCTAGTATAGGCGACAGAGTGAGACTCCATCTCAAAAAAATCCTGACATAGTATTAAACCTTTAGAAGGAATACTAAGTAATAGTAGCAGCTGGCATTCATTTTATTTTACCAGGCACTTACTATGTACTAGACACTATGCCACACCTGCCAATATACATTCACTTCACCTTCATAGAACCTAATATGATAGGGACTAAACAAATTGTTTAAGATTACACAGCTTATAATTTTAAAAGTATAAAAAGAACAATTGAATTTCTGACTCACAAGGACTGTTGCACAAATGATCACATCTCTCTCTGCCCCCAACCCACACTCTCACACGATGAGCACCCAATGGAACTGCATAAAGAACTCATTCTAAAAAAAGTAAATCCTAGCAGCTAAGCTGCACATATGCCACTCCAAGGAAAACACGTGTTCTGTCCTCAACAGCAAAGGTTTAAGAATTACAAGTTATGACACTTACATGTTCATCACATTTCAGTATCTTGCTTTTCTTCTTCTTCTTTTTATTTTTTCCTTTTGTGTCGTTCTCTTCAGAATTTGCCCAACATTCAACACAACTATCACCATCATCCTCTTTGTCTTCACAGTGATGAACACAAGAGTCATCACCTGCAGAAATCAATAATCCTTCTTATTTATGTTCTTAAGTCAGCCATGTAGTAGAAATAACTGGGAAACTTAATGTGAGCCTACCGTGTTCATCATGATTACAAATGCCTTCAGTGCAGGCAACATCCGAACCCTCCCGAGAACCTGTTTCACTCCCTTCCATGCTAGATGAATATCCACAATCACTACCATTACAGTGTGGAGATAAGCCTGAGAATAAATCAAGTGAGAGTTACTATTAACATACCAATAAGTATATTAGGACAAAGAGTGAACTCTTTGGGGACCACAGAAAAATCTCATAATTAATGGCTTATTAAAAGTAGAACATTTCCAATGAAGGATTTTTTTTTTAAGTAGAAAGTAAATTAAATAATGAAAATATGATTAGGAATTTACCATTTTTCGTTTTTGTCAAAAATAAGTCAAAGAACATAAAGAAAAAGGAAATATTAAGTATCTGACTAAATTATATGATATTCTTGGAACTATAAAGCAGTTTTAAAATTCTAGCTCACAGAATCTCTAAAAGCTCTTACATTTAACAGTAAGAAAGAATAGAGTTAAGAGTTCATTTTAAAAAGAAATTATTTACTTACCTTTCTTTATTTTAGGGGACCCCAAAAGATTGCCACTGCTAGGACAGGTACATGATGTATTTTCATTGGTAACAATTACTTCTACACAAGTATTACCATCTTCAGTGCTGCCACAGGCTTTGCAGCTGCTATTTTCTATGAAGTCTGTTTCCTTTAAGGATCAACATTAAGAGAGAGTCAAGAGCTTTACTCCATAACAGCTACATTTTATTCCCTAGATCAAAACTATTTTCATCCTAATAGTAAGATGTGGCATTTTCACTGTACTGACATTTACACTGACAGTACAAAAGTAATGGTGGGTAAAGATATTAGTCCTTAGCACAAATCAAGACAGTACTAACCAAAGTGTGCTAAGAATCACTGTATTCTTCAACTGTCAAGCGCTCTCACAAAAAGATATTTCACTTATGAATGTCTCTGAGGAAGCTGTAAAAATATTAATTGTATCAGATATCAACCACAAATACATATACTTTTTCCTTTTTTTTTTTTTTTGAGTACGGTCTCCCTCTGTCACTTAGGCTAGAGTACAGTCATACAATCATGGCTTACTGCAGCCTCAAACTCCTGGGCTCAAGCAATCCTTCTGCCTCAGCCTCTCAAGTAGCTAGGACTACAGAAGCACACCACCAGGCCTAATTTTTTTATTCCTTTGTAGAGACAGGGTTTCGTTATGTTGCCCAGGCTAGTCTTGAACTCTTGAACTCCTGGCCTTAAGCAATCCTTCTGCCATGGCTTCCCAAAGTGCTAGGATTACAGGCATGAGCCTCCACGCCCTGTCAACAGAAATCTTTTTGACAGTCTATGTGGGGCCAGGTGCAGTGGCTCATGCCTGTAATCCCAGCACTATGGGCAGCTGAAGCAGGTGGATCACTTGAGGTCAGGAGTTCAAAACCAGCCTAGCCAAGATGGTGAGACCCCGTCTCTACTAAAAATACAAAAATTAGCCGGGCAAGGTGGCAGGCGCATGTAATCCCAGCTACTCAGGAGGCTGAGGCAGGAGAATTGCTTGAACACGGACGGCAGAGCCTGCAGTGAGCCAAGATCACACCACCGCACTCCACTGTGGGCGACAGAGTGAGACTCCGTCTCAAAAAAAAAAAAGTATGTGACAAATGGGAAGTATGCTTAAAGCATTTCTATTGCAGCTGTCTCAAGGAAACGTACTTGTGCCACTTTTTGAGGTGCAAGCTGAACTTTTTTCCTGGAACATCAAGTTCACTTGAACGAATAAATGAGAGACAAACTGAGAGACTTGGATATTTAGCAGGCATTTTCTCAAAAATGAATGAAGTCAATCTGTTACTTCAAAGGAAACAATGAACAACAACTGTTGTCAATGACAAAACTCAAACATTGAAACAACAATCAGAATTTTGGCCTTGCAACCAGCAGTGCTATGAACTTGAAGCTTCCTAATACTTGGACTTTTCTGACCTGCATAATTCAGTGAACTTTGAAATAAATTCCAATGCATGATGTTACAAAACAATGCATGAGTAAAAGATCTATTCAAAGTCCAATATAGTCCAACGGATTCTAATTTAACAGAGTACAAAAAGGTCATTGATAAGGTGCCAGATTCCATATTGCAATGAATCTTTTAGAAACTACCACTGGTCAAAGTGTAGTATTGAAGAATATCCACAACTATCTGAAAAGGTTTATATTAAAATACTGCTCCCAGCCAGGCACAGTGGCTTATTCCTGTAATCCCAGCACTTTGGGAGGCAGAAGCGGGCAGACTGCCTAAGCTCAGGAGTTCGAGACCAGCCTGGGCAACAAGGCAAAACCCCATCTCTACTAAAAATACAAAAAAAAATTAGCCGGGCATGGTGGTAGGCGCCTGTAGTCCCAGCTACTTGGGAGGCTGAGGCACAAAAATCGCTTGAACCCAGGAGGAGGAAGTTACGGTGAACCAAGATTGTGCCACTGCAATCCAGCATGGGTGACAGAGCAAGACTCTGCTCCAAAATAAAATACTTTTCCTACCATATAATATCTGTGTGAGACTAGACTTTCTTCATATGCTTCAACCAAGCCAATAAATGGAAACAGATTGAATGCAGAAGCAGATATAAGAATCTAGTATATTCCGTCAGGCGCGGTGGCTCACACCTGTAATCCCAGCACTTTGGGAGGCTGAGGCGGGCGGATCACGAGGTCAAGAGATCGAGGCCATCCTGGCCAACATGGTGAAACCCTGTCTCTACTAAAAATACAAAAATTAGCCGGGCATGGTGGCACACGCCTGTAGCCCCAGCTACTTGGGTGGCTGAGGCAGGAGAATTGCTTGAACCCGAGAGGCGGAGGTTGCAGTGAGCCGAGATCATGCCACTGCACTCCAGCCTGGCAACAGAGCGAGACTCTGTCTCAAAAAAAAAAGGAATCTAGCTTATTCCTTTTAAGATGAACATTAAAGATATTTGCAAAAAATATATATAGTATAATACCATTCTTCTCACTCTCATTTTATTTAGAAAATAGTTATTTTTGAAAAAATATTTAGTTAACATTATTTTTGAAGGAGTAGCTTAAAATTTATCATTTAATTTCTAATACAGTAAATATTGGTAAGTATAACCCACATAAACAAAAGCTCATTGAGTACCTTAATTTTTAAGAATGTAAAGGGATCCTAAGACCAAAAACTTGAGAACTGCTCTAGGTCATGCACAGAGGTGGCTTTCTATATTTTGACTTTGATCTAATAATACATTAAAGTCAGGTAAAGAGATAACTACTCAACATTGTCTTAATAAAACATAGACATGACATTAAAATTCTGGCTTATACAGACTACAGTAGGAAAAAAGCTGATATAAAAACTGCAGGAGCTCACATCTGGAAAAGCATAGTAAAAATGCCCAAATCTAGCAAAAAGCCATACAGTTAACCCTCCATATCTGTGGGTGCTGCATCCATAAATTCAACCAAGAATCGAAAATATTTGGGGGGGAAAAAATCAACCTGCATCTGTACTGAACATGTACAGACTTTTTTCTTGTCCTTATTTTCTAAACAATACAGTATAACAACTATTTAAACAGTTTTTATTTATTTTGAGAGAGTTTCACTCTGTCGCCCAGGCTGGACTGCAGTGGAGCGATCTTGGCTCACTGCAACCTTTGCCTCCTGGGTTCAAGAAATTCTCATGCCTCAGCCTCCCAAGTAGCTGGGATTACAGGCGTGAGCCACCATGCCCAGCCTTACATAGCTTTTACATTGCATTAGGTATTATAATTTAGAGATAATTTAAGAATACAAGAGGCCAGGCACGGTGGTTCATGCCTGTAATTGTAGCATTTTGGGAGGCTGAGGTGGGAGAATTGCTTGAGCCCACAAGCTGGAGACCAGCCTGAACAACATGGTAAAACGCCATCTCTACAATAAATACAAAAAATTAGCTGGGCCTGGTGGGGTAAGCCTGTAGTTCCAGCCACTTGGGAAGCTGAGGTGGGAAGATGACATGAGCCTGGGAGATGAACGCTGCAGTGAGCCATGATTGTGCCACTGCACTCCAGTCCGGGTGACAGAGTGAGACCCTGTCTCAGAAATAAAAGTATAAGGAGGATGTGCATAGACTATATGCAAATATTACACCATTTTACATCAGGGACTTGCACATCTGCAGATTTTGGTATCTACAGGAAGTCCTGGAATCAAACCCCACAGATACCAAGGGACGACTGTACTTTTTATTTTTATTAAAAAAATAAAATAAAATAAATAGAGATAGAGATCTCACTATCTTGCCCAGGCTGGTCCCAAACTCCTAGGCTCAAGTGATACCTCCACCCTGGGCCTCCCAAAGTGCTGGGATCACAGGCGTGAGCCACCACACCTGGCCTGTACTTCTATCTACAAGCAATACATACACACTTAAGAGTTGATATTAAGAAATATTACCTTCTCTTGGCTTACTTCCTTTTCATCTGCTGTTTGTAAGGGAGTAGGAATATCACACACACACTTATTTTTTCGTCTATTCTTCCGTTTTTGGCGTTTCTTTTCTTGCTTGAGTTCTCTTACTCGTTCCTCTTCTGAAAATTCCTCACAAAGTTGTTCCAATCTGCTAATACCCTGTACTTTTTCCACGGTCATCTATTATAAAAATAAGGTTGAGGGTGAATATTGGTCAGAACTTCTTTTCTTTTTTTTTTGAGACGGAATCTTGCTCTGTCGCCCAGACTGGAGTGCAGTGGCATGATCTCAGCTCACTGCAAGCTCCACCTCCTGGGTTCACGCCATTCTCCTGCCTCAGCCTCCTAAGTAGCTGGGACTACAGGTGCCCGCCACCACGCCCGGCTAATTTTTTGTATTTTTTAGTAGAGACGGGGTTTCACCGTGTTAGCCAGGATGGTCTCGATCTCCTGACCTCGTGATCCACCCGCCTCAGCCTCCCGAAGTGCTGGGATTACAGGCGTGAGCCACCGTGCCCGGTCCCTTTGTTTTCTGTGGTAATATACACACTCCTATTCCAAACCAGCAAGATTCTAGTTTTAAATTTCAGAATTTTTTTTTTTTTTGAGACAGAGTCTTGCTCCATCGCCCAGGCTGGAGTACAGTGGCACCATCTCAGTTCACTGCAACCTCTACCACCCAGGTTCAAGCGATTCTCCTGCCTCAGCCTCTCAAGTAGCTGAGACCACAGGCATGCGCCACCACACTGGCTGATTTTTGTATATTTAGTAGAGACAGGGTTTCGCCATCATGGCCAGGTTGGTCTCGAACTCCTGGCCTCAAGTGATCCGCCCACCTTGGCCTCCCAAAGTGCTGGGATTACAGGCATGAGACACCATATCTGGCCTAAATTTCAGAATTTTAACACAACAAAAGTAAACATACCATTTACTGACATAATGAAAAAACTATTTAACCTGATTAGATGATCTAGTCTCTGAAGGTACAAAAATACAAAGAGAAAACGAGTAAGGGCTGGGCGCCGTGGCTCATGCCTGTAATCCCAGCACTTTGGGAGGCCAAGGCAGGCAGCGGATCACGAGGTCAGGAGATTGAGACCATCCTAACTAACATGGTGAAACCCTGTCTCTACTAAAAATACACAAAAAATTAGCCGAGCGTGGTGGCGGGCGCCTGCAGTCCCAGCTACTCGGGAGGCTGAGCCAGGAGAATGGTGTGAACCCAGGAGGTGGAGCTTGCAGTGAGCCGAGATCATGCCACTGCACTCCAGCCTGGGTAACAGAGCGAGGCTCCGTCTCAAAAAAAAAAAAAGAAAAGAAAAGAAAAGAAAGAAAGAAAAATAGTCCTTATACCATGGCATTCACACAGCATTTACTTCATACTACTGGACATTAGCAGGCAAAATGAAACTCACTGAAGGTTTTAACATTTCCTGCTTAATCCTTGGGGGCATTTAACTTTTCACTAGTTATGTGTGTTTTTTTTGTTTTGTTTTTGTTTTTGTTTTTGTTTTGAGACGGAGTTTTGTTCTTGTTGCCCAGGCTGGAGTGCAGTGACGTGATCTTGGCTCACTGCAACCTCCACCTCCCAGGTTGAAGCAACTCTCCTGTCTCAGCCTCCCAAGTAGCTGGATTACAGGTGCCCGCCACCACGCCCAGCTAATTTTTGTATTTTTAGTAGAGACGGGGTTTCATCATATTGGTCAGGCTGGTCTCAAACTCCTGACCTCAGGTGATCCGCCTGCCTCGTCCTCCCAAAGTGCTGGGATTACAGGCGTAAGCCACCATGCCCAGCCTCACTAGTTATGTTTCATAGCAGCATCTTATTAAACATCTTCAGTTTTCTACTCTGAGAAAGTCTAAAAACCAAAGCTAGCAAAGTTAACAGGATTAAAAACATTTTTTTAAATCCATCAACTTCTTCTAAATCCCAGTTCCCTAGACCACCCCCACTCCAACCCAAAGCCATGTAACAATATCCAGCCAAATCCATGAAGCTCTATCAGTGATGGACAGTCCTTTTAGGCACTGGTGGCTTACATTAAGATTCAGTCCAATAACGTGACTAAGCAATCTGAGATACTGGAACAGCCCACTGTTCTTACCTCAAAACTCTTGCGTAAAGCATCAACACCAAGATAGAAAAGCATCTGCCATGTCTGCTCTTCTGCCCGTAGCTTCTGCCAGATTCGATGCAGTCTTTCATAAAGATGAATTCCCAAGCAGGTCAGAACTTCTTCTTGAGCTATATCTATTGTCTTTGCATGCCTTTCTCTTCGCCTATAAAAGGGAATAATCACACACTAATACCTTTAACTGAAACAGTAAAAGATGGATAACACAGCTGCAAGTTCAGGTTTTAAACACAATGTGCTTACCTAGTAACAAGACAGTTATACATTTACACTCAACGTATATGTTGCTATACAAGCATGCATGTCCACAACCAATGAGAAATACACATGCAAGTAGAATTTAGTCCTCGTATTGCTAAAAATAAAGTAATTCAGGAACTGGCTCTAAAAAGATGGGTTTTAGGGCACAAAGCAATCACATAGAAGTGTCCAGCTCATAGTAGACACAACAGTTCCTTTTACTTTCCAATTATAGCAAAACATTTTTTCCTTCTTTAGGTTTTTTGTTTTGAGGAGGAATTGAGAAAGGCAATGCCAAAGTGATTCATCATGGGCAAGAGTCCTCCACCAGGCCAGTCTTTACAAGTGTTCACAGAACTTTGGCGATAAAAAAGCCCTTTGTATTCTAGCAGAAAGTAGGCACTCAAATGAGGGTTGATACCCTAAATACAAAAGGAAATGCATTTGATTTATTCTATTAACATCATCATCTGATTTTATTTTTACAACAAAGCCAGAGATACTACTTTAGGTTTCTGTGTAGTAATAATAATATAATATACACAGTTCGTGAATTACATTCAATAAGGCATTTCTTAATCCCCTACTGCAAAGATCTGACTTATGCAAAAACCATTATTGTGAATAAAATTTACACATGATAATGCATGGATAGAGGGAGAAAAATCCCTTCTAATCATTTTCAAATGAAAATGATAGTCTGTAACAATGAAAGCCAAAAAAGCCTGCCTCCCTTCAAGCAAGAACTAGCAGAGGACTGAACCAAACACCAGAGAACAGTTTTTCCCTATTTTCAGTCAATTAAGAAATGCATACTTTAAAGAGAAGCAAAATCTTTACAGGCATACTTTAATTTATACATATATCATATGTACTGAGGCAGAAGGTGATGAAAATAAACTTTCAGTAATAAAATGAAGCAAAGCGCTAGATAGCCCATTCTAGCAAATTACATACTCATACCCTCCTGCGAACTCTGGCTCAGCACGACCCAAAAGATGTGCAATGAAGTCTGTTTCACAGCAAACATGTATGTGTCGTTCATGTGGACAGCACCGCAAGCCTTCATAAAGTGCAGCACAGTAGCCCTTTTCTTTGCTGCAGTCAAGTTCACCAATAAGGATATTGTATGCTCGGAGGACTTTATTTTTGCAATCAGTGCAAAACCTGTTGAAAAGAAAAACCTTAAAATTAAGAAATGGCTGTGCAATTATTTCTTGTGGCATATAACAGTGTACTAGATGATGGCACTCTCTCCCATCTACAGCATCCAAAATAAGCCTCCATACACACATTTAAAACATACGCACATAAGGTAAATACAAATTTAGGGATTGCATAAATACAGATAGACCTTCATTGGCAAATTATTTTTAAACTAGAGAAACACATAGCCTAAAAGAATGAGGCAGATACATACCTATTATTTCATAAAATGCATGCCCAGAAAAGTATTAGTTGCCAAGAACTAGCATATCTCCACTTCAAAAGCTATTTGCGCAGGTCAGAAATAAAACAATAGAGGCAACAAACCAATGACTCTTGATTGGTTTGTTCTCTCTCCTTCCAGTCTCTGAAAATAGATGGTCTCTTCAGCAAGGAGACCTTGACTCCAATTTCTATTACAACATTTTAATATTTCACTAGCTAAGCATTTGAGGATAGGGGTAGGGGTTGGGGTGGGGAGAAGAATGGGAAAGTGGTGTGTGCATTTTTTAATTTTCTGATTATTTCCAAAATGCCAAATTCTTTCTTCCCAAAAATGCCTATTTCTCAATAACAAACATAATATAGACAAAATATACATGGAAACTGGTTTAAACTTAAGTGTATAAAATGTGGCAAAAGAATAGAAGAGTTTGTGAATGTAGAGAAGGAAGAAAATTTCTTTTAGAAACCAAATATCAATCAATCAGAAAGAAATAATAGAGCCTGGTTTCTTTATCTTTGAATTCCTGGAACAAGAAGAACTTGGTCAGGTGGAAAAGCCAGGCTCACAATAAGAGTAAATGGCTAAGAAGATTAGTTAAGTGAAACAAGGAAATTTTGATCTCTTTGATTTAAATTCATCTCCCAGATGAGCTCATCTATGCGTATGGCTTCAACTAACATGTCTATAAAGATGACTTGTGACTCTACAGCTCCATTCAAATCTCTGCTATTGCCTGAGGGCCAGACCCATATCGAAAAGTGACAAGACATGGCAGATGTCCAATAGGCAACACCTTAAATTCACTGTCCAAGGGTAATGCTGTTCTATTCCTATGTGCCTTCTCAATCCCTGTTAATAAGAACACTGCCATTCACAGCCATTCAGAGTCACCCAGGCTGGAAATCTGAGTTAATTCCAACTTCTCCCTGGGTCTTCCTATTGAGTAGAGCCAACTAGTATTCATTCTTTCTTGTTTCTCCTGTAGGTCCCTATTTTCAATTCCCTCTGGCATGGTTTAAGTTGCCTATGCTATATATATATATATACACATATATATACATATATATACATATACATATATACATATACACACACACACACACACACACACACACACACACATATATATATATTTTTTTTTTTTTTTTTTTTTTTTTTTTTTTTGAGACAGAGTCTCTCTCTGTTGCCCAGGCTGGAGTGCAGTGGCGCCATCGAGGCTCACTGTAACCTCTGCCTCCTGGGTTCAAGCGATTCTCCTGCCTCAGTCTCCCGAGTCGCTGGGATTACAGGCGCCCACCACTACACCCAGCAAATTTTTTGTATTTTTTAGTAGAGACAGGGTTTCGCCAAGTTGGCCAGGCTGGTCTTGAACTCTTGAACTCAGAGGATCTGTCCGCCTAAACTAAGCTAGAGTGCAGCGGGACAATCATGGCTCACTGCAACCACCGCCCCCCAGGTTCAAGCAATTCTCGTACCTCAGACTCCTGAGTAGGAGGGATTGCATGCGCCCACCACCACACTGGGCTGATTTTTGTGTTTTTAGTGCAGATGGGGTTTCACCATGTTGGCCAGGCTGGTCTTGAACTTCTGACCTCAAAGTGATCCCTCCACCTCAGCCTCCCAAAGTGTTGGGATTACAAGCATCAGCCACCACGCCCGGCCTAGACTTCTTACTATAGTATTTACCCTTCTACTGCCATATCTTTGTTTCATGCACACACGTTTTGCTGGACCAATAGTAGATAACAATGTTTCTTAAAATGAAGATATGGGCTGGGCGCGGTGGCTCACGTCTGTAATCCCAGCCCTTTGGGAGGCAAAGGCGGGTGGATCATCTGAGCTCAGGAGTTCGAGATCAGCCTGGCCAACATGGTGAAACCCCGTCTCTACTAAAAATACAAATATTAGCCAGATGTGGTGGCATACACCTGTAATCCCAGCTACTCAGGAGGCTGAGGCAGGAGAATTGCTTGAACCCGGGAGGCAGAGGTTGCAGTGAGCCAAGATCGCACCACTGCACTCCAGCCTGCATAAGAAGAGCGAAACTCCATCTCAAAAAAAAAAAAAAATATATATATATATATATATATATATATATATATATGTTACATTAGAGGCTCTAAGCCCACTTGGTAAACAGAGGCAACAATGCTGACAAATAATGTTAAATTATGTTATTTCACTAAAGTTTTAAATATGGGCAAAAATATACAAAAATTAACACAAAATGGATTAAAAACTAAATGTTAACATCTGAAAACCATAAAACTAGAAGAAAACATAGGGGAAACTCTTCATGACACTGGACTAAGTGATGATTTCCTGGCTATGACACCAAAAGCACACATGCACAACAAAAACAAAAATAGATGCTTCTCTGAGAAAACACCAAATGGCAGATGATGCTGGTGGCAGCCGGTGGTGGGGATCGCCTGGGATGGGGAAATGCAGTGGCTTCCGTGGAGGTTTCGGCAGTGGCATCCGGGGCCGGGGCTGGGGCTGAGGCCGCGGCTGAGGCCGCAGAGCTCATGGAGGCAAGGCCGAGGATAAAGAGTGGATGCCTATCACCAAGCTGGGCCGCCTGGTCAAGCACATGAAGATCAAGTCCCTGGAGGAGATGTATGTCTTCTCCCTGCCCATGAAGGAATCTGAGATCACTAACTTTTTCCTGGGGGCCTCTCTCAAGGACGAGGTTTTGAAGATTATGCCAGTGCAGAAGCAGACCCGTGCCGGCCAGCGCACCAGGTTCAAGATGTTTGTTGCCATCGTGGACTACAATGGCCACATCGGTCTGGGTGTTAAGTGCTCCAAGGAGGTGGCCACTGCCATCCACGGGGCCATCATCCTGGCCAAGCTCTCTATTGTCCCTGTGCACAGAGGCTACTGGGGGAACAAGATCAGCAAGCCCCACACCATCCCTTGCAAGCCGACAGGCCACCACGGCTCTGTGCTGGTGCGCCTCATCCCTACGCCCAGAGGCACTGGCATCGTCTCAGTGCCTGTACCCAAGAAGCTGCTTATGATGGCTGGTATTGATGACTGCTACACCTTAGCCAGGGGCTACACTGCCGCCCTGGGTAACTATACCAAGGACACCTTTGATGCCATCTCTAAGACCTACAGCTACCTGACCCCCGACCTCTGGAAGGAGACTGTATTCATCAAGTCTTCCTGTCAGGAATTCACTGACCATCTCGTCAAGACCCACACCAGAGTCTCCATGCAGAGGACCCAGGCTCCAGCTGTGGCTACAACACAGGGTTTTTATACAAGAAAAATAAAGTGAATTAAGCCTGAAAAAAAAAAAAAAGACTACAGTCGTGTCACTTAACAATGGGACACATTCTGAGAAATGCATTGTTAGCTATTTTGTTGCTGTGCGAACATCAGAGTGTACTTACACAAACCTAGGTAGTATACATATTTTTATTTATATTTTTTTCACATGGAAAACCAAATGTCCCAGCACCATCACTGAATATTAATCATTTCCTCTACTTGATCTGCAACGCAGTATGCTCCATTATAATCTTACGGGCCCACTGTCATATATGTGGTCTATCACTGACCAAAATGTCATCACATAGCACATGACTATGCATTAAACTTAAAAACGTTGGCACAGCAAAGATGATCAACAGAGTAAAAAGGCAACCCAAAGAATGGGAAAAAATATTTGCAAACCATATATTGAATAAGGGGTTAATAGCCAGAATATAAAGAACCACTAGAACTCAATCACAAAAAAAATAGCTTAATTTAAAAATGGGCAAAGCCGTGATCATGCCACTGCACTCCAGCCTGGGCAACAAAGAAGATCCTGTCAAAAAAATAAAATAACTTAAAAGTAAATAAATAAATGGGCAAAGCATGAATCGACATTTCTCCAAAGATTATATACAAATGGCCAGCAAACATATGAAAAGATGCTCAACATCACTAATCATCAGGAAAATGCACATCAAAAACACAATGAGATATCACCTTAAACCAACTAGAATGACCACTATCAAAACAACAACAACAACAAATAACAAGTGTTACTGAGGATGTGAAGAAATTGGAACCCTTATGCACTGCTGGCAGGAATATAAAACGGTACAGCTGCTATGGAAACCGGTACGGAAGTTCTTCAAAATAAAACTACCATACGATCCAGGAATCCCACTTCTAGGTATATATCCAAAAGAACTGATAGCAAGGATCTTGAAGAGATATTTGCACACTCATGTTCACTGCAGCATTTATTGACAACAGGCGAAATGTGAGAGCAACCTTCAATGTCCATCAATGTATGAATGGACAAAGAAATGTGAATAGCCAGGTGCGGTAATCCCAGCACTTTGGGAGACCGAGGCGAATGGATCACTTGAGGTCTGGAGTTCAAGACCAGCCTGACCAACAAGGTGAAACCCTGTCTCTACTAAAAACACAAAAATTAGCCAGGTGTGGTGGTGTGTGCCTGTAATCCCAGCTACTCAGGAGGCTGAGGCAGGAGAATCACTTGAACTCGGGAGGCGGAGGTTGCAGTGAACCGAGATCAAGCCACTGCACCCCTGCCTGGGCAACAGAGCGAGACTGTCTCAAAAAAAAAGAAAAAAGAAAAGTGAATAATATCACATATACTATGACACTGCCCATTTTTAAATAATGTCACAGTATTGTGACATTATTCAGCTTTTAGAGGGGAATCCTGTCATATGCTACAACATAGATGAATCTTAGACATTATCTAAGTATTGTCTTAGATAATGGCTAAGTAAAATAAGCCAATCACAAAAATTCAAGTGCTACATTATCCCATTTATATGAGCTATCTAAAATAATTAAACTCAGAAACAGAAAGAAGAATTGTGGTTGCTAGGGGGTGAGGGGAGAAAAAAGGTGTTGTTCAATGCGTATAGTTTCAGTTGAGATGAAAAAGTTCTAGAGATCTGTTGTACAACAATGTGCATATAGTTAACAAAATTATAATGTACACTTAAAAACTGTTTGAAAGGTAAATTTATGTTTCACGGTTTTTTGAGACAGGGTCTCACTCTGTTGCCCAGGCTGGAGTGCAGTGGCATACTCTTGTCTCACTGTAGCCTCAACCTCCCTAGTAGGCTCAGGTGACCCTCCCCGCCTCATCCACCTGAGTACCTGGGACTACAGGTGTGTGCCACCACGCATGGCTAATATTTGTATTCTTTGGAGAGACAGGGTTTGGCCATGTTGCCCAGGCTAGTCTTGAACTCCTGGGCTCAAACAATCCGCCCACCTCAGTCTCCCAAAATGCTGAACTGTGAGACACTGTGCTTAGCCTTATTTTGTGTTCTTTTAAAATATACACATACGCGCGCAGGAACAGAAAGTCTCTCCTTTAGGAGAGAAAAAACGGACACAGAAATAACAACAAATACTTCCACATTTTCAGGTTATAAACAGCAAGTTCACATTTTCAGGTAATTAAATGGTCAAATATCAAAGAGAACAATAATAAAACTTGAAATATTTTCCCCCTATTTTACTGCTTTATACTCTCATAGTAGTTTAATATATGTTTGATTGTACAACTATAAGCATAAGTAAATAGCAAGTTAAAAATAGGATATAAAAGCCGTAAAAGCTTTTTTCCCATTTGCAAAAGCAGCATTGCATATGACTTTTTTAAAACTTTTTTTTTTCGAGACAGAGTCTCACTCTGTCACCCAGGCTGAAGTGCAGTGGCATGATCATGGCTCACTGCAGCCTTCAACCTTCCTGGGCTCAAGTGATCCTCCCACCTCAGCCTCCCGAGTAGATGAAACTGCAGGTGTGTCACTACGCCCAGCTAATTTTTTTATTTTGTTTTTATATTTATTTATTTATTTTTATTTACTATTATCTTTTTTTTGAGATGGAGTCTCGCTCTGTCGCCCAGGCTGCAGTGCAGTGGCGCAAACTCGGCTCACTGCAAGTTCCGCCTCCTCGGTTCACGCCATTCTCCTGCCTCAGCCTCCCAAGTAGCTGGGACTACAGGCGCCCGCCATCAAGCCCGGCTAAATTTTTTGTATTTTTTAGTAGAGATGGGGTTTCACAGTGTTAGCCAGGATAGTCTCAATCTCCTGACCTCATGATCCGCCCGCCTCGGCCTCCCAAAGTGCTGGGATTACAGGCGTGAGCCATGGCACCCGGCCTGTTTTTTTTGTGAGATGGAGTCTTGCTGTTGCCGAGGCTGGAGAGCAAATGGCGTAATCTTGGCTCACCGCAACCTCCACCTCTCAGGTTAAGTGATTCTCCTGCTTCAGCCTCCTGAGTAGCTGGGATTACAGGCACACGCCACCAAGCCCGGCTAATTTTTGTATTTTTAGTAGAGACGGGGTATCACCATGTTGGCCAGGCTGGTCTTGAACTCCTGACCTTGTGATCCACCCACCTCCGCCTCCCAAAGTGCTGAGATTAGAGGAGTGAGCCACCACACTCAGCCTTTATAAATGGGCCTCCCTATGTTGCCCAAGCTGGTATTGAACTCCTGAACTCAAGTGATCCTCCTGCCTTGGCTTCCCAAAGTGTTGGAATTATAGGCTTGAGCCACAATGCCCAGCCTTAAAAAACCCTTAAGGCAGAGGTTTCAGTTTATTAACACCTCATTTCTAATGATGTTCTATCACGTCTCAGCCTTTTGACTAAGATCAAGTGTAGTATCTGCCGATGTTCTACCGTAATACTTTTCTTTTGAGACAGAGTCTCACTCTGTCACCCAGGCTTGAGTGCAGTAGCACAATCTCAGCTCACTGCAAACTCTGCCTCCCAGATTCCAGCAATTCTCATGCCTCAGCCTCCTGAGTAGCTGGGATTACAGAAGTGCACCACCATGCCTGGCTAATTTATGTATTTTCAGTAGAGAGGGGTTTCACCATGTTGGCCAGGCTGGTCTCAAACTCCTGGCCTCATGTGATCTGCCCATTTCAGCCTCCCAAAGTGCTAGGATTACAGGCATGAGCCACCATGCCCGGCCTCTACCGTAATTCTTTTTTTGTTGTTGTTTTTTTGGGAACGAAGTTTCACTCTTGTTGCCCAGGCTGGAGCGCAATGGCGCGATCTCAGTTTACTGCAACCTCTGCCTCCTCCTGGGTTCAAGCGATTCTCCTGCCTCAGCCTCCTGAGTAGTTGGGATTATAGGCACCCACCACCACGCCCAGCTAATTTTTGTATATTTAGTAGAGATGGGGTTTCCCCATGTTGACCAGGCTGGTCTTGAACTTCTGACCTCAGGTGATCCACCCGCCTTGGCCTCCCAAAGTGCTGGGATTACAGGCATGAGCCACTGCACCCAGCTGCTAATTTTATTTTAATTTTTATTATTTTTGAGATGGCGTTTCACTCTGTTGCTCAAGCTGGAGTGCAGTGGTACAATCACGGCCACTGTGATCATGGTGCACCTTCAACCTCCTGGGCTCAAGTGATACTCTCACCTCACCCTCCCCAGTAGCTAGGACTACAGGTTTGTGCCACCATGGCAGCTAATTTTTCTGCTTTTTTGTAGAGACGGGGTTTTACCATGTTGTCTAGGCTGGTCTAAAACTCCTGAGCTCAAACCATCTACCTGACTTGGCCTCCCAAAGTGCTGGAACTACAGTTGTGAGCCACCATGCCCAGCCTATGTTTGTTTTAAAGAAGACAAAAATTGAGGCACAGAAAGTCAACTAACTTGTACAGTTACAATTAGTAGAATCCAGATGCAATACAATCTCCCTAAATTCATCACTCACTGCCTTAATTATTATTACTCTCAACCATACTTTCTCACAACCGTTAAGATATCTGTAAAATGGACTAAAATCCATCTAAAAATGTTAAAACACTAACCCTAAACATAGGAAAATCTACAAAACCATTATAAGAAACTCCAAAACATGTGCTCTAATAACTTGTCATTTATCACCTGCAAAAACTATCTTTTGGGAGGATCAATTCATATTTAAAGAGGAAGGATATATGTTTTGTGTCTGTATAGTCCCTGTAAAACTCCAAGTAAGTGACACATTCTCTACTCTCTTGGGCATAATCCACCAAAAAGGCAAAGAAAGAAAGTTTTTAATTGAAAAAAGAAAAACACCAATAAACTTGGTATGCGGGCGAAGTCATTAGCTTACTGCCACATAAAGTAATGACACCAGTTTTTATCATTCACTTGATTTTTAGAGGCACTCCCAAAATAATTGTGTATATCTGCCTCAAAGTCAAAGGACATACAACCACAAACGCAACTTGTAACAAATTTAAACAGTAGAACTGCCCCAAGAACACCATCTCTAGATGCTGTTACCTTACCAGTTGCTTTTTCTTTTTTTGAGACGGAGTCTTGCTCCGTTGGAGTGCAGTGGCACGATCCTGGCTCACTGCAACCTCTACCTCCTGGTTTCAAGCAATTCACCTGCCTCAGTCTCCCAAGTAGCTGGGACTACACGTGCGTGCCACCATGCCTGGCTAATTTTTTTATTTTTAGTAGACACGGGGTTTCGCCACGTTGGCCTGGCTGGTCTCAAACTCCTGACTTAAGGTGATCCACTTGACTGAGACTTCCAAAGTGCTGGGATTACAGACGTGAGCCACCGCACCCTGCCCACCAGTTTCCTTTTCTACTGGAGTCTCCTCCCTATGAATTTCCAAATGTTAATGACACTTAGAAGATTCCTTTGTAGGCCAGGCACGGTGGCTCACACCTGTAATCCCAGCACTTCGGGAGGCTGAGGAGAGCGGATCACAAGTCAGGAGACTGAGACCATCCTGGCAAACATGGTGAAACCCCATCTCTACTAAAAATACAAAAATTAGCTGGGCACAGTGGTATGTGCCTGTAATCCCAGCTACTTGGGAGGGTGAGGCAGGAGAATCTCTTGAACCAGGGAGTCAGCAGTTACAGTGAGCCGAGATCGAGCCAGCGCATTCCAGCCTGGCAACAGAGCGAGACTTCGTCTCAAAAAAAAAAAAAGAAAATTCCTTTGTAAAAGTAGTGTTCTATAAAGAAAAATCTGAAGTTACTTTTATAGTAACAAAACACATGAATATCAACTCTCTTTTGGGGTCCTGATAATGACAGAAGAAATACTTCAAATATTAAGTAAAAAGCTACTAATTTAATTTTGAAAATGCCATTATAGGCTGGGCACAGCTCATGCCTGTAATCTCAGCACTTTGGGAGGTCGAGGCAGATGGATTACCTGAGGTCAGGAGTTCGAGACCAGCCTGAACAACATGGCGAAGCCCCGTCTCTACTAAAAATACAAAAATTAGCCGGGCGTGGTGGCATGCGCCTGTAGTCTCAGCTACTCAGGAGGCTGAGGCAGGAGAACCGCTGGAACGCGGGAGGCGGAGGGAACAGTGATCCGAGGTCTCGCTACTGCACTCCAGCCTGGGTGACAGAGTGCAACTCTGTCTCAAAAAGAAAAAAAAAAAAATCACAAAATAGGAGATGCTGGCTTAACACAAGAAGGCTAACCCTGAGAGTCATCCCATAAAGCAACTGCTTTGGCCAAGCGCAGTGGCTCATGCCTGTAATCCTAGCACTTTGGGAGGCCGAGGTTGGTGGATCACAAGGTCAGCAGATCTAAACCATCCTGGCCAACATGGTGAAACCCCATCTCTACTAGAAATACAAAAATTAGCTGGGTGTGGCGGCGTATGCCTGTAATCCCAGCTACTCGAGACGCTGAGGCAGGAGAATCTCTTGAACCTGGGAGGCAGAGGTTGCAGTGAGCCGAGATCGCGCCACTGTACTCCAGCCTGGCGACAGAGCTAGACTCCATCTCAAAAAAAAAAAAAGGAACTGCCTACTCTAATATTAAGCTCCGCCTAGTGCCAAGTATTAAAGGGAAGGCTAGAATGCTATTATACAAAGGAGTTCAGTGACAGGCCACTCTAGGTGACTGACACATAAGGCACCTTCCACATTATACTGGAACAACCATCAGACTTACCTGTGTTTTCGCAGATATGTTTCTAGTGTTTCTAAAAGACAACTCGAGTCAATTAAAACTACTTCATCCCTGCATTCCTGCGACATTAGTTCCCATACATCCATCCAACAACCTCTGTAGAAAGAACAAATATTAGTGAAAAGGGAGAATACAGAAGGGTAAAACCTTAAAAAAACAAAAAACAGATTAAAGTATTGCTTGTTTTTACCTGGCTGTTCCCTGGAAACGTCCATAATGGAAAATGATCCTATACTTGCCGTCCTTCCTGTGGCCTTCACTATTTCTCATCTGTACTTAACTTCTCTGAACTGACACTGCTACTGCTCCCTTCACCGTAGTATAGTACAAAGCTTAGTGACACTGAGATAATCTGAAGAAATAATTTCTATAGTCTAAATTAAAATCATGAACACTTTAATGATTAAGATATTAGAACATGTTTACAAATTATATGATTACATACTCACTTTATATTAATATAACGTTCATTTAAATGTGTGCTCATATCTTTATATAAAAACTTCTGCTTGACTATCAAGTTTATCTGATACAATTTAACAACATCTGTAGTTATCAAGAGAGCAACTGGTTAATAAACTAAGTATTCTATGAGCAAATATAGTTGGAATGTTCTAAAGTCAAAATGACCGAAAAAATTATCAAGTATTTTCCCTTTTAAACACAGACCAATCTTCCACAAATTGAAAATTCTAAGAAGTTTTGATCTACTTAATGAGATCATCATCAAGTAATTTTTTTTTTACTTTTATTTTGTAGAGACAAGGTCTCTACTATGTTGCCCAGCCTGGCCTCAAACCCCTGACCTCAAGCCATTCTCCCACCTCAGCCTCCCAAAGCACTGGGATTACAGGTGTGAGCCACCATGCTCAGCTCAATTTTTTTTTTGTAATCACTCCTTTTTAAAGCTAAACCATGGTAACAAAACTATCATCTACCTTCACATGTATAAGTAGCTGGGAAGGTCATAGATTAATTACAGTGAATAAGTTTTACATTTACTAAAAGATAGTACACTAAGACGAACACTTTATACAGCCTAAATTAATAAGAACTATGTGGTAATTTTTTTTTTTTTGAGACAGATTCTCGCTCTGTCACTCAGGCTGGAATGCAGTGGCGTGATCTTGGCTCAGTGCAACCCCACCCCTGCAGGGGCTCAAGTGATCCTCCTACCTCAGCCTCCCGAATAGCTAGGACCATAGGCGTGTACCACCACACCAGGTTATTTTTATTTTTTTATTTTTTGTATTTTTTAAGTAGAGACAGCAGGGTCTTGTCATGTTGCCCAGGCTGATCTCCGACTCCTCAGCTCAAGCAATCCACCCACCTCAGCCTCCCAAAGGGCTGGGATTACAGGCGTGAGCCACCAAGCCCAGCCCTATACAATTTTTTAACAAACTTACTAAAAACTTCCCACTCTCCCTCCCCAACAGGGTTCAACTTCAGTATGAAAATTGCCACACATTTTGCTTTGTTGCAGCACATTTATCTTGGACCTGCATTCCAAGGGAAATGTGGGTTTACACTCCATTCAATCACAGCCTTCTTGATTTTTCATGATTCTGAACAACTGGCTCCTGTCTGTTCTTCTGCAGGTCTCAGTACAGTCCAAGGAATTCATTACACCTTGGACGCCAGAGACGGAAAAACCTCTGAACTTTTAACTTACTCTATGTAGCTAAATGGGTATTTCTCAACCCTCTGCCTAAAATGTAAGTTATCCACACAATTCAGCTCTGTACTCCCTCTCACAAGGGCTCAGGCCAAGGTTTAGCTCCCCTTATTTGTGACAACAAAAACATCATCTGTTCCACTTTCCATGCTACATCCTTCTATTCTCAACTCTGATATTTCCTTTTTGAGACAGAGTCTCACTCTGTCGCCCAAGCTGGAGTGCAGTGGTGTGATCTCGGCTCACTGCAACCTCCGCCTCCCAGGTTCAAGCGATTCTCCTGCCTCAGCCTCCCAAGTAGCTGGGACTACAGGCGTGTGCTACCACACCTGGCTAATTTTTGTATTTTTAGTAGAGACGGGGTTTCGCCATATTGGCCAGGCTGGTCGCGAACTCCTGACCTCGTGATCTGCCTGCATCGGCCTCCCAAAGTGCTGGGATTACCAGTGTGAGCCACCCCGCCCAGCCCCTTTTATTAACTATACTTGATCAGTATAATGCATAATTTCCCAGAACTGAAAAACTCTCAAACTCAAGCTCTCATAATTGAGGGAAAGGTTCATAAAGAGAAATCAGCTAAAGAATGATTATTATATCATTAGAATGTGAAGGCATTTTTTTTTTAAAAAAAAGCTCTATAAAAAAAATCTGTATCTCAAATCAGGATTTTATTTATAAACATTCTAGACCTTATGCCTTCTATTATTCTTTTAAGATCAAACTTTCCAAAAAAATAACCTTTCCACTTTCTGATTCTGCTCCCATACTCTCCATTCACAGCTTAATCCATGACAACCTTACATTGCATTCACTTTTCAATCATTGCAACCTGGATTCTGCTTCCACTCAATCACTAGCTCAGCTCTTCAAGATCACCAATTATCTCATTGTTACTAAATCCAATGTCCACTTTTGGGTCCTTGATAACTTGGCCGCATTTAATATAGTTGATCAGACTTCCTTGGAACGCTTTTACACCTTGGCTTCCTTCTACCTATCTGGCTACTCTTTCTCAGGTTTCTTTACTAATTTCTTTTCTACCATTAAATTCCTCAGAATTCTTTTACTCTCTTTCCCTTTAGGTGATCTTACATAACATTCTCTAAGATAAACTACAGGCCTACAACTCCAGCCTAGATCTTTCTTCCAGATCTCAAACTTACTCCCAGACAGACAATAACCTGGGTTTACTTGCATAGATGAGAGAATACTCTCAGAAAGGCTGACCTAGATTTCTATTTATTAGGCTAAAACCTAATCAACTGTATTATACTTTCTCTGGAAATAGACTAAACAAATTAAAAAAGCTATGGGGGGTGGGGATGTAGCAGCAGGAGGGGGAGTGGAAATACATAAAATGGAGAATCATAGTAGCATTTAATAGTGGTGACCATCCAAGGGAGAGGGAGCCTTGGCTAAGCATACTGTACTGCTTAGCCTGCTATTCTATGTGGCCTGTGGGAATAACTGAAGCTACCTTAATCAAGAGACAGACACCACTTAAGATCAATTAAGTCCATTCACACTGATTCCATACTCAGCAAACAGCCTTCTAAAACATATGACTTCCCATGTAGTGGAACTGTAGCTAGAAGGGGATGTAAAATCTGTGGAGGTTTGTTTTGTTTCTTAAGCTGAAAGATAGGAAAACAGAGCTGAATGTAAATTTAACAAAAGTAGGTAACTGAATAAGCAAAGTGATTGAAAACAAAGAAAATGGAGTGCAGAGCAAGAGTGGAAGGATTGGTCTTTGAAGGAAGGCAGCAATGAACACAGATGCATAAAATGCTGGGCTACTTGCTTCTCAGTTCATCAACAAAGAATATGCTTAACAGAAAAAAAGCACCAGAAGGCAAGCTCTTTACTGTATCATACCACTTTAGGCCTTCAGCCAACAGGTCATCTCTAATGTGAAAAATTAGCCTGTACTCTGCATTTAGAGTCAGAAATTCTCTGAAGCTACTGACAAATCTGAGAAGGAAGAATGAGCTGATGAAAAAATAAAAAATAAAAAATTTTTAAAAGATACTGACAAATTGGGCCAGGCGCCGTGGCTCACGCCTGTTAATCCCAACACTTTGGGAGGCCAAGGCGGGTTGATCACCTGAGGTCAGGAGTTCGAGACCAGCCTGGCCAACCTGGTGAAACCCTGTGTCTACTAAAAATACAAAAATTAGCCGGGCATGGTAGCAGGTGCCTGTAATCCCAGCTACTTGGGAGGCTGAGGCAGGAGAATCACTTGAACCCAGGCGGCAGAGGTTGCAGTGAGCCGAGATCGCGCCACTGCACTCTAGCCCGGGTGACAGGGGAAATTCCATCTCAAAAAAAAAAAAAGAATTTGAAAGAAAGAAAAAAAAAAGATACTGACAAATCAAGCAGCAAAATAACAACTATCCTTAAGAAAACTTCTTTTCTTCAGGCTACAAGAACATAATGTGTGGTTCTTGTTTGGATCCTGATTCATACAAACCAACATTCAAAAAAAAAAAAAAAACCAGAAACAGGTAAAATCTAAGTATGAACTGGGTATTCGATTGTTACACTTAATTTTGTTAGGTGTTATGATGGCAATGTGTGAAAAAAAATGTCCATATATTTAGAGATGCATGTGGAAGGATGCAATAGAGTAACACGAAGCCTGGGACTTGCTTTAAAATACAAAGAAAAAGGTGGATAAATGAAGCAAGTGTGGCAACTCTTGATTACTACTAAATCTTGGTAAAAGTGCATGGGAGGTTCAATCATTGTATTTTTTACTTTTCTATGTTTGACAATTTTACTAATAAAATTTATTTTATTTATTTATTTATTTATTTCGAGACAAAGTCTCACTCTTGTCGCCCAGGCTGGAGTGCAATGGTGCGATCTTGGCTCAATGCAACCTCTGCCTCCTGGATTCAAGCGATTCTCCTGCCTCAGCCTCCCAAGTAGCTAAGATTACAAGCACCTGCCACCACGCCTGGCTAATTTTTGTATTTTTAGTAGAGACAGGGTTTCACCATGTTGGCCAGGCCGGTCTCGAACCCCCGACCTCAGAGAATCCACCCAACTTGGCCTCCCAAAGTGCTGGGATTACAGGCGTGAGCCACCACGCCCAGCCTTTTTTTTTTTTTTTTTTTTTTTTTTTTTTGAGACAGAGTCTCGCTCTGTCGCCCAGGCGACACGATCTCAGCTCACTGCAACCTCCACCTCTTGGGTTCAAGCAATTCTCCTGCCTCAGCCTCCTAAGTAGCTGGGATCACAGATGTGTGCCACCATGCCTGGCTAATTTTTATATTTTTAGTAGAGATGAGGTTTCCCCATGTTGGTCAGGCTGGTCTCGAACTCCTGACCTTGTGATCTGCTCGTCTCGGCCTCCAAAAGTGCTGGGATTACAGGCATGAGCCACTGCACCCGGCCGATAAAATGTTTTAAATATTTTTTGTTGCTCGGTATAGGGGAAAAAAACTTAATAGATTATTAACATACCACTGCCTGGTCATCCAAGTCTTTGTGTCAGGGAGGAAAATGTCTATACAATAATGGTGTAACTCGGAAGTTCAGGTCAAAAAAAAAAAAAAATCAAAAAAAGGTGACAATGACACAAATGAGATATTTAAAAATTAACTTTTCAGAGGCCAGGTGCAGTGGCTCACGCCTGTAATCCCAGCACTTTGGGAGACCAAGTCAGGCAGATCACTTGAGGCCAGGAGTTTGAGATCAGCCTGGGCAACATGGCGAAACCCCGTCTCTATTAAAAATCCAAAAAAATTAGCCAGGAGTGGTGGCGAACACCTGTAATCCCAGCTACTCAGGAGGCTGAGGCACAAGAATTGCTTGAACCCAAGAGGCAGAGGTTGCATGAGCTGAGATCGTACCACTGCACTCCAGCCTGAGTGACAGAGCAAGACTGTGTCTCAAAAAAATAATTAAAAGATAAAATTAATAAAGAAGTATAGTTTTTTAATATCCCATTCTCTCCAAAACTAAAGTCACGTCTTAGAAAGTCCCTTCACACTCCATGGCTTCGCCTCACTATCCCCACCCCCAGGCAATTTTGTAGGGGACAACTATGGCACTGTGCTGGGAGAAAGTGAAAAAGCAGCCTTGGACACTATAGCACTTAATCAAGAAGAAAACTACAAATTATTATCAGGCAATATTTGCTTAAAAAATAAAATAGGCCGGGCGCGGTGGCTCACGCCTGTAATCTCAGCACTTTGGGAGGCCGAGGTGGGCGGATCATGAGGTCAGGAGATCGAGACCATCCTGGCTAACACGGTGAAACCCTGTCTCTACCAAAAATACAAAAAATTAGCCGGGCTTGGTGGCACGCACCTGTAGTCCCAACTACTCGGGAGGCTGGGGCAGGAGAACAGCTTGAACCCAGGAGGCAGAGGTTGCAGTGAGCCGAGATGACGCCACTGCACTCCAGCCTGGGCGACAGAGGAGACTCCATCTCAAAAAATAATAATAAATATAGAAAACTACAAATTAGTTACATAAATACATATTGTCATAATATCGTCATAACTACTTTTTTTAAAACCTTGGTAAATTACAGCTAGAGACAAGAAAGATAAATAATTTATACATTATGACTATTCTGTAGATCAAATAATGATTACCACTACTTTGAAAACGTTCATATTAGCTGCATACATTTCCATAAAGACTTCAACCGGCCGAGTGTGGTGCCTCACACCTGTAATCCCAGCACTTTGGAGGCTGAGGTGGGCGATCACCTGAGGTCAGGAGTCCGAGACCAGCCTGGCCAATAGGGTGAAACCCCATATCTACTAAAAATACAAAAATTAGCCAGGTGTGGTGGCACGCACCTGTAGTCCCAGCTACTCAGGAAGCTGAGGCAGGAGAATCATTTGAACCAGGGAGGTGGAGGTTGCAGTGAGCTGAGATTGTGCCACTGCACTCCAGCCTGGGAAATAAAGGGAGACTCCGTCTCAAAAAAAGAAAAAAAAAAAGACTTCAACCTCCCTCCTCTAAAACATATTTAACATAAAAAAATTTTTTTAAATCAGATCTACATTGAGACTTTATATATATCAAGGCAAAATGGCCAACATAACAAGAGGATCTATTTATTTTGACCTATGTCATAGAGTATAACCAATTAATGAATTAAAGCAAACAGTGGGTTTATTTCTTTTACTAAATATGATCAAATATATAATCTTAACAATGACAAAGCCTCTTGGTATTCAATTCTACTTACCCCAAAGGTTTTGGCTTGTGCGTATCTAAGGAGTGCAACTGACATCTCTTATTCTTCTTACTTTTTGGAATAGCATCTATCATGTCATTTAGTTTGGACCTAATTAAAAATAAAACATATTAAGGGTTTAATTCATTTTACTTTCAAATTTTAAAATCTCTATTTACTGTCTTTTAGAGAGAAGTCTCAAAACAAAACACAAAAAAACCACTTTTCTCTATCCCCACTGTATCTAGCAGTGTGCCTGGCACTCACGTTATTTCAACACTGACTGCTACCTGACTCTCAGCCATCTTCCCTTGCCCAGCCATTATGTAAATACACCAGTTGCAGAAGCACACACCTGTAGTCCCGGCTATTTGGGAGGCCGAGGTGAAAGGATCACTTAAGCCCAAGGGTTTGAGACCAGCCAGGGCAACATAGTGAGATCCCATGTCTTTAAAAAATATATAAAAACCTCACAAAACATTATGTAAACACAATACATCCTTGAAGAGGAGTCATCAACAGAACTTTTATGCAAATATGGAATACACACTACTACTATCCGCACCTTCCATCCAACCAATGAGCAAAGTTTGCCAATTCTACCTTTTAAATATTATCTAGAATCAGGCCTGGTGCAGTAGCTCATGCCTATAATCCCAGCACTTTGGAAGGCTGAGGTAAGAGGATCACTTGAGGCCAGGAGTTCAAAGCCAGCCTGGGTAACATAGCAAAATTTTCATCTCTACAGAAAATTTTAAAATGAGGCCAGGCATGGTGGCTCACACCTGTAATCCCAGCACTTTGGGAGACTGAGGCCAGGAGTTAAGAGACCAGCCTGGCCAACATGGAGAAACTCTATTTCTGCTAAAAAAAATACAAAAATTAGACAGGTGTGGTGGTGCACGCCTGTAATCCCAGCTTCTCAGGAGGCTGAGGCACGAGAATCACTTGAATCTGGGAGGCGGAGGTAGCAATGAGCCAAGATTGCACCACTGCACTCCAGCTTGAGACAGAGTGAGACTTTGTCTCAAAAAAATTAATAAATAAGATAGAATAAAAGCTAAATAAAAATTAACCAATCTAGAATCAGATCACTTCTTATCACCTCTACCATTATCATCCCTGTCCAACCCACCAATCTCTAGCTTAGTCAACTGCAATAGCTGGCCTCCTAAATGGTCTCCTTGCTGCACCTTCTGCCCTTTACATTCCAGGCCTCACTCAGCAGCTACAGTGATCCTTTTAAAATATGAATCAGATTACATTATTCCTCTGTTCAAAAACACTCCAAGGCTTATTTTCTCAAGCCCAGGCACAGTAAATATCAAAAGTCCCTACCACCATCTCTAAATAGGAAAGCCTCGGGTTTACTTTTCAGACCTCTTCTTCTTTTCCTATTTATATTCACTAAATGAGACAAATTTACATCTCTAACCCAGACCTCTCTGAATTCTATTTGGATGTCTAATCGCTATCTCAAACTTAGCACACCCAAAGATGAGCTCTGTTACATTTCTCCTCAGTCTCGTCCCTCTCGGTAAATGGTAACCATTTGCCCATTCTTTTTTTTTTTTTTTTTTTTTTTTTGAGACAGAGTCTCGCTCTGTTGCCCACGCTGGACTGCAGTGGCGCAATCTTGCCTCACTGCAACCTCCGCCTCCCGGGTTCAAGCGATTCCCGTCTCAGCCTCCTGAGTAGCTGGGATTACAGGTGCCTGCCACCACGCCCGGCTAATTTTTTATTTTTAGTAGAAATGGGGTTTCACCATGTTGGCCAAGCTGGTTTCAGACTCCTGACCTCTGGTGATCCACCCTCACCGACCTCCCAAAGTGCTGGGATTATAGGTGTGAGCAACCACGCAAGGCCTGTTGTCCATTCTTTACATCACAAATCTGAGAATCATCTTTGATGGCCTCCCTCACAACCAATCTATCCAAAAAATCCCACTGGCTCATTCCTCAAAATATATCCAGGATCCTTTATAACCATTTTTCACTACCTCCAAAGCCGTCATTCATTCTCAATACAGAGGTCAAAGTAAGCCAGATTTCATCAGACTATGCCACTCTTCTGCTCAAAACCTTCCCAAAGCTTGTCACCTCACTCAGAGTAAAAAAAAAAAGACCTCAGCCAGGCACGGTGGCTCACGCCTGTAATCCGAGCACTTTGGGAGTCCAAGGCGGGCAGATCGCCTGAGGTCAGGAGTTCAAGACCAACATGGCCAACATAGCGAAACCCTGTCTCTACTAAAAAATAAAAAAAAAGTCAAGCGTGGTAGTGGGCACCTGTAATCCCAGCTACTTGGGAGGCTGAGGCAGGAGAATCGCTTGAACCCGGGAGGCAGTGGTTGCAGTGAGCTGAGATCGAGCCATTGCACTCCAGCCTGGGCAACAATAGTGAAACTCTGTCTGAAAAAATAAAAATATGACTGGACCTTTTATTACCTTTTTTTTTTTTTTTTTTTTTTTTGAGATGGAGCTTTACTCTTGTTGCCCAGGCTGGAGTGCAATGTGCGATCTCAGCTCACTGCAACTGCCGCCTCCCGGGTTCAAGAGATTCTCCTGCCTCAGCCTCTCGAGTAGCTGGGATTACAGGGACCCGCCACCACTCCTGGCTAATTTTTTGTATTTTTAGTAGAGACTCGGTTTCAGCGTGTTGCCCAGGCTAGTCTTGAACTCCTGAGCTCAGGCAATCCAACTGCCTCGGCCTCCCAAAGTGTTGGGATTATAGGCGTGAGCCACCGCGCCCAGTCGCTCTTCTTTTTTTCTTTTTGAAACGGAGTCTCGCTCTGTCGCCCTGGCTGGACTGCAGTGGCGTGATCTCGGCTCACTGCAACCTCTGCCTCCTGGGTTCAAGTGATTCTCCTGCCTCAGCCTCCTGAATAGCTGTGATGACAGCCATGCGCCACCATGCTCAGCTAATTTTTGTATTTTTAGTAGAGATGGGGTTTCACCACGTTGGTCAGGATGGTCTCGACCTCCAGACCTCATGATCTGCCTGCCTTGGCCTCCCAAAGTGCTGGGATTACAGGCGTGAGCCACCGCGCCCGGCCTTATTACTCTGCTGACCCCATCTTTTATTACTGTTCCCTTCATTCATCTGGCTCCAGCCACAAGGGCTTCCTTACTATTCCTCAAACATGCCAATAAAACCCCAACCTCAGAACCTTTACACTAGCTGTCCCTTCTCTGCCTTCCCCCCAGTTTTCTACAAGATTTGCTTGCTCACTTCATTCAAATCTATATTCAATGTCATTTTATCAGGGAGGCCTTCCCTGACCATCCTCCACAATAATTCTACCCCCACTCCATTCTCTACCTCCCTTACTGATTTTTCTAACTTATCATCCCTGACAAATTGAATATTTGCTTTCTGTCTGCCTCTCCCCACGTGGAGAGTTGAAACTTTACATCCACTGGTACATACAACTTACTCAATAAAATTATTAAATCAGACTCAATCTTTCCATCAAGAAAATAAGCTGCCACTGTCACCAAGCTGTTTTAAATTTTAACAAACCCATTTTCTCCTAATTGATTATACTTACCCATGTACATAAAATAATGTATAAAGCTTCTTTGCATCAGTCATGCAGCTTCTAGTTACAGACAGGACTCCCTTGGGCCCTACTGTTAGGGGTTCAAGAGCAGGATTTCCAGACTCTACAAGCTGGGAAAAGAGACGCTCCACACTGCGACGACAACCAACACATGGGACAAGCTGAGAAAGTGCACTCAGGACTTCGCGTGATGTCACCACCATGGCAATACTTAGATCCTGTTGCTTAAGCATACCATGTCGCTGAAAGAGGGAAAGAAAATGAAAGAGTGTCCTTTAAAAAGACGTAAAATTACACTTTCACTACTACTGGTTCCTATCCTTGTGCAGTAAAGTACAACCTGGCCAGGGTTTACCAGCTCTACCTGCAACTGAGTCAGAAAGGCAAAGTAGTCAGCTTTGTCCATGCTGTACGGAATTTCCTCCACAAACCCCCTTGCTCTAGAATCTAGGGTATATAAACAACTCTGCTTAGGATGCCAAAAAGCAGTACTGCATCTGGAAATGTAGGGCTGGTTCAGTGAGTATTAGGCCAGTCCTCTCACAAAAAAAAAAAAAAAAAAAAAAAAAAAAAGCACAATACAGCTGTACCTTTTTTTTAAGTTTGTTTGTTTTTGTTTTTTGAGACGGCATCTTGCTCTCTCGCCAGGCTGGAGTGCAGTAGCACAATCTCAGCTCACTGCAACCTCTGCCTCCTGGGTTCAAGCAATTCTCCTGCCTCAGCCTCCCGAGTAGCTGGGACTACAGGTGTGCACCACCACGCCCGGCTAATTTTAGTATTTTTAGTAGAGATGGGGTTTCACCATGTTGGCAAGGATGGTCTTGATCTTTTGACCTTGTGATCCACCCGCCTCAGCCTCCCAAAGTGCTCGGATTACAGGCGTGAGCCACCACGCCTGGCCTGTTTTTTTTGTTTTGTTTTGTTTTGACAACTTTTAACAACACACTTACTATCACTATGTTTAGCTACAGGAGTCAAGTTAGGATGGTAATCATATGGAGCAGCAATTCCCAATCCAGAGGCATGAACAGGTATATTACGAATTAATGGGAGAAAACATGGCCTATCTTCCTTATGTAGGGAAGTAACTAGCATGCTGCTGCTTATGAATTGTATCTGCTGGTTATGACAAGGTAGAAAAATAACTGAGAGCTACTGTTGCAGAGAAATGAGCAAACTCTAGTAAGTAACTTCTACCTGATGGAGTTATAGTTAACTGCAGTTAACACTTTCAGATTTGCCAAAAACGGATAGGAAAGTAGGACAATTCCCAAGAAGCATTTTCTCACATTTACCATTACCCTTCCATTCAAAGTTTTCCTAAAAGTAGAAATAAGAGTTCTGAAGTAAACTAACAAGTCATCTTCCAATATCTTAATTACAGTCAGCCCTCCATATCCATGGGTTCTACATCTGTGAATTTAACCAACCAAGGATCGAAAATATTTGACAGGAAATACTAAACATGTACAGACTTTTCTTCCTTGTCATTATTCCCTAAAGATGCAGTATAACTACTATTTACACAGCATTTACATTGTATTAGGTACTATAAGTAATCTAAATATGCTTTAAAGTATATGGGAGGATGTGCAGAGGTTACATGCAAATATACATCTTATTTTTTCTGAGACAAGGTCTCACTCTATTGCCCAGGCTGGAGTGCAGTGATGCGATCTCAGCTGACTACAACCTCTGCCTCCTGGGCTCAAGAGATCCTGTCACCTGAACCTACGGAGGAGCTGGGACCCCAGGCACATGCTGCCATGTCTGCCCAACTTTTTTGCATTTTCTGTAGAAACAGGGTTTTGCCATGTTGCCCAGGCTGGTCTCCAACTACTGAACTCAAGCGATCCACCTGCCCTGGCCTCCCAAAGTGCTGGGATTACAGGCATGAGCCACCATGCCTAGCCCTTACTATATCATTTTGTATAAGCATTGTGGATTTTGGTTTGCCTAGGGATCCTTGAACTATCCCCCACGGATACTGAGGGACCACTATACATTGCATTTAAGTGTATTTATAAAGCACTATATTTCTCAGGAATTAAACAAACATCAGAAAATTCATAATATAGGATTACTTTGTCTGAACAAAACAATTAGTACAGCAGAAAACCAACAAGTTTTTAATGAAAAATTATATACCTTATCTTTTAAAAACTAGGAAAGATGGCCTGGTTTTAAAATTAAAGTCTTATGGACATGTAAAATATTAACACACCACCACCAATTCTTTTTCACATGGCAGTTACATAAATCATGTAAATAACTATGCATGCTTACTATAGCAATGGTGAAAGAGCAATTCCAGTGCAATATTAAGACCTAGAGAATCCTATATAAAATTAATACAGCTAAATTTTAAATGAGTCTTTAAAATACACATACACCATTAAAAACACTGATTGAAAAAACTATTACCTGAATGAACTGCTTTAGCTGTGCACCATTATTCTGATGTCCATCGAGATTTAACACATTATCAGGAAATTCCATCACCATCTTAAAATGCAAACAGAACGGAAATCAATTACTTTACCCCTCTGAGAACAGGATACAGCCTACAAACTCCAGAAATAGACCCGTGAAAGCCAGATTTGCACCCATCCCTAGCCCCTCAAAAAATTTTGTTAAATCCAAGTACATGGCCTGGTGCGGTGGCTCACACCTATAATCCCAGCACTTTGGGAGGCCAGTGGGGTGGGGGGCGGCGGATCACCTGAGGTTGGGAGTTCGAGACCAGCCTGACCAACATGGAGAAACCCCATCTCTACTAAATACATAAAATTAGGCAGGTTTGGTGGCGCATGCCTGTAATCCTAGCTACTTGGGAGGCTGAGCCAGGAGAACCACTTGAACCCGGGAGGCAGAGGTTGCAGCGAGCTGAAATCGCACCACTGCACTCCAGCCTGGACAACAAGAGTGAAACTCTGTCAAAAAAAAAAAAAAAAAAAAAAAAAAAAAAAAAATTCAAGTACATAAGACAAGTTTCCATTTTTTTTTTTTTTTTTTTGAGACGGAGTCTTGCTCCGTCACCTAGGCTGGAGTGCGGTGGCATGATTTAAGCTCATCACAACCTCCACCTCCTGGGTTCAAGCAATTCTCCTGCCTCAGCCTCGCGAGTAGCTGGGATTACAGGAACCCACCACCAAGCCCAGCTAATTTTTGTATTTTTAGTAGAGATGGGTTTTCACCATGTTGGCCAGGCTGGTCTCGAACTCCTGACCTCAGCCTCCCAAAGTACTGGGATTACAGTCGTGAGCCACTGTGCCTGGCCAGAACAGTACCTGCCTGGCACATAGTAAATGTTTGCTCTAATTATGAACAAAAAGGGCACATTGATATACTTATTCAATTATCAAAATTCACTACCATAGGAAGGCATATGAAACTTAAGGAGGCTTCACTATGTCACATAATGGGAATGTGTAATTAGTACATTTTACTGATCTGTTGTCACACCACAGATTTTTAGTACCATAGTTATGTATCACTACAAGCCATTTTTACTATAAGATGTCATCAAATTCAAGCAGCATCCTGATTTCAGGTATTAAAATGTGGGGGAAAAAGATATGCCTTCAAAACAATGAAAGTAACACATGTATATCTTAACTAAAACATTGTTAAAGATCAAACATATCGTACTAGGACAAACTATTTCCACATTGCCACATAACAAGGACCACAAACTCCTACAAAATCAAAGAGTGAAGTCAAGAGAAAAACACCGATTTAAGGCAAAAACAAAATATCCCTACCCAGTTGAATGCGATCTTAAAAAGATCACTCCCTTCCCCAACCAGCACCAGAGACCTGCTTCTTTAATAGATGTAACCATTCCTTTCCTTCCATATTAGAGAAATTTAAAACATGTTTGTTCTAACAGCAAAATGAGGCCTCATTAACAGCTAAGTCAAACGTAAGCAATAGATTTAAGAGTTTTTCTTGATAACGGAGGAATATGAGATATATGAAGTACAGAGACAAATAGATACTAAAGGATAGACTATGATGCAAATACTAACATAATCCAGACTGCATGTGCAACACACTTCAAATTTTCAGTGTGTATACTTTATCTTTCAAAAAAGGAAAACATATTAGATGTGGCTATCTCTAGGTAGTAAGACAACTTTTTCTGTATGTGTTCCTATATTTCCCAAATGTATTACAATGCATATATACTATATATTATGGCAGGGGAAGAGTTAATGCTCCTTGCTTCCAATTCTATATTCACTATACCATGTTTAGAGACATGCTTCCATTTCAATAGCTTTTTTTTTTTTTTTTTTTTGAGACAGAGTCTTGTTCTGTCACCCAGGCTGGAGTGCAGTGGCACAATCTCGGCTCACTGCAACCTCCGCCTCCCAGGTTCAACCAATTCTCCTGCCTCAGCCTCCTGAGTAGCTGGGATTACAGGCACCTGCCACCAAACATGGTTAATATTTTGTATTTTTAGTAGAAACAGGGTTTTGCCATGTTGCCCAGGCTGGTTTCAAACTCCGGAGCTCAGGCAATCTGCCTGCCTCGGACTCCCAAAGTGCTGGGATTACAGGCGTGAGTCACCACGCCTGACCCATTTCAATAGCTTTTACCATTCTGAAAGTTTTTTCTTCCATGCATACAGATGAAATGTCCAAATGTCAATTATCCAATTTTCAGGTTTATCAACCCTGACATCTTGTTTCTAGTTTTCCTTCTCAGTCTTATTAATACCTCTAAAGGGGGGTAGCAATAAGTAATAATAAAGACACTTCATGTGTATTAGACATTGTTATAAGCACTTTCATACATTAACTTTATCAACAGCACAAAGCAAAACTGAAGTCAATGGTCTATTTTAATGCTGTAGCTATCAATAATCTGGTGAGGATGACTGAAAAGAGCAAAATATCTAATGAACCATACTGCCTATTGTATTTATTCTAATTAACATGCTCTACTCAAATTTAAAAAAATAATAATAATCCTGGTATTGGAAATCCTGGTCCAGAAAACTATTATAATAAAAGCAATAAAATAGTTAATAGTTCAATTAACTCATATTTTCTGGAATCATCAAAAGGTTTAAGACACACAAAAATTTAACTGTCAAGTCATTAAAAAGGTATAAACTTTTAGAGCCATGTAACTCAACAGAATATTGGAGGTCACTCCAAACCTACCATTTAAGTAACTAATACCTTGATTTATATTTTCATTTGCTTGATACAAATATACACCATTTCACCACATACCAATAGCCGTAATAAAAAATGACAATTATCTATACTGTTTAAAGATCAAAGCTATCAATTTAAGAAACAAAGAATATTCCTTATTTAACCAAATCAAAATCTCTCCAGTCTGGTTCTTAGGCAAAATCCTAAATTCTGACTCAGTATGTATTTATATTCTGATCAACTGTTTTAAAAATTGAAACGGAGATCAAAGAACACATCTAATAATACTGAGACCTGCGAGCTGATTTGTAAAATTTTTTTTTTGAGACAGGGTCTCAACTCTGTTGCCTAGGCTGGAGTGCAGTAGCTCAATCTCGACTCACTGCAGCCTCTGCCTCCCAGGTTCAAGCAATTCTCCCAAGTAGCTGGGATTACAGGCGTACCACCATGCCCAGCTAATTTTTGTATTTTTAGTAGAGACAGGATTTCACCATGTTGGCCAGGCTGGTCCTGAACTCCTGACCTCAGGTGATCCACTCTCCGAGGCCTCCAAAAGTGCTGGGATTACAGGCATGAGCCACCGCGCCCAGCCTAAAATATTTTAATTATATGGATAATACCTGATTTAGGAATTCTTTCTAAGAAGTCAATAAAGAAGCCGGTGGCTCACGCCCGTAATCCCAGCACTTTGGGAGGCCCAGGCGGGTGGATCACCTGAGGTCGTGAGTTCAAGACCAGCCTGACCAACATGGAGAAACCCTGTCTGTACTAAAAATACAAAAAATTAGCCATAGTGGCACATGCCTGTAATCCTAGCTACTTGGGAGGCTGAGACAGGAGAATCACTTGAACCCAGAAGGCGGAGGTTGTGGTGAGCCAAGATCGTGCCATTGCACGCCAGCTTGAGCGACAAGAGCAAAACTCGGTCTCAAAAAAAAAAAAAAGTCAATAAAGAACACGGTTATTTTTAAAAACAAAACTTGTTTCCAATCATTTCATTTTCACCTAATTAGTAGCAAAAATACTAAGATCTAATCTATTTCTATCTTTCCTGGTTTCATCAGCTTGCATACTACTAAATTTTCTCTTGTATTTACTCACTACTCTGGCTGGAGACAATGCACTCAAACTAAATACTCTGTCCTCGCCTTTCAAACACTTAGGACAATGGCTTTTTACCTTACTGTTTTCTGGCCAATCACTATATGCTGTTCAGTGTTTTAAGAGATGAAAATAAAAAGGGGAAGGCAAAGAGGCTAGTAGCACAATTTGTTCTTCATTCTTTAAAACCACTTCCTTAACTTAATCTTGAGATTCTAGGTTACCTAAAGGAAGACAGTCCTGTAAAGTATTTCAGGTGTGGTTTTATAGAGGCATCATTAGCATTCAGCTTCATGAAGAGGTTCCCTACCCATAGCTAGCAACAAATAGAACAAGTCATTGTGCTGCAATTACTGCTTTATAAAGTTTATTGAATCAATTACCCACTTTCACTCTTAAGTATCTGTTCTGGTTTCTCCTGACCACAAAAAAAACCTGTTTTTAGCGCATTCTCACAAGTTCTAACCAACAATATACTAAGTTTGCATTTATTAAAATCACTGTCATTTTGGTTTTACTCCACACAGCTATTTGTAACATCTATCACCCTCAGTAAAATTAACTGTTAAAAGTTGAAAGAAAACATTAAATGCTAACTTTTAACAATTACAAAACATCTAATTCCCAAGTGGATATGCCACCATTTATCATTTTTTTAAAGTGTAAGACATTAAGAACTCTTACCAGATTAATGCTGTACATGCAAACAAGAACAAAAAGAAAAAAAAAACAAAACCCCAAACTCTTATCAGAGTAGTCTATTTAGATTGGTTTAAATTAGGAGAGTAAACTGCAATGCAGAAATGTAACAATCTGGCCGGGCGCATTGGCTCACGCCTGTAATCCCACCACTTTGGGAGGCCGAGGCAGGCAGATCACTTGAGGTCAGGAGTTCGAGACCAGCCTGGCCAAAATGGTGACGCCTCGTCTCTACTAAAAATACAAAAACTAGCCGGGCATGGTGGCGGGCGCCTGTAATCCCAGCTACTCAGGAGGTTGAGGCCCAAGAATCACCTGAACCTGGAAGGCGGAGGTTGCAGTGAGCCAAGATCACACCACTGCACTCCAGCCTAGGTGACACAGTGAGACTCCATCTCGAAAAAAAAAAAAAGAAATATCATAGCAATCTGACAATATGTACCTGGAACTTTACAAAAGGTTCTTATCCTTTGATCCAACCAGTAATTCCACTTCCAAAAGCCTGAGAAAACATTTTAATGCAAAGATTTTTGCATTATTTATGTTCTTACAGTTTATTCATAGCAAAAACTAGAACAACCTCCATGTCCAACAGTGGAAAAATAATTACAGAATGTCATACAACGGAATATTACACAGCCATTAAAAATGTTTAAGAATGACAAGAAAAAATGTTTTCAAAATTACATTTAGTGAAATAAATAAGGACAAAAAGTTACAGAATATATTAACTGTATCTGTGTGTCTAGGACTGAAATTACACCAAATGTGCTTATCCCTGAGAAGCATGACTAAGGGTAATTTGTTTTGTAGTTATTTTTCAAGATTTTAGAAGGAATATATATTTTGGCCGGGTGTGGTGGCTCACACCTGTAATCCCAGCACTTTGGGAGGCCGAGGCGGACAGATGACCTGAGGTCAGGAGTTCAAGACCAGCCTGGCCAACATAGGGAAACCCCCATCTCTTCTAAAAATACAAAAAAATTAGCTGGGCGTGGTGACACGCACTTGTAATCCCAGCTACTCAGGAGGCTGAGGCAGGAGAATCACTTGAGCCTGAGAGGCAGAGGTTGCAGTGAGCCAAGATCAGGCCACTGTACTCCAGCCTGGGCGACAGAGCGAGACTGTGTCTCAAAAAAAAAAAAACTTTAATTCTTCAGATTTCTCTAAAATCAAATATGTATTCTATCTGTTATTTTATAATTGTAGTAACACTGAACAACATTTTAGCCAGAGTATAAAACTTTCTTAAATATTTCACCATTCCACCAACTTATTTGGAATTTTCTCAAGTACACCTACATCAGCCCTATCCTATACTCAGGTGTTCAAACTCACTGAACTACCATGGGAATCTTCTAAACATGGACACAACATATCACATAAAAGAAGAGGCTATTTTTTTTTTTGAAACGGAGTTTCACTTTGTCTCCCAGGCTGGAGTGCAGTGGCGCAATCTTGGCTCACTGCAACCTCCGCCTCTGGGGGTTCAATCAATTCTCTTGCCTCAGTCTCATCAGTAGCTGGGTCTACAGGCACACTCTACCACACCCACTGATTTTTTTGTATTTCAGTAGAGACAGGTTTTTACCACATTGCCCAGGCTGGTCTCAAACTCCTGAGCTCAGGCAATCTGCCAGCCTCGGCCTCCCAAAGTGCTAGGATTACAGGCATGAGCCACAGCACCGGGCCTAAGGCTACTTTTTTTTTTTTTTTTTTTTTTTTTTTTTTTTTTTTTGAGACAGAGTCTTGCTCTTGTTGCCCAGGCTGGAGTGCAGTGGTGCGATCTCGGCTCACCGCAACCTCCACCTCCCGGGTTCATAGGATTCTCCTGCCTCAGCCTCCTGAGTAGCTGGGATTACAGGCACCCACCACTATGTCTGGCTAATTTTTGTATTTTTAGTAGAGACGGGGTTTTGCCATGTTGGCCAGGCTGGTCTTGAATTCCTGACCTCCAGTAATCCACCTGCCTCAGCCTCCCAAAGTGCTGGGATTACAAGCGTGAGCCACCAAACCCAGCCTAAGGCTACTTCTTTACATACAAGTTTGTTAATTTCATTTTACAAGTCCAAATTACAACTGCCAGTTTAACTAAGGGTAAAGTTTCAGCATCCCAACTAAAATGATAAAGTCTGCAACTGCCTGTAAACATTGTAACTATATTGCAACATTTAGCTACTATCAAAATCCTAAGACTACTATTTGAAATAAGTTCAAACAATGTTTCCTCAGTGCATTACCTACAGACCCTAGGGACAAAGACAAAACCTAAGGTTAACTTCAGGCATCCACTGCCATCTATCAAAGGAACAATGCAGAGCATAAAACTCTGATAGGGGCATCTTCCTTCCCTCTTCCCTTTTCCCCTTCTCTCCCAACAGGTGTTTTGCTCTGCATTCTCCCTTTCAGTAGTATTTGGTAGAATATCCTGAAAGAAACTTGTTTCCCTTGACAAGAATTTTCACTAACATTCACTCACAGCATTCAATGACTGTGCAGAAGTCCCAGCACAAATAAATGTCTCACTCATTCCTTTGTGATAAAAACCCATTCTGAAGCAAAGAAAAACTGCACCTTTTCCTAAATGTTATTTTGAGATATTTAAATTAAGTGAGCTTAAGTTTTATTTGCCTTAGTCACAAGTCCACAGTACAATAAAAGCAAAATTCAACCGCCAGATACAGTGCAAAGTAAGTTCCATACTAAACCACATTGCAAGGTTACATCTTTTTCAGTGGAAAATTTTGGAAAGTCACATCATTGTGGAGAGAATACAGTATAAAAGCACTTAAAAAGTTGGCCATTTTAAAGTGCTATATGACAGATGTATTAATGTGCTGCATTCACAAAGGTGGTTATGTGAATATACCAAGAACTAGTGTCTTTTGAAGACTATTTATGTTGGTTTTCCCTATGTTTTGATATGTTTTCCTATGTTATGATTATTCATTAAATAATAATCTTATATCCAAACTCACTGAATTTTTTTTTTTAACTCCACAGCCATTGTGGGACAATAAACCTTAAAGGCTGATATCATAACTATATGCTTCAGAAAAGTGTTTATGTTAGCAGGGGAGAGAAGAAAGAAAATATCAACAAATGAATCCCTATCTGAAGTCCAAACTGAGAAATGCATTATTTAATATGATCACAGTGCTAGTTTCAACTATTTAAAAATACAAGTCCATTATACTTCTAATGCAAAAAGTACAGAAATCATAATCAAGACACACAATTTCTAATGCATCAACACTATTTACTTTATGTCAGAACAAATCATTCTACCTTTTTTCATGAAAAATAAATGCACTTGAATAATTAGAAATGCTGTCACTTAAAAACTTCTAATAAATTAAGTCATTCAATAGCTCTTCTAATCCTTTTTAAAGTACTGCAGCTCAATCAAGTCTTAATTGAGACTGGCAAGCATAAAGGCATAGACTGGCATCTCTACAATGACTTGCATTTTACATAAAATTTGAAAAAACTTCGGTAGATATTTGCAAAAAAAAATATTGAGGAACAAAACTGATCAACTGCCTTTGATAGCAAAAGAATACTGATGAGATGAAGAGACTTAGGTGCACCTTATCGAAATAAGCAAATGTATAATCCAAAGCTTCAGCATCATCAAAACGCAGATTTCAAAAGATATTCGGAAAAGGTTAATTTCATTTCTTAAGTGGCAAGCAACTGCACTCATTTCCTGTTCAGATTCAATTCAAATTTCAGCCATTTCCTTTTAAAGGAAACAGTACAGCAACATAGGGCAGAGGGTCGATAATGCTACACTACCAAATCTAAAGAATAAAGTACCCGGAACTGGGTCTTGACACTCAAGATGAGCAATCAGCTTTTTATAGTACTCTTACACATTCAATAATTTGGCTTCCTTTAAAAAAAAAAAAGTCCACCTGTAAACTAAATAATGCGAAGAAAGCCCGTTTTGAAGAAAGGGCCTAGCAATACAATCATTTCAAGAGTTTTAATGCATTAGGCAATACGAGACTATTTACAACGAAATCAAACCATTTTAGTGGAATCTTGACTGTGCACGAGCATGTCACTCTGCCCCCAGTAATTAAGCTTATGTGGTGAGAGCTACCAGTATTAAAACAGAAAATACACAGGTAGCAGTGCAGCTGCGACATTACCAGGTAATTAAGCCTCCCCGAGGGTAGGTGGTTTCTGTATGGGGTAGGCCCTAAACGCCCAAGATCCTTCAACCCCTCTCTGAGATGTGTGCTTTGACAAAAGCAGCGTCTCCTAAAGGGAAAGGGTCAAGGAATAAGGTTCCAAAAGAAGGAAAATCTGGAGAGAGGGAGTGCGTACGGAGCTCTGGGCTTGGGGCCGACAGAGGTTACCGAGCCACCCACTGCAAAGGCGAGTTTGTGGGGCCTGCTGAAGAGAAGGCCTCGCCTAGGAGTTGCAACACACTCTTTCTCCAGTGCGCAGCGCTCGGCCTGGGGGAGGGGGAGGAGGGGAAACAGCTGCCAGGGGAGCGGCGGGCCCAGCCCGGCCCGGCCCGCTCACCGTCAGGGTGTCGTCTATGTAGAGGGGAATCTGCCTCCTCTCGAAGGGGAACTCCTCCTCCCCGTCCCTGCACACTGCCACGAGTCGCGCCATCGTCCCCGACGCTGCCGTTGCCACCGTCACCACCTCCTCCCAGCTGCCGCCGCCGCCGCCGCTGCTGTTTCTGCCGCCGCCGCTGCCGCCTCCTCCCAGCTCCTGCCTGCAACAGCCAAACCCCGCGAGCGTAAGCACCCGCCGCTGCGCAGCACATTCGCCACGGGGGGCAGGGAGCGGAGCGGGAGGGTACGGGAGAGCCGGGCTGCGTTTCCCATCACCCGATTCCACACACGCTCAGCCAATCAGCGCCCAGCGCCGCCGGGACCCGCCCCCCTCGCGCCGCGCTCCCTCCCTCTCTCCCGCCCGCCCGCCCGCCCGCCGGCCTCCAGTCAGGGTCCAAAGGAGAGGCGGAAGGGACCGGCCTGCCGGGGGCTTCCCCGCCCGCTGCAGGAGTCCCGGCCCCAGGACCCCACCCCTGGCCTGGGCCCCGCAGCCTGTTCCCCGCCGCCCGCCGCCCGGGTGCCCTCTGCCCCCAACTGACCCCTTCTCCCCGCTTCTGGGCGCACCCCGCCCAGTCGGCCCCAGGACTGCAGTTGCCCAGCGCGACCCCGCCCCTGGGAGGGATCGACCCCGCAGCGGCTCTGCGGAGTCCAGGGAACGGGGAGGCTCAGACCCTTTCCTCACCCTTCTCGGAGGAGGCTGTCGGTTCCGACCTTCACCGTTTTCGTGGTCGCCTCGCTAACTCCCACCTCTGCTCCCTGTTACTGGCTGACGAGGCCCGCGTCAGGGCCGGCGTGGGCGGGAGCGCAGCTCCGAATGTCGTTTCCTCTACGGGCAGTCAGCCGCTCGCGCCGCGGGGAGTGGAAGAAGGAGGGCGGGGGACGAGGGGAAGGTGGGGCCGGGCGGGGTCGGGCGCCGGGCGGGACCCACGTCCTCTCGCGAGACTGGGGCTGGCCGCGCTGGGGACCCCGCTGGAGAAATTTGCGCCCAGAGGGTGCGGGGCCGCCCTGGCCGTCCCGCCCGTGGGCCCGGCGCCCTTCTCGGAGCCCAGCCATTCCGCTAGACCCGAACTAGGACTGGTAGGAGGGGTGATCGGCCCAACCTCAGGCCCCAGCCGCGGGCCGGGAAGGCTTCCCCACGGACGAGGGGCAAGCCCCTCGACGTCAGGGTGTCGTCTATGTAGAGGGGAATCTGCCTCCTCTCAAAGGGGAATTCTTTCAGCGAGTCAAGCCCGTCTGATTCGGGGCTGACTCAGGGCAGAGGCCCAGAGAGGACCTGGATAGGTTGCGAGAAGTCGAGATCAGAGGGGGCGGAAGGCAGTGAGAAAAGGGAGACGAGCATCGGGGGGTGAGAGACAAACTCAGGTCTGGCTCTTGGCCCTTGACGCCACTGAATTCGCTTCCCACGGTGGGAAGAGGAGAAAAGGGCCCTGACACCGCGGCTCGCCAGGGGCCCGCTGCGTAGCTGCATCCCGATCCCGCTGAGGGGACAGCAAATAGTGAAGTGCTGATAGCTTGTGGTTGTCGTTACACTGGAAGGAAATAGAAAACCGGACAGTGGTGTGTGTGTGTGCGTCTTGGCCAAAGGAACTTCTTGGGCTGGGTTAATGTGAGCAGGTACTCCCTTGGGCGAAGTACTGGCACTGGCCAACGGCCTTTCCCTCTGGCCGTCTCCGAGGAAGCAGAGCTGCTGTGAAGACAGTTCCTCTCGCCACCGTGTGTTCAGTTCTGACCTTGAAGGTTTTGGAGGTCTGTTGTGAAGATATTTAGCCTATGAAAGTCCTGGTGATCTGAAGGACAGATCAATTTACTGCTCTATTTCCTGGAGCTGTGATACCTTTAAAAAAAGTATTTTGGGTCGGGCATGGTGGCTCACGCCTGTAATCCCAGCACTTTGGGAGGCCGAGGTGGGTGGATCACCTGAGGGTCAGGAGTTTGAGACCAGCCTGACCAATATGATGAAACCCCCGTCTCTACTAAAAATACAAAAATTAGCCGGGCGTGGTGGCATGTACCTGTAATCCCAGCTACTAGGGAGGCTGAGACGGGACAATCACTTGAACCCGGGAGGCGGAGGTTGCAGTGAGCCCAGATCGCGCCATTGCACTGCAGCCTGGGCAACAAGAGCGAAACTCCATCTCAAAACAAAATAAAGTATTTTGGTTATCACATGGAGTCTTAGAGATTCACAACAAATAACCCATAGTGCACCCTTAGCCATGTTGACTTAGTACATTGTGTGGTCATTGTTAGGGTCGGTGACATAATAAACGAAGAACCATTGTTCATTCCCGAAGGTGTCATTACCCGGCAAATATTTATGTCTTCTGGGCCGGGGTCATGGCTCACGCCGGTAATCCCAGCACTTTAGGAGGCGAGGTGGGTGGATTACTTGAGGTCAGGAGTTCGAGACTGGCCTGACCAACATGGTGAAACCCAGTCTCTACTAAAAATACAAAATTAGCCGAGCGTGGTGGCGCACGCCTGTTATCCCAGCTACTCGGGAGGCTGAGGCAAGAGAATCGCTTGAACCCGGGAGGCAGAGGTTGCAATGATCCGAGATCGCGCCATTGTGCTCCGGCCTGGGCGACGAGTGAAACTACGTCTCAAAAAAAAATTTTTTTTATGTCTTCTGGCCATGTTAGCAGAGTAGAAGAGTGAGTATTAGCTTGAATCTAATACGTATGTATGATGTTCATATACATAGCCAAAATTTGGACATTTTTAGAGAATCTTGCGTTTTATGTAAAAAACAAAACAAAAACCAGGACGGGGGCGGCGGCTAACACCTGTAATCCCAAGACTTTGGGAGGCCAAGGCGGGCGGGTCACTTGAGGTCAGGAGTTCGAGACGAGCCTGGGCAACATGGAGAAAACCTGTCTCTACTAAAAATACAAAAATCAGCTGGGCGTGGTGGCGAGCACTTTTAATTCCAGCTACTCCGGAGGCTGAGGCAGAAGAATCGCTTGAACCGGGAAGGCGGAAGTTGCAGTGAGCCAAGATACTGTGGCCTTCAGTATCTAGAGGTGCTCCTACAGTGGTACATCAATTAATGTACCCACTTTAAACCTTTTTTTTTTTTTTGAGACGGAGTCTCACTCTGTCGCCCAGGCTGGAGTGCAGTGGCGCTATCTCGGCTCACTGCAAGCTCCGCCTCCCGGGTTCATGCCATTCTCCTGCCTCAGCCTCCCGAGTAGCTGGGACTACAGGCGCCTGCCACCACGCCCAGCTAATTTTTTGTGTTTTTATTAGAGACGGGGTTTCATCGTGTCAGCCAGGATGGTCTTGATCTCCTGACCTCTTGATCCGCCCGCCTCGGCCTCCCAAAGTGCTGGGATTACAGGCGTGAGCCAACGTGCCCAGCCTAAACCTTTTAGACTTCATTAGGATTCTGGTTGGTAAAGAACATTAAAAATGACAAGCTCATTATATAGGTGCTAATTTTAATTACTTTGACTACTGAACACACGCCAGGTACTAACAAAGAAGGGAGTATTCACCCTGGGGATTTAAATCTGTGAAAAGGTATTAAAACATATATAAAACATAATAAAATGAAATCCCAAAGGTCTCTTTCCATCTGAGCTTACTTTCCCTAATTTGGGTTTGTCTCTTAGGTCCACCGGGCATACTTAGTATCTTTGGACAAATAGGAATTCAATGAAAACGTATTCTTAAAGGCGAAAAAGGTGGATTTGCTAGGTAAGTTGCTGTTTCTCAAGGAGGTAGCCTGGGTGCTATAAATCCAATCCAATCTAATCTAATCTAATACCATACAATATAATACAATCGATACAATAAAATCAATATCCCAAGGAAAACGCTTAGAAAATTATTTCATGGCAAAATAATTTTTCAAAGTTTTCACTGTGCATCTTCCTGGTTTTAGAGTAGGCACTTATTTTTATTTTCACTATTGCTCTATTTTTAGCCATAACCACCAGTACTGCAGCAAATACTTCTTGAGAATTATCCTATGTACTTTAAAATGAAAAGTATCTGCTTTTAGAGAGCAAACCTCTAATTGACGAAATATATAATTGCTACATTAAAAGACAGTTGTCTGTTGCCTATTATTTCATTTTGATATTGGCATTGTGAAATGCAAGTTCAAAGGATTTGAAAGGCCAGGAAAGTAAAGGCAATCAACAGCAGAACACATTTTGCTGGTACCTAATAAAGAACAGTTGGAGGGACGGAGCTGTAATAAATTATCAGCAAACTACCATTCTTTTTCTTAGGTCCAAATGTGTGAGACGCTAGCCACAAAATGCAGGCATAAATGAGATCTATCTGTTCTCCAGGCTACCTAGGTTTAAAAAAAATGAAAAGTACCAAGGTATTCCTTATTATGTCTTAGCTTCATAGACTATATTTAAACTCCTAGGGAGGAACATAAGGTTCTTGTATGATTTATATAAATACATTGGACATTTATGCTCAATAAAAATAAAACTGGTTGTCATCTTCGGCACACAAGAGCTACTGGGGCACGTGTAGTAGACATCCCCAGTTTATAATTGTGTAAAATTAAAATTGGCCGGGTGCGGTGGCTCGCACCTGTAATCCCAGCACTTTGGGAGGCCGAGGCAGGCGGATCACGAGGTCAGGAGATCCAGACCATCTTGGCTAACGGTGAAACCCCGTCTCTAATAAAAATACAAAAAATCAGCCGGGTGTGGTGGCGGGCACCTGTAGTCCCAGCTACTCGGGAGGCAGAGGCAGGAGATCGTGCCACTGCACTCTAGCCTGGGTAACAGAGCAAGACTGCGCCTCAAAAAAAAAAAATTAAAATTATGGGAGTCACTTTCTGAAGGGCATAGATAGGCTGAGGTCCTGGACAGATTATGTTCTTCTTACTCCTCACTTTGTTATCTTTCCCTCTCCTCTGCCCTCAAAAATTGATAGTTGCAAGGAAAATGATAGTTGATTAGAAGACTTTTTGTTGTTTCATTATAATAACCACAGTTTTATGTGGTAAGACAATCTATGGCCACAGAATGTTATTTAAATTACCATAGTGACCTAAACCTGAGGATCTGTGGATTGGGTTTTCTTTTTCATGAGCTGACACTGGGAAGTTCTGTTTTATCTGTCAAAAATAAACACACCTGGTTGGGTGCGGTGGCTCATGCCTATATCCCAGCACTTTGGGAGACCAAGGTGGGCGGATCACTTGAGGACAGGAGTTCGAGACTGGCCTGGCCAACATGGTAAAACCTCATCTCTACTAAAAATACAAAAATTAGCCAGGCGAAGTGGCGTGTGCCTGTAATCCCAGCTCCTCGGGAGGCTGAGGCAGAAGAATTGCTTGAATCTGGGAGGCGGAGGTTGTAGTGAACCAAGACTGTGCCACTGCACTCCAGCCTGGGAGACAGAGCAAGACTCCATCTCAAAAAAAAAAAAAAAAGACAGTAGAATATTAAACGTCATTATAGGCCAGGATCACGACGCCTGTAATCCCAGCACTTTGGGAGGCTGTGATGGGAGGATCACGTGAAGCCAGGAATTTGAGACCAGCCTGGGCAACCCCATCTCTATTTTTTACAGATTTAAATTAAACCTTAATTTAGCCATAGTTTTATTAAATTACACTGGGTACTTGATGACTCTCATCTTTCTTATTGGTTCTCCTTTCCCTTAGCATGGTAGGTGAGGATGCCTGATGTGGCCCCTGCCTGCCTCTCCAGCTCTCTGCCCATGCTCTTCCTTCTTCTGTGTTCAGCCTTCTTTCAATTCCATTATGTGCTTGGTGCCCTCCCAACGTAGGACTTTTGCTGAGGGAGTCATCCATCTATAATGTTCTCTGCCATTTGCCCCCCAGCCCCCAGACACATAAGACTTTATAACTCCTCATCCCACTAATCAGCTCTAGCTCAAAAAAAAAAAAAAATCTGTGGGGAAAACTTGACTCCTTACTAGGTCAGTTCTTGATTTGACACTCTTGACAACCTATGCTTTTTCTTCATAACTTAGCATTTCACAATAGATGTTTAATGTCTGTTTCCTCCACTAGATTGCAAGCTCTGAGGTATCAGGAAATTTGTGCTGTGCTTCTTAAATCCCTAGCATAGGGTAGGCTAAAAGATGAATTAATCCCAAAGCAAAACTTTGTCTCGTAATTATTATGTGTATAAGCTATAATATAACATCCAATTCAGTCTATTTTTTTTTTTGTAGACAGGGTCTCACTGTTTCCCAGGATGGTCTTGAACTCCTGGGCCCAAGCAATCCTCCCACCTCAGCCTCCCAAAGTGCTAGGATTACAGGCGTGAGTCACCATGCCCAGCCTTCCATCTATTCTTTGGTGCATTTAACTGTCTGACTTCATAGTATATAAGTATTTTATTTTTAAAATTTTTCTTTTTATATCCACCCATCTGCACATTGGAGTGTTTGATTTTAAACACTTGCTTCTTAGTCCTAGGTTTTATTCAAAAATTTAAATTGAGCAATAAACAAGTATTGACAATCCACAGTTCACACTGAAATGTCAACATAAACATTTCATTTTATATTTATTGTAAAAGCAATATACAGTAAAAATACAGAATAGCATAAGGTTACATTAAGATGGAAAGTAAAAATTTTCCTCCCCCCACCCCAACAGTCTTTCAATGTCACAACTATAAAGTTTCTTTAAAATACTACTTAATACATTCTAACAAGTCAAAAGGCTTTGTTTCTTCTTGGTTTTATTGTTGAGATACATTAAAATATTAAGCATTGGCCCAGTGTGGTGGCTCACACCTGTAATCCCAGCACTTTGGGAGGCCAAGGTGGGTGTTATCACTTGAGTTCAGGAGTTTGAGACCAGCCTGGCCAATATGGCAAAACCCCATCTCTACTAAAAATATAAAAATTAGCTGGGCATGGTGGTACATGCCTACAGTGCCAGCTACTCAGGAGGCTGAGGCAGGAGAATTGCTTGAACCCGGGAGGTGGAGGTTGCAGTGAGCTGAGATGGCACCACTACACTCCAGCCTGGGTAACAGAGCAAGACTCTGTCTCAAAAAAAAAAATAATTAAGCATCACTGCTGTTTAGATGACTGAAACTATTTTATAATAAAATATGGTTAACACTGTTGCCAAAAGCACAATTTCTTTACAATTAATATTCCTCATTAAATATTGCCCAAATACTTATATATCCTACTCCTGCTGATCACCAAAATTGTACAGTCTTATCTTGCAAATATAGTACATATACAATTAAACAGTTGGAAAACATATAGAGATTGACCACAAATAAGGCCCACAAGGTACTGCTGTGTAATGTATCTACCATCAGGTTGATCAGGCCAGTTGTTATATTTGACAGCAAGAAAAATATTAACTGTTTTCTGTTTAGAGCTGTGATTAAACAAAGACTGGGTTCCATTCTTTCGGCTTCAGGGACTAGAGATTCTGAATGCTTTTTATTTGTAACAGGTGACTGGATAAGTTTCCAAGAACATGGTACTAGAGCTCCTTTAATTAGAAATTTGGCAAAACTCAAAATTATATCACCCAGTAATAAACTACTAAGAAGGATCAGGCTAGAAGCAACTATCCAAATACAAAAGGCTAAATTTGCCATTCTTCGAGATACTGCTTCTACATTTACTTGAACTACGTAAAGAGATATGAAGAGGCTAATAGCTGCCAGTAAAAGAAAACAGGCTACTTTTATCAAGTCTTTGATATGTGATCGGTTCTTATGCATATATAACCCTGTTTGCACACCAGCCATGTGTATTGCCACATACCCCAGGGTAGAGATTATTCCTTCGCGGTTGGCATTTAATAGACCAACCCGTGTGCCACTACCATCAGTGCCATATAATATTAACCTCTTCAGTGAGGTAAAGTCAAGGGCTAGCTGGTATAATACAGTAATGCCGAGGGCAATAATCCAGGACTTATTTAGGGGAAAAATAATCAACAGCAGTGGTGTTATCAATTTCACAACTATTATGGTAAAGAAAAAGTTCCAGTGAACTCCATACTCTGTTAAATGTTCCTGATAGCCTATTGATTTTATAATGGCTAATCGTCCGATTCCTAGGAAGACTAATGGCCAAACAGAGTACAATGAGTTTGTAAAGTAATGCAATTTGGACCCTTCCATATATTTTCTCCTCCTGACCTCTAGACAAACCATTGCAGACCCAAAAACAAAGCCACCTACTCCAAAATCCATTGCTCCTGTCCCATAGAGCTCAGTTTTGGCAAATCTTCTGGGAAAAAGTGGGAAGTCCACAGCCAAAATAGCAATAGCAGTAAACGCACTGGTAATTACACGGAAACAGGAGATGGCTGGATTGTATTCTGATTCTAGACTGATGTTCAAGAATTTTTCAAGGATTTTTAGGAAAGGCAGTCTGGCATAGCAGGTCCTCCTTCGGTATATTTGATACAACAGCCCTGCCCCAAAGATAATTACACCGAGAAGCTCAAGGAGGATAAATGAAGCCCAAATGGTCAAAGTGGCTACCATGGGAACTATTAGGACAACAAAGTCAGTGAGGAATCTAGTTTTCCAGGTAGGTGAAAAAGAACACAAGTACTGTGAGAAAATGATCAGGAACCCTCTGCACAGGATACAGAATGCAGGAAAGCACAATCCCTGGGTGATTTCCAGCACGGTGGTTCCATTGAGGTTACTGACAAAAGCTTCCTTCATCTGCTTTTCAGACATTTTTCTTCCTGTGAAAACAAGAGCAAAGGAATGGATTTGTGAAAAGCAGCATTCTTGTGTAATTAGCATACCTGGCTTAATTTTACTCTTATTACTAGATTTCAGAGCAGAACTTTGGGCCCTAATGAGTTCACCTAGGATTTGTGATTCCCCTTCCAAGGATTGTGGGAAGAAGCTTAACACTAATGTGTTCAGATAGAAATGTCATACTAATAATATTAAATTATTGGTTACAAAGCTTCAGCTATTCCCTGTACAAGACAGACTCACAAAGAAAGTGAATTTGGGGCCAGGCGTGGTGGCTCACACCTGTAATCCTAGCACTTCGGGAGGCCGAGGTGGGAGGATCACCTGAGGTCAGGAGTTCGAGACCAGCCTGGTCAACATGGTGAAAGCCCGTCTCTACTAAAAATACAAAAATTAGCCAGGCGTGATGGCACCCGCCTGTAATCCCAGCTACTTTAGAGGCTGAGGCAGGAGAATCGGTTGAACCGGGGAAGCAGAGGTTGGAGTGAGCCATTGCACTCCAGCCTGGGCCACAGAGTGAGACTCCATCTCAAAAAAAAAAAAAAAAAAAGGAAAAGAAAAAGCAAAGGAAAAGAGAGCGAATTTGGGATATAAACTCTGAGAATGGCATCATAGGCAGATGGGAATTTCTATTATGGAGCACAGTACGTATCATGAAGATTCTTTGATGCAAATTGAATAGGATTTACTAATGACCTTAAAGCAAATTCAAACGCTAGGGGCCAAGTACATTTTGAAGTTGGGGGCCTTGGTTCCAGTTCAGAGCCTCTCCAAACCTACTGCCTTGGTACAAAACGTGACCCCTGCAGTGATTTCTGGATCCCCAGGCTGCTCCTTTCCTCATTTACAGACAGCTATGTTTTCAGGTTAGGATGGAAGTAGGTACGGTGGGTGCATTAAGAATGGATGTATAGCACATACTAGTGTTAGTTGCTCTTTTATTAAGGGTTGTAAAACACCTCTGAATGCCACACATCATTGTCTGAAAAACGGCATACTGGAAGAACACATTTGTTGGTTAAACATGAACCTAGAGTTTCTAAATGTACCATGAGCTGAATAAGTAAGTGAATGCATGCGTGCATTATGGCCTGTCTGGAACCTGTGACAATATCTCACAGTAACCAACTCAAATCAGTTGACCATTAAAAATAAAAGTCCTAGCCGAGAGAAGTGGTTCATGCCTGCAATCCTAGCGCTTTGGGAGGAGAGAGGATCGCTTAAGGCCAGGAGTGAAAAAAAAAAAAAGAAAAATTAAAAATTAGCTGAGCGTGGTGGTGCGCGCCTGTAATGCCAGGCTGAGGCGGGAGGATCGCTTGAGCCCAGAGGTGGAAGGCAGCAGTGAGCCGAGATCGCGCCACTGCACTCCTACCTGGGCGACAGAGCGAGACTCCGTCTCTTAAAAAATAAACATAAAAATAAAAAGTCTTTTTCCTAACAGACGCCCGACCTGGCCGCGCCCTACCCGTATACCTCACGTACTCCAAATGGTGCCGGCGCCCCCAGCAGACGGTCTACGTGGGAAGGGCAGCCGGACTGCCGCTGCACCCGCCAAACCACGCGGGAACCAGCCGCTTCCGCCTCCCGCGCGGCACTTCCGGCCGACGCAGGCAGCTGGCACTTCCGGGCCGGCCGATTCCGCGCGTCTCCGCCCATCATGGCGCTCGTGCCAGTGTCCCGTGGGCTACCCACTCCTGTCATGTCCTTTGGGCTGGTGCAGGCCAGATCTTCTAGGGCCGTAGCCCTGAGAGGAGCGCCTGGAGAGGAAACGGCGCGCCATGCACCTCACACGGCCCCTCAGACCTCACGGCGAGGCCCTATCAGGGTAATGGTGTCCGCCGGCCTCGCACAACACTCCGCCGCACTCGCACAAGACTCCGCCGCGGCGACCTCTACTGAAAGACCCCCAGTCCTGGTGTCGCCCGAAGGCCCAGGAAACCGTGCTTCCGCGCTTCTCCCCCAGAACGTGGGAAGCTGCCGCTTTACCCTCATTTTACCCCAGGGTCGCAAAACATCTCACCGTAGTTGAAGCCAGCAAGCCGGACCAGGCGTCCCGGCCAAGCCACGTGCGCGCCCCGCGCCGCGAGTGCTCGCCCCGCCCCTAGGGAGGAGCCGGCCGACCCCCGGCCACTTAGCAGTGCCGCAGCCGACGGGGTGCGGTTCGGCGCTCCCAGGTTCCTTTCCTCACTGCACGCTCTTGCCCCTCCTCTTTTCTCTCCTGCCCGTGTTCTTCCCGCCGCCTGACCTGGCCCGCCCGCCTTTCCAGTCTGGCCGGGCGGGGGCCTGAAGCACGGCGGCTCGGGCCGTGGGACCGGTGAGTGTCAACCCGAACCTATATCTGAAGCCCTTCAGACGCGGAAGGGGCTTGGGAGGCCAGTTTGCCCCGCAGCGGTGAGGAAGAAGTAGGCGTCTCCACCTCCCCTTCCAAAGCGCCGTTTCCCTCCTTTTTGCCTTTTCCTTTTGACCCTCTTGTGTCTCACGAGGGGGTAGCCCAGCTCTTGGCTCTTGCTTGAAACAAGTCTTTCTTGATCACCCTCCACCTTTCCACCTGGCCGGCAGGGGGCGGCCTGGGGGGAGAGGGTCCTTGCTCCACTCTTCGCCCAGCTGAGGACCCCGGGAGGGGGCGGCTGGTCCCGGGAGGTGTCAGGGCAGCTGCGCCCTTGGCTGGGGTCACGTCCACCTTCCTGGGAAGGACATACTCTCCCCGTGCCAGGTGCTTCCGGAACGGCATCCCAGCCCTGGGTTTGCGGCACGACGCCCGGACCTTGAGTCCCCGGTTCCCGCCGGGAACCTGGGGGCGGAGCCAGCTGGACTGATGAGATCCTTACCCAGCGCTTCTCAGCGTCTGCCCTCCCACTGTCCTCCATGCCTAGAAAGAAACAGTCTGAGAAGGAGGGACTGGTGATCAGGTTGCCACTTGCCTTGATTCGGTGTTCCATTTACTCATTACCGTCTCCTTTCTGCCCACAGTGTTCACACCCTTTCCAGAAATTCTTGGCTGGTAACCGCGAAACCGACTGGAGCAGGAGCTGGGAGAACTGGAGAAAACTGCTCTAATCTCACTTGACTCCAGCTAGGAGCTGATGCTGCATCGTAATAACATTTGCAGAGCGCTTTCACAGGTATTAGCCCCTTTAACGCTTCATTTAGCCCCGTGAGATCTGGATATTATCACTCCGTTTTGTAAACGAGGAAACAGAGTGAGGCTTAGTTCTTGGGTTCTGTGCCAGGGGCCTTGGGTTTTGGATTCAAACCCCAAACCTGTTGTGCTGCCCCTCTGGACCTATTGCTTGAGATGAGTTCCCAGTTGAAAGAGCTTTGTTCTCTGGAGCCCTCTGCATGGCTGTCCCTTGGATGGGGTACAGTCAGTGTCCAGGGTCAGGATCTTTTAGGGCTGTAGCACCACACCTTAAGTGGTCCAGCACGGTCCTGATACCTGTTTCCGCCTCAATTGTCCTTTTTCCAGCTTCTATGGAAGTCCCTATCCCTGGGTTCTTTAAAGACTTGATGTATTCAGAGCCTCAAGAAAGTCTCCACCAGGGTTAATCCATTGCAGGCACGCTTCACCCTCAGCCTCATCTCTCCTTGCTAGGGGTGGTGCCAAGGCCTAGAAAATTCCAAGTCTGAGGGTCACTTAACCATTCTTCAAAGATTGGCTTAGGCCCAGCCTCACAACACCCCACCTCCCAGATGGATTCATCTCCCTGAAATCCTCACCTTCTTGAAGTTGACACTGGACCGTTCACCTGATTAGCGCTCCCAAATGGATCATCAACCCTTAGTCGTAGTGCTAACAGTGTTTATCCTCTGAGTGAATACTCAGATTCGTACTTTGTGTGGTGCTGTCAAACCATGACCTCATTGACCTTCACAACCACTCCTTATGAGGCAGATTTAACTGTCCCCATTTTCAAGGTAAGAAATTGAGGTAGGTGATGTGCCTGACCCAGGATCACACACCCAGTGAGTGATTGAACTGTGATATAAACTACCACACCACACCTTTCCTGGAGCAGCGAGAGATGACTCCAGCCTCTCCTCCTCACCAACGACTGAAATAGGATATTTCTGTCTAATGTAGAGGATAGGGCACAAGGCTTCTCTGTCTCCCCAGTGTCTTACTCCTCCTCCATGGCACACTGACCCAGAGGGTTTGCAGCCCCACCCCAACCCAAACCCTAACCCTGTAATAAAACTGGCCCAGGGAGCCTCTGAGGCTCTCATAAAAGTTTCCCTGTCTCCTAATTGGCAAGGGAAAGGACAGGCCCACTCTCCGCCCAGGCCTGCCTTGCATCTCATTTTGGTTGCTTCTGCTAGGTGGGAAGGAGTGAGTGAGTCACTCCAGAAAAGCCCTCACCTGTGTGTGGTCCTTGTCTTCTCTCTCATGCCACAGGCGCTGGAGTGACTTGTCTGAGATTCCTCCAGAACTGAGCCCTTTGTTGGAACCATACCCCAGCCCATGGTCCCATGACTAGGTGGATAGTACTCCTTGTACCTCCTGCAACCCAGAACCCTGGCTGACCACTTTGAAGGAGGATGCTCCAGCAGGTAAAACCTCAACCTTAGATAACCCAGGCCCTCAAGCACCTGCAGCATCTGTTGCTAGCCCTAACCTGGAAGGAAGGGAAAGCCCCCTTAAAGGTCTCTTTTCTCTCCTCAAATTGTCTCTCCAGTGCCTTTTACTCATCATCAAGAAACTCTTCCTGATACCTAATTTGAATCTGTCTTGTGGTTTTTAGCTCCTTTCTTTGGGATAGGTAAGGTGGGATGGGTAAGGGAATCCTTAGGGCACTTTGGGGATTCTGCAGAGGAAGTCCTGAGAGATGTCCCTGCCACCTGAATTGTTGAGGCATAGTAGAAGCCTGGGGCTTCCAAGAGGATGTGTTCCTTGAAGCTAAGCCTTAAAGAACTAGAAAGAATTAGCCACTTGGAGAAGGAAAATAAGCACTCCAGGCAAAGAGGTCAGCCTGTGCAGAAATGTAGGAGACTATGAGGAAATATAGAAGGATTCTAATGAGTGGATCATGGGTTACATGATCCCCATGTCTCTGCCTCTCTGAAAAGGCTACTGTTGCCCCAGGCCTGTAGGATTCCAAATCACCTTTTACAGCGGAGCTCTCTCTCATACCCATATCATCCTTCATGTGTAACTCTTGGTCCTGAGAGAGTGCCAGTACTTATTTGCTGACTTTTTATTTTACCAAGTGTTGCCAGGCACTGGGCTGAGGCAGATGTTGAGGTTGGTGCTTGCCCTCAAGGAGCTCAGAGTCTAGTGGAGTCTTGGGTAGGTAAGTGCCTGACATCAGCAAGGTAGCAGCCAGGTGTGGGGCCTGCCAGCATCAAGGGAGCCATAGTAGACACTGCAGCTTGACCTTCCAGCCATATGGCTCCTGGAACAGGTTTGAAGGTAAGAAGTGGGCAAAACAGTTGACTGCTCTGGGCTTTTTTCTTGCTTATTTTTAAACTTTTTTTTTCTCTTATTAAAAAAAAGGTATATCAATACAATGGAATAAAGCAAGTTACACAAAAATATAATACTTTTCAATGTTTTTAAAGTATGTAGGGGAAAAAACCTATGATATTCTCTAAAATATTGGTTATTTCTGGGTAGTATGATTATGGATTTTTATGCTCCTTTTGCTTATCTCTATTTTCCAATTTTTTTTTTTTTTTTTTTTTTGAGATGGAGTCTCACCCTGTCATCCAGGCTGGAGTGTAGTGGCTTGATCTTGGCTCACTGCAATCTCTGCCTCCCAGGTTCATGCTATTCTCCTGCCTCAGCCTCCCGAGTAGTTGGGACTACTGGTGCTGGCCACCACGCCTGGCTAATTTTTTGTATTTTTTAGTAGAGATGGGGTTTCACCGTGTTAGCCAGGATGGTCTCGATCTCCTGACCTCGTGATCCACCCACCTCGGCCTCCCAAAGTGCTGGGACTACAGGCGTGAGCCACCGCGCCCAGCCTCCAAATTTTTTTTAATAATTTTTGTTTATTTATTTTTATTTTAGAGATGGAGTCTCACTCTGTAGACAAGGCTGGTCTCAAACTCCTGACCTCAAGTGATCCGTCTGCCTCAGCCTCCCAAAGTGCTTTTACAGGGGTGAGCCACCGCACCCAGCCGTGAGACCCTGTCTCTTAAATAAATAAATAAATAAGGCCAGGCACGGTGGCTCATGCCTGTAATCCCAATACTTTGGGAGGTCGAGGCGGGCAGATCACCTGAGGCCAGGAGTTCAAGACCAGTCTGGCCAACATGGCAAAACCCCATTTCTACTAAAAATACAAAAACTAGCCAGGTATGGTGGTGCATGCCTGTGATCCCAGTTACTTGGGTGGCTGAGGCATGAGAATCACTTGAACCTGGGAGACAGTGGTTGCAGTGAGCCGAGATTGTGCCACTGCACTCCAGCCTGGGCGATAGAGCGAGACTCTGTGTCAAAAAAAAAAAAAAATACAAAAGCCACTTTTACGCGTGCCTGTAGTCCCAGCTACACAGGAGGCTGAGGCAGGAGAATGGCGTGAACCCGGGAGGCGGAGCTTGCAGTGAGTCGAGATCGCGCCACTGCACTCCAGCCTGGGCGACAGAGCGAAACTCCGTCTCAAAAAAAAAAAAAAAAAAAAAAAGCCACTTTTAGAAGAAGAATAGCTAACCCCTTTTGGCAGATTCCAGATGGCCTTTCTAAATCCTTCGTGTGTTTTTGTGCTTGTGAGTATCTGTGAGGTAGGTACCATTATCCCATTTTACAGAAAAGAACTTTAAATAATTATTTAGAGACAGGGTCTCACTTTGTTGCCCAGTGCAGTGATATCCCCATAGCTCACTGTAGCCTCGACCTCCTGGGCTGAAGCAACCCTCCTGCCTCAGCCTCTAGAATAGCTGGGGTTACAGGCACATGCCATAATGCCCAGCTAATTTTTAAATATTTTTTATAGAGACAGGGTCACCTTGGCCTCCCTAAGTGCTGGGATTACAGGCTTAAGCCACTATGGCCAGCTGGAAATTTTTCTATTTTTATTTTTTACTTTAGAGACAAGGTCTTGCTCTGTTGGCCAGGCTAGAGTGCAGCGGTACAATCATAACTCATTGCAGCCTCGAACTTTTAGGCCCAAGTGGTTCTTCTACCTAAGCCTCCCAAGTAGCTGGGATTACAGGGACCAGATGAGGAGAATTGAGGCAGAAAGAGATTAAGAAATTAACATAAGAGTATATAACTGTAAGAGATAGAGTCAGGATTCAGAGCCAGACAACTAACTTTCAAGTCCAGGTACTTGATCACTATACTCAGATGCCTCTCTGGTTGGATCAGAACTCTTCATAAATTGTGTCTGTGTTTGTGAATGGTTTGTGTAGTGGTGGTTTTTTTTTCCCCTTCATAAAAGGAGAGGGATATGCATAGATATAGCTGTGCTCTGACCTCCGCAGTTACTCTGGAGGCCAAGAGCCTACCTTGTGCATTATAGTGGGCCCAAAGTTCAGAGAACAGGCAACAGTTTTGGAAGAAATGCATTACTGGGCCTCTTGGAGGAAATTTGCCACCATGGCTTATTTCTATGAGAGATTTGAAATTTTAGGCTCACCATTCTCATTGGAAATTCACCTGTTGTATCACAGACCTCTTCCTTCAAAAGCACATTTCAGCAAGATACCTGTCTTCAACCCCCACTCTGTCTTTCCTGCATCCCCAAAGGAGACAGTAGGAGAAATGGGACCACAGGAGGAAGTGGAGGGATGATACATCAAGAATGGGCAAAGGAAGATAGGGTGACTCATGCCTCTAGTCCCAATTACTCAGGAAGCTGAGGCAGAAGGATCACTTGAGCTCAGGAGTTGGAGGCTGCAGTGAGATATGATCATGCCACTGCACTGCAGCCTGGGTAGCAGAGCAAGACTCCATCTCTTAAAAAAGAAAGGAAAAAAAAAAGATAGGCAAGGGAGGAGAAAGGACCTGTTCCCTTGGTGCTTATTCTTGACCTCAGACAGCCGTCTGAGCCAGGCTTTCTCTCAAGCAGACTCGGGCCAAGGGAACCAATTCATTAGCCAGCCTAAATTTAAGCCACAAAAGGCAGGTGATGAAGACATGGGGCTACCTCTCTCAGAAGGTACAGCTGTTTTACATCAAAAGCTGAACTGTCTCTTCCCAAAAAGGCCTAACCCATGGTTCTTTTCCTTTGCAACATTCCTATAGCCTTATTTCTAATAAGGCTAGTAGCCTGGAAGTGCTACTTGCAAGTGGCCGGAGCTCTTGGCAGAAGAGATAGCATTTGTTGAGTACATGCTGTATGCCGGGCACTGACTAAATGCTTTGTATATCTCTTCTTTTCTTCCCAATAACCTTGTCAGTTGAGTTTATTTTCCTTTATTTACGAATAAACAAACTGTGACTCAAAGAGGGTAACTTACCCAGGCTCACAGGGCTACTAAGAGGCAGAACTGAAATTTGAACCCAACCAGACTATGATACCAGAGTCTCCTTCTACTATACAGGTTCCCACCCTTCTGTAGCTGCCAGCTGTTTTGAGTACCAGCTGTCGCGGCCTTCATGTTTTTTGGTTTTTTTTTTTTTTGAGACAGAGTCTTGCTCTGTCGCCCAGGCTGGAGTGCAGTAGCACAATGTTGGCTCACTGCAAGCTCCGCCTCCCGGGTTCACGCCATTCTCCTGCCTCAGCCTTCCGAGTAGCTGGGACTACAGGTGCCCGCCACCATGCCTGGCTAATTTTTTGAATTTTTTTTAGTAGAGACGGGGTTTCACCGTGTTAACCAGGATGGTCTCGATCTCCTCACTTTGTGTCCTGCCCGCCTTGGCCTCCCAGAGTGCTGGGATTATAGGCATGAGCCACTGTGCCTGGCCTCACCTTCACGTTATCTCTTCCAGGTCAATGGCCACAATCCGGGGTCTGATGGCCAAGCCAGGGAGTACCTCAGAGAAGACCTGCAGGAGTTCCTGGGTGGGGAGGTCCTGCTGTACAAACTGGATGACCTCACCAGGGTGAATCCTGTGACACTAGAGACAGGTATGGGCCTCCCATTCCTCAGGAGTATCATCTCCAGGAGGTTGGAGGTGTAATGAGAGTAGTCAGCACAGCTTCTCCAGGTCAGACGGAGGTCGGCAGGACTCCTGATCTGGAGCCAGGTGGGCTGCTCCAGACCTCCGCCTGAGGGAGCATGACAGCTGCACCTGGGCTCCCCAGGGCATGCTTTGCTTCAGATTTGGAGCTCATCTTAATTAGATCTTGTATCTTTTCTTCAGGGAGCTGCTGGGATTTAATGATTCTTGGCTAATTGCAGAAAGAGGGCTGTTACTTAAGTAGATGTGTGTCTGTGTGTGTGGTTTGACTATATTTGAGCCCGAGTTTGCTAAAGGCATCTCTGCCTCAGTCCTGAGGTGCCTGCAGGCCCGGTACATGGCAGACACATTCTACACCAATGCTGGCTGCACCCTGGTAGCCTTGAACCCCTTCAAGCCTGTTCCTCAGCTCTACTCGCCCGAGCTAATGAGAGAGTACCATGCTGCGCCTCAGCCCCAGGTAAGGCTCTGCCGCTGCCTGTGGCCTCAGGGCTCCTCTACCTCCCGCTAAACCTCTTTGCAGTTACCCCTGTCCTTATTCATCTATTCACCAGCAATGTGGTCATTCAGAGTCTGCTAGTGCCACGGCCTGCCCAATAGGAGCTGGCAGAATTTTGAACCATGAAGAACTGACTACAGGACAGAAGGTGCAAAGTGGGGAATAAATAAATATTTGTTTAACTGAGTTTGGAACCTAAAATAAGAGACATAAGAGAAAGGATTTTTTTTTCTTGTTTGCGGTTTTATTAACAGGAAAGGATTTATAAAGGTATTATATATTTGTTTATTTAACAAACTACCTTTTTATTTTTTATTATTATTTATTTATTTATTTATTTATTTTGAGATGGAGTTTCAGTCTTATTGCCCAGACTGGAGTGCAATGGCATGATCTGGGCTCAGCGCAACCTCCACCTCCTGAGTTCAAGCAATTCTCCTGCTTCAGCCTCCTGAGTAGCTGGGATTACAGGCATATGCCACCACACCTGGCTAATTTTGTATTTTTAGTAGGCATATTGGTCAGGCTGGTCTCAAACTCCTGACATCAGGTGATCTACCCACCTTGGCCTCCCAAAGCGCTGGAATTACAGGTGTGAGCCACTGTACCCGGCCCTATTTATTTTGAGACTGAGTCTCTCCCTGTCACCCAGGCTGGAGCGCAGTAGTGCGATCTTGACTCACCGCAACCTCCGCCTCCAGGGTTCAAGTGATTCTTGTGCCTCAGCCTCCCGAGTAGCTGGGACTACAGGTGCCCACCACCATGCCCGGCTAATTTTTGTATTTTTAGTAGAGATGGGGTTTCACCATGTTGGCCAGGCTGGTCTCGAACTCCTGACCTCAAGTGATCCACCTGCCGTAGCCTCCCAAAGTGCTGAGATTATAGGCATGAGCCACTGAGTCCAGCAAAACTACCTTTTTAGGAAAGAATGAAATTATACACGATAAGGATTGCCCTGGAAAATTCAGCATATGTTTATCTCTGCTGAGGAAAGTAACTTATTCTTTTACTGAGAAAAGGATAAGTTATTTGGGGTGGGGTGGTGGAGGTACAGACAGATAATGAGCTTGTTGGTGTAAAAGTGCATGATGCATTCAGGGAGAGGTGAGAGAAAACTTGCTGGCAGGAGGGAGGTCTTGGGGGCAAGAGGGAGTAGATGAGAGCAGGAAGACGAGAAAGCCAGGGTTGTTTGTGAAGAGTCTGAAGCACCATAGCAGGCAGAGAGAATCTGCAGAGCATCTTCATCCAGGTAGAGGTGGGACTGGGAACAGAACCCACTAGACGAATAATTACTGTGGGAGTTGGGTTCAAGAAGGTGAGGCAGGAGGCAGAGACAACAGTTGGAGGCTTTGTATCCCTCCAGGTGATAGGTGGCTGGGGCAAGGGCAGGTGTAGAGAGGAGTGGCTCTGACGCCATATGGAACAGTTGCCTTCTCCCTCAGCAAGCTGTGGGTAAGTGATCACTGCTGGCTGGGTTAGCTAGGCATTGTGGAGATGGCGTGGCCCTCCAGAAGTTCATGCGTGATGAGGTATCCAGTTGGAATCCAGGGGCAGTCTGTCCTGAGAGCCCTGTCTGCTGTCTGCCCTGCCTCCGGAAAAGTAAAAGCCAAGTCGTAGTCCCCTATGTTTCCTCAGCATCCAGCTTGATTGATGCCTAGTACATTGAAGACAGTTAATAGTTGTTGAAGAAAAGGGGAACAGTGGCTTTGGAATTTAAATCACATGGATATACTTACTTGCTGAGTGGCCTTGCAAGGTTATTTAACTCCTCTGAACCTCACATTCCTTATCTATAAAATAGGGTTATATTTCCAATTAGTGGACAGGCTTCTTAGTAGTTTATACGAACTTTGCAAATTGCAAATTATAGTAATATGAAGTAATAGGCAGAAGGATAAGACAATTAAAGCAAGATAAGATGGGGGTATAAAGTGTTAATGTCATAAACTGGTCAAGGCTAGCCCTGCTTCTAGGCTGAGAGAAAATGAATAGGTAAAGCCAACATAGGGGTTCTAAAGTTGGGCCTAACAATGTGACATCCAGAAAATTTTTCTGGAGGAAGCATCCCACCACTGCTATTGGCAGCCTCCCCATCTCAGTCATCATTGGCTCAGTCATCATTGAAAAACAGGCATTCCCTCACATGACCTTTCACTCCTTGATGTTCCAGAAACTGAAGCCCCATGTGTTCACTGTGGGTGAACAGACCTACAGGAATGTCAAGAGCCTGATTGAACCAGTCAACCAGTCTATTGTTGTCAGTGGAGAGAGTGGTGCTGGAAAGGTAGGAAGACGTCTTTCCCATCCTGTCAACTCACGACTGGCTGGGTGGACAGGGAGGCAGGGGTCATTCCTTGGCCTTCCTTGTGGAGTTGTTTGCTTCCTAATCATTCCCACATAGGCTGGCTGAAGCTGGGGTTGGTGCACAATGGTGGGCTAGCACTGAGCCGGAAGTCAAGAGACAGGATACCAGTCCAGGCTCTACTGCAAGCTCTGCCATCACCCTGGGTGAAATAGGAATGAAGTTTCCTTTCTAAGCCTTATTTTCTCATCGAAAGTGTCTCCCAGCTCTTGACACTACTGGAAACAAAAGTCAGCTGCTGGGGATTCCAGCATAGTGGTTAAGAACACATCAGAAAAGTACGTAGCTTCTGCAAAGCTCTCAGTTCTTCCACTTGTAAAATGGAAGGGAAGGGAGGACCAACACCTGACTCATAGGACTTCTGTGAGAGTTAAATGAGTCACTGTACATATGGCACCTGGTGGCATGCTTGGCATGTGGCAGTGCTCCTCCAAAGTAGCTGGGGTTCTTGTGGGAAAAAGTTTATTGGAGTAAACCACCTGAACCCTCTGGGTTGCGCATGGTGGCAAGGGCAGTATATTGGGCCAGGTGTTGGGGAGGACAGAAGCTCCTGGTATGGCCACGTGGCCTTCTGGGTAGCAAAACCACAACAGGTGAGACAGGATGTTGCATACAGATGAGTGGGGAGTTGCACAGCTAGTCAAAGGAGACTATTGGCCAAGGCCTTGCCACCTTCTTGACAAGCCTCACCCAGCTGCCTCGCCCTTTCCACAACACTTTTACCTTCATGAGGAACTCTTTGGACCATAAACTCCTTCTGCCTTCACTCACATATGAGAATTGCTGAACACTGAGAACTTGCCAGGTTCTAGGCTTCTGGCTGGGCACTGAGGGGTGGCAGGGGGATGAAAAATGCAACATGTAGCTTTCAGGGGGCACTTAGTCTGCTGAGAGACAGATAAGAAAACAAAGACAGTAAGTTGCAGGGATGAGGGCTTGGACTTGGGTTAGGAGGGGATCTCTAGGAGCTATATCAAGGTGGCTAGTGAAGTGGCTTATGCCCAGCTTCTCAACGAAGCCTTGTCCCCCAGAATTGCTCTGGGGAACTGAAGCTGAACCTGGTCCAAGACTCATTCAACCAGAGAGCTAGGTAACCCTTTATTGAGCAGCCACTGTAGCCCTGGGCTGGGCCTGGTATATTTTCAAAAATTTATTTTTAATAAATAGTAATGTAGTTACATAGTTCAAAAAATCAAGCAATACTACAAGGCTTATAAAGAAAAACAGCAAACCTGCTCCTTGTCTTTCAACCTTGTTCCCTGTCTCCAGATGCAGTTACTTGCACATCTTTTATCAGTTTATTTGGGTGTTTACATCCGTATTTTTAAACTACTGCTTATGTTGTTACTGACTTTTTGGTTTTGGACCTTATCTGTTCACTTCCTACTTTGATGAGGATTTAACCCTTATTTCCCTGCCCTCAAAATACATATTCTGTATATAATTATTTCATAATTTCTAATTAAGTTAATAAGCAGTATTTACATGGTTATGGTCATGTGTATATGCATAGCAGAGCCATATAATATACTATATATTCTTGCATAATTTTTATTTTCCCTCTGTTTTCCCTGTTTAATAGTGGTGTACAAAAACTAAACCAGTGAAAAAGTGGGGCAAGTAAAATAAATAATAAATAAATAATTGCCCCATTTTTTCACTTGTTTAGTTTTTATATACCATTATTAACTCATTACCAGACTTGTCACCAAATCTGGAAAACACCTGTCAAACTGGCAAGCAAATCAGCTTCTTTCATTGGAGATACCCTTCCTAGAGCTCTCAGACCATATCTTTTCTTCTGTCTGGATTGGTGCCTGCTGAGGGCTGCTGCCACACAGCTGTTGCATGGAAGCTTCTTTGCTTCTGCACATCCCCAGATTCCCATCTGTCCTAGGATAAATCCCCCATGGCAGGAACCCATAGCGTTCTCTTTATTTTGTTTTTGTTTTTTTTTTTTTTTTTTTGAGACAGGGTTTCTGTTGCCCAGGCTGGAGTGCAGTGGCACAATCTCAGCCCACTGCAGCCTCCGCCTCCCCAGTTCCAATAATTCTCATGCCTCAGCCTCCCGAGTAGCTGGGATTACAGATGCATACCACCACACTCAGCAAAGTTTTTTTTTTTTGTTTTTTGTTTTTTTTTTTGAGACGGAGTCTTGCTCTGTTGCCCAGGCTGGAGTGCAGTGGCACAATCTTGGCTCACTGCAACTTCTGCCTCCCGGGTTCACACCATTCTCCTGCCTCAGCCTCCCGAGTAGCTGGGACTACAGGCGCCCGCCACTACGCCTGGCTAATTTTTTGTATTTTTAGTAGAGACGGGTTTCACTGTGTTAGCCAGGATGGTCTCGATCTCCTGACCTCGTGATCCACTCGCCTCGGCCTCCCAGATTGCTGGGATTACAGGCGTGAGCCATCACGCCTGACCTGCTAAGTTTTATATTTTTAGTAGAGTGGGGTTTCACCAAGTTGGCCAGGCTGGTCTTGAACTCCTGGCCTCAAGTGATCTTCCCGCGTTGGCCTCCCAAAGTGCTGGGTTTACAGGCATGAGCCACCACGCCTAGTCTCCATGGCTTTCTTTTTCTTCATTTACTGCCTTGTTTTGTTTTTATGAACCATATTCTATTTTTTTTTTTCTTTTTTTTGACCAAGTCTCGCACTGTCGCCTAGGCTGGAGTGCAGGTGGTGTGATCTCGGCTCACTGCAACCTCCGCCTCCTGGGTTCAAGCAGTTCTCTGCCTCAGCCTCCTCCCGAGTAGCTGGGATTACAGGCGCCTGCCACCAGGCCCGGCTAATTTTTGTATTTTTAGTAGAGACGGAGTTTCATCATCTTGGCCAGGCTGGTCTTGAACTCCTGACTTCGTGATCCACCTGCCTCGGCCTCCCAAAGTGCTGGGATTACAGGCGTGAGCCACCACGCCCGGCCAAACCATATTCTTTAGTGGTTTCCTGAACAAGGTACCTGGAGGGCAAATTGTTGCACATCTGAAAATGTCTATTCTGCCTCAAATCTGATGGATATTTTGGCTGGGTTTTATAATTCCAGGTTAGAAATAATTTTCTTTCTGAATATAGAGACTTTATTTTCTTTTTTCTTTTTCTTTTCTTTTTTTTTTTTTTTTTTTAAAGACAGTCTTGCTCTGTTGCCAGGCTGGAGTGCAGTGGCACAATCTTGGCTCACTGCAACCTCCGCCTCCCGGGTTCAAGCAATTCTCCTGCCTCAGCTTCCCAAGTAGCTGGAACTACCAGCATGCACCACCACACCCAGCTAATTTTTGTATTTTTAGTAGAGATGGGGTTTCACCATGTTGGCCAAGATGATCTCGATCTCTTGACCTCGTGATCCACCCTCCCCGGCCTCCCAAAGTGCTGGGATTACAGGTATGAGCCACTGTGCCTGGCCGAGGTTTTATTTTCATATATTGCTGTTGAGAGAGCCAGTCCATAATGGTGATTTCTTTTTTCCCCCAAAGGTTTTAGGTATTAAAATTCACAGTGCTGTGTTGTGGTATAGCCTTTCTTCACTTATTATGCTGGGTACTTTGTGTGGGTCTTTTTAACTTGGAAACTCATGTCCTTTTGTTCAGGAAAGTATTTTTGTGTTATATCTAATAATTTCCTCCCCTGTTTTCTCCTTCTGGAACTTCTGTGAGGAAATTTGGTTAGTTGTGTAATCATGTTTTTCTCACCTATCCTCCTTTCTCTTTATTTTTTTAATCTTCTGAGAGATATTCTTTTCTTTACCTTCCAATTCTTTGGAACTTCGAATATTTGTTAAAAATTTTAATTCTACATTCTAGTTTTTTTCTAACATTTATGATATTTGTCATTTCACGTAAAAGAGGCTTATGAAATAATGATCCTAGAGTGTCTGTTCATATTTAAAATAAGGCATTAAACAACTGATTAGAATCTGTGTTTACGTACAAGATTGTCAACCAATGGGGCCTCACTGTAAGTAGCTTTTTAAACTTGTGGGATCCCTGAATGGCCATAACTTTTCCCGTGAGCTTATTGGTGTCTCCAGAAAAGATTCCTCCAGTCTTTCAGCAGATAGGTGGAAACTATAAAGAATCAAATGGAGATGATAAAAATTTAAAACATGATAAATCTTTGGGCATATCAACAGACTAGACATGCAAAAGAATGCATTAGTGAACTTAACTGTTGGTGAATAGAAATTATCCAAATTGAAAAACAAAGAAAATTGCATCCAAGAACTGTAGTACAATATCAAATGGTCTGCCATTGAACAATGCAGAGGTTAGGGGCACCAACTCCCCACGCAATTGAAAATCTGCATATAATTTAACTGCTGATTAACTACTGTTGACTGGAAACCTGACAAATAACATAACAGTCAGTACGTATTTTGTGTGTTATATGTCTTATATACTGTATTCTTCCAATAAAATAAGCTAGAGAAATGAAATTAAGAAAGTCAGAAGGAAGAAATATATTTACTACTTAAGTGAAAGTGGATCCTCATAAAGGTCTTCATCACTGTCATCTTCACTTTGAGTAGGCTGAGGAAGAAGAGGACAGTCTTGCTTGGTCTTGCTGTCTCAGAGGTGGCAGAGGTAGTGGAAGTATAATAGAAGGGGAGGCAGGAGAGATTTATTGAAAAAAAACCCACGTATAAGTGGACCCATGCAATTCAAACACGTGTTTTCAAGGGTCAACTGTACTTGTAATTGGTGTCCTAGGAGTAGAGAGAGGACATGGGTCAAAAGTAATATTTTTACAAAATTAACCAAAGATGGCAAGCACAGATCCAAAAAGCTCAAAAATTGCCAAGTAGAATGAATACAAAGAAAACACATTTAGGCACATTATGGTCAAAGTGCTGAAAACTAAATATAAGAAAAAAATCTTAAGGACCAGGTGCAGTAGTTCACGCCTGTAATCCCAGCACTTTGGGAGGCTGAGGCAGGCAGATCATTTGAGGTCAGGAGTTTGAGACCAGTCTGGGTAACATGGTGAAATCCCGTCTCTATTAAAAATACAAAAAATTAGCAGGGCATGGTGGTAGGTGCCTGAAATCCCAGCTACTTGGGAGCTGAGGTGGGAGAATTGCTTGAACCCAGGAGGAGGAAGTTGTAGTGAGCCAAGATCATGACAGAGTGAAACTCTGTCTCAAAAAAAAGGAAAAAAAGTATCTTAAAGGAAGCCAGGAAAATAAATATTACATAAAAATGAACAAAGATAAGAATGACCATAGGAATCTTGACAAAAACTGTAAGCCCACAGATAAAAGTGACACCTTTAAGGTGCTGAAAGAAAAAAATCTGTCAACTTAGAATTCTGTTATCAGCAAAAATATTTTTCAACAATGAAAGTGAAATAAAGACTTTAAGACAAATAGAAGTTGAGGGAATTCATTGCCTGCAGACTTGCACTGCAAGAAGTGATAAATTCTTTAGTGCAAAAGAATATGAAAACCAGATAAATATTTGGATCTACACAAAGGGGTAAGTTTCAGCATCACAGATGTAAAATCTTTTTTTTTTTTTTGTCTCTTTAGAAGATAATCACTATAAGGCACAAATGGTAACAATGCTTATATGATAGAATGGAATCATTAAAATGCCAAATTTAATCAAAGGCAATAAGAAAAAAGGGAACTAAGATCACATGGGACAATTTAAAAAAATAAGATGGTAGATTTAAACCCAGGCATAGTGACAATTACGATAAATATAAGTGGTCTACTCGTGGATAAGTTCAAACTAAATGGATGGGAAAAAATATAACATCCTAACATTCATAAAGGAAAGCTGAAGTGGTTACATTAGAACAAGCAATGTTGCTAAGGATAAGATGAGACATTTCATAATGATAAATGGGTGAATTCATCAAGAAAACAGTTCTAAACAGGTGTGTACCTAATTACAGTTTCAAAATACATGAAGTAAAATCTGCTCTCATTGAAAGGAAAAATATATAAAATCAAAACTACATTTTGAGGCCAGGCACAATGGTTCACACCTGTAATCCCAGCACTTTGGGAGGCCAAGGCTGATGGATTGCTTAAGTTCAAGACCAGCCTGGGAAATGTGGGGAAAACCCATATCTACAAAAAAATACAAAAATTAGCCAAGCGTGGTGGCTTGTGCCTGTAGTCCCAGTTTACTCACACAGAGCAAGCAAGACTCTGTCTAAAAACAAAAAACAAAAAGATTAAAATGATACAAACTATGTTCCTTGAGCTGAATAGAATTGAATTAGAAATAAACAACAAAGACACCTAGAAAATCCTAAAACATTGGGAAATTAAACAATGCACTTCTAAATATCCTATGGGTAAAAGATAAAATCACAATGATACTATAAAGAAAAAAAATCTATCTATCTGTCTATCTATCTATCTCACTATGCCTGGGTTTAAATCTACCATCTTATTTTTTAAATTGTTCCGTGTGATCTTAGTTCCTTTTTTTATTGCCTTTGATTAAATTCAGCATTTTAATGATGCTATGCTGTCATATAAACATTGTTACCATTTTTGCCTTAGTGATTATCTTCTAAGGAGACATATATATACATACTTTTATATATATATACATACTTTTATGTATATACATATATATACACATACACATATATATATATATATATATATATATTTTTTTTTTTTTTTTTTTTTTTTTTTTTTTTTTTTTTTCCTCTGAGATCCTCTGGCCCAGGCTGGAGTACAGTGGTGTGATCTCAGCTCACTGCAACCTCCACCTCCTGGGTTCAAGTGATTCATTTGCCTCAGCCTTCTGAGTAGCTGGGATTACAGGTGCATGCCACCACACCTGGCTAATTTTTGTATTTTTAGTAGAGACTATGTATTTTTAGTAGAGACGTTATAGTTTCACTATGGTGGCCAGGCTGGTATCAAACTCCTGGCCTCAAGTGATCAGCTCGCCTCAGCTTCCCAAATTGCTGGGATTCCAGGCGTGAGCCACTGTGTCCAGCCTTGTCTGAAATTTCATTACCAAGTCGGTATTAGAAAATATTTTGAACTAATAAATTAAAATGAAAGCACAACATCTTCATTACCTCTTTTTTTTTTTTTTTGAGATAGTTTCGCTATTGTTGCCCAGGCTGGAGTGCAACGGTGCGAGCTCAGCTCACTGCAACCTGCGCCTCCCGGGTTCAAGCGATTCTCCTGCCTCAGTCTCCCTAGTAGCTGGAATTACAGGTGGATGCCATGACACCCAGATAAGTTTTGTATTTTTAGTAGAGACAGGGTTTCACCATGTTGGTCAAGGCTGGTTTTGAACTGCTGAACTCAGGCAATCCACCCACCTCAGCCTCCCAAAGTGCTGGGATTACAGGCGTGAGCCACCGCACCTGGCGTCATTACCTTATTTAATCTTAATTACCTCCCGAAGATCCCTTCTCCAAATGCAGTCACATTGGGAGTGAGGGCTTCAAAATATGAATTTGAGGGGAACACAATTCAGTCTGTGGCATACCTTAAGAAGCTAGAGGGGAACAGAATAAACCCAAAGTATGCAGAAGAAGGGAAAAAGTAAAGATGAATAAAATAGAAAAATTAATGAAATAAAAGACTTTTCTCTGAAAAGATGAATAAAATGATAACTCACTGGGTGCAGTGGCTCACGCCTGTAATCCAGCACTTTGGGAGGCCAAGGTGGGTGGATCACCTGAGGTCAGAAGTTAGAGACCAGCCTGACCAACATGGTGAAAGCCCGTCTCTACTAAAAATACAAAAATTAGCTGGGCATGGTGGCGAGCGCCTGTAGTCCCAGCTCCTCAGGAGGCTGAGGCAGGAGAATCACTTGAACCCCGGAGGCAGAGGTTGCAGTGAGCCGAGATCGTGCCACTGCACTCCATCCTGGGTGACAGCAAGACTTTGCCTCTAAAGAAGACAAACAAACAAAAAAATGATAACTCTCCAGTCAGACTTATAAAAAGAGAAAAAAGATGTAAATCACCAGTATCAGGAATGAAGGAGTAGACATCAATATAGATCTTACAGATTAAGATAATATTTTGAATAACTTTATGCCAAGAAATTATACAATTTAGATGAAATGGAGAAATATTTTGAGAAACGCAAACTGCTGAAGATCACACAAGAAGAAAAAGAACCTGAATAGCCCCTATTTCTGAAAGAAATTGAAGTCATAGTTAAAAGCCCTCCCACAGAGAAAGCTGTAGGCCCTGGTGGCTTCACTTGTGAATTCTACCAAACATTTAAGGAAGAAATGTTACCAGTTCTACATAAAGTCTTTCAGAAGATAGAAATATCTCTGATCCCAAAGAAAAATCTAAAGAATCTACAAAGTAAGTTGCCACCTTACTGCAACTAAAAAGTTGTAGAGCGTTTAGTGAGGTGATAGGATACAAGGTCAATATGTAAAGACAGTGTATTTCTATGTCCTAGCCACAAACAATTAGAAGTTAAAATGAAAGTATACCTCACTTCAGCTGATTAAGAACAAGAGTATGAATTAAAATTAGACTGCTTGGGGCCAGGTGCGGTGGCTCACACCTGTAATCCCACTTTGGGAGGCCAAGGTGGGCAGATTACGAGGTCAGGAGCTCAAGACCAGACTCACCAACATGGTGAAACCCCGTCTTTACTAAAGATGTAAAAAATTAGCCAGGCGTGGTGGCGTGCGCCTGTAATCCTAGCTACTTGGGAGGCTGAGGCAGGAGAATCGCTTGAACTCAGGAGGCAGAGGTTGCAGAGAGTTGAGATTGTGCCATTGCACTCCAGCCTGGGAGGCAAGATGAGACTCCGTCTCGGAAAAAAAAAGTTAGACTGCTTGGGTATAAATGGGAGCCCTGTCATTGAGTAGATGCATGATTTTTAATAAATTTTTAAATTTCTATGCTTTGGTTTTATTGTTTATAAACAATTGTATAATCACACCTTTGCAGAGTTTGCAAAAAAAACATACACAGAAAGCCTCGATAGCTCAGTGTCTGCCACAGAGCTGAGAGAAACAGATGTCTACTCCCATTTTACAAACAGAGGTAGAGGAAGTGCCTTGCCTGAGGCCAGGGTTGAATTCTGCCTTCACCCATTTTGTCAGCAACACACTGGTGGAGAAGAGAGCTCTGGTGGGCACTGTTCTCTCAGGCAGGCTCAGAAGTGGGCGGGAGCATAGATACAGCTCCCACAGGGCTGTTTCTGCCACAGACATGGACGTCTCGCTGCCTAATGAAGTTCTATGCTGTGGTGGCCACCTCACCTGCATCTTGGGAGAGCCACAAGATTGCAGAGAGGATAGAACAGAGGATCCTGAACTCCAACCCTGTCATGGAAGCTTTTGGTGAGCTTGGGCTCCTTTGCACAGTATCTCAGTCCCATTTCCTCTGGGATTTTCCACCTTCCAGGGAGAGGGACAGTGCTTTGAGACCCTCTCTTGGGTGGGGGTGGAGGATGAGTGTATCCTTCACTGCCTCAGATCCCCAACCTCTCCCTGGTACTCCTTAGCATCATTCTAACAGAGGTCATGTCATTCAGTCCTCTTCCTCGCTCCAGCCTAGGCACACATAACAGTCGTGCTGGAGAAGACCTGGTGGCTTAGCTCGTCCAAATTCTGTCTTTCTATCCAGTTTCCTGATGGTTCAATGAAGGGTACTTGTTAAGGGATACAAGGTGATTAGTGTTTGTGTTGGCACTGGAACCCAGATGTGCCTTCCTGTCTAAAGTCAGTAGTGACAGCTGATTGTTTTTGACCTTTCCCTTCAAAGAAAGGTCCCTGACTGCCTAGGCTTGCTCATTCCAATTTCTTGCCAGGAATTTCTTCTAACTCCCCTGAATCCCACTTGCTAAAGCATGAGGGCCCATTTTCTAGTCCTGTCCCCTATGACATGAAAACCAACAAAGGGGCCTTTAGGTGACTTGAGCACGGGAACATGACCTCCAGAGACCTGCAGCCACCTTGGCTTATGAGGACTCTGCAAACCCAGGGGAGTGAAATAAACATAGGTGTGATCTGTAGGGAATGCGTGTACACTGAGGAATAACAACAGCAGTCGCTTTGGGAAGTTCATCCAGCTCCAGCTGAACAGGTAATAGCTGCTGTTGCCCTGGCTAGTGGGAGGATGGGACTGGGGAGGTTGAAAGTGGCTGGGGCAGTATCTGGCCTGGGCCACCCCTATGGGCAAAAACCCTGCTCCTCCTGGTGCATGCCCTTTACCTCAGGTGTGAGCTCTGAGGGTGATCTTTGCACCTGGAGAACTATAGCTCCTCTCCCCTTGGGGAACCCTGGGGCAGTGCGCTTATTCAGGCCTGGGTTCCTCCTGGCTTTTACTCTTGCTCAGGGACTTCAAGCTAAATTGCCACCTCTTTGGACCATATCCCTGAGCTTGAGGCTGAGACTTCGACTCCTGTCTTGGGGTAGAGCAAAGTGATGTGCAGAGGCCTTGGCCCTGCCCACCTGAGCTAGATGCAGGGGAATATTCCAGGACACCCAAGGACATTCTGAGTGGTCCCCACCCCTCAGTGCCCATTGGCTAAGTGGAAGAGCTTGGCGGGGAGTTGCCAGGTAGCAGGCAATCTGGCACACCCAGATTGCCAGACATGGCTATGGAATGAATGGGCAACTAACGGGCTCTGGCCTGTGTGTGTCCCAGGGCTCAGCAAATGACTGGAGCCGCAGTCCAGACCTACCTCCTAGAGAAAACTCGAGTGGCCTGCCAGGCTTCCAGTGAGAGGAACTTCCACATCTTCTATCAGGTTTGTGCCAAATGGGGCCACAGCCCCCCAGATGCGAGACAGGGATGGGTCCGTGTTTTTCAACCCCCCACTCCCCAGAATGCTCCATACCTGGTTCCTTCACCTAGCTTTTGATGGAGCCACCACTTTATCCTGCAGACTTTACATGCAGCACTTCTGCCTCACACTGCGCCTTGGCTCCCAGCACAGTTGTGGCCTGGGAGTATGTTTTACCTCCTCCATCAGACCAGAAGGTCCTTGAGGCTGGGACTGTATCTCTAGGGTGGAAGCCGTGTCACTCTTATCATTTTAAGGGCTCTCCTAGAATGGCATCTGTCGCTAACAGAACAAGGGCTTCCCTAGAGTTGTGCCTTTTCCATCGGACTGGGAGTCCCCCAAGGCATGGATAGGATATCTCCCTTTCTCTCAAAATCGGAGCATCCTTAGGTGATGGGTATGCCTCCCACGTCAAGACGACGGACTCCCTGGGCAGGAGTTGTCCTTTTTTCACCAGACTGCAGGTTTCCCTAGAGCAAGGTTCTTTTGCATCAGGTTGGAGACATCCAGGGCTATGTTTACGGCATCTTTTGCCCCCATACCTGCCGTGGGCTCTCGGAAGGGACCTCTGAGCCTTGTGATGTTGCTACCAACTCTCCTCTTATCCCAACCCCATGCCTGCCTATGCAGGCCTGGGCTTTTCTCAGACCCCCTACCCAGCCTCCCACCTACCCTTCTCCACAGATTTGCAAAGGAGCCAGTGAGGACGAGAGGCTCCAGTGGCACCTTCCTGAGGGAGCTGCCTTCTCCTGGCTGCCCAACCCAGAGAGGAGCTTAGAAGGTAAGGGGAGCCCCATCCAGCACCTTGCGCTGACCCAGCATCACCCACCCACTCTGTACAGAGCCTGCCTCCCTCGCATCTTGCTGCTGCTGACCTCTGCCCCGAACTTGGATTCTTTTTCAGAGGATTGTTTTGAGGTGACCAGAGAGGCCATGCTCCATTTGGGCATTGACACCCCTACCCAGAACAACATCTTTAAGGTCAGAAGAAAAGCCACGCCACTTAAGTTTGGCAGAGATGACGGGCAGCCCTTTGCATAGAGCTTTTCCCTGGACTTGGAGTTGGTCTTTCCCTGAGGATCTAGGACTTTGGGCCCTTCTGTGCTACCTCCAAGGAATCAGTCACCTCTGTTCTGCTGAGTCTGGAGACCAGGTGGTGGGGTGGACGGGGCATAAGGAAGAGTGATGCATACACAGTGCTAGAGTACAGAATGCAGTAAGTGATCCATGGGGGCAGAGAGCAAGGTACCGCATGATCAGAAGAGAGAACTAGTGCTACCGCCTTGCTTGTCTAGTACATTAAAACTTACAAGTCATGTTCACACTTCTCTGCTCACTTAGTTTTTTAAACAGTCCTCTGTGTGTGTTTATTTCCCTTTATGCCTGAGAAAACCAGAGAGGTAAAGTGACGTGCCCAAGGTCAGATACCACTAAGTGGTGATACAGAGTACCAGACATAGTAATTCCAAGTTCCTACCCTCTCTGTCTTCCCCCAACCCGTGCCCCGTCGTCCTCTGGAACATGAGACTGCCCCAGGTGAGCTGGGCTCCTCTCAGTCACACTAGGGGGGCCTCCCTTCTGTCTTTGCTGACAGAGCTGACTACCTCCTCTCATCTTCCTCACCCTCTAGAGCAGCAGGAGGGGATAGATAGGATGGCCTGGCAGTCGAGAAAGGGAGGCCACTTCAGGGAGGTAGCAATGCAGTGGAAAGTGACCCTCACCTCCAGATGGGGGCTGCTCAGACACTGCCAGGTAAGAACTTGACAGAAGGACAGTACCTGGGGACAAGCCCAGGATAAGTGGACAACACTGGGAGTCGGGGCAGGAGTGCTTTGGGGGTGGGCATGACCCTCTGCCACAGCCCTTCTGCCTGGTGGGCATGGCAGTCTTCTGGAGCAAGTTGTGGCCGGAAGACCAGTAGCACATGGAGGCACCCTGCCTGGGACCATATAGGAATGGTGGGTGGGGTCCCTGTGTCAGGTCTGAGGGTGGTGGTTTTTTCTTTTTTTTTTTTTTTTTTGAGATGGAGTTTTACTCTAGTTGCCCAGTCTAGAGTGCAGTGGCACAATCTCAGCTCACTGCAACCTCCTCTTCCCGGGTTCAAGTGATTCTCCTACCTCAGCCTCCGAGTAGCTGGGATTACAGGCATGTGCCACCACACCCAGCTAATTTTGTGTGTGTGTGTGTGTGTGTGTGTGTGTGTGTGTGTGTGTTTATTTTTAGTAGAGATGGAGGTTCACCATATTGGTCAGGCTGGTCTTAAACTTCTGACTTCAAGTGATCCACCTGCCTCAGCCTCCCAGAGTGCTGGAATTACAAGCGTGTGCCACCATGCCTAGCTGGGTCTGAGGGTTTTGAAGTTGCTGGGCCTTGGTGGGGTGAGGGGAGCTTCTGTCTATAGCCCCAGGGGGCTTGTCGGTGTGGAACATTGAGTACAAAGGCAAAGGGGCACCCATCGGACACAGACCAAGGTCACAGTGCCTCCAGCAGGCTGGGCTCTCAGAAGCCTGACAGTGGGAAAGGGCTCAAGGAAGCAGAGACAAGCCTCCAGCAGGCACACAGAAGCAGCCCTGCCCCCAGTCACCAGTCTATTCCTAGAGAGCAGGGGGCAGAAATGTAGAGGATGGGTGGGCATGGAGGCCCACAGGCTGCCCCAGGAGACATCTGAAGTCAGCCTGGGTTCTCATCCCACCTTTCCCCTCAGGAAGCACGTGTCCTCAGTCTCATCTCTATCATAGGCAGTGGCGTAGCACATACCTTACAGGTTGTTGAAAAGTTGCAATGAGGCGATGCATGTAACTTGTATAGAATTGTGTCTGGCAGAGATGGGCACTTGGGCCATGATTGGGAGCTGCCCTTCTGCTGTCGTGATTGTACTCAGCAGAACGGCCCTTCCCAGAGTAGGCCCACGTCACGCCCTCTCCTACTCCCACCCATCCTTTTCTTTCCCCCAGGTCCTAGCTGGACTGCTGCACCTTGGCAATATCCAGTTTGCTGCCTCCGAGGATGAAGCCCAGCCCTGCCAGCCGATGGATGATGCCAAGTGTGAGGGTCAGGGTGTAGGATGGGGCAGGCCCTGTCAGGAAGGTAGCCAGCATTGCTGGGGTTGGGTGGAAGGCTGGATGGTGAAAATTGGAATCTGATGCCCTTGCTTATGCCACCCACCATAGGGCCTGGCCCTGGATCATTTACTCCTCACCCTGTCTGGTGAGGCAGACAGTATCGTCCCCATCTTAAAGATGAGAAAATGAGTCAGAGGTTTGTAAAGTGATTTGTCCCATACATGGCAGCATGGACTGGTACATGAAAGTGCTGGGTTTGAGTTCTGACTGCTGTTTATGGAGTCCTTTGGGTGAGTCACTTCACTGATCAGAACTTAGGTTTCTTCTGTCCAGTTGGGCAAGTCATGGTCCCGCTGTGATGACTTCACAGTGCCTCGTGAAGAGGACTGGATGGAGAGTGATTTGCCTAAAGAGGATTTGCCCCTCCCAGACTCTGTCAGGACGGCAGCCTCGCTGCTGGGGCTCCCAGAGGACGTGCTGCTGGAGATGGTGCAGATTAGAACCATCAGGGCAGGCAGACAGCAGCAGGTGTTCCGGAAGCCCTGCGCCCGAGCCGAGTGTGACACCCGTAGAGACTGCCTGGCCAAACTGATCTATGCGCGGTGAGCAGTTACTCTGGCCCCTTGTTGGGGAGGACCCCGACAAGTGCTCTTCCTGTCCGGGGTTGGGCCAGACAACATCAGGCAATAGGCACAGGCCCAGGGTGGGAGATAAGACAGACTGGTTCCTCTCCCTGCTCCTCAAACCCCTGGACACATCAGGGCACAGCTCCCAGGTTTCACCAAGCAGCGTCTGTGGCCTCTTTCTGAGTGGGAAAGTTGCTACATTCCTGGCCAGAATTCAGCTCATTATTAAAGTTCAGGAGGCTGCTTTAGCCTCAGCAAGGTGAAGAGAACCTGCTCAGCTGTCTGCTGGCAAGGCAGGCCCCAAAGGTGATCTAGAGCCTTCGCAGTTCCTGCTTCAGATCCTTGGCTGAATGGGCCTCTCTGTCTCCCTGTGCCTTTGTACATCACCTAGGAGTTTGATAGATTGTGGTAAAGCCAGAGGCTCAGCCCACAGCATGTAGCACAGTGGTGAAGGTGGGGTCCTGGCCTTTTCTGGTAGATTACGTGGGTACCTCCACCCTCTGGCCATGTGGTTAAGGATGATCTCTCACCTTGAGTTCTGAGATTCTTCAGCAGGCCTTGTAAGGGCTTCAGGGGCCCAGAATCCTCTGAGATGAGCCAGAATGAGTGTATGTGTGTGCATGTGCACATGAGACCTTGGGCACCTTTCTGGGGAGAGGGTCCCCTGCTTTCATAAACTCCACAAAGAGCCAATAGCCTGAGAAGCTCTGCTGGGGGAACCAGATCGTCCGAGTTGAAAATGGTCCAGGGCAGCTGAGGCCAGACTAAATCCATTTCAGCAAGAGACTAGTTACCACTGCCTCAAGCTAATTTCAGGTCACAATTTGAGGTCAAAGGCTTTTAAAGCCTTTGCCTACAAGTCACTCCAAGATGAGCAGATAAAGTGTGATGAACACAGATAGAGTGAGCTTCTGACCACAGGACATTTGCACAGCCCCTGTTGCAAAAAGAGCCAGTTTATTTACTGAAGGGAAAAAAGTTGCAGAGCAATTACTTTAAGAAAAAATGTGAGGAAGAAACCCCTGTATAGTGCTGTACGTGTCAGCGTCTTGTGTGGTAGTCTCATCTTCTCTGGGCTGGGGCCGGTTCTAGAGTGGAGGATGCCATTGTTGACCTCGGGACTGGGGGCCCACTTGTGCAGAACTACATCAGGGGGTATGGTGGGGCCTTGAGCTCTGGGCTCCACCGGTAGAGTTTTGCAGGGGTGTTCAATGAACTCAGTTATTTACAAACCACACCCAGGCCCATCTGCCCCTTCCCAAGACACTAGCTGGGTCTCGAGCCATGTGACTGAGCTCGACTGATTCCCTCCCCAGCCTAGGAGCTGAGCTTGTCCTGTGCTCAGTCTTCCCATAAGGACATGCCAGGTTTGTGTGTACCTGGCAACATGCATGCCCATAGCCTGCATCTGTAGTAGGTCAAGACGTGATAGGCCGGAAGCAAGAGGAGAGGATTTGGTCTTTGACCTGTCAGGCTCAGAATACAAGGGCCCCCCAGGGTGTAGCACCCTGATGGGGGGAGCAATTTTACCACCCCTTTGACTCAGCCAGACCCTCTTACCAGAGTCCACTCTCTTCCCCCAACAGGTTGTTTGACTGGCTGGTATCAGTGATCAACAGCAGCATCTGTGCAGACACCGACTCGTGGACCACTTTCATAGGTAGCAAGGCCTCACTGTGCTGGGAGCACTCCAGAAAAAGAGCAATAAAGCCCTGGATGGAGAGGCAGGAGCCCTGGGTCCACTGTGTGACTCTGGGCAGTTCCTTTCCCTTTTTTGTCTCCTCTTGCATCTGCCTGCCAGCATAGAGCGAGATCTCTGCATAGGGTGAGATCTCTGCTCTCCTGCACCCACATCTGAGCAGTCCATAACTCTCCAGACAGGCTCAACAGTGCCTTGTCTGAAAGAGCCCTTTACCTCCCCAGAGACCCAGCTCTAATTGTGGGAGAGTAGTGGGGGTTGGGGAAAATAGCTGTATTAGAAGGGACTTTGGAGGCTGGCACCGTGGCTCACACCTGTAATCCCAACATTTTGGGAGGCCAAAGTGGGAGGATCACTGGAGGCCAGGAGTTGGAGACCAGCCTGGGCAATATAGCAAGACCCCATTTCAAAGAAATTAGCCAGGCATGGTGCTACATGCCTGTAGTCCCAGCTACTCAGGAGACCGAGGTGGGAGGATCACTTTAGCCCAAGAGTTTGAAGCTTCTGTGAGCTGTGATCACACCACTGCACTCCAGCCTGGTCAACAGAGCAAGACCCTATCTCAGGGGGGAGAACAAAAAAAGACTTGGGGGACATGACTGAGGGAGGTCAACACGGTTGTAACTAGGTGGGACAGTCAGTTATAGGAGGAAATAAAGCTTAAAGGTACAAGTGCAGTTTGCTCATGGAATGGTGGAATTCTAGGCACCAAATTGGCTAGTGAGACTAATGCCCTCCGAACTAGATTTAACACAGAAAATGTTCCCTGGGACCTGGTTTCCTCATAGGAGGTGCCTATCAGAACCAGAGAATTCAGACTCAAAAATGGGCCTGATGCTCTGGGCTGTCTTCACACTTCATTTGGGTTTCCTGCTTGCTCTGAGCTCTACAGGGGAATGGGGTAGAGATGGGAGCCACCTTGGGTGGAGGGTGGGGAAGGTATGTTCTGCCCACCACAGGTGTCATGCTCACTCAGCCTGATGCCCAGGCTGCCAAGTATAAGGCATTGGCAGGGGCCCAGCCACCCTGGGTTCCTTGGTCCCCTATTCCCCATCTGCTCCCTGCAGTGGCCCCATGGGTTCTCTGCCATCTTCCCAGGCCTGCTGGATGTGTATGGATTTGAATCATTTCCTGACAACAGTCTGGAACAGTTGTGCATCAACTACGCCAATGAGAAGCTGCAGCAGCATTTTGTGGCTCACTACCTAAGGGCCCAGCAGGTGAGGGATGGGGTGAGCAGGAGGCAGGTCCTTCTTTTGGATCCTCAATCCCTTCCTGACCTTCCAGCCCCAGTCCAGGTTCTGATTAGAAGCCTTTTGTTCCTTCTTATTTTATTTTTAATTGACAAATAATAATTGCACATATGGAGTACAATGTAATGTTTTGATATACTTTTGTTTCTTTGATGCTGTTCTGGAATACGCTGTGGTACCGAGGCCAGCCGTGGATGGCCCGTCAGGACATCAGACCACAGCTGCCTTCTCCCACCTCATCCCACCTTGTTCTTTAGGAGGAATACGCAGTTGAGGGCCTGGAGTGGTCATTCATCAACTACCAGGACAACCAGCCCTGTTTGGATCTCATTGAGGGAAGCCCCATCAGCATCTGCTCCCTCATAAATGAGGTGGGGAGGTCAGCTAATGAGCCGAGCACCAGAGTTGGCCTTTGGGTTTTCTGGGGCCTTGATGATTATCCTGTTTCCTCTCTGTGCCTCTCTCCTCCCAGTCTGCCAAATAGATCTGCTAATTGCTATATTTTTTCTGTTGGGGACACTATGATGCCTGTGTGATGTCTGCTGTCATGGGGTCCACAGGGTGGGGACAGTGAGGGTTGTGGTGAGACACTCTCATGTTGGTGGCTGACCCCCTGTTCCCATCCCACAGGAATGCCGCCTCAATCGACCCAGCAGCGCAGCCCAGCTCCAGACACGCATTGAGACTGCCCTGGCAGGCAGCCCCTGCCTGGGCCACAATAAGCTCAGCCGGGAGCCCAGCTTCATTGTGGTGCATTATGCGGGGCCTGTGCGGTACCACACAGCAGGCCTGGTGGAGAAGAACAAGGTACGGGCTGGGCCATGCCCTGTGGGGCCTGCGAGAAACGAGATGCTGGGTCTTTGCTATGCAGACATAGTAGTTTCCCATCGTGAGTCCTTTCTCTCCTGAACCTCCTCCCAGAATCCAGAATCACCATCTTGGGCCCACCTGTCTGAGGTCTCCACTAATCAAGCATGACCTGCCTGGAGATAACCCATGTTAGACTGGGTCTCCAGGTCTCTGGTTGTCCAATGGACCTTCTCTTGGACTCAGGCCCTGTCCTACCTGGAAGCCCCGTCATCTGCGGCTTGGGTGGGCAGTGGATGGCCCTGAGCAGAAGCTCCACCTGCCCTCACTGCTGCTCTTGCCATTTCCCAATAGGACCCTATCCCACCTGAGCTGACCAGGCTCCTGCAGCAATCCCAGGACCCCCTGCTCATGGGGCTGTTTCCTACTAACCCCAAAGAGAAGACCCAGGAGGAACCCCCTGGCCAGAGCAGGGCCCCTGTGTTGACCGTGGTGTCCAAGTTCAAGGTGGGTCTGATGTGCTGATGGGAGGTGCTTGGTTCAAACTCCACGGTCTCACAAATATTTATTGAGCACCTGCCGGGATCGGTGCTGTTTGTTGGGGAGCAGTGGCAAGTCAAGTAGATGTGGTCCCAGTCCCCTGGAGTTTATACTTCAGTGTGGAAGACAGAAACAGTAGACAAATAGGCTATCAGGTATAATATGATGGGAAGTCTAGGGGCCTATGGGGGCACTATGCAGCCTCTCACCCCCTGCCACTGGGGTGCTCATGGGAAGAGGATCAGCTACATGAGCTTCTTTGACCTGGCTCATCTCCAGCTGTCTAGCTTCCTGTTCTAACCCTACCCTCACTCACTTCTCTCACATCGTCTGCTTTCTACCACCTCTCAGTCCTTGCATGTACCGCCCCACCTTCCTGGGATACTCTTGACTACTGCCCCATCAGCTCCACCTCACTCCCATCCTCCACGCCCCTTTTCCTAGTTTAGTCCTTCTCATCCTTCAGACTTTAGCTTTATCACCACCACCTCGAGGAGGCACCTGGAAAACCAGGTTTGATTAGCACCTTCCTACCCAGCCTCAAACACACCCCCGAGGGTGTTCATCCAACATGTGTGGCCCATTGGAGTGAGCTCTGACATGGCAGCAGGCAGCCTGTGGCACAGCCTCCAACACACAGGATGAGCTGAGTGATAACAGTTGTTGCTGGACGAATGGCAAGAAGTTTTGAGATTGTTCTTTTCTAAGAAGATTGCTCTGGGGAGAAGTGGGGAGGGGAAAGAGGAGGAGATTGGATTCAGGGAGAACAGTCAGGGAGGATCACAGGTTTAGAAGGGTCCCTTAAGACAGAGGTGAGGAGCATGGGAAGTTGGGAGAGGAATGTGCTCTGAGCCTGCTCGTTGAGAGCCTGCAGCAGTCATCCCTGCACAGGAGATTCTTGGTCTCAGGATCATGGAAGGGCCCGCTGGAGGCATTTGATGTAGTTACTAACCAGAGCCCAGTTGATGGCCCTGGGCAGCCCCTCTCCCTGCCTAACCCCATGGTCTCTCATCTGCAGGCCTCACTGGAGCAGCTTCTGCAGGTCCTACACAGCACCACGCCCCACTACATTCGCTGCATCAAGCCCAACAGCCAGGGCCAGGCGCAGACCTTTCTCCAAGAGGAGGTAATTAACACCGGGCCAAAGCTGCTTCGCACCAAACCCCATCTGGCCAAGGCCCTGGAGAGATGAAGGGCAGGACATCTGTTCCAAATGGAGTGCACAGAAGTGGTCTCTCCGGCCAGGCCTGACATGAGAGAGGACCCATCTCCCTTGCTGTGGCAGGGCAGGCATGTATGGTTGTGTGGTCTGTGCATAGTAGCCTAGCCAGGGAGGCAAGTTCCAGTGCATCTTGTTTTTTTGAGCCATGTACCCTGATGAGAGACTGAAACTGCCCAGAGGAATGGGTGTCTCGTGATTAGCTGAAAGTCTACATCACCACACAGTCCCCGCACAGTGCAGCCATTTCTCACTGGAGGTATCATTTTTTTCTTTTTTTTTTTTTTTTTTGAGACTGAGCCTCACTCTGTCACCCAGGCTGGAGTGCAGTGGTGCAATCTCAGCTCACTGCAACTTCCGCCTCCCGAGTTCAAGTGATTCTCCTGCCTCAGTCTCCCAAATAGCTGGAATTACAGGTATGCACCACCACACCTGGCTAATTTTTGTATTTTTAGTAGAGATGGAGTTTCACCATGTTAGCCAGGCTGGTCTCAAACTCCTGACCTCAGGTGATCTGCCCACCTCAGCCTCCCAAAGTGCTGGGATTACAGGCATGAGCAGCCACTGCACTCAGCCGGTATCATTTTTTTCTAATCTAACAAAAGCACTCTAGCCAGCAGCTGCCCTTTTCTTGGGATTCCAGGTTCTGAGGGATGTGGATGAGGGGTGAATGCTGGGCACTGCTGAAGGTGTGGCCTGGTAGATGTGGCCTTCCGGTTTGTAGCCAGGACAACTCAGCTCTGTGGTAAAGACCTGGGTTCAGGTCACAGAAGAATCTTCATAGTATAATCTTCCCTGCCTCTCAGCTGTGAACCACCCTCTAATGCCTGCAGACAGTGAAAACAATCCAAACTGGAAATTTGCCTGGGCTGGGTTGTGTGGTAGTGAGACTACACTGAGGGCAGGGTGAGACGGAGCCAGGACATCACTTGCTTCAGCTGTATCAGAAGCCATGCGTCGGATGAGGGGGACTTGGGACCACCAGGACCCTTTCTAGTGGGAGATTTGTTTTCAAGGTCCCTCGATTTCTCACAGCCCCAAGGAGATACCCCCATTAGCCAAGCCTTGGGAGAGCCTGCAGCTTGGCACTGGCCAGGGTCTAAGAAGAAGGGCTGAGAGAATGGCATTTCTGGCCTGCTGGCCCCATGCTGCAGGTGCCTGCCCTGTCTCCCCACCCTTGCAGGTCCTGAGCCAGCTGGAGGCCTGTGGCCTCGTGGAGACCATCCATATCAGTGCTGCTGGCTTCCCCATCCGGTGAGTGGGCTCGATCACGGCACAGTGCAGGGCCAGTACAGAGTGGGGCTCAGGACTCTCATTGGGCAAGAGCCTGCCCAACCCAGAGTGAGATGTGGAAATGAAGAGAAAGAGGCTGGTCTGTAGAAGTCAGCTGGGAACTAGGGAGCAGCACCCATTCGTTCATCCATTCACTTATTGTGCACTATTTTGTACCCAGCTGATGGCTGTGACAAAAGCCACACTGGTACAATGTTGGGGACAGAAGCCAGACTCAGGAGGGCTGACAAGCAATTGGGAGGAAGTGCAGATATCAGGTGCCAGCAGCTGTCTGAGAAGTGTTGCCTTGATGAGGAGCAGGGAGATCTGGGGGAGGCAGAGGAGACTGTGGGGTCAGAGAGGTCAGAGGGGAGATGTGGCCAAGCATGTCTGCGTCATAGGACTGGTCCAATTGTTTGGGGAGAGGCCTGTCAGCCCCTTTGGAGGGAGGCAGCCCGCAAATCCCCTGCTAACACAAGAGATGCTTTGTGTTGGTAGACCAAGGCAGCAGGGAGAGCAGACCCATTTTAAATAGTCTTTATGGGTTTCCAACTAAGTGATCCTAGAAATCGCTTCAAAACCACATTCACATTCAGTGGGGATACTCGGGGAGGGCAGCACCGTGCTGTGTTGTTGAGCAGATTAAATAGAATAACTTCTGATGAGCCCTGAACCGTTAACCTGGCTCACAGATGAAGTAATTCTCTACTTCTGCCTGCTTTGGCCTCCAGGGTCTCTCACCGAAACTTTGTAGAACGATACAAGTTACTAAGAAGGCTTCATCCTTGCACATCCTCTGGCCCCGACAGCCCATATCCTGCCAAAGGGCTCCCTGGTGAGTGGGACCCATGAGTTAGTCATTTGTGCAACCACAGTTTACTGAGCATCTACCCTGTGCCCTGTCTTAGGGCTAGGGGCTGGGGCTTACTGGTGAATAAAACACAGCCCTGGTTTTGGTTCAGTGGGGGAAACAGATTCAAAAAAGACAAATAGCATGGAAAGTGGAAAAGCAGAGCTATGAGCAGGATGCTGTGGGTGGTGCTAGGGAGGTGTGAATTGGGGAAGGCTTCCTGGAAGAGGTAGTATCTGAGAATAAATTGGATTAGCCAGGTGATGGGTGGTCCACATGATAAATGTAATCTGAACAAAGGCCTAGAGGCTTGAGGCAGCAGTGTGGGTATGAGGAACTCCAGCCAGTTCTGTGTTGCTGGTTCATTGAGGCAGAGAACTGGGGCAGGTGAGGCTGGAGTGGCAGGTAGGGCTCCATCAAGGAATCTGGACTTTATTCTCTGGGCAGATGAGCAGGCACTGCAGGGGAAGGAGCAAATGACTCTTATCAGCCTCACACTTTCTGGAGACCACTCTGGGGGCACCATGGAGGGCTGTGGGATTGAGGCTGCAAAGTTGCCCCAATAGAGAGAAACAAGAATTGTGGGCACAGTCGGGAAATATTTGTTGGAAGAAACTGGTCAGTCTTGGTAGGGGCTTGACTAGATGTAGAGGGAGAGGAAAGGAGTAAATTAACTTAGCCTGGGAAGTGAGGAAAAGCAAGAGGAAAAGAGGTTCAGGGAGGCTGAAGAGCCCGGGCATGGGTGACTTGTCCTGCAGGTCCAGTGAAGAAGTCTGCAAGGCACTTAGGCAGGCTTTAGTCTCAAAGGAAGGATCTGGAGGCCCTCATATGGGGGTTGTCGGCATGCAGATAAAAGAGAGGCTGTGGGAGCCACAGGGCCCAGACACAGGCAGAGGGAGAACAGGCCAAGGACAGGCTGCCGGGGGGCCCCGCCTCGGCAGGACCCCAGCCCAGCACCTCTGCCCCTCCCACCCAGCCTTACCCTGGGCCCCTCACAGCCATTGGGGCAATCCTGCTTTGTTTCCTCCCCTCCTGGGCAGTTTTCACTTTCCTTTCACCCTTTCTCCTTTCTTCTCCCTCTCCATGGTTTGCTGTCCTGTTCCGTGTCTCTTGCCCATAGCCCTTCTGGCCCCTGGTTGATTTTGCTGCTGTTTCTCATCTGTGGTGTCTCCTTTGGCAGCCTCTGTCTTCAGAGAGGCACTGGGCATCTAAGGTGGTCAGAGCCCTCAGGTAAATCCTACCTCTCCAGGAGTCAGCTCTGCGAGCTGCGGGAGGGCAGGCAGTGGGACACGGGACCTTTGCAGGGCTGGGATTTTTTAAATTTATTTTTTAATTTATTCTTTTTATTTGCAGTAGAAGATTCCCAAACTAAGGGCTGGGATTGGATCTCCCTTTTCCCATACATGGTGGGGAGTTGAGGGGTCGGGGCTGAGGGAGTGGCCTATAGCTGCCCTATTTGGCCCTCAGGATGTGTGTTTGGGCCTTGGAAACAAATGCTGGCTGAGCAGCCTGGGATTCCAAGCTTGGAAGGAGTCACCCTTCCAGGTGTCAAGCACCCTCTGCCAGCCTGCCCAAAGGGACTCATGGCAGTAGAGGCTGTGGGACACCCCAGGACACACAGGCGCAAGTGGGTATTCCAAGGCTCCACGGAACAGCTAGCACCCTGAGGGACAACAGAGAGGCTGTTTGTGGCTTCCTCCAAAAGAAGAACAAGGAGAAAATGGCTAGAGCCAAGAACAGCAGGAAAGAGACCTGTAGAGTGCTAGGGAGGCCAAAGCCAGTTTCTTCAGGCCACAGAGGCATGTAGAGATGACCATGCACTGATGGGGCCATCTCCCTCCCCCAGAATGGTGTCCACACAGCGAGGAAGCCACGCTTGAACCTCTCATCCAGGACATTCTCCACACTCTGCCGGTCCTAACTCAGGCAGCAGCCATAACTGGTGACTCGGCTGAGGCCATGCCAGCCCCCATGCACTGTGGCAGGACCAAGGTGTTCATGACTGACTCTATGGTGAGCTGGTTTGGGGATGAGGAGGTTACAGAGGCAAGCTGTGTGCTCTCCTCAGCAGGAGGGGGCAGGGGGAGAAGAGGCTGCCCTCAATGGATGCCTTTTCTCCCAGCTGGAGCTTCTGGAATGTGGGCGTGCCCGGGTGCTGGAGCAGTGTGCCCGCTGCATCCAGGGTGGCTGGAGGCGACACCGGCACCGAGAGCAGGAGCGGCAGTGGCGGGCCGTCATGCTCATCCAGGCAGGTAGGTGGGCAGGTCACCTGTCAGCACTGCTCACAGACCCCACAGGATGTTGGTTTCCTTTGAAACATAGCTCGTCGAGTCCCCATCTCCTGAAGCTGTGTCCCAGCCTGAAGAGATGTCCCTGTGGTGTGCTGGGATTCAAATTCCCTGTCCCCCTCACTCATAACGTCTCTCCAGTTCAATGGAAACCAAGTCACTCCACAAACAAAGGTGCTCTGTAAGAAGTGGAGGCTAAGCGTTGTCTAAGCGTTGTCTTTAATTCCTTTCTCAGACCCTGACAGCTGTTTAGGCCAACTTTTTTTCCCTTTATGACAACTCAAACCATTACCTGCTGGGCTCTAGGGCTGGAATGAATTTAAGGAGAAGGTAAAAACCAAAAGGAGTTCATCAGATGAAAAGATGTATTAACCAACATGTTCATAGTGGTCTTATTTTGAAAAGGAAAAGTGTTGGAAAGAACCCAAATATCTAACAGTGGTGACATCATGGCCAAATGATGGACTGGACCATCCCTATGATGCAGCTAAGTGTTTTTGAAGAATATTATAAATTTAATGGAGAACCACTTCCAAAATGATATTCATACCTAGATGTCAAACTACATATTAAGGGCGATGCCCTCCTTTTAAGGTGTGTTTGTGTGTGTGTAGGCATTAAAAAATTGTATAAGGAAGCTGGGCACAGTAGTTCGCTCCTGTAATCCCAGCATTTTGGGAGGCTGAGGTGGGAGGATCACTTGAGCCCAGGAATTTCATACCAGCCGGGCAACATGGCAAAACCCTTTCTCTACTAAAAATACAAAAATTAGCCAAGTGTGGTAGTATGCACCTATAATCCTAGCTACTCAGGAGGCTGAGGCAGGAGAATCACCTCAACCCAGGAGGCAGAGGTTGCAGTGAGCTGAGATTGCACCATTACACTCCAGCCTGGGTGACAGAGCAAGACTCTGTCTCAAAAAAAAAAAAAACAACAAAACATAATTAACCGTGCCTGGTGGCACATGCCTGTAGTCCCAGTTACTCCAGAGGCTGAGGCAAGAGGATTGCTTGAGCCTGGGAGATTGAAGCTACAGCCTTACGGAGGCTACAATAAGCTGTTCGTGCCACTGCACTCCAGCCTGGGCAAGACCCTGTCTCAAAAAAAAAAAAAAAAAAAAAAAAAAAAAGAAACAAAAAGAAAAAGAATATGCTGAAATTGCAGAGAAGGGAATAAAAATTACCACCATCTATTAATTGTATCAGTGTTTGGGTATATGGTGATGTGAGATCAGGGATGCATAAAGCGAACAAATTCAACTGAGGATTAAAAACAAAACAAAAAAAAAAGTTTTTAAAGGCACAGACAATCCAGACCCCTCCCATTCCCTGGGTGCTGACCTGGACCCAGCCTGAGACGGGAAGTGATTGCTGGGCCCTCAGCCAGTCCTTCTCCCCAGTGCCCCTTCACTGTGTTGTGTAGGTGTATTCAAGTGTGTGGGCAGTGTAAGGAATGTTTAAAAGCCAATTTTGCCTTATGTATTGATTTTAGAACCTTATTTGTAGCAATTTATTGAAAAAAAAAAAACGTATTTGAAACTTTGACAGCAACTGTGGTGCTGCTGCAGCGAGGTCACTGACAGCTCTAATGGCCCCTTTATTATCTCTTTCCTGTTTCTGGGCAAACCTCTTAGCCATTCGTTCCTGGTTAACTCGGAAACACATCCAGAGGCTGCATGCAGCTGCCACAGTCATCAAGCGTGCATGGCAGAAGTGGAGAGTAAGTAAGACCCAAGAAGTCGGGGTGGGCAGTGGATCAATTTTGGGGACCAGATGGACCCGAGTGGGAATGCTGGCTCTGCCACTGCAATGCAGGTGGCCTTGGGCAGGTTGTTTAGCCTCTCTGAGCCTCATATTCCTCATGTATGCAGTGGGCACAGTAACACCTACCCTGCAGGGTGGTTATGTAGGTGAAGAGTGGTATAAGCAACTCTGGGAATATACCAAACTCTGGGATGTACACTTTAGAAGACTGGGTTTTATGGCATATCAGTTATATCTTGATGGACTCTTATCTTGTTTTCAAGTAGCATATGTAAGGCCTAAGCACAGTTGCCTGGGGTGTATAGACTTGTGGCATATGGAACCAGTTTGGTTCAGGGCAGCCAGCTGTTTGCAACCAGGTGCCTTCAGTTCACCTTGTTAAGATGATTTGTTAAAGATAGTTTTGATTTCCATTTTCTGCTAAGAGGGCTAGATAAATCTAAAGCTATAAAGGGATATTTGCTTTTTAAGATCAGAATGGCCTGCCTTGCTGCTAAAGAGCTGGATGGTGTGGAAGAAAAACACTTCTCTCAAGCTCCCTGTTCCCTGAGCACCTCGCCGCTGCAGACCAGGCTCCTGGAGGCAATAATCCGCCTCTGGCCCCTGGGACTGGTCCTGGCCAATACGGCTATGGGTGTAGGCAGCTTTCAGAGGAAATTAGTGGTCTGGGCTTGCCTCCAGCTCCCCAGGGGCAGCCCCAGTAGCTACACTGTCCAGACAGCACAAGACCAGGCTGGTGTCACGTCCATCCGAGCGCTGCCTCAGGTACGTTGTGTGTGATGGCCATGACAGCTTTGTTCCTGAGAACAGCAGGAGCAAAGCCTACAAGTTCACAGCGGGAATGAGACTGAGGCTGGGACAAGATCCATCCCTAACCCTACTGGGTAAACCAGAGGGCTGCATGTCCCAATCAGCTGCAGGTTTGGATTATTTATTTTGTTATAACTGGGAATCTTCCAGAGCCCTTTATCTTTTTAAAAACTGCTTCTAATTATTTCAGCATCTCTAAATCTTCTAGTCCCATTTCCAAATGCAATGCTGCGTTTCTAGCAAGCTCCCAGCTGATTCTGATGCTCCATGAACCACACTGTGAGAACCAAGGCTTTAGATGAGTCAGGAGCAGGAGGTGATGAAAGTTTAGCTTAGGGCCTGGAGCGGTGGCTCACGCCTATAATCCCAGTACTTTGGGAAGTCGAGGCGGGTGTATCACCTGAGGTCAGGAGTTCAAGACCAGCCTGGCCAACATGGCGAAACCCCATCTCTACTAAAAATACAAAAATTGGTTGGGCGTAGTGGCAGGCGCCTGTAGTCCCAGCTGCTCGGGAGGCTGAGGCATGAGAATTGCTTGAATCTGGGAGGGAGAGGTTGCAGTGAGCCGAGATTGCGCCGCTGCACTCCAGCCTGGGTGACAGGACGAGAGTCCATCTAAAAAAAAAAAAAAGTTTGGTTTAGGGTAATAATAGGTCAATTACAGAAAAGAGGAAAAATTCACGAGACATAGCAAAAAAGAAACTACCCAAGACTTGAGAGCAAATAATCTAATTAGTCCCACATCACAACTTGGGTTGTGAGGAGTTTGTTACCTCAAATGGCACTGGATTTGGCACCATGTTTTCCCCAAATTGTATTGCTTGGTTTTTTCCTTTTCTGGCTGACGAAATGACAAGCAGGGTCAGTGGTCCAAGTTCTCTGTGGGTTTTTTTTTTTTTTCATGTTATTTAATTTTTTGAGACGGAGTCTCACTCTGTCGCCCAGGATGGAATGCAGTGGGTTTAAGCGATTCTCCTGCCTCAGCCTCCCGAATAGCTGGGACTACAGGGCATGTGCCACCATGCCTGGCTATATTTTTTTTTTTGTATTTTTAATAGAGACGGGGTTTCGCCATATTGGCCAGGCTGGTCTCAAACTCCTGACCTCAAGTGGTCTGCCTGCCTTGCCCTCCCAAAGTGCTGGGATTACAGGTGTGAGCCACCGTGCCCAGCTGTTTTTATATAAGCATCCAGGGAAAAGTCAGCCAGCACACTCAGGAAGTCATTGTCACTCAGGGCTTTGTGAGTCACCCCAGTAAGCCAGGCCTCATAGAATTAAAGTGGCCGAGGAAAGGTGAAAGTATGTTGCACTGGGAGGTAGAACCCCAGGGTCTGGATCCTGGTTCTGCCCCATTCACTGGATGATCTTGGCTAAGACACATTTTCTCGGAGCCTGTCTATAAAATGGGCTAATACTCAACCTACTGCATGGAGTCACAGCAAGGAGTAAGTGAAATGACAAGGCAGAAGGAAACACCAAATTTCCATTCAGAGGAATAACTATAGGCCTTAATCTGGATGAAGTCTCCCATGAAAACACACAGGCCTGCTAAACAGAAGGGTAAATGTTTTGCCCTTCTGGCTTTAAGCAGTCATAGGAATGTGACAGACATTCCTCTTAGGGAGCGCCTCCTCCTAGGGTTTCCTCATCTGTCTCACACTGAGTGGATGTAATGCTATTTTAATCCTGCTGTGGCCCCCAATACTAGTACTTGTCCATACCTTCTTGCATTTTTAGCGTCTGCTCTGTGGGGTTGTTAGGCCCTGGCACTCCCAGGAACTAGTGCTAAAGCTGCATCTCTCTCTCCCCTCTAGGGATCGATAAAGTTTCACTGCAGAAAGTCTCCACTGCGGTATGCTGACATCTGCCCTGAACCTTCACCCTACAGCATTACAGGCTTTAATCAGATTCTGCTGGAAAGACACAGGCTGATCCACGTGACCTCTTCTGCCTTCACTGGGCTGGGGTGATCCTTGGTGCCTTTGTTTCCACAAGGCCTTTTCCTGCCCCCTGCCTTGCCAAAGACATTTAATCAGCACACAGCTGCCAGACTATTCCCACAGTGCTCCAAATGCACATGAACAACAGTGACGGCTCCAGCCTTCGACCCAGAGCCCCGTGCCCAGTGCGTCAGTGGGCCTGGGGTTCCAGGCTACATCAAGCACTGATGGTGTCAGGGCTGGTAGTTACCAAATCAGGGTTAAGAAACATCAGGGCCACATTTCACTACCTTCACAGATCAAACTCAGCAGCAGTCATGACTGTCTGTCACTACACTGGGGATCCCAATTCCACATAAGCACTTTTGGAAGAAAACAGCCAAAGTTGGCCTAAAATTGGCGCTGGAATTTGGGCTGGGAAAAATCTTGTGGTTATTTCCTTTAAAAAGGAACAAAACTTTAGTATTTAATTAGTTGATTTATTTAATGTAATTTCAAACAATTAAATTATGAATAATGCAATGTACAGTAGAATCACGTTTTGATTTTATTAACACTGACCAAGTTTAACTCCATATGAAGTGTAAGCTTGATATCGTTTATGATGTCTATCAACTGTACCAAAAGTAAAACATTTAAAAACAATCATCTGAATGTCAAGTTTTCTCTCCATAAAGGACTTGCCACCTTAAGGACCCCAAGTCTGCCTGAAACATGAGCCACATCAATGCCGGTAAAGGCCTGCATGACCTAATCTGCATCCTGGAAACCTCTTTTGCCTGAGCTCCCCAGCCCCAAACTAGCTGGTCTGGGAGAGGGAGCAGGCAGGTTCCAGGAGTCAAGCACACGCTTGAGCAAGCAGCACAATAATCCATCTTAAGACTCCTCATTCTGGGATGGCTCCACAATTCCTAAACAGCAGTCTGCAAACTCCACAAACAAAGGCTCTTGCATGTAAGCTCTCATGAGCTTTGCTTTGTCTTCTCCCTGATCGAGGTTGACCATCAACTGCCTGAGGTGTGGATTGAGCAATAAGCTTCTTAATGTTGCAGATTCCCCTAAAAATTAACAAGAAAAAAAGCCAGTCTGAGTTCAAGTGGAAACACATGGAGATGGCTGAAAAGTGAAGAGCTATTTCAAGTGTAATAAAACTATCAGCAAGGTGTGGTGGCTCATGCCTGTAATACCAGCAACTGGGGAGGTCAAGGTGGGCAGATTGCTTGAGCTCAGGAGTTCAAGACCAGCCTGTGCAACATGGCGAGACCCCACCTCTATAAAATGAAAGGTAAGACCAGCATATCAAACTATTTCCGCATTAAATGCAGTAACAGATACCAGTTCTTGGTATCTTTGTAAATATTGTAACTTCGTGCCACTTCAGCTAAGAAAAAAATGCTTTATCAGCACAATCACAAAGCAAATAGTAGCATTAAGCTGCTGGCATGTTTTCTTTCTTTCTAGCCATAAAAGTTGCCAGTGGTGAAGACGGCTATACGAAATAATCTGAATGATGTCTAAGCATGCCATTTGGCATGCAGCAGCACCAGTAGCAGGGAACCAACAATAATACCTGCATGGTACTTCACAGTCTGTAAAATTTTTCACACCTATTACTAGCTCATCTCCAAACTCAGTCTAACTAATCATTACCATGAGACTAAGTGCAAAACATAACCTTTTAACATGATTCTGTGAAATGGGAAGAATGAAATTAACAGACCCCATGCACATGTAACAGAATGTTGTAAGGACTGAATAAGCAGTGCTACAAAAATGGCAACACCTGTTTCCCCCTAAATCAAATCATGTGATAACCAGTTTGTGTTAAGGGCTGGACTGTGAGCTGAGCACTGGGGATCTGGGAATACAGGTCCCTGCTGTACAAATCGGTATGTGAGAGACAAATTACCATGAAATGTAACAGTGATTTATTACTATTAAGTCCAAGTTGCTATGGGAAACCAAAAAAGTGCCTAATTCTGAAAGAGACACAAAAGGTCAAGAAAAGCTTAGCTGAGTGAAGAAAACTTGAACCAAGGCTTGAAGGAGGAGCAGAATTTTGCCAACCCACAAGACCAGCAGGATTCCAGGCAGAAGGAATGGTGTGGGCAGGCTGGGAGGTGTGAAACCCTGTATGTTTACAGATTATGTGGCTAGATAGTAAGAGCCCTACATGCCATACTTATTCAAGAAATTAAAAACTTTTTAAAAAATCACAATCCTTACAACACAGTAAATGTATCTCAACGATTGACAAGCATAGCACAGACTTACCTAAATTCTTTAAATTCTGCAAAGAAACTCTGTCTTCTTCCTCATCACTATTGAGAAAATCAGCTATAGAGTCATCATCATCTAAGGAATACAAAACAGTCAATGGCTCATGGCTAAAAAGGAGGCCTGGGCACCAGATTTTAACCACTACTTGAACAGGATAAAAATGTGTGCACGCACATGTGATAGTGATAGGGGTATTCAAGCAGGTACAGACAAAAATCCTCTTCTCCGGAGTCTGTGACTATACTAACACTCCTTTTTTAGAAGAGGGAGGCTAAGTGAAAGAATTGGTGATTTTAACAAATGCACTCTAGTGTTCACATCCTTACTGTATATGTGGTCCTGTGGTCTTTAGGCTTAGACCCCGGTTGTCTAATAACTTAATACCCATCCCCACCTCAACATGGCTCCAACCCTGTGATGGGCCAATTAACTGGATGCTCTGTAAAAACCAGCCAAGTAGAATCTCCTGTGCTTTCAGCATGGGCAGAAACTGCTGGCATTGCCTGAACCCAACCTGGAAATTTCTCAAAGGGCAAAAATGGGCCATGCCTTTGGAGTGAATGTTCAATACCTCTTTGGTGGCACCAGAGGGGCTGCTTTCAGAGCCTGGCATGGTGCTTGACACCCAGGAGGTATTAAAGAACGTTTAGATGGCTGGACGGATGGGTTGACAGCCCACTACTGCTGTGAGCTCTGAACCCCCAGCAGCAGCGAGATGATCTAGGACAAAGAAAGCCTCCTGCCTGGGCTGAGTTCAGGTGAACTGACAGTCCCAGCCAGATTCATGGAGGGAGACCAGCAGCTATGGGCTAGAGAAGGCTCCTGCCAGCAGGGCCCACCGCAAACCCCCAAACCACAGCCATGGCCTTTCTCATCTCTGTCTTCTGCCCATTTTTCTTCTCCTGAATACTGCTTTCAGGCTGTTGCCTCAATATCACCCATGATGACATGGCCCCACTCCTGATGCTCAAGGCTAAGGAAGCTGTTCCTTCCCAATGAAGCTATTGTTCTGGATTCCCTGACCAGCCCCACTCTCCCCTTTTCCTTCGACTTATTCTATGTGAAGTCCCTTGTAGATTTGTTTGAAGTCAACCAACCCACCTTTGTTTTCCACAGGCTTTACGGTTTTGGTAGGAAGAGCTGATCTTATTTTTTTCTCAACAGGACGAGTTTCAGGGTTGCACTGTTCTGAAAAAGACACAAATCCCAGGCCCACATTACCTCCATTTCAGCGACAAGGCTGCACCTCCCTACCAAGGTAGCATCTAGGTAGGAAGCAAGTGTCTGGGGTAAGGGATGTGGGTGGGTGCCCAGGAATGTGGAAGAAGTGAGAGATCAAAGCAAGAGAGAGATTAAGGAAAACCGCCAGCAGGCTGAGAAAGCAGGACTCATTCATGCACCCCAAGAACCTGTCCCCATCCTCCCTACCCTGCCGAATCTTACAAAATTCTCACCACAATTAACTGAGGTGTTTGAAATAGCTGCTGTAAACCAGATACCAGATGGGATAAAACTAGGGGCAAAACCACCAAAGAACTTACAGAGTCAACAGAAGGCCAGCTGTGCTGGCTCACGCCTGTAATCCTAACATTCGGAGGCCAAGGTGGGAGGATCACTTGAGCCCAGGAGTTTGAGACCAGCCTGGGCAACCTAGCAAGACTATGTCTCTACAGAAAATAAAAAAAATCATCCAGGCATGGTGGTACACACATGTGGTCTCAGCTACTTGGGAGGCTGAGGCAGGAGGATCCCTTAAGCCCAGTGTGTCAAGGCTGCAGTGAGCTGTGATTGTGCCACTGCACTCCAGCCTGGGTGACAGTATCAACAGAGCATGAAGTCACAGGAAAGGGTTCTGAGGACATAAAGGCAGGACCAGATTGTAGAGACTTAAAATGTAGATTTGACAATATGCTACGGAAAGGTTCTAGTCATGTAGGTGGCAGTTACAACAGCTGCCAGTGACTAAGTGCCGAGCACTGTGCCAGGTACACAGTGAGATACATAGTGGCTCAATGAACCTTTACGAAGCCCCCATGACATGGAGACTGTTAATTCCACTTACAGATGAAAGGATTAAATTTTCTTGTAATAAACTTGTCCATTGGGGTCCACAGCTAGTAAGTAGCAGAGGCAGATTTGGAATCCGGGTCTAACTTTACGGCTATGCTATATGTGTAAGGAACACAGCAGGAGGGACTGAAGGAGAGGTGAATTTTCTGGGTTGTACCTGACCCCAAAATACATTTGTGTCTAAGGTGCTCAAAAAGAGGCTGGAGCTAAACAGTTGGATGTCAGCAAGAAAAAAAAAAGTTTAAAGTGAAAGAGAGATCACCTACCTAGGAATAAAAGTCAAGGACCACATTTCAAGAGAGAGATCTAGCAAAAGGAAGGAGAAGCTGGGCACAGTGGCTCCTGCCTGTAATCCCAGCAATTTGGGAGGTTGAGGCAGGAGGACTGCTTAAGCCCAGGAGTCCAAGACCAGCCTAGACAATACAGTGAGACCCTGTCTCTACGAAAAATAGATAAAGTTTGTCTCCGTTACTCAGGAGGCTAAGGTGGGAGGATCACTTGGGCCCAGGAGGCCAAGGGTGCAATGAGCTGTGATCACACCACTGCACTCCATCCTGGGCAAAAGAGCAAGACCCTGTCTCGAAAAAAGGAAAAAAAAGAAAACGAGAGTCTACAGCTAAGCCACCCTGAATGCACCCTATCTCATCTGACCTCAGAAGCTGTAACAGGGTCAGGCCTGGTTAGGACTTCGAAGGGAGAAAGGGAGGAGAGAATACCACAGAGCGGTATCTTCCCAGCCTCCAAAGAATATCAAGAAAGAAAAAGCCAAACACAGCAGATATTCATGGGAATCAAGAAAGATGACAGGCTGAGCATGGGTAGCTCACGTCTGTAATCCCAACGCTTTGGGAGGCCAAGGTGGAAGGATCACTTGAGCCCAGGAATTCAAGACCAGCCCAGGCAATACAGTGAGACTTCATCTCCACAAAAATTAAAATTAAAAATAAATAAGCCAGGCATGGTGGCACACGCCTGCAGTCCCAACTACTTGGGAGGCTGAGGTAGGAGGACTGCCTGAGCCCAGGAAGTCAAGGCTATAGTGAGCACCACTGCACTCCAGCCTGGGTGACAGAGCAAGACTTTGTTGCAAAAAAATAAAAAAGACAAATGAAAAGTGTACAACAGATGTGGCTATTAGAAATTTCTGATAAAAATTATTTATTAAATACCACTTTAACACTGCCTATAGCAGCAACAAAGGCAAAATTAATGTAAATATCCACCAATAAGAAAAATAAATATTAAAATGACCATACTACCCAAAGTAATCTAGAGTCAATGCAATCCCTATCAAAATACCAATGATCCTGTTCACAGAAATGTCAAAAAAAAATTCTAAAATTAATATGGAACCACAAAAGACCCCCAATAGCCAAAGCAATCCTGAGCAAACAGAACAAAGCTGGAGGCATCACCACTACTTGGCCTCGAAATATACTACAAAGCTATAATATCTAAACAGCATGGTACTAGCATAAAAATAGACACATAGATCAATGGAACAGAATAGAGAACCCAGATATAAATTCACACATTTACAGCCAACTGACTTTTCACAAAGGCACCAAGAGCATATACTGGGGAAAAAAGCACTCTTCAATAAATGGTACTGGAAAAATAGGATAACTGTAAGAATAACCATATGCAGAAGAATGAAACTAGATCCTTATCTGTCACCATATATAAATATCAAAATGGATTAAAGACCTAAATGTAAGACCTGAAACTACTACAAGAAAACACAGGGGAAATGCTTCAGGACATTGGTCTAGGCAAAGATTTTATGAATAAAATCTCAAAAACACAGGCAAGAAAAGCAAAAATAGGCAAATGGAATTCTATTACACAAAAAAGCTTCTGTACAACAAAGGAAACAATAGAATGAAGAGACAACCCACAGGATGGGAGAAAATATTTGCAAAATATTCACTTGACAAAGGATTAATATCTAGAATACACAAGGAGCTCAACAGCCAAAAAAAAAAAAAAAAAAAAATTAAGTGGACAAATGGGCCGGGCATGGTGGCTCACCCCTGTAATCCCAGCCCTTTGGGAGGCCGAGGCAGGTGGATCACCTGAGGTCAAGAGCTCAAGACCAGCCTGGCCAACATGGTGAAACCTTGTCTCTACTAAAAATACAAAAATCAGCCAGCAGGCACCTGTAATCCCAGCTACTTTGGAGGCTGAGGCAGGAGAATCACCTGAACCCTGGAAGCGGAGGTTGCAGTAAGCAGAGACTGCGCCACTGTACTCCAGCCCGGGCGACAAGAGCAAGACTCTGTCTCAAAAAGAAAAAAAAAAAAAATGGGCAAATGAGCCAAACAGACACTTCTCAAAAGAAGACATATAAATGGCCAACAAGTACATGAAAAAATGTTCAACATCACTAATTATTAGGGACATGCAAGTCAAGACCACAATGAGGTATCATCTCACCACAGTAAGAATGGCTATTATCAAAAAGAAAAAAACATGTTGGCAAGGATGTGGAGAAAAGGGAACTCTTATACACTGCACTGTTATTGGGAATGTAAATTAGTATAGTCATTATGGAAAACAGCATAGAGGTTCCTAAAAAAAAACTACGAATAGAACTACCATATGATCCAGCAATCCCACTACTGTATATATATCCAAAGGAAATGAAATCAGTCTGCCGAAGAGATACCTGCACTCCTGCGTTTACTGCTAGTCACAACAGCCAAGATAAGGAATGAACCTAAGGATCCACCAACAGATGGATAAAGAAATGCGGTACATATATACACTGGATATTAGCCATAAAAAACCATGAAATCCTGTCACTTGCAGGAACATGGATGAGCCCAAAGAACATAATGTTAAGTGAAACAAGCCAGGCACCATAAGATGTTCTTGTTAACATGTGGATGCTAAGCAAGTTGATTTCACAGAAGTAGAGAGCAGAATAGTGGTAACTGGAGGCTAGGAAGAGTAGAGTGTAGGGGGCTAGGGAGAAGTTGCTTAATGGATACAAAATTACAGCTAGATGGGAGGAATAAGTTCTAGTGTTACACAGTACCTTAGTGTGACCATGTTGGCAGCAATTTATACTTTCAAATAGCTACAAGAGAGGATTGCGAGTGTTCCCAACATGAAGAAATGATTATTTGGGGCGAATATGCTAATTACCCTAATTTGATCCTTAAACATTGTATACAGGTATCGAAGTATCACACTGTAACTCAAATTGTATGCAATTATGTGTCAATTAAAAACAAATATTAAAAAGAAAAATCAACCAATAGGAGGCTTTATATAAATAATGGTCGTACCAACTATATAATGAAATAACATACAGTCCTTTAAGTCAGTGAGCTAGAACTTGTATGCACTAGTCTTTATTTTTAATTTTTTTAATTTTTTTTTAGATGGAGTCTCACTCTGTTGCCCAGGCTGGAGTGCAGTGGTGCAGTCTTGGCTCACTGCAACCTGCGTCTCCATGGTTCAAGCAATTATCCTGCCTCAGCCTCCTAAGTAGCTGGGATTACAGGCGCGCACCTCCACACCCAGCTTATTTTTGTATTTTTAGTAGAGATGTGGTTTCATAATGTTGGCCAGGCTGGTCTCGAACTCCTGACCTCAGGTGATCCACCCACCTTGGCATCCCAAAGTGCTGGGATTACAGGCATGAGCCACTGCGCCCAGCCTGTATGCACTAGGTTTTAAAAAGTGCCCAATATATAAACTCAAATGAGGATGTTGGGTACAGTCTCATTGCTGAGATTCTAAAAGCTAAAAAAAAAAGTTCTATATATTGGTACAAGAGTGGAAATAAGCTGAAAGAATCTACATCAAGCTTTTTTTTTTTTTTTTTTTGAGACAGTCTTGCTGTCTCCCAGGCTGGAGTGCAGTGGTACGATCCTGGCTCACTGCAACCTCCTCCTCCCAGGCTCAAGCGATCTTCCCACCTCTGCTTCCTGAGTAGCTGGGACCACTGGCACAGGCCACCACGCCTGGCTTTGTTTGTTTATAGAGACGGGGTTTCGCTATGTTGCCCAGGCTGGTCTCAAACTCCTGAGCTCAAATGATCCGCCCGCCTCGGCCTCCCAAAGTGCTGGGATTACAGGCGTGACCCACCGCGCCCCACCTACATCAAACTTTTTTTTTTCTTTTTTTTTCCAGACTGAGTCTGGCTCTGTAGCCCAGGCTGGAGTGCAGTGGTGCGATTTCGGCTCACTACAACCTCCGCCTCCCGGGTTCAAGCGATTCTCCTGCCTCAGCCTCCTGAGTAGCTGGGATTACAGGCGCGCACCTCGCCCGCCTAATTTTTGTATTTTTAGTAGAGACGGAGTTTCACCATGTTGGCCAGGCTGGTCTCGAACTCCTGGGCTCAGGTGATCCACCCGCCTTGGCCTCTCAAAGTGCCGGGACCACAGGCGTGAGCCACCGCGCCCGGCCAGGTCACTTCTTTTTAACTGTACAAAAGTGTGTTCACATCATACACAGAACTTACTTGGTTCTTTTTTTCTCTTAACAAATCAAGGACGTCTCCTTGTATTGTACATGGACTTACCTCTTTGTTTCTAACAAGACATTATTTACACGAGTGAAAATACTGTTAAAGTTAGCGCAGTTTCAGCCAAATGGTGAGGGGCTACATCAGAATACTGAGGAAGAAACTGCTAGGGTAGACCTCGGTGGGAAAAGCAATCGGAAACTATTTCTAAGCAAAAAAGAGTAACACGCAGAAGGAGAAGCGGGGTAGAAGAAAGGCTACTGACCAAAACCCTGAGAGCGATTACAGGCAGGGACAACAGAGGGAACTGTCCGACACACAGAGACACCAGGGACCAAGTCAGAGGAAGCAAGGTTCCTGCAGAACCCGCGGAGACCCGAGGCGGGAAAGGAAGCGCAGCCCAAGGGTCCACGCCCCCAAGACGGAGGCTGGACGTGGGGGCTGCCCCGTGCGCAGTGGTACGAGGGCTGGCGGGGACGGGGCTCACCTTTGTGCTTCCGGAAGCAGACTACCGAGCAGCTGTAACAACAGAGGCCACAGGCCGCGTCAGCCCCGAGGGTCCCCGGCCCCTCCAGCAGCCCGCCCGCTCCCGCCCGGCCTCCCGGCCTCCCGCCCTCCCGCCATGGCCGGACACCCGCGCCCCTGGACCCCGCGACCTCCCCGCTCACTAGGGCACGCGGCAGGCTGGACAGCGGTATTTGGGCTTCTCCAAGCAGATCACGCAGACGACGGTGCTACATTTGAGCGACGCCATGGTTTTGTGGAAGGAGACTGTTCACTGCGCCGCCGCGCGCCTCTCACGCAGCCGCGCCCGCGTGCACGCCCCTTTTTCCGTTTCCTAAACGGGGACCAATCAGCGCTCAGCAGGTAGGCAAAAGCAATGGACTGATCCTGCTCACTGTTCCAGCCCTCGTACTTAGAGCGTCGATACACTCGATGCGCATCTATTAGCTGCGTCCCAGGTTTTCCTTGATTAGATCACAGCGTCGAAGAACTTGTTATGTAGCCCAGTCCCTGTCCCTATGCGGCCGTGTGGCTTGGAGCAAGCCATCGACACTGTCCAGGTGTGTTGCCCCGCATGTAAAAAAGAAAACAATACATGGAACTAAACGTCCTTTACTTTCTGGCTGGGACTTCCTGAATCTTGCAGGGACATTGGGGTTCATCCGCCCATCTCATCTGCTTATTCTTGGCAAAGGACAAGTCCAGACATTGGGCGAACCAGAATCGGTTGGATCACGCAGTAGACAGGAACCTGCCCTTCCCAACCTAGACCATTTTTCACTGGGGAAAGAAAGATGAGCCTGAACAGTGGCAAATGTTTGAGCTCCAACTGTGAGCCCTTCCGGGCTGGGGACCCCCCGGGGTCTTCTAATGAAGAAGTCGTCTCTGTCCCCTGGGAACTAAATGCTTAGAGTGAAAGTAGGACGGGGAAACGGGGAGGAAAGAGACTCACTCTTAGAGTCCTGCCGTCGCTACCCTGCACCTGCACGCCCCTGAGACTGAGTGCTTCTTAAATTTTGCACTCTAGGCTCCTCACACCTCCCCCTAGTCCCGGAAGCTAATTGACCAGGAAGCAGGCCAGTGACCACTAGTCCCAAGACGGGGATCCCAGGCAGATGAGTCTGGATAGATGGGCTATGATGGGACTTGAATGCCACCACAAACTTTAGGTTTAGAAAAAGTAATGTTTTTTGTTGTTTGTTTTTTAAGGAAATTTGCTTGCAGCTAGGCATGGCCCAGCCTTACCTTAGCTCCCATCCTACCTGCACTGGGCCCTCCCAGGGCCATAAATCACCCTTACTCCCAAGTGCCTCCTCTTCTGTGTTGGCCGTTCAGCCTTCAGGGTCCCTCTTCAATAAAGGTGTCTGCAGGGATGTATCTGCAACAACCGAGGCAGTGGTTTGAACCTTGGCTCAACCCCCTCCCTGGCTGTGTGACCTGGAGGGGTTGGTTACCCCCTCTGAGCTCCCTCATCTATTAAAGTGGATGTTTGGGCCTACTTTCCTGAGCTGTTGTAAAGCAGAGAGGAGACCATGTGCAAAAGTTTTGTAATCAGAAGTGCTACCTGATATCTAGAAAGAGTCTTAACTCTCATGGATCTCCGTCTGGACCGCATGAACATAGGTCCCAGGCCCCAAGCCATGCTCTCCAAAACAGTTCTGCCGCCTGCTTCTTGAGTGGGAGGTGAGTAATTATCCTTCCTTTGGGCGTGGCGACCCAGTCCAGTCCTCAGTGCTGAAGCTGCTGGGCCCTCTGGCCACCTGCCTGTCCTGCTTGCAGCTGCCCCAGCCTCCAACTTCTGCCCAGGACCCAGCTTAGAATCCAAAACGGGTCCACACAGGCCCAGTAACCCGCAGCGTTCCTCATATTGTTCAACAGTTGTACCACTGATGATTTGAACTTGAAGCATCCCAGAAAGTCCAAGCTTACCTGGGAAGGCCAGAGAAGGCCAGTGACTTGTCCAGGGCCATATTTAAATCCTGTGCCAAGTCGGGCATGGTCGCATCAGCCTGTAGTCCCAGCTACTTAGAAAGTTGAGGCTGGAGGCTCACTTGAGCCCAGGAGTTCAAGGCTGCAGTGAGCTATGATTGTGCCACTGCATTCCAGCCTGGATGACAGAGAGAGAGAGACCCCGTCTTAAAGACGAAAAATTTAGGCCAGGCGCAGTGGCTCACGCCTGTGATCCCAGCACTTTGGGAGGCCAAAGCAGGCAGATCACTTGAGGCCAGGAGTTCAAGACCAGCCTGGCTAACATAGCAAAACCCTGTCTGTACTAAAAATAGAAAAAATTAACTGGGTGTGGTGGTGCACGCCTGTAATCCCAACTACTAGAGAGGCTGAGGCACAAGAATCGCCGGAACTCTAGAGGCAGAGATTGTAGTGAGCCAAGATCATGCCACTGCACTCCAGCCTGGGCGACAGAGCAAGACTCTGTCTCTAAAAATTAAAAAAAAAAAAATTTAATTTAAAATCCTGTGCCCCACCAGGTAAGGTGGCTCACGCCAGTAATCCTAGCACTTTGGGAGGCCAAGGCGGGCACATGGCTTGAGCCCAGGAGTTCAAGACCAGCCTGGGCAACATGGCAAAAACCCATCTCTACCCAAAAAGATACAAAAATTAGCGGGGGGCAGTGGCTTGAGCCTGTAATCCCAGCTACTGGGGAGGCTGAGGTGGGAAAATCGCTTGAGCCCAGGAGGTGGAGGTTGCAGTGAGTGGAGATCACGCCACTGCACTCCGGCCTGGGTGACAGAGCAGGACCTTGTCTCAAAAGGAAGAGAGAGAGAGAAAAAAAAACAAAAGATCCTGTACACTGTCTGGCACGGGTAGAAATTTGCCCACTGTGGCGGACTCACCACTGTCTGCTTGATTTGTCCTGTGATGTGTGTACCAAGGCTGAGGCCAGAGACAATCCTAACCATTTTCAGGGGCTCAGTCCCTCCCACCTGCATACAAACCACGCTGACTCCCTATCTGCGAGTGGAGAGATGATGACTCCAGAAAAAAAAAAGAAAAAAGAAAATTCGGCCAGGCGCGGTGGCTCACGCCTGTAATCCCAGCACTTTGGGAGGCCAAGGCGGGCAGATCACGAGGTCAGGAGATCGAGACCATCCTGGCCAACATGGTGAAACCCCCGTCTCTACTAAAATACAAAAAATTAGCCAGGTGTGGTGGCACGCGCCTGCAGTCCCAGCTACTAGGGAGGCTGAGGCAGGGGAATCCCTTGAACCCGGGAAGCGGAGGTTGCAGTGAGCCCAGATCGCGCCACTGCACTCCAGCTTGGTGACAGAGCGAGACTCCATCTCAAAAGAAAAGAAAATTAAATTCCTGGAATCCTTCCCATGCACATCCACGCAGGGAAGAGGCCCCTCCTCTACTCTGGATATCTGGATGCCCCCAGCTTTCCCCGACCTTCGCACCCCTCGTCCTCTAATGTCCGGGAAAGGAGGTGGGCTCAGCCGCGATGGCGGTTAGGTGGTGGCACACTAAGGCGCACAGCGCAGCTCCTCCGGGCAGTGGCCAGTTCAGACAAGAAAGGGGGCTGTGACCCCAGGCCCAGCAACTAGATGTCCACACTGATGTCCCCTCCAGACCCGTCCTAATGGCCACCCAGGGCTGTCTTGGGCCTCCTTGGCGTCAGCCTGGGACGCAGTGCGGGCACTGAAGAGAGAGGCGTCGTTGTCGAGGTTTTCAGAGCTCTGCCTCCTGGCAGCGCTGTCCGGTGCGTTGAAGGCGAGTCCGGGCCAATCCCAAGGCTGGAGACGCGCAACGCCGCGCACCGTCCCGCCAGAGGGCGCTCCAGGCCCGCACTGCCCGGGTGGAGCGCGCTCGCCCGGATTCCCGCGCAGCTGGCGCCCCGCCTGCGCCCCACCACGTGCGGGGAGGCTCAGCGGTCTGGTAGCGCTGGGAAGACCAAGTCCATGCTCTGATATGCACTTCGGACATCGCCAGGCGGCAGGAAAGTGCGTCTAGAGCGCGGGGGCGAAGCGGGCGACCCGATGCCCACGAGTGTTCCTACGGGAAAGCAGGGCCTGCGCTCTCCGAGGTCTCCGCGTGCCACTGGCTGTCCGGGGGCTGTTCCCCGCGGTGCCCACCGCCCCGCGCTTGCGGACAGCTCCTGGGGGCGGAGTGCCCGCTGACAGCTGGCCGGCCGCCCGCAGTAGCCTGGTGAAAGTTGAACCACACTTCCAGAGCATGTGGGTTGCTCGCTAGGGCGCGATCCGCTGCCTTCCACCCTCCTGGCCTCCCGCGATGAGGCAGGCAGATCGGCCTAATCTCCCCTACGTGCTGTGTGGCCCTTGTTAGAGGCGGAGGTTGATAAGGGCGAGCCCTGCTAGATCTCAGCTCCTTTCCGCAGCTCTGACACTTGCATTTCTCCCCCAGGGCACGGATGAGCCAGGGCCAGCACCAGAAGTGACTTTTAGGGACTGCTGCCACGTTCTCACCTGCATGCCTCCGTTTCCCCTCTGGTATCTAAGAGAGAGTAATTCAGGTGTTAAAGTGAGTGACGTTGCCGGTGGGAGTCAAATGAAGGAGACCTGAGTTCTGGTGGAGTGGGTGGGCCCAGTTGGTGTCCAACAACTCTGCATATTATTTCATACTCATGAAATTATATCCATCCTCCAACTCTAGACTAAATGACAATATGACCTGCAGTTAGACTTCACGGAGAACTTCCAAAATACAAAAGGGATACAGAACAATTGCATTCCCCACAATCCCAGAACTGTTGGGAGAGCACAGACAACAGAGGTCACCATTGCTCCCTGAACACACCCTACCAGCCACAACCCCACATTTTTCTTTTCTCACACTCACTCCCATTTGCAAATGCACATCGATCTTCCACCTGACATTCCCAAGGACACACAGAGATGCGAGGAGTCAGAGCTACCCGACCAGCTTCCCCAAGAAGCCTCTAAAGGTGCCCTGTGGAGTGGGCGTGCAGCGCGTCAAGCTTTTCACAAACCTCTGAACCCATCTCCACCTCCCACATGGCAGCAGTGCATAAGAACTCTGCTCAGTGAGGGGCGGGGAAGAGGAACTGAGACCCCAGGTTTATTTCCTTATCATTTAAAAATGAGGACAAGAAACAGATTTTTTTAGACAAAACCCAACAGGATTCTTCACTAGCAGATCTACGCTACAAGAAATGTTAGTTATTCGGGCAAAAGGAAAATGACATGAGATGGAAATTTGGATCTGCACAAAGGAGTACCAAAAATTGTAAACCTATAGGTAAAATCAAAAAAACATTTTTACTTTTTGGGGGTTTTTTTTGTTTTTTTTTTTTGTTTTTTTGAGACAATGTGTCATTCCGTCACCCAGGCTGGAGTGCAATGGCGCGATCCCAGCTCACTGCAACCTCCGCCTCCCAGGTTCAAGCGATTCTCCTGCCTCAGCCTCCCAAGTAGCTACGACTACAGGTGCCCGCCACCACGCCCGGCTAATTTTTGTATTTTTAGTAGAGACGGGGTTTCACCATGTTGGCCAGGCTGGTCTCGAACTCCTGACCTCAGGTGATCCACCCGCCTTGGCCTTCCAAAGTGCTGGGGATTACAGGTGTGAGCCACCACGCCCGGCCCATTTTTACCTTTTTAATCTCTTTAAATGATAACTGGTTCAAGCAAATATAACAGTACAGTGTGGAGTTCTTAGCACATGCAGAATTAAATATATGAAAGTAATAACATTTTCATAAAACATAAAAATGATGGAGGGAAATAGAAGTTACTAGGTAAGACTCTTACACTATATGTGACATGGTCTAATATTATTATCTCCACTGTGGAGGTAAAATGGCATCGGGTACTTAGTCTCAAAGAAGGCAGCATTGTGGAGTAGTACTTCAATAAAAAAGAGAGGAGCTAGCAAAAAAGAAAAAAAGAACAAGCAAATGGGATAAATAAGAAGAAATAGCAAGATGATAAACCTTTCTGTATCAACATATTAAATGTAAATGGTTGCCCGGCGCTGTGGCTCACGCCTGTAATCCCAGCACTTTGGGGGGCCAAGGCAGGCAGATCACTTGAGGTCAGGAGTTCAAGATGAGCCTGGGCAACATGGTGAAACCCCGTCTCTACTAAAAATATAAAAATTAGCCAGACGTGGTCGTGGGTGCCTGTAATCCCAGCTCCTCAGGAGACTGAGGCAGGAGAATCACTTGAACCCGGGAAGCAGAGGTTTCAGTGAGCGGAGATTGCCCACTGCACTCCAGCCTGGGCAACAGAGTGAGACTCTGTTTCACAAAAAAAAAAAAAAAAAAGGAAATGGTTTCTAAACACTTACTTAAAAGACAGATATTGCCATATTGGATTAATCCTGGCTAATTTTGTTTTTTTAGTACAGACAGGGTTTCACCATGTTGGTCAGGCTGGTCTTGAACCCCTGACCTCAAGTAATCCACCCGCCTCGGCCTCCCAAAGTGTTAGGATTACAGGCATGACCCACCACGCCCAACCAGAATATAAAAACCTTGAACAACGCTATCAACCCACTTGACCCAATTGACATTTATAGACAACTCTATCCAAGAATACGTTATTTTCACGTGCACGCTGAACAATTCCCAAAATAGATCACATGCAGGACCATAAGACACATTTCAACAAATTCAAAAGAATTGAAGCCATTCAAGTGTGTTCTCTGACCACAAAAGAACTAAATTAGCAATCAGTAACAGGAATATTTCTGGAAAATCCTCAAATATTTGGAACTAAAAAATACACTTACAAATAATGTATGGGTCAGCCAGGTGCGGTGGCAAACACCAGTAGCCCCAGCTACTCAGGGAGGCTGAGGTGGGAGCAACAATTCAGCCTGGGAGTTCAAAGATAGCTTGGGTAACATAGAAAGACCCTGTCTCTAAAAAAATAAAAGTTTAAAAAAATATAGTATTGCATGTGCCAAGGAGGAAATCGCAAAGGAAACTAAGAAAAAATTTTCAACTAAATGAAAAAAATGTCAAAATTTGTGATACACAACTGAGGTTTCTATCATAAAATGCCTACTATAGCAGTCATTCTCAGCCAGGAGCAATTCTCCCATGCCCAAGACATTTGGCAATACATGAAGACACTTTTGGTTGTCACAACTGGAGAGGGGTGCTGCTGATATCTAGTGACTATAGGCCAGGGATGCTACTAAACATCCTGTCGTGCATAGGACAGTCCCCCAACAATTATAAAGCCCCAAATGTCAACAGCGCTGATGCTGAAAATACTGCTAAATTAGAAAAGCCTCAAATAAATGATTTAAGCTTCCTCACTAAGAGACTAAATAAAGAATACCAAAGTCAGCAGAAGAAACAGATAAACGAAAAGCAGAAATCAATAAAACAGAAACTATAGAAAAGTAATAAAACAAAAAATGGTTCTTAGAAAAAATTCAGTAAGATTGAGAAATCTCTAGTCAGACTGATGAAGAAGAAAGGGGTGAGGAGGGAGGGATATGACATACATGGATCAGATGATTCTATATGGCTAAGATGTCAGTTCTCCCCAAATTGATCTGTAGAACAATGCAATCCTTATCAAAATCCTAGAAGGCTCTTCTGTTGAAACTGGCAAGATGACTGTAAAATTTAAAGGAAGTTCGGGCACAGTGGCTCACGCCTGTAATCCCAGCACTTTGGAAGGCTGAGGCAGGCTGATCACGAGGTCAGGAGATTGAGACCATCCTGACTAACAGGATGTAAACCCCGTCTCTACCAAAAATACAAAAAAATCCCGGCGTAGTGGCACGCGCCTGTAATCCCAGCTATTCGGGAGCCTGAGACAGGAGAATCGCCTGAACGCGGGAGGCAGAGGTTGCAGTGAGCCAAGATTGCGCCACTGCATTCCAGCCTAAGCGACAGAGTGAGACTCTATCTCAAAAAAAAAAAATTAAAGGAAATGCAAAGGATATAGATTAGCCAAATCTATTTTATAAAAGAAAGAAAAAATTTGAGAATGTATATTACCTGATTTCAATACTCTGAAAAGAATACAGTGAAGAAGACAGTATCGTGGTTTTTTGTGTTTTTTTTTTTTATTGCTGTGGTTGTTCTAAGACAGACGGTCCCAGCCAGGTGCAGTGGCTCTCATCTATAATCCCAGCACTTTGGGAGGCCGAGGCAGGAGATCACCTAAGGTCAGGAGTTGAAGACCAGGCTGGCCAACATGGTGAAACCCCATCTCTACAAAAATACAAAAATTAGCTGGGCATGATGGTGGGTGCCTGTAATCCCTGCTACTCCAGAGGTTGAGGTGGGAGAATCACTTGAACCCAGGAGGCAGAGGTTGCAGTGAGCCAAGATCACACCATTGCACTCCAGCCTGGGCGACAAAACGAGACTCCATCTAAAAAATAATAATAATAATAAGAGAGAGGGTCTGTGTTGCCCAGGCTAGATTTGAATTCCTGGGGTCAAGTTTTCCTCAGGCCTCAGTCTCCAGAGTAGCTAGACTACAGGCATGGACAGCATGGTATTGATGTGTGAATAGACATAAAGGGACAGAGAGGAGTCCAGAAGTAGAGCCACACCAGTATGGTCAATTGTTTTCAACAAAGAAGCCAAGGTGATTCAATAGTTGCTTCAACAAAAAATGACTGAAAAATTGGACTTCATAGCCAGGCATGGTGGTGCACATCTGTAGTCCCAGATACCTGGGAGGTTGAGGCAGGAGGATTGCTTGATCTCAGGAGTTTAAATTTACAATGAGCTGTAATCGCACTACTGCACTCCAGCTTGGGCAACAGAGCAAGACCCAGTCCCCACTCCCCCCAAAAAAAGGACTTCCATATGCAAATAATAATAACTTGAAATGGCTCATAGACCTAAATATAAAAACTAAAACTAAAATTTCTAGAAAAAAATGAGAGAACATCTTTGTGACCTTGAGTCAGGCAAGCATTTCTTAGGTTAGACATAAAATCCACAAATCACAAAAAACTAGTAAGTTGAACTTCATCTAAAAAAACCCACAAACGCCAAACTTCTATTCTCCAAAGACACTGTTAAGAAAAGGAAAAAAGCCACAGACAAGAAAAAATATTTGCAAAAGACATCTTAGATAAATAACTTTTGTCTTTTACCACCAAAGAATATATACAGATGGCAAATAAACACATCAGTAGATACTCAGCATAAACAGCCATTAGGGAAATGCAAGTTAAACTCACAATACAGCACCACCACACATCTACTAGAATGACGAAAATTAAAAAAACTGACAATACCAAGTGCTGACAAAGAGGCAGAGCAACTGGATATCTCATATATTGCTGCTGGAAATGCAAAATGATTCAATCACTTTGGAAAATAGCTTGGCCATTTTTTTTTAATGAAGTTAAACATGTACTTATCATCCAACCCAGCAAACACAGTCCTAGATTTTTAGCTAAGAGGAATGGAAATGTATGTTCACACAAAGTCTTCTCTGCAAAAGGTTATATCAGCTTTATTCCTAAAAGCAAAAAATTAGAAACAACCCATTTGTCCATCAACTGATAAGTGGATAAACAATTTATGGCAGATTTATAGAATGAAATACCTCTTAGCAACCTAAAGAAACAAATCACTGATAAAAGCAAAATCGTGGATTAATCCAAATCATTATGTTAAGTGAGAGAAGCTAGATACAAAAGACTACATACTGTCTAATACTTATATGAAGGTGTAGCAGCCAGGCACGGTGGCTCACGCCTGTAATCCCAGCACTTTGGGAGGCCAAGGTGGGCAGATCACGAGATCAAGAGATCGAGATCATCCTGGTCAACATGGTGAAACCCCGTCTCTACTAAAAATACGAAAATTAGCTGAGCGTGGTGGTGTGCACCTGTAGTCCCAGCTGCTCAGGAGGCTGAGGCAGGAGAATCACTTGAACTCAGGAGACGGAGGTTGCAGTGAGCCAAGATCGTGCCACTGCACTCCAGCCTGGTGACAGAGCAAGACTCTGTCTCAAACAAACAAAAAAAAAGGTGTAGCAAAGGCAAAACTATGGTGACAGAGGCTGGGGTGGGGGCAGGGTGGGGGTTGATGGCCAAGTGGTATGAGGAAATTTTTCAGGATGCTGGAACTGTTCTATATCATGACTTCAAAGCTGGATAAAGGTCAACCGATGCCTTAAACACAGCCCAACAATGATACCCCCTTGGCCCTTTCACTGCCTGAAATAAAGAACTTAGGGGTCCCTCACACAAAGCATCTGATGAGTTAACACTAGCCAGATCCAGGCAGCTATGTTTGCATTGAATGGAAGCAAAACTTTCCTGCCTTGAGACAGAAACAAAGGTGATATCTGATGACACCTTCAAATCAAAGTTTTTAACTACTCACTTACCAGCCAAAGACAATTGTTTTTATTCTTTTGCAGATTACAGTTGAACATGGCAAATAAAGACAATTACCAAACAAACAGACGAAAAAAAATCTGACTAAAGTTGAGTGTAGCTGTGAAAAGTTAAGGGCATGACACCTAGGGTAGGGGTGGAGGGGATGGACAGTCTGTAGTGTCCCCTTCCCTTGGTCCCCTAAGCAAATTCCTTTTTAACTTAATGATTATCCAAGGCTGCATGGCTTTTATCTTTTTATTCCGCCTCTCAGATCCATAGCTCTAGTCCTAGTGATAGTGACAAGAGGCAGAGAAATTCTAGGCAGAGAGGGGTGGATCCCTGGTGAAGCCCCACCCTCAAGCCAAAAAGCCTGAGACCACAGCCCAAAGTGAGAACTTATATCCCCATTTTCCTGCTTGAATGTTGCCTTTTCCTAAACTACCATGGTCCTGCCCTGCCCCATCCTGTGCCTATAAAGACCCCAGACTCAGCCGGTAGAGAGGAGAAGCAGCTGCATGTTGGGGACTATGGCCAAAGTCAGAGAGAACCAGCTTGACTTCAGAGGGACAGCTTGACAGTGTAACTTCAAAGAAGAATCTGGCCAGAGACTGCTGGACCTCAGGGGAAGATTACCTACATTCCCTGGCCCCTTTTCAACCTCCCTTCCCTCTGAGAGCCACTTTCATCAGCAATAAAATCCTCCACATTCACCATCCTTCAATTCATTTGTGTGACCTCATTTTTTCTGGATGCTGGACAAGAGCTTGGGGGCCACAAGTGTGGATACAAAAGGCTGTCACACTGGCCCTTTGCCCTCACTAGTGGAAGGCAGCCATCCCACATGAAAAGGCAGAGGGCCCACTGAGCTGTTAACACTTAAGCTGTCTGCGGATGGCAGAGCTAAGTGAGCAATGTAACACGCCCTCTGGGGCTTCAGGGGTCACAGGCACCCCCACCCTAGATGCTGCCTGGGACCTGCACAGCATTCGCTACTGCCAGTGCCTAAAAGTGCTCATGCTGGCTCCTGCACCTGCTCACCTGCACGCTCCCTCCTGTGAGTGGTGCAATACAGCCAGTCTGAGTGAGTGGAGTTTGCTGCTGCCAGTGCCAAGGTGGCCAGCTGGTTCCAGCACTCATGCACTCCAGTTCCTGTCTCATTCACTCCCACACTCCCTCCTGTGAGGAGTTGAGAGCTGCAGGCTGAGTAAATGAGGCACCCTTGTTGCAAGTCCCTTGAAGGGGTCAGGGAAATAGCCTGCTTCCACAGGGCCTATCCAGGATTTCTCAGAAGGGCAAATAAATGCAGATCTGCCATATCTGTCTCTTCACTTTTTTCCTAAGACTTCTTGTCCTCAGACTTTCCTCTGAGCTATGCCATTTGCAGAGGACAGGATGCAATCCTGCCACCTATCTCTTTGTTTCAGGTGAAAGGAATGTTGGCTCTGTTTCCCTTCAAAGAGGTCTAGCCATCGGGTGGGACCAGAATAAAGTCCTGGGGCAACTGAAGGCATCTGGAGGAGGCCACTCCTTGGTGTTGCCAGAAGGCCCCTAAACTGGATCCCATCCCCGATAGCACTTAAGGCGTTGACCAACACCCCTGGACCTTTCTATGGTATCTTTCCCTTTCTTCTTTCATGGTTAAAAATGGCTCCTCTCTCTCCCTTTATAATGATAAGGGTTTTGCTGCAAACTGCAGAAATGTTACTAGGTAGAATGAGCATTTGGCTCAGCCACCAGATATGCAATTCAGAACAATGTGACTTCCATTTGTTCTTAGAGGTGCGACCCCCACGCCCAACCCCAACAGCCACAAAGGTGTGCAGCACGTGGCTGTTCCCCTCCTCACCCTTCCCTCCCAGCTACGGCACCTGGGCGTGTCCACAGCATGCACATGAAGTGCCCAAGGGCAGGGTGGGAGAGAACTGTGGCTGCTGCCCAGGCCCCAGGGCAGTCTTGGGGGCCAGGGGCCCAATGCAGCCAGTTGGCCAGCATTTCCCACTCACCATCCCCTCCTTCCACATGCCCACAGAGTCTTTCCTCCCCCAGACAGCCGAGGGGTCCAGCTCCGTCCAAACCAGAGGAAGGATATAGTGATTAAAGGAACCCATTTACAGAGAGCAAGAGGTTCTTCCCCCTCTTAAGCTGTTTTGTTTTTTCCCTCTTTCCTTTTCTATGCGAGGAGGTTCTTTTCCTACCTCAGCACTCTGCTTATGATAGAAAAGCAGTGGAGGAGCGAGCCCACTGGCTAATAACTGCAAATTTGGCAAGGCCTGCCTGGGACTTAATCTAAATGAATCCATGCACCCCCGAGACACCTTTTCATCCCAAACTCATTTTTTTTTTTTCTTGAGATGGAGTCTTGCTCTGTTTCCCAGCCTGGAGAGCAGTGGCACAATCTTGGCTCATTGCAACTTCTGCCTCCTAGTTCAAGCAATTCTCCTGCCTCAGCCTCCGGAGTAGCTACGACTACAGGCGCCCGCCACCACGCCCAGCTAATTTTTGTAGTTTTAGTAGAGATGGGGTTTCACTATGTTGGCCAGGCTGGTATCGAACTCCTGACCTCTTGATCTGCTCTCCTCGGCCTCCCAAAGTGTTGGGATTACAGGCGTGAGCCACTGTGCCTGGCCCAATCCCAAACTCAATTCTAAACTTCAGGTTGAAGCCCTAGAAAGGAAAATCAGATCTGAGGGATTCAAAGCCAAGCAACAGGCACAGTATCAATGGGCAGGACTAATTCCTGCCAATTAAGCCCCTGCTTCATGGAAGGAGGCCACACTCCATGGCATAGATAAGGCCCAAGGAACCCAAAGGTTGCCGACAGTAGGGGGCATGGAGGCGTAAGTGAGTGCAGATAATTCCTATTCTCTAGGCCCTCCCTGCTTCACGGGTACAGGCCACAATGGCACCTATGGATGGTGTCCATCTAAGGTTGCCAGAACTCGGGGATAAACATATAGAAGAGAAAAGGAGGACACCTGTTTTCTCTTGGGGAAAGAGGGAAAGAAAATGAGCGATGCCTATTTCCCTCTCTTTCAGAATGGGCACCAACTACTTTCACCATCCTCAGTCTATACGCCTCTGGAGTGTATCCTGAATCACTGGGACTGCTTTAACCCTCAGACTCTAGAGGGAAAACACCTCATAGCCCTTTGCACAAAGGTTTGGCCAAATTATGATCTGTAGGAAGGACTGGCGTGGCCTCAGGAAGGAACCATTAATTTCGATAACCATCCTGCAGGTGGACCTTTTCTGTAAATGTGAGGGCAAATGGTCTGAGGCTCCATATGTGCAGGCCTTCTTTACCTTGCAGGGCAATCCAGACCTTTGCTGACAGTGTAGGATTGCTCCAGACCTCTTGTTTGCCATCTCAGAGAACAATACCAGAGAACTAAAGAAATGAACTCCAGAGGCACCTCCAGCAAGGGAGCCAGCTCCCACTGGCCCTGCTCCTCTGGGTCCACCCCATCCTGCCTACCCAGTTTTTCTCTCACTTGGCCCCTCCTAGAACTCCTCACCCTAGACAAGCCCCAGTCTCATTCCTGCCCTCCATCAGATGCTTGGTGAATTTGGCCCCCTGGTCCAGGTCCCCCTTCTCTCTACAGGACTTAAAGCAAATTAAGGGGGATCTTGGCAAGTTTTCAGATGACCCTGACAGATATATAAAGGCTTTCCAGAATTTAACCCAAGTATTTGAACTCTCCTGGAAAGACATTATGTTACTTTTGAATCAAACCTGACTAACACTGAGAAGCAGTCTGCTCTGCAAGTGACAGAGAGATCTGGGGATGAGGTTTGTGTCACATATAGTGTCAGGGAGGGGGTCAAACTTTATCCAACTGGAGGAGAAGCAGTACCAATGAATGACCCTAAATGGGATCCCAATGACAAGACGGGAGAATGTAAGAGGAGACAGTTTCAGGTGGGCATAATAGAGGGCTTATGTAGGACTAGAACTAAGCCTCTCAACTATACCAAGCTATCCAGGATGGACCAGGGATTCAATGAGCATCCTACTGCCTTCCTGGAGAGGCTAATAGAGTCTTGGTAAAGCACACCTCACTAGCTCCTGATTCCATCAAGGGACAAGTAATCCTAAAGGATAAATTTATTACTCAGGCAGCCCCTGATATCAGGAGAAAGCTGCAGAAACAGGCCCTGGGACCAGATAGTACCTTAGAGAATCTCCTGAAAGTGGCCACCTCAGTCTTTTGTAATAAGATAGGGAGGCCCAGAAGAGAGAGAGAGGAGACACAGGCAAGAGGCAGAGGCTTTAATGGCCACCATGCAAACCCACAAACTCCAGAATCCCCAAGCTACACCTGTTAACTGCTACAGATGTGGTAAGCCAGGGCATTTTAGGAAGGATTGCCCAGGCAACATGAGGAAGCCACCCCAACCCTGTCCAATGTACAATGGGGACCACTAGAAAGTGGACTGTCCCCGGGGGCACTGGTCGCCAGGCCCAGAGCCAATCTCCCAAATGGTCCAGCAAGACTGACAAGTCCTGGGGCTCCTCTCCCTGGCTCCGGTGGTCCAGACCACCATTACCATCCAGGAGCCCCAGAATTTACAATTCTGGATATGGAAGGGAGGAAAGTGGACCTCCTTCTGGACGCTGGGGCTGGTCTCTCGGTTTTCATCTCCAATTCAAGCCCCCTGTCCTCTCTTAGCATGACTGTGAGGGGCATCCCAGGAAGGCCTTAAACCCAATATTTTTTCCAACCCCTTAGTTGTAGTTGGGGAGACCTCTTGTTCACCTGTGCCTTTCTAATTGTGCCTGAAAGGCCAAATACTCTGTTGGGTAGGGGTATTGTGGCCCGTGTAGGAACCACCATCCTGATGGCCCCAGGACAAACTCTTTGTCTCCCCTTAGTGGAGACTGATTTTAACCCAGAAGTTTGGGTAACTCAAGGGAAAATTGGCAGAGCCACAACCACCATACCAGTCTGAACCAGACACAATAGCCCCTGAAACCAGAAGTTAAGAAAAGACCAGAAGCCATCATTGATAACTTAAGGTTGCAGTACCTCCTCAAACTCTGCAACAGCCCTTGTAATACCCCAATATTGGGGGTACAAAAACCCAAAGGGGAATGGAGACTAGTTCAGGACCTTCATCTTGTTAATGAGGCTGTGGTTCCAATTCACCCAGTGGCTCCCAATCTGTATACCTTGCTAGCTCACATACCTGAGGGAACTAAAAGGTTCACAGTCCTGGACCTAAAGATATAATGGTATGCTTCTTCTGCATACTGTTATATAAACCCCCAGTATTTGTTTGCATTTGAGGATCCCTCTAACCAGACCACCCAGTTAATCTGGATAGTGTTACTTCAGGCATTCTGAAACAGCCCCCACTTTTTTGGGCAGGCACGGTCAAGAGACTTCTCCAAGTTCCTTTATCCTCAGGTGAAAGTTTTACAATATGTAGATGACATTCTCCTCTGCACTCTAACTAAAAAAATCTCTCAGGAGGGCAGTAAGGCTCTTCTTAATTTTCTGGCTAACAGAGGATGTAAGGTTTACTAATTAATGAGATAATTCCTCGCTTTGGACTCCCTAAGTACCTCCAGAGTGATAATGGCCCCTTGTTCAATGCGGCTGTCACCCAGGGGATCTCAAAGGCACTAGGCATACAGTACAATGAAGATGGTTCTTCATTGTGCTTGGAGACCACAATTCTTAGGAAAGGTAGAAAAGACAAATGATATTATCAAAAGACACCTCAGGAGACTCACCTCCCCTGGACTACCCTTCTGCCCATATCTCTACTATGTATTAGAAACACCCCTTCAAGGCTAGGTTTGAATCCCTTTGAAATGATGTATGGATGGCCTTTTCTCACCAATGATTTCTTGCTAGACCAAGAAACCTTTGATTTGGTTAAACATATCACTTCTTTGGCCCATTTCCAACAGGAACTGAAACAACTGTCAGAGAGGCACAATCCCATGAACCAGGACCACCTCTATTCAACCCTGGGGACCTAGTACTGGTAAAGGTACTTCCTTCCCTTTGTCCCTCTATAAGCCCAGATTGGGAGGGACCTTACACTGTACTTCTTTCTACTCCTATGGCAGTGAAGGTCACTGGAATAGATTCTTGGATTCATTATACCCTAGTAAGGGCCTAGGAAGCTAATGGAGTTACCTCCATTAACCCAGAAGAGCACTCAAAGTACCAATGTGAAGAGATCAGGGACCTCAAGCTAAGAATCACAAAAGATAAGTGTTAATAATTAACCTTCCATGGATATCTTCCTTAAAAGTCTTGGCTATGCTTGCTGTTCTTACCTTTGCTCTGTTCTATACCACAGGATATAATGTTGTTTTCAGAATAATTTGTATATTTTACTTCTTATTTCTGTAAACTTTGCCACTAGATTCTTTCCTTTTAACCCCTTTTTGTATAATACACATATTTGATTCATGCATACTTAACCTTGTAGAACTTGTTTCTTCTCACCTAGAGACCATCAAACTCCAAATGGTCAAGGCAAGCAGAGCCCTGGATGATGGCTCCCTTTTGCTGGGGACCCTTAGGTAGACCTCTGGGAAGAATCTGACTGCTCTTCTCCCCAAAACAATGCCCCCTCTCTGCAGGAAGCAGCTTAGATCGGTCATTGTCTGTATCCTAACAGCAGTTAGATGTGCATCTTCAGAGGGGGGAAATGATAGCTACAGGAGGCCGAGAAATTCTAGGCAGACACGGGGTTGGCGGGGGGGTCCCCGGTGAAGCCCCCCCGACTCAAGCCAAAAAGCCTGAGACCCAAAGTGAGAACTTCTATCGATGTTTTCCTGCTCAAATGTTGCCTTTTCCTAAACTACACATGGCCCTGCTCCACCCCATCCTGTCCCTATAAAGACCCCAGACTCAGCCATCAGAAAGAAGGAGCTGGACATCAGGCACTCTGGCTGAATGTCAGAGAGAAATGGCTTGACTTCAGAGGGACGGTCTGACAGCGTAACTTTGGAGAAGAATCAGCTGGAGATGGCCGGACTTCAGGGGAGGATCACTTACACCCCCCTGACCCCTTTTCAGCTCCCATTCCCACTGAGAGCCACTGAGGGCCACTTTAATCAGCCGTAAAATCCCCGCATTTACCATCCTTCAATTCATTCATGCAACTTCATTTTTCCTGGATGCTGGACTAGAGCCTGGGAGCTACGAGTGCAGATACAAAAGGCTGTCACACTGGCCCTTTGCCCTCGCTGGTGGAAGGCAGCCGCCTCATGTGAAAAGGCAGAGGGTCCACTGAGCTGTTAATGCTTAAGCCATCCATGGACAGAAGAGCTAAAAGAACACCGTAACACGCCCTCTGGGGCTTCAGGGGCCACAGGAACCCTCCTGCCTAGATGCTGCTGTGGAGCCCACACAGAGTTTGCTCCTGCCGGCGCCCAAAAGCACTCTCCCCAGATCCTGCACCCACTCACCTGTGTGCTCCCTCCTGCAAGGGGTGGTCCAAGTGAGTGAAGATCGCTCCTGCCAGCACCGAAGTGGCCAGCTGGTTCCAGCACTTGTGCACTCCAGTTCCTGCCTCATTCACTCATGCATTCCCTCCCACGGGATGTTGAGAGCTGCCGGCTGAGTAAATGAGGCACTCCTGTTGCAAATCCCGCGAAGCGGTCAGGGAAATACCCTGCTTCGCTAGAACCATCTGTCCACATTTGGGGTTCGCTCTCCTCTCTATTCTCCTCATCCTCCCTACTTCCTAGTGTGTAACACAGCCTTAGAGTTAGACCTGGGTTCACAGTCTGTCTCTGACACTTTCTAGCTGTGGAGCTTCGACCAGTTTCTTTATTCCCTGAAGCCTTTGTTTCCTCATCAGTAAGTGGAAATAATACCACTGTCACAGGCTTTTTTGCAAGAATTAAACGAGACACTATGAATAAGTGCCTGGCTGTTAGTAAGTTTTCAGTTATTGGTAGCTGTCCTCACCAACTCCCTGGTTAGACCCCTTTCCTTCACTTCTCACATCTGATTGCTTCCCAAGTTTTTTCAAGCCTGTCTTTCTTCAATCTGACCCTTCTCTGTTCTCAGAGACCCTTTCTAGGTCCTCAACCTATTGTATTTTGCTCATTCTCCTTGGATTTTTTTTGCCTTTGGTCTTATCCACTCCAATCTCTCTCTTTTTTTTTTTAATTTGTTTTGTTTTGTTTTGTATTTAGAGACAGAGCCTTGCTCTGTTGCCCAGGGTGGGGTGCAGTGGCATGAACGTAGTTCATTGCAGCCTGGAACTCCTGGGTCAAGCAATGCTCCTGCCTTTGCCTGCCAGGTAACTGGGACTACAGGTGTGTGACACCCATCTGGCTACTTAAAAATTTTTTTTGTACAGATGGGGTCTTGCTTTGCTGCCGAGGCTGGACTTGAATTCCTGGGCTCAAACGATCCTCCTGCCTCAGCTTCTCAAAGTGCTGGAATTACAAAAGCGTGAGCCCCCACACCTGGCCCCAATCTTTGTTTTTGCAGCAGTAGTTTTCAATCTTTTTAAAATTAATATCTCTAGATAAATCTTTAAACAGAAGAAAGCACTCTTCTGTAATCAGGGATAGGATATGGAGTCCCAAACACCTCCCTGGATCCCTCATTCACTGCAGCCCTGCGAAGCTCCACCAGGATCCCTTAGGGCATTGAGAAAGTCATTTTTGCCACCCTATTGCTGCCAGCGGTGATGTTTCTGAACATGTGGATCTGACAAGTTCACTCCTCTGGTGAATTTCTCCAGGGTTCACTAGCACCTCACGTAGAGGTTCCTAACCTGGGTATTGCCCTCTCTAGTCAACCTCCAACTTCACATGATGTTGTAGATATATATTTTTTAAACATGGCTCTGATTGTGTCACCCATGGCTCAGCATGGCGGTAAAGGCCCTTCACAGTGTGGCTCCAGCCTCTCTTTCTGCAAGGCACCTCTACTTCACCCATGCCAGGCCTGGCACTGCTTCCCCACTGCCTTTTTTCTTTGCCCTTGCACCTCTTTTTGCTGCATGCTAAGTCACCGCTTGTGTCCTCCTGCCTGAATTCCTCTTTTTCCCAGGAGACTCAGGCTAGGGTGGGGAGAGTCTTGCTAAAGCCCTAAGCAAGGAAGATTGATTTCCAGGAGTGTAGACAGGCTAACATGGGCAATTCAGGCCTTCACCTTTATCTGTGTAGATAATGTTTCAGACACACGGAATAGTCCAGGTGTCAAATTCCTTGTGGAAAGAAAACTTGACATTGATCTACTGTCAAATGGTTGCTTTGGTTTTTCGAATAGTTAAGATAGACATAATCAAAGATCACATCATTCGGCAAATTTTTATTTATTAAATACCAAAATTTGGTTCCCTTTTAACTACATGCCTAATCCTACTTCCTTTCTCAGCCAGAATTGTAAACCTTATTTTATTCTGGCTTTGCCTGGGTAGTCCCACCATTGTCTTCCAACATTCTCAGGGGAATCTGTAAGATTGCTATCCGAAAACTTTGTGGGGGAAATTATACAACAATTTGAAAAACTTTAAAGAGTACATAAATGATGGAATGTTAGTCCTATGTACTAAAAATGCCAATTATCTTGTAATTCATTTAAACAGTCAAAGAGATTCTAGTCTAGGTGCAGTGGCTCATGACTGTAATCCTAGAAGTTTGGGAGGCCAAAGCAGGAGGATCACTTGGGCCCAGGAGTTAGAGACCAGCCTGGGCAACATGGCAAAACCCCGTCTTTACAAAAAATATATAAAAATTAGCTGAGTGTGGTGGTGTGTACCTGCAGTCCCAACTACTTGGGAGGCTGAGGTGGGAGGATAATTTGACACTGGGAGGCAGAGGAGGATCACGTGCAGTGAGCCATGATTGTGCCACTGCACTCCAGCCTGGGCGACAGAGCGAGACTCCGTCTCAAAAAAAAAAAAAAAAAAAAAAAAAAAGTCTTTAGCCAGAATGGATCACCATTGAATGGGCCTATATTTTCCAAGCAGGATTTGATTAAATCTGGTCACACTTTAGGCCTCAAATTCAGAGATGATGTAGGCAACGCTCAGTGGAGACATCCCATAATGGAAGTGGACAGAAGTCCAGGAAGAATGACCTGACTCTGCAGTGCCACCAGAGTTGCTATAAAGTTCTGAAATATATTATGTTTCTTCATAAAAGTTAAGTTCTACAGTCAGCATGAAAGTCAGAAACTACATTGCGGTTTTTTTGTTTTGTTGTTTTTTTGAAACAGAGTCTCACTCTGTCACCCAGACTAGGCTCACTGCAGCCTCCACCCTCTGGGCTCAAGCCATCCTCCCACCTCAGCCTTCTGAGTAGCTGGGACTGCAGGCATGCACCACCACGCCTGGCTAATTTTTTATATTTTTTGTAGAGACGGGATTTCACCTTGTTGCCCAAGCTGGTCTTCAACTCCTGGGCTCAAGTGATCTGCCTGCCTCAGCCTCCCAGAATGCTGGGATTACAGGCCTGAGCCACCATGCCCAGCCAGAAACATGTTTTAAACCAACCCTCAACCAACCCATACTTTGGAGAAATACCTACAGAAACTAAGATTGGTGGGAGGCCCAGCAGCGTCTCACCTCCCATCTCAGACTCAGTCCAGGACACAGGCTCAGGGGGCAGAAGGAGGGCTGATTCGCCTGCATCTTTTGAAATTCTTTCTTTCTGTCTCTGCCTCTGCCTCTCTCTGTCTTCCTCCCTTCCTCTCTCTCTCTCTCTCTCTCTTTCTCTCTCTCTCTCTTTATTTATTTCACCTGAGTTTCAGAGTCCTTGGCTGAATTTGTCCACAACTTCCTGCAGCTCTAGCTGGGAGCCGAGAAGCATCACTGAGGACCACAGCCCCTTGCTTCCCAGAGCCCGGTCCCCTGCACTGAGACTGCTGTTTTGGCGCCTGTGGTGGTCCTCTTCATCCTCCACTCTGCTTCCCAACTCACTTACCACATATGGTCACCACCTCCTGGGTCATGTCACAGGGTACCAGGGCTGGAGTTGTTTCACCAGGTCAACAGGCATGGCTGCTGCCCTAGTTAGAGAATGTCCTAGAAGACAGGTCAAACCATCATGACATCCTTGGGACCAGGGGATAGGAGACAGAGGCCCCCAGTGCACAGTTGTGTGCATTGGTGCCCATATCCCCTTGCTCAACTTCTAGGAACTGGCTCTGGCCCCCTGCACACTCCACAGGCCCCTCCTGCCAATCTGCCTCTAACAATTTTCCTGCCTTCCCCTTTGGAGGGCAAAGACCAGAGGTGGCCCCTTGTTTTGTTGAGAAGCTCAGGGATCTGGTTCTTCCAAGGAGTCTTGGAATCAATCCCTCCTTGTCACTGTGCCCTAGAGTGTCTTGTAGCCTCCATTCCCATGGGTCTTCTTGGGCAGGTGGCAAATAGAGCTGACTGAGCAGTAGGGTGACTCCTTCCAACCTAGAATCCCAAGCTGCACAGTAAGGACGTAAGAGGACCGCCAGGCCCAGCACTCCCACTCTCCCCATGTGAGGGTAAAAGTTGATGACATCTCCCAGCCCTGCGAAGGTCCCGCATCCCACTACCTGCCCTCCCGCAGCTGGAAGGGCTGACTCCTGGAGAGGGAGGATTTACCTGAGGGCTCTGACCACCTTAACTGCCCAATGCCTTTCTGGAGACAGTGGCTGCCAAAGGAGACACGGACCTGTTGCCCATCTGGACAGTGTTTGTCAGGGAAGAAAGGGCGGCTTATGCAGCAGCCAGGCAGCACCGGGAAGGAGCTGGGTTGCTCCCGCCTTCCCGTTTGCATCACGCGACTCCGCGGGTCCCAGCGCGGCCCTGGCTAACCCGGATCGGCGCCACTGCCGGGTCACTGAGCCTCTCCAGGACGGAGCCTCGCTTCGCGCAGGAGCCCAGGCCATCCTCGCTGCGGAAAAAAGGCGGGATTCCTCTCCTGACCCATAGTAAACGAGCTGCGCTGGGGCGCGGGGAGCAGACTGCTTTTCTGGGGAAGCCGTGGGGCTCTCCACTTTTCGGGGTGGGGAGGGGAAGCTGAGCAGGGCGCAGACCAGGGGCCTGCCACATGGCCTCTGCGCCAAAAGAGTAGAGCCCAGGATGAGGGGCCCCTAGCCAGGCAGACCCAGCCCAGGAGGTTTTGGGTCTTGGGGCCTTGGGTGTGGACTGGTCCTAGATGAGCCCGCCAGGTTGGGTGCCACCGGCCTTGACGGGTTCAGGAGATGGGACGTTATGTCTAGACGCCGCCACGCTTTATCGCAAGCCCGGGCCTCATCTAGACCCCAAGGGGCACCCCAACCTGTTTAGGGTTCCCGGGACTCGTGCGCTTGCCCGCCTAAGGCGGTAAATTGCCATCGTCTCCAAAGGCCGCCCCCACTTCGTCCGCTCCCCACCCGCCCCCAACCCCAGGCTCAGAACCCGCCAGAGCAATCCAGGCCCGTTCTCTAGGTCAGAAATGCCGGCCCTGGGGTCATTTGTCCCTGTAGGGAGAGCGCCACCCGCTTGCCCCGGGGCGCTGTCCAAGCCGCGGTGCTGAAGCGCTCCGGGCCCTGACTCAGCGAACACACAGTCGTCACCGCGTGCAGCCGCCACTCCCCAGCCTGGGCCCGCTCCAGGCCGCGCCCACACCGGCTAATCATCCGCCCGGATGCACGTCTGCCTCATCAGGCTTAAACTAGAATCGCCTCGGAGGTTGGAGATTCCTGAGGAGGCCCAGAAAGGGCCAATGCTTGTCCCGGGCCAGGCAGCTGGGAGAGTGTGGAGCTCCATTCCTGAGCTCCATCCCGGATCCCGCAAGCAGCGGCTCACTCTGCCTGCTCCAGACCCGTCCCCTCCAGTGAGCCCAGAGGAGGGTCCACTCACTCTCGAAGAACGCATTCTTCCCACTGGCATCCAAGCCCAGCAGACCCTGCTACCTATGGGGTGGTGGGGGGGAGCGCAGTCAGACAATCCCTGGAATTGGTCCCGCACACCGCCAGCAGTGAAGATGCCTCTCTCCCTTATTTCTGGATGCCCCCCACAGCTTCTATGGATGCCCACAACCCCTTCCTCCCTCCACCCTCAATGTCCAAGCAGGCAAAGAAGACCGGGTGTCCCCAGTGAAGGGCTCTGCAGTGAGGGGTCTAGAATCTTGCCCTTGAAGGAGTAAATGATATCCCTCGAGTTGAGCGTGATCATGATGGCATGATATTGGGCCAGGCACTAGTCCAGCAAAGAGAGGCCAGAAGAAGCAGCCAGATGGCAGTGCTGGTGCCCAGAACCATGACCTGTCTTGCCCCAGGCCCCCACGGGTGACTTCTTAGAGTCGGCCAAGGATCAGTGCAGGCCAGGAGAGAGATGAGATAATAGTCAAGGCAAAAGGGTTTTGAGAGGATGTTCCAGGGGAGCAGAGCTAGCTGCCAGCACTCATTTGGTAGATACAAATGTCGTGTCCTGGTCTCTGGTCTCGGCAGATGTGTTCAATAACTCACGTCTGGCATCTCCAACTGCTAGGCCGTTCCATTTCGAGCTGTGGAGAGCATTCTGGCTAGACCCCGTGAGCAGGGCCCCAGGGGACTGGGCTCTGTGTCAGGGATGAGTTCACACTATGGCAAAGAGCAGGTGGTGGCCTCAGGGCTGTTGAGCTGTCCCAGAACAGGATTCTTTTCTTTTCTTTCTTTCTTTCTTTCTTTCTTTCTTTCTTTCTTTCTTTCTTTCTTTTCTTTTCTTTCTCTTTCTTTCTTTCTCTTTCTTTCTTTCTTTCTTCCTTCCTTCCTTCCTTCCTTCCTTCCTTCCTTCCTTCCTTCCTTCCTTCCTTTCTTTCTTTCCTTTTTTGAGATGGAGTCTCACTCTGTCACCCAGGCTGGAGTGCAGTGGCATGATCTTGGCTCACTGCAACCTCCATCCCACGGATTCAAGTGATTCTCCTACCTCAGCCTCCCAAGTAGCTGGGATTACAGGTGCCCACCACCATGCCCAGCTAATTTTTGTGTTTTTAGATAGACATGGGGTTTCGCCATGTTGGCCAAGCTGGTCTGCAACTCCTGACATCAAGTGATCCACCTGCCTCAGCCTCCCAAAGTGCTGGGATTACAGGCGTGAGCCACCTCGCCCAGCCCAGAATCAGGATTCTTAAAATGATTGTGCTGCATACTGAATCATGTTGCTTTTGACTCTTGTAGCTGGCCCCCTTCCTTCTCTAGGGTGCCTGCTGGTACACCCTGGATGATGTCTGAGACAGATGGTGCTGCTCAGCCCCTTGAGGGGCTGCTCTGCCCCATGGTTGAGGTGGACTGTCAACCATGGGGCAGGAAGATCTAACTCCCCTCCCTCATGGTCCTCACATTGTGGGTCCCCTGGCAATAGATAATAACAAGTGTCACCATGGACATTAGAGTGACCCCAAGAGACAGAAAAGGTGGGTATTAGTGAACACATTAGGGGAGACAGAAGGGCAGAGAGGGCACGGGACAGTCACCAAGACTCCTAATGACTAACTTCTTCAAACTTCTCAGCAACATCCTCTTCCCTGTCCCCTGCTCTCCACCTCATCCATCAAGGAGCTGATGCTAATGGGGTTCCCTTGTTCAGAGCCAGACTGCTATGGTTACTATGGTAGTTAACAAACAGCCACTCCAGGCTCTTAACAAAGTAATCCTCCTGGAGGGACAGAAGAGGGCTTCTGTGGCCCGAGGACCAACATGTTACCTCTTGGCTGGCTTGGCAGCCATGGCAAGGACATGAACAGCATCCACTGAGGAAAGGAGACTGCTGGGCACACCGTGGGGAGGGGCAGGAGCCTGGAGGAAGTGCAGATGTCGGGATTTGGCTGCCGGCCACACCTGCTGGGCCCTCAGGTCGTGAGACACAAAGTGTTGCTTTACCTTCTCATTGCGGTAGCCAATCCAGAGCTGTGACAGCAGTTGTTGGGGAAGAATGTGAATCCAAACGCATTCAGCAAGCCTGCTAGAATGGGAAAAACCCAGGGGGCCCTGGGAGAGGGTCTCCCTGAAGCCCAGGGTGGCAAGGCTCCCGCCAAATAGAATAATTCAGCATCTGTATAAACCAGAATAATTCTACCACCTGGATGACCTACAGTAAGGCTGAGGAACATCACACTGGGCAGTGCACAGAGCAAATGCAACCCTCCATACACCACCTGGAATGGTCCCCGTTTCCCATTCTGCTCTCTCTGTGAGCCTAGAACAGATGCAAAGGCCCAGTGGAGGATGAGGGGCAGCCCCAGCGCACCAAGGCCTACTTTTGAGTCTGTATTTTCTGGTCCTGTGTCTCTTAGGAGTAGCCCCTTCTGCTGGAACTTCTGAGCAGCTTTTTAATGCCTCATCCCCAGACAGGAAGAGATAGTCAAAGATTGTTAGCCTTTTTGAGGCCAGATGTGGTGGCTCATACCTGTAATCCCAGCACTTTGGGAGGCCGAGGCAGAAGGATCACTTGAGGCTAAGAGTTCGAGACCAGCTTGGCCAACATGGTGAAACCCCATCTCTACCAAAAATACAAAAATTAGCCAGGCATGGTGGCAGTCCTGTAATCCCAGCTACTCGGGAGGCTGAGGCACAAGAATCACTTGAACCCAGGAGGTAGAGGTTGCAGTGAGCCAAGTTTGTGCCACTGCACTCCGGCCTGGGCGACAGAGCAAGACTGTCTCAAAAAGACAAAAACAGAAACAAAATCAATTTGATGGAAAGAAAGAACTAGTCTAAGAAAAAGAAAGAGCTTTTAGAATTTAAACTGTTTAGCCAGGTGCGGTGGCTCACACTTATAATCCCAGAGCTTCTGAAGGCTGAGGTAGGAGGATCTCTTGAGACCAGCCTGGGCAACAAGTGAGACCCCATCTCTTAAGAAAAATGTTTTAAATAATTTAAGCTGTTTAATAAAAATTCAGTAGGATTGGAGGATAAAGTTGAAAAAATCTCCCAGGAAGTTAGCTGGAGGTAGGGGAAGGAGAATTGGAGTAAAAGAAAAGGAAGGAAGGAAGGAGACGAAAAGAGTTAGTTGATTAACTTCGTATTAGTAGAAATTCTAGGAAGAGAAAACAATAGGGAGGAAATTATTATAACGAATTTTTGTAAATCCCCAGAATGGAAGAGCATATGTTTACCAGCTGAAGGAACTGATACCACATATCCACATAATGCGTGAAAAAAATACCATAGAAAGCACAGCACTGGCAATTTTGAAAAATGCCTACAGGATAAACAAAAGATCCTAAAACTTCTGGGGGAAAAGAAGTCCACCCCCTAGGGACTAGATATTGTCACAGCAACACCGGAAGAATACAGAAGTAAACTTCAAATGTTGGAGGGAAAACTATCTCCATATGGAAGTACATATCTAGTCAAAATATTGATCAAATGTAAGAGTAGAAAAAAGATATCATTAGATGTTCAGGGTCTGAAAACTTTACCTTCCATGTACCTCTGCCAGGAAACTTCCAGAGAATGTACCTCACAAACGTAAAGAAGTGAACTAAAATGCAGAAGCTGTGAGACTCAGAAAAATGGGATGTCATGGGGTGGGAGTGGAGTGCCTGGGGACCCCATAAATGAAGGGGCAGAAACACTCATGCATGACAATTCATAGCAGGAACACGAGGCAGCCAGCCCAAACAGAAGCGGGAGGTCTGAGAGCTCCAGAAAGCCTGGGAGATGCCCTGGTCATTTCCCTGTCCCACCCTCCTACCCCTGGTGCCTCACCCAGGGCTGGCAAAGGAAGGGAGCTCAACTCATATGTGGATGATGGCAGATCCAGCGCACAGGCACGAATGAGTTCATGATGAAAGTGAAGTGCCAGGGCATGAGAGTGAAGTGCCGGGCAGGCAGTTCCCTCTGAGCAGCTGTGCCACTACCACTTGACACACACTACATGCTCCTGCAGCAGCCCTGTTGCTGCCACCAGACGCCCACACCACCCCGGGAGCCTCTGTCCTCGCCCAGCCAGTCCTCAGCATTGTCCCTACCTCCATGGGAACAGATATGAGAGGGATGCTGGTGAGCGGCAAGCAGGCTGCTCCAGCAAACCCTCTTTCATAAGTAACCCAGTTAACTTCTGAGGTGCCCTGAGCATCTGCTATGCTTGGCACCAAGTGCTTTATATGTGTACTTTTTAATCCACTGGGAGGCCATTTTATAGGGAGGGAGCTGAGGCTTGGGGTCTGAGGTGGGGGCACCAGGCTCCATCTCCTTCCTCATGTCCTGTGCCGACCCTGGGTGATTACCCTCAACCTCAAGTCAGAAACCTGCCCCTTGTGGGCAGGGACCCAGCATGGCCGGAAAGGGGTCTTTGGTTGGGTTTGTGTGGTCTACATCATGAGTCCAGTCACATGGGATTCCCAGTACATGATAGGGTATTCTGGTACCTCCAAGACCTGGGGTGGCAGGGCAGTGAGAGGGAGGGTATTTGTAGACCAGATAATGCCAGATTTGGGTTCAGTGCTACTGGACCCATTCTGTATGTGGAGCAGAAACAAGGGAGCCGGGGCCCTGTACTCCGATGTCTGTAGCTCAAGGAAGGGTCTGACGCATGCCCTAAACAGAAATCCACCATGGCTTAAGGCCAGGGGCACTGGGCAGAAGAGGACCAGGCAGAGGATTGCGGTGGGCTTTGGAGAAACCAACACTGTCCTGAGCTCACATGTCAAGTACAACACAGGAACGAATCCCTTCACCTTCCTCAGCCTCAGTGTCCCCAGCTAGAAAAAGGGGGTCAAGACAGCCCCTCCTTCAGGGTTGTGGTGAGGACTGTCCTGGGCCAATTGGCCTAAGACCATAAGAGACAGACCTGTACTTCAACTAAGTAAAGATTATTGACTCTCTTAGTAATAGCAGAGACCACACACCAGAGGACACGGAGATTGCCTCACCAAACAAAGGAAAATATAGTTATTATGCTATAGTATTGGAAAAAAAGGTAGAGTGTAGATGGAATTTTTATTGCACCAGCTTTTTGGCTGGGTGCAATAGCTCGCACCTGTAATCCCAGCAATTTTAGAGGCCAAGGCAAGAAGATCACTTGAAGGCAGAGTTCCAGACCAGCGTGGGCAATATAGCAAGACCCCATCTCTACTTTTTAATAACTAAAAAAATAAATAAACCTTTTTTTAAAAAGACATGATCTTATTATATTGTCCAGGCTGGACTCAAACCCCTGGGCTCAAGTAATCCTCCCACCACAGCCTCCAGAGTAGCTGGGACTTCTTACAACAGGGAGCCACAGTGCTTGGCTAACGCACTTTTTTTTATAGACTCAAAGCTAAGGCCTGGACTACGAAGGGCCCAGTATTCTATTTTCCTTGAAAACTACATAAACTTGGAATGTGGTGCCCAGAAAACTTTTTTTTTTTTTTTTTAGATGGAATCTCAGTCTGTTGCCCAGGCTGGAGTGCAGTGGTACAATCTCAGCTCACTGCAACCTCCTCCTCCCGAGTCCAAGTGATCCTCCTGCCTCAACCTCCTGAGCAGCTGGGATTACAGGTGCGTGCCACTATGCCCTGCTAAGTTTTGTATTTTTAGTAGAGACCGGATCGATGATCCCTCAGGGATCATAGGATGGAGAGACAGAGGATCCCTGGGGAGGTAGGGTGGGAGGGAGCTGATGAGCCGTGCCACTTCTGAAATGCAGGGTGTGTGGCTCTGGTGCAGGGAGAGGCAGGTGGATGCTGGGAGGTCAGAACTTGCAAGGGCCTTGGGGCTGTCATGGGGGATGGGCCCCTGGGGCACCCAGAGTACACCGGGCAGGTCTCAGGGCAGGCTCCCTTGACCCTGGCAGGGTGATGTGGTCACTCCCTGAGGGACTCCTGTCAGGGCCCGGTCGCCCACCCTGGGCGGCCCCCATCCCACCTCAGGGCTAACCTTTCTCAGCTCCAGCAGAAAGCACCACCTCGAGTCCAGGACGGGCAGCCCCACTGGGCAGCCTGACCGCCCCCCACGCCAGGGGCCCCAGTAACCCCAGCCAGGCTGTCCCTACACTCCTTCTTCTCCCAGGTCCTGCCCCTTCTGGGAGTCAGCCCCACAGGAAGGCCCTTGTCCTCCCTTCCCTGTGCCTTCTCCTGGGTTGAGCCCTGAGCTGGATAGGGACAGAGCCAGTCCTTTCTGGGGATTGGCTCCCAGTCTGGGATGGCTCCAGGCCCTGTGCAGGTCCTCAGCTTTGCCTGGGTTGTCTTACAGTGAGACGGAGCTGCCTCCTCTGACTGCGTGGGAGGTGAAGGTAAGAACCTGATGCATGGAGGGGCTGGTCCAGGGATGTAGGGACTGGGCAGGTGGTCGGTGAGGCAGAGGAGGCAGCTGGCCTGGGCGGTGGTGGGTGAGGGCAACACGCTGTCACTGGGAGGGGCAGCAGTCCCTGCTGGACCTGACCCCAGGTTGCTGTGACTTTGGCAGTTTGATAAAATTCCAAAGTGAGAACCACAGTCCTGGCTTGGGAGTGGCTGCCCGCTTGTGTCAGGACCCCACCTAGAGGCTGGGACCTAAGACTGGTGTGTTTGTGGCCTGAGGATGGCATGTCCCCAGGTCCCAAAGCCAGCCCACTGGTGCTCATTTGCTCAAAGGCTCTCAGCCATTGAGGTCTGCCCTTCCCTGGCTCCTTCCAGCTGGCTCCCACCAGGGGTCCAGAGCCCAAGACCCAGCATCCACGGGTGGCTCTGGAAAGCCTGGCAGCTCCACTAACTCCAACATACCTCATTTGACAGCAAATGTGGTGGGAGATGAGACGAACGAGCAAGTGGATGGAAATGCTGGGAGAATGGGAGACATATAAGAACAGTACCAAAGTAATGTGTGGAGGGAGAGGCCCCTGGAAGCACTCTCTGCAGAGACAGGGGACAGGCACCCATGGCTGTGGCCTGGCACCGTCAGCCTCTCAGAGGGTGGGTGGCACACTGTCCTCGCCCAGAGGACTGCAGGCCTGGTCGCCAGATTTCCTGCCTATTCGTGCAAGCGTCACCTTGCTGGGAGGGAATCTGAATCTAGGGCTGGGACTACCCGGAGCTCAAGGCTAGGGATGCCCTGGTGACCTGAAGGAAGGAAAAGGTTCAGATCAGAGTTTTGACTCTGAGTGTCCATCCACTCTCAGTCCTGGGAAGAGAGGCCCTGTCCCAGCTTGATCTCACCTCTACCGAGGAATCATGGGGCCAAAACCGACAATTTCCAGAATCCTTGGGCTCTGGTCTTCACTGGGGTCACCCGGTGGCCTGTGATACCAGATTGTTTTTTGCACACAGCTGATAGATCTAGTGTACAAGGGCATTCCCATGAACATCCGGGGCCTGGTGTGGTCAGTCCTCCTGAACATTCAGGAAATCAAGTCGAAAAACCCCAGAAAATACAAGGTACGCTCAGCCAGAGCATAACAAACAGGACAGGCCGTGTCAGGGGCCCAGGTCTCCAGCTGGAGGGAACGTCAAGCACACCCTGGAGGGGGTGGGGGCAAAGGTCAGATGAACACCCTGGGCACAGATGGTGACACAGTCACCACAGACAAACTGGGCTCTGGTGACCCTCCCCGGCTTCAGTAACAAGCCAAAAAGCAGCTTTCTGCACAAAGAAACCTTCCTTCTGTCCTTCCTTCCCAAAGTGCTGACTGTGGGCTGACTGCCACTGGGGGCAGGGAGCCTTCCATCTGTTCTGAGGCTGCTTCCTCCTCTTGGCCCTGCCCTACAGATCATGAAGGAGAAGGGCAAGAGGTCATCTGAACACATCCACCACATCGACCTGGACGTAAGCGGGACATTAAGGAAGCATATATTCTTCAGGGATCGATACGGAACCAAGTAAGCCTACGGGAGCCACAGGGTCCCAGCAGAGATGGGGTGAATGAGAGGGATGGGGGCTTCCCTGGAGTAGAAGCCAGGGTCACCCAGGAGGGATGACACAGGTGCCAAGAACTGTCCCGACCCAGGGAGCAGCCGGCACCATGAACCGAGCACCTCCCTGGTTCCAAGCCCTGGGCCAGACTGGAACATGTGGGGCCAGAACCCAGGAGGATCCTGAGGAGATGGAAGGCAGCAAACAAAATCATGCACAATGGTGAAGGGTGCTCTCCCTGACCCATGGGGACCCATGGTAGGACCCACGGGAGGGTGGCAGGATAGAGGGCCCATGAGCTCCCCCAGGCAATAATGACAGCACCAAATGCTGGGAGAATTAGGGGTCCTGGAAACTCTCATCCAGGTCTGCTGGGAACATGACATGGCACAGCCACGTTGGCAGCCAGTTGGGAGTGGCTCACAAAGCTCAATGGACTTGAACCACACATCCCCAAAGTGTCACAGATATTGAACCCACTGATTTGGAAACTGACATCCACATGAAACCTGCATGCCAGGTTCACTGCTTGATTCCTCGTCACTCACACACGGAGCCTTCGGGGACGGCCTTCAACACGGGGATGGGGAGAGCAAGGCTGGTCCTCCCTTCAAACAGAAGACCCAGTGAGAAAAGGGAACGAGCCAGTGATGCCCGCACGAATGTGGGTGGATCCTAGATGCATTTTGCTGAGGGACAGAAGCCAGACCCAATAAGCTACCACCGTAGGATTCCCATTCCTAGGCCATTCTGGAAAAGGCCAAACCACAGGGACTGAGAAGCAGTCTGGGTGGCCAGGGGCTGACGGATCGGGGAGAGGCTGGGTGCATAGGGGCCACCCTGGAGACTTGGAGGATGAAGGAGTCGCCCCAGGAGGGGCTGGAGCGGTGGCCGGGAGACTCTGCACATTGGTTTGGAACCGTGGAGGAACTGTACACCCACAGACTGAACTGGCGTGTGTGCAAACTGAAAAAAAAAAAATCATTCAGAGTGAAAAGGATCAGGCAAGTCACTGTACAACAGGACTATTTGCATGTCACAGATGTGGATTTTACTGAAACTTTTCTTCAACAGTCTCAGGCCCTGAAGAGCTCACTGCTTATCTGGTGAATCATCTGAACCTGAAATGGGATTTGCTGTTAGGATTTGTAGACAAAGTGAAATTAACAACATCTGCACAAAACAAACCAAAGCCCCCTTTCTCTGTTTCCTAGGCAGCGGGAACTATTCTACATCCTCCTGGCATATTCGGAGAATAACCTGGTGAGTATTCCCGGCAGTGAGGTTCCCGGGCCATATTTCCATATTGACAGGAGTGGGTGTCTGGTGGGGGTGTCGTTGCTTCTTTTAAAGTTAGTATTTGTGACCCACCAGGATATAGGAGGTAGGATTCCAGCTCACCGATGGCATAAACCTTCAAGCAAGGGGGTGGTCTCAAGGGGTCAAGCTGAGACACAAAGGAGTCAGGGCCCGGACTCCTGGTGTCACCTGGGCCTGACCACCACTTCTCAGAACAAGAAATGACGCCCTCCTCCTGGGGCTGCCCCAAAGCCCATGAGCTTGGCAGCATCGCACACAGGATGGTGCTATCAGCAGACATTTTGGACAAGGTGCTGAAGTGCCTGATGGACTTGGCTCTTGTCATGAAATGAATGTGCATCCTGAGGAAGCCTCTTTTTCAGAGGAAGCCTCTTCTTCAGAGGAAGCCTCTCCAGTCACCTCTGCTCTCTCCAATGACATGAGTCCTCCCAGGTGACCTCAGCCCTCCCAGGTGATGTCCTTCCATGGTGACTCTGGCTCTTGCAGGAGGTGGGCTACTGCAGGGACCTGAGCCACATCGCCGCCTTGTTCCTCCTTTATCTTCCTGAGGAGGATGCATTCTGGGCACTGGTGCAGCTGCTGGCCAGTGAGAGGCACTCCCTGCAGGGTAAGTGAACAGCTGCCCCGGGGACCTCCTGCAGCCAGACCTGGGGATGGCCACCCTGACCAGGTGATCACAGCTTTCAGCCAAGGCACCCTCCTTGTGTCGCCAGCTTGTTGGGAGACTTTAGGATGTCTCTGCTGAGGGTCCCACAGGAGTCCACGGCTGACCCCCAAAGCCCAAATCAGACGCCTCTCATCCCCATCAGCAGAGGGCATCTCATCCTCCCCGTGGCCACCCTCTGTGTCCTGGAGCCACGCCCTCTGGCTCTGATTCTGTGCAGCTGACTCTCCCCTCCCTGAGAGTCCTCCTGCCCTCCAGCTGCCCGGGCTCCTGCTGCCATCGGTGCCCACGAATGGGCCGACCAAGCCCAGGTGGCAGCATCTCCCCATCCCCTGTTCCCTGGCCCGACCCCACTACCAGGAGATGACCGGGAAGCCCAGCGCCCACCCAGTTCCGGCCACCCTGTCGTGGCCTGAAAGTCAGGCTTGCCCTTTTTGCACCCTGGCCCAGGAGGCCTCCAGGGGAACCTCCAGCCAGGCTCCAGGGAATGTTCCCGCCCCACCTCCCCAGGGTAAAGGCCGCATGTTGGGGTCACCAGAGGGGAGGGTGGGAGGCCTTGGGGTTTGGGGGCCTCTCCAGCTGCCCAGCTCTTGCAGCTGATGGCTCCACATCTTGGGGGAAGGCTCTGATTTCATGATGGGCTGGGGGCTTCTCAGGATTTCACAGCCCAAATGGCGGGACCATCCAGGGGCTCCAAGACCAACAGGAGCATGAGGTAGCCACGTCACAACCCAAGACCATGGGGCATCAGGTGAGTTCATGGTCCCCTCAGCTCTTCCCAGAGGCCCTGCCTCCCGTGGGGCTGTAGGAGCAGCGGGGCTGGAGCCCCTCGTGGGGCTGGTGACTGGCTGAGTCCCAGCCAGGGCCTGACCTGGGACGTCGGGTTCTCCATGGGCTAGCAGTTGGTTTCCTTTCCTGCCCTGGAGGAGACAGAGGCACAGGGATGGGGGCCCAGCTCCCGCAAAGCAGGGCAAAGGGCAGTGTGTCCACCGGGAGTGTGGGAAGGTGACAGTGTTGTGGGGAGCTCTGGACACCGCCCAGTGTTCTGCACTAGGGGAAGGGTCTTCAGAGACCCGAGAAGAGGGAGGTTTTTAGGGCAGCCCAGTGGCCTGAGCACCTCTGTTGCTTCCATCAGGACAAGAAAGATCTATGTGGGCAGTGTTCCCCGTTAGGCTGCCTCATCCGGATATTGATTGACGGGGTAAGGAGGCATAGGGAGACCCTGGCTCAGGGACCTTCCTTGCCCTGCAGTGCCCTGCTTCCCCAGCCCGGGGGTCTGGCTCACTCCCAGCCCACAGGAGGCTCAGGCGGGTCCCCAAAGGACACACAAGCAAAACCCTCTGCCCAAGAGGGGTCATCCCAGGGCAATGGCTGGGGCTCAGGCCCAGCCTCATGGGCAGACTGGGCCAGGACCCGACTTGAGAGGGCTCAGGGAAGCCTCAAGCCCTGGGCAAGCCCCTCGCTCCAGGAGCCACATCCCCACTCAAATGAGTGCCCCCCATGAGGAGCTTCAAGACCTTGTCTGACCCAGCGTCCTGGAGGGCTCAGGCGACCCTCATGGGGAAGGTCACTGACTCTGGAGACTGAAGCCCCAGTGTGCGCAGCTCGAGCCACCAGCCCCAGCCTGGAAGGACCAGGTTCTTTCACACCTGCTGTCCCCACAGATCTCTCTCGGGCTCACCCTGCGCCTGTGGGACGTGTATCTGGTAGAAGGCGAACAGGCGTTGATGCCGATAACAAGAATCGCCTTTAAGGTTCAGCAGAGTAAGTCTACGTGTGCCCAGCGGGGCCTGGGGAGCCCTGGGGTCAGACCCCGACTGGCCCGAGGGCAGCTTCCTCACACTGTCCTCATGATCCGCTGTTCTGGCCCAGAGGGAGGTCCGGCCAGGTGGGCTGGGCAGGACACTGTGACACCGAGCCCATCCCTCACATGACCCAGATGAAAGTCGAGAGTGTGGTGAGCACTTCCCTGTCCGGATCGCCCCCCAGCCACAGTCTCCTGTGTATATCTGGACGCCTGCGGTGGCCAAAAAAGGATCCGGCACCGCCCAGTAGGAGGCTGAAGTGGCCACGGGGTATGAGCTGTGACCATTCCCAGGTAACTCCCCTGGCCTGATATCCACCCTGTCCCTAGAGCGCCTCACGAAGACGTCCAGGTGTGGCCTGTGGGCAAGTTTTTGGAACCGGTTCCTTGATACCTGGGCCAGGGATGAGGACACTGTGCTCAAGCATCTTAGGGCCTCTATGAAGAAACTAACAAGAAAGCAGGGGGACCTGCCACCCCCAGGTGGGCTCCAGTGCCATGTCCCCTCCCATGTCACCCTCTGGGGTAGTCAGTAGTAGGGGAGTGCCCGGGACCCGCAACCCTACTACCTGGGCCTTCCTCTTCACCTTTTCTTCCTCCTCTTCCTCCTGGACTCTAAGAAAGTACAGGAGGCCCACCGGTCCTCAGGGCAGGCGCTCAGTGCGTGTATACTGGACATGCTGTGCACGCAGGAGGGGGATGTGGGCAAGACCCTCCAACAAGCCCCCTCCCACTTTCCACAGTGTCTCCCTCTCCCCCTCGCAGGGCCCTCCAAGTTACTAGACGAGCCCAGACCCATTTGTGGGAGACCCCGCCCCTCCCTGCAAGCACCCACAGCCGCAGAGAGCAGCAGAGGCCCCTCACTCCTGCACGCTCCTCCAAGGTTGCCAGGACAAGAAGCCTGGAGCCAGGGAGACAAGGGAATCCGTGTCCCTGACCCACAGAGCATTCAGGGAGAGGGCACAGGCGGGACCCCGGGCCCAGAGCCAGAGCCAAGAGTTCAGCCAGAAGTGGGAACGGTCAGTCCTGGCATGGACTGGGCAGCCCAGGAGGGCAGAGGGTGACCCACGTCCGGGCCCAATCACCCACTGCGGAGACGGGTCCCCACGTGAGGTGACAAGGGGCTGGGTGACATCCAAGGCCCCTCCCACCTGAGTTCTGACTGGGGGCCGTATCCCAGGCCCAACAGCCCTGGGACGAAGGTGTGTGGCAGGAAGCCCCCAGCCAGTCTGAACCCTGGGGGCAGTCCCAGGAGCCACCCGCCATGCCACGACAGCTTCCCCACGCCAGGCAGCATGCACCCCTCCCTCTGGGATCAGCAGACTACAGGCGTGTCCTCGGTGTCAGGCCACGGGGGCCACACAGAGACCCCGAGGACTCCAGAGACGCAGGCAGGTGGGGCCCAGCCCGGAAAGGCCTGCGTGGGCTCACTGGAGATGCTGACCGCGTCTGTTTTCCTTTCAGCCAAACCCGAGCAAGGGTCGTCGGCATCCAGGCCTGTGCCGGCTTCACGTGGCGGGAAGACCCTCTGCAAGGGGGACAGACAGGCCCCTCCAGGCCCACCAGCCCGGTTCCCGCGGCCCATTTGGTCAGCTTCCCCGCCACGGGCACCTCGTTCTTCCACACCCTGTCCTGGTGGGGCTGTCCGGGAAGACACCTACCCTGTGGGCACTCAGGGTGTGCCCAGCCCGGCCCTGGCTCAGGGAGGACCTCAGGGTTCCTGGAGATTCCTGCAGTGGAACTCCATGCCCCGCCTCCCAACCGACCTGGACGTAGAGGGCCCTTGGTTCCGCCATTATGATTTCAGACAGAGCTGCTGGGTCCGTGCCATATCCCAGGAGGACCAGCTGGCCCCCTGCTGGCAGGCTGAACACCCTGCGGAGCGGGTGAGATCGGCTTTCGCTGCACTGAGCCACAACGTGGGCATGGACTTCCCGGCCCTGCAGTGCACCCAGCACTGATTCCGACCAGGGCACCCCCTTCAGAGCTAGGGACGAACAGCAGTGTGCTCCCACCTCAGGGCCTTGCCTCTGCGGCCTCCACTTGGAAAGTTCTCAGTTCCCTCCAGGCTTCTAGAAGCATCTGGGCCACGGCTCATGGCTGGATAATTTCCCGAGGCTTAACAACCCAAGCAAGCTTCGCATCCTCGTTTTATTTTTGGTTAAACTTATGAAAATGTATTAAGAAAGAGTGCAGCTCGAGAGAGATTCAGAGATGGAACACACCAGACCCCAGATCACAAAGCCAACCATGCCCGGCCCCTCCCAGCACCCCCAGCCCCACGACCATCGTTCTGAATTCTGACGACACCGTGAGCCTGCCTTTGTACTTTAAACTCATGGCAGGATGACCACCTTCACGTTTTGAAATAAATGTTTCCTGTTGAAATGATTTTAGATTTTAGACAGAAGTATTGAAAAGGCACTATAGTGTCCTCCTACACCTTCCATCCAGCTGCCCCTAATAATGATGTTTTGCAGTCCCATGGCACATAAGAAATTTAGGCCGGGTGTGGTGGCTCACACCTGTAATCCCAGCAATTTGAGAGGTCGAGGTGGGAGGTTGAGGTTCACTTGAGTCTAGAAGTCTGAGACCAGCCTGGGAAACCTAGGTGGACCCGGTCTCTAGAGAAAAGTCAAAGAAATTAGCCAGGCATGGTGGCGTGTGCCTATAGTCCCACCTAGTCAGGAGGCTGAGGCAGGAGGATTGCTGGAGCCCACGAGTTCCAGGAAGCAGTGAGCCATGATTGCACCACTGCACTCCAGCCTGGGTGACAGAGTGAGACTTTATCTCTTAAGAAAATTTAAGAAATTTAATGTGGGTACAATTCTATTAACTAAATAATAATGTGAACTATTATCTAAGGTTATGAAGGCTAGAATTATCCCATAATGGTGTTTTCTCCTTGGTGTAATATTTCACAAAGAGACAAAGAATACATATGTGTGTATGTGAATCATTCATGCTAGTTACCACGTAAATAAAAACAAGCAGCAAATACGAAGTTAAAAGTGAAGTTGAAGTGTAAATGCTGCTGTCCAGATGGGTGAGGCTTACTCATCCGCCAAGCGACGTCCTCAACCTCGCCTCCACCGCACACAGCGTTGAAGTTTCCATCTCAACAGAACATACACATCATGAAGCTTTACGGTTCATAAACGGTTGAGAAAGCTAACATCAAATTCTTGCATGCCAAGAGTCTACAAATTATTCCATTCACAGATGTTATAATCGGATTTATTTATTTATTTATTTATTTTGATACGGAGTCTTGCTCCCAGACTATAGTGCAGTGGCGCGACCTCGGCTCACTGCAACCTCCGCCTCCGGTGTTCAAGCAATTCTCCTGTCTCAGCCTCCCGAGTAGCTGGAATTACAGGCACGCGCCACCATACCCGGTACTTTTTTGTATTTTTAGTAGAGACGGTGTTTCGCTATGTTGGCCAGGCTGGTTTTGAACTCCCGACCTCAAGTGATCCGCCCACCTCAGCCTCCCCAAGTGCTGGGATTACAGGCGTGAGCCACCTCGCCCGACTCTGATCATTACTTCATTAGGATAAAACCATTCCTTAGAAAGGTCATTCAATTCTGATGATTGTATATCTCATATTTTTCAAATACTCTCATTGTTAATAAGCGTTTCACTCCACTAAGGCTACCCTGGCATCAAACGTATTTCAGATTTGGCTAGGCCCGGCAGCTCATGCCTGCCATCCCAGCATTCTGGGAGGTCGAGGCGGGTGGTTCACCTGAGATCAGGAGTTGGAGACCAGGCTGGCCAGCATGGCAAAACCCCATCTCTACTAAAACTACAAAAAATTAGCTGGGCGTGGTGGCAGGTGCCTGTAATCCTAGCTACTCGGGAGGTTAAGGCAGGAGAATCCCTTGAACCTGGGAGGGAGAGGTTGCAGCGAGCCGAGATTGCGCCCCACTGCACTCCAGCCTGGGCGACAGAGCAAGACTCCATCTTGAAAATAATAATAATAAAATACAGTGAGGAGTTTTTTTTTGTTTGGTTGGTTTTTTTGGGTTTTTTTTTGTGTTTTTTTGACCGAGTCTCGCTCTGTCACCCAGGCTGGAGTGTGGTGGCGCGGTCTCAGCTCACTGCAAGCTCTGCCTCCCGGGTTCACGCCATTCTCTTGCCTCAGCCTCCCTAGTAGCTGGGACTACAGGCGCCCGCCACCACGCCCGGCTAATTTTTTGTATTTTTAGTAGAGACGGAGTTTCACCATGTTAGCCAGGATGGTCTCGATCTCCTGACCTCGTGATCCGCCCACCTCGGCCTCCCAAAGTGCTGGGATTACAGACGTGAGCCACCATTCCCGGCCCAACACAATGAGTTTTAATAGACAGTCAGGATTAGGTGACATTCATCTATCTAGTCCTACATGCCATTTTGGCATTGAAGGGTTCCACAGGGCTGGAGTCACTTAGCCCTAGGTGCACAATTCTAGTGTATGAGTATACTTTTCTATTCTAAAGCCGCAATGGGCAAAATGGGTCAGTGTAATTGTAGAATTCATCTTCTACATATCAAGCACTGTAATAGGTAAACATTTTATATACATCCTCTCTAATCTTTGCAACATTCCACAAAGTAAGGGTTATTTTACCCATTGAAAAATCACTGGAAAGTCAGAGGATTTAGGGCCATTGCCCCCAACATCTACAGCCCACACCAGGATTTGAACCCAGATCTGTCTGGTTTCAAAACCCTGCCCTAATCATTTCACTGTATTACCAATCCAAGGAATAAATAAAGTTAAGGTATCTTAGTCAGATAAAAGTGGCAAATTAGACCAGGCGTGGTGGCTCACGCCTGTAATCCCAGCACTTTGGGAGGCCGAGGCAGGCAGATCACGAGGTCAGGAGATCGAGACCATCCTGGCTAACACGGTGAAACCCCACCTCTACTAAAAAAATACAAAAAATTAGTCGAGCGTGGTGACACACGCCTGTAGTCCCAGCTACTCGGGAGGCTGAGGCAGGAGAATCGCTTGAAGCTGAGAGGCAGAGGTTGCAGTGAGCCGAGATCGTGCCACTGCACTCCAGCCTGGGTGACACAGTGAGACTCCATCTCAAAAAATTTTTTAAAAATGTGGCAAATTAATGAGAGGAAAATTTAAAAAGTTAACCCCACAAACCAAGAAATCTATTTATGATTATGTTTTTTGTAAGAGACAGAGTGTTGCTCTATTGTCCAGGCTAGTCTCAAAGTCCTGACCTCAAGCAATCCTCCCGACTCAGCCTCCTGAGTAGCGGGGATTATAGGCATTACAGGCATGAGCCAATGCCCCAAGCAAGAAGTCTGTATGTTCTTATCATACGTGCGACGAAACAAAATTATACTTAAGAAACTGACAAATCATGGTAATATTTTAAATATCATGACTACACTGAAACCCTGCCAGAGGTATTTTTAAAATGTCAAGGATTTTTTCGATTTTTTTTTTTTTTTGAGACAGAGTCTCCCTCTGTTGCCCAGGCTGGAGTGCAGCAGTGAGATCTTGGCTCACTGCAACCTCTACCTCCCAGGTTCAAGCGATTCTCCTGCCTCGGCCTCCCGAGTAGCTGGGATTGCAGGCACGTTGCCACCACACCCGGCTAACTTTTGTATTTTTAGTAGAGACGGGGTTTCACCATGTTGGTCAGGCTGGTCTCACACTCCTGACCTTGTGATCCGCCCACCTCGGCATTCCCAAGTGCTGAGAATACAGGCGTGAGCCACCGCGCCCGGCCAAAATGTCAAGGATTTTTACGCTGATGTGCTTAATGTGCCCAATCTGCAATTCTAGTGGTAATCAGTGACATACCCATAAATCAGAGAGTACTTCTATGAAAATAATCACAGCCTACAAATACGGATAAAACTCCTCAGCTTTACCTCTTAGATGGTTCTAGACAGTTTCAGAATTCATGCCTCTTTCTTCAACTCTCTCATTAATTTTATTACCCTTGGCAGTAAAATAATCTTACCAATTGCTCTCCCTATGAAATTGTGAATGAAAATTCCCATTTCTTTTGCTAGGTCTTGTTAGCTGCCATCTCTGGGAAGGAGAAAGTGTTTTTATAGATAGGCATGGCAAGGACAAATAATGGAGCTGAAATGCAAGGGTGGATGGCAAATAAATTGCATCTTGTGAACTACCTCCAACTAACTTCTGCCTGGAGCACTGTGTTTAAAAGGATTCCTAGGCCACATCTGGAGGGATCCGGGAAAAAAAAAAAACAAAAGAGATGTAACGAAGGTAAGCGGAGAACCAGTAAAGTGTAGTGCTACAGTAGCCTAGGGTTTCAAGGAAAGGAGATTATAATATCCAGTCAGGCAGAGCAGCAGTCAAACAACATGAAGAAAAATGTCCATGAGACTTGGCATGTAGGAGATCACTGATGTGCCTATTGACAAGTTCAGTAGCGTTGTGAGGGAAAAGTCAATGGGCTAAAGCGGAAATGAGTGCTGACACAGAGACAGCAGGTGTAAACCAGAGACAGAGCCAGTGTACCGGATGGCTGAAGTCAAATACTTACGTAGCAAATGGGGATAGAGACACGTGTCCGATGGATGTATTGGCCTTCTCAGGACAAATATTCCATCCCCTGAAAACCACAGGAAAGGGGTAAAGAAGGATACTCCTATAGGTCAATTTACAGAAGAGAGCAAAACCTTAAAATTGTCAACGAAGTAGGAGCTAAGAACCTCTGTATCAGGTGAAGAGACAGGAAGGTCAAGACGGGGAAGGAGAAGATTTGCTAAAGATGTTGAAGAGAATGAGAGAACTAAACAGGGCTGGGCAAGCAAAGGCATCAGGCAAGGCTGAGTACTCAGATGAGGTTGAAATTATGGAATAGTTACATTAAAACAGGGTTAATCTGTATGACTAGGTGCTTTTTCTTTAGCCTTCAGATACAGAAGTAGAACAACAGACTGTGGATTGGGCTGGCATTTTGCCAGGATACAGCAGGAAGACGGGCACAGGAAAGGCCCAATGTTGGGAGTATTTCCATTAATCTCCTATGAGATCCAGGCTGGCTAGGGTAGCAAGGCAGGTTATAAGAAGAAAAATACAGACAAACTCGTGAGACTGCAGAGGCTTGGAAGGAGAAAATGTGTTGGGTGACAGTGAGATGCAGAAGATTTCTAAGGTGATACACCTGTAGAGGAGAAGGTGGAGGTCCCAGCCCGGGGAAAAGGTGGCTAATCTGCCCCTGGTGATGACCACTGGCATTAAAGGAATCCAGAAGAGATGAGGCTTTTTCTGTTTGTGGAAGTTATCTCCTTGTCCAAGTTTCTCTTCACCACTGAAAACCTCTGAAAGTTGTCAACTTCATTAAGGTAGATTCAGAAGACCTTTTGATTCAAAACGACAAAATGCTTCTAGAGAAAAAGCACATATGTCTGGTCAGATAATGCGTGTATGACTTCGGACAAATCATAGCATTTCAGTGTTTGAGGTAATCTAGTCTGTCTGTCCTCTTTATTCCTTAACTCTCCATCTGTACAGACAGAAACAATGTAATCAGCCACATAACTTGTATAAAATAAATATGAGGAGAGAACCAATTATGAAGGCAGAAGTTCTTGGGGTGAGGGGAAGAATTTTAAAATACAAAATTAACTAGCTACTTCTTCAAGAAGAAAAATATCAGGGAGTACTGAAAGAGAACAATTGCAGAAAGGAAGAGAAATTAACGTGAACAGCAACCAAAAACCTTCTAAGAATGTATCAACAGTCCAGTGGAAAACAAATACCCACCCTGATGACACCTTGATCTTGGACCCATGGCCTCCAGTACTGTGAGACAGTAACATTCTGTTGCTGAAGGTGCCCAGTCTGTGGTACTGTAAAACAGCCCTAGGAAACTAACACAGCCTGTTAGCCCACAGATGGTGGAGAGAAGGAATGCTCAGTGGAGCTCCAGGCTTACTGTCTACAGCTCCCAAAGTGTGCTACGGGACCCTTGGATGGGTGTAGGTATGCAAGATAATTTTGGGTGGTGCAGGGTGAATAATTTCAATTGACATAAAAATGTGTTTCTTTTACTGGGTAAATCAGGGGTCCCCACCTGTTAGGAACCAGGCTGCACAGCAGGAGGTGAGCAGCCAGCCAGGGAGCAAAGCTTCATCTGTAGAAACAGCCGCTCCCCATCCCTCGCATTACCGCGTGAGCTCTGCCACCTGTCAAATGAGTGGTGCCGTTCCATTCTCATAGAACCCAACTGTGAACTGAGCATGCCAGGGATCTAGATTGCATGCTCCTTATGAGAACCTAGTGCCTGATGACCTGTGACTGTCTCCCATCACCTCCTGATGGGACCATGTAGTTGCAGGAAAACAAGTTCAGGGCTCCCACTGATTCTATGTTATGGTGAGTTGTGTAATTATTTCATTATATATTACAGTGAAATAATCATAGAAATAAAGCACACAATAAATGTAATGGGCTCGAATCATCTCTGCACCATCCCTTCCCCTTCTCCCAGGTCCGTGGAAGAGTTGTCTTCAAGAAAACTGCTCTCTGGTGCCAAAACGTTTGGGGACCGCTGGTGTAAATGTTTCTAAGAATAGTTAAGCAACTTAAGCTTCACATGCTACGAAGAATACAGCTTTAAATGCTAATAAAAATAGGTGCAAATGAAAACACTCTTTCTGTGGTCCAGGGAATCTTAACCATTCTATCAGAAAGACTTGCAGCTTGGAGCTGCAGCTGCCCTCCCACATCCTGTCCACTGTAAAGCCCTGCAACACACACATACACGCGCGCACACACACACACACACACACGCTGTGCTTCATGCCCTCACTAGGGTGGTCTGGGAGGAAATGCGTGTCTTTAGGAGAAATGAAGACAACTCAGGCCCCTCATTCTCCTGGTGTTTGCACAAGTGCCTTCTCTGCAGACCATGCTTCAGTCTCTTTCTTGGTTCTCCCTCTTACTGAAAGAGAGAAGCAGAGGCCCGGCACATACTCGGCTGCTTAGGGCTCAAGCCAAGTTCGCAAGCTTCCTGGGGAGCCTAGTGAGATGAAGGCACTGCAGAGCCTCCCCAAAAGAGTCGTCGGCTTTTCGTGGATCCTTGAGCCCAGGAAGGCGATAGGTGAGACATCACAGTTCATCAGAAGACACGAGCAAACTCCGGCGAGAAAGGGCAACGGTCAAAGATTTTATTCTCTCGGAAAAGGGTTCTCGGGCTGTAAGCAGCAGGCAGAAGACTTTATTGCACGCGTAGTTAGGTGATGGCGACCTACGGTTTTCACTGGGGACTGGGATCGAGAGTGATCCGACCTCCTACTCATGCTCGTCTCTCCCTGTCTCTCTCTTTGCCTTTTGTGTCTCTCTGCCTGTCTCTCTCGCTCCTTTTCCTCTCAGCCTCCTCTGTCTCTCTCCTTATCTCTCATCCTCTCTCTCTCTATCTCACTCCCTTCTCCCCATCTCTCTTTCTCTCTCCTTCTTTTCCACTTCTCTCACCCTCCTCATCTCTCTGCCTGCCACTGTTCAGGCTCCTGGGGCCCCACGTGGATGGGCGGACACAGGACTCCTAGGCTACCTTTCATAGCGCAAGCAGAGGGCTGCAGGACCTTGGTCCCCACCTCCCAGCATCCTCAAAATGAGGGGTGTGGGGTGTGCCGTGCTCTCCTGAGTGGGCGCCCCACACTCCAGGAAGCAGAAACTGCAGGTCACAGCTGGCTCGAGTGGTGCCCACGGGGCTGCCAGCTTCCATCGTGTGATCTGCTGAGGCCAAAGCAGAGGACAGCAGCCCAGGCCCATCTCTGCAGCAGGGTGGGGGTAGGGGTGGGCTTGGGGGTGGGGATGGGGATGGGAGCCGCCAATGCAAACTGGCCCCTGGCTGGTTTCCTACCCTGCACCCTGCCATGCAAGTCCTCCTCTCCTACCCCTACCCCTGTCTGCCCCACCTCCACCCCTAGGCTGCCCCACACCCAGGCTCCAGAAGTCTCCCAGGATCCAGGAACTAAGGGCAGCCTCTGGGTTCCATAGCCCCTAGTCCATGAGTCAGCCACCCCTCTGCGTGCTGACAAACCTTGGCTCTCATGCCCCACCCCAAGCCAAGCACACAGCCCTGTCCCCCCACCAGCATTATCACCGCCTCCTGATTTTGGCCCTGACAGCCCTGCTTCCTGGTAACCTTGCCCCCTCCCACCCTGCTCCAGGCAAGCCCAAAGGCCAGGCCCTCCACCCACCCTTCCTGGGGGCCACTCTACTATCTCCTTGCCCAGATGTCTTAACCTGGCTTTACCAAGATAGAATAAATAACAGGGATGAGGCCCCGGACCCCGCCAGGAAGATGTGCCAAAATACCCTCCATTTAGAAGCGGGAACAGTGATGGGGCCTATGGATGACCCCAGGATTGTCACCCAAGCAGCAAGAAGGGCAAGGAGCCCGGTTTCCTGCCCTTACCTGGGGAGGACGTGGCCAGGGCTCCAAAAGGCCCTGGAGAGGGGTGGGCAGGAGAGCAGATCCACCCTCCTCTTGAGGAAGCAGCCACCATCCCCAGGAAGAGCAGATGGGGGCACACAGGCAGAGTCCCCACGTGCTGTAGAGCAGGGCCAGCAGAACTGTACTCAGCCCCAGCCCCAGGGGAGCTGCAAGATAGACTGAGACCCTCACAGGTTGGGCTCTGTGTCCCCACCGAAATCTCATCTGGAATTGTAATCCTCCTGTGTCAAGGGAGCAACCTGGTGGGAGGGGATGGGATCTGGGGACAGTTTCCCCCCTGCTGCTCCCCTGATAGTGAGGGAGTTCTCAGGAGAGCTGATGGTTTGAAAGTGTGGCACTTCCTGCTTCTCCGCTCACTCCCTCCTGCCGCCTTGTGGAGAAGGTGCCTGCTTCCCCTTCGCCTTCTGCCATGACTGTAAGTTCCCTGAACTGGGAGTCGATTAAACCTCTTTCCTTTATAAATTACCTAGGCTCAAGTATTTCTTTATAGCAGTGTGAAAACAAACTAATACCCCTTCCCTGAGGCGCCTTCTCCTTAGGCAACCCGCTGCCCCCATGCTCCTCCTCTGCCCCCTGTCCTTTCTTTTCCCCTCATGAGGCCCAAGTGATAAACGGGGCCAGCCCCAGTCCCAGCCCCAGCCCCAGCCCCAGCCCCATCCTACTGCAGGCCTGTGTGGCTGCTGGAGAGGCCGTGTTCCTTTCCTCTCCCCGAGCCTGCCTGATATGCTTTCTGGATCCTGGAGGAAACTGACCCCCTATTCTCATACTGGTGCAACATCTTCCAAGACCTCAAAGCTGTACCATTTGAGCCAGTCTTTTTTCTTATCTCCACTTGCTAGGGCTGTCATTGGGACAGTCCTAGAGGGTGGTGCCAATGGATGAATGGATGGATGGACAGTAGTCCAGGGATGATGTCCCTGTCTGTCCTGAACCGGGCCCTTCCTCCAATGAGAAGCCTTCCTGAGTGAGTATATACAGTCATCCCTTGGTATCCATGGAGGATTAGTTCTAGGGTCCCCGGGAATGCCAAAATCCATGGATGCTCAAGTCTCTGATAGAACATGGCCTAGTATTTACGTATAAGCTATGCGCATCCTCCCGTATACGTTAGACCGTTACTAGATTATGATGTGTAATACAATGCAGATGCTACATAAATGGTCGTGATACTGTATTCTTTAGGGAATGATGACAAGAACAAAGTCTGCACATGTTCAATAGAAACATAACCATCCAATTTATTTTCTGAATATTTTCCATCTGCTGTTGCTGAACCTATAGATGCAGAGCTCCTGGATACGAGAGCCAAGTGTGCTTTGAGAGTAGGGTGGGTGAGGTTGCTAATGAGTACAGGGGAGCAGGTGTTGATCAGGAGGGCCCTGCACTGGGGCATCTGGACGTCCTGCCTCAGGACTTGAGACTCCAGTTGGATGGCACAGACAGACTCAGCCCAGGTCAAAGCCGTCCCCTTGAAGTTTCATTTTATCCCAAGCTCTTTCTGGACCCTGGAATTTGGCATCCCCTAGGCCCTGCGTGGAAGGACAGATGAACCAGGTTTTAGATAACATGTCTAGAAGAGTGAGCCCCTACTGTGTGCTCGGCACTTTCCCCACAGGATCCTCTAGCTAGAATATCCAAGGGTCATGGAGAGAAATACCCAGTTAAAATATCAGAAATGAAAAAGCGATACCATTAGATACACTAAAAAGACCATTAGGTAATAGTATTAGCTTTTGTATTCTGAGATCCAACAGCAGCAGTCACTTCCCTCCACCCCTATGTGTATCCCACGACCACCCTGGGCGGGGAGGGCTGAGGTTAGGGAGCAGCCATGGATGCTCTGATGCTGGCCCTGGGCCTCGGGGGTGACAGTGATGAGGAACTGGGTGCACACATGAGTGGGGCAGCCGGGCCTGGCCAGAGAAGCAACACACATGTGCACAGACATGTTTACCCACATACACGTGTGCACGCACGTGCACAAACACGTTGCAGGCAGGCATGTTGACGCCTCAGGCAGCGGAGGACCCTGACTCTGGGTGCTGCTGACCCGGGCAAGGCCCCACTGTGATTCGTGCCATGACCTCAGAATGTCACTGGTGCTTAGCACCTATCTGCTCTCTGGCCTGCGTCAGTGGTCTACAGCAGTTACACACAGGCAGTGGTATCTGTGAGCAGCTCTGTGGACTCAAAGGTTTTCTCCCTGAGAGGCATGACCCAGGCCAGCTGATTCATCAGAATCAGGTGAGCGTGACCTGCTCTCTTCCCTCCAGGCGGACTTGGGGACAGTGGCTACGGTGCGGGCGGTGTTGGCCTCTGTGGGGCAGCTACCGAGGAGGGTCATCCCTGAGCACTCACCAGGCGCCCGTTCTACACTGCCCGTGTAGACGATTGGCTCTTTCGTCTCCATGGTGGCTTCGTAGAGTGGGTGCTGTTCCCAAATGTCCCCATTCGACAGATGAGACGTCTGGGGTCAGAGAGGCAGTAACCGGCCTGGGAATCCGGACATGACCCTGAGTTTTGCTCTCAGCCCTGCCGTGTGCTGTGCTGGAATTCAGGCCTGAACCCTGTGACCTCCCTGCCCTAGATCCCAAATCTGCCCAGGTTTCCCATCCCGATGGGGCAGAGCCTGGTCCTGGCAGAGCCACTGGTATAGAGCCACTGGTACAGATCCACTGACGGTCCTCAGAACACCTCTGTGCCCTAAGCTGGGTCCTGATGGTCGCTGTGGGCCCCACTGAACACACATGGTCCCTTGTCCGGGGGAGCCTGCTGCCCTTGGGCAGCTGTGGAAAATGAAGGAGCCCTGGAGGGCTGGCTGAGGGGAGACTATCTTCCCTTGTGTTCAAAGGGGTCCGGGCACTAGGGTTCTCCCCAGGTATTTCTTGCTCTGCGTGGTCCTCTTGAGGCCTTGCCCTCCTTTTGCCTCGAGTATTCCCAGGAGGGACGGTCCATCCAGCTGTTCTCCAGGACCAAGGACCCACTGTTCTTCCTCAGTGACCCAGGAAAATGAAGCCTCCTCCTGTTGGGACGGCTCAGAATGGTGGACTCCACAGTCCCTCCGCGAGAGACGTGGTTTCCATGCGTACAATAGATCTTCCTCATCCCCCAAACCCAACACCCTCCTGCTCAACAGGCGTTATTCCTAAAGTGGCTTCACTGTTCAGACTGAAGAGCCACGGTAGCCAAAGTGATGAGCGGAGTAGAACCGAGCAGTCGGGAGAGATCTTGCTCCCTGTAGGAAACTGGGCATCTCTGAGGCCCTGAGCATCCCAGGAGGCCGATTGCACAGAGACCTCTGGTCGCTGACCCCAGTCTGCCTCCACATCCCTGGAATAGCCCATCATGGGCCCTTCACCCTTGGCAGGTGGAAACCATTCAACCTGCTGGGGCCGGTGTGTCCCCATTTCATGGCATTGGGGGACAACAGGATTCTCTGTCTAGGTCCCACTGTACTCAAGTCCTTGGGAAGATGCCCACCCCTGCTTGGGACTTGAGACTCCAGAGACTGGAGCAGCTGTGGGCCACTGGGTCTGGCCCCTTTTTCCCTGGGGGCGGCGGTGGAATGGGGGTTACGCAGCCAGCCAGCATCTGGGAGCCCGGCGAGAGCGGTTCAGGTGTTCTCCGAAGCCGCCGCGTACAGTGTGACCTTTAGACAATTCTGTCTCACAGGATGGACGTGGTAGAGGTCGCGGGTAGTTGGTGGGCACAAGAGCGAGAGGACATCATTATGAAATACGAAAAGGTACAAGTCGGTCTGCTTCTTGGAGGGAGGCCTCTTCCAGTGTGCCCTGGTCAAAGGGTCCTGGGCTCCCTAGGAGCACAGGGCAGGGACGGGTGGCCAATGCCCCCAGGCCCTTGCACCCTTTACCTTGGACCCCTCAGCAAGGCTCCCTCTGGGCTACAGGGACACCGAGCTGGGCTGCCAGAGGACAAGGGGCCTAAGCCTTTTCGAAGCTACAACAACAACGTCGATCATTTGGGGATTGTACAGTGAGTCCTCTGCACTCCCCTCACCCCTAAAGCACCTGTCTCAGCTCAGGGATGGGTTTGCTTTTAGAAAGGCCTTTCTGATGCAGGACATGTCTCACCAGGTCGGGTCAACCTCCTTTCCAGGGACAGAACTCCTCCCTGACTCCCCTGCAGGTCCAGCCCGAGGTTGTTAGGCCAGAGGTGTGGGGCCCATCTAGGGAGCCGGTGGGAATGGAGACTGGGCTAGGTCAGGCCCCTGGGCGCTCAGCAGTTCTGTCGGCAAGTGAGCACAAGAGGAGCGGGGCAGCCTGAGGGTCTGGCCCTGTCTACTTGGAGACAACCCCGGTGAGATGCAAGGGTTATGGCCACAGGGTGAGGGGACGCCTGGCCCAGCCTCAGGGCTGTTGTCCAGCAGGTCTCTGAGGGCCCACCTGCCCCTGTTCTCCCCCATTCCCCTAGAGCTACAGCCCTCACTGTCCCGTGAGGGGAAAAGGCATGGTGACAATGGGGGCTGTAGCCCTAGGAGAACGGGGGAGAAGATGGGCAGGGCCCCGTTCTGGGCATCTCACGGTGAGGCCAGGGAGGCAGCAGGGCTCGCGGCTAAAGACCTGGGTCTGGTGCTGGGAAGGGATCTGGGGCCGGGTAAGAGGAGCCCAGCCAGGAGCCCATCCCTCAGGGATCACAGGATGGAGAGACAGAGGATCCCTGGGGAGGTAGGGCGGGAGGGAGCTGACGAGCCGTGCCACTTCTGAAACGCAGGGTGTGTGGCTCGGGTGCAGGGAGAGGCAGGTGGATGCTGGGAGGTCAGAACCTGCAAGGGCCTTGGGGCTGTCAAGTGGGGTGGGCCCCTGGTGCAGCCAGAGTACACCGGGCAGGTCTCAGGGCAGGCTCCCTTGACCCTGGCGGGGGGATGTGGTCACTCCCTGAGGGACTCCTGTCAGGGCCCGGTCGCCCACCCTGGGCGGCCCCCATCCCATCTCAGGGCTAACCTTTCTCAGCTCCAGCAGAAAGCACCACCTCGAGTCCAGGACGGGCAGCCCCACTGGGCAGCCTGACCGCCCCCCACGCCAGGGGCCCCAGTAACCCCGGCCAGGCTGTCCCTACACTCCTTCTTCTCCCAGGTCCTGCCCCTCCTGGGAGTCAGCCCCACAGGAAGGCCCTTGTCCTCCCTTCCCTGTGCCTTCTCCTGGGCTGAGCCCTGAGCTGGAAAGGGACAGAGCCAGTCCTTTCTGGGGGTCGGCACCCAGGCTGGGGCCGCTCCAGGCCCCGTGCAGTTCCTCAGCTCTGCCTGGGTTGCCTTACAGTGAGACGGAGCTGCCTCCTCTGACTGCGCGGGAGGCGAAGGTAAGAGCCTGATGCGTGGAGGGGCTGGTCCAGGGACGTAGGGACTGGGCGGGTGGTCAGTGAGGCAGAGGAAGCAGCTGGCCTGAGCGGTGGCGGGTGAGGGCAACACGCTGTCACTGGGAGGGGCAGCAGTCCCTGCTGGACCTGACCCCAGGTTGCTGTTCACTTTGGCAGTTTGATAAAATTCCAAAAGGAGAACCACAGTCCTGGCTTGGGGGTGGCTGTGCGCTTGTGTCAGGACCCCACCTAGAGGCTGGGACCTAAGACTGGTGTGTCTGTGGCCTGAGGATGGTACATCCCGGGGTCCCAAAGCCAGCCCACTGGTGCTCATTTGCTCAAAGGCTCTCAGCCCTTGAGGTCTGCCCTTCCCTGGCTCCTTCCAGCTGGCTCCCACCAGGGCTCCAGAGCCCAAGACCCAGCATCCGCGGGCGGCTCTGGGAAGCCTGGCAGCTCCGCTAACTCCAACATGCCTCATTTGACAGCAAATTCGGCGGGAGATCAGCCGAAAGAGCAAGTGGGTGGATATGCTGGGAGACTGGGAGAAATACAAAAGCAGCAGAAAGGTAACGTGTGGAGGGAGGAAGCACTCTCTGCAGAGACAGGGCACAGGCACCCATGGCTGTGGCCTGGCACCATCAGCCTCTCAGAGGGTGGGCGGCACACTGTCCTCGCCCAGAGGACTGCAGGCCTGGTCGCCAGATTTCCTGCCTATTCGTGCAAGCGTCACCTTGCAGGGAGGGAATCTGAATCTAGGGCTGGGACTACCCGGAGCTCAAGGCTAGGGATGCCCTGGTGACCTGAAGGAAGGAAAAGGTTCAGATCAGAGTTTCGACTCTGAGTGTCCATCCACTCTTTCAGTCCTGGGAAGGGAGACCCTGTCCCAGCTTGATCTCACCTCTACTGAGGAATCATGGGGCCAAAACCGACAATTTCCAGAATCCCCGGGCTCTGGTCCTCACTGGGGTCACCCTGTGGCCTGTGACACCAGATTGTTTTCTGCCCACAGCTCATAGATCGAGCGTACAAGGGAATGCCCATGAACATCCGGGGCCCGATGTGGTCAGTCCTCCTGAACATTGAGGAAATGAAGTTGAAAAACCCCGGAAGATACCAGGTACGCTCAGCCAGAGCACAACAAACAGGACAGGCCGTGTCGGGGCCCAGGTCTCCAGCTGGAGGGAACGTCAAGACCACCCTGGGGAGCTGGGGGTGAAGGTCAGATGAACACCCTGGGCACAGATGGTGACACAGTCACCACAGACAAACTCAGCTCTGGTGACCCTCCCTGGCTTCAGTAACAAGCCAAAATGCAGCTTTCTGCAGAAGGAAACCTTCCTTCTGTCCTTCCTTCCCGAAGTGCTGACTGTGGGCTGACTGCCACTGGGGGCAGGGAGTCTTCCATCTGTTCTGAGACTGCTTCCTCCTCTTGGCCCTGCCCTACAGATCATGAAGGAGAAGGGCAAGAGGTCATCTGAGCACATCCAGCGCATCGACCGGGACGTAAGCGGGACATTAAGGAAGCATATATTCTTCAGGGATCGATACGGAACCAAGTAAGCCTACGGGAGCCACAGGGTCCCAGCAGAGATGGGGTGAATGAGAGGGATGGGGGCTTCCCCGGAGCAGAAGCCAGGGTCACCCAGGAGGGATGACACAGCTGCCAAGAGCTCTCCCGGCCCAGGGAGCAGCCGGCACCATGAACCGAGCACCTCCCTGGTTCCAAGCCCTGGGCCAGACTGGAACATGTGGGGCCAGAACCCAGGAGGATCCTGAGGAGATGGAAGGCAGCAAACAAAATCATGCACAATGGTGAAGGGTGCTCTCCCTGACCCATGGGGACCCATGGTAGGACCCATGGGAGGGTGGCAGGATAGAGGGCCCATGAGCCCCCCCCAGGCAACAGTGACAGCACCAAATGCTGGGAGAATTAGGGGTCCTGGAAACTCTCATCCAGGTCCGCTGGGAACATGACATGGCACAGCCACGTTGGCAGCCCGTTGGGCAGTGGCTCACAAAGCTCCATGGACTTGAACCACACATCCCCAAAGTGTCACAGATATTGAACCCACTGATTTGCAAACTGACATCCACATGAAACCAGCATGCCAGGTTCACTGCTTGACTCCTCGTCACTCACACACGGAGCCTTCGGAGACGGCCTTCAACACGGGGATGGGGAGAGCAAGGCTGGTCCTCCCTTCAAACGGAAGACCCAGTGAGAAAAGGGAACGAGCCGGTGATGCCCGCACGAACGTGGGTGGATCCTAGATGCATTTTGCTGAGGGACAGAAGCCAGACCCAATAAGCTACCACAGTAGGATTCCCATTCCTAGGCCATTCTGGAAAAGGCCAAACCACAGGGACTGAGAAGCAGTCTGGGTGGCCAGGGGCTGACGGATCGGGGAGAGGCTGGGTGCATAGGGGCCACCCTGGAGACTTGGAGGATGAAGGAGTCGCCCCAGGAGGGGCTGGAGCGGTGGCCGGGAGACTCTGCACATTGGTTTGGAACCGTGGAGGAACTGTACACCCACAGACTGAACTGGCGTGTGTGCAAACTGAAAAAAAAAAAAATCATTCAGAGTGAAAAGGATCAGGCAAGTCACTGTACAACTGGGCTATTTGCATGTCACAGATGTGGATTTTACTGAAACATTTCTTCAAGAGTCTCAGGCCCTGAAGAGCTCACTGCTTATCTGGTGAAACATCTGAACCTGAAATGGGATTTGCTGTTAGGCTTTGTAGACAAAGTGAAATTAACAACATCTGCACAAAACAAACCAAAGCCCCCTTTCTCTGTTTCCTAGGCAGCGGGAACTACTCCACATCCTCCTGGCATATGAGGAGTACAACCCGGTGAGTATTCCCGGCAGTGAGGTTCCCGGGCCATATTTCCATATTGACAGGAGTGGGTGTCTGGTGGGGGTGTCGTTGCTTCTTTTAAAGTTAGTATTTGTGACCCACCAGGATATAGGAGGTAGGATGTCAGCTCACCGCTGGCATAAACCTCCAAGGAAGGGGGTGGTCTCAAGGGGTCAAGCTGAGACACAAAGGAGTCAGGGCCCGGACTCCTGGTGTCACCTGGGCCTGACCACCACTTCTCAGAACAAGAAATGACGCCCTCCTCCTGGGGCTGCCCCAAAGCCCAGGAGCTTGGCAGCATCGCACACAGGATGGTGCTATCAGCAGACATTTTGGACAAGGTGCTGAAGTGCCTGATGGACTTGGCTCTTGTCATGAAATGAATGTGCATCCTGAGGAAGCCTCTTTTTCAGAGGAAGCCTCTCCTTCAGAGGAAGCCTCTCCAGTCACCTCTGCCCTCTCCAATGACATGAGTCCTCCCAGGTGACCTCAGCCCTCCCAGGTGATGTCCTTCCATGGTGACTCTGGCTCTTGCAGGAGGTGGGCTACTGCAGGGACCTGAGCCACATCGCCGCCTTGTTCCTCCTCTATCTTCCTGAGGAGGATGCATTCTGGGCACTGGTGCAGCTGCTGGCCAGTGAGAGGCACTCCCTGCAGGGTAAGTGAACAGCTGCCCCGGGGACCTCCTGCAGCCAGACCTGGGGATGGCCACCCTGGCCGGGTGATCACAGCTTTCAGCCAAGGCACCCTCCTTGTGTCGCCAGCTTGTTGGGAGACTTTAGGATGTCTCTGCTGAGGGTCCCACAGGAGTCCACGGCTGACCCCCAAAGCCCAAATCAGACGCCTCTCATCCCCATCAGCAGAGGGCATCTCATCCTCCCCGTGGCCACCCTCTGTGTCCTGGAGCCACGCCCTCCGGCTCTGATTCTGTGCAGCTGACTCTCCCCTCCCTGAGAGTCCTCCTGCCCTCCAGCTGCCCGGGCTCCTGCTGCCATCGGTGCCCACGAATGGGCCGACCAAGCCCAGGTGGCAGCATCTCCCCATCCCCTGTTCCCTGGCCCGACCCCACTACCAGGAGATGACCGGGAAGCCCAGCGCCTACCCAGTTCCGGCCACCCTGTCGTGGCCTGAAAGTCAGGCTTGCCCTTTTTGCACCCTGGCCCAGGAGGCCTCCAGGGGAACCTCCAGCCAGGCTCCAGGGAATGTTCCCGCCCCACCTCCCCAGGGTAAAGGCCGCATGTTGGGGTCACCAGAGGGGAGGGTGGGAGGCCTTGGGGTTTGGGGGCCTCTCCAGCTGCCCAGCTCTTGCAGCTGATGGCTCCACATCTTGGGGGAAGGCTCTGATTTCATGATGGGCTGGGGGCTTCTCAGGATTTCACAGCCCAAATGGCGGGACCGTCCAGGGGCTCCAAGACCAACAGGAGCATGTGGTAGCCACGTCACAACCCAAGACCATGGGGCATCAGGTGAGTTTATGGTCCCCTCAGCTCTTCCCAGAGGCCCTGCCTCCCGTGGGGCTGTAGGAGCAGGGGGGCTGGAGCCCCTCGTGGGGCTGGTGACTGGCTGAGTCCCAGCCAGGGCCTGACCTGGGACGTCGGGTTCTCCATGGGCTGGGAGTTGGTTTCCTTTCCTGCCCTGGAGGAGACAGAGGCACAGGGATGGGGGCCCAGCTCCCGCAGAGCAGGGCAAAGGGCAGTGTGTCCACCGGGAGTGTGGGAAGGTGACAGTGTTGTGGGGAGCTCTGGACACCGCCCAGTGTTCTGCACTAGGGGAAGGCTCTTCAGAGGCCCTGGAAGAGGGAGGTTTTTAGGGCAGCCCAGTGGCCTGAGCACCTCTGTTGCTTCCATCAGGACAAGAAAGATCTATGTGGGCAGTGTTCCCCGTTAGGCTGCCTCATCCGGATATTGATTGACGGGGTAAGGAGGCATAGGGAGACCCTGGCTCAGGGACCTTCCTTGCCCTGCAGTGCCCTGCTTCCCCAGCCCGGGGGTCTGGCTCACTCCCAGCCCACAGGAGGCTCAGGCGGGTCCCCAAAGGACACACAAGCAAAACCCTCTGCCCAAGGGGGGTCATCCCAGGGCCATGGCTGGGGCTCAGGCCCAGCCTCATGGGCAGAGTGGGCCAGGACCCGACTTGTGAGGGCTCAGGGAAGCCTCAAGCCCTGGGCAAGCCCCTCTCTCCAGGAGCCACATCCCCACTCAAATGAGTGCCCCCCATGAGGAGCTTCAAGACCTTGTCTGACCCAGCGTCCTGGAGGGCTCAGGCGACCCTCATGGGGAAGGTCACTGACTCTGGAGACTGAAGCCCCAGTGTGCGCAGCTCGAGCCACCAGCCCCAGCCTGGAAGGACCAGGTTCTTTCACACCTGCTGTCCCCACAGATCTCTCTCGGGCTCACCCTGCGCCTGTGGGACGTGTATCTGGTAGAAGGCGAACAGGCGTTGATGCCGATAACAAGAATCGCCTTTAAGGTTCAGCAGAGTAAGTCTACGTGTGCCCAGCGGGGCCTGGGGAGCCCTGGGGTCAGACCCCGACTGGCCCGAGGGCAGCTTCCTCACACTGTCCTCATGATCCTCTGTTCTGGCCCAGAGGGAGGTCTGGCCAGGTGGGCTGGGCAGGACACTGTGACACCGAGCCCATCCCCCACATGACCCAGATGAAAGTCGAGAGTGTGGTGAGCACTTCCCTGTCCGGATCGCCCCCCAGCCACAGTCTCCTGTGTATATCTGGACACCTGGGGTGGCCACAAAAGGATCCGGCACCGCCCAGTAGGAGACTGAAGTGGCCACGGGGTATGAGCTGTGACCATTCCCAGGTAACTCCCCTGGCCTGATATCCACCCTGTCCCTAGAGCGCCTCACGAAGACGTCCAGGTGTGGCCCGTGGGCACGTTTTTGCAACCGGTTCGTTGATACCTGGGCCAGGGATGAGGACACTGTGCTCAAGCATCTTAGGGCCTCTATGAAGAAACTAACAAGAAAGAAGGGGGACGTGCCACCCCCAGGTGGGCTCCAGTGCCATGTCCCCTCCCATGTCACCCTCTGGGGTAGTCAGTAGTAGGGGAGTGCCCGGGACCCGCAACCCTACTACCTGGGCCTTCCTCTTCACCTTTTCTTCCTCCTCTTCCTCCTGGACTCTAAGAAAGTACAGGAGGCCCACCGGTCCTCAGGGCAGGCGCTCAGTGCGTGTATACTGGACATGCTGTGCACGCAGGAGGGGGATGTGGGCAAGACCCTCCAACAAGCCCCCTCCCACTTTCCACGGTGTCTCCCTCTCCCCCTCGCAGGGCCCTCCAAGTTACTAGACGAGCCCAGACCCATTTGTGGGAGACCCCGCCCCTCCCTGCAAGCACCCACAGCCTCAGAGAGCAGCAGAGGCCCCTCACTCCTGCACGCTCCTCCAAGGTTGCCAGGACAAGAAGCCTGGAGCCAGGGAGACAAGGGAATCCGTGTCCCTGACCCACAGAGCATTCAGGGAGAGGGCACAGGCGGGACCCCGGGCCCAGAGCCAGAGCCAAGAGTTCAGCCAGAAGTGGGAACGGTCAGTCCTGGCATGGACTGGGCAGCCCAGGAGGGCAGAGGGTGACCCACGTCCGGGCCCAATCACCCACTGCGGAGACGGGTCCCCACGTGAGGTGACAAGGGGCTGGGTGACATCCAAGGCCCCTCCCACCTGAGTTCTGACTGGGGGCCGTATCCCAGGCCCAACAGCCCTGGGACGAAGGTGTGTGGCAGGAAGCCCCCAGCCAGTCTGAACCCTGGGGGCAGTCCCAGGAGCCACCCGCCATGCCACGACAGCTTCCCCACGCCAGGCAGCATGCACCCCTCCCTCTGGGATCAGCAGACTACAGGCGTGTCCTCGGTGTCAGGCCACGGGGGCCACACAGAGACCCCGAGGACTCCAGAGACGCAGGCAGGTGGGGCCCAGCCCGGAAAGGCCTGCGTGGGCTCACTGGAGATGCTGACCGCGTCTGTTTTCCTTTCAGCCAAACCCGAGCAAGGGTCGTCGGCATCCAGGCCTGTGCCGGCTTCACGTGGCGGGAAGACCCTCTGCAAGGGGGACAGACAGGCCCCTCCAGGCCCACCAGCCCGGTTCCCGCGGCCCATTTGGTCAGCTTCCCCGCCACGGGCACCTCGTTCTTCCACACCCTGTCCTGGTGGGGCTGTCCGGGAAGACACCTACCCTGTGGGCACTCAGGGTGTGCCCAGCCCGGCCCTGGCTCAGGGAGGACCTCAGGGTTCCTGGAGATTCCTGCAGTGGAACTCCATGCCCCGCCTCCCAACCGACCTGGACGTAGAGGGCCCTTGGTTCCGCCATTATGATTTCAGACAGAGCTGCTGGGTCCGTGCCATATCCCAGGAGGACCAGCTGGCCCCCTGCTGGCAGGCCTGAACACCCTGCGGAGCGGGTGAGATCGGCTTTCGCTGCACCCAGCACTGATTCCGACCAGGGCACCCCCTTCAGAGCTAGGGACGAACAGCAGTGTGCTCCCACCTCAGGGCCTTGCCTCTGCGGCCTCCACTTGGAAAGTTCTCAGTTCCCTCCAGGCTTCTAGAAGCATCTGGGCCAGGGCTCATGGCTGGATAATTTCCCTAGGCTTAACAACCCAAGCAAGCTTCGCATCCTCGTTTTATTTTTGGTTAAACTTATGAAAATGTATTAAGAAAGAGTGCAGCTCGAGAGAGATTCAGAGATGGAACACACCAGACCCCAGATCACAAAGCCAACCATGCCCAGCCCCTCCCAGCACCCCCAGCCCCACGACCATCGTTCTGAATTCTGACGACACCGTGAGCCTGCCTTTGTACTTCAAACTCATGGAAGGATAACCACCTTCATGTTTTGAAATAAATGTTTCCTGTTGAAATGATTTTAGATTTTAGACAGAAATATTGAAAAGGCACTATAGTATCCTCCTATACCTTCCATCCAGCTGCCCCTAATAATGATGTTTTGCAGTCCCATGGCACATAAGAAATTTAGGCCGGGTGTGGTGGCTCACACCTGTAATCCCAGCAATTTGAGAGGTCGAGGTGGGAGGTTCAGGTTCACTTGAGTCTAGAAGTCTGAGACCAGCCTGGGAAACCTAGGTGGACCCGGTCTCTAGAGAAAAGTCAAAGAAATTAGCCAGGCATGGTGGCGTGTGCCTATAGTCCCACCTAGTCAGGAGGCTGAGGCAGGAGGATTGCTGGAGCCCACGAGTTCCAGGAAGCAGTGAGCCATGATTGCACCACTGCACTCCAGCCTGGGTGACAGAGTGAGACTTTATCTCTTAAAAAAATTTAAGAAATTTAATGTGGGTACAGTTCTATTAACTAAATAATAATGTGAACTATTATCTAAGGTTATGAAGGCTAGAATTATCCCATTTTTGCCTAACTTCTCGTACCTGTCCCAAGATCCCACCTTGGACTCACCCTCTGCCTTCAGCTCACGTCTCTTCAGCTTCCTCCACATGGTCCAGCAAACACACACCTGGGCTGAATGGTAGAGCTGATTGCTCATACACAAAGGTAGACCGGTGGGCAGGGATTTTCAGACTTACACAGTCAATGAGTTTTCCTTGGTGTTCTGGAGAGCACCGTTTGAGAAACACTTTGACAGTGAATCTAGGCCTCAAGATCCATCAGCTGCTCTAGCTTGAATTTTGCTCAAGCTCAGTGAACACCTGCTCTGCAGGGTGCACGTGAAAGGGGCAAGGAAGAGAAAGCTGTAGATAAAGAAGACAGGACGCAGGGGGTCTGTCTAAGCTCTATCCCCTGCCTTCAGCACTGAGGGATGAAATCCAACTCTTAGGGAACGGTGGCCACGTGCTGGGCCAGCCCCAGGCTCTCAGGATCTGACAGTGGGTGACGCAGAGCCAGGCCTTGCCCCTGGGGAGCTCTCCAGCATACACCTCCCTCTCCCCTCCCAGCGTGCCGCAAAGCAGGCGTCAACGCCATTGTTAATGCACGGAGGAGGAACCTGACTGTTAGACCTGGGTTTTCCAGGGTTGCACGGCTTCTGGGAGACGGATGTGACCCTGAGGACAGGGCACAGGCCAGTGTAATGCCAGGATGGGATGAGCTGTGATCTGTGCTGTATAGAGGCCTAGGCCAAGGTGGGACTGACGGATGACCAGGTCAGCCGGGTCACTGAAAACACTCTTGGGTCCTCACCTGCCGGTTCCCAGGAGTCCGGAACTGCCAGGAGAGTGGTGGCAGGTCCCCCATCCTCAGCTGGGTGGGCCTGGATAGAACAGCAAGGCGAGGGCACATTTCCCTGGCCATTCCCTCCAGGCACAGCTGTGACCTGTTCATTCCAAATTGGTGGAAGTATTTCCACACACACAGAACTGCAAATAGCAGTGGACGTGGTGAGAGGCGTTTGCACATGGGATAGGCAGGATTTTGGAGGCAGAGCCTCCAGGGCTTGCCGATGGGTTAGCTGCAGGGCTTGAGAGGGAACGGAGAATCCAGGATGATGTGTTCAAATCGGTCCATTCACCTCTTCCGTTCCACGCCTGTGCTGGGCACTGGGAGAGACAGATGCACACAGGAGCCCCGGCCGAGGGGAGGTGTGGGGGGAAGCCCAGAGTGTCTGGGCAGGGTAGGAAACCCAGAGCGTCTACTGGGAGCTGAAGGCTTAGGTCCACCTGGGTGCCGTCCAGGTTCTCTGCGTGTAGAAGTATAGGCTGAGCTTCCTGGAGGAGGAGTAGCTGCTGTTGCTGGTGACCAGCACATTCAGGAACGGAGACTACTCTGTCAACAGACAGGGGGATGACCTGAGGTCTGGATGGTCTAGGGGGTGGTAGGGCCCAGGAGGACCCAGGAAAGGGTCTCGGGGATGCAGAACATCCTATGGAGGGCATTTGGGAGTCAGTGCTCAGGTCACTCCGGGTCACTCAGGTCATTTGCCGGCCCCTGTCATAATTATTGCCATATGAGAGTGCCACCCGTCCTATGACATATTTTATATATTTCTGTGAATGGCCTACTTGTTTGTATTTATGAATTTATGTTTAAAGGATGGGCAGGGGTGCTCGAGAGGTCCCCAGGAGTTTCCCTCTGGGGAGAGAGGGGCCCACCCCTTCCCAGCAGCCCTCTGAGCCCCCCGATCGCTTGGCCACAGCCTCTGCCTGGAGAAAGCATCCCCCTCGGAGATATATGGACATCAGAAGAAACCTTTCTCTGTCACCAGGACAAATCCTGTTCTTATTTGAACCAAGGCCAGTTTTCCTAATGAATGCAGGGAGGACAGCACAGATCAATGAAACCAGCAGATAATCCACAAGACTGTTTCCCAGAGCTGGGAGATTTCCTTCCCTGCCAACACTTTTCCTGAAAGGTCTTAAGAATGAGGCAAACAGTTTAAGTCTCTCTTGCACTGTTCTTTTAGTGAAAGAGTTCAATGAGGAAGGAGAGGAAGTGGAGCATATGCTTAGTTTCCAAGCTGGAAAAGTGGCCCATGGTTAACCAAGACTAGATGTAAAAGCACAGGTGGCCGCGGGTCCAGGTGAGTCGGTCCTACGATGGCACGGCTGCTAATGCCAGCAGATGCTCCTGTCCTCTCCTTTCAAGACTGACTTCTTCTGGTCTTTCATTCGTTAAAATAAAATTGACAGGGCATCATCCAAGAAGCTCTACACTTTCCCTTACTTGGATTTCAGACTCTAGATTCTGCTGAGATTTGAGCTTCATGGTGAACACATTCTTGTTGTGCTTGCTGCTGAGGGGTGTGGAGGACAGAGAGATGGTGAAATGGCAAAGTGGCTCTTGAGCATGGGTGGGGGAAGCCCCCACATATCTGAGTCAGTGCCACCTGGACACTACCCTTGGAGCATCCTGCTGAGGTGGCCATTCAGGTTTTCTTTCCTTTCCTTTTATTCCACTGTTTCTGAATCACAAATAAAGATCCAAGGCAAACAGCACATTCAGATCCCCAAGCTCTCCACCTCCAATGTGACCAGGGACGTGCACCACTTCAGGCTCATGCAGGACCCACAGCCTTTGGACCTCAGCTAAGGGACCTGCTTCTCTTCAGCACACGGGGCTTGTTTGTGTTGGGGTCTGAGCCCTGAGCGCATGGTCAAGGAGACCCCCAGGTCTTTCTGAACAGAGACAGCTGGCCTGGCGGCCTCCCTCTCACTGCATGCAAGAGTCTGTTAGGGCGGCTGTCTTGCTTCTGTGTGTTGGGAAATTCAATTTAGGTACCTAAAAATGAAAAGTCCCAGGACATCTCCATGGCTTGGGATCCACAGGAGAGCATCATTGATGCTGGGGACAATTTAAACATATAGAAACCCACAGGGCTACCTTAGACAGGGCACAGGGCACAGCACCCGGGGATGCAGAGTGGAAAGTTCACCACTACAGCCTGGAATTGCCTCTGTGATGCCTTCTTCATGACACTTGGCTGCCTTCGTGGCTGGAAGGCTGAGGCCCAGATCCCAACATGGCCACAGGCTAGCAGCTTGCTTCACCTTCCTGAACTGCAATTTCTCCATCTGAGCCTCTCTCCTAAGAGGAGTGTGCAGGGTCACTTAGCCCATATGGGCCAGAAACCCCACACGGTGCCAGGCACACAGTAGGGCCTTGGCAGATGCTGCCCCCTTCTGTCTCCACCACCCTCCTGGGGCTCCCTCCTGAAACAGCCTCCCTCAGCGCCTTGAGTCTTGCACCCTAACAGCCTCTTGCACGCAGTGAGAGGGAGGCCCCCAGGCCAGCTGTCTCTGTTCAGAAAGACCTGGGGGTCTCCTTGACCATGGGCTCAGGGCTCAGACCCCAACACAAACAAGCCCCGTGTGCTGAAGAGAAGCAAGTCCTTTAGCTGAGGTCCAAAGGCTGTGAGTCCTGCATGAGCCTGAAGTGGTGCAGGTGCCTGGTCACACTGGAGGTGTAGAGCTTGGGGATCTGAATGTGCTGTTTGCCTCGGACATGAAACATCTCACAGACTGCCTGGAAGAAGGTGGAGCAGACTGGGGTTAATGGTCAGCAGCAGCAGCATCCCCACCACTGGGGCTATCCCTTTTTAGGCCTTTACCATGGGCCAAACACTGAGCCGTGGGCTTCGTGTAACTTCTAAGCACGCTTACCTGATAGAGTGCCAGCAAAGACTCAAAGAGGTGCCTGGGCTTGGCACATAGTAGCTATTGCTACTATTATGAATGTTGTTTTGTCTTTGTTTTTGTTTTGAGACAGGGCCTCACTCTGTTGCCCAGGTTGGAGTACAGCAGTGCCATCATAGCTCACTGAAGCCTCAACCTCCCTGGGTTTGAGCAATCCTCCCACCTCAGCCTCCCAAGTAGCTGAGACTACAGGTGTGCGCCACCAAGCCCAGCCAATTTTTTGTATTTTCAGTAGAGACTGGTTTTGCCAAGTCGCCCAGGCTGGTTTCGAACTCTGGGGTTCAAGCAATCTGCCCACCTCAGCCTCCCAAAGTGCTGGCATTACAGGCGTGTGCCACTGCGCCCAGCCATTATGAATGTCAATATTGACATGATCTTGTATCCTTATGCCCACACTGGGAGAGGTCTGATTGTCCCCATGTTCCTGGTGTGGAACCACATGGAAGAGGCCTATGTTATCCCAACAGTGCAGAAGCACAGCCTGAGTCTCTTCTTTGGCTGAGCCAAGGGTGTGCTGGAGAGGCCTGACAGAAGAAGGAGCGGCCCTTGTGACCAGTGCCCTTTTGGTTCACAAGGAACTTCTCCTCTTGTTGAAGTGACTTGGCTGAGCTTGCTACTTCTGCTTTGAGAGTCAAATATCAGGATCAAGACTTTAATTATCCCCAATTTACAGATGATGAAACCATATTGGGCAGGAAAGAAAGTCACCCCAGGAGAGCAAGTTGGACCTGAGCACTGGCTGAGGACAAAGGGGAATGATAATTTGGGATGTAACTTGTTAAGGGGTCTCACAAGTGTTCTTGTGATCCAGGTGTCGAGAGGATACAGCAGAAAGGTTGCCAGGGAGATGAGGGTAGGGTGCACCACAAGAGTGGGAGAAATTAAAGAGAACACGCAACAAAGCCTTGGGACACTGGGAGGGGGATGGACCACCCAGTTTTGTGCTATGGGAGAAGACAGCAAGAAAAGGAATCTGTGTTAAATCCCGACAGCCTGCATGAGAAGCAAATGCCCTTCATTTTCTTCATCAGCGGCGAGACTGGCATCCCTGCAGCTTTGGGAGACCATGCTAGTGTAGATGCCAGCTCACGCCAGCGGGCCTGACTGGGAGACCTTGGGCTGGGGTTCTGGTCTGGGGCTCCTAGGCCTGATGGGAGGAGAGTTCAGCCCCAGGTTTCCTGTACTTCAGCTCATATCCACACAATGGTCATTATTGAAATGAGAGACTCAAAAGAAGATGGAACGTGAACTTTTTTGTTGTCCCATGTGGACACCTGTGTTCGGTTTCCAGTTCTACCTCTTGCTGTCTGTGTGTTCTTAAGTAACTCACTTAAACCTTTCTGAGTCTCATTTTCTTCATTTATAAAATAAAAGACGTAACATTTATGTCAGATATTGTCCTGAGGATTAAATGGGAGAATGAACAAGCCTCTTCTGCATTCCCCTGGCATCCAGTGGGTGGAGGCCAGAGAAGCTGCTAAACATCCTGCCAGGTGCAGGACAGCCCCCATCACAAAGAATTGACCGGATCCTGATGTCAGTAAGGCAGAATTGAGGATCCTTGGTGTGGGGGAAAAAGAATAAACTCAGAAGCTTGGCAGATCTCAGTTCAAACCCTGGTTGTATCACCTCTAGCTGAGTGACCTTAGGCAGGTCTGTGAACTCTCTGAGACTCGGCCTCCTCATCGGTAGAATGAGGTAGATAAAAATGCCAAGCTCGGCCGGGCGCGGTGGCTCACGCCTGTAATCCCAGCACTTTGGGAGGCCGAGGCGGGTGGATCATGAGGTCAGGAGATCGAGACCATCCTGGCTAACAAGGTGAAACCCCGTCTCTACTAAAAATACAAAAAATTAGCCGGGCGCGGTGGCGGGCGCCTGTAGTCCCAGCTACTCGGGAGGCTGAGGCAGGAGAATGGCGTGAACCCGGGAAGCGGAGCTTGCAGTGAGCCGAGATTGCGCCACTGCAGTCCGCAGTCCGGCCTGGGCGACAGAGCGAGACTCCGTCTCAAAAAAAAAAAAAAAAAAAAAAAAAAGGTCTTAATTTTAAAAAATAGGCCAGGCGTGATGGCTCATGCCTGTAATTCCAGCACTCTGGGAGGCCAAGTCAGGCGGATGACATGAGGTCAGAAGTTCAAAACCAGCCTGGCGAACGTGGCGAAACCCTGTCACTACTAAAAATACAAAAATTAGGCCTGGCACTGTGGCTCATACCTGTAATCCCAGCACTTTGGGAAGCCAAGGCAGATGGATCACAAGGTCAAGAGATCGAGACCATCCTGGCCAACATGGTGAAACCCCATCTCTAAAAAAAAATACAAAAATTAGCTGGGTGTGGTGGCACATGGCTGTAGTCCCAGCTACTCGGGAGGCTGAGGCAGAAGAATCACTTGAACTTGGGAGGTGGAGGTTGCAGTGAGCTGAGATCCCAACACTGCACTCTAGCCTGACGACAGAGCAAGACTCCGTCTCAAAAAAAAAAATTTAGCCAGGAGTGGTGGCAGGCACCTGTAATCCTAGCTACTCAGGAGGCTGAGCCACGAGAATCACTTGAATCCGGGAGGCGGAGGTTGCAGTGAGCCGAGATCACGCCACTGCACTCCAGTCTGGGCGACAGAGAGAGACTCTGTCAAAAAAAAAAAAAACTCAAAATTCATTTTTATATAATTTCGATGACACCATAATCCTATTCTTTTGGACAGCAGTTAAGCAATAAGAATCAAGGAAAAAAATCTGATTTAATTGCTTCACTTTTAGAGAGCCAAAGCAAATAATATAAGATATAGCATGTATAAATTACCTTTGTGTCTTTTATATCATTTATATACTTTATCTTCAAGACATGAAAATGTATGCACAAAGATATTTTATATAACCATTTATAACCATACAACTTTTATAAAAGTCTGGCCGGCTGCAGTGGCTCTCACTTGTAATCCCAGCACTTTGGGAGGCCGAGGCAGGTGGATCACTTGAGGTTAGGTGTTCAAGACCAGCCTAGGCAACATGGTGAAACCCATCTCTACTTAAAAATACAAAAAATTAGCTGGACATGGTGGCGTGAGACTATAGTCCAGCTATTAGGGAGGCTGAGGTCGGAGGATCACTTCAGCCCAGGGGGTCGAGGCTACAGTGAGCTGAGGTCACACCACAGAACTCCAGCCTGGGTGACAGAGTAAGATCTCATCTCAAAAAAAAAAAAAAAAAAAAAGATCTGGCCGGGAGTAGTGGCTCACGCCTGTAATCCCAGCACTTTGGGAGGCCAAGGCAGGCAGATCACAAGGTCAGGAGATCGAGACCATCCTGACCAACATGGTGAAACCCCATCTCTACTAAAAATACAAAAAAGTAGCCGGATGTGGTGGCACAAGCCTGTAGTCCCAGCTACTCGGGAGGCTGAGGCAGGAGGATGGCGTGAACCCGGGAGGCGGAGGTTGCAGTGAGCCGAGATCGCACCACTGCACTCCAGCCTGGGTGACAGCGGGAGACTCCGTCTCAAAAAAAAAATTATAATAAAATAAAAATTCACTGAACATTAAAAGAAAATACACAAAATACGCTGGGCACAGTGGCTCACGCTTGTAATTCTAGCACTTTGGGAAGCCAAGGCAGGCAGATCATGAGGTCGGGAATTCGAGACCAGCCTCACCAACATAGTGAAACCCCATCTCTACTAAAAATACAAAAAAAAATAAGCCAGGCTTGGTGTGCGCCTGTAATCCCAGCTACTGGGGAGGCTGAGGCAGGATAATCGCGTGAAGCCAGGAGGCGGAGGTTTCAGTGAGCCAAGATGGCGCCATTGCATTCCAGCCCAGGCCACACTGCAAGACTCCGTCTCAAAAAAAAAAAAAAAAAAAACCACAAAATATATTAATAAGACTGTGGTAAGGATGGTAAGATTATGAGTGATTTCTTTCCTCTATTGCAAACTATACCATTTCCTTTATAATGTGAAGTGTTTTTTTGTTTTGTTTTGTTTTGAGATGGAGTCTCACTCTGTCACCTAGGCTGGAGTGCAGTGGCTCAATCTCGGCTCACTGCAACATACACTTCCCGGGTTCAAGCGACTCTCCTGCCTCAGCCTCCTGAGTAGCTGGGGTTACAGGTGCACACCACCGCGCCCGACTGATTTTTGCAGTTTTAGTAGAGATGGGGTTTCACTGTGTTAGTCAGGCTAGTCTCGAACTCCTGACCTCGTGATCTGCCCGCCTCAGCCTCCCAAAGTGCTGGGATTACAGGCGTGAGACACCGCGCCTGGTCTATAATGTGAAATTTTATAGAAAAATGTCGCTAAATGCTAATCAAGTCTGCCCACCAAAGATAAACCTATAATAAAACAGGGTGTCTCAGCAACAACAACAACAAAAAAAAAAAAAAAGAAAAGAAACCATAAGCCAAGCATGGTAGCACCAATCTGCAGTCCCAAATACTCAGAAGGGTGAGGCAGGAGAATCACTTGTGCCTGGGAGTTTGAGGCTGCAGTAATATAATCGCACCACTGCACTCCAGCCTGGGCAAAAGAGCAAGACTCGGTCTCAAATTAAAAAAAAAAAAAGATAGAATTTTTTAAATACTAAAAATACAACATGTGAAGTGAAAATTTCACTCGGCAAGCTTCACAACAACAAATCTGAGATGACAAAAGAGTCAGTGAACTTGAAGCTACATCGATAGATAGAATCTAATGTGAGGCCAGGCGCGGTGGCTCACACCTGTAATCCCAGCACTTTGGGAGGCCGAGATGGGTGGATCACCTGAGGTCAGGAGTTTGAGACCAGCCTGACCAACATGGAGAAATCCCATCTCTACTAAAAAATACAAAATTAGCCAGGTGTGGTGGCACACACCTGTAGTCCCAGCTACTCAGCAGGCTGAGGCAGGAGAATCGCTTGAACCAGGAGGTAGAGGTTGGGGTGAGCTGAGATCCCACCATTGCACTTCAGCCTGGGCAAGAAGAGTGAAACTCTGTCTCAAAAAAAAAAAAAAAAAAAAAAGAATCTAATCTGAAAGAGAAAATAGAGGTTAAACAAACAAACAAAAAACAGGGCTTCAGGGACCTACAGCACAGTACCAAAAGGTCTTACATACATAACCAAAGGCCTAAAAAAGAAGACAGAAAGAATATGAGGCAGGAAAGGAACTTTTGAAGAAATGATGGCTGAAATTTTCTTCAATTTGAAAAAAGACAAATCCACAGATTCAGGAATCTCAGCAAACCTCGAATAGTCAAATGCCTTGCTAAAAAGCAAACACAGAGGGAAAACTCTTGAAGCACCAAAAGAAAATGTCACATTACACAGAGGGAACCATGACTGGATAAACGGCAGATTTCTCATCATAAAATATGGAAGCCAAAAGAAAATAAACTAAAATACCCCTTGCTAAAAGATAAGGCACTGTCAACACAGAATTCTATATCCAACCACAATGCCCTTCAAAAATAGAGGTGAAATAGATACTTTCAGATAAAAGAAAGCAAGCACAATTTATCACCAAAAGATACGCCCTGCAAGAAAGGCTAAAGAAATTCTTCAGGATTAAGAGAAATGATGCTAGAAAATGCAAATCTTCAGAAGACAAAGAAGACTACCACAAATGGTAAATATCTGGGTAAACTTAGATGACTTTTAGCTCTTAAGTTCTTAACATTACATGATTATTGAAAGCCAAAATTACATTGTTGTTTTCTGGGGCTTATAATGTACATAGTTCCAACACACATGACAATAGCATAACTGACAACAAACAGAGGTGATATAAAAGAACAACTTACAAGCTTTGTATACTTTACAACTTGTACAATATTAGTCAGAAGTGGTAATACTATAAAAACAGACTGAAAAGAGTAAAGAAATATATTTAAATTGCTAGAGAAATGTGCCAAAGAATTAAGTTGAAACCCTTCCTGATATTAAAAAATTAATTCAAAAGTGAATCGCAGACCTAAATGTAAGAGCTAAAACAATAAAACTTTAGAAAAAAACATAGGAGGTAAGTCTTTAGGACTTGGTTGAACAACAGTTTTTAGACATAACACTAGATAAAAGTAGAGGCAACAAAAGAAAAAATAACTAGAATTTACCAAACCTACAGACTTTTTTGCTACAAACAAAATCATCAGGAAAGTAAAAGGATGGAAGAAATATTTACAAGTCATATGTCTGATAAGTAGTTTGTATCCAGAATACAGAGCTCTTCCACTCAGAAATAAAAAGCTATACAGCCCAGTTAAAAATTGAACAAAGGGGCCGGGCACGGTGGCTCACACCTGTAATCCCAGCACTTTGGGAGGCCTAGGCAGGGGGATCACCTGAGGTCAGGAGTTTGAGACTAGCCTGGCCATCATGGTGAAACTCCGTCTCTGCTAAAAATACAAAAATTGGCCAGGCGTGGTGGCGGGCACCTGTAATCCCAGGTACTCAGGAGGCTGAGGCAGGAGAAGCGCTTGAACCCGGGAGGCAGAGGTTGCAGTGAGCCAAGATATCACACCACTGCACTCCAGCCTGAACAACAGAGTGAGACTCTGTCTACAAAAGAATATAATGAAAAAAGATAAGTAAAAATCAACACCACAATGAGATACTACCTCATGCCCTGTAGGATAGCTAAAATCAAAAGCCAAACAATAAAAAATGTTGGCAAAGAGATGGAGAAATTAAAACCTTCATATATTGTTGCTGGTAATTTAAAATGTTACAGCCTCTTTGTCAGTTTTTCAAAAGGTTAAACAGAGTTGCAGCATGAAACAAAAATCCTAGGCCCAAGAGAATTGAAAACAAATGTCTGGATTTGCAGACAAATGTTCATAATAATAACATTATTCATAATATTGCAAAAGTATATACAACCTAAATGTTTATCAATTAATGAATGAGTAAAGAAAATGTAGTATAGCCATGCAATAGAATATTATTTGACAACAAAAAGGAATGAAGTTCTAATAAATGCTACAAAACAAATGCTTGTACATGATGCTAGGAGAAAGAAGCCACTCACAATACACCAAATGATTCCATTTATATGAAATGTGACAAATAGGGATGGAGACAGAATGAAGATTAGTGATTGCCAGGAGCTGGGCAAGTAGGGTAATGGAGAGTGACTGTTAATGGGCCAAAGGGCTTCTTTTTGAGGGGATCCAAGTGTTCTAAAATTGATTGTAGTGACGTAGAGACTCTCAAAAAAAAATAGTGTATTAGCACACATAGAAAAGTAAAACTCAATCACAAGGTGTCTGTAAGAAACACACTTTAAGGGAAGACACAAACAGGTCCAAAGTAAATGGATAGGCTGGGTGCGCGGTGGCTCATGCCTGTAATCCTAGCACTTTGGGAGGCCGAGGCGGGCACTTGATCACTTGAGGCCAGGGGTTTGAGACTAGCCTGGCCAACATGGCAAAGCCCTGTCTCTACTAAAAATGCAAAAATTAGCCAGGCATGGTGCCACACACCTATAATCCCAGCTACTAGGATGGCTGAAACAGGCAAACTGCTTGAACCTGGGAGGCAAATGCTGCAGTGAGCCGAGATCACACCACTGCACTCCAGCCTGGGTGATAGATTAAAACTCCATCTCAAAACAAACAAACAAACAAACAACAACAAAAAGATGGTGAGTGGCTACATAGTAAAGAGAGGGAGGGACATTTCACAGTAAGTCAGACAATGAAGAAGTCATAATAATTATAAATGTATGCACCTAAAAACAAGGCTTCAAAATACATGAAGGAAAATTTGGCATAAGGCATAAACAGTCAGAATACTCAGTGCCCCAAACATGGTAAGATATTTTAGCATCCCTCTTTGTGATTGACAAAACCAGACCAAATAATAATAGTCATCATCATCATCTAGCAATGTTAAAACCACTATAAACATTCTTTTCAGGTAAACTTGGTGCATTCCCCATGAAAGACCACATACTGAGCCACAAAGCTGGACACAATAGAATGAAAATAATGGGAATCATACAGATTATGTTCCCTAACCACATTAGAAAAAAAGATATGAAATGAATGACCTAGCAGCCGGGTGCGGTGGCTCACGGCTGTAATCCCAGCATTTTGGAAGGCCAAGGCAGGCGGATCACCTGAGGTCGCGAGCTCAAGACCAGCCTGGCTAACATGGTGAAACCCCTTCTCTATTAAAAATACAAAAATTAGCTGGGCGTGGTAGCGGATGGCTGCAATCCGAGCTACTCAGGAGGCTGAGCTGAGGCAGGAGAATCGCTTGAACCTGGGATGCGGAGGTTGCAGTAAGCCAAGATTGCATTACTGCACTTTAGCCTGGGTGGCAGCGCAAAACTCTGTCATAAAATAAAATAAAATGAAATGAAATGAAATGAAATGAAATAATGAAATGAAATGAAATGAAATGAAATAAAATAAAATAAAATAAAATAAAATAATAAAATAAAATAAAATAAAATATGTAGGGTTCTACCTAAAGAACCTATATATAAAAGGGTAAAGTAAACCCAAAGTAAGTAGAAAAAAAAAAAGAAATAGTAAAAATAAGAGCAGAAGAAATGAAACAGAAAAGTAACAGAAAATTTGAAGTCAAAGCTGGTCCTTTTGTCAGAGACCTCTGAACCAGAGTGCTTCTATCTTGAACAGGTGCTGGGTCAAATAAGGCTGAGTCCTGCTGGGCTGCATTCCCAGTAAGTCATGCATTCTAAGTCACAGAATGAGATAGGAGGCTGGCACAAGATACAAGACAGAAAAACCTTGCTGATAAAACAGGTTGTAATAAAGAAGGGGGCCAAAACCCACCAAAGCCAAGATGGTGATAAAACTGACCTCTGGTCATCCTCACTGCTCATTATACACTAATTATAATACATTAACATGCTAAGAGACACTCCCACAAGCGCCATGAGTTTACAAATGCCATAGCAATGCCAGCAAGTTACCCTATATAGTCTAAAAAGGGGAGGAACCACTAGTTCTGGGAATAGCCCACCCCTTTCCCAGAAAACTCATGAAGAATCCACCCCTTGTTTAGCATACAATCAAGAAATACTCATAAAAATGGGAAACCAGTGGCCCATGGCACTGCTCTGCCTATGGACTAGCCATTCTTTTATTCTTTTACTTTCTTAATAAACTTGCTTTCACTTGATGAATCCGCCCCAAATTCTTTCTTGCATGACATCCAAGAACCTCTCCTTGGGGTCTGGATTGGGACCCCTTCTGGTAACACGTTGGAAAGACCTACAAAGTTGACAGTCTGCAAGCGAAATTAATTTATTTTTAAAGAGGAAGAATACAAATTACCAAGAATAAAAGGGGAATTAGCTCTACGATCCCAAAGGTATTGAGGGCCAAAGATTATTATTAATGACTTCATGCTAACTAATTCAACAGCTGAGATGAAAAGAAGAAATTCTTTGAAAACAAAACTTATCAAAACTGATAAAACAGAATATCTGAGAAGCATTTTAAGTTGAATTATCAAAATCCTTTCCAAAAAGAAAACTCTAGACTCAGATTTTTTCACTGATAAGTTCCTTCAAACACTAAAGAAAAAATAGCATCAATCTCACACAAACATTTCCAGAAAACAGAGAAGACAATGCTTCCCAAATCATTTTCTAAGTTGAGCATGAAGAATACCAATGCATATGCCAAAAATACCAGCACCTGACAAAAAGCAGCAAGGTTACACCAAAATCCCTCACATACAAAGATGCGCAAATATTTACTATTAGCAATTTAAATCCAACAATATATTAAGAGGAATAGGCCAGTTGCGATGGCTCACACAGATTACGAAAGTAATCCTGGCACTTTTGGAGGCCAAGGCGGGAGGATCACTTGAGGTCAGGAGACCTGCCTGGCCAACATGGTGAAACCTTGTCTCCACGAAAAAAATTAGCTGCTCATGGTGGCACGTGCCTGTAATCCCAGCTACTCCGGAGGCTGAGGCAGGAGAATCACTTGAACCCAGGAGGCGGAGGTTATAGTGAGCAGAGATTGTGCCACTGTACCCATCTCCAAAAAAATAATAATAATAATAATACACCATGACACCAAATGGCATTTAGTATAACATTTGAAAATAAAACAATGAAATTTACATTAATATATTTAAATATATAGCATTATCTCAATAGATACAGAAAAAGCTTCTGAGAAAACTCAATATCCATTCAGGACATAAACCCTCAGGAAGCTAGGGCTAGACCTTACTCAACTGTGTATTCTCCATGGCATGGCATGATTATTCCTCTTAGGGTCTGTGACTATAACTATCTTTTCAATGGCAGTTATGTTGGGTTCTGTTGTCCTTGTCATATCTAAACAGTAATAAAACCTATATTTGAAAACAATCTGATAAAGTTCATCAATAAAACCCCTACAGCTGACTTATAATTAGTGGTGTAACACTGAATGCTGTATTCAAAGAATGAAAACAAGATTAAGTCAATTCTGTGAGGGAAGAGAATAAAAGGCATTACAACTAGGGAAAAAAAGAGATAAAACTGTGTTTTATGACAATCATCTATTAGAAAAATCTAAGAAATGTACCTAAAAAAACTCGTAGAATTAATATGACTTAAGGTTGTAAGAAACGGGTCAATATACAAAAATTCTATTTCCAACAAAAAATTAGAAATTTTTATAATACTTCATAATTGCTGAAAAAGTATTTAATATTTTAAAATACAAATAGCATCAAAAAAAGACAAAATACTTAAAAATAAAAATAATTTTAGGCCAGGCGTGGTGGCTCATGCCTGTAATCCCAGCAGTTTGGGAGGCCGAAGCAGGCAGATCATTTGAGATCAGGAGTTGACCAGCCTGGCCAACGGGGTGAAACCCCATCTCTACTAAAAATATAAAAATTAGTTGGGCTTAGGGTACATGCCAGTAATCCCAGCTGCTTGGGAGGCTGAGGCAGGAGAATTGTTTGAACCCAGGAGATGGAGTGAGCCAAGACTGGGCCACTGCACTCCAGCTAGGCGACAGAGTGAGACTCTGTCTCAACAAAAAGGAAAAAAAATAAGTAATTTTAAAAACAGAAGACATGCGAGACCAAAGGCTAAAAGCAACAAACGACTGCTCAGACAAAACAAAAAAGACCTAAATAAATGGAGAGATATACTATACTAATGACTAAGACTCAGTGGTTGTTAAGATGTCAGTTCTCCTCAAACTGATCAACAGATTCAAGACAATTACAATCATGATCCCATCAGCCTTTTTTGGAGAAGACAGAAAAGAGATGATTAAAATTTATACGGAAATGTGAAGGACGTAGAGTATGCAGAACTTCGAAAAAGAAGAAAAAGGTTTTAGGACTTGCAATTCTGACTTCAAGACAATATAAAGTTACCAAATAATCCGAATACTCTAACAGGGCTAGACAAACAGATTTTTGAAGCAGAATAAAGATTTCTGAAAGAGATCCCACTTAGGCAGCCACGCGATGTTCCCAAAGCAACCCGGTGAGAAAAGGAGACTCTTTTCAACAAATGGTGACAAACAACTGGATAGCCACATGCAAAAAACTCAGACCTACAAAAATAACTTCAGACGCATCACAGACCTAAATATAAATTAGCAAAAGCAAGCCCTTTTACAGGAAACAAAGGAAATTACCTTCAAGACTTTGAGGTTAGGCAAAAGTGTCTTAGCTCACAGTAAGCAATAACTACAAAAGAAAACACTGATAAATTAAACCTAGCAGATATAAATATTTCTGCTCATCAAAAGGTACAGTTAAAATAAATAGGCCGGGCGCGGTGGCTCACGCCTATAATCCCAGCACTTTGGGAGGCCGAGGCGGACGGATCACGAGGTCAGGAGGTCGAGACCACGGTGAAACCCCGTCTCTACTAAAAACACAAAAAGTTAGCCGGGCGTAGTGGCGGGCGCCTGTAGTCCCAGCTACTCGGGAGGCTGAGGCAGGAGAATGGCGTGAACCCGGGAGGTGGAGCTTGCAGTGAGCCGAGATCGCGCCACTGCACTCCAGCCTGGGTGACAGAGCGAGACTCCGCCTCAAAAATAAATAAATAAATAAATAAATAAATAAATAAATAAATGGGTAAACCACATAGACTTGGGGAAAGTATTTACAAAACATTTGTCTAACAAAGGATGAGTATTTAGGACATATAAACACCTTCTGCAACTCAAATAGATGAAAAACGAAAACAAAGAACAGTAAAGGCAAAATGAACAAACTCATCACAAAAGAGAACACACAAATGGCCAACACACAAGCTAAAACGTGCTCAATATCACCAGTTATCATGAAAATGTAAATTCAAACCACAGTGATACCACTTCTGGTCAAGATGGAGTGAATAAAGGGGACCAGATTTAGCCTCCTTGCGTGAAATAATAAAAACCTAATAAAATGAATGAAACAACAGCACTGAAGATATTGGACAAGTAACAAAAGACAGTGATCCCTGGAAGACAAAAAACAAACGGGCCACACGTGTGCCCAGCTTACTGCCTTGAGAGAGTTTTCCAGGTCGTGGAACAGGGAGGAGGAACCCAGGCAGAGCCTGTCGTCTCCCCAAGTTGAGGAAATGGAGCTGGAAGTCCAAGGAGGCCAAGGTGCCTAGAGCTCACAAGGGAGACCAGCACTGAGTAGAGAGCTGGAGAGAGAGAGAGAAATGAAGAGATCTACAAGGGCTCACCCTAGAACTTTTGGTTGAATGACAAATCAGCACTTGCAATGTAAAGGAGCTGTCCAAGGGCAAGGTGAGAAATCACCAAAACAATTAGACGTAATAGCATCCAGGACTGACTTAAGGATGTGTATAGTACCCACACCCAAAAGTCCAAAAGGAAATGACGTGATATAATTTATATCACATTGGAGATGTGACATTGGAATACTAAGAAAGAAAAGGCTTCAGAAGGAGGAAAAATTTAACCCTAAACACAACCCTGGTCCAATCAAGGAAAACATAAAAGACCCAACAGAAAGAAACTGTTTTCAAGCAACTTAATAATGCCACAGAACAAAGTCCACAAATATTTTTAAAAGGCAAACAAAACTAGAGAAACTAGAAAACAAGGTAAAATTCACACTGGCTCAAAAGCCAATCCAAATTTATAAGACTTACATAGAAGCAGGAAATTATACCCCATAATGAAACAAAAAACAAACCAATTTTGAAATGAAACAGAAAATAGAATTGGTAGACAAGTCCTTTAAAACAATTATGATGATATTTCATATGATGAGAAGGCTAGAAGAAACAACATATTAAGTAAAAATATGAATTATTTTTAAAATTTGAACTTCTAAAGATGAAAATTACAAAGTCTAAGATGAAAAATACACTTTGAAATTTGCAACACATGAAATCAAAATTACTAACCTAAATGAAACACAGAAAAAAACACTAAAAAATGTAATACGTGATAATTGAAATAACTTCAAGAGGCCAAACATATTTGTAACTAGAGCCACAAAACAGGAGATAATATTGAAAAAAATTTTTTAGAAATCATGGCCAACAACTTTTCACATATTTGAGGGAAATTATAAGCATATATAACAAGGCACTCTTTTAATGAATTATCATTCGCTAGAAACATGAAGAAAAGTGGCTGAGCGCAGTGGCTCATGCCTGTAATCCCAGCACTTTGGGCAGCCAAAGTGGGAAAATCGCCTCAGGCCAGGAGTTCGAGACCAGTGTGGGCAACGCTGCAGAACCCATCTCTAAAAACATACATACCCCCCCCCCACACACACACACACACACACCACACACATGAAAAATGGCCTGGCATGGTGGCTCACGCCTGTAATCCCAGCACTTTGGGAGGCCGAGGTGGGCAGGTCACCTGAGGTCGGGAGTTCGAGACCAGCCTGACCAACATGGAAAAACCCCATCTCTACCAACAATACAAAATTAGCTGGGCATGGTGACTCATGCCTGTAATCACAGCTACTCGGGAGACTGAGGCAGGAGAATTGCTTGAACCCGGAAGGTGGAGATTGGGGTGAGCCAAGATCGTGCCATTGACTCCAGCCTGGGCAACAAGAGCAAAACTCCGTCTCAAAAAAAAAAAAAAGAATTAGCCACGGGTAGTGGCACACACCTGTGGTCCTTCCAGCTACTCAGGAAGGCTAAGGCAGAAGGAGGTCAAGGCCATAGTGAGCCATGACTATGCCACTGCACTCCAGCCCAGGTGACAGAGTAAAAGCCCATCTCCAAAAAACAGGGTAAACCATGACCAAAATGACTACAATCAGAAATTAAAATTCCAGTGCAGCCAAGAAAAAGATCTTATTACACACTACAAAATCAAAAGAAAGTTGAAATCGTTATAATACTATCATGTAAAGTGGACAAAAATAAAAATTTTATCAGGAAAAAAGAGCATCATTTTATATACATTAAGGGTTTAATTCATCAAGAACACACAAAAATCCTAAACATTTATTTACCTATTAATAACAGGGCTTCAAAATAAATAAAGCAAAAATGAGAGAACTGTAAGAAGAAATGAAAGAATCCACAATTATATTTTAAAATTTCAGCAAACCTCTCTGTGTAATAGAACCAGGCCAGGCATGGTGAATGACACTTGTTATCCCTGAACTTTGGAAGGCCGAGACAGGATTGCTTGATCACAGGAGTTCAAGACCAACCTGAGCAACACAGGGAGACCCTGTCTCTACAAAAAGAGTTTTAAAAATTAACTGGGTGGGCCAGGCGTGGTGGCTCACACCTGTAATCCCAGCACTTTGGGAGCCAGAGGCAGGCGGATCACCTAAGGTCAGCAATTCAAGTCCAGCCCAGCCAACATGGTGAAACCCTGTCTCTACTAAAAATTCAAAAATTAGCCGGGCGTGGTGGCACACAACAGTAATCCTAGCTACTCGGGAAGCTTAGATAGGAGAATCGCTTCAACCCAGGAGATGGAGGTTGCAGTGAGCCGAGATCATGCCACTGCACTCCAGCCTGGGCGACAGAGAGAGATTCCAGACCAGCAGACAGAAAATCAGTAAGGATACAGAAGCTTGAATAACACCAAACTGACCTAACTAACTTTAGAACACTCTACACAACCTACCAGAATACACATTCTGTTCAAGTGCATTTGGAACATTCACCAAGATATACCATATTCGGGCCAAAAAAAACAACTCTTGGTACATTTAAAAGGTTTGAAGTCTTATCATGATTTTTTTCTTACCACTATGATATTTAGAAATCAGTGACAGAAAAAAAAATCAATAGGCAATCCCCATATTTGAAATCAAAACATACTTTTAAAATAACCAATGGGGGCCAGGAGCTGTGGCTCACGCCTCTAATTCCAGCACTTTGGGAGGTCGAGGCAGGTGGATCACAAGGTCAGGAGTTCAAGACCGGTCTGGCCAAGATGGTGAAACCCCGTCTCTTCTAAAAATACAAAAATTACCCGGGCATGGTAGCCGGCGCCTGTAACCGCAGCTACTCAGGAGGCTGAGGCAGAGAATTGCTTGAACCCGGGAGGCGGAAGTTGCAGCAAGCCAAGATCACGCTGCTGCACTCCAGCCTGGGCGACAGAGCGAGAATCTGTCTCAAAATATAAAATAAATAACATAACATAACATAACATAACCCATAACACCAAGGGGTAAAAAAAGGACAAATATATCAAGTATTTTAAGACAGTTAAAGCAGTGATTGAAAGAGAAATTTATACAATTACATGACTATATTAGAAAAGAAACAAATCAGTGACTTCACCTTGTTCCTTAAGAAACTAGAAGAGCAAAAGAAAGATCGAGCAGAAGTCAATGAAATAGAAAACAGAAAAATAGGGCACACTCAGTGAAATCAAAGGTTAGACTTACACTTCTGGGACGATGGAATGGACATACTTTTCCCTATTCCTCCCACTAAGTACAAATTTAAAATGTGAACATTGTAAATAAAACGAATATTCTCTGAAAGGTGGAGAGAAGGCAAATTAGCTCAGGATCACAGGACACAAGGCACAATATAGCAGTAAATTCCCTGGGTATTCTTCTTTTTGCCTAATGTATCCTACTCCTGGAATGGAAGAAGTGAGTACATCAGGACACCGATGAACACAGACCAAAAAAAAAAGAATCCCCAACAGGGCCCGGCGCGATGGCTCACGCCTATAATCGCAGCACTTTGGAAGGCCGAGGCGGGTGGATCACCAGAAGTCAGGAGTTGGAGACCAGCCTGGCCAACATGGCAAAACCCCGCCTCTACTAAAAATAAAAATTAGCTGGGCGTGTTGGCCGGTGCCTATAGTCCCAGCTACTCCGGAAGCTGAGGCACGAAAATCGCTTGAACTTGGGAGGCGGAGGTTGCAGTGAGCAGAGATGGCGCCACTGCACTCCAGACTGGGTGATAAAGATGGTCTCCAAAAAAAAAAAACAAACAAAAAAACTAAAACAGTTGTTTAAGTAAGATGCATAGTCTCATGACAACACAAAAATGCCCAGGTTTCAATCAAAAGTTATTTGTGATACCAAAAAGATATGAAGAATCCAGAAGATTTCAAATTGAATGGAAAAAGGCAATAAACAAATGCAAACATCAAGATATCTTAATTCTAATATCTCACAGATACATCAGAATTAACTGAAAAAATTTTTTGTTTGTTTGTTGTTGCTTTTTGTTTGTTTGTTTCTTGAGACGGAGTCTCGCTCTGTTGCCCAAGCTGGAGTGCACTGGCATGATCTCAGCTCACGGCAAGCTCTGCCTCCCAAGTTCAAGCGATTCTCCTGCCTCAGCCTCCTGAGCAGCTGGGATTACAGGTGCCGCCATCGCTCCTGGCTAATTTTTGTATTTTTAGTAGAGACGGGTTTTCGCCACGTTGGCCAGGCTGGTTTTGAACCCCGGACCCCAGGTGACTAACCCACCTTGGCCTCCCAAAAACAATTTTTAGGCCGGGCATGGTGGCTCACGCCTGTAATCTCATCACTTTGGGAGGCCGAGGTGGGTGGATCACCTCAGGTCTGGAGTTGGAGAACAACAGCCTGACCAACATGGACAAACTCCGTCTCTACTAAAAATACAAACTTAGCCGGGCATGGTGGCACATGCCTGTAATCCCAGCTACTTAGGAGGCTGAGGCAGGAGAATCACTTGAACCTGGGAGGCGGAGGTTGCAGTGAGCTGAGATCACGCCATTGCACTTCAGCCTGGGCAACAAGAACGAAAGTTTGTCTCAAAAAAGAAGAAAAAAAAATTCAGCGGAACAAATATCCAAACCATATCAATGAACTAAAATAAGCAGATATAAAATACAATAAAGAAAAATGGTTTTGGCGTAGTGAATTGGGGTAGAAAAAAAATACGACAAGAAAAATGGGATTCCAAAAATGTTCAAGTAACTCAAAAGAAAGCAGGAAAAAGAACAATCAAAAAACTAAAACTAAAACGAGGCGTGGTGGCTCAGACCTGTTATTCTAGCACTTTGGGAGGCCAAGGTGGGTGAATCACCTAAGGCCGGGAGTTCAAGACCAGCCTGGCCAACATGGTGAAACCCCAACTCCACTAAAAATATAAAAATTAGCTGGGCGTGGTAGCACATGCCTGTAATCCCAGCTACTTGGGAGACTGAGGCACAAGAACTGCTTGAACCCGGGAGGCAGAGGTTGCAGTAGGCCAAGATTGAGCCACTGCACTCCAGCCTGGGCAAGAGTAAAACTTTGTCTCAAAAAAAAAAAAAAAAAAAAAAAAAAAAGGATTCTGACAACATCTGTAAGTATGTAAATGACCCAAATACCTAAAAACAGCAAATAAAAGACAAAAACTGGCCAGGTGCAATGGCTCACAACCATAATCCAAGCACTTTGGGAGGCTGAGGAGAGCAGATCACTTGAGGTTCGGTGTTCGAGACCATCCTGGCCAACATGGTGAAACCCTGTCTCTACTAAAAATACAAAAAAAAAAATTTAGGCAGTCATGGTGGTGGGCACCTGTAATAGCTACTCTGGAGGCTGAGGCAGGAGAATTGTTTGAACCCACTAGGCAGAGGTTGCAGTGAGCCGAGATCATACCACTGCACTCCACCCTGGGTGACAGAGTGATGAACTCCGTCTCAAAAAAAAAAAAAAAAAGAAAAAGACAAAGATTGACAAACTAGATTTAAAAAACATAACCTACAGCCAAGCATGGTGGCTCACGCCTGTAATGCCAGCACTTTGGGAGGCCATGACAGAAGGGTCTCTTGAGCCCATGAGTTCGAGACCAGGCTGGGCAACATAACAAGACCTCGTCCCTACAAATAATAAAAAAATTAGCCGGGTGTGATGGTGCACATGTGTGGTCCCAGTTACTTGGGAGGCTGAGGTGGGGGAATTGTTTGAGCCCAGGAGGTCCAGGCTGCAGTAAACCATGATTGTGCCACTGCAGTCCAGCCTGGGTGACAGAGCAAGACCGTGTCTCAAAAAAAAAAAAAAAAAAAGGCCAGGCACAGTGACTCACACCTGTAATCCCAGCACTTTGGGAGGCCAAGGAAGGCAGATCAAGAGGTCAAGTGTTCGAGACCAGCTTGGTCAACATCGTGAAACCCGGTTTCTACTAAAAATATAAAAAATTAACCAGGCATGGTGGCGGGCACCTGTAATCCCAGCTACTCGGGAGGCTGAGGCAGGAGAATTGGTTCAACCCGGGAGGTGGTGGTTGCAGTGAACCAAGATGACGCCATTGCACTCCAGCCCAGGTGACAGTGCAAGATTCCATCTCAAGAAAAAAAAAAAAAAGAAAGAAAGAAAGAAAACATAACCTAACACTGTTTTGTGTACAAGACATTTACTTCGAATATAACAATCTAAGCACATTGAAAGCAAAAAAAAAAAAAAAATTCAAAAGGTATATGATGCAACCATTCACTAAGGAAAAGTGGATGACTATATTAATATCAGAAACAGTATACTTCAGAGCAAAGAAAAAGTACTAGAGACTAAGAAGGAAATTATTTATTGAGAGAGGGGTCAATCCACCAAGAGGACATAACATTCCTAAATGTGTATGCAGCAAAAAACCAGACTACGAAATCTGTGAAAGAAAACCTGATGGAACAGAATGAAGAAATACACAAATCCACTATAGAGACTTCAGTATTTCTCTGTAACAACTGTTAAAACTATACATATGATCACAGCAAGAGTATTTACTTCAACCCCATGAACTAACTGGATCCATGGACATTTACAGGACATTCCACCCAGCAAGAGTGGAATACTTTTTTTTTTTTTTTTTGACAGAGTCTCACTCTGTCGCTCAGGCTGGAGTACAGTGGTGCAATCTCAGCTCGCTGCAACCTCCGCTTCCTGGGTTCAAGCAATTCTCCTGCCTCAGCCTCCCAAGTAGCTGGGACTACAGGCATGTGCCACCATGCCTGGCTAATTTTTGTATTGTTTTTGAGTAGAGATAGGGAGACTCCGTCTCAAAAAAAGAAAATAGCCAAAAGTGATGAACAGGGGATATATAAAGGTACTACTGCTTGTCTCAGCAGCACATATACCAAAATTGAATCAATACAGAGAAGATTAGCATGCTCCCTGCACAGTGATGACATGCAAATTCTTAAAGTGTTCCATATTTTTAAAAAAAGATACCAAATAAGCACCCGAAAAGATGGTCAACATCATTAGCCACTAAGTAAATACGTATTAAAAACACAATGAGGTGTGTGTAGTGGTCTGTAATCCCAGCACTTTAGGAGACCAGTCTGGAGCATGACTTGAGCTCAGAAGTTCAAAACCAGCCTGAGCAACATAGCAAGACCTTATCTCTTCAAAAACATATTTCTAAAAACATTGGCTGGGTGTAGTGTAGCACACACCCATAGTCCCAGCTACTCAGAGGGTTAAGGTGGCAATGAGACATGATCATGACACTGCCCTTCAAAGCCTAGGTAACAGAGCAAGACCCTGTCTCAAAAATAATAATAATAATAATAATAATACACACAATGAGATATCACTACCCACCTATCAACATTACTAAATGAAGACTTACGTTCACATGAAAACCTGTGTGATGTTTCTAACAGTTTTATTCATAATAACCTACAAGTGGAAATAACTGAGATTATCTTTCAGCAAATAAGTAAACAAAGTGCAGTATAACCGTAACAAACACTAAGCAACAACCCGGAGGAATCTCCAAGGAATTAAACTTAGTGTAAAAAACTCAATCCCAGAAAATTACATGTTGTTTTGTTTTGTTTTGTTTTTAGACCAGAATCTCATTCTGTCACCCAGGGTGGAGTGCAGTGGTGCAATCTCGGCTCACTGCAACCTCCACCTCCTGGGTTCAAGCAATTCTCATGTCTCAGCCTCCCAAGCAGCTGGGATTACAGGTTAATCCCTGTAATTTTTGTATTTTCAGTAGAGACAGGGTTTCACCATGTTGGCCAGGCTGGTTTCCAACTCCTGACCTCAAGTAACCCACCCACCTCAGCCTCCCAAGGTGCTGGGATTACAGGCGTGAGCCAGGCACCTGGCCTTCAGAAAATTACAAGTTCTATCATCCCATTTATATAACATCCTTGAGATAACAAAATTACCAAAATGAGGAATACATTAGCAGTTACGACTAAGTCTGGCGGCAGGAGGAAAGCAGGTGTGGCTATAAAAGCACAACAGGAAGGGAGAGGATTCTGGGAAGATGGTGCAATAGGAAGCACCAGGAACCTGAGGTCGGGAGTTCAAGACCAGCCTGGCCAACATGGACAAACCCCGTCTCTACTAAAAATACAAAATTAGTCGGGCGTGGTGGTGCATGCCTGTAATCCCAGCTACTCAGGAAGCTGAGGCAGGAGAATTGCTCCAATCCAGGAGGCGGAGGTTGCCGTGAGCCAAGATCGCGCCATTGCACTCCAGCCTGGGCAGCAAGAGTGAAACTCCATCTCAGAAAAAAAAAAAAAAAAAAACAAGTATATATAAGTCAGCAATGAAGAAAATGCAGGACTTGTACACAGAAAAATCATAAAACTTTACTGAAGTAAACTGAAGACAACATATATAAATGGAAAGACATTTCATGTTCTTGGATTGCAACACCTTAATGTTGCTAAGATGTTACTACTCCAAAGCAATCTACACATTCAATAAAATCCCTGTCAAAATCCCAAGAATGTTTTTTGCAGAAATTAAAAAAAAATACATTCTAAAACTCATGTAGAATCTCAAGGGACCTCAAATAGTCAAAACAATCTTGAAAAAGAATAAATTTGAAGACATCACACTTCGTGATTTCAAAACTTACTACAAAGCTACAGTAATCAAAACAGTGTTGCCAGGCTTGGTGGCTCATGCCTGTAATCCCAGCACTTTGGGAGGCCGAGGCGGACGGATCACCTGAGGTCGGGAGTTTGAGACCAGCCTAATCAACATAAAGAAACCCCGTGTCTACTAAAAATACAAAAATTAGCCGGGTGTGGTGGCACATGCCTGTAATCCCAGCTACTCGGGAGGCTGAGGCAGGAGAATCGCTTGAACCCAGGAGGCAGAGGTTGCAGTGAGCTGAGATCAGGCCACTACACTCCAGCCTGGGCAACAAGAATGAAACTCCACCTCAAAAAAACAAAAACAAAAACAAAACACAGTGTTGTACTGGCATAAAAACAGAGCACTGAAAGAGAATAGAGAGTTCAAAAATAAACTCTCGCTTATATGGTGAAGTGATTTTCAACAAAAGTGCCAGGATCATTCAGTGGGAAAGAGACTCTTTTCAACAAATAATTTTGGGAAAACTGCATTATCTACATGCAAAAGAATGTAGGTGGACACTTCTCTTACACCGCACACAAAAATTGACTCAAAATGGATCAAAGACCTAAACATAAGAGCTACATCTGGTGGCCGGGCGCGGTGGCTCACGCCTGTAATCCCAGCACTTTGGGAGGCCGAGGCGGGCGGATCACGAGGTCAGGAGATCGAGACCATCCCGGCTAAAACGGTGAAACCCCGTCTCTACTAAAAATACAAAAAATTAGCCGGGCGTAGTGGCGGGCGCCTGTAGTCCCAGCTACTTGGGAGGCTGAGCCAGGAGAATGGCGTGAACCCGGGAGGCGGAGCTTGCAGTGAGCCGAGATCCCGCCACTGCACTCCAGCCTGGGCGACAGAGCGAGACTCCGTCTCAAAAAAAAAAAAAAAAAAAGAGCTACATCTGGGCCGGGCATGGTGACTCACACCTGTAATCCCAGCATGTTGGGAGGTCGAGGCAGGTGGATCACGAGGTCAGGAGATCGAGACCATCCTGGCAAACACGGTAAAACCCCGTCTCTACTAAAACTACTAAAAAACTAGCTGGGCATGGTGGCAGGCGCCTGCAGTCCCAGCTATTCAGGAGGCTGAGGCAGGAGAATGGCGTGAACTGGGGAGGCAGAGCTTGCAGTGAGCTGAGATCGTGCCACTGCACTCCAGCCTGGGCAACAGAGTGAGACTCTGACTCAAAAATAAATAAATAAATAAATATAAAAATAAAAATGTCAACAAATTTGCTCAACTATAACAGAAAAAGAAAGCTTACAAGAGAATGTAGAGCTCATAGTTTCTACTTAGTGTTTGTTAGATAAATGGTTTAAATGGACTGAAAATCCTGAAAAACTGCTTGAATCATAAAGAATCTTTGAAATATTATGGAAGCATTTTCTAGCTTGTTTCTTGAAACCTCTGAAAAAAACCTCCTCATGTATCAATACAAGCTAACCTGCTTTACAGAAATCAGAAGAAAACCATGGCTGGGCACGGTGGCTCACGTCTATAATGCCAGCACTTTGGGAGGTCGAGGTGGGCGGATCACGAGGTCAGGAGTTCGAGGCCAGCCTGGCCAACATGGTGAAACCCCTGCTCTACTAAAAATACAAAAATTAGCCAGGCATGCTGGCAGGCGCCTGTAATCCCAGCTCCTTGAGAGGCTAAGGCAGGAAAATAGCTTGAACCTCGGAGGCAGAGATTGCAGTGAGCCGAGATCGCACCACTGCACTCCAGCCTGGGACCCAGCGAGACTCTGTCTCAAAAAAAAAAAAGAAAAAAAGAAAACTATGTATTTTATTACATGTACACATTTGTCTTTCATATACTTGTAACTCAGAAAACCATGCTTTCACAAATGTAATAATAGAAATACAATAATATTAGCAATCATAACATTTGTGAAAGTGTAAAGAATAAACTGGCCAGATGCTGTCTCTTACACCCTAGAACCCAGGTTCTGGTCAAGGCTTGTCTTGGTTGTATGAACTCACTTCATGGACCTGTCATAAGGCTCAAAAGAGATACTGTAAACAAAAGCATCTTGTAAACTGCATAAGCCTGTAGATTTGTGGTCCATCTAAATCCAGGCACTTTAACGACTGATAGCTGTCCCCCCAGAACCTCCTTTCTCGATTCTTAACATAAACAACTTATACTTCCAAGTCCAGTTCAAAAGTTATATTCTTGGAAGCCTCCGCGTCCCTCCTGTCCATCCAGGCAGAACTAATCCATCTACACTCTAGTATTTTGCTCTCATAACTCTTGGCTCTTCCCCAGTTCATTCAAGAGTGTAACGAGCAGTTAAAATATGTCAGACATCATGCTATGCACTGGAGAAAAAATCTTAAATGTGTGAAGCTTACAAAGCTTTTTCACACACATTATCTCATTTCATACTTTAAAAATATCCCATAGGATCATGATTATGTGTTTACAATTTCTCTAACCAGAATAAATTCCCAGGGGGTAGAGACTAAGTGTGATTCATCTTTGATTCCCCAGAGTCTAATGCAGTGTCTGGCACCCAGAAGGCACCCATTAAGCACTTGATAAATGAATGAGTAAAGGAGTAACAAACACTTGTTCGATTACTAAAATGTCAATCAGGGTTAACACTGAAATAATCTTTCCACAAAGTTTCCACAGGGGAGAGGGGAAAAATACATTATATTATATACAAACACATCTGGGGAGCGAAAATTCCTCCCTATAGCAGAGCATCTCCAACTCAAGTTTAACTGTTTAACAAAGCCACATAGCAACTGAGGATGGATTTGATTTTACTACTGGACTAACAAGCTCTTAGTGAAGAACAATGAGTTCTGCATAAAAGCTCCTATGTAGATCATTCTGCTTGGTAAAACTGGACATTATTACACAAATATTAAAATAAACACTTAAAGAGCTTCTGCACAGCAAAAAAAAAAAAAAATCATCAGAGGGAACAGGCAACCTACAGAATGGGAGAAAATGTTTGCAATCTATCCATCTGAGAAAGGTCTAATATCCAGAATCTATAAGGAATTTAAACAGATTTATAAGAAAAAAAAACCATCAAAAAGAGGGTGAAGGATATGAACAGACATTTCTCAAAAGAAGATATTTATGCGGCCAACAAACATATGAAAAAAAGCTCATCATCACTGCTCATTAGAGAAATGCAAATCAAAACCACAATGAGATACCATCTCACGCCATTTAGAATGGTGATCATTAAAAAGTCAGGAAACAACAGATGCTGGAAAGGATGTGGGGATACAGGCATGCTTTTACACCGTTGGTGGGAGTGTAAATTAGTTCCATCATTACCAAAGACTGTGGCGATTCCTCACAGTGACCAATTGAAATTATATTTTACATGTAATAAAACCATTTTCTATTTACAAAAATCAAATAAATTCTCGTAAAGCAAACACGCCTCCATTTATTTCCCACTTTTTGCACAAAATTGGATTTTCACTGTAACTGAGGTGTGCTAAATGCATGGTTAATCTAGTGTCAGCATCATCTTCCTATAAATTACAGATGCCTTCTGTGAGCAGGTCTCCTGCAGGCTCATGTATGTTGTATTTTGAAATCTACTTTAGAGGATATTTTAAGACTTTTAGAACCAGAAATACCATTTGACCCAGCAATCCCATTACTGGCTATATATGCAAAGGATTGTAAATCATTCTACTATAAAGACACATGCACATGTATGTTTATTGCAGCACTATTTACAATAGCAAAGACTTGGAACCAACCCAAATGCCCATCAAGGATAGACTGCATAAAGAAAATGTGGCACATATACACCATGGAATACTATGCAGCCATAAAAAAGAATGAGTTCATGTCATTTTCAGGGACATGGATGAAGCTGGAAACCATCATCTCAGCAAACCAACACAGGAACAGAAAACCAAACACCACATGTTCTCACTCAAAAGTGGGAGTTGAACAATGAGAACACATGGGCACAGGGAGGGGAACATCACACACCAGGGCCTGTCAGGGGATGGCGGGCAAGGGGAGGGATAGCATTAGGACATATACTTAATGCATGTGGGGCTTAAAACCTAGACGACAAGTCGATAGGTGCAGCAAACCACCATGGCACATGTATACCCATGTAACAAACCTGCACGTTCTGCACATGTATCCCAGAACTTAAAGTATAATTTTAAAAAATTTAAAAAATAAAAAATAAAATAAAGTCTTGTTTCAGGGTAATATTAATTTGCGTTACCACCTATTTCAACACGGCAGACAATTGTACCATCTGAGACAAATGGAGCTTTGACATGAAATCTTAAAATACCCCATAAATGGTGGCCGGGCGCGGTGGCTCACACCTGTAATCCCAGCACTTTGGGAGGCCGAGGCGGGCAGATCACAGGGTCAGTAGATCGAGACCATCCTGGCTAACACGGTGAAAACCCGTCTCTACTAAAAGTACAAAAAATTATCGGGGCGTGGTGGCAGGAGCCTGTAGTCCCATCTACTCCTGAGGCTGAGGCAGGAGAATGGCGTGAACCCGGGAGGTGGAGCTTGCAGTGAGCCAGATCGGGCCACTGCACTCCACCCTGGTCAACAGAGCCAGACTCCATCTCAAAAAAAAAAAAAAAAAAAAAAATACCGCATGAATGGATTGATAGACAAAAAGCGAAAAAATCCAATGCTACCAGCTCTCATAAGCTCAAAATTCAATTCTCTACTCTACAAAAATCCCTGGTATAAGTGAGAGATATACTTCAAGATCTTTGCATATTCCAAAGTTTATGGCTATTACTGCCACAGAGCTTCTTCCATAAACTTCAAACGTTTGCACTGAAGAGCACTGTGTCTGGGGACTACTTTACTATCACTAGCTTCATAATGGTGTTTTCTCCTTGGTGTAATATTTCACAAGGAGACAAAGAATACGTATGTGTGTATGTGAATCATTCATGCTAGTTACCACGTAAATAACAACAAGCAGCAAATACGAAGTTAAAAGTGAAGTTGCAGTGTAAATGCTGCTGTCCAGATGGGTGAGGCTTACTCATCCGCCAAGCGAAGTCCTCAACCTCGCCTCCACCGCACACAGCGTTCAAGTTTCCATCTCAACAGAACTTACGCATCATGAACCTTTACGGTTCATAAACAGTTGAGAAAGCTAACATCAAATTCTTGCATGCCAAGAGTCTACAAATTATTCCATTCACAGATGTTATAATCGGATTTTTTTTTTTTTTTTTTTTTTTTTTTTTGATACGGAGTCTTGCTCTCACCCAGACTATAGTGCAGTGGCGCGACCTCGGCTCACTGCAACCTCCGCCTCCGGGGTTCAAGCAATTCTCCTGCCTCAGCCTCCCGAGTAGCTGGAATTACAGACACGCGCCACCATACCCGCTACTTTTTTGTATTTTTAGTAGAGACGGTGTTTCACTATATTGGCCAGGCTGGTTTTGAACTCCTGACCTCAAGTGATCCGCCCACCTCAGCCTCCCCAAGTGCTGGGATTACAGGCGTGAGCCACCTCGCCCGACTCTGATCATTACTTAATTAGGATAAAACCATTCCTTAGAAAGGTCATTCAATTCTGATGATTGTATATCTCATATTTTTCAAATACTCTCATTGTTAATAAGCATTTCACTCCACTAAGGCTACCCTGGCATCAAACGTATTTCAGATTTGGCCAGGCTCGGCAGCTCATGCCTGCAATCCCAGCATTCTGGGAGGTCGAGGCGGGTGGTTCACCTGAGGTCAGGAGTTGGAGACCAGGCTGGCCAACATGGCAAAACCCCATCTCTACTAAAACTACAAAAAATTAGCTGGGCGTGGTGGCAGGTGCCTGTAATCTTAGCTACTCGGGAGGTTAAGGCAGGAGAATCCCTTGAACCTGGGAGGGAGAGGTTGCAGTGAGCCGAGATTGCACCCCACTGCACTCCAGCCTGGGCGACAGAGCAAGACTCCATCTCGAAAATAATAATAATAAAATACAGTGAGGTGTTTTTTTTTGTTTGGTTGGTTTTTTGGGGTTTTTTTTGTGTGTTTTTTTGACCGAGTCTCGCTCTGTCACCCAGGCTGGAGTGTGGTGGCGCGGTCTCAGCTCACTGCAAGCTCCGCCTCCCGGGTTCACGCCATTCTCTTGCCTCAGCCTCCCTAGTAGCTGGGACTACAGGCGCCCGCCACCACGCCCGGCTAATTTTTTGTATTTTTAGTAGAGACGGAGTTTTACCATGTTAGCCAGGATGGTCTCGATCTCCTGACCTCGTGATCCGCCCACCTCGGCCTCCCAAAGTGCTGGGATTACAGACGTGAGCCACCATTCCCGGCCCAACACAATGAGTTTTAATAGACAGAGTCAGGTGACATTCATCTATCTAGTCCTACACGCCATTTTGGCATTGAAGGGTTCCACAGGGCTGGAGTCACTTAGCTCTAGGTGCACAATTCTAGTGTATGAGTATACTTTTCTATTCTAAAGCCGCAATGAGCAAAATGGGTCAGTGTAATTGTAGAATTCATCTTCTACATATCAAGCACTGTAATAGGTAAACATTTTATATACATCCTCTCTAATCTTTGCAACATTCCACAAAGTAAGGGTTATTTTACCCATTGAAAAATCACTGGAAAGTCAGAGGATTTAGGGCCATTGCCCCCAACATCTACAGCCCACACCAAGATTTGAACCCAGATCTCTCTGGTTTCAAAACCCTGCCCTAATCATTTCACTGTATTACCAATCCAAGGAATAAATAAAGTTAAGGTATCTTAGTCAGATAAAAGTGGCAAATTAGACCAGGCGTGGTGGCTCACGCCTGTAATCCCAGCACTTCGGGAGGCCGAGGCTGGCAGATCACGAGGTCAGGAGATCGAGACCATCCTGGCTAACACGGTGAAACCCCACCTCTACTAAAAAAATACAAAAAATTAGTCGAGCGTGGTGACACACGCCTGTAGTCCCAGCTACTCGGGAGGCTGAGGCAGGAGAATCGCTCGAAGCTGAGAGGCAGAGGTTGCAGTGAGCCAAGATTGTGCCACTGCACTCCAGCCTGGGTGACACAGTGAGACTCCATCTCAAAAAATTTTTTAAAAATGTGGCAAATTAATGAGAGGAAAATTTAAAAAGTTAACCCCACAAACCAAGAAATCTATTTATGATTATGTTTGTTGTAAGAGACAGAGTCTTGCTCTATTGTCCAGGCTAGTCTCAAAGTCCTGACCTCAAGCAATCCTCCCGACTCAGCCTCCTGAGTAGTGGGGATTATAGGCGTTACAGGCATGAGCCAATGCCCCCAGCAAGAAGTCTGTATGTTCTTATCATACGTGCGACTAAACAAAATTATACTTAAGAAACTGACAAATCATGGTAATATTTTAAATATCATGACTACACTGAAACCCTGCCAGAGGTATTTTTAAAATGTCAAGGATTTTTTTGATTTTTTTTTTTTGAGACAGAGTCTCCCTCTGTTGCCCAGGCTGGAGTGCAGCAGTGAGATCTTGGCTCACTGCAACCTCTACCTCCCGGGTTCAAGCAATTCTCCTGCCTCGGCCTCCCGAGTAGCTGGGATGGCAGGCACGTGCCGCCACACCCGGCTAACTTTTGTATTTTTAGTAGAGACGGGGTTTCACCATGTTGGTCAGGCTGGTCTCGCACTCCTGACCTTGTGATCCGCCCACCTCGGCATTCCCAAGTGCTGAGAATACAGGCGTGAGCCACCGCGCCCGGCCAAAATGTCAAGGATTTTTACGCTGATGTGCTTAATGTGTCCAATCTGCAATTCTAGTGGTAATCAGTGACATACCCATAAATCAGAGAGTACTTCTATGAAAATAATCACAGCCTACAAATACGGATAAAACTCCTCAGCTTTACCTCTTAGATGGTTCTAGACAGTTTCAGAATTCGTGCCTCTTTCTTCAACTCTCTCATTAATTTTATTACCCTTGGCAGTAAAATAATCTTACCAATTGCTCTCCCTATGAAATTGTGAATGAAAATTCCCATTTCTCTTTGCTAGGTCTTGTTAGCTGCCATCTCTGGGAAGGAGAAAGTGTTTTTATAGATAGGCATGGCAAGGACAAATAATGGAGTTGAAATGCAAGGGTGGATGGCAAATAAATTGCATCTTGTGAACTACCTCCAACTAACTTCTGCCTGGAGCACTGTGTTTAAAAGGATTCCTAGGCCACATCTGGAGGGATCCGGGAAAAAAAAAAACAAAAGAGATGTAACGAAGGTAAGCGGAGAACCAGTAAAGTGTAGTGCTACAGTAGCCTAGGGTTTCAAGGAAAGGAGATTATAATATCCAGTCAGGCAGAGCAGCAGTCAAACAACATGAAGAAAAATGTCCACGAGACTTGGCATGTAGGAGATCACTGATGTGCCTATTGACAAGTTCAGTAGCGTTGTGAGGGAAAAGTCAATGGGCTAAAGCGGAAATGAGTGCTGACACAGAGACAGCAGGTGTAAACCAGAGACAGAGCCAGTGTACCGGATGGCTGAAGTCAAATACTTACGTAGCAAATGGGGATAGAGACACGTGTCCGATGGATGTATTGGCCTTCTCAGGACAAATATTCCATCCCCTGAAAACCACAGGAAAGGGGTAAAGAAGGATACTCCTATAGGTCAATTTACAGAAGAGAGCAAAACCTTAAAATTGTCAACGAAGTAGGAGCTAAGAACCTCTGTATCAGGTGAAGAGACAGGAAGGTCAAGACGGGGAAGGAGAAGATTTGCTAAAGATGTTGAAGAGAATGAGAGAACTAAACAGGGCTGGGCAAGCAAAGGCATCAGGCAAGGCTGAGTACTCAGATGAGGTTGAAATTATGGAATAGTTACATTAAAACAGGGTTAATCTGTATGACTAGGTGCTTTTTCTTTAGCCTTCAGATACAGAAGTAGAACAACAGACTGTGGATTGGGCTGGCATTTTGCCAGGATACACCAGGAAGACGGGCACAGGAAAGGCCCAATGTTGGGAGTATTTCCATTAATCTCCTATGAGATCCAGGCTGGCTAGGGTAGCAAGGCAGGTTATAAGAAGAAAAATACAGACAAACTCGTGAGACTGCAGAGGCTTGGAAGGAGAAAATGTGTTGGGTGACAGTGAGATGCAGAAGATTTCTAAGGTGATACACCTGTAGAGGAGAAGGTGGAGGTCCCAGCCCAGGGAAAAGGTGGCTAATCTGCCCCTGGTGATGACCACTGGCATTAAAGGAATCCAGAAGAGACGAGGCTTTTTCTGTTTGTGGAAGTTATCTCCTTGTCCAAGTTTCTCTTCACCACTGAAAACCTCTGAAAGTTGTCAACTTCATTAAGGTAGATTCAGAAGACCTGTTTGATTCAAAATGACAAAATGCTTCTAGAGAAAAAGCACATATGTCTGGTCAGATAATGCGTGTATGACTTCGGACAAATCATAGCATTTCAGTGTTTGAGGTAATCTAGTCTGTCTGTCCTCTTTATTCCTTAACTCTCCATCTGTACAGACAGAAACAATGTAATCAGCCACATAACTTGTATAAAATAAATATGAAGAGAGAACCAATTATGAAGGTAGAAGTTCTTGGGGTGAGGGGAGGAATTTTAAAATACAAAATTAACTAGCTACTTCTTCAAGAAGAAAAATATCAGGGAGTACTGAAAGAGAACAATTGCAGAAAGGAAGAGAAATTAACGTGAACAGCAACCAAAAACCTTCTAAGAATGTATCAACAGTCCAGTGGAAAACAAATACCCACCCTGATGACACCTTGATCTTGGACCCACGGCCTCCAGTACTGTGAGACAGTAACATTCTGTTGCTGAAGGTGCCCAGTCTGTGGTACTGTAAAACAGCCCTAGGAAACTAACACAGCCTGTTAGCCCACAGATGGTGGAGAGAAGGAATGCTCAGTGGAGCTCCAGGCTTACTGTCTACAGCTCCCAAAGTGTGCTACAGGACCCCTGGATGGGTGTAGGTATGCAAGATAATTTTGGGTGGTGCAGGGTGAATAATTTCAAATGACATAAAAATGTGTTTCTCTTACTGGGTAAATCAGGGGTCCCCACCTGTTAGGAACCAGACAACACAGCAGGAGGTGAGCAGCCAGCCAGGGAGCAAAGCTTCATCTGTAGAAACAGCCGCTCCCCATCCCTCGCATTACCGCATGAGCTCTGCCACCTGTCAGATGAGTGGTGCCGTTCCATTCTCATAGAACCCAACTGGGAACTGAGCATGCCAGAGATCTAGATTGCGTGCTCCTTATGAGAACATAATGCCTGATGATCTCTGACTGTCTCCCATCACCCCCAAGTGGGACCACGTAATTACAGGAAAACAAGCTCAGGGCTCCCACTGATTCTATGTTATGGTGAGTTGTGTAATTATTTCATTATATATTACAGTGAAATAATCACAGAAATAAAGCACACAATAAATGTAATGGGCTCGAATCATCTCTGCACCATCCCTTCCCCTTCTCCCAGGTCCGTGGAAGAGTTGTCTTCAAGAAAACTGCTCTCTGGTGCCAAAACGTTTGGGGACCGCTGGTGTAAATGTTTCTAAGAATAGTTAAGCAACTTAAGCTTCACATGCTACGAAGAATACAGCTTTAAATGCTAATAAAAATAGGTGCAAATGAAAACATTCTTTCTGTGGTCCAGGGAATCTTAACCATTCTATCAGAAAGACTTGCAGCTTGGAGCTGCAGCTGCCCTCCCACATCCTGTCCGCTGTAAAGCCCTGCAACACACACATACAGGCGCACACACACACACGCACACATGCACATACATGCACATGCATATACTTGCACACACACATGCACACACACATGCACACAGATGCACATACATAAATACATTCACATGTATATACCTGCACACACACACATGCACACACATACACATGCATATTCCTGCAAACACACACACACACACACACACACACACACACACACACACACGCTGTGCTTCATGCCCTCACTAGGGTGGCCTGGGAGGAAATGCGTGTTTTTAGGAGAAATGAAGACAACTCAGGCCCCTCATTCTCCTGGTGTTTGCACAAGTGCCTTCTCTGCAGACCATGCTTCAGCCTCTTTCTTGGTTCTCCCTCTTACTGAAAGAGAGAAGCAGAGGCCCGGCACATACTCGGCTGCTTAGGGCTCAAGCCAAGTTCGCAAGCTTCCTGGGGAGCCTAGTGAGATGAAGGCACTGCAGAGCCTCCCCAAAAGAGTCGTCGGCTTTTCGTGGATCCTTGAGCCCAGGAAGGCGATAGGTGAGACATCACAGTTCATCAGAAGACACGAGCAAACTCCGGCGAGAAAGGGCAACGGTCAAAGATTTTATTCTCTCGGAAAAGGGTTCTCGGGCTGTAAGCAGCAGGCAGAAGACTTTATTGCACGCGTAGTTAGGTGATGGCGACCTACGGTTTTCACTGGGGACTGGGATCGAGAGTGATCCGACCTCCTACTCATGCTCGTCTCTCCCTGTCTCTCTCTTTGCCTTTTGTGTCTCTCTGCCTGTCTCTCTCGCTCCTTTTCCTCTCAGCCTCCTCTGTCTCTCTCCTTATCTCTCATCCTCTCTCTCTCTATCTCACTCCCTTCTCCCCATCTCTCTTTCTCTCTCCTTCTTTTCCACTTCTCTCACCCTCCTCATCTCTCTGCCTGCCACTGTTCAGGCTCCTGGGGCCCCACGTGGATGGGCGGACACAGGACTCCTAGGCTACCTTTCATAGCGCAAGCAGAGGGCTGCAGGACCTTGGTCCCCACCTCCCAGCATCCTCAAAATGAGGGGTGTGGGGTATGCCCTGCTCTCCTGAGTGGGCGCCCCACACTCCAGGAAGCAGAAACTGCAGGTCACAGCTGGCTCGAGTGGTGCCCACGGGGCTGCCAGCTTCCATCGTGTGATCTGCTGAGGCCAAAGCAGAGGACAGCAGCCCAGGCCCATCTCTGCAGCAGGGTGGGGGTAGGGGTGGGCTTGGGGGTGGGGATGGGGATGGGAGCCGCCAATGCAAACTGGCCCCTGGCTGGTTTCCTACCCTGCACCCTGCCATGCAAGTCCTACCCCTACCCCTACCCCTGTCTGCCCCACCTCCACCCCTAGGCTGCCCCACACCCAGGCTCCAGAAGTCTCCCAGGATCCAGGAACTAAGGGCAGCCTCTGGGTTCCATAGCCCCTAGTCCATGAGTCAGCCACCCCTCTGCGTGCTGACAAACCTTGGCTCTCATGCCCCACCCCAAGCCAAGCACACAGCCCTGTCCCCCCACCAGCATTATCACCGCCTCCTGATTTTGGCCCTGACAGCCCTGCTTCCTGGTAACCTTGCCCCCTCCCACCCTGCTCCAGGCAAGCCCAAAGGCCAGGCCCTCCACCCACCCTTCCTGGGGGCCACTCTACTATCTCCTTGCCCAGATGTCTTAACCTGGCTTTACCAAGATAGAATAAATAACAGGGATGAGGCCCCGGACCCCGCCAGGAAGATGTGCCAAAATACCCTCCATTTAGAAGCGGGAACAGTGATGGGGCCTATGGATGACCCCAGGATTGTCACCCAAGCAGCAAGAAGGGCAAGGAGCCCAGTTTCCTGCCCTTACCTGGGGAGGACGTGGCCAGGGCTCCAAAAGGCCCTGGAGAGGGGTGGGCAGGAGAGCAGATCCACCCTCCTCTTGAGGAAGCAGCCACCATCCCCAGGAAGAGCAGATGGGGGCACACAGGCAGAGTCCCCACGTGCTGTAGAGCAGGGCCAGCAGAACTGTACTCAGCCCCAGCCCCAGGGGAGCTGCAAGATAGACTGAGACCCTCACAGGTTGGGCTCTGTGTCCCCACCCAAATCTCATCTGGAATTGTAATCCTCCTGTGTCAAGGGAGGAACCTGGTGGGAGGGGATGGGATCTGGGGACAGGTTCCCCCCTGCTGCTCCCCTGATAGTGCGGGAGTTCTCAGGAGAGCTGATGGTTTGAAAGTGTGGCACTTCCTGCTTCTCCGCTCACTCCCTCCTGCCGCCTTGTGGAGAAGGTGCCTGCTTCCCCTTCGCCTTCTGCCATGACTGTAAGTTCCCTGAACTGGGAGTCGATTAAACCTCTTTCCTTTATAAATTACCTAGGCTCAAGTATTTCTTTATAGCAGTGTGAAAACAAACTAATACCCCTTCCCTGAGGCGCCTTCTCCTTAGGCAACCCGCTGCTCCCATGCTCCTCCTCTGCCCCCTGTTCTTTCTTTTCCCCTCATGAGGCCCAAGTGATAAACGGGGCCAGCCCCAGTGCCAGCCCCAGCCCCAGCCCCATCCTACTGCAGGCCTGTGTGGCTGCTGGAGAGGCCGTGTTCCTTTCCTCTCCCCGAGCCTGCCTGATATGCTTTCTGGATCCTGGAGGAAACTGACCCCCTATTCTCATACTGGTGCAACATCTTCCAAGACCTCAAAGCTGTACCATTTGAGCCAGTCTTTTTTCTTATCTCCACTTGCTAGGGCTGTCATTGGGACAGTCCTAGAGGGTGGTGCCAATGGATGAATGGATGGATGGACAGTAGTCCAGGGATGATGTCCCTGTCTGTCCTGAACCGGGCCCTTCCTCCAATGAGAAGCCTTCCTGAGTGAGTATATACAGTCATCCCTTGGTATCCATGGAGGATTAGTTCTAGGGTCCCCGGGAATGCCAAAATCCATGGATGCTCAAGTCTCTGATATAACGTGGCCTAGTATTTACGTATAAGCTATGCGCATCCTCCCGTATACGTTAGACCGTTACTAGATTATTTATGATGTGTAATACAATGCAGATGCTACATAAATGGTCGTGATACTGTATTCTTTAGGGAATGATGACAAGAACAAAGTCTGCACATGTTCAATAGAAACATAACCGTCCAATTTATTTTCTGAATATTTTCCATCTGCTGTTGCTGAATCTACAGATGCAGAGCTCCTGGATACGAGAGCCAAGTGTGCTTTGAGAGTAGGGTGGGTGAGGTTGCTAATGAGTACAGGGGAGCAGGTGTTGATCAGGAGGACCCTGCACTGGGGCATCTGGACGTCCTGCCTCAGGACTTGAGACTCCAGTTGGATGGCACAGGTAGACTCAGCCCAGGTCAAAGCCGTCCCCTTGAAGTTTCTTTTTATCCCAAGCTCTTTCTGGACCCTGGAATTCGGCATCCCCTAGGCCCTGCGTGGAAGGACAGATGAACCAGGTTTTAGATAACGTGTCTAGAAGAGTGAGCCCCTACTGTGTGCCCGGCACTTTCCCCACAGGATCCTCTAGCTAGAATATCCAAGGGTCATGGAGAGAAATACCCAGTTAAAATATCAGAAATGAAAAAGTGATACCATTAGAGACACTAAAAAGACCATTAGGTAATAGTATTAGCTTTTGTATTCTGAGATCCAATAGCAGCAGTCACTTCCCTCCACCGCTATGTGTATCCCAGGACCACCCTGGGCGGGGAGGGCTGGGGTTAGGGAGCAGCCATGGATGCTCTGATGCTGGCCCTGGGCCTCGGGGGTGACAGTGATGAGGAACTGGGTGCACACATGAGTGGGGCAGCCGGGCCTGGCCAGAGAAGCAGCACACACGTGCACAGACGTGTTTACCCACATACACATGTGCACGCACGTGCACAAACACATTGCAGGCAGGCATGTTGACGCCTCAGGCAGCGGAGGACCCTGACTCTGGGCGCTGCTGACCCGGGCAAGGCCCCACTGTGATTCGTGCCATGACCTCAGAATGTCACTGGTGCTTAGCACCTGTCTGCTCTCTGGCCTGCCTCAGTGGTCTACAGCAGTTACACACAGGCAGTGGTATCTGTGAGCAGCTCTGTGGACTCAAAGGTTTTCTCCCTGAGAGGCATGACCCAGGCCAGCTGATTCATCAGAATCAGGTGAGCGTGACCTGCTCTCTTCCCTCCAGGCGGACTTGGGGGCAGTGGCTACGGTGCGGGCGGTGTTGGCCTCTGTGGGGCAGCTACCGAGGAGGGTCATCCCTGAGCACTCACCAGGCGCCCGTTCTACACTGCCCGTGTAGACGATTGGCTCTTTCGTCTCCATGGTGGCTTCGTAGAGTGGGTGCTGTTCCCAAATGTCCCCATTCGACAGATGAGACGTCTGGGGTCAGAGAGGCAGTAACCGGCCTGGGAATCCGGACATGACCCTGAGTTTTGCTCTCAGCCCTGCCGTGTGCTGTGCTGGAATTCAGGCCTGAACCCTGTGACCTCCCTGCCCTAGATCCCAAATCTGCCCAGGTTTCCCATCCCGATGGGGCAGAGCCTGGTCCTGGCAGAGCCACTGGTATAGAGCCACTGGTACAGATCCACTGACGGTCCTCAGAACACCTCTGTGCCCTAAGCTGGGTCCTGATGGTCGCTGTGGGCCCCACTGAACACACATGGTCCCTTGTCCGGGGGAGCCTGCTGCCCTTGGGCAGCTGTGGAAAATGAAGGAGCCCTGGAGGGCTGGCTGAGGGGAGACTATCTTCCCTTGTGTTCAAAGGGGTCCGGGCACTAGGGTTCTCCCCAGGTATTTCTTGCTCTGCGTGGTCCTCTTGAGGCCTCGCCCTCCTTTTGCCTCGAGTATTCCCAGGAGGGACGGTCCATCCAGCTGTTCTCCAGGACCAAGGACCCACTGTTCTTCCTCAGTGACCCAGGAAAATGAAGCCTCCTCCTGTTGGGACGGCTCAGAATGGTGGACTCCACAGTCCCTCCGCGAGAGACGTGGTTTCCATGCGTACAATAGATCTTCCTCATCCCCCAAACCCAACACCCTCCTGCTCAACAGGCGTTATTCCTAAAGTGGCTTCACTGTTCAGACTGAAGAGCCACGGTAGCCAAAGTGATGAGCGGAGTAGAACCGAGCAGTCGGGAGAGATCTTGTTCCCTGTAGGAAACTGGGCATCGCTGAGGCCCTGAGCATCCCAGGAGGCCGATTGCACAGAGACCTCTGGTCGCTGACCCCAGTCTGCCTCCACATCCCTGGAATAGCCCATCATGGGCCCTTCACCCTTGGCAGGTGGAAACCATTCAACCTGCTGGGGCCGGTGTGTCCCCATTTCATGGCATTGGGGGACAACAGGATTCTCTGTCTAGGTCCCACTGTACTCAAGTCCTTGGGAAGATGCCCACCCCTGCTTGGGACTTGAGACTCCAGAGACTGGAGCAGCTGTGGGCCACTGGGTCTGGCCCCTTTTTCCCTGGGGGCGGCGGTGGAATGGGGGTTACGCAGCCAGCCAGCATCTGGGAGCCCGGCGAGAGCGGTTCAGGTGTTCTCCGAAGCCGCCGCGTACAGTGTGACCTTTAGACAATTCTGTCTCACAGGATGGACGTGGTAGAGGTCGCGGGCAGTTGGTGGGCACAAGAGCGAGAGGACATCATTATGAAATACGAAAAGGTACAAGTCGGTCTGCTTCTTGGAGGGAGGCCTCTTCCAGTGTGCCCTGGTCAAAGGGTCCTGGGCTCCCTAGGAGCACAGGGCAGGGACGGGTGGCCAATGCCCCCAGGCCCTTGCACCCTTTACCTTGGACCCCTCACCAAGGCTCCCTCTGGGCTACAGGGACACCGAGCTGGGCTGCCAGAGGACAAGGGGCCTAAGCCTTTTCGAAGCTACAACAACAACGTCGATCATTTGGGGATTGTACAGTGAGTCCTCTGCACTCCCCTCACCCCTAAAGCACCTGTCTCAGCTCAGGGATGGGTTTGCTTTTAGAAAGGCCTTTCTGACGCAGGACATGTCTCACCAGGTCGGGTCAACCTCCTTTCCAGGGACAGAACTCCTCCCTGACTCCCCTGCAGGTCCAGCCCGAGGTTGTTAGGCCAGAGGTGTGGGGCCCATCTAGGGAGCCGGTGGGAATGGAGACTGGGCTAGGTCAGGCCCCTGGGCGCTCAGCAGTTCTGTCGGCAAGTGAGCACAAGAGGAGCGGGGCAGCCTGAGGGTCTGGCCCTGTCTACTTGGAGACAAACCCGGTGAGATGCAAGGGTTATGGCCACAGGGTGAGGGGACGCCTGGCCCAGCCTCAGGGCTGTTGTCCAGCAGGTCTCTGAGGGCCCACCTGCCCCTGTTCTCCCCCATTCCCCTAGAGCTACAGCCCTCACTGTCCCGTGAGGGGAAAAGGCATGGTGACAATGGGGGCTGTAGCCCTAGGAGAACGGGGGGAAGATGGGCAGGGCCCCGTTCTGGGCATCTCACGGTGAGGCCAGGGAGGCAGCAGGGCTCGCGGCTAAAGACCTGGGTCTGGTGCTGGGAAGGGATCTGGGGCCGGGTAAGAGGAGCCCAGCCAGGAGCCCATCCCTCAGGGATCACAGGATGGAGAGACAGAGGATCCCTGGGGAGGTAGGGCGGGAGGGAGCTGATGAGCCGTGCCACTTCTGAAACGCAGGGTGTGTGGCTCGGGTGCAGGGAGAGGCAGGTGGATGCTGGGAGGTCAGAATCTGCAAGGGCCTTGGGGCTGTCAAGTGGGGTGGGCCCCTGGTGCAGCCAGAGTACACCGGGCAGGTCTCAGGGCAGGCTCCCTTGACCCTGGCGGGGGGATGTGGTCACTCCCTGAGGGACTCCTGTCAGGGCCCGGTCGCCCACCCTGGGCGGCCCCCATCCCATCTCAGGGCTAACCTTTCTCAGCTCCAGCAGAAAGCACCACCTCGAGTCCAGGACGGGCAGCCCCATTGGGCAGCCTGACCGCCCCCCACGCCAGGGGCCCCAGTAACCCCGGCCAGGCTGTCCCTACACTCCTTCTTCTCCCAGGTCCTGCCCCTCCTGGGAATCAGCCCCACAGGAAGGCCCTTGTCCTCCCTTCCCTGTGCCTTCTCCTGGGCTGAGCCCTGAGCTGGAAAGGGACAGAGCCAGTCCTTTCTGGGGGTCGGCACCCAGGCTGGGGCCGCTCCAGGCCCCGTGCAGTTCCTCAGCTCTGCCTGGGTTGCCTTACAGTGAGACGGAGCTGCCTCCTCTGACTGCGCGGGAGGCGAAGGTAAGAGCCTGATGCGTGGAGGGGCTGGTCCAGGGACGTAGGGACTGGGCGGGTGGTCAGTGAGGCAGAGGAAGCAGCTGGCCTGAGCGGTGGCGGGTGAGGGCAACACGCTGTCACTGGGAGGGGCAGCAGTCCCTGCTGGACCTGACCCCAGGTTGCTGTTCACTTTGGCAGTTTGATAAAATTCCAAAAGGAGAACCACAGTCCTGGCTTGGGGGTGGCTGCGCGCTTGTGTCAGGACCCCACCTAGAGGCTGGGACCTAAGACTGGTGTGTCTGTGGCCTGAGGATGGTACATCCCGGGGTCCCAAAGCCAGCCCACTGGTGCTCATTTGCTCAAAGGCTCTCAGCCCTTGAGGTCTGCCCTTCCCTGGCTCCTTCCAGCTGGCTCCCACCAGGGCTCCAGAGCCCAAGACCCAGCATCCGCGGGCGGCTCTGGGAAGCCTGGCAGCTCCGCTAACTCCAACATGCCTCATTTGACAGCAAATTCGGCGGGAGATCAGCCGAAAGAGCAAGTGGGTGGATATGCTGGGAGACTGGGAGAAATACAAAAGCAGCAGAAAGGTAACGTGTGGAGGGAGGAAGCACTCTCTGCAGAGACAGGGGACAGGCACCCATGGCTGTGGCCTGGCACCATCAGCCTCTCAGAGGGTGGGCGGCACACTGTCCTCGCCCAGAGGACTGCAGGCCTGGTCGCCAGATTTCCTGCCTATTCGTGCAAGCGTCACCTTGCAGGGAGGGAATCTGAATCTAGGGCTGGGACTACCCGGAGCTCAAGGCTAGGGATGCCCTGGGGACCTGAAGGAAGGAAAAGGTTCAGATCAGAGTTTCGACTCTGAGTGTCCATCCACTCTTTCAGTCCTGGGAAGGGAGACCCTGTCCCAGCTTGATCTCACCTCTACTGAGGAATCATGGGGCCAAAACCGACAATTTCCAGAATCCCCGGGCTCTGGTCCTCACTGGGGTCACCCCGTGGCCTGTGACACCAGATCGTTTTCTGCCCACAGCTCATAGATCGAGCGTACAAGGGAATGCCCATGAACATCCGGGGCCCGATGTGGTCAGTCCTCCTGAACACTGAGGAAATGAAGTTGAAAAACCCCGGAAGATACCAGGTACGCTCAGCCAGAGCACAACAAACAGGACAGGCCGTGTCGGGGCCCAGGTCTCCAGCTGGAGGGAACGTCAAGACCACCCTGGGGAGCTGGGGGTGAAGGTCAGATGAACACCCTGGGCACAGATGGTGACACAGTCACCACAGACAAACTCAGCTCTGGTGACCCTCCCTGGCTTCAGTAACAAGCCAAAATGCAGCTTTCTGCAGAAGGAAACCTTCCTTCTGTCCTTCCTTCCCGAAGTGCTGACTGTGGGCTGACTGCCACTGGGGGCAGGGAGTCTTCCATCTGTTCTGAGACTGCTTCCTCCTCTTGGCCCTGCCCTACAGATCATGAAGGAGAAGGGCAAGAGGTCATCTGAGCACATCCAGCGCATCGACCGGGACATAAGCGGGACATTAAGGAAGCATATGTTCTTCAGGGATCGATACGGAACCAAGTAAGCCTACGGGAGCCACAGGGTCCCAGCAGAGATGGGGTGAATGAGAGGGATGGGGGCTTCCCCGGAGCAGAAGCCAGGGTCACCCAGGAGGGATGACACAGCTGCCAAGAGCTCTCCCGGCCCAGGGAGCAGCCGGCACCATGAACCGAGCACCTCCCTGGTTCCAAGCCCTGGGCCAGACTGGAACATGTGGGGCCAGAACCCAGGAGGATCCTGAGGAGATGGAAGGCAGCAAACAAAATCATGCACAATGGTGAAGGGTGCTCTCCCTGACCCATGGGGACCCATGGTAGGACCCACGGGAGGGTGGCAGGATAGAGGGCCCATGAGCCCCCCCCAGGCAACAGTGACAGCACCAAATGCTGGGAGAATTAGGGGTCCTGGAAACTCTCATCCAGGTCCGCTGGGAACATGACATGGCACAGCCACGTTGGCAGCCAGTTGGGCAGTGGCTCACAAAGCTCGATGGACTTGAACCACACATCCCCAAAGTGTCACAGATATTGAACCCACTGATTTGCAAACTGACATCCACATGAAACCAGCATGCCAGGTTCACTGCTTGACTCCTCGTCACTCACACACGGAGCCTTCGGGGACGGCCTTCAACACGGGGATGGGGAGAGCAAGGCTGGTCCTCCCTTCAAACGGAAGACCCAGTGAGAAAAGGGAACGAGCCGGTGATGCCCGCACGAACGTGGGTGGATCCTAGATGCATTTTGCTGAGGGACAGAAGCCAGACCCAATAAGCTACCACAGTAGGATTCCCATTCCTAGGCCATTCTGGAAAAGGCCAAACCACAGGGACTGAGAAGCAGTCTGGGTGGCCAGGGGCTGACGGATCGGGGAGAGGCTGGTTGCATAGGGGCCACCCTGGAGACTTGGAGGATGAAGGAGTCGCCCCAGGAGGGGCTGGAGCGGTGGCCGGGAGACTCTGCACATCGGTTTGGAACCGTGGAGGAACTGTACACCCACAGACTGAACTGGCGTGTGTGCAAACTGAAAAAAAAAATCATTCAGAGTGAAAAGGATCAGGCAAGTCACTGTACAACTGGGCTATTTGCATGTCACAGATGTGGATTTTACTGAAACATTTCTTCAAGAGTCTCAGGCCCTGAAGAGCTCACTGCTTATCTGGTGAAACATCTGAACCTGAAATGGGATTTGCTGTTAGGCTTTGTAGACAAAGTGAAATTAACAACATCTGCACAAAACAAACCAAAGCCCCCTTTCTCTGTTTCCTAGGCAGCGGGAACTACTCCACATCCTCCTGGCATATGAGGAGTATAACCCGGTGAGTATTCCCGGCAGTGAGGTTCCCGGGCCATATTTCCATATTGACAGGAGTGGGTGTCTGGTGGGGGTGTCGTTGCTTCTTTTAAAGTTAGTATTTGTGACCCACCAGGATATAGGAGGTAGGATGTCAGCTCACCGCTGGCATAAACCTCCAAGGAAGGGGGTGGTCTCAAGGGGTCAAGCTGAGACACAAAGGAGTCAGGGCCCGGACTCCTGGTGTCACCTGGGCCTGACCACCACTTCTCAGAACAAGAAATGACGCCCTCCTCCTGGGGCTGCCCCAAAGCCCAGGAGCTTGGCAGCATCGCACACAGGATGGTGCTATCAGCAGACATTTTGGACAAGGTGCTGAAGTGCCTGATGGACTTGGCTCTTGTCATGAAATGAATGTGCATCCTGAGGAAGCCTCTTTTTCAGAGGAAGCCTCTCCTTCAGAGGAAGCCTCTCCAGTCACCTCTGCCCTCTCCAATGACATGAGTCCTCCCAGGTGACCTCAGCCCTCCCAGGTGATGTCCTTCCATGGTGACTCTGGCTCTTGCAGGAGGTGGGCTACTGCAGGGACCTGAGCCACATCGCCGCCTTGTTCCTCCTCTATCTTCCTGAGGAGGATGCATTCTGGGCACTGGTGCAGCTGCTGGCCAGTGAGAGGCACTCCCTGCAGGGTAAGTGAACAGCTGCCCCGGGGACCTCCTGCAGCCAGACCTGGGGATGGCCACCCTGGCCAGGTGATCACAGCTTTCAGCCAAGGCACCCTCCTTGTGTCGCCAGCTTGTTGGGAGACTTTAGAATGTCTCTGCTGAGGGTCCCACAGGAGTCCACGGCTGACCCCCAAAGCCCAAATCAGACGCCTCTCATCCCCATCAGCAGAGGGCATCTCATCCTCCCCGTGGCCACCCTCTGTGTCCTGGAGCCACGCCCTCCGGCTCTGATTCTGTGCAGCTGACTCTCCCCTCCCTGAGAGTCCTCCTGCCCTCCAGCTGCCCGGGCTCCTGCTGCCATCGGTGCCCACGAATGGGCCGACCAAGCCCAGGTGGCAGCATCTCCCCATCCCCTGTTCCCTGGCCCGACCCCACTACCAGGAGATGACCGGGAAGCCCAGCGCCCACCCAGTTCCGGCCACCCTGTCGTGGCCTGAAAGTCAGGCTTGCCCTTTTTGCACCCTGGCCCAGGAGGCCTCCAGGGGAACCTCCAGCCAGGCTCCAGGGAATGTTCCCGCCCCACCTCCCCAGGGTAAAGGCCGCATGTTGGGGTCACCAGATGGGAGGGTGGGAGGCCTTGGGGTTTGGGGGCCTCTCCAGCTGCCCAGCTCTTGCAGCTGATGGCTCCACATCTTGGGGGAAGGCTCTGATTTCATGATGGGCTGGGGGCTTCTCAGGATTTCACAGCCCAAATGGCGGGACCGTCCAGGGGCTCCAAGACCAACAGGAGCATGTGGTAGCCACGTCACAACCCAAGACCATGGGGCATCAGGTGAGTTTATGGTCCCCTCAGCTCTTCCCAGAGGCCCTGCCTCCCGTGGGGCTGTAGGAGCAGGGGGGCTGGAGCCCCTCGTGGGGCTGGTGACTGGCTGAGTCCCAGCCAGGGCCTGACCTGGGACGTCGGGTTCTCCATGGGCTGGGAGTTGGTTTCCTTTCCTGCCCTGGAGGAGACAGAGGCACAGGGATGGGGGCCCAGCTCCCACAGAGCAGGGCAAAGGGCAGTGTGTCCACCGGGAGTGTGGGAAGGTGACAGTGTTGTGGGGAGCTCTGGACACCGCCCAGTGTTCTGCACTAGGGGAAGGGTCTTCAGAGGCCCTGGAAGAGGGAGGTTTTTAGGGCAGCCCAGTGGCCTGAGCACCTCTGTTGCTTCCATCAGGACAAGAAAGATCTATGTGGGCAGTGTTCCCCGTTAGGCTGCCTCATCCGGATATTGATTGACGGGGTAAGGAGGCATAGGGAGACCCTGGCTCAGGGACCTTCCTTGCCCTGCAGTGCCCTGCTTCCCCAGCCCGGGGGTCTGGCTCACTCCCAGCCCACAGGAGGCTCAGGCGGGTCCCCAAAGGACACACAAGCAAAACCCTCTGCCCAAGGGGGGTCATCCCAGGGCCATGGCTGGGGCTCAGGCCCAGCCTCATGGGCAGACTGGGCCAGGACCCGACTTGAGAGGGCTCAGGGAAGCCTCAAGCCCTGGGCAAGCCCCTCTCTCCAGGAGCCACATCCCCACTCAAATGAGTGCCCCCCATGAGGAGCTTCAAGACCTTGTCTGACCCAGCGTCCTGGAGGGCTCAGGCGACCCTCATGGGGAAGGTCACTGACTCTGGAGACTGAAGCCCCAGTGTGCGCAGCTCGAGCCACCAGCCCCAGCCTGGAAGGACCAGGTTCTTTCACACCTGCTGTCCCCACAGATCTCTCTCGGGCTCACCCTGCGCCTGTGGGACGTGTATCTGGTAGAAGGCGAACAGGCGTTGATGCCGATAACAAGAATCGCCTTTAAGGTTCAGCAGAGTAAGTCTACGTGTGCCCAGCGGGGCCTGGGGAGCCCTGGGGTCAGACCCCGACTGGCCCGAGGGCAGCTTCCTCACACTGTCCTCATGATCCTCTGTTCTGGCCCAGAGGGAGGTCTGGCCAGGTGGGCTGGGCAGGACACTGTGACACCGAGCCCATCCCCCACATGACCCAGATGAAAGTCGAGAGTGTGGTGAGCACTTCCCTGTCCGGATCGCCCCCCAGCCACAGTCTCCTGTGTATATCTGGACACCTGGGGTGGCCACAAAAGGATCCGGCACCGCCCAGTAGGAGACTGAAGTGGCCACGGGATATGAGCTGTGACCATTCCCAGGTAACTCCCCTGGCCTGATATCCACCCTGTCCCTAGAGCGCCTCACGAAGACGTCCAGGTGTGGCCCGTGGGCACGTTTTTGCAACCGGTTCGTTGATACCTGGGCCAGGGATGAGGACACTGTGCTCAAGCATCTTAGGGCCTCTATGAAGAAACTAACAAGAAAGCAGGGGGACCTGCCACCCCCAGGTGGGCTCCAGTGCCATGTCCCCTCCCATGTCACCCTCTGGGGTAGTCAGTAGTAGGGGAGTGCCCGGGACCCGCAACCCTACTACCTGGGCCTTCCTCTTCACCTTTTCTTCCTCCTCTTCCTCCTGGACTCTAAGAAAGTACAGGAGGCCCACCGGTCCTCAGGGCAGGCGCTCAGTGCGTGTATACTGGACATGCTGTGCACGCAGGAGGGGGATGTGGGCAAGACCCTCCAACAAGCCCCCTCCCACTTTCCACGGTGTCTCCCTCTCCCCCTCGCAGGGCCCTCCAAGTTACTAGACGAGCCCAGACCCATTTGTGGGAGACCCCGCCCCTCCCTGCAAGCACCCACAGCCTCAGAGAGCAGCAGAGGCCCCTCACTCCTGCACGCTCCTCCAAGGTTGCCAGGACAAGAAGCCTGGAGCCAGGGAGACAAGGGAATCCGTGTCTCTGACCCACAGAGCATTCAGGGAGAGGGCACAGGCGGGACCCCGGGCCCAGAGCCAGAGCCAAGAGTTCAGCCAGAAGTGGGAACGGTCAGTCCTGGCATGGACTGGGCAGCCCAGGAGGGCAGAGGGTGACCCACGTCCGGGCCCAATCACCCACTGCGGAGACGGGTCCCCACGTGAGGTGACAAGGGGCTGGGTGACATCCAAGGCCCCTCCCACCTGAGTTCTGACTGGGGGCCGTATCCCAGGCCCAACAGCCCTGGGACGAAGGTGTGTGGCAGGAAGCCCCCAGCCAGTCTGAACCCTGGGGGCAGTCCCAGGAGCCACCCGCCATGCCACGACAGCTTCCCCACGCCAGGCAGCATGCACCCCTCCCTCTGGGATCAGCAGACTACAGGCGTGTCCTCGGTGTCAGGCCACGGGGGCCACACAGAGACCCCGAGGACTCCAGAGACGCAGGCAGGTGGGGCCCAGCCCGGAAAGGCCTGCGTGGGCTCACTGGAGATGCTGACCGCGTCTGTTTTCCTTTCAGCCAAACCCGAGCAAGGGTCGTCGGCATCCAGGCCTGTGCCGGCTTCACGTGGCGGGAAGACCCTCTGCAAGGGGGACAGGCAGGCCCCTCCAGGCCCACCAGCCCGGTTCCCGCGGCCCATTTGGTCAGCTTCCCCGCCACGGGCACCTCGTTCTTCCACACCCTGTCCTGGTGGGGCTGTCCGGGAAGACACCTACCCTGTGGGCACTCAGGGTGTGCCCAGCCCGGCCCTGGCTCAGGGAGGACCTCAGGGTTCCTGGAGATTCCTGCAGTGGAACTCCATGCCCCGCCTCCCAACGGACCTGGACGTAGAGGGCCCTTGGTTCCGCCATTATGATTTCAGACAGAGCTGCTGGGTCCGTGCCATATCCCAGGAGGACCAGCTGGCCCCCTGCTGGCAGGCTGAACACCCTGCGGAGCGGGTGAGATCGGCTTTCGCTGCACCCAGCACTGATTCCGACCAGGGCACCCCCTTCAGAGCTAGGGACGAACAGCAGTGTGCTCCCACCTCAGGGCCTTGCCTCTGCGGCCTCCACTTGGAAAGTTCTCAGTTCCCTCCAGGCTTCTAGAAGCATCTGGGCCAGGGCTCATGGCTGGATAATTTCCCTAGGCTTAACAACCCAAGCAAGCTTCGCATCCTCGTTTTATTTTTGGTTAAACTTATGAAAATGTATTAAGAAAGAGTGCAGCTCGAGAGAGATTCAGAGATGGAACACACCAGACCCCAGATCACAAAGCCAACCATGCCCAGCCCCTCCCAGCACCCCCAGCCCCACGACCATCGTTCTGAATTCTGACGACACCGTGAGCCTGCCTTTGTACTTCAAACTCATGGAAGGATAACCACCTTCATGTTTTGAAATAAATGTTTCCTGTTGAAATGATTTTAGATTTTAGACAGAAATATTGAAAAGGCACTATAGTATCCTCCTATACCTTCCATCCAGCTGCCCCTAATAATGATGTTTTGCAGTCCCATGGCACATAAGAAATTTAGGCCGGGTGTGGTGGCTCACACCTGTAATCCCAGCAATTTGAGAGGTCGAGGCGGGAGGTTCAGGTTCACTTGAGTCTAGAAGTCTGAGACCAGCCTGGGAAACCTAGGTGGACCCGGTCTCTAGAGAAAAGTCAAAGAAATTAGCCAGGCATGGTGGCGTGTGCCTATAGTCCCACCTAGTCAGGAGGCTGAGGCAGGAGGATTGCTGGAGCCCACGAGTTCCAGGAAGCAGTGAGCCATGATTGCACCACTGCACTCCAGCCTGGGTGACAGAGTGAGACTTTATCTCTTAAAAAAATTTAAGAAATTTAATGTGGGTACAGTTCTATTAACTAAATAATAATGTGAACTATTATCTAAGGTTATGAAGGCTAGAATTATCCCATTTTTGCCTAACTTCTCGTACCTGTCCCAAGATCCCACCTTGGACTCACCCTCTGCCTTCAGCTCACGTCTCTTCAGCTTCCTCCACATGGTCCAGCAAACACACACCTGGGCTGAATGGTAGAGCTGATTGCTCATACACAAAGGTAGACCGGTGGGCAGGGATTTTCAGACTTACACAGTCAATGAGTTTTCCTTGGTGTTCTGGAGAGCACCGTTTGAGAAACACTTTGACAGTGAATCTAGGCCTCAAGATCCATCAGCTGCTCTAGCTTGAATTTTGCTCAAGCTCAGTGAACACCTGCTCTGCCGGGTGCACGTGAAAGGGGCAAGGATGAGAAAGCTGTAGATAAAGAAGACAGGACGCAGGGGGTCTGTCTAAGCTCTATCCCCTGCCTTCAGCACTGAGGGATGAAATCCAACTCTTAGGGAACGGTGGCCACGTGCTGGGCCAGCCCCAGGCTCTCAGGATCTGACAGTGGGTGACGCAGAGCCAGGCCTTGCCCCTGGGGAGCTCTCCAGCATACACCTCCCTCTCCCCTCCCAGCGTGCCGCAAAGCAGGCGTCAACGCCATTGTTAATGCACGGAGGAGGAACCTGACTGTTAGACCTGGGTTTTCCAGGGTTGCACGGCTTCTGGGAGACGGATGTGACCCTGAGGACAGGGCACAGGCCAGTGTAATGCCAGGATGGAATGAGCTGTGATCTGTGCTGTATAGAGGCCTAGGCCAAGGTGGGACTGACGGATGACCAGGTCAGCCGGGTCACTGAAAACACTCTTGGGTCCTCACCTGCCGGTTCCCAGGAGTCCGGAACTGCCAGGAGAGTGGTGGCAGGTCCCCCATCCTCAGCTGGGTGGGCCTGGATAGAACAGCAAGGTGAGGGCACATTTCCCTGGCCATTCCCTCCAGGCACAGCTGTGACCTGTTCATTCCAAATTTGTGGAAGTATTTCCACACACACAGAACTGCAAATAGCAGTGGATGTGGTGAGAGGCGTTTGCACATGGGATAGGCAGGATTTTGGAGGCAGAGCCTCCAGGGCTTGCCGATGGGTTAGCTGCAGGGCTTGAGAGGGAACGGAGAATCCAGGATGATGTGTTCAAATCGGTCCATTCACCTCTTCCGTTCCACGCCTGTGCTGGGCACTGGGAGAGACAGATGCACACAGGAGCCCCGGACGAGGGGAGGTGTGGGGGGAAGCCCAGAGTGTCTGGGCAGGGTAGGAAACCCAGAGCGTCTACTGGGAGCTGAAGGCTTAGGTCCACCTGGGTGCCGTCCAGGTTCTCTGCATGTAGAAGTATAGGCTGAGCTTCCCGGAGGAGGAGCAGCTGCTGTTGCTGGTGACCAGCACATTCAGGAACGGAGACTACTCTGTCAACAGACAGGGGGATGACCTGAGGTCTGGATGGTCTAGGGGGTGGTAGGGCCCAGGAGGACCCAGGAAAGGGTCTCGGGGATGCAGAACATCCTATGGAGGGCATTTGGGAGTCAGTGCTCAGGTCACTCCGGGTCACTCAGGTCATTTGCCGGCCCCTGTCATAATTATTGCCATATGAGAGTGCCACCCGTCCTATGACATATTTTATATATTTCTGTGAATGGCCTACTTGTTTGTATTTATGAATTTATGTTTAAAGGATGGGCAGGGGTGCTCGAGAGGTCCCCAGGAGTTTCCCTCTGGGGAGAGAGGGGCCCACCCCTTCCCAGCAGCCCTCTGAGCCCCCCGATCGCTTGGCCACAGCCTCTGCCTGGAGAAAGCATCCCCCTCGGAGATATATGGACATCAGAAGAAACCTTTCTCTGTCACCAGGACAAATCCTGTTCTTATTTGAACCAAGGCCAGTTTTCCTAATGAATGCAGGGAGGACAGCACAGATCAATGAAACCAGCAGATAATCCACAAGACTGTTTCCCAGAGCTGGGAGATTTCCTTCCCTGCCAACACTTTTCCTGAAAGGTCTTAAGAATGAGGCAAACAGTTTAAGTCTCTCTTGCACTGTTCTTTTAGTGAAAGAGTTCAATGAGGAAGGAGAGGAAGTGGAGCATATGCTTAGTTTCCAAGCTGGAAAAGTGGCCCATGGTTAACCAAGACTAGATGTAAAAGCACAGGTGGCCGCGGGTCCAGGTGAGTCGGTCCTACGATGGCACGGCTGCTAATGCCAGCAGATGCTCCTGTCCTCTCCTTTCAAGACTGACTTCTTCTGGTCTTTCATTCGTTAAAATAAAATTGACAGGGCATCATCCAAGAAGCTCTACACTTTCCCTTACTTGGATTTCAGACTCTAGATTCTGCTGAGATTTGAGCTTCATGGTGAACACATTCTTGTTGTGCTTGCTGCTGAGGGGTGTGGAGGACAGAGAGATGGTGAAATGGCAAAGTGGCTCTTGAGCATGGGTGGGGGAAGCCCCCACATATCTGAGTCAGTGCCACCTGGACACTACCCTTGGAGCATCCTGCTGAGGTGGCCATTCAGGTTTTCTTTCCTTTCCTTTTATTCCACTGTTTCTGAATCACAAATAAAGATCCAAGGCAAACAGCACATTCAGATCCCCAAGCTCTCCACCTCCAATGTGACCAGGGACGTGCACCACTTCAGGCTCATGCAGGACCCACAGCCTTTGGACCTCAGCTAAGGGACCTGCTTCTCTTCAGCACACGGGGCTTGTTTGTGTTGGGGTCTGAGCCCTGAGCGCATGGTCAAGGAGACCCCCAGGTCTTTCTGAACAGAGACAGCTGGCCTGGCGGCCTCCCTCTCACTGCATGCAAGAGTCTGTTAGGGCGGCTGTCTTGCTTCTGTGTGTTGGGAAATTCAATTTAGGTACCTAAAAATGAAAAGTCCCAGGACATCTCCATGGCTTGGGATCCACAGGAGAGCATCATTGATGCTGGGGACAATTTAAACATATAGAAACCCACAGGGCTACCTTAGACAGGGCACAGGGCACAGCACCCGGGGATGCAGAGTGGAAAGTTCACCACTACAGCCTGGAATTGCCTCTGTGATGCCTTCTTCATGACACTTGGCTGCCTTCGTGGCTGGAAGGCTGAGGCCCAGATCCCAACATGGCCACAGGCTAGCAGCTTGCTTCACCTTCCTGAACTGCAATTTCTCCATCTGAGCCTCTCTCCTAAGAGGAGTGTGCAGGGTCACTTAGCCCATATGGGCCAGAAACCCCACACGGTGCCAGGCACACAGTAGGGCCTCGGCAGATGCTGCCCCCTTCTGTCTCCACCACCCTCCTGGGGCTCCCTCCTGAAACAGCCTCCCTCAGCGCCTTGAGTCTTGCACCCTAACAGCCTCTTGCACGCAGTGAGAGGGAGGCCCCCAGGCCAGCTGTCTCTGTTCAGAAAGACCTGGGGGTCTCCTTGACCATGGGCTCAGGGCTCAGACCCCAACACAAACAAGCCCCGTGTGCTGAAGAGAAGCAAGTCCTTTAGCTGAGGTCCAAAGGCTGTGAGTCCTGCATGAGCCTGAAGTGGTGCAGGTGCCTGGTCACACTGGAGGTGTAGAGCTTGGGGATCTGAATGTGCTGTTTGCCTCGGACATGAAACATCTCACAGACTGCCTGGAAGAAGGTGGAGCAGACTGGGGTTAATGGTCAGCAGCAGCAGCATCCCCACCACTGGGGCTATCCCTTTTTAGGCCCTTACCGTGGGCCAAACACTGAGCCGTGTGCTTCGTGTAACTTCTAAGCACGCTTACCTGATAGGGTGACAGCAAAGACTCGAAGAGGTGCCTGGGCTTGGCACATAGTAGCTATTGCTACTATTATGAATGTTGTTTTGTCTTTGTTTTTGTTTTGAGACAGGGCCTCACTCTGTTGCCCAGGTTGGAGTACAGCAGTGCCATCATAGCTCACTGAAGCCTCAACCTCCCTGGGTTTGAGCAATCCTCCCACCTCAGCCTCCCAAGTAGCTGAGACTACAGGTGTGCGCCACCAAGCCCAGCCAATTGTTTGTATTTTCAGTAGAGACTGGTTTTGCCAAGTCGCCCAGGCTGGTTTCGAACTCTGGGGTTCAAGCAATCTGCCCACCTCAGCCTCCCAAAGTGCTGGCATTACAGGCGTGTGCCACTGCGCCCAGCCATTATGAATGTCAATATTGACATGATCTTGTATCCTTATGCCCACACTGGGAGAGGTCTGATTGTCCCCATGTTCCTGGTGTGGAACCACATGGAAGAGGCCTATGTTATCCCAACAGTGCAGAAGCACAGCCTGAGTCTCTTCTTTGGCTGAGCCAAGGGCGTGCTGGAGAGGCCTGACAGAAGAAGGAGCGGCCCTTGTGACCAGTGCCCTTTTGGTTCACAAGGAACTTCTCCTCTTGTTGAAGTGACTTGGCTGAGCTTGCTACTTCTGCTTTGAGAGTCAAATATCAGGATCAAGACTTTAATTATCCCCAATTTACAGATGATGAAACCATATTGGGCAGGAAAGAAAGTCACCCCAGGAGAGCAAGTTGGACCTGAGCACTGGCTGAGGACAAAGGAGAATGATAATTTGGGATGTAACTTGTTAAGGGGTCTCACAAGTGTTCTTGTGATCCAGGTGTCGAGAGGATACAGCAGAAAGGTTGCCAGGGAGATGAGGGTAGGGTGCACCACAAGAGTGGGAGAAATTAAAGAGAACACGCAACAAAGCCTTGGGACACTGGGAGGGGGATGGACCACCCAGTTTTGTGCTATGGGAGAAGACAGCAAGAAAAGGAATCTGTGTTAAATCCCGACAGCCTGCATGAGAAGCAAATGCCCTTCATTTTCTTCATCAGCGGCGAGACTGGCATCCCTGCAGCTTTGGGAGACCATGCTAGTGTAGATGCCAGCTCACGCCAGCGGGCCTGACTGGGAGACCTTGGGCTGGGGTTCTGGTCTGGGGCTCCTAGGCCTGATGGGAGGAGAGTTCAGCCCCAGGTTTCCTGTACTTCAGCTCATATCCACACAATGGTAATTATTGAAATGAGAGACTCAAAAGAAGATGGAACGTGAACTTTTTTGTTGTCCCATGTGGACACCTGTGTTCGGTTTCCAGTTCTACCTTTGCTGTCTGTGTGTTCTTAAGTAACTCACTTAAACCTTTCTGAGTCTCATTTTCTTCATTTATAAAATAAAAGACGTAACATTTATGTCAGATATTGTCCTGAGGATTAAATGGGAGAATGAACAAGCCTCTTCTGCATTCCCCTGGCATCCAGTGGGTGGAGGCCAGAGAAGCTGCTAAACATCCTGCCAGGTGCAGGACAGCCCCCATCACAAAGAATTGACCGGATCCTGATGTCAGTAAGGCAGAATTGAGGATCCTTGGTGTGGGGGAAAAAGAATAAACTCAGAAGCTTGGCAGATCTCAGTTCAAACCCTGGTTGTATCACCTCTAGCTGAGTGACCTTAGGCAGGTCTGTGAACTCTCTGAGACTCGGCCTCCTCATCGGTAGAATGAGGTAGATAAAAATGCCAAGCTCGGCCGGGCGCGGTGGCTCACGCCTGTAATCCCAGCACTTTGGGAGGCCGAGGCGGGTGGATCATGAGGTCAGGAGATCGAGACCATCCTGGCTAACAAGGTGAAACCCCGTCTCTACTAAAAATACAAAAAATTAGCCGGGCGCGGTGGCGGGCGCCTGTGGTCCCAGCTACTCGGGAGGCTGAGGCAGGAGAATGGCGTGAACCCGGGAAGCGGAGCTTGCAGTGAGCCGAGATTGCGCCACTGCAGTCCGCAGTCTGGCCTGGGCGACAGAGCGAGACTCTGTCTCAAAAAAAAAAAAAAAAAAAAAAAATGCCAAGCTCACCCAGAAATAACCCCGTGCATATATGGTCAACAGATCTTTGACAAGGCCATCAAGGATATACAATGTAGATTCTTTTATTCCTTTACTTTCTTAATAGACTTGCTTTCACTGTACTGTAAAAAAAAAAAAAGGCACAATGTAGAAAGGAAACTCTCTTCAATGAATGGTGTTGGGGAAAGTGCATGAAAAAGAATGAAATTGCACACTTGTTTTACATCATATACAGAAAATTAGCTCAAAGTGGATTAAAGATTTAAATGTAATATCTGAAACCATGTAAATCCTGGAAGTAAACATAGGGAAAAATCTCCTCGACATTGGTCATAATTGGCAATATTTTTTTTGATGTAACACCAAAGCACAGGCAACAAAAGTGAAAATAAATAAATGGGACTACATCAATCTTAAAAGGTTTTACACAGCAAAGGAAACCATGACAAAATGAAAAGGCAACCTACGGGATGGAAGAAAATATTTGCGACCCATATATTTGATAAGGGGTTATTTGAAAAAATATAAGGAATTCACACAATTCAATAGCAAAAATTAATAAATACATGAATAACGCAATTAAAAATAGGCAAAGGACCCCAATGGACTTTTTTCCCCAAGGAAGATATACAAATGGCCAGCCAGCATATGAGAAGGTGCTCAACACCACTAATCATCAGAGAAATGCAAATCAAAACCACAGTGAGATATTGCCTCATAGGATAGGACGGCTCTTATAAAAAAACGACAAGAGATAACAAGTGTTGGCGAAAGCATAGAGGAAAGAGAACCCTTGTACACTGTTGGTTGGAATGTAAAGTGGTATAACCTTTACAGAAAACAGTATGGAGGTTCCTCAAAAAATTAGAAGCAGAACTACCATACGATTCAGCAATCAGGTTAGAACCTTGAAGAGAGATCTGCGCCCCATGTTTATTACAACACTATTCACAATACCCAAGATATGGAAACAGCCTAAGTGTCCAGCAACAGATGAATGGATAAATAAAATACATATAAACAATGGACTATTAGCCATTCAAAAGAAGAAACTCCTGTCCTGGATAAACCTGGAGGACATTACGCTAAGTGAAATAAGCCAGACACAGAAAGACAAGTTTTGTATGATCTCACTTATATGTGGGATCTAAGAGAGTCAAACTCATAAAAACAGATAGTAGAATGGTGGTTGCCAAGGGCTGGAGGTGGGGAAAATGGGAAGCTATTAATCAAAGGGTGTAAACTTTCAGTTATAAGATGAACAAATTCTGGAGATTTAATGTACAGCATAGGTGGTAATGGATGTAATAAATTTGATTGTGATAATTAGTACACAATATATACATATATGAAATCATCACATTGTATGCATTAAATATACACAATCCTTGTCAACTCAATATTTTTAAAAAAATTTTTAAAATGCCTAGGTCATAAGAATTCTGAGAATGAAATACAACAACATACATGAATGGACCTGCTACACAGAAGGTGCTAAATAGGTTTGTTTTGTTTTATTTTATTTCAACTCTGGCAGATGTAGACCTATTGGGAAAGAATATAGAATGCACTTGTGCACAAGGATTATCTATACGATGGTTAAATATCCTGCATACATGCCATGTCATTTCTACTCCTCAGTCAATGGATAATAAAAGCAGAACCAGCCTTCTGGTGGTCACAAAACATTTTGACATGAGAAAGGCTGATCATGAGCAATCTGGCAATGTACATCCCAGAGCGTGCATGCCCTTTGACCCACAGCTACCATGATGTCATGTCTAGCAATTAGTCCTAAGGAGATGATCAGAGATGTGTAAAGAGATTTCATTCTAACAGCATCCTCTGTAGTGGTATATGTCAGGGGCTGGTAAGCCATGTCCAGAGGAGCAGGCTGCATCTAGTCCACCACCTGTTTTTATAAAGTTTATCAGAACACAGTCATGCCCATTCATTTACAAATTGTGTATGGCTTCTTTCCCTGCAACAGCAGAGTTGAGTGTTGCAACAGAAACCTATGGCCTGCAGAGTTTAAAATATCTACCCTTTGGCCTTTTATAAAAAAAGTTTACTGATTCCTGGTGAGTATATTAAAAAGTTAGCAAAACCTAAATCTTCCAGAGTGGAGAATTAGAAAGTAAGACGTGTTGTATATAAGACAGACAGTTTGTGTGTGCGTTTATTTATAAATATATTATTCTGAAATAATGTTGTCGACATATGTTGCAGGTCTTAAAAATTGGTCAATATATAGTGTTAATCAAAAAATGGCAAATTGTAAAATGTAGACAGAATGTGATTGTGTATTTTGTGCATACACCAACAGAAAAGGGTGCTAGGAAACCTGTGGACCAACATACTAAGTGTGGCTCTTTTGATGGTGGTATCATGGATTTTTAAAAATCTTCTTGGTTTTCTGTAGATTCTGACTTTCCTGTCATGAGTATGAATAAGTATGTATTTCTTGAGAAATGTGAAAATAACTTTATCTTCCCAGATTTCTCATAATTGAAAATGTTGGAATAAATGGTCCTGGGACAGATCTTTCCATTGAGAAGGGCAGAAGGGAAACCCTGGGGATTCAGCTGGGTTTCTGTTGCATTTCTGGTAACACACAGTTGTGAAAAGCCAGTGTTGGCCGTTCCCCAGGACAGTCTGGGGTAGAGGAGGTCAGGATTTAACTACTTGAGGGTCCGGGGAACAGATGTGGCCACAGTCCTTCCTGACTCACTGTTTTCCCTTCCACAGTCCCCGTCTTCTCTTCACTGATGCACATAGATGCCTGACCAGAGGAGAGATTTAGTTTTCGTCCAAGGATTATCTGTTATGTTGCAGTTCTGAAATTCCCATAACGTTTAGGCTAGAACACAAGTGATTTCATTATCTCCAATGTGTATGGCTTGATAGAAATAGATTCCATTATGTAGCACCTTAAATCCAGATAAAACATAAGGAATTTCTATTCCATGTTTGTATGATCAATGTTAATAATCTAAGAAAATCTAAAAAGAAGCTACTTCCTATATTACAGTATGAAATAAATATGCTGAATGATTTGTTTTGGGGGGTGGAATGGAAAGGTATAAGACTGAGGAGGGTGCCTGTGGGAACAGTGATAGGAATCCTTTCTTAAGGGTTGGGTTTTACATACGTCTTTTAAAATAGATGATATCATTAATAAATTATCTGTGGGCATCATGAAAAAAGTGTATAACGTACAACTTTATGAGCTTGACAGTTGGTGAAAACTTTTCTGTTTAAAATTTTATTTGGCCCTCCCCAAAAGAAATGTTTATTTATGAGTATTAGGATAGTTCCAGCAGTAATGCCTCAAAAGAACCAGGAGGTATAGTGTTGTCTAAAATGTGGACTCAGGAGCCAGACTGCCTGGCTGTGCAACTAGCCTTGTCACTTCCTAGATATGTGGCAAGTTAATTAACTTCTCAGTGTTCTTATCTGTAGAATGGGGATAATCCTAATATACATCTCAGGGTTATATTACAAATTAAAAAAGTTAATTTTGTAAAGGACTTAGAATGATATCTGGCAAATAAAAGTGTTCATAAAAGTAAACCCTATAAAAGTGTTTACTCATTAAATACAATAATCTGAAACCATTAGTAATTTAAACATTTGTGGCTGACTTGGTAATATTTATGAAAATAAATACTGTATTTATAATCTTTGACCTTATTTGACTCCTAGGAATTTATTGTCCAGCAAACATTTTCACAGGCAGACAAAAATATTACTATAAAATCACGTTTATTACACCAATCTGTGCAAAAGGAAAAAATAGACAATTAAAATGGCCATCAAAAGGAGTATTGATTAAGTGAATGATAGTAAATCCATTCAATAGTAATCATATTATCCAAAAAGAATGAGGCATAGTCATGTGATGTGGGAAGATCCACGGCTAATGTTAAACGGTAAATGATACAAACTGTTATGCCCAATAAAATACTTTCTGTGAGAGAATATATGTTAATTTATGCGAGTGGCGCCAATGTGGAGGGTTTATGCTAATTTCATTATACCTCACAGACAGACCTGGGCTCTCCCACTCATTTTCTATGTGGCCTGGGGTAAGTCATTTATCTGCTGGAAGCCTCAGCTTCTTCATCTGTCAGGCAGTGATACCCTGACTACTCTGCAGGGTAACTCTGAGATTTCAACGTGATCATCTCAGAATATGCCTGGCAAACAGTAGGAGCTCAGAACTTGATGTTTTTTTCCTACAGCAACTGCTGTAGGGGATAGCAGCTAATGCAAGAGGTTGGTAAATCCTTATATATATCAAATATTGTAGAAACATAACTACATGCTACTATTTTTTCAAACCCTCCCCTCACCCTTTTTTTTCCCCTGAGACAGAGTCTCACTCTGCTGCCCAGGCTGGAGTGCAGTGGCGCCATCTCGGCTTGGCTCACTGCAACCTCTGACTCCCGGGTTCAAGCGATTCTTGTGCCTCAGTCTCCCAAGTAGCTGGGATTACAGGCATGTGCCACCATGCCCAGCTAATTTTTTTGGTATTTTTAATAGAGATGGGGTTTCTCCATGTTGGCCAGGCAGGTCTCCAGCTCCTGGCCTCAAGTGATCTGCCTGTCTCGGCCCCCCAAAATGCCGGGTCAAACCTCTTATATCCAGTAAAACAGCCTCACTGGGTCAATGGATATCATGTGGCTGCCTAACATTTTTACTTTATAAAAGGTCTTCCTGAGGCCATTTGAAAGTATGGATCAAAACACTTTATGAACAGGGCCACAGGTTTGCATGAGGTTTGTCAGTGGACCTCCAGGATGAAGAGACCAAAGTGACTGTGCAATTTCTAGTGGAATAATTTACACTTAAGATCTCATTTATTTATCAAAAGACCGCTGTGAGGTAGGAATTCTTAACCCCCATTTGCAGAAACAGACTTTGCCTGACACCACAGAGCTAGGAAAAAGTGGGCATAAGATCCTCATCAAGTCTGACTTCCAAAAGAAGATTCAAAAAGAAACCTCCTTGCTACCCGCCAAATCTCTGTAGAGCCAGCCATGTTCACACATGAAACAGGACAATGACAATAGCACCAGGAATAGCTACTCCTGGTCAGATGCCCTCATGAGGTCAACTCCGCGGGATGGGGACACCGGGCCCTGCTTAGGGGAAAGGAAGGGGGTTTGTAGAGGAAGCCCAGCCAGCCAAGCAACCAGAGATGGGAAAAACCTATTGGGAAGAACTTGCTTGCTCTAGCTGGGCTTTGCAAAGAACAGGAAAAGATGAGTCTGCACAGACAGAAATGGTCTAGAATGGCTGAATGTTTCATGTAGAAATTTTATTTTATGATTAATACACTCGTGCCATTTCTTGGAACCACTTGCTTGTTTAATTCTAGTCTATCAAGTGATAACTTTGTTGATATTTAGAGGCTCCTCAGTTAATTTCTGTGGGATTTTTGGTTATATTTAATAAGGAAAATAATATGAAATGTCTAAGAAAAAAAGAAACAAAGTCAATTATTCCTGAGAATGTTTAAATTTATTGAAGTACACTTGTTAATTGTTAGTATAGAACCTACATTTCATGATAGAAAACCTTGGACTTGCCAGTTGTAGCTGCTGGAATGAGGTGTTTGTCCAGTACATCCAGAACGTCGCCACAGATTAACTTTAGCTCAGTCTCAACCTGAAAAAATAAAAATAAATTAAAAAAATCAGATCGTTGAAGTCTAGAAATTCTGTAAATTATTACACATTCTATCTACCTCTGGTTTTGAGGAAGAGAGCTTAGTGTTACAGAGAATTCATTTCCCTCTCCAAACTCCCTTCCTCCCTTTTGACACAAAAGCAGAGAAAAGCTGCCTGTCGGTTATCAAAAGTATCTTTTCCTTCCTGCCTGCAATTAAGTGCTACACACACACCACCCCCCACCCCAATACCCCCTCACAGTCCAACTGCAGAATCACCAATGACTGAAACTAAACACTGATGCTACTTGGTAAATGCTGGTCAATTACATGAATCTTTCACAAAGTAGCAACTATTGTGTCCATTTACTGGGGAAAACAGAAGCTAAGACATTTGCTCAAAGGTCATCCCCTTAAAAGAACGTAATAAGCAGAGCTAGGATTTGAAACCAGGCAGGGTGCAAGGGACAGAACAAAATTCAAACCCAGGCAGTTTGCCTTCAGTACTTACATTCCTAACAAGGTTCAACAGGCAATGCCTTTAGTGGAAGAGACCAAAAACTAGTTAAGATACCAAAAATCTGTGGACCAAAGTAACAATTGCCACTCATTTATATTCATTTATAATGCTAAAAATGTGCACCACCTCTAAAGGCACATACCCAGTTTACGTCTTTTTTTTTTTTTTTTTTTTTTTTTTGAGAGGGAGTCTGGCTTTGTCACGCAGGCTGGAGTGCAGTGGCGTAATCTCAGCTCACTGCAACCTCCACCTCCCGGGTTCATGTCATTCTCCTGCCTCAGCCTCCGGAGGAGCTGGGACCACAGGTGCCTGCCACCACGCCCAGCTAATTTTTTGTATTTTTAGTAGAGACAGGGTTTCACCGTGTTAGCCAGGATGGTCTCGATCTCCTGACCTCGTGATCCGCCTGCCTCGGCCTCCCAAAGTGCTGGGATTACAGGCATGAGCCACCACGCCAGGCCTATTTTTTGTTTTTTTAGACAGAGTCTTCCCCTGTCACTCAGGCTGAAGTGCAGTGGCCCTATCTCAGCTCACTGCAGCCTCTGCCTTCCAGGTTCAAGCAGTTCTCATGCCTCAGGCCCCTGAGTAGCTGGGATTACAGGGGTGCGCCACTGTCTCGGGTTAATTTTTGTATTTTTAGTAGAGATGGGGTTTCACCATGTTGGCTAGGCTGGTCTTGAATTCCTGGCCTCAAGAGGTCCACCTACCTCGGCCTCCCAAACTGCTGGATTATAGATGTGGGCCACGCGTGGCCCAACTCTACTATTTCAATGCAGCTCCTGTACCCTAGGTCATCACTGACTTCCCAGTTGCTGAATCCAGTTGTCTTTACTGAGTTGGTCCTTAATTTAACTTACTTTTGCATTGAAGCTACTGACTGACCACAGCATTTTGAAACTCTGTTCCTCTTATTACTGTGATTCTACTTTCCTTATTTTTCATCTTATCTCTTAAGTCTGTGGCTTCTCAGACTTCCTCACAATTGATTGCTTATTTTAAAAATTCAAAAATTTAAACCTCCCGAGCAGTTCAAAAACAATATACCTTTGAAATTTTTTAAACTTTTCAGAGTTGCAAGAATAGTTCAGTGATCACCAGGTGTTACCATTTTGCCATATTTTCTTTGTCTCTGTGTCCCTCCCTTTCTACCTGCCCCCACATATATGTGTATCTATGAATATTGACATTTTTTAACATTAATAAATTTTCTTTCTGTACAATTTGAGAGTTAACTGCAGATTTCATAGCACTTCACCCCTAATTTCTTCTATACATCTCCTAAGAATAAGGGCATTTTTTTTTTTTTTTGAGAAGGAGTCTCACTCTGTCACCCAGGCTGGGGTGCAGTGGTGCAATCTTGGCTGACTGCAACCTCCACCTCCTGGGTTCAAGCGATTCTCCTGCCTCAGCCCCCCAAGTAGCTGGGATTACAGGTGCCTGCTACCATGCCTGCCTAAGTTTTGTAATTATAGTAGAGATGGGGTTTTGCCATGTTGGCCAGTCTGGTCTCAAACTCCTTACCTAAGGTGATCCGCCCTCCTTGGCCTCCCAAAGTGTTGGGATTACAGACGTGAGACTCCATTCTCAGCCTCTTTTTCCTTTTGTAATTAACAAGTGATCTATGGCATGATAGAAACAGTGTGAATATTCTGTCCCATAATAATCTTTACTTAATGGTTTCATCTGGATTGCTTCTTGCCCAAATCAAATATTACTATAGTGATTAGAAATTGGAGACTTTTCTATTTTTTCTGTATTTTTTCTATATTGTCATTCTTCTGTAAAGATTTTTTTAAACTCTTTTGTTTTTTTTTTTTTGAGACGAAGTCTCGCTTTGTCACCAGGCCGGAGTGCAGTGGTATGGTCTCAGCTCACTGCAACTTCTGCCTCCCAGGTTCAGGCGATCCTCCTGTCTCAGCCTCCAGAGTAGCTGGGACTACAGTCATTTGCCACTGTGTCCAGCTAATTTTTTGTATTTTTAGTAGAGATGGGGTCTCACCATGTTGGCCAGGATGGTCTTGATCTCTTGACCCCGTGATCCAGCCACCTCAGCCTCCCAAAGTGCTGGGATTACAGGCGTGAGCCACCGTGGCTGGCCCTATACTCCCTTTTTAAATTTTTTTTTTTTTTTTTTTGAGATGGAGGTTCACTCTGTTGCCCAGGCTGGAGTGCAATGATGTGGTCTTGGCTCACTGCAACCTCCGCCTCCCAGGTTCGAGCAATTCTTCTGCCTCAACCTCCTGAGTAGCTGGGATTACAGGTACATGCCACCACACTCGGTTGATTTTTGTATTTTTAGTAGGGATGGGGTTTCACTATGTTGGCCAGGCTGGTCTTCAACTCCTGACCTCATGATCTGCCCGCCTCAGCCTCCTAAAATGCTGAGATTGCAGGTGTGAGCCACTGCACCTGGCCCTTTTTTTTTTTTTTTTGAGACAGGGACTTCCTCTGTTGCCCAGACTTGAGTGCAGTGGTATGATCATGGCTCACCACAGCTTGGACACCAGGCTGCCTCAGCTCACTGCAACCTCTGCTTCCCGGGTTCCAGTGATTCTCGTGCCTCAGCCTCTGGAGTAACTGGGAGTACAGGTGCTCACCACCATACCTGGCTAATTCTTGTATTTTTAGTAAAGATGAGGTTTCACCATGTTGGCCAGGCTGGTCTCAAACTCCTGGCCGACATGGTGATCCACCTGCCTTGGCTTCCCAAAGTGCTTCATATTGTTAGCCCTAATTCTAGTCAAATTCCATAGCGTTCTTCCTCTTTATTTTTATTTTTTTATTTTTGAGACGGAGTCTTGATCTGTCCCCCAGGCTGGAGTGCAGTGGTGTGATCTCGGATCACTGCAGCCTCCACCTCCTGGGTTCAAGCAAATCTCTGCCTCTGCCTCCTGAGTGGCTGGGATTACAGACACCTGCCACCATGCCCAGCAAATTTTTGTATTTTTAGTAGACACAGGATTTCATCATCTTGGCCGGGCTGGTCTTGAACTCCTGACCTTGTGATCCACCCACCTCGGCCTCCCAAAGTGCTGGGATTACAGGCGTGAGCCACCGCGCCTGGCCTGTATTAGATATTTTTAAGTCAGTTTCCTAAGACAATTAAATATTTCAGGTAGTTGGGACTTTTCTTTTTTTGGTTTGTTTTATTTTGCTTAATTTAACCATTTTAAATATGATTCTCTGGGAATTTTTTCTTCAAAATATAGAATATGTGTGCATTAGTTTGCTAGGCTTGCTGCAACAAAGTACCACAAACTGGGTGGCTTAGACAACAGAAATTTATTATCTCATAGATCTGGAGACTAGAAGTTCTAGATCACGTTGTTAGAGTTGGTTTCTTCGACAACTGTGAGAAACCTTATGTTCCATGCCTCTCCCCTGGCTTCTGGTGGTTTGCTGGTCATCTTTGGCATACTTTGGCTTGTAGGTGCATCACCTGGATCTCTGCCTTCATGTTCACATGGTGTTCTACCTGTGTGCATATCTGTGGCAAAATTTCCCCTTTTTATAAGGATACCAGGCATATTGGATTAGGGTTCCTCTCTACTCCAGTAGGACCTCATCTTCACTAATTACATCTGCAATAACCCTTTCCAAATAAGGTCACATTCTGAGGAACTAGAGGTTAGAGTTTCAACATACGAAATTTTCTGGGGGGTGGGTAAGGGACACGATTCAATCCATAACAATATGTTTATGAGTAAATGAGTTAGTGTGTTATTGTCTTTCTGCCACCTCAGAATCTGAGAAAACACAGTTTCTTTTTCCATTCCTTGGGCTGTAGGTGGAGAAGGAGGAGGATGATGATGGTGATTATTTTTTGGTCATGCCCCATAATGTGACCCACTTTAAAAAACAACAAACAATTGTAAGGAGGAGAACTGTCATACACCTACTGCCCAGCTTAAAAATAATTAGATCATCTTCTTTAAACATAACTGTCATCCCATCATCACACCTAAGAAGTTGACAGTTTCCCCAGTTTTTTTTTTCTCTTTTTTTTTTGAGATAGGGTCTTTCTCTGTTGCCCAGGCTGGAGTGCAGCGGCATGATAGTGGCTCATGGCAGCCTCATCTTCCCAGGCTCAAGGGATCCTCCCATATAGCTGGGACCACAGGGGTGCATCACCACATCCAATTTTTTGAATTTTTCTAGAGATGAGGTCTCCCTGTGTTGCCCCACCTAATTTTTTTGTTGTTGTTGTTCCATTCTTTTTTTTTTTTTCTCCTGTTTGTAAGGATTTAATCAAGGTCTGTATGTAGTTTGGTTACTATGTCTCTTAGGTCTCTTTTCCTTTATAGATTCCCCTCGTGATTTACTGAAGAAACGGGGTCATTTGTCCTGTAGAATTCTCAAATTTTGATTTTGCTGATATTATCCCCAGAGTGTCATTGACCATGTTCATCTGTTCCCCAAATTTCCAAAAACTGGTAGTTAAATTTAGGTGGTTGATCTGATTCAGATTACACTCTCAGTATCGCATATGCTTTGATCAGGAGGCATAATGTGTACTTGTGTGTGCGTATGTGTGTTTTTTTAGTGATGTTAGTGGTCACTGCCTGTGTCAGCATTTCACTACCAGGGTAATTTGGCAATGTCTGGAGACACACTGATTGTCACAGCTTGGGAGAGGGAATGCTATAGGTACCTTCAGGGGTAAGAGTCAGCACAGCACAGCACAGCCCCCTAACGCAAAGTATTAATAGGCCTAAAATGTCAGTAGCCCTGAGGTTGAGAAACTCTGGCCTACTTTTGTAGTTTCATCAGGTGTTTGTGAAATGGTTTTATTCTAACTGTTATTTCTTCTTTCTTTGTTAGCTGGAATTCTTTCATAAAGAGAAACTCTTTGATCAGTTAGTTACCCAAGGTACAGTTCATACAGAAAAGGCAGGATGTATGTTTGATTCTTTCCTAGTTTTCAAAATAATGAATTAGTTCCCTAGCATCTTCCAAAATTGACCAATGAACTTTGTGTGTGTTTTTTTCTTTTTTAGTATATTATGAACTTACACGTTTTAACATATTTGTGTTTCCTTTCATCGCAGTTATTTTTATTTTATTTTTATTTATTCATTTATTGTTTTCAGGCAGGGTCTTAACTCTGTCACCCAAGCTGTAGTGCAGTGGTATAATCGCTGCCCACTGCAGGCTTGACGTCCTGACCTCCAGCAATCCTCCCACCTCACCCTCTTGAGTAGCTGGGACCACAGGTACACCATCATGCCCAGCTAATTTTTGTGTTTCTGGTAGAGACGGGGTTTTGCCGTGTTCACCAGGCTGGTCTTCAAATCCTGAGCTCAAAAGTAATCCACCTGCCTCTGCCTCCCAAAGTGTTGAGATGATAGGCGTGAGCCACCGCACCTAGCAGTTATTTTTATTGGTGCTCGTTTTTTCCCTTCGTTGAATGCTGGGTGCAGTGAATGCTGGGTGCATCTTCATGTTGGGTTCTGAGTCCTTTTGACATGAGCACATTGTCTGGTGTTGTACGAGAGAGCAAAATAAGGAAACTGGTGTTCTATGCTTATCTTGTACATTTTCCCCACACTTGGAATCAGCCATTCCTCCAGGGAGTGCAGGTTCACAGTCTGGGCTCTAAGAGAATTATAAGGTCAATGTGGTCATCATCTTTTAGTATTAAGTCAGATATTCTAAATTATTATTTACTTCTTACATTTGGCCCAAGAGTTTAACCAGATATTTTGGGAAAGAGAGAAGGAATTAAATAAATAAATCTCATGGTTAGAACTGAAGTGATAACTATACTTTCACAAGGAAATATAACTTATAACCCATGCGGAATAGAAAATTATTTTTGCTCCTTTAGATTTCTGAAGGAATGAAATGAGCTGTGGGAAGAAACTTTAACTGGAGCATCTTACCAGTATTATTCATGTTTTAACTCTGCTTCAGTAGTTTTTCAGGTTTATTACAAACCTGCAGTAGCCAACTGAATTAATTATCTCTAAACAGGGATTTAGCCAGTGGACTAGGCACACTGAAGCTTTGTGAGAGGGGAAATTGATATTCACATTTTTTCCAGCTTGTTTTGAGCTCGATATATTCTTTTTTTTTTTTTTTTTTCATTGAGACAGACTCTCGCACCGTCACCTGGGCTGGTGTGCAGTGGCACGATCTCTGCTTGCGGCAACCTCTGCCTCCCAGGTTCAAGCAATTCTCCTGCCTCAGCCTCCCGAGTAGCTAGGATTACAGGCGCCCGCCACCACGCCCGGCTGATGTTTTGTATTTTTAGTAGAGACGGGGTTTCGCTTTATTGGCCAGGCTGGTCTTGAACTCCTGACCTCATGATCTGCCTGCCTCAGCCTCCCAAAGTGCTGGGATTACAGGCCTGAGCCACCATGCCCAGCCAATATATTCACATTTTTAATAGGAATAACAGTATACTAAAATCTTTTTTAGTGCATGTTTAAGATTTGAAGATGTAATTTGACTCAGTACTTTCCACTTGCATTTTTTTCTTCCACTTGCATTTCTCCACTATTAGAATAGTGCCTGCTAAGACTATTCTAATACTTTATTATAGTTAACCCCTGCGAAAAGAGCTCCCAGAGCTTACAGTGCATTTGATTGATGTCATATGGACTATTCATTATTTTCTAAATTATTTTGTTTGTATAGAGCAATCTGAAGAGGATGTAAGTCAGTTTGATTCCAAGTTTACACGTCAGACACCTGTCGACAGCCCAGATGACACAACTCTCAGTGAAAGTGCCAATCAGGTGTTTTTGGTAAGTGAAAGAATTTCCATGTAGTCATGGGAAATTTTAAGTATGAGGATGGGCTCTTCGATAAGAAAATTCAGTTTGCTTGCTTTGCAGCTCATGTAGGTAACCTGGCCCACTTTTTTTTTTAAATAAGCCATGCTCTTATAAATTATTGATACCTACAAAATTGATTTTCATAATCCAACATTTTATTTTAGCAATTAGAGTGGGAATGTACAATTCTTTGGAGAGTATGATTCCCTTTTTTGGTTGGGCCACAGACTTAAAATGATGTTTGGCTTAGCATCTCAACCAAAAATTAAGTCATAGCAGTGGGAGAGAAAAACCTCACTAACTACATGTATTTTATTTCTGAAACAGCTATAGATTTTTGGTACCTTTTTTTTTTTTTTTTTTGAGACAGGGTCTCACCTTGTAGCCCAGGCTGGGTGTAGGGTGTAGTGGTGTGATCACAGTTCACTACAGCCTTGACCTCCCAGGCTCAAGTGATCCACCCATTTCAGCCTCGTGAGTACCTGGACTACAGGTGTGTGCCCCATCCAGCTAATTTTTTATTTTTTTGTAGAGACAGAGTCCCACTATTTTACTCCTGGACTCAAGCTATCTTCCCACCTCGGCTTCCCAAAGTGCCAAAATTATAGGCATGAGCCATCATTCCTGGCCCTATTTTTGGTACTCTTAACATAAGTAGGGGATTTTTTTTTTTTTTTTGAGACTGAGTCTCACTCTGTCATCAGGCTGGGGTGCAGTGGCGCGATCTCAGCTCACTGCAACCTCTGCCTCCTGGGTTCAAGTGATTCTCCTGCCTCAGCCTCCTGAGTAGCTGGGACTACAGGTGCCTGCCACCACGCCCAGTTAATTTTTGTATTTTTAGTAGAGACAGGGCTTCACCATGTTGGCCAGGATGGTCTTGATTTCTTGACCTCATGATCCACCCGCCTTGGCCTCCCAAAGTGCTGGGATTACAGGCATGAGCCACTGCGCCCGGCCAAGTAGGGGATTTTTTAAACCTAATTGTGAATATTTGACATCAAATTATATTGGTTCATATGTAATAGTGAATTCTTGTTGTAGAAATATCCGTATAGATTTATAGCTTGTCTCCTCAGAAAAGTAAAGGTTTTAGATGTTGGCCAACAGAAATGATGGATTTATATCAGATGACCATCAATGCATACATACTATTTTGCTTAAATACCATATATGCTTGTTGATTTTATTACTGTACTTATATGTCACATGAACATCTTTCTCATTTTGTATCCTTTTTTTTCTTTTGTCGTTCCTGTATGGAATACCTCTAGGGAGAATAGAATATGGGGAAAACAATTGTTTGGGAGTGTTTTTTTCCCTCTTTTTGAGTTCACTGGATTTGTCACTAACTTAATTCTATGCTTTTCTTCCCCACACTGCTCACTATATAACACAAGTAGTGTTGTATCTTATGGGATGGGAAATAAGCTCTAAAGTTAGCATGGAGCTGGGACATGGTGGCTCAGGCCTATAACCTTGAGGTCAGGAGTTCGAGACCAGCCTGGCCCACATGGTGAAACCCCATCTCTACCAAAAATACAAAAATTAGCCGGGTGTGGTGGCATGTACCTGTGGTACCAACTACTTGGGAGGCTGAGGTAGGAGAATGACTTGAACCCGAGAGGCAGAGGTTGCAGGAGCCAAGATCGTGCCACTGCACTCCAGCCTGGGCAATAGAGTGAGTGAGACTCTGTATAAAAAAAAAATAATTAAAAAAATAAAGTTAGCATGGAATGCAAAAGTTGTGTATAGTACAGTATGGTTTCAAGTAAACAACACTGAATAGTAATAATCCTATAAATTAGTAATATAGAGCACGTAGGCAAAATATAATCTTACAGTATTAATTACATAAGAGATAAAAGATGAGTGAGTGCATGCATGTTTTTAAATTCAAGTTTGATGTGTGCATGATCAAAGTTACGGCATCTCTGTTAGTAAAATCTTAGGTTCACTCAGGGAAGTGGGCATGAATCACTTTAATTTTGGCTTTTTTTTTCTCTTTCATGTACTACTGATGTGGAATTTATACCTTTGATTTAACATAGAGACCTTTTCATCAATTGAACATTGCAGAATTTCAACTTATGTGACAGTTTCCCCCCACAAAATAGAAGCATTTTATTTAGCTACCAAGAAATCCTAAGTTGTGGTGGTAAATGTGAGCTATTGACGCTTTCGTTGCCAGTTAAAAGTATTGTTGAGCTTTTCATAATTACTTAAATTGGCTATAACTGATGAACAGAGCAACTCATTTGTTAGGTTGTAGCCAGAATTCTGTACATAAAGTGGGTCTCTTGAAACATTAGTAAAAACAAAAATAGGCCAGGTGCAGTGGCTCATACCTGTAATCCCAGCACTTTGGGAGGCTGAAGTGGGTGGATCACAAGGTCAGGAGTTCTAGAACAGCCTGGCCAATATGGTGAAACCCCATCTCTACTAAAAATACAAATATTAGCCAAGTGCGGTGGCACACGCCTGTAATTCCATCTACTCGGGAGGCTGAGGCAGGAGAATCACTTGAAACCAGGAGGTGGCAGTTGCAGTGAGCCAAGATTGTGCCAGTGCATTCCAGCCTGGGCAACAGAGCAAGGCTCTATCTCAAAAAAAAAAAAAATTCCGCATACATAAGAAGAGAATATGCATTAAAAAAATCAGCAGAGCCTCACATTCCAGGATTTTCTACACAAGAAACCATTCCTAAAATATGTGCTTGGAATTACTAGGGTTTCTCTTGCAAACATTTTAATAACACCTCATTTGTTTTTTTTATTATAATATTTATTTAAGCAAAATTTCTTTTTTTTATTTTATTATTTTATTATTATTACACTTTAAGTTGTAGGGTACATGTGCACAATGTGCAGGTTAGTTACATATGTATACATGTGCCATGCTGGTGTGCTGCACCCATTAACTCGTCATTTAGCATTAGGTATATCTCCTAATGCTATCCCTCCCCCCTCCCCACACCCCGCAACAGTCCCCAGAGTGTGATGTTCCCCTTCCTGTGTCCATGTGTTCTCATTGTTCAATTCCCACCTATGAGTGAGAACATGCGGTAACACCTCATTCTTTAGGGGTGTGGTTATATGTGTCATGTTATTAGATCTTTACAGCAACTCTCCTGGGTAAAGCGGTTATTACTAGGTCATTTTATAGAAGGAAAAATAACCAGTACTTTTTTTTGCTTTACTTCAGTAGCTATTGCCTCCTTCAATTTGACATTTCAATCCTGGCACATAGTGGGGGCTCAACAAATATTTGCTGGAGGAATGCCATTTAAAATACAGTGATTGGATAGGAGAATATTTGAGGGCATTAACAATTTTTAAAAGCCAAAAAAAAATTACAATTGGACTTATGAGATTTTGATTTTTTTGTGTATTTTCTTTTAAAAAATAAGCTTCTCTAAGCTGGGCTTGGTGGCTCATGCCTGTAATCCCAGCACTTTGGGAGGCTGAGGCAGGTGGATCACCTGAGGTCAGGAGTTTGAGACCAGCCTGGCCAACATGGTGAAAACCCGTCTCTACTAAAAATACAAAAATTAGCTGGCCGTGGTGGCACACACCTGTAATCCCAGCTACTAGGGAGGCTGAGGCAGGAGAATCGCTTGAACCCGGGAGGCAGATGTTGCAGTGAGCCAAGATCACACCACTGTACTCCAGCCTGGGTGACAGAGCAAGACTCTGTCTCAAAAATAAATAAATAAAGTATATAAATAAATAAATAAGCTTCTGTTTTGGCTTCCTCCAATGTAGTCTCTTTGAGTAGGAAGAAATTGTTATGATTCAAACTAGTAAATTCTTTTTTTTTTTTTTTTTTGAGATGGAGTCTTGCTCTTATTGCCCAGGCTGGAGTGCAGTGGCGTGATCTTGGCTCACTGCAGCCGGCTCACTTGAACCGGGTTCAAGTGATTCTCCTGCCTCAGCCTCCCAAGTAGGTGGGATTACAGGTGCCTGCCATCACGCCTGGCTAATTTTTGTAGTTTTAGTACAGATGGGGTTTCACCATCTTGGCCAGGCTGGTCTTGAACTCCTGGTCTTGATCTGCTGACCTATATCCGCCCGCCTCGGCCTCCCAAAGTGCTGGGATTACAGGTGTGAGCCATTGCGCCCGGCCGACAGGTAAATTCTTATATCAAAAAACTGAGTTAGACTTGGTCCCTGGAGCTGTTTTCCATCCCTAAAAAGATGATGTCAAGCTATCATGTATAATAAATAACAACTCAATTGACCACATATTTTCCTTTAAGCCTAATGATGAAATAATATTATAATGAAATACTTAGAAGTTTTAAGGGAAAAAATCCTTTAAGTCATTAAATTAAAATTGAAACCAAAACAATAACTTCACTGTTTTAGGATAAAATTGGCATATGAAAGGTTTGATAGTGAACGACAGTAAGATTAACCTACTACAGCATTTGCCTTTAGCTTTTACTGAGTAATACTTGGAGCTATATATTTATAGCATTTGCTATAAATGTGCAAATGAAGACATTATTTATTGTATTACTGCTGAGATTAATATTGTCTTTTTCAGATTTCTAAAACATTACAGCAAATGCGCACATGAGGGCGCTCTAATCAGCTAGATGTGGAGAGGGTAGGCATTTGTTGACTGTTAAGTCAAAACTAGTTCTATACTTTTACAGATGGAAAAATCAAGGTCCACCAAAGAGGTTATGATTCTACACGAGTTATTCTCTAGAGGAAACAAATTGGGTATTAGAATTTTGAAAAGATTAAACAGAAATCCCTGTCAGTGAATTTATGCTGGAGAATTTTGACTTTTATCCTAGCAACTCCTTATTGAAAATCTTTACCCATGCCATGATATAATTTATCTTCAATCTTAAATGGGTTTGGTAATAGTGTTTATAAGATGTAGGAGAGTTAATTAGAATATTTATTTTTATGAACTTTTGCTTTATAAAATTAACAAATGTTAATTGTGCTTCATTTATACTTTTTTTTTTTTTTTTGAGACGGAGTCTTACTCTGTCACCCAGGCTGGAGTGCAGTGGCGTGATCTCAGCTCACTGCAACCTCTGCCTCCCAGGTTCAAGCGATTCTCCTGCCTCAGCCTCCCAAGTAGCTGGGACCACAGGCACGTGCCACCACGCCTGGCTAATTTTGGTACTTTTAGTAGAGACGGGGTTTCACCATGTTGGCCAGGGTGGTCTCGAACTCCTGACCTCAAGTGATCTGCCCGCCTTGGCCTCCCAAAGTGCTAGGATTACAGGTGTGAGCCACCAACACCTGGCCCATTTATACTTAAGGCTGATTCTCAACTGATTTGGGTAAGATCCTTAGTCTTTCCCCATCTCTGACGTAATTCCTAGTTTGTCCTTTGGCTTTCCTGTGTATATAAAGCTACCAGGCTGCTTGCAGATTTTTCGGGGAATAAGTCCCATAAACACTCACAAAGATTTTATTAGGGAGAAGCTATGATGCGAATATAGAATGTAGATTTTTTAAATTTCAAAATCAGTATGGGCCGGGCGCGGTGGCTCACGCCTGTAATCCCAGCACCTTGGGAGGTCGAGGCGGGCGGATCACGAGGTCAGCAGAGCGAGACCATCCTGGTTAACACGGTGAAACCCCGTCTCTACTAAAAATACAAAAAATTAGTGGGCGCAGTGGCAGGCGCCTGTAGTCCCAGCTACTCGGGAGGCTGAGGCAGGAGAATGGCGTGAACGCGGGAGGCGGAGCTTGCAGTGAGCGGAGATCGCGCCACTGCACTCCAGCCTGGGCGACAGAGCGAAGACTCCATCTCAAAAAAAAAAAATCAGTATGTAGAGCTGGGCATGGTGGTGTGTGCCTATTAGCCCAGCCACTGGGGAGGCTGAGGCAGGAGAAGCCCTTGAGCCCAAGAGTTCAAGACTAGCCTGGGCAACACAGCGAGACCCTCATCTCGAAAAATAAATAAATAAATAAATAAAGTATTGCAATATTTATTATATAGGCAAATTTTTTTCAACTTAAGTGCTACCCTCATCAGGGGAAGATTTGTTTGATTAGATCCCCACACAGGCTGGCCGCTTCCTCATTTCTACTTTTTCTTTTCTTTTTGAGATGGAGTTTTGCTCTTGTTGCCCAGGCTGGAGTGCAATGGCGCAATCTTGGCTCACTGCAACCTCCGCCTCCCGGGTTCAAGCGATTCTCCTGCCTCAGCCTCCCGAGTAGCTGGGATTACAGGCACCTGCCACCACACCCGGCTAATGTTTGTATTTTTAGTAGAGATGGGGTTTCACCATGTTGGCCAGATTGGTCTCAAACTCTTCAGTTCAAGCGATCTACCTGCCTCGGCCTCACAAAGTGCTGGAATTACAGGTGTGAGCCACTGCGCCCGGCCTCATTTCTACGTTTTCAAAGAAGTCAATTTTCTTTAAAAAATAAACTCTTTTGGCCACGCGGCGGCTCATTCCTGTAACCCTAGCACTTTGAGACTCAGAGGCAGACGGATCGCTTGAACTCAGGAGTTCAAGACCAGCCTGGCCAACACGGTGAAACCCTGTCTCTACAAAAAATTAGCTGGATGCAGCGGCACGTGCCTGTAGTCCCAGCTACTCAGGAGGCTGAGGCAAGAGAGTCACTTGAGTCCAGGAGGCAGAAGTTGCAGTGAACTGAGATCACGCCATTGCACTCCAGCCTGGCTGATGGGAGTGAAACCTTGTCTCAAATAAATAAATAAATAAACTCTTATTTTAAAAAAAAAAAAGCAAATCATGAAACAAAACAAAACCCAGGGCTCTGAATGAAAAAGATCTCTCCTTTAGGGGGCTAGGTGATGGAAAGGAAAATAGGTCATGAATTTCATGTTCTCATTTGTCTTCGTTAATGACTTGTATGTATATATATTTCCATTGAAGACATAGATATGCATTTGATCACCTACACTTGTTTGTATTTTGAGTCATAAATTAAGGCATTTCCTGTCCAGAAAGCACCTGACAATCTTATGATAAAAAACATGGAATTTTAAAATCACAAATGCAAATAACAAGCCAGGCACAGTGGCTCACGCCTGTAATCTTAGCTCTTTGGGAGACCAAGGTGGGTAGATTGTTTGAGCTCAAGAGTTTGAGACCAGCCTGGGTAACATGGAGAAACCCTGTCTTTACAAAAAATAAAAAATTAGTGGGGCACGGTGGCATGTGCCTGTAGTCCCAGATACTCAGGAGGCTAAGGTGGGAGGAGTGCTTGAGCCCAGGAGGTCGAGGCTGCTGTGAGCTGTGGTGGCAACACTGCACTCCAGCCTGGGTGACAGAGTGAGACCCTATCTCAAAAAAAAAAAGGAGTGCAAATAACAGATGACCTTACAAACATCAAAAGTTATGTCTTTATAATAAGTTTTGTCTACATTTAATGAAATATATTGGACAAGGAAAAAATGTAGCAGTATGCATATGGCTTTATCTTGGCCCTGCCCACTACTGTGCCCTCATTTCTTTTCCTTCCCACTGAGTCCTTCCACACTACCACACCACAGCAAACCTGACAAGCTTCTGCCTGAAATAGCACCATTGCACTTCTCTTCCCTTTGCCTGAAACATTCTTTTTTTTCTTTTTTTTCTTTCTTTTTTTTTTTTTTTTATGAGATGGAGCCTCACTCTCTCGCCAGGCTGGAGTGCAGTGGCACGATCTCAGCTCACTGCAACCTCCACCTCCCTGGTTCAAGCGATTCTCCTGCCTCAGCCTCCCGAGTAGCTGGGATTACAGGTATGCACCACCATGCCCGGCTAATTTTGTATTTTTAGTAGAGACGGGGTTTCTCCATGTTGGTCAGGCTAGTCTCGAACTCCCGACCTCAGGTGATCCGCCCGCCTCGGCCTCTCAAAGTGCTGGGATTACAGGCGTGAGCCCCTGTGCCTGGCCACCACAATCAATTTTAGAATATTTTCATTTCTCTCAAAAAAAAAATACCATACCTATGAGCACTCACTCCCCATTTTCTCCATCCCTCAGTCCTAGGCAACCACTAATTTACTTTCTTTTAGGATAGGATTTGCCTATTTGGACATTTCATATAAATGGAACCATACAATTTGTGATCTTTTGTGACTGGCTTTTTTCAAGTAACCTAATGTTTTCAAGGTTCATTCATGTTATAGCATGTGTCAGTACTTATTTCCTTTTTTTTTATGGCTCAATAATATTCTGTTGTAGGAATATAACACATTTCATTTATCTGTTTATCACTTTTTTTTTTTTTTTTTTTGAGATGGAGTCTCAGTCTGTCACTCAGGCTGGAGTACGGTGGTGTGATCTTGGCTCACTGCGGCCTCCGCCTCCTGGATTCAAGCCATTCACCTGCCTCAGCCTCCCAAGTAGCTGGGATTACAGGCACGTATACCATGTCCCGCTGATTTTTGTATTTTCAGTAGAGATCGGATTTCACTCTGTTGGCCAGGCTGGTCTCGAACTCCTGACCTCAAGCAATCCTCCCGCCTTGGCCTCCCAAAGTGTTGGGAGCCACCACACCCAGCTGTCTCCACTTTTTGACTATTATGAATAATGCTGCTATGAACATTCATGTGTAAGTTTTTGTGTGGACATATGTTTTCCTTTCCCTTGGGAATATGATGAAGCCTGGCATTGCCAGGTCATATGATAACTCTATGTTTAAGCTTTGGAGGAACTGCCAGACTATTTCCAAAGCAGTTCCAACTTCATTGCAAAGCATTTTACATTCCCTCCAGCAACATATGAGTGTTTCAATTTTTCCACATTTTCTCCAACACTTGTTATTATGTGTCTGTTTATTATAGCCATTCTTGTGAGTGTGAAGTGGTATCTTAACATGGTTTGGATTTGCACTTCCCTGATGGCTAATGATGTTTCTATGGTTTGAATGTTGGAGTCCTCCAAAATTCATGTTATAACCTAAGACCTAATGTGACAATGTTAAGAAGTGAGGCCTTCAAGGTGGTGATTAGGTCATGAGGGCTCTGCCCTCGTGAATGAAATTAATGCCCTTATAAAAAGGCTTCACATAACATTTCTTCTTCTTTTTTCCTTTCTTCTCCTGCCATGTGAAGATGCCACTGCGAGAACGGGAACAATGGAACAGGCCCTCACCAAATGCCAAATGTGCTATCACCTTGATTTTGGTTTTCCCAGCCTCCGGAACTGTGAGGAATAAATTTTTTTACTTATAAATTACTTAGTCTCAGGTATTTTGTTACAGCAGCACAAACAGACTAAGACAGAAATTGAGTGTATTTTCTTGTGCTTATTGGCCATTTATTTTCTTTTTTTTATTTTTATTTATTTATTTATTTTTAGGTGGGGTTTTGCTCTGTTGCCCAGGCTGGAGTGCAGTGGTGCAATCTTAGCTCATTGCAACCTCTGCCTCCCGGGTTCGAGTGATTCTTGTGCCTCATCTGCCTGAGTACCTGGGACTACAGGCATGCGCCACAACGCCTGGCTGATTTTTATATTTTTAGTAGAGATGGGTTTTCGCCATGTTGGCCAGACTGGTCTTGAACTTCTGGCCTCAAGTGATCCACCTGCCTTGGCCTCCCAAAGTGTTGGGATTATAGGCATAAGCCACCACCTGGCCCTTATTGGCCATTTGTATGTCTTCTTTGGAGAAATATCTGTTCAGATCTTTTGTCCATTTTAAAATTGGGTTATATCCTTTTTATTATCAAGTTGTAAGAGTTCTTTATGTATTCTAGATCCAAGTCCATTGTCAGATACTGTAGTCTCCCGTATGCTCTCTGCAGTTTCAGTTACCTGCGGGCAGCTGCAATCCCAAATATTACAGTATTTTGAGACAGAGAAAACTATTCATGTAACTTATGTTAAAGTATATTCTAGCCAGGCACAGTGGCTCACACCTGTAATCCCAGCACTTTGGGAGGCCGAGGTGGGTGGATCACAAGGTCAGGAATTGGAGACCAGCCTGGCCAATATGGTGAAACTCTGCCTCTACTAAAGATACAAAAATTAGCCGGGCGTGGTGGCAGGTGCCTGTAGGCCCAGCTACTCGGGAGGCTGAGGCAGGAGAATCGCTTGAACCTGGGAGGTGGAAGTTGCAGTGAGCCGAGATGGCGCCATGGCACTCCAGCCTGGGTGACAGAGCAAGACTCCATCTCAAAAACAAAAAGTATATTCTAATTGTTCTCTTTTATTATTAGTTATTGTTGTTATTCTATTACAGTGCCTAATTTATAAATTAAACTTCATCATAGGTATGTATGTATGTATAGGAAAAAAACATAGTACATATAGAGTTTGGTACTATCTGCAGTTTCAGGTATACACTGGAGGTCTTGGAACATATTTTGTTACATATATATCTATATATTTATAAATATATATTTATATATAGCTATATATTTATGTATCTATATATCTATAAATATATGTTTATATATCTATATTAATCTATATCTATATATGAATATATAGGTAATAGATAAATATATACATATATATATATATTTTTTTTTTTTTTTGAGATAAGGTCTCGGTCTATCGCCCAGGCTGGGATACATTAATGTTATCTTGGCTCACTGCAGCCTCAACCTCCTGGGCTCACGTGATTCTCCCACCTCAACCTCCCAAGTAGCTGGGACCACAGGCACATGTCACCACATCTGGGTAATTTTATTTATTTATTGTAGAGATAAGGTATCCCTATGTTGCCCAGGTTAGTCTTGAGCTCCTGGGCTCAAGTGATCCTCCCACCTCAGCTTTCCAAAGTTCTGGGATTACAGGCATGAGCCACTGTGTCTGGCTACATATTTTCCACAAATAAAGTGATCCTACTTTGTACATAATTTGCAAGTATTTTCTCCCATTCTGTGGGTTGTCTTTCACTTTTTTTTTCTGGAGTCCTCCAAAATTCATGTTATAACCTAAGACCTAATGTGATGATGTTAAGAAGTGAGGCTTTCAAGGTGGTGATTAGGTCATGAGTGCTCTGCCCTCGTGAATGAAATTAATGTGCTTATAAAAAGGCTTCACATAGCATTTCTTCTCCTTTTTTTGCCTCAGCCTCCTGAGTAGCTGTGATTACAGACGTGTACTACCATGCATGGCTAACTTTTGTATTTTTAGTAGAGACAGGGTTTCACCATGTTGGCCAGGCTGGTCTCGAACTCCTAACCTCAGGTGATCGGCCCGCCTCGGTCTCACAAAGTGCGGGGATTGCGGGCGTGAGCCACCATGCCCGGCACATGCATCAGTTTTTATGCTTCCTTGCTTGGACTGATTAACCAGTCAACTACTGGTTCCAATAAAGTTGGATGAGGTGGCTTATACTCTACTTATTTGCCGCCCCCGCTTCTTCCTTTTTTTTGAGACAGGGCCTTTGACGCGCTGGCTGGAGTGCCGTGGTGTCATCTTGGCTCACTGCAGCCTCAACTTCCTGGGCTCAAGCAGTCTTCCCACCTCAGCCTCTAAGTAGCTGGAACTACAGATGTGTGCCCCTATGCCTGGCTAATTTTTGTATTTTTGTCGAGACGGGGTCTCCCCATGTTGCCCAGGCTGGTCTCCAACTCCTGGGCTCAAGAGATCCGCCCACCTTGGCCTCCCAAAGCCCTGGGATTGCAGACATGAGCCACTCTGCCTGGCAACTTGTAACAGTTCTTTGTATGTTCTTGATACAAGTCAGTTGTCAGATACAGCGGTAGTACATAATTAAACATAATTATATAGAACTATATTTTATATAAGCGCAGCATTATATAAAACAGCAAAAATTTGGAAATAACCAAATGTCCAACAATAGGTAGTTAGCTAAGTAAATTGTGAAACATCCATGTAACGAAAGGTATACAACTATAAAAAATGATCTAGACCTATTTATACTGACATTGACAGATGTCTAACATAAATTACATGAAAATAGGAAGTGACAGAGAAGAGAGTATGGTATAATCTCATTTACATTAAAGTAATCAAAAAAACCAGCTTATATAATAGATACAGGCTGGGCAGGATGGCTCACGCCTGTAATCCCAGCACTTTGGGAGGTCAGGGCAGGAGGATCACTTAAGCCTAGGAGTTCAAGATCAGGCTGGGCAACATACCCAGACCCCATATCTACAAAAAGTTTAAAAATTAGCCAAGTGAGCTACGATCACGCCACTGCACTCCAGGCTTGGGGACAGAGCAAGACTGTCTCTAATAAAATAAAACAAAATAAAATAAAATAGGCTGGGCATGGCAGCTCATGCTGTAAAAGTGCTGTAATCCCGGCACTTTGGGAGGCTGGGGCAGGTGGATCACCTGAGGTCAGGAGTTCAAGACCAGCCTGGCCAACATGGTGAAACCTCGTCTGTACTAAAAATACAAAAATTAGCTAGGCATGGTGGTGCACATCTGTAATCCCAGCTACTCGGGAGGCTGAGGCAGAAGAATTGCGTGAACCTGGGAGGTGGAGGTCACAGTGAGCTGAGACTGCACCATTGCACTCCAGCCTGGGTGACAGAGTGAAACTCTGTCTCAAAAATTAAAATAAAATAAAGTAAAATAAAATATAATAGATATAGCTACATATGTGTGAAAAGGACAATAACATTAAATTATGAGTGTTTTCTGTCCTCCCTTGGGGGACCTTTCTAAATAAATAGGAGTATACTCTAAAATAATGATTAAAGGTTTAGTATAGTAAATGACTACATAAAAAAAGCAGAAAGCAAAAACAAGTAAATGGCTACAATGTCACTAGGCAATAGGAATTTTTCAGCTCTACTATTATCTTATGGGATCACAGTTGTGTATGCAGTCCATCGTTAACCAAAACATCATCATGCAGCACAGGACTGTATAGGTATGTATAACATGGACAGAAACAGACATCTCAGAAAAAGCAAGATACAAAATTGTATGTACATTATGATTAAAACAATACTAAACACTAATTTGATAAAAGAGTAACAGCAAATAATTAACTGTGTTTGGTGATGAGATCATTAGTGAAATTTTCTCCCTTTATCTTCCAATCTCTTAGTAATCTTGTATATTGTTTTTTGTAATATTTAAATAAGTTTTACAAGAGTGCTGTTGGTGGCTGGTAGTTGATATTCCTGTTTGTCTTTGTTTATGAAGCTCCCTCCTTCTCTGTGGATACCACGCTTCTTCTTACCCTGTATATCTATAACCAACTGTGAGAGAGTTTTTAATGTTTTGACAAAAATTTTTAAAGGTCCAACAGAACAATCACAATTTTTTCCACTGATTACTGTGATCCCTTTGAATAGTCTTAGCTTGCATGGTCATTTTTACAGTCCCATACTACTATGCAAACTGAGAAATGACTACATATAACATAGATTTACTCTCTATCTTAGTAATTTTAATCTTTATCATTGAGTGCTTAAAGGAACGTCTACAATGCACCATAAACCATACAGCAGAATGTTAGAATTTTCACTATAAAACCAAACACGTCATATATGCACACCCATGAAGTGTACAAACAATACATACTAAGTTATCTCTTAACACTATTTTTCCTTTTTCTGGTGTTTTGTTGTTGTTTGTTTGTTTTTGAGACAGAGTCTCGCTCTGTCGCCCAGGCTGGAGTGCAGTGGCACGATCTTGGCTCACTGCAACCTCCGCCTCCTGGGTTCAAGTGATTCTCCTGCTTCAGTCTCCCCAAGTAGCTGGGACTACAGGTGCATGCCACCATGCCCAGCTAATTTTTATTGTATTTTTAGTAGAGACGAGGTTTCACCATGTTGGCCAGGGTGGTCTCAAACTCTTGACCTCAGGTGATCTGCCTATCTCAGCCTCCCAAAGTGCTCAGATTACAGGGGTGAGCCACTATGCCCGGCCAAATCTTTAATTTCTAAACTAATTTGGAAAGACAGAAAAATTCGTATCTTCCTATGTATGTAATCAAAAAATAGTAGTCAAAATATTCATTGCATTTTCACTGTCACTCAATCTTTTGCCAATCATAATCTATTTTTTTTTAGTTTTTATTTTTAGAGACGGGGTCTCATTCCTGTCGCCCAGTCTGGAATGCAGTGGCACAATCATGGCTCACTGCAGCCTCAAATTTCTGGACTCAAGAAATCCTCCAGTCTAAGCTTCCCAAGGAGCTGAGATTACAAATGCGAGCCACTGAGCCCAACTATAATCCGATTTTTTATTTGTATATCTAATTATTATATAATTTTATATATAATTGCACAATATATACTTTATGAAAAGTAACGGTTTCTAAGATGAAGAAAATCTAACCCCTTCCATGAGTTCCAGTATCTTATTATAACTACACTAAGCTACAATAATAGCTTAATATTAAACATTAATGTTTCTTTGACCTAAGGAAGCTGATTTTTAAAAATAATAAATATTAATTTTAAACACAGTATTAAAGTATTAATAATCAAACAAAGCCACGCAGTGAAACGACATTTGAATTTTGGGAAATTTTCTTTTTTTTTCCTTTTCTTTTTTTTTTGAGACAGAGTCTCACTCTGTCGCTCAGGCTAGAGTGCAGTGAGGAAATCTTGGCTCATTGCAACCTCCACCTCCCAGATTCAAGCAATTCTCCTGCCTTAGCCTCCCAGGTAGCTGGGATTACAGGTGCCTGCCATCACGCCCAGCTAATTTTTGTATTTTTAGTAGACAGGGTTTCACCATGTTGGCCAGGCTGGTCTCGAACTCCTGACTTCAAGTGATCCGCCCGACTCCACCTCCCAAAGTGCTGGGATTACAGGTTGAGCCACCACACCTGGTAAGAATGTTGGGAAAATTTTTTCATACTAACACATTGGCATATCAGTTATCAGTTGGATAAAAGTTTTCTTCCATATAGGAAGTTATAAAATGCCACTGCCCAGAGACAAAATCTTCTGAAGAGTTATTAGATGAATGGCTGACAACATCGAATAAAAATGCACAAAGAACATTGCCATAATAAACTTTTGATATCCAAAGGGCTACATTTGAGGGGTTATATACCTAAAAGAAACCTCTTTCGGCCAATATTTACATCCCCCTTAAACTCACCTACTACTCTCTCTCTATATATGCCCATTAAGATAGGATATCTTTTGAGAACCTGCCTCCAGAAATAAAGTCTTTAAAAAGTTTGGGCCAGGCACGTGGTTCACGCCTGTAATCCCAGCACTTTGGGAGGCCAAGGCAGGAGGATCTCTTGAGGCCAAGAGTTTGAGAACAGCTTGGGCAACACAGCAAGACCTCATCTCTGCAAAAAATAATAAAAATAATTTTTAAAAGTTTAAAAATATAGCATTTCATTTTAAAAAGTGCCTAGAAAAGCAGAAGATTTTAAAACATATAAATGTCACTTGCATCACTAAATACCCCCTTAACCTTCAAACAGTCTCTACTCCAATAACACACATAACAAATAAACCCTAGGCCCTTACAGCAATTGGGTTAAGAAAGGTTAAATTTCAGAATGCATAAAGATAGGAGGCATTTCTCATTCTTATGGTAGAGACTACATGCTGTCGTCTGTGTACATGCTTACAATAATAAAGGCCAACCTTTTATTAATGTTTGCTAATAAATATCCTCCTGATTTTCCATTCCAGCTAAGATTTGATAATATAATTGACTCTTCTGTGTTTTCATCACAAGCAGCACTGTTACAGATATCATTTCCTCTTAATTTATCCACAGGCTGTGTGAATAATTTAGAAAATTATTTTCGAAGGACTCTATCTAGGGAAGTCTTTTGGGTTTTAGAGTAGGGTTCTTTCTGGTTTTCTGCAGCTGTGGGGTCACTCCATCAGAATTTCATGGTTATATCCTTTGCGCAATCTGTAACATTGTTTAAGTTCAAAACTACATACATTATTTCATCAAAATTAAAAACTTTTGGGCATTAAAAGATCCTATCAAGACCATGAAAGACAATCTACAGATATTAATATATCTGTAACCCACAGAAGTATTTGGGAGAAAATATTTGTAAATCATATATCTGATGTGAGAATAATATCCAGAATGTATAAAGAACTACAGAACTACAACTCAACAACAAAAAAGCGCACATCTCAATTCAAAAATGGGCAAAGGATTGAACAGACATTTCTCCAAAAAAGACATACAAATGACCAATAGCACATAAAAAAATGCTCATTAGCACTAGCCATTAGGAAGCTAAAAATCAAAATGACAATACTATGTCACACCCATTAGGATGGTTATTAATTGAAAGAAAACAGAAAATAACAAGTATTGGGTAGATATGGAGAAAATGGAAGGAGCACTTGTGCATTGCTGGTAGAAATATAAAATGGTACAGAAGCCGTGGAAACCAGGTTAGCTGTTCCTTAAAAGGTTAAATATAGAATTACCATATGACCCAGCAATTCCATTCCTAGGTTTATATCCAAAAGAAGTGAAAGCAGGACTCAGATAGATATTTGCACACCAGTGTTCACAGCAACATTATTCACAATAGCCAAAAGGTGGAAACAACCCAAATATGTCCCATCAACAGATGGATGTATAAACAAGATGTAGTATATACAAATTATTCAGTCAAAAAAAGAAATTAAATTCTGCTATGTACTACAACATGGATAAACCTTGAAAACATTATCCTAAGTGAAATAAGAAAGGTCAAATATTGTTTGATTCTATTTCCATGAAGTGTCTAGAATAGGCAAATTCATAAAAAGAGAAAGTAGAATAGAGGTTACCAGGGGCTGGGGAAGAAAAGGGATAGAGAATTTCTGTTTGGGATGATGAACAAGTTCTGGAAATGGACAGTGGTGATGGTTATACAATATTGTGAATGTACTTCATGCCACTAATTGTACACTTTTTAAAATAGTTCAAATGGTAAATGGTATGTTTTATATATATATATATATAACCACCATAAAAATAAAGTAAATTGCCAAAGCCAGGAGAAGGTGGGGGAGAGCTATGTACATACCCGAGTTTGTGAAGATCAGACAAAGATTCACATGAACTATTTTGAAAGTCTTTTACAATAATCCTAGTAAGACATAGCTGAAAACATAATACTGATCATGACTAAGCCATAATCCTATTACAGTGGAAATCATAATTTAGTACAATTTTTTGCTTTCTCAAAGATATGAGAAAAGCTGCATACATGTATTTATATACCAGAAAAATATACCTTTTAGTAAGGGTTTTACAGCAATGCAAATGTCAAAGTAGCACTGGCCTAAATTGAGGCAAATAGTTTTTTAACTAGTAGGCGATAACTGTGAAGGACTTAGTAAATGTGAAAACTTTGAAAAGCTGAAAAATCCACCTCTAGTATTTTGACTTCGCTGACATAGGGAAATGCACAAACATCTACTACATTCCAGATTTAGGGACTCAGGATACTAAGATAAACAGAAAAAGTCTACCCTTTCAAAAGTTTAGCTTATCTCTGCCAGGATCACAAGAGGCACTAGTGAAGAACAGACATTTTGGGGGCATTTTCAAATTCTCAAACTGACACAAATACATGAGATGCGCAAAAGTCTTCTAAATTACAGTGTAACCTACAATTGTCTATCTTCTAATAAATTCTTCTAACACATAGAGAACTTCTGTGTAGTGCAGTTTTCTGAGACCTGTAATTATAAACTTCAGTTACATTGCTATAAACTTCCAAATTGGGAGTTTGAAATATGAGCCACATGTTACTTAACGTTCAGAAGATGTATAAATGAGAGCAAAAGGTTATGGCTTAACAGAAAACTAAATAAGAAATAACTATTGATTTTTAAATAGCAACATATCACAATCATAGACACACCAATGACTGTAACCATATGGTTCTCTCAATCATCAAGCATATGCTAAATTTGTACTTAAAACGGTCCAATGTGACTTTAAAAAAAGGTTACTCTTCAAGCAGCTTTCAATCTAGTTGGGAGAGTAAATTACTACACATAAAACGTGTTATTTATGTACATATATATGTAAAAATACTCAAATACAAAGGATCCAAATGTAAGAATTCAAAGGAGATAAGTTAGTTCAGGAAAGCTCCAAAGAAGGTAAGATTTAGGCAAAGTCCAGAAGGATAGACAGAATTGAATGGAAATGAACCCTTCATAATCTAACTTCATCTTGCCTTTCCAACACATTGTACAATACAAAATTATTAGAATAGATAAAAGCAGTCTATGGCCATACCAACCTGAACATGCCGATCTCATCTGATCTCAGAATAAAAACAAATTAGAAAAGAAGCTGAGTGCAGTGGCTCACGCCTGTAATCCCAACACTATGGGAGGTTGCGGTGGGTGGATCTCTTGAGCTCAGGAGTTCAAGACCAGCCGGGGCAACATAGCAAAACCCCGTCTCTACAAAAAAACACAAAAATTAGCAGGGCATAGTGGTGCACACCTGTAGTCCTAGCTGCTAGGGAAGCTGAAATAGGAGGATGGCTTGACCCTGGGGAGTTGAGGCTGCAGTGAGCAGTAAATGTGCCACTGCACTCCAGCCTGGGTGGCATAAAAAAGTCGTTCCAGATAAGAGAAATCACAGAAATATGGAATAAGAAGAGCATACTAATTAGCCCACTTAATGCTTATTGTAGAGAAGTGGTTAAATATTTTACATAGGAATACACATGTCAAATTATATAAATCATATGGGAGAAAAAACGCTCCAAAAATTACATGGAATTTTGACATGACTTTCCAATGTACCCTATTCATACCCACTACTCATTTGCTATTTGAGAGAAATGTCTCAGAACCAGTCAAACCAAGGCTCACCTTCAAAACCAGGTGGGCACCCAAATTATAACAAGAATTAGAAATTTGTGTTTGTCCTTGCATATAAGGCTGTGTTTCATTTTTCCTTCATATTTACTACTGATTGCTTCATGAATTCAGATAATTTCAGAGCCAGGAGGCATTATTTATAACCCAAATTTTAAATGTTTATATTCCTGAAACATTTGAATATTTGCATAAATGTCATGAGACAAACAAAATTTACTCTGTAGAAAGCACAATTTACCAGATTATTACTGCTAGTTTTATTCTGTCAGCTCTCTCCTTTAAGGAGAAAGCACAGCACTAGGTAGTCCCATTTATTACATCAACATTTTAATAAGGCCAGGCACTGTAGCCCATACCTGTAATCCCAGCACTTTGAGAGGTTAAGGCCAGAAGATTGCCTGAGTTCAGGAGTTCAAGACCAGCCTGGGAAACAACAGTGAGATTCCCATTACTACAACAAAATAAAAAAATTAGCCAGGTGTGGTCCGCACATCTGGAGTCCCAGATACTTGGGAGGCTGAGATGGAAGGATTGCATGAGCGCAGGAAGTAGAGGCTGCAGTGAGCCATGATCGCAGAAATGCACTCCAGCTAGGGTGACAGAGGGAGACCCTATCTCAAAAAAAAAAAAAAAAAAAAAAAAGAGAAAGAAAGATCTGTATCTGTCCCTTGGACTATTTGCCTCCTACTCCTCCAATTCGTTCTTTATATTTCCCATAGAATAATCTTTGAAATGCACCTCTAGTCATTTTACTCAGGTGCTCTTCTTCAGTGGAAGGTACGTATGCCCTATGGTTTGAAGTCAGTCATTTCAGCATGGCAAGCCCTAGTAGTTTCTATGATTTGGTCCCTGTCTGAACACTGTGTACCCTTGCAACTGTTGCTTTCTAGATCTTGAAATGTTCTGCTTCTCCACAGGTTCCCCCTCTTATCTCTCCTATTACTTACATAAACTGCACAAATCTTACTATATAGCTTGACTGAATTTTTAGGGATGCATCCAAGGAATTATCCTGCAAAATTAAGATACAGAACATTTCCAGCACCCCAGTAGGCTCTCTTCTGTTCTCTCCCAGTCAACACTGACCCTCAGAGGTCACCACTATTCTGTCACCATAAATTAGTTTTGCCTATTTTGGAACCTCATATATACAGTAATGCAGTATTTACTTTTTTCGTGTGTATGTGTGCATGGTGAACTCATTTTTAAGACCAAATTTTATGCATCTTCTCTGTGAAGCAAAACCCTGTCTGTTCCACACAGACTTAGAGTGGCAGAGGAGTACCTTAACCTATCAAAGGCTATTTTGAGCAAAAGCCACTTTGTGTCATTGAAGCTGTAGAACTGAGCCACAAGAGGGAACTGTTAAAGTCCCAGGGTCAAGGACCAGGTACCTACGTTATCCCCACAGCACAGAAGCACAGCCTGAGTCTCTTCTTTGGCTGAGCCAAGGGCGTGCTGGAGAGGCCTGAGAGAAGGAGCGGCCCTTGTGACCAGTGCCCTTTTGGTTCACAAGGAACGTCTCCTCTTGTTGAAGTGACTTGGCTGAGCTTGCTACTTCTGCTTTCAGAGCCCAATATCAGGATCAAGACTTCAATTATCCCCAATTTACAGATGATGAAACCATATTGGGCAGGAAAGAAAGTCACCCCAGGAGAGCGAGTTGGACCCGGGCACTGGCTGAGGACAAAGGGGAATGATAATTTGGGATGTAGCTTGTTAAGGGGTCTCACAAGTGTTCTTGTGATCCAGGTGGCGAGAGGATAGAGCAGAAAGGTTGCCAGGGAGACGAGGGTAGGGTGCACTGCGAGAGTGGGAGAAATTAAAGAGAACACGCAACAAAGCCTTGGGACACTGGGAGGGGGATGGACCACCCAGTTTTGTGCTATGGGAGAAGAGAGCAAGAAAAGGAATCTGTGTTAAATCCCGACAGCCTGCAGGAGAAGCAAATGCCCTTCATTTTCTTCATCAGCAGCGAGACTGGCATCCCTGTAGCTTTGAGAAACCATGCTAGTGTAGATGCCAGCTCCCTCCAGCGGGCCTGACTGGGAGAACTTGGGCTGGGGTTCTGGTCTGGGGCTCCTAGGCCTGATGGGAAGAGAGTTCAGCCCAGCTTTCCTGTACTTCAGCTCGTATGCAGACGATGGCCATTGTTGAAATGAGAGACTCAAAGGAAGCTGGAACCTGAACTTTTTTGTTGTCTCGTGGACACCTGTGTTCAGTTTCGGGTTCTACCTCTTGCTGTCTGTGTGTTCTTAGGTGACTCACTTAAACCTTTCTGAGTCTCATTGTCTTCATTTATAAAATAAAAGACGTAACATTGATGTCAGATATTGTCCTGAGCATTAAATGGGAGAATAAGCAAGCCTCTTCTGCATTCCCCTGGCTTCCAGTGGGTGGAGGCCAGAGAAGCTGCTAAACATCCTGCCAGGTGCAGGACAGCCCCCATCGCAAAGAATTGTCTGGCCCCTGATGTCAGTAATGCAGTATTGAGGATCCTTGGTGTGGGGGAAACAGAATAAACTCAGAAGCTTGGCAGATCTCAATTCAAACCCCGGTTGTACGGCCTCCAGCAGGCCTTGGTCAGGGAATAGTATCTAGCTAAAGTTCATTGACTTCATTTTGTTTTCATTGAATTTATGTTTTGCTGGCTTTCCATTTATGAGAGTGATACAAATTTCCTTTAAACATGAAGTTGTAAATATAAACAGGTAGGCCATTCACAGGAATGTCTAAATTATGTCACAGGAAAGGTGGCACTCTCATATGGCAATAATTATGACAGGGGCCGGCAAATGACCTGCGTGACCCGGAGTGACCTGAGCACTGACTCCCAAATGCCCTCCATAGGATGTTCTGCATCCCCGAGACCCTTTCCTGGGTCCTCCTGGGCCCTACCACCCCCTAGACCATCCAGACTTCAGGTCATCCCCCTGTCTGTTGACAGAGTAGTCTCCGTTCCTGAATGTGCTGGTCACCAGCAACAGCAGCTGCTCCTCCTCCAGGAAGCTCAGCCTATACTTCTACATGCAGAGAACCTGGACGGCACCCAGGTGGACCTAAGCCTTCAGCTCCCAGTAGACGCTCTGGGTTTCCTACCCTGCCCAGACACTCTGGGCTTCCCCCCACACCTCCCCTCGGCCGGGGCTCCTGTGTGCATCTGTCTCTCCCAGTGCCCAGCACAGGCGTGGAACGGAAGAGGTGAATGGACCGATTTGAACACATCATCCTGGATTCTCCGTTCCCTCTCAAGCCCTGCAGCTAACCCATCGGCAAGCCCTGGAGGCTCTGCCTCCAAAATCCTGCCTATCCCATGTGCAAACGCCTCTCACCATGTCCACTGCTATTTGCAGTTCTGTGTGTGTGGAAATACTTCCACAAATTTGGAATGAACAGGTCACAGCTGTGCCTGGAGGGAATGGCCAGGGAAATGTGCCCTCGCCTTGCTGTTCTATCCAGGCCCACCCAGCTGAGGATGGGGGACCTGCCACCACTCTCCTGGCAGTTCCGGACTCCTGGGAACCGGCAGGTGAGGACCCAAGAGTGTTTTCAGTGACCCGGCTGACCTGGTCATCCGTCAGTCCCACCTTGGCCTAGGCCTCTATACAGCACAGATCACAGCTCATTCCATCCTGGCATTACACTGGCCTGTGCCCTGTCCTCAGGGTCACATCCGTCTCCCAGAAGCCGTGCAACCCTGGAAAACCCAGGTCTAACAGTCAGGTTCCTCCTCCGTGCATTAACAATGGCGTTGACGCCTGCTTTGCGGCACGCTGGGAGGGGAGAGGGAGGTGTATGCTGGAGAGCTCCCCAGGGGCAAGGCCTGGCTCTGCGTCACCCACTGTCAGATCCTGAGAGCCTGGGGCTGGCCCAGCACGTGGCCACCGTTCCCTAAGAGTTGGATTTCATCCCTCAGTGCTGAAGGCAGGGGATAGAGCTTAGACAGACCCCCTGCGTCCTGTCTTCTTTATCTACAGCTTTCTCATCCTTGCCCCTTTCACGTGCACCCGGCAGAGCAGGTGTTCACTGAGCTTGAGCAAAATTCAAGCTAGAGCAGCTGATGGATCTTGAGGCCTAGATTCACTGTCAAAGTGTTTCTCAAACGGTGCTCTCCAGAACACCAAGGAAAACTCATTGACTGTGTAAGTCTGAAAATCCCTGCCCACCGGTCTACCTTTGTGTATGAGCAATCAGCTCTACCATTCAGCCCAGGTGTGTGTTTGCTGGACCATGTGGAGGAAGCTGAAGAGACGTGAGCTGAAGGCAGAGGGTGAGTCCAAGGTGGGATCTTGGGACAGGTACGAGAAGTTAGGCAAAAATGGGATAATTCTAGCCTTCATAACCTTAGATAATAGTTCACATTATTATTTAGTTAATAGAACTGTACCCACATTAAATTTCTTAAATTTTTTTAAGAGATAAAGTCTCACTCTGTCACCCAGGCTGGAGTGCAGTGGTGCAATCATGGCTCACTGCTTCCTGGAACTCGTGGGCTCCAGCAATCCTCCTGCCTCAGCCTCCTGACTAGGTGGGACTATAGGCACACGCCACCATGCCTGGCTAATTTCTTTGACTTTTCTCTAGAGACCGGGTCCACCTAGGTTTCCCAGGCTGGTCTCAGACTTCTAGACTCAAGTGAACCTGAACCTCCCGCCTCGACCTCTCAAATTGCTGGGATTACAGGTGTGAGCCACCACACCCGGCCTAAATTTCTTATGTGCCATGGGACTGCAAAACATCATTATTAGGGGCAGCTGGATGGAAGGTATAGGAGGATACTATAGTGCCTTTTCAATATTTCTGTCTAAAATCTAAAATCATTTCAACAGGAAACATTTATTTCAAAACATGAAGGTGGTTATCCTTCCATGAGTTTGAAGTACAAAGGCAGGCTCACGGTGTCGTCAGAATTCAGAACGATGGTCGTGGGGCTGGGGGTGCTGGGAGGGGCTGGGCATGGTTGGCTTTGTGATCTGGGGTCTGGTGTGTTCCATCTCTGAATCTCTCTCGAGCTGCACTCTTTCTTAATACATTTTCATAAGTTTAACCAAAAATAAAACGAGGATGCGAAGCTTGCTTGGGTTGTTAAGCCTAGGGAAATTATCCAGCCATGAGCCCTGGCCCAGATGCTTCTAGAAGCCTGGAGGGAACTGAGAACTTTCCAAGTGGAGGCCGCAGAGGCAAGGCCCTGAGGTGGGAGCACACTGCTGTTCGTCCCTAGCTCTGAAGGGGGTGCCCTGGTCGGAATCAGTGCTGGGTGCAGCGAAAGCCGATCTCACCCGCTCCGCAGGGTGTTCAGCCTGCCAGCAGGGGGCCAGCTGGTCCTCCTGGGATATGGCACGGACCCAGCAGCTCTGTCTGAAATCATAATGGCGGAACCAAGGGCCCTCTACGTCCAGGTCCGTTGGGAGGCGGGGCATGGAGTTCCACTGCAGGAATCTCCAGGAACCCTGAGGTCCTCCCTGAGCCAGGGCCGGGCTGGGCACACCCTGAGTGCCCACAGGGTAGGTGTCTTCCCGGACAGCCCCACCAGGACAGGGTGTGGAAGAACGAGGTGCCCGTGGCGGGGAAGCTGACCAAATGGGCCGCGGGAACCGGGCTGGTGGGCCTGGAGGGGCCTGCCTGTCCCCCTTGCAGAGGGTCTTCCCGCCACGTGAAGCCGGCACAGGCCTGGATGCCGACGACCCTTGCTCGGGTTTGGCTGAAAGGAAAACAGACGCGGTCAGCATCTCCAGTGAGCCCACGCAGGCCTTTCCGGGCTGGGCCCCACCTGCCTGCGTCTCTGGAGTCCTCGGGGTCTCTGTGTGGCCCCCGTGGCCTGACACCGAGGACACGCCTGTAGTCTGCTGATCCCAGAGGGAGGGGTGCATGCTGCCTGGCGTGGGGAAGCTGTCGTGGCATGGCGGGTGGCTCCTGGGACTGCCCCCAGGGTTCAGACTGGCTGGGGGCTTCCTGCCACACACCTTCGTCCCAGGGCTGTTGGGCCTGGGATACGGCCCCCAGTCAGAACTCAGGTGGGAGGGGCCTTGGATGTCACCCAGCCCCTTGTCACCTCACGTGGGGACCCGTCTCCGCAGTGGGTGATTGGGCCCGGACGTGGGTCACCCTCTGCCCTCCTGGGCTGCCCAGTCCATGCCAGGACTGACCGTTCCCACTTCTGGCTGAACTCTTGGCTCTGGCTCTGGGCCCTCTCCCTGAATGCTCTGTGGGTCAGGGACACGGATTCCCTTGTCTCCCTGGCTCCAGGCTTCTTGTCCTGGCAACCTTGGAGGAGCGTGCAGGAGTGAGGGGCCTCTGCTGCTCTCTGAGGCTGTGGGTGCTTGCAGGGAGGGGCGGGGTCTCCCACAAATGGGTCTGGGCTCGTCTAGTAACTTGGAGGGCCCTGCGAGGGGGAGAGGGAGACACCGTGGAAAGTGGGAGGGGGCTTGTTGGAGGGTCTTGCCCACATCCCCCTCCTGCATGCACAGCATGTCCAGTATACACGCACTGAGCGCCTGCCCTGAGGACCGGTGGGCCTCCTGTACTTTCTTAGAGTCCAGGAGGAAGAGGAGGAAGAAAAGGTGAAGAGGAAGGCCCAGGTAGTAGGGTTGCGGGTCCCGGGCACTCCCCTACTACTGACTACCCCAGAGGGTGACATGGGAGGGGACATGGCACTGGAGCCCACCTGGGGGTGGCAGGTCCCCCTGCTTTCTTGTTAGTTTCTTCATAGAGGCCCTAAGATGCTTGAGCACAGTGTCCTCATCCCTGGCCCAGGTATCAACGAACCGGTTGCAAAAACGTGCCCACGGGCCACACCTGGACGTCTTCGTGAGGCGCTCTAGGGACAGGGTGGATATCAGGCCAGGGGAGTTACCTGGGAATGGTCACAGCTCATATCCCGTGGCCACTTCAGTCTCCTACTGGGCGGTGCCGGATCCTTTTGTGGCCACCCCAGGTGTCCAGATATACACAGGAGACTGTGGCTGGGGGGCGATCCGGACAGGGAAGTGCTCACCACACTCTCGACTTTCATCTGGGTCATGTGGGGGATGGGCTCAGTGTCACAGTGTCCTGCCCAGCCCACCTGGCCAGACCTCCCTCTGGGCCAGAACAGCGGATCATGAGGACAGTGTGAGGAAGCTGCCCTCGGGCCAGTCGGGGTCTGACCCCAGGGCTCCCCAGGCCCCGCTGGGCACACGTAGACTTACTCTGCTGAACCTTAAAGGCGATTCTTGTTATCGGCATCAACGCCTGTTCGCCTTCTACCAGATACACGTCCCACAGGCGCAGGGTGAGCCCGAGAGAGATCTGTGGGGACAGCAGGTGTGAAAGAACCTGGTCCTTCCAGGCTGGGGCTGGTGGCTCGAGCTGCGCACACTGGGGCTTCAGTCTCCAGAGTCAGTGACCTTCCCCATGAGGGTCGCCTGAGCCCTCCAGGACGCTGGGTCAGACAAGGTCTTGAAGCTCCTCATGGGGGGCACTCATTTGAGTGGGGATGTGGCTCCTGGAGAGAGGGGCTTGCCCAGGGCTTGAGGCTTCCCTGAGCCCTCTCAAGTCGGGTCCTGGCCCAGTCTGCCCATGAGGCTGGGCCTGAGCCCCAGCCATGGCCCTGGGATGACCCCCCTTGGGCAGAGGGTTTTGCTTGTGTGTCCTTTGGGGACCCGCCTGAGCCTCCTGTGGGCTGGGAGTGAGCCAGACCCCCGGGCTGGGGAAGCAGGGCACTGCAGGGCAAGGAAGGTCCCTGAGCCAGGGTCTCCCTATGCCTCCTTACCCCGTCAATCAATATCCGGATGAGGCAGCCTAACGGGGAACACTGCCCACATAGATCTTTCTTGTCCTGATGGAAGCAACAGAGGTGCTCAGGCCACTGGGCTGCCCTAAAAACCTCCCTCTTCCAGGGCCTCTGAAGACCCTTCCCCTAGTGCAGAACACTGGGCGGTGTCCAGAGCTCCCCACAACACTGTCACCTTCCCACACTCCCGGTGGACACACTGCCCTTTGCCCTGCTCTGTGGGAGCTGGGCCCCCATCCCTGTGCCTCTGTCTCCTCCAGGGCAGGAAAGGAAACCAACTCCCAGCCCATGGAGAACCCGACGTCCCAGGTCAGGCCCTGGCTGGGACTCAGCCAGTCACCAGCCCCACGAGGGGCTCCAGCCCCCCTGCTCCTACAGCCCCACGGGAGGCAGGGCCTCTGGGAAGAGCTGAGGGGACCATAAACTCACCTGATGCCCCATGGTCTTGGGTTGTGACGTGGCTACCACATGCTCCTGTTGGTCTTGGAGCCCCTGGACGGTCCCGCCATTTGGGCTGTGAAATCCTGAGAAGCCCCCAGCCCATCATGAAATCAGAGCCTTCCCCCAAGATGTGGAGCCATCAGCTGCAAGAGCTGGGCAGCTGGAGAGGCCCCCAAACCCCAAGGCCTCCCACCCTCCCATCTGGTGACCCCAACATGCGGCCTTTACCCTGGGGAGGTGGGGCGGGAACATTCCCTGGAGCCTGGCTGGAGGTTCCCCTGGAGGCCTCCTGGGCCAGGGTGCAAAAAGGGCAAGCCTGACTTTCAGGCCACGACAGGGTGGCCGGAACTGGGTGGGCGCTGGGCTTCCCGGTCATCTCCTGGTAGTGGGGTCGGGCCAGGGAACAGGGGATGGGGAGATGCTGCCACCTGGGCTTGGTCGGCCCATTCGTGGGCACCGATGGCAGCAGGAGCCCGGGCAGCTGGAGGGCAGGAGGACTCTCAGGGAGGGGAGAGTCAGCTGCACAGAATCAGAGCCGGAGGGCGTGGCTCCAGGACACAGAGGGTGGCCACGGGGAGGATGAGATGCCCTCTGCTGATGGGGATGACAGGCGTCTGATTTGGGCTTTGGGGGTCAGCCGTGGACTCCTGTGGGACCCTCAGCAGAGACATCCTAAAGTCTCCCAACAAGCTGGCGACACAAGGAGGGTGCCTTGGCTGAAAGCTGTGATCACCTGGCCAGGGTGGCCATCCCCAGGTCTGGCTGCAGGAGGTCCCCGGGGCAGCTGTTCACTTACCCTGCAGGGAGTGCCTCTCACTGGCCAGCAGCTGCACCAGTGCCCAGAATGCATCCTCCTCAGGAAGATAGAGGAGGAACAAGGCGGCGATGTGGCTCAGGTCCCTGCAGTAGCCCACCTCCTGCAAGAGCCAGAGTCACCATGGAAGGACATCACCTGGGAGGGCTGAGGTCACCTGGGAGGACTCATGTCATTGGAGAGGGCAGAGGTGACTGGAGAGGCTTCCTCTGAAGGAGAGGCTTCCTCTGAAAAAGAGGCTTCCTCAGGATGCACATTCATTTCATGACAAGAGCCAAGTCCATCAGGCACTTCAGCACCTTGTCCAAAATGTCTGCTGATAGCACCATCCTGTGTGCGATGCTGCCAAGCTCCTGGGCTTTGGGGCAGCCCCAGGAGGAGGGCGTCATTTCTTGTTCTGAGAAGTGGTGGTCAGGCCCAGGTGACACCAGGAGTCCGGGCCCTGACTCCTTTGTGTCTCAGCTTGACCCCTTGAGACCACCCCCTTCCTTGGAGGTTTATGCCAGCGGTGAGCTGACATCCTACCTCCTATATCCTGGTGGGTCACAAATACTAACTTTAAAAGAAGCAACGACACCCCCACCAGACACCCACTCCTGTCAATATGGAAATATGGCCCGGGAACCTCACTGCCGGGAATACTCACCGGGTTATACTCCTCATATGCCAGGAGGATGTGGAGTAGTTCCCGCTGCCTAGGAAACAGAGAAAGGGGGCTTTGGTTTGTTTTGTGCAGATGTTGTTAATTTCACTTTGTCTACAAAGCCTAACAGCAAATCCCATTTCAGGTTCAGATGTTTCACCAGATAAGCAGTGAGCTCTTCAGGGCCTGAGACTCTTGAAGAAATGTTTCAGTAAAATCCACATCTGTGACATGCAAATAGCCCAGTTGTACAGTGACTTGCCTGATCCTTTTCACTCTGAATGATTTTTTTTTTCAGTTTGCACACACGCCAGTTCAGTCTGTGGGTGTACAGTTCCTCCACGGTTCCAAACCGATGTGCAGAGTCTCCCGGCCACCGCTCCAGCCCCTCCTGGGGCGACTCCTTCATCCTCCAAGTCTCCAGGGTGGCCCCTATGCAACCAGCCTCTCCCCGATCCGTCAGCCCCTGGCCACCCAGACTGCTTCTCAGTCCCTGTGGTTTGGCCTTTTCCAGAATGGCCTAGGAATGGGAATCCTACTGTGGTAGCTTATTGGGTCTGGCTTCTGTCCCTCAGCAAAATGCATCTAGGATCCACCCACGTTCGTGCGGGCATCACCGGCTCGTTCCCTTTTCTCACTGGGTCTTCCGTTTGAAGGGAGGACCAGCCTTGCTCTCCCCATCCCCGTGTTGAAGGCCGTCCCCGAAGGCTCCGTGTGTGAGTGACGAGGAGTCAAGCAGTGAACCTGGCATGCTGGTTTCATGTGGATGTCAGTTTGCAAATCAGTGGGTTCAATATCTGTGACACTTTGGGGATGTGTGGTTCAAGTCCATCGAGCTTTGTGAGCCACTGCCCAACTGGCTGCCAACGTGGCTGTGCCATGTCATGTTCCCAGCGGACCTGGATGAGAGTTTCCAGGACCCCTAATTCTCCCAGCATTTGGTGCTGTCACTGTTGCCTGGGGGGGGCTCATGGGCCCTCTATCCTGCCACCCTCCCGTGGGTCCTACCATGGGTCCCCATGGGTCAGGGAGAGCACCCTTCACCATTGTGCATGATTTTGTTTGCTGCCTTCCATCTCCTCAGGATCCTCCTGGGTTCTGGCCCCACATGTTCCAGTCTGGCCCAGGGCTTGGAACCAGGGAGGTGCTCGGTTCATGGTGCCGGCTGCTCCCTGGGCCGGGAGAGCTCTTGGCAGCTGTGTCATCCCTCCTGGGTGACCCTGGCTTCTGCTCCGGGGAAGCCCCCATCCCTCTCATTCACCCCATCTCTGCTGGGACCCTGTGGCTCCCGTAGGCTTACTTGGTTCCGTATCGATCCCTGAAGAACATATGCTTCCTTAATGTCCCGCTTATGTCCCGGTCGATGCGCTGGATGTGCTCAGATGACCTCTTGCCCTTCTCCTTCATGATCTGTAGGGCAGGGCCAAGAGGAGGAAGCAGTCTCAGAACAGATGGAAGACTCCCTGCCCCCAGTGGCAGTCAGCCCACAGTCAGCACTTCGGGAAGGAAGGACAGAAGGAAGGTTTCCTTCTGCAGAAAGCTGCATTTTGGCTTGTTACTGAAGCCAGGGAGGGTCACCAGAGCTGAGTTTGTCTGTGGTGACTGTGTCACCATCTGTGCCCAGGGTGTTCATCTGACCTTCACCCCCAGCTCCCCAGGGTGGTCTTGACGTTCCCTCCAGCTGGAGACCTGGGCCCCGACACGGCCTGTCCTGTTTGTTGTGCTCTGGCTGAGCGTACCTGGTATCTTCCGGGGTTTTTCAACTTCATTTCCTCAATGTTCAGGAGGACTGACCACATCGGGCCCCGGATGTTCATGGGCATTCCCTTGTACGCTCGATCTATGAGCTGTGGGCAGAAAACGATCTGGTGTCACAGGCCACGGGGTGACCCCAGTGAGGACCAGAGCCCGGGGATTCTGGAAATTGTCGGTTTTGGCCCCATGATTCCTCAGTAGAGGTGAGATCAAGCTGGGACAGGGTCTCCCTTCCCAGGACTGAAAGAGTGGATGGACACTCAGAGTCGAAACTCTGATCTGAACCTTTTCCTTCCTTCAGGTCCCCAGGGCATCCCTAGCCTTGAGCTCCGGGTAGTCCCAGCCCTAGATTCAGATTCCCTCCCTGCAAGGTGACGCTTGCACGAATAGGCAGGAAATCTGGCGACCAGGCCTGCAGTCCTCTGGGCGAGGACAGTGTGCCGCCCACCCTCTGAGAGGCTGATGGTGCCAGGCCACAGCCATGGGTGCCTGTCCCCTGTCTCTGCAGAGAGTGCTTCCTCCCTCCACACGTTACCTTTCTGCTGCTTTTGTATTTCTCCCAGTCTCCCAGCATATCCACCCACTTGCTCTTTCGGCTGATCTCCCGCCGAATTTGCTGTCAAATGAGGCATGTTGGAGTTAGCGGAGCTGCCAGGCTTCCCAGAGCCGCCCGCAGATGCTGGGTCTTGGGCTCTGGAGCCCTGGTGGGAGCCAGCTGGAAGGAGCCAGGGAAGGGCAGACCTCAAGGGCTGAGAGCCTTTGAGCAAATGAGCACCAGTGGGCTGGCTTTGGGACCCCGGGATGTACCATCCTCAGGCCACAGACACACCAGTCTTAGGTCCCAGCCTCTAGGTGGGGTCCTGACACAAGCGCGCAGCCACCCCCAAGCCAGGACTGTGGTTCTCCTTTTGGAATTTTATCAAACTGCCAAAGTGAACAGCAACCTGGGGTCAGGTCCAGCAGGGACTGCTGCCCCTCCCAGTGACAGCGTGTTGCCCTCACCCGCCACCGCTCAGGCCAGCTGCTTCCTCTGCCTCACTGACCACCCGCCCAGTCCCTACGTCCCTGGACCAGCCCCTCCACGCATCAGGCTCTTACCTTCGCCTCCCGCGCAGTCAGAGGAGGCAGCTCCGTCTCACTGTAAGGCAACCCAGGCAGAGCTGAGGAACTGCACGGGGCCTGGAGCGGCCCCAGCCTGGGTGCCGACCCCCAGAAAGGACTGGCTCTGTCCCTTTCCAGCTCAGGGCTCAGCCCAGGAGAAGGCACAGGGAAGGGAGGACAAGGGCCTTCCTGTGGGGCTGACTCCCAGGAGGGGCAGGACCTGGGAGAAGAAGGAGTGTAGGGACAGCCTGGCCGGGGTTACTGGGGCCCCTGGCGTGGGGGGCGGTCAGGCTGCCCAATGGGGCTGCCCGTCCTGGACTCGAGGTGGTGCTTTCTGCTGGAGCTGAGAAAGGTTAGCCCTGAGATGGGATGGGGGCCGCCCAGGGTGGGCGACCGGGCCCTGACAGGAGTCCCTCAGGGAGTGACCACATCCCCCCGCCAGGGTCAAGGGAGCCTGCCCTGAGACCTGCCCGGTGTACTCTGGCTGCACCAGGGGCCCACCCCACTTGACAGCCCCAAGGCCCTTGCAGGTTCTGACCTCCCAGCATCCACCTGCCTCTCCCTGCACCCGAGCCACACACCCTGCGTTTCAGAAGTGGCACCGCTCGTCAGCTCCCTCCCGCCCTACCTCCCCAGGGATCCTCTGTCTCTCCATCCTGTGATCCCTGAGGGATGGGCTCCTGGCTGGGCTCCTCTTACCTGGCCCCAGATCCCTTCCCAGCACCAGACCCAGGTCTTTAGCCGCGAGCCCTGCTGCCTCCCTGGCCTCACCGTGAGATGCCCAGAACGGGGCCCTGCCCATCTTCTCCCCCGTTCTCCTAGGGCTACAGCCCCCATTGTCACCATGCCTTTTCCCCTCACGGGACAGTGAGGGCTGTAGCTCTAGGGGAATGGGGGAGAACAGGGGCAGGTGGGCCCTCAGAGACCTGCTGGACAACAGCCCTGAGGCTGGGCCAGGCGTCCCCTCACCCTGTGGCCATAACCCTTGCATCTCACCGGGGTTGTCTCCAAGTAGACAGGGCCAGACCCTCAGGCTGCCCCGCTCCTCTTGTGCTCACTTGCCGACAGAACTGCTGAGCGCCCAGGGGCCTGACCTAGCCCAGTCTCCATTCCCACCGGCTCCCTAGATGGGCCCCACACCTCTGGCCTAACAACCTCGGGCTGGACCTGCAGGGGAGTCAGGGAGGAGTTCTGTCCCTGGAAAGGAGGTTGACCCGACCTGGTGAGACATGTCCTGCGTCAGAAAGGCCTTTCTAAAAGCAAACCCATCCCTGAGCTGAGACAGGTGCTTTAGGGGTGAGGGGAGTGCAGAGGACTCACTGTACAATCCCCAAATGATCGACGTTGTTGTTGTAGCTTCGAAAAGGCTTAGGCCCCTTGTCCTCTGGCAGCCCAGCTCGGTGTCCCTGTAGCCCAGAGGGAGCCTTGGTGAGGGGTCCAAGGTAAAGGGTGCAAGGGCCTGGGGGCATTGGCCACCCGTCCCTGCCCTGTGCTCCTAGGGAGCCCAGGACCCTTTGACCAGGGCACACTGGAAGAGGCCTCCCTCCAAGAAGCAGACCGACTTGTACCTTTTCGTATTTCATAATGATGTCCTCTCGCTCTTGTGCCCACCAACTGCCCGCGACCTCTACCACGTCCATCCTGTGAGACAGAATTGTCTAAAGGTCACACTGTACGCGGCGGCTTCGGAGAACACCTGAACCGCTCTCGCCGGGCTCCCAGATGCTGGCTGGCTGCGTAACCCCCATTCCACCGCCGCCCCCAGGGAAAAAGGGGCCAGACCCAGTGGCCCACAGCTGCTCCAGTCTCTGGAGTCTCAAGTCCCAAGCAGGGGTGGGCATCTTCCCAAGGACTTGAGTACAGTGGGACCTAGACAGAGAATCCTGTTGTCCCCCAATGCCATGAAATGGGGACACACCGGCCCCAGCAGGTTGAATGGTTTCCACCTGCCAAGGGTGAAGGGCCCATGATGGGCTATTCCAGGGATGTGGAGGCAGACTGGGGTCAGCGACCAGAGGTCTCTGTGCAATCGGCCTCCTGGGATGCTCAGGGCCTCAGCGATGCCCAGTTTCCTACAGGGAACAAGATCTCTCCCGACTGCTCGGTTCTACTCCGCTCATCACTTTGGCTACCGTGGCTCTTCAGTCTGAACAGTGAAGCCACTTTAGGAATAACGCCTGTTGAGCAGGAGGGTGTTGGGTTTGGGGGATGAGGAAGATCTATTGTACGCATGGAAACCACGTCTCTCGCGGAGGGACTGTGGAGTCCACCATTCTGAGCCGTCCCAACAGGAGGAGGCTTCATTTTCCTGGGTCACTGAGGAAGAACAGTGGGTCCTTGGTCCTGGAGAACAGCTGGATGGACCGTCCCTCCTGGGAATACTCGAGGCAAAAGGAGGGCGAGGCCTCAAGAGGACCACGCAGAGCAAGAAATACCTGGGGAGAACCCTAGTGCCCGGACCCCTTTGAACACAAGGGAAGATAGTCTCCCCTCAGCCAGCCCTCCAGGGCTCCTTCATTTTCCACAGCTGCCCAAGGGCAGCAGGCTCCCCCGGACAAGGGACCATGTGTGTTCAGTGGGGCCCACAGCGACCATCAGGACCCAGCTTAGGGCACAGAGGTGTTCTGAGGACCGTCAGTGGATCTGTACCAGTGGCTCTATACCAGTGGCTCTGCCAGGACCAGGCTCTGCCCCATCGGGATGGGAAACCTGGGCAGATTTGGGATCTAGGGCAGGGAGGTCACAGGGTTCAGGCCTGAATTCCAGCACAGCACACGGCAGGGCTGAGAGCAAAACTCAGGGTCATGTCCGGATTCCCAGGCCGGTTACTGCCTCTCTGACCCCAGACGTCTCATCTGTCGAATGGGGACATTTGGGAACAGCACCCACTCTACGAAGCCACCATGGAGACGAAAGAGCCAATCGTCTACACGGGCAGTGTAGAACGGGCGCCTGGTGAGTGCTCAGGGATGACCCTCCTCGGTAGCTGCCCCACAGAGGCCAACACCGCCCGCACCGTAGCCACTGCCCCCAAGTCCGCCTGGAGGGAAGAGAGCAGGTCACGCTCACCTGATTCTGATGAATCAGCTGGCCTGGGTCATGCCTCTCAGGGAGAAAACCTTTGAGTCCACAGAGCTGCTCACAGATACCACTGCCTGTGTGTAACTGCTGTAGACCACTGAGGCAGACCAGAGAGCAGATAGGTGCTAAGCACCAGTGACATTCTGAGGTCATGGCACGAATCACAGTGGGGCCTTGCCCGGGTCAGCAGCACCCAGAGTCAGGGTCCTCCGCTGCCTGAGGCGTCAACATGCCTGCCTGCAATGTGTTTGTGCACGTGCGTGCACATGTGTATGTGGGTAAACACATCTGTGCACGTGTGTGCTGCTTCTCTGGCCAGGCCCGGCTGCCCCACTCATGTGTGCACCCAGTTCCTCATCACTGTCACCCCCGAGGCCCAGGGCCAGCATCAGAGCATCCATGGCTGCTCCCTAACCTCAGCCCTCCCTGCCCAGGGTGGTCCTGGGATACACATAGCGGTGGAGGGAAGTGACTGCTGCTGTTGGATCTCAGAATACAAAAGCTAGTACTATTACCTAATGGTCTTTTTAGTGTCTCTAATGGTATCGCTTTTTCATTTCTGATATTTTAACTGGGTATTTCTCTCCATGACCCTTGGATATTCTAGCTAGAGGATCCTGTGGGGAAAGTGCCGGGCACACAGTAGGGGCTCACTCTTCTAGACATGTTATCTAAAACCTGGTTCATCTGTCCTTCCACACAGGGCCTAGGGGATGCCAAATTCCAGGGGCCAGAAAGAGCTTGGGATAAAAAGAAACTTCAAGGGGACGGCTTTGACCTGGGCTGAGTCTGCCTGTGCCATCCAACTGGAGTCTCAAGTCCTGAGGCAGGACGTCCAGATGCCCCAGTGCAGGGTCCTCCTGATCAACACCTGCTCCCCTGTACTCATTAGCAACCTCACCCACCCTACTCTCAAAGCACACTTGGCTCTCGTATCCAGGAGCTCTGCATCTGTAGATTCAGCAACAGCAGATGGAAAATATTCAGAAAATAAATTGGACGGTTATGTTTCTATTGAACATGTGCAGAGTTTGTTCTTGTCATTATTCCCTAAAGAATCCAGTATCACGACCATTTATGTAGCATCTGCATTGTATTACACATCATGAATAATCCAGAGATGGTCTAATGTCTACGGGAGGATGTGCATAGCTGATATGTAAATACTAGGCCATGTTATGTCAGAGACTTGAGGATCCATGGATTTTGGCATCCCCGGGGACCCTAGAACTAATCCATGGATACCAAGGGATGACTGTATAAACTCACTCAGGAAGGCTTCTCATTGGAGGAAGGTCCCAGTTCAGGACACACAGGGACATCTCCCTGGACTACTGTCCATTCATCCATCCATTCATCCATTGTCTCCCCCCACCCCCCCATCTCGGACTGTCCCAGTGACAGCCCTAGCAAGAAGAGACAAGAAACAAGTTCACGTTGTCCAGTTTTGAGGTAATGGAAGAAGTTGCACCAGTATGAGAATAGTGGGTCAGTTTTCTACAGGATGCAGAAAGCATATCGGGCAGCCTCGGGGTGCGGAAAGGAGCCTGGCCTCTCTAGCAGCCACACAGGCCTGCAGTAGGATGGGGCTGTGGCTGGCCATGTGGATCACTTGGGCCTCATGAGGGGAAAGGAAATACCAGGGGGGCAGAAGAGGAGCATGGGGGCAGCTGGTTGCCTAAGGAGAAGGCACCTCAGGGAAGGGGACTGTATTCATTTGTTTTCACACTGATGTAAAGAAATACCTGAGATTGGGTAATTTATAAAGGAAACAGGCTTAATTGACTTGCAGTTCCGGAAACTTACAATCATGGCAGAAGGGGAAGGGGAAGCAGGCACCTTCTTCACAAGACGGCAGGAGGGAGTGAGTGGAGAACCAGTAAGTGCCACACTTTGAAACTATGATCCTCCTACCTCAGCCTCCCAAGTAGCTGGGACTACAGGCACATGCCACCACACCCAGCTAATTTTTGTACTTTTTATAGAGACGAGGTATTGGCATGGTGCCCAGGCTGGTATCAAACTCCTGGACTCAAGCAGTCCACCTGCCCCAGCCTCCCAAAGTGCTCGGATTATAGGCATATCAGCCAGCTGATGGAGCATCTTTAATATCATATTTTTACTGTAACTTTTCTATATTGAGAAATGTTCAGGTATACAAATACTATTGTGTTATAATTGCCTATGGTATTCAGTACAGTAACATGCTGTACAGGTATTTTGTAGCCTAGGAGCAACAGGGTATATACCATGTAGGCTAGGTGTATATAGCCTAGGACATACTGTGTAGGTTTCTGTAAGTACATTCTATGATGTTCACATATTGATGAAATTGCCTGACAACATATTTCTCAGAACATATCCCTGTTGTTAAGCAACACATGACTATTCCCTTGATTTTTTATTTTTTCAGAGACAGGATCTTGTTCTGTTGCCCAGGCTGGAGTGCAGTGGTGCCACGATTGCTCACTGTAACCTCAAACTCCTGGGCTCAAGTGACCCTTCCCACTTCAGCCTCCTGAGTAGCTGGGACTACAGGCACATACCACCACACCCGGCTAATATTTTTGTATTTTTTGTAGAGGTGGGGTCTCGCTATGTTGCAAGCTGGTCTTGAACTCCTGGGCTCAATCAGTCCTCACATCCTGGCCTCCCAAAGTGCTAGGATTACAGGCGTGAGCCACCACACCCGGCCCAGACTCTTTAAGTTGGCAAAATATTCAGTTATGGAAAGCAGAATGCTGGAGGATGACCAAAGGGATAATGAGTCCTGATTCATGTTGACCCTATGACTTACTGCAGGTTGAGTGTCCCTTATCCAAAATGCTTGGGACCAGAAATGTTTTGAATTTCATATTTCTTTTGGATTTTGGAATATTTGCATTATACTTACTAGCTGAGCATCTATAATTGCAATATCCAAAATCTAAAATGTTCCAATGAGCATTTCCTTTGAGCATCACGTTGGCACTCAAAAAGTTTCAGATTTTGGGTGGGAATTGAACAATGAGAACACTTGAACACAGGGCGGGGAACATCAGACACCAGGGCCTGTCATGGGGTAGGGGGCTGGGGGAGGGATAGCATTAGGAGAAATACCTAATGTAAATGACGAGTTAATGGGTGCAGCAAACCAACATGGCACATGTATACTGATGTAACAAACCTGCACATTGTGCACATGCACCCTAGAACTTTAATTAAAAAAAAAGAAAGAAAGAAAAGAAAAAGTTTCAGATTCTGGAGCATTTCAAATTTCAGATTAGAGATATTCAACCTGAACACAGCTTCAAATAAGGCTAATTTATTTATTACATGGATCCTGACCTTGAGTTAAGTATTCAGAACAAAAATAAAATGTCCCAGCCTGGATAGAGTGACAATACTTTCTCTCCATTTCTATCTCAAGCTATTAAAGATTACCTGCGGCAGCATTCTTTTGTTGGAACTTGGTTAAATACATGTTCATTCCTTTCTTAAAGTCCTGAGAAAACACAATTTTTAAAATCCAGGGAAGTCAGATCTCAGAATTTATAGTATATTTGTATATTAGTAATCAAAAACAAATTTACTCAAATACTCAAGTATCAGATACACTGAAACACATATATCCTTCTGATGCCTACTGCCTTTTATTTAATAATGCGTACTCTATGCCTTCTATTCTTGCTCTTAAGTTTTATAACAGCCTCCCATTTCCACTCCCAAACACACCTGCACATCACTCATCTAAGAGACCACAGTAGTCAACTTCAAATAATTGAATTCTCATTCTTTTTGGTCATTAAAAAAAATGACAAGCCAGAAACTATTTGGGAACTTAATCCAAATAAAGTGAGACTTTTTTTCATGCAAAACTCTTATGATTTCACCATGAAAGAATGAAATACTTAAAGTTTTTTTTTTTTACCTTATCCCCAATGTAGTCATGCAGCATTCGGATGACAGATGCACCTTTGCTATATGATATAGCATCACATATCTCATCAACCTCAGATGGATGGCCCACACTGACCTGGCAGACAGTGTGATTCAGGGTTATGACAGGAAGCAGATAGCCTGTAATACTGAATTACATAAAACGCTTTCTAGGAAAACCCTTCTAACTTACATTTTTCTGCCTTTAACTCACTCATAATGTATAACGATGGTCCTCAAAAAAATGTAGTAACTAATAATAATAAAGTTGAATAGAACATGATTCCTGTCATCCCTTAGAGCTTGGGTTCCAGTCCTGGCTTTGTTCTGCTGGGAAAGAAGCCACTATGGTTCTGTTTATTTTTGGGGTAGTTGCAGAGGAGTGATGAGGAAGACATGGAGGTGAAGAACATTAGATTTCTTGCACTAATTGTAATGAATTACAATTATATGGGAGCCTAATTAAATATGTTGAAGTAGGATTATAACTCTAGTTCTTTAGATACAAAATTTATATATATAAACTGAAGTAGGGATAGGCTAAGTCAAGAGAATTAAAGTATTCACAAAACAGACCCTGACAATAAAATATGTCCAGAATTTTCCTTGACATAAACAATGGAACCATAGTGTTACCCAATAGGTATGACTTCTCCCATACTACTCTTTTTCTTTTTTTTGGCAGAGTTTTTTGCTCTTGTTGCCCAGGCTGGAGTGCAATGGCACGATCTCGGCTCACCGCAACCTCTGCCTCCCAGGTTCAAGTGATTCTCCTGCCTCAGCCTCCCGAGTAGCTGGGATTACAGGCATGCGCCACCGTGCCCAGCTAATTTTGTATTTTTAGTAAAGACGGGGTTTCTCCATGTTGGTCAGGCTGGTCTCAAACTCCCGACCTCAGGTGATCCACCCGCCTCAGCCTCCCAAAATGCTAGGATTACAGGCGTAAGCCACTGCGCCTGGCCAGACCAATTTTTTTTTACTGCCTACCTTTAAAAGAAATGTTTAATTAGAACTTAGACTTACTAGCTTTTCAAGACTAGAAATATGAACCAGTAAAATCACCCATGCTATTTTCTCTTCTTTTCAAAGTCCAAAGTATCTATGTAACAAATTACGTATTTCATTGTAAATGAGAGCAGTCATAGGCTAATGGTTAGAAAGTATGGCTCACTTCAATAGGATGGCTGTTATCTAAGGCGTCAAGCTCCTGGGCACGGGTGTAATCAGCAGAAACAAACTGAGTCCAAATATCATACTCTGGGAAGCAGTGGTCTACACACAGATATTCAATCCAGGATGCAAAACCTTCATTTAACCAAAGATGAGTCCACTATTCCTAAAAACAGAAGATGAAAATACTTAAAGAAATTGAAATGATTGTCATTCTACTAATCTAAAACACTCACATGTCCCTTCCACTATATTCCAAAACTCACAATTTAATGACCTAAAATTCAGTTCAAAACATTTCGCAAAGAACTCACATTTCTGAAAAAGAGAGAAGACTAAAAGAGATGTCAAGAAAGGCCAACTGGTGATATTAGAATTATATCTGAGGGTCATTTTCTTTTCCTTTCTTTTTTTTTTTTTTTTTTTTTTTTTTTTTTTTTTTTTTTTGAGACAAAGTCTTGTTTTGTCACCAGGCTGGAGTGTTCACCAGTAGCTGGGATTACAGGCATGTATCACTATGCCTGGCTAATTTTTGTATTTTTAGTAGAGATGGGGTTTTGCCATGTTGGCCAGGCTGGTCTCAAACTTCTGACCTCAAGTGATCCACCTGCCTCGGCCTCCCAAAGTGCTGGGATTACAGGTGTGAGCCACCATGCCTGGGCCAAAGGATATTTTCAAAACATTGTAAATAACTTCTCCCCCAAACCCAGACAGGGTCTCATTCTGTTGCCCAGGCTGGAGTGGCAGGGGCACCATCGTAGCTCACTGCAGCCTTGAACACCGGGGCTCAAGCAATCCTCCCGCCTCAGCCTGCCAAAGTGCTGGGATTACACACGTAAGCCAGTGCACTCAGTCCTAAGTAACTTTTTAAATACCAAAGGTAGAAAAGGAAGAAGAGGGAAAAAAAAAAATAAGCCCATATATGGAAAAGGAAAAGACAGCAGATAAATATAGGCAAATAGAGGTGGAAAATATAATCACGTAGAATTTAGTATAGTAAAGGATTATCTCTGAAAAACAAAAACAGAAAACTATCAGAGCCAAATAAAGAAAAATGGAAATGACTGGGGAAAACCACTCACTAATGAGTTGAATGTTCAAGAGAAACTGAGAAAGAGTACTGCTTATATAAAAATTATGTGAAATTAAACAAAAATGTAGTTTAGTAATGAATGGTGTTTAAGCACTTATGGAATATAAAATTATCACCTGTTAAATAAGAATGCATAGTAAATGGAATGGACAAAGAATATGAGTGACAGATAAAATCAGTTTTTAAAAAATTTTAAAGATCTTAATCTAAATTTTATTAAAGTTGATTAAGCCTATTAGTGAAAGAAAGCAGGCCAGGCACAATGGCTTGCTCCTGTAATGCCAATACTCTGGGAGGTCAAGGCAGGAAGATCACTTGAGCCCAGGAGTTTGAGATAAGCCTGGGTAACACAGTGAGACTCCATCTCTAAAAAAATTAAAAAGTAAAAAAAAATTAGCTGGTCATGGTGACACACACCTGTGGTCCCAGCTACTTGGGAGGCTGAGGCAAGAGGATTACATAAGCCCAGGAAGATGAAGCTGCACTGACCCATGATTGTGCCACTGCACTCCGGCTTGGGTAACAAAGTGAGATCCTATTCTCCATCCCCAACCAGTCCCCCCAGAAAAGGCCAGGTGTGGTAGCTCATGCCTGTAATCCCAGCACTTTGGGAGGCTGAGGTGGGAGGATTGCTTGAGCCCAGGAGTTTGAGACCAGTTTAGGCAACAAAGTGAAACCCTGTCTCTACAAAAGGCAATACAGTGAAACCTTGTCTCTACAAAAAGTGCAAAAATAAGCTGGGCATGGTGCCACACACCTGTAATTGCAGCTACTCAGGAGGCAGAGACAGGAGGATTGCTTGAGCCCAGAGGTCAAGACTGTAATGAACCATGATTGTGCCATTGCACTCCAGTTTAACTGACAGAGTGAGACTCTGTCTTAAAAAAAAAATTATTTTGATATTAAGTGATAAGTGGCTATTTGCCTAGTAGCTTCCTAAAATAAACTAGCATAAAATGAAACTTATTTTCCAACCTATCCCTAAGCCCTTGGAATTTCAGTTCTAATAACTAGAATAGTTACATAAAACCAGTAAAAAGTTGTTTAATAAGAATGTACACATTTCCCCTACTAAAATTTATTGCTTGTAGTTTCAAAATAAAATCATAAAGTTATCTCAAAGCCAAGCAAAAAAATTATTTGGTACAAAGTAGCAAACTCGCTGCATTAGAAGAAAAGGCCATTTCTTCACATATTTGAATACAGGCACCAACACATAGTTCCACATGAAATTATATTTCTTTTTTTTTTTTTTTTTGAGATGGAGTTTCGCTCTTGTTGCCCAGGCTGGAGTGCAGTGGCGTGATCTCGGCTCACTGCAACCTCTGCCTCCCAGGTTCAAGCGATTCTTCTGCCTCAACCTCCAGAGTAGCTAGGATTACAGGTGCATACCACCACGCCCAGCTAATTTTCTATTTTTTTTTTAGTGGAGATGGAGTTTCGCAACATTGGTCAGGGTGGTCTCAAACACGTGACCTCAAGTGATCCACCCGCCTCGGCCTCCCAAAGTGCTGGGATTACTGGCGTGAGCTACCGTGCCCGGCCTGAAATTATATTTCAAAGAATTTTTTTCACCTGTAAAATTTTAAACATCCAAAATAAAAGGAAAAGATTTATTTTCAAGGGTTGACTTTCTGTAGAAACTCTCTGAGACACGTAACAGTTGATAAATGTCTTACATTCTTATTTATATAACGTATGGACTCAATCTACATTCAAATCAGGTTCTGCTCTTTGGCAGCCTAAAATGTCAGGGAATCTAGCTGGCTCCAGAATATCCAGTTATTTAATTGCAGAGGTACATCTAGTTCACTTATTAAATCCTGTGCTCCCAAGCTCTAACACAGTTGGCATTCATAAATAGTATTTACTTAGAGTAAGAGTGAAAAATCAGGACTGAAGGACAGAGATCATTACTGCAAACATTATAAGGATTTCAACAGAACAGCTGGAATTTTAATACAGCTTTATTCTGCAGTCACTCTGCAGTTTGTTTACTTTTATTTCATTAAATTTCAACTTAACATTTTAGGCAATGAAAAAACTGACTCCTAAAAACATTTCTCTCTAATTAAAGATCAGTCTGTTATTCATCAGGTTACTTTTCAGCTGTGAGTCAGATTAACAAATAAGATTCAAGAAACTACAGTTAGCCTGGAATCTCACTGCATGATTCATTCATCTACACCTAAGAGGAATCTTTTCCTCTCACCCAAATTAGTATCTTGACTTTTCCCATTTGCAGACAAATTTTAGAACAGTTTAGGAAGTGTCTGTTGAATAAAGACTGTCCATATGCCCTTGTTCAATGCAGAGATTCTGATAAGCCCTTTCAAAGTGGACCTTTTAAAATAATACTTTTCTATCACTCAATTATTTTTTGGCACAGTGTTGCAGCCAAACTTGAAATACTATGTAGCCAAAATAATGTGGAGTAGGATGAAGATAAATATATTTGAGCACTTAAAAATATTAAATACCATAGTAACAAGATTTCCAAACCATTGATGGGCAAGTTCATGTCCCACAACCAGAGCAACCCACTGGCGGGATGAAGAACAGGAATTTTTTGGATCAATAAGCAATGCAGTCTCCCTATGTTTAAAAAAAAAAAAAAGAGAAACAAATTTAAACAATAAAAGTGGGCATGCATAAGTTGGGAAGATTCAGACAGTAAGTCAGATGGACAAGTTAGGCTTTAGAGATATTAGGAAAATATTTCCTAATATGGAAAGAAAAAGTTTCACGAAGATTAAAGACTACCCCAACAGAATTAATACAACAGAATATCAAAGATGTGACACAAGTTTAATTATCAGTTTGTTGATAGAATAGCTGCCTGAAATTTTGGGAAAACATTGTCTAAGGGATTAGCGATTACTGTGCTAGATGGAGAGAGAAGAAAGTCCTTTCATTAAATGAGGGGAGTGGTGGAGGAAGATGCATTCCATAGTCCCAAAAACAGCACTGAGCCGGCCGTTCAACACTTAGCTCATCTAAGAAGGCAATTGAAAGTAGAAGGCAAAAACTTGTTTACAGACAGACTCTGCTTTTAAAAGTTATTCAACTCACATGTTTATGTTGTGGTGACAGACATGTAAAAACTTGGCTAGAAGATATGAAATTAGGGAAGGTTCTCCAAGCTGGATAAATAGCTATGAAACTACTGGCAGGAAAGAAAGGCACTGCAATGAGAAACTTAGCCAAGAATATATCTAAAAATGCTACTACCGCCAGATGCTCACTTTAAAATCTTACACCCTCAGACAGTAGCACCAAAGGGAGAGGTGTCCATCTGCATTCTTGAAATGTGCATGGAAGTGGGGGAAGGTAGAAAAATTTACACCATATCGTAAAGCAGAAGCTACTCAACTGTGATTAGGAGGGAAGCCCTTTTGAAATCAGTGATTTGAAAAGATAAGGCAGGGTAATACATCATTAACATACCTATAAGTAACAAGGTCCCAGTTCTCCATGGCACCTTCACAAAATAAATATAAACATTTATTGAGATATATATATATATATATATATATATACTCTTGCATCAAAAGTCACAAAATTTTAAAAAGTTATTACAATTCAGCAATAAAATGAAATTTACTTTACCAGCTGCAAAGTCTGCAATAGCAATGAGATCAATTTTAGGTAGAGGATAAGGAACATTGAAGTAGTCCTTATAAAAAGGCAAGGTTTTAGCAGCAACCTATAAAAGTATAAACAAAATAACCATCTAATAAATATGTTATTATAATTCATATTGAAACCCACAAAGGAATCCTGTTGCAAGCCAATGTATCTTAAATTACTAGAAATGAATCCCAGGGAGCCCTACCTCCGAAGACTGCCTTAGCTCCAAACTTTGAATACAATGGCCAAACTTTAATCCATTTATAACTTGATATGAAAAATATAACTACATATTTTCCAACCCATTCCCTAGAGAAATTCCACTCTTATATTCTCTTAATTATTATTTTGTAAAATAACGAAACACCAAGGTTGGCATTTCCTAAATTCTATTAAAAATAAACCAAGTAGCACAACTTTCAGATTAAATTATAAATAACTGTACTAATAATTGACCAGAAATGTAAATTCCCCAACCTGGAGTTATGGACTGCTGGAACAATCCTCTTCAAGTACATTTACCTCTAATGCAAATTTTCCTTGTTCTGCTTTGCCAACAGGAGTGTAAACACAGACACACACACCATCTTTTGACCTTGTTTCTACAAAGTCATATTCACCCACAACAAATGCCACCAGATATGTAGATGTAACAGGTGTGCGGGCAAACTTCACTTCCACTAAATTTTCATCATCAGGGTATGGTTTCCGGTCAATTACATTCTTTAAGAAAGAAAAAAAAGAAAAATTTAAATAGGTTTACATTAATACCATAGAGCAAATACCAGCCAAAAACTGTAGGCTTTATTGCATCTCTTTCCCCCTTTCTATTCTAGCATGGCTTATTTCTCTACCCCAATTCATCCAGTGCTTTTATGCTGTCTTTAAGAAGGAAAGTGGTCTGATAAAACACTCATACTAAGAAGCTGGAGGCTGAAGTGTTAAAACTACCAAGGACCTGTGAGAGAAAAGAGGAATGGACTTTTCTCGAATACTTATTATAAGCCAGGCATTGGGATGATTTAAGTAAGGGCTTCATACTTTTCAACTGACATAAGTTTAGGAGAAAATGACTATTAATAAAAATAAAATAGGGGCCAGGCGCGGTGGCTCACGCCTGTAATCCCAGCACTTTGGGAGGCTTAGGCGGGCGAATCACAAGGTCAGGAGATCAAGACCATCCTGGCTAACATGGTGAAACCCCGTCTCTACTAAAAATACAAAACATTAGCCAGGCATGGTGGGGGGTGCCTGTAATCCCAGCTACTTGGGAGGCTGAGGCAGGAGAATGGCGTGAACCAGGGAGGCGGAGCTTGCAGTGAGCTGGGATCACACCACTGCACTCCAGCCTGGGCGACACAGCGAGACTCCTTCTCAAAAATAAATAAAAAAAATATAATATAATTGTAGAATCTCCCATTTCAAAGGATACAAACTTCTAGATCGAGGGCATTCTCTACCAAAGTTGGCTCTAAGCTTATTTGTGAAGAAATTTCAACTTTACCTTTGGAGTCCCTAATTTCCTTTGGTGTTCTCCCTCTTTTTCCTATTCAGGCTCCATTTCCTCAAGCTCTCTCTATTCTTCCTTCCAAGGAAGACTTATTCAAGAACACACTGATAAATTCACTCATACTAAAGTGTGAATGAATATTTCTGCTTAATGTATTAGCCTCCTCTTCTAAGAATATGTGTGAAGAGAATGACATTCTATTTATGGGATGCTCTCCCCCAGTAAATACATAAAAGAGTTATTTTCAGGTGCAGCAGGTTTTTCCAAGTTCCCCACACAAGACAGTCCTAGACAACACACTTCAAGTGGGGAATGCTTACCCTGTTCATGAATGAGATCAATAACACTGGTGAAGAGAATACATTCCAAGAATACAAACAGCCAGAAACCTAAATATACTTCATTATGCAGCTACATCTTTTGAATTCTTTTAACTTTTTAAAAAGATAGAGACAGGGTCTTGCTCTGTTGCAACCTTTTTTTTTTCCCCCCGAGATGGAGTCTTGCTCTGTCACCCAGGCTGGAGCGGAGTGGCGCGATCTCAACTCACTGCAGCCTCCGCCTCCCAGGTTCAAGCAATTCTCCTGCCTCAGCCTCCCAAGTAGCTGGGGTTACAGGTGCCTGCCACCATATCTGGCTAATTTTTGTATTTTTAGTAGAGATGGGGTTTCACCATGTTGGCCAGGCTGGTCTCGAACTCCTGGCCTCAAATGATCCACCTGCCTCAGCCTCCTGAAGTGCTGGGATTACAGGTATGAGCCACCATGCCTGGCCTATTTTTTTTTTTTAAGAGATGGGGTCTTGTTCTGTCACCCAGGCTGGAATACAGTGGCGCAATCATGGCTCCCTGTAGCCTCAAACTCCTAAGTTCGAGAGATCCTCCCACATTAGCCTCCCAAGTAGTTAGGATTACAGACACCTGCCACCATACCTGGCTAACTTTTAAGTTTTAAATCTTTTGTAGAAATGAGGTCTCACTATGTTGCCCAGACTGGTGTCAAACTCCTGGCCTCAAGCAATCCTCCTGCCTTAGCCTCCCAAAGCACTGAGATTACAAGCAAGAGTCACTGTACCTGGCTTTCTTATGACATTTAATAAGTCAAGACCTTTTTCTTTTTTTTTTCTTTTTTTTTCTGAGATAGGGTCTGGCTCTGTCACCCAGGCTGGAGTGCAGTGGTGTGATCTCAGCTCACTACAACCTCCGCTTCCTGGGTTCAAGTGATCCTCCCACCTCAGCCTCCCAAGTAGCTGGGACTACAGGTGTGTGCAACCACACTCAGATAATTTTTGTATTTTTAGTAAGGACAGGATTTCACCATGTTGGCCAGGCTGGTCTTCAACTCCTGACCTCAAGCGATCTGCCTACCTTGACTTCCCAAAGTGCTGGGATGACAGGTGTAAGCCACCATATCCAGCCCAAGACTTTTGCTTTTAGTTACTATAAATCTATTAAACTTGTCAATTTACCTCTCTAAATTAAAAGAAGTAGATAATCTTATAAATGTATTTAACAAGGAATTTGACAAGGACAAAATCCTCCAAAAATAAAGCTATCAAGAAAAAGAGGTCTTGGCTGGGCATGGTGGCTCATGCCTCTAATCCCAGCACTTTGGGAGGCTGAGGCAGGAAGACAGATTGACCCCAGGAGTTTGAGACCAGCCTGGGCAACATAATGAGACCCCAACTCTACAGAAAAAAAAAAAAAAGAAAGAAAAAGAGGCTTATTGAAAATAAAGAAAACTATTATTTATGTTCCTATAATATACCAGCACTGTGGTAGGTGGTTTCATATTATCCCATCTAATCAGCAAACTAAATCTGCTAAAGCCTATTAAAATTTTAGATAAACTTATAAACACATACATACCATGTTTGATAAAGCTACTCTGTCTTTAGGAACAACCAATGAGATATCAAAAGTTGCTTTGATAGCAGGCTCATCCCAGCAAGGAAAAGCCCTTCGGGCATCAGTAGCCTTAAGAAAAGAATATGAAATATAAATACCTTAGAATTAACCTAACAAGTTATTTCATAAAGCAGTCGCCATTTCCCTCTGTCATTCATTCATTCCCTTGTTCAAATATTTACTTTCTCTTCAGTGCCAGGCAACAAGCTAGGCATTAACTAGAAAGAAAAGACAACACTTGCTACCACTGCCATTCCAGCAAATATCCAGGAACAGTGTCTGCTATGGATTTTAACAATATATTATAATTATTTACAACTAAATTTTTGTTTACATTTTAACATTTCAAATTTAATGCAAATGCCTTCAAATCAATAATGTTAACACAACACAGAGCACAGAACAGTAAAGAGTATGCTATAAGAATTCAAAGTTGGGAAAACATGGTAAGTTGCCTCTCTGGCTTTTATTTTTGAATTAAAAATAAAAATATTCTCAATCTTTGATGTGCTTTGTTCTTTATCTGGAATGGCAGCAATGGGAATAAAGACAGATGCTCTATCAATTCAAGACAGGTCATTCATTTAATGGCACTTCCATATGCTACACATAAAACTGTCGCCACTTGACCTACTTGAGTCCTTACTCTTTCATTAAAAATTTAAAAAAGAGCAACCTTATGAAAGCAAAATAAAACTTAGGGGTTCTGCAGGGTATCAGTTATAAAGGAAAGACACTTCAGTAAACAGAATTTTCCATTTATTTAGTAAATAAAATGGAACCAATGACAAGATACTGTATCATAAAAAGAAACAACAGACTGGGTGCAGTGGCTCATGCTTGTAATTCCAGCACTTTGGGAGGCCGAGGTGGGCGGATCACCTGAGGTCAGGAGTTCGAGACCAGCCTGGTCAACATGGTGAAACCCCGTCTCTACTAAAAATACAAAAATAAGCCAGGCATGGTGACACATGCCTGTAATCCCAGCTACTCGGGAGGCTGAGGCAGGAGAATGGCTCGAACCTGGGAAGCGGAGGTTGCAGTGAGCCAAGATTGCACCACTGCACTCCAGCCTGGGCGACAGAGCAAGGCTCCGACTAAAAAACAAACAAACAAACGAACAAACAAACAAACAAACAAACCAAAGAGGTAGAAGAAACTTGGCTGACTACATTCTCAAAAACATTAAATAAATAATGAATTCTATCAATGAATAAAAAAGACATCTGAAAAGAAGGGAGAGTATAAGGAAAGAAATGGCAGCACAGAAGCATTTAAATTAGAAGCAGCAGCAGTAGAGAAATGAATTTATACTAAAGGAAATTAATGACAGATAACAAGATTTAAGTTTGAAAATATCTAAAGGACAAAGTGATAAAAGCAATTAAACATAATTTGAGAGACAGATACTAGAGCTAAACTGAGTATTAACTGAGAAGGGAATGGAATGGATATCACAGTGAAGATATAACAGAAAAACTCTTTCACACTGAAAAATTACCTGAATCTAAAAATCAATAGGGTTCACCAAGTACTATGCAAAAATCAATGAAAAGTGAACACCTGGTTTAAAAAACAGTTTAATTTTCGATATCAAGATATAATTTAACAAGCAAGCAGGAAGAAAATAAAGCAAAACGAAACAACATCTTACCTACAAAGGAAGAAGAAACATTTTAGTCTGTGACCCCTCCTCTTGAAAAAGTGAGATGTAGAAGACTTTGGAAACAATATTCACAGACTTTTGAAAGTGAAAAATTGTAAGCTGATTGTACTACTCTTACAATTGAATGAGCTGGGCCTATTACTCATGGCAAGAGAGAACTCACACCACAGGGAACCACTGGTGTCTCCATAAGAATGTAAGAAAGAACCCACTATACGATTTGGGATTTGGTTTACATGATTTGGAAGAGGGTCTAAGTAAACAGGGATTCACTCTAGATTGAGTGCTGCAAGAAGTCCTATGAGGCAATTCTATGGGTATGTATCTCAATAAATCTTATCTATACGGAGGCCAGACTAGAGCAAATCTAAAACCGTAATTGGTAAAGAAGCAGTAGTCACTCATTTTAACTGAGAGATGGAGATGTTTGATATTTTGCGGGTAGCATAGTGATCCTGTATGTACTGTACCTAGGCAAAATTATGGATCCCTTGTTTTGTCTCACTTTATTATGGTCTCAAGTAGCCTTGTCTAAAGTTGGTATTCTGTAATATTATGTCTAATAGGGAGAATAACACGGGCTAGCTGTGAGTGCCAGACAACCTCTGGATGTCAAAAGTTGCTCTTTTTACCTTTTTTCATCAACAAATCTATATACCCAGTAAATCTGGTCATGTATAAAGGCAAATGAAAGATTTTTCAGAAAAGCAAAGGTTTAGGAATTACATTACCCACATACCTTCTCCTAAAAAAAAAATTGTTTAGAGACATACATCAGCCAACCATTCCAGGATGAAGTGTTCAAAGTGGGTAGAGAAAGGCATTGGAATCATTCAAACACAGAATTAAACCTAAATATCTGTGGCAAATATTATTCTAAACAGAAGGTAACATAAAATTATTGAAAGAGAAGATACATCAGGTAAAACAAATTAGTAGTAAACTGGATAAAAAATTTTAGGTTATCCCAAACAAGCAAACAATATAGGGATATGGGCAGAAACATAAGAATGGATATCATGAATTGTTTCTTTATCCATACTGAAATTTATAGAAATAAATTTAATTAGATTTAACACTTAAAAATACGACTAGCAGATTCAAAACAATGTATATAATTTGCAAATACCTGACAAATAAAAATCATCCTGGCCTACGTAGGACAGCAAATATATATATGTGTGTATATATATATGTATACACACACACACACACACACACACACACACACACACAGAGAGAGAGAGAAAAAAAATCAAAGACAGCACAGATACTACAGTAAGATAAACAAAAGATGTCAAAGAAGGAAAGGAATTCTAGAAAACAGCTAATAATACTGTAGGAAAAGCCATAGGTGTCAAATACTAAGAGAATGATTTTAAGAAAGGTACACAGTATATAGGCAATTCAGGTATCAAAATGTGTCGTGTGTTTGAATGTCTGTGTGTATAACTGTATATAATCATTCCCCAACCCATACCCTTAATTCCCTCCTTTCTATAGAGATAATGGCTAAATATAAAATAAAAATTCTAAAATTGTGAATACAATCATGGCCAAGGGCACCTAGCCTCAAATAATCACCCCACATAATAAACACACCTTTGTCAGAATGCCTAATTTAAGAATAATAATATTTTAGAGAAGAATAACCCATACCTCAAACTGTGTTACAGCAGCATAGCGCACCTCTCCAGAAGGGGTAGTATACTTACTTCTATAGAAACCTTTCATTTTGTCATTCAGCTCTCCAACAAAATCTATCTTTAAGGTTCCCGTACCTGTGATTGAAGATAAATAAAAAACACTTTTATGGAGATGTTAAACACAGTTACCAAAAATATGTCCTCAAGACACTATATTCAGTTAGCTATTTACAATGTTCAAATCATTCCTTCCTTTTTCAAATATTCCTCCTGGCAATGGAGAGAATACAGTACTTACTAAAGTAAAAGGCAGACTAATCCTAAAATAACTCTTGAAAGTCATGTTTAGGGTGACTGCCTAAAAAGTTATTAACTTAGTCTCAAACTACCAATATGTGAAAATAAGAACAGGAAAGGAAACAAACATTTATTCTTAAATGCCTGATATGTGCTATTGTGCACAGTGCTTTTAAAATATATATAACTATTTATAAACCTGGAAGTAGATATTGTCCTCATTTTTTCAGATGAGGAAACTGAGGCTGAGAAGCTAAATAACTTGTCCAGTGTCATAAAATTAGTAAGTAGTGAGAATGGGATAAAATGTTAAGTCCAGAATCCATGCTCTCTGCCAATTATACATGTGAATTGGTCCTTTTACACAACTTCATGCATAGAAAGAGAAATGTAGCCAATTACTCTATCAAGATAAGACACTAAATGTTTACTCCAAATGGAACACTGATTGCATAATTTTGTAAGGAGCTATAGGGAAGACCAATGATTTGATCAGCAACAGGGCATAAAACAAATTCTTACAAGTCACCTCAATCATTTGAAATCTGACAAAGAAATACATTTAATTAATAAATTATTAAATGCAAATAAAAATACAACTTAAATATGTATTCTATTGTATAAGAGCAAAAACAATTTAGACAAAAAAGTGAGCTTTTTTGAGTTTATATACTTTCTTTTTTATAACATAAAAAATTATAATTATTATCTAGTAATCATCTGCTAAATACAGATGCATGGCAAAACAGTAATCCCATTCTGTGTTTTACAAATCAAGTCACGAAAAAACGTAGAGGAATGGTGACTTTTTAGTTGACCATTTTAAAGGCCCTACGTATATCAAGATTTAAAGCATGGGAAGTCTAACAAATCAAAGATAGGGCATGACTATAAAGTAATTAACCAATCATACCAAACTTTTATATCCTAATGTTTCAAATTGTCATTTTGGAACGCTAAAGAGCAATGACATTTGACATTGTTCAAAATGTTGTGACTTTCTCTTTCTCTCTTTTTTTTTTTTGAGACAGAGGCTCACTCTGTTGCCCAGGCTGGAGTACAGTGGTGTGATCTCGGCTCACTGCAGCCTCCGCCTCCTGGGTTCAAGCAATTGTGCCTCAGCCTCCTGAGTAGCTGGGACTACAGGCGGGCACCACCACGCCTGGCTAATTTTTGCATTTTTAGTAGAGACAGGGGTTTGCCATGTTGGCCAGCTGGTCTTAAACTCCTGGCCTCAAGTGATCCACCCACCTTGGCCTCCCGAAGTGCTGGGATTACAGGCATGAGCCACTGTGCCCAGCCCCTCTGACACTCTTTTGAATGATCTCAAAGTCAAATCTTCATCTTATAAAATTGAATTTGCTTTTGGAAAGGACCAAAAGTTATGGGGAGTGAGAGTCTACAGAATAAGTGAATGACAAACTACAAACTGTCTCTAGCCTGATGCCTCAAACTGGTTCTGAAAGTAATTTAAGTGAAAATTTCAGACCTTTAGAGCAAAGTCACCACTAATGAAAGTGCTATATTCTTAATCATTCTGAGAAAAAAACAACTCAACTGAAGCTTAATTGAATAGACATTTGTGATGTTTATTTTTTAGAAATCAGATATTTGTAAATATCTAAAGAGGACAATGAATACTTTTTTCTTTAAAGAGAATGACAGGTTACTGGGACAGTATATATGGATATAGTAAAATAATTGATAATTCTAAATGATACTAAAAAATTAAACTATAAAGCAAAATTTAAATTAAAAATTTTTAATTTCTATTTTCTTTAGAAGTTCACTTAATTTTTTTAAAAAAGCAAATGTATTCACATTAATAAAGTTTGCAAAGAACGTCTAACAGATTATAAAAACCTACTACCTTTAATGGAAACTATATGATGGAATTTTATGTTACAATTCCATAAGTGGAATTGCCCAGTCTGTTTCACTAAGTCAGTCAACTGTTAAGATGTTTTTTAAATATAATTCATATTTCATGGTAAATCTACTTGCATTTTTTCCTAGTTGGAACATAAGTGGTTTTAAAACTCATAACTAAATAAGAAAGACTGCTTACACTTTTACTCGGTTTTAAATCTCCAAGGCCATCAAACCATAACAAGATATTGACAGTGACCACTTCCAAAAAGTGGCATACTAAACAAAATACAAAGTATTGGAAAGAGTTATTACCTGAAATTCAAACAAAACACAAGTTAAAGTATTTAAAAATCATTAATAAGTTTAATTAGTGTCACATTATATGATACCAATTACAAAGTATTTACTTACTATTCATATAGTAGAATTTTAGGGCAAGTAGGAGAAAAAATGACTTTTTAATAAATTTCATTTATCAAATTTACACCATATTAATGAACGGATTGCCAAATTGTCTAATTTTATACCTATCAACACACATAATTTACACCACTTCCTCAAATTAGATACCTTATTTCATATCCAATGTATGAAATATTTATGTTTGGGGTTGTAAACCTTTTGAAACATACATCAAGCTCGTTTATAAAGTAAACAACTGAAAAATTGGGACTTCCATCAAAAACCTTAAATGTTTAAAGCTTAGGAGAGTATAACAATTGTAAAACCTGGAGTAAATCTTGAAATACTTTAATAATAAGAAATTTAATGAGTCTACTAAATGCTATAAAAATAAAGAGATTAATTTATACAAAAAGGGAATAAAGATCGTTGCCTTTGTGTCACCACCTCTTTTTTTCTTTGGAAAATGGAGTCTCAGTCTCAGTCTGTCACCCAGGCTAAAGTGCAGTGGTGCAATCTCGGCTCACTGCAACCTTCGGCTCCCGGGTTCAAGCAATTCTCCTGCCTCAGCCTCCTGAGTAGCTGGAACTACAGGCGTGCGCCACCAGGCCTGACTAATTTTTGTTTTTAGTAGAAACAGGGTTTCGCCATGTGTCACCACTTTTTATTATCTTGTTTTTGACTCTTCAAAATGCTGACAACTACCAGTGTTTCTCCATATAAATGCCACCCTCAGGACCCTCAGCCACTAATTCTAAGGTTGTTAGACCTTACAATAATTATGGTAATTTAATCACTATCCCAGAATGGTGCCAATTTCAGAAAAGTAGGTTTTACTTAGCTGTATAATAGCTTGCATTACTGTTAAATTTGATGAGGCTAAACACAAAGGTTATTAATGTCCTCCTAAGATAAGCTCAGTATTTGCTTCATTATCAGATAGATCACTTGTGCAATCTGTCTTGAAAAAGATTAACTTCATTTTTAAAGCAAACCTTGGGAAAATGTGAAAGCCAATGGTTTCAAACAGATATTCAATAATTCAATATTGTCGGCTGGGCGTGATGGCTCACACCTGTAATTCCAGCACTTTGGGAGGCCGAGGCGGGAGGATCACGAGGTCAGGAGATCAAGACCATCCTGGCTAACACAGTGAAACCCCATCTCTACTAAAAATACAAAAACAAAATTAGCCGGGCGTGGTGGCGGGCACCTGTAGTCCCAGCTACTCGGGAGGCTGAGACAGGAGAATGGCATGAACCCAGGAGGCAGAGCTTGCAGTGAGCTGAGATCGCGCCACTGCACTCCAGCCTGGACGACAGAGCGAGACTCCATCTCAAAAAATAATAATAATAATAATTCAATATTGTCACACCTGCAAGATAATTTTTCTGTTCTAATATTTATATCAGTTGTTATATTAGCTCAAAATTGTTATATTGGCCAAAAATATCAAAAATTATGTTAAATCATACTATACTAATGGTCATAACCTTCTCTAACTTGTTTGTTATTATTTGAAATAGCTTCACCATTTAGCATGTCTGCTGTAAACAGACCTTATCAAGAATGATACATCTCTTATATACTAGTAATAAATGGCCTCCAATATTTACAGTTAAGGGGAAAAGAAGAAAGGTGCAGAACATTATGTATGGCATGGTGATTTCTGTGTTCTTAAAAAGTATATATATAAATGCTTACAAAAGCAGGGTATAGTTTTGAAAGGAAAATTTCATTTCATTCTGTTGAGGAATGGAGCTGAGAAAGAAGACAGGGTAGACTGGCAAACAAAATTTCATTGCATAGCATTTGAATTTCAAATTATGTAAATGTACTATGTTTTTGAAATATTTAATTTGAAAAATAAAGATAGCACAATGTGGTGGTTAAAAGTGCAGACTTTTGAGTTAAACTGCTTGGGTTTAAATCCCAGCTATGTTACTTACTAGCTATGTTACCTTGGACAAATTATTTAAGTTACTGAAATCATTTTTCTGCCTTAGTTTATCTACAAAATAGAAGTAACAGAATCTGGCTGGCGTAGTGGCTCATGCCTGTAACCTCAACATTTGGGAGGATGGCAAGATCCTCTCTCTGAGGTAGGAGGATCACCTGAGGCCAGGCATTTGAGACCAGCCTAGGCAACATAACGAGACCCTGTCTCTACAAAAAAATTTAAAAATTAACCAGATGCACTGTCATGTGTAGGCAGTCCTAGCTACATGGGAGGCTGAAGTGGGAGAATCACTTAAACCCAGGAGTTTGAGGCTGCAGTGAGCCGTGACTGCACCACTATACTCCAGCCTGGGTGACAGAGAGACTTTGTCACAAAACAAATCTACCTCAAAAGGTTGTTGAAAGGACTAAATAAATTAATATTTTTGAGGCACTTAAAACAGTACTTGGCACAGATTATGTCGTGTGTGTGTGTGTGTGTGTGTGTGTGTGTGTAATACATATCTTCTATCATGTTAGAAGTTTCTGTCTACTCTTCCCTGGTGAATTCTAGCAAATAAACTGATTCCTTTTGATAAATATAGAATGTTTAACTTTTTAAATTTAATGAAAAATGGTTACCATATTTCCTAATGCTGAACAACAATTCAATCTACGCTTTTATTTTCTATACTGGCTAGGTTTATATATCTTTTGGGACTATTTTTAAATATCAGTTTTTTAATATTTCTGCCCCTCACTTCACTTATTTCATTTGTTTCTGCTCTTAAAACTTTCTTCTACTTTCTCCAAGTTACCTTTTGTTTTTATGAGTTTAATGCTTAGCTAATTAATTTTCAGTCTTTCTTCTTAACTAAATATTCTAATATTTTATCTGCATATGAAACATGTTTATCCCTAATGTTTCATATGTGGTAATTTCATTATTCAGTTCTAAATATTTTCTAATTTCCATAACAAGTCTTCTTTGACTCAATTATTCAGAGGTATAATTTTTTCAAATATATAAAAAGGGATTTTTTTCATTTCTCTTTTTCTATTGACTTCTAATTTTTTCACAGTGTAAACACAGAATATATATAGTCTGTAATGATATAGATTTAAAACTCTAAAATTTTTTAAATTTCTATCAAAGTAATAGTTCACAGTTTAAAATACGTAAGCTCCAGGCCCTGCTCAACACTAGGCCCTACTCCCCACACCCTGCCCCTAGAAGCAATCAATTTCAAACTCTGTGACTTCTAAATGTCTTGCTTACACAGCTATTTTTTCTTTTCCTTTCTTTGAGACAGTCTTGCTCTGTCGCCCAGGCTCGAGGGCAGTGGTACAATCACGGCTCACTGCAGCCTTCAATTCCTGGGCAAGCAATCCTCCCACCTCAGCCTCCCAAAGTGTTGGGATTACAGGCATGAGCCACGACCACGGCCTATTTCTTCATTTTTCAACTTTAGACATTTTCTCTTCACTGTAGAAAGTCATGCTTTAGCTAATCCATCCCCCACTCCAATATCTTTTACAAAGAATCAAATTTTCTATGACCTTGCAAATCTGAAAATATTTTTACTCCGAAATTCAAAGTTGGGCTAAGCATGCAATCTTAGGTTGAAAATCAGATTCACTTTGTATTTTGAATGAACAGCTTCATTAGAGTCTAAGTTTCCACTGTTCCTAATGGTAAGTCTAGGACTATTCTGATTCCTAAATTTTAAAGGTAGTATGCTACCTGCCTTCCCTCCTATTGCCCCCTATCCCAGACAGGAACTTTCTGGGAGTTTTACTTTATCGCAGAAGTTCTAAAATTTCAGTCAGTGTGGCAATTTTTACATTTTTTAAGCTAGTCTCTCTCAATGGTGTACCTTTGCAAACTGAAGGCTCCTGCTCTATCAGTTCAAGGAAATGTTCCTGTCTTTTTGAGTTTCTCTTCTGGCCGGGCACAGTGGCACACGCCTGTAATCCCTAGCACTTTGAGAGGCCGAAGTGGGCACATCACCTAAGGTCCGGAGTTCGAGACCAGCCTGGCCAACATGGTGAAACCCCAACTCTACTAAAAATACAAAAATCAGCTGGGCGTGGTGGTGTGTGCCTGTAATCTCAGCTACCCAGGAGGCTGAGGCAGGAGAATCACTGGAACCCACGAGGTGGAGGCTGTGGTGAGCCGAGATTGCACCACTGCACTCCAGCCTGGGTGACAGAGCAAGATTCTGTTGCAAAAATGAAAATTAAAAAATCCTCTTCCCATTTCCTCTGCTTTCTGTTTTACTAGATGGATGTTGGTTCTGCTGGACTGGTTCTCAAATCTATTTTTCTGTTTTCTATCTGTTTTTTCTACTGCTTGGAAGTTTCCTCAACTTCATCTTTAACACTTTTACTGGGTTTTTTATACCTATCATAATTTCCAAGTTTTCCTGCTGTAATTCTTCCTATCTGATGGCATTCTGTCCTGTCCTTGTTTAATGCACGCAATGCTTTCTCTTAACTCTCTAAGGATAGTAATTAGCTATGGGTTTGTTTTTTTTTTAACTTTCTTTAGATTTGTCTTTGCTTTTTCCAACTTCCTTTATTTCTATTATACTTATAATTTTGCTTTTTGCCCTATCTTTCATTAGAAACTTTTCGCAAATGTCTGTTAAATGCTACCCCAGTGACTTTGGGCTTGGTCATGCTACTTGCTTTGGTCAATGAAATGTGAGTAGACATCAAGTATACCACCATCACACAGAAATTTTATTTTTTATTTTATTTTTTATAGAGACAGGGTCTCACTACATTGCCTAGGCTGGTCTCGAACTCCTGGGCTCAAGCAATCCTCCTGCCTCAGCCTCCAAAAATGCTGGGATTACAGGTGTGAGTCACCACGCCTGGCCATGCAGAAGTTTTAAATGTGTCTTTGTGGTCTAGCTTTCTCCCCATCCCTGAGCCTCTGCCCTCTGCCATGCATGATACAGAGAGTGGCTGCTCGCTGACTACTAGTCCTGGAAAGACAGTTGGGAGCCAAGTGGAGCCAGCAGAGTTGGTGATATGGCTGCATATGATCAGCAGTCCTCATGGCCCATGTGTAAAAAAGAAAGAAATCTCAGTGGTTATAAGCCACTGAGATTTGTGATCCTATCTGTGGGTTAAATTATATACATAAATTTATATATACATAGGAATATTTCTAGACAGATTCACCAGACAATGGAAGTAGAAGAAATCAGCGAAAGAATCTCCTTCCTTTTCAAATTATATTCTTCAATAGCTTTTAATACATGTTCATGGCAAAGCATTTTTTGTTTTGTTTTGTTTTGTTTTTTGGGACGGAGTCTCACTCTGCCACCCAGGCTGGAGTGCAGTGGTGCGATCTCGGCTCACTGCAAGCTCCACCTCCCGGGTTCACGCCATTCTCCTGCCTCAGCCTCCCGAGTAGCTGGGACTACAGGCACCTGCCACCATTCCCAGCTAATTTTTTGTATTTTTAGTAGAGACAGGGTTTCACCGTGTTAGTCAGGATGGTCTCGATCTCCTGACCTCGTGATCCGCCCGCCTCGGCCTCCCAAAGTGCTGGGATTACAGGCGTGAGCCACTACGCCCGGCCCATTTATTTTTATAATAATTACACATAAAGGGCCTCCAAGAGCACTGAAATAAAAGACTAAACATCTCCAATTTAAATTTTTTCTAAAAATAATTTTATATTAATTCAATAGATTCTCAGTAGGAAAATTGTGAAAATCAGACAAAAGATATAAATAAGAATAAAAATCACCAATTATGTCAACACCCAGACATAATTATCATTTTATTTGTGCCATTTAGAGACATGATTCACCACCTTAAATATGTAATTTTATATTCTTCTTTTCAATTTTACATTATAATAAGCACTTTACAGGGTTAAGAATTCGCAAACCTCACTTTTAATTGCTAAGTATATTTCACTATATAGATATATCATTCCTGGCTTGATCATTTCCTTAGTGTTGAACAAATATATTAATTATAATTTTTTACTACCGTAAGTAATATCTCAGACACTTCTGGGCATAAAGTATTTTCTGTATTTATGACTTTTCCTTGGGATATATTCCTATTAGCAGAATTGCTGGGTCAAAGGACATGAACATATTTAGGCTCTTGATATACTGCCAGAATGCTTTACAAAAAAATTACATGGATTTATACTCCCCCCAGCGATATCAAGGCAGCCATATCATTGGGAATTTTTAAAATTTCAGCTCACATGAGAAGCAAAAATTTCTCATTACTAGGAGGCTCAATATCTTTTCGCATGTTTATTAGTCATTTACATTTTCTTCCTTTTGAATTATCTGTTCCTTTTCATTTGTTCATTCATCAAAGTCTTAGTACTTCACCAATTGATTGGTATATAATTTCTTCCACATATACTAAGCTCAGAAAGTCTATTTCTTTGTGCTTTTATACCTAACAATAGTAACATATCAACGTATCTTTCTTTCTGTGCCCTCAATAACACAATACCTATTTGATCTCTGGTTGTATATCAAAATCATCTGTGACCATTCACTTCAGGGATTTGGATTGAATTAATAGAAGATGGAGCTAGGTAAAAGTATTTTGTTTGTTTGTTTTAGACAGAGTCCCACTCTATCACCCAGGCTGGAGTGCAGTGGCATGATCTCGGTTCACTGCAACCTCCACTTCCTGACTTCTGGCGATTTTCTTGCCTCAGCCTTCTGAGTAGCTGGGAGTATAGGGATGAGCCACCACACTGGGTAATTTTTGTATTTTTTGGTAGAGATGGGGTTTTGCCATGTTGGCCAGGCTGGTCCCTAACTCCTGGCTTCAAGTGATCAGCCCGCCTTGGCCTCCCAAAGCGCTAGGATTGCAGGTGTGAGCCACCACGCCTGGCCTAGGTAAAGGTATTTTTAAAAAGGTAAAACTGGAAAACAATACATTACATTCTAGGATAGAATGATCTTTAGTTTTTGTCCTGTTTTTCTTGGCTTGTTTGTTTAAAGAGAATATAGAGTGACAGGAGGTGGAAACCCTGCTTTTCGTAGCCCAACTTCCGCAGAAGGAAATGCTGGTGGCCCAAAAGTTGCAACAAACCTCTTTAAAAAGCTCTTAATACAGCTGGGCGTGGTGGCTCCTGCCTGTAATCCTACCACTTTGGGAGGCCAGGGCGGGCAGATCGCTTGAGATCAGGAGTTCAAGACCAGCCTGGCCAACATGGCGAAACCTTGTCTCTACTAAAAATACAAAAAAATTAGCCGGTGTGGTGGTAGGCACCTGTAATCCCAGCTACTCGGGAGGCCGAGGCAGGAGAATCACTCGAACCTGGAAGGTGGAGGTTGTAGTGAGCCAAGATCATGCCACTACTCTCCAGCCTGGGCAATAGAGTAAGACTCCGTCTCAAAGTAAAAAAAAAAAAAAGCTCTTAATACTTAATCTGCTAATAACAACGAGGGAAAAAATGGCATACAATAAATTTCTCTGGAGGAAGTCAGATGTCACTATATTCATCACGAGATTTTACAAAAGCTATGTCTCTTACCTGTTTGCAGAGTACTAGGGAAAGACAAGGTGACTTTTTCATCTTCATTCTGATAGTTAAATCCTGTAGCATGTATTTCTGGAATGAGAAAAAAAAATACTTCACAATTCTGACTGGACTGACAAGACGAAATCAAGACTGCAACATTTTCAAGAGCAAAATCTCTACAAAAACTAAATATTCTTAATTTGGTGAATTAAGTTCCTATTAGCAAGAGTTTCATTTCAAATGAGCCTATTCTAGGTTACATTAACTACATTAAATATGCTCCTTAAAAATAATTACAAATTCTTTAAAATTCACAAAACGTCAGTGATGTACAGGAAAGAAGGCTTTATAAATGTGATGCTTTTCTATCAGATTCCTGTGTGACTATGATATTGTGATATTGCAGTCTTACTCATGAACATTTGAGACTTGGCAACTTGCCAAGATTTCAGTGTTAAAGATACATCAAGGAAAGGTCTGTTCCCCAAAGGTAAGTAGCAATTCAAACTAAGATATAAATCATACCCACTTCTGGTAAAATTCTTTGTTGTGGCCAGGCGTGGTGGCTCACGCCTGTAATCCCAGCACTTTGGGAGGCCGAGGCAGGCGGGTCACCTGGGGTCAGGAGTTCAAGACCAGCCTGACCAACACGGAGAAACCCCGTCTCTACTAAAAATACAAAACTAGCCGGCTGTGGTGGTGCATGCCTATAATCTCAGCTACTTGGGAGGCTAAGGCAGGAGAATCGCTTGAACCCGGGAGGCAGAGGTTGCAGTGAGCCAAGATCGCATCATTGCACTCCAGCCTAAACAACAACAGAGAAACTCTGTCTCAAAAAAAAAAAAAATTATTTGTTGTTACATGAAAACAGGTATGCAAATTGAATTAAGGCTTTGACTTACTCTCTGCCAGGAATGAGAAGAGACTGCTTATTTGACTGATACTTTAGGATGCTTGGACATGTTAGGGAAATAACCAAAGACACCAACTTCCAACTATGTCCTATCCCCATTCCAAATGAAAAGCTGGCCAATCAGGCCGGACATGGTGGCTCACACCTATAATCCCAGCATTTTGGGAGGACGAGGCGTGTGGATCACCTGAGGTCAAGAGTTCGAGAACAGCCTGGCCAACATGGCGAAACCCCATTTTTACTAAAAATATAAAACTTAGCCAGGCATGGTGGCAAACGCCTCTAATCCCAGCTATGCGGGAGGCTGAGGCATGATAATTTAGAATTGCTTGAACTCAGGAGGCGGAGGTTGCAGTGAGCCGAGATTGTGCCACTGTACTCCAGCCTGGGCGACAGAGCGAGACTCTGTCTCAAAAAAAGAAAAAAAAAAAAAAAGTATAAGGTAGGATGTAGAGAAACTGGAGCATATATTGATAGTGGGAATGTAAATGGTGCAGCCACTTTTGGAAAACAGTTTGGCAATTCCTCAAAAGGTTAAATACAGAGGTATCATGTGATACAGCAATCCCATTCCTAAGTATATGTCCAAGAGAAATGAAAACACATGTCCACATAATGTTTGTATACAAATGTTCATAGTAGCATTATTTATAATAATCCCAAAATGAAAACAACTCAAATGTCCATCAACTGATGGAATAGATAAAATGTGGTATATCCATACAACTGAATGTTATTTGACAATAAAAAGAAATGAAATAGCTGACACATGCTACAACGTAAATAACCTTGAAAACATTATACTAAGAAACCAGCCACATATTTGTCCATAACAGGGCAATCTATGGAGGCTGAAAGTAGATTCATAGTTGCCTAGGGCTAGGTGATAGAGGGGAAATAGGCAGGGTACTTTCTTTCTGGAGTTCAGAAAGTGTTCTAAAATTGATTGTGATGATGGCTGTACAACTCTGTAAATAGACTAAAAACCGCTGAATTGTATGCTTTAAATATTAATAGATGACATGTATGGTATGTGAATTATACATCAATAAAGCTATTATTGAGGTGGGGAGAAAGGAAAGTACTACAGAAAGACAAGGGAGGAGAGGTGGCCATGAGTACCTTTATCAGTCACAGGATGCTGTGGGTAACAATGATTCAGATTACATAACATTTTACAGGCAAGATGCCCATAATTCTTCCTTTCTTTTATGAATCACCCAAATATAGGATTTCAAATGTTTCTGCTGTCACTATGGTTCACACATTTTTATAAAGCCAAAATCTCTACAAAACCAATTAAGAAACTGTAATTTCAGATTTTAAAAGAACTTTAATAAATCCTCTAATCAAATCTTCCTCATTTTACAGATGAAGAAAATGAGACATATAAAGTTAATGGTTTGTCACATGTTAACTAGCTAGACTACAACTCAGTTCCCTCACTTCTATTGCCAAAATTATTTCTACAATCACAAGCTAGCTCCTAAATTTGTTTGGTTTTGTTTTGTTTTTTGAGACAGGGTCTCACTTTGTTGCCCAGGCTGGAGTACAGTGGCACTATCTCAACTCACTGCTACCTTTCCCATCAGGTTCGGGAGATTCTCCCACCTCAGCCTCCGGGGTAGCTGGGGACTACAGGCGTGAGGTGCCACTAGGCCCATCTAATCTTTTGTATTTTTAGTAGAGACAGGGGTTTCCCCAGGTTGTCCAGCCTGGTCTCAAACTCCTGGATTCAGGCAATCTACCCACCTCAGCCTCCCGAAGTGCTGGGATTACAGGGCTGAGCCACCGTGCCTGGCCCAGCTCCTAAATTTGAATAGAAATCAAATTTGACAAGAATCACTTCAATGCTTAAGAATGTTCCTTTCTGGGCTGGGCGCAGTGGCTCACGCCTGTAATCCCAGCACTTTGGGAGGCCGAGGTGGGTGGACCATGCGTGGTGGTGCATGCCTGTTATCTCAGCTACTTGGGAGGCTGAGGCAGGAGAATCACTTGAACCTGGGAACGGAGGTTGCAGTGAGCCAAGATGTGCCACTGCACTACAGCCTGGAGACAGAGTGAGACTCTGTATCAAAAAAAAAAAAACAAAAAACCTACAGCTGTTGAATAAAAAGGTAAACAACCCAATTTAAAAATGGCAAGACTTAAACTTCACAAAGGAAAATTTATAAATGGCAAAAAAAAAAAAAAAGCACATAAAAAAGTGTTCAGCATCATTAGCCATTAAGGAAAGGCAAATTAAAATCACAATGACATATCACTACACATCCATTAGACTAGGCTATTAAATGACTGACAATAAAAATGTTGCCCAGGGCCAGGCATGGTGGCTCTTGCCTGGAATCCCAGCACTTTGGGAGGCCAAGGCAGGAGGATCACCTGAACCCAGGAGTTCAAAACCAACCTGGGCAACACAGGAAAAATAAAAAAAAATTAGTCATACGTGGTGACACAAACCTGTGGTCCCAGCTACTCCAAAGGCTGAGGCAAGAGCATTGCTGAAGCCTAGGAGGTTGAAGCTGGAGTGAGCCATGAACATGCCACTGCACTCCCATCTAGGTGACAGAGTGAGACCCTGTCTCGAAAAAGAAAAAAAAATGTGCAGGGTGTAGCACAATAACTAGAAGTCATGCTGGTGGTGCCTCTTTTACTATTCAGACTGTAAGCATTTTCCAACCCCAGGGTTTCTGCATCTGCTTGCAAAGTCTCCAGATATCTAAACACTTTATGTCATTCAGGCCTCTGCTCAAATCACTTTTTTTTTTTTTTTTGAGACAGGGTCTCACTCTGTTGCCCAACCTGGAGTACAGTGCTGCCATCTTGGCTCACTGCAACCTTGACCTCTCAGGTTCAAGTGTTCCTCCCACCTCAGCCTCCCAAATAGCTAGGACTACAGGCGCCCACCATCACACCCGACTAATTTTTGTATTTTTTATAGACATGGGGTTTCACCATGTTGCCCAGGCTGGCCTCAAACTCCCGAGCTCAAGTGATCCTCCTGCCTCAGCCTCCCAAAGTGCAGGGATTACAGGCATGAACCACCACACGAAGCCTCGAATCATCTTTTTTTTTTTTTGAGATGGAGTCTTGCTCTGTCGCCCAGGCTGGCATGCAGTGGCATGATCTTGGCTCACTGCAACCTCCGCCTCCCGGGTTCAAGCACTTCTGCCTCAGCCTCCCGAGTAGCTGGGACTACAGGCACGCACCACCACGCCTGGCTAATTTTTGTATTTTTAGTAGAGACGGAGTTTCAGCACGTTGGCCAGGATGGTCTCAGTCTCTTGACCTCATGATCCACCCGCCTCGGCCTCCCAAAGTGTTGGGATTACAGGTGTAAGCCACCACGCCCAGCCTCAAATCACTTCTTTAAAGATCTGTTCTATCAACTTGAAGAACAATCCTCATTCTATACCCTCTTGTGATTTTACAGCACTTATCACTACTTTACATCACATATTTGCTTGTTGCCTGTCTTCTCAAATATCAGAAATGTTGATGCTTGATTTTGTTCACAGCTCTACTTCCAATGCTAGCAGTTTCTGGCACATAGTGTGTGTTCAGTAAGTATCTGTAGAATGAATGAATCACTTCAAAAGCAACAGACTAAGTAATTATGTCATGGAGATCATTAATGCTACTCATATGAAATATATTAATGAAAAATCACATTTACTAATGTTATGTGAATAGAGACATGGCTAGGGATAAAATTTCCAGTCACAACATAATATACTGATTCAAATAAGGATCTATCTCAAACCTCTTAGAAGATAATATTTGCTCTGGAACTGTTAGACTGTTTAAAGGGTAGAAACCCATAAATACTGAAGATGCATATGAGAAGTCTGAGGAGGCTTCACTGGAGAAAAAAGTATTTCTAAATTAATGTTTACATTAATACTAATATATAATTAGTATATTTATATATTATAGTAATATATAATACTGATATGATAAATGAATAATTCATTCACTAATACAGTTTGCAATATATTCATAATTGGAAATGTATATATGTAAATTAAGCATTGTACATAGACACTTCACTATATATCGTGTATCAATACAACTTAAACTTGATCGAAAACTTTTAAAAATGGAGTATGAGAGAATCTTATAAGGTATATATGATTATTCAATTCTCTAAGCCTCCGTTTCCACACCTATAAAATTAAAATCATATCATTACCTAATTCTTTCTTTTTAAAATTGAGATAAGGGTCTCACTATGTTGTTCAGGCTGGTCTCAAACTCCTGGGCTCAAGCACTGGCAATCCTCCCACCTCAGCCTCCTGAGTAGCTGAGATTATAGGAGTATACCATTGTGCCTGGCACCTGCTTCTTAATTAAAGATTGGGGGCCAGGCACGGTGGCTCACACCTGTAATCCCAGCACTTTGGGAGACCGAGGTGGGAGGATCACTTGAGGTCAGGAGTTTGAGTCCAGCCTGGCCAACATGGTAAAACTAAACATACAAAAATTAGCAGGGCATGGTGGCGTGCGCCTGTAATCCCAACTACTTGGGAGGCTGAGGCAGGAGAATCGCTTGAACCTGGGAGGTAGAGGCTGCAGTGAGCTGAGATCGCACCACTGCACTCAGTCTGGGCAACAGAGTGAGACTCCATCTCAAAGAAAAAAAAAATTATATAATATACTCTTATATAAAACACACAGCACAGTTCCTAGTTATTGTTAAGAAACATTTTTCAGGGCCGGGAGCAGTGGCTCACGCCTGTAATACCAGCACTTCTGGAGGCCAAGGAGGGCGGATCACGAGGTCAAGAGATCGAGACCATCCTGGCCAACATGGTGAAACCCCGTCTCTACTAAAAATACAAAAAATTAGCTGGGTGTGGTGGCACGTGCCTGTAGTCCCAGCTACCCAGGAGGCTGAGGCAGGAAAATGGCGTGAACTCGGGAGGCGGAGCTTGCAGTGAGCCGAGATCGTGCCACTGCACTCCAGCATGGGCAACAGAGCAAGACTCCATCTCAAAAAAAAAAAAGAATCACTTTTCTAGATCATAACACACCTTACAGTTCTTTATTGATCCAACTGCAATTGGTCCATTATATACATATATATAACAGCTTTTGCTGAAACTACTTATTAGGCCTTTTAAATATAATTAGCATTTTAAAATCTATAAACATATATATTTGGGTATAAGCATCTATGTGTAAGTGTGTTAGTCATCTATTAAATAGAAGTAAAATTTGATTATAAACATAGCATGTATAAAACCATGACCAGGCTGGGCATGGTGGCTCATGCCTGTAATCCCAGGACTTTGGGAGGTCAAGATGGGCAGATCACCTGAGGTCAGGAGTCTGAGACCAGCCTGTCCAACATGGTGAAACTCCATTACTACTAAAAATACAAAAATTAGCCAGGCGTGGTGGTGCACGCCTGTAATCCCAGCTACTCGGGAGGCTGAGGCAGGAGAATCGCTTGAAACGGGGAGGTGGAGGTTGCAGTGAGCTGAGATCACGCCACTGCACTCCAGCCTGGCTGAGAGAGCGAGACTCCGTCTCAAAAAAAAAAAAAACAAACAAACAACAAAAAAAACCATGGCATTATAAAATGACCATAAGCAAAATCAAAAGAGAAGTATATATTGGGGAAAAAATGCTCCAACTCATGATGGAAGGTTAATTTCACTCAAATATAAAGACCACGTTTTAAAAAATCAATAACAAGAATAAGAATAACACTGAAATTTAAAATGGACAAATATGAATAAATTACAGAAAAAGGAAACATAAATGGTTTTTAAAATATAATGAAGAGATTCTTTTTTTTTTTACAATTAACTAAACTTTTTTTAAAATTAACTAAAGTTGGTATTTCACTAGGACGATTTAGCAGATGAAATGGGTTTTAAGTTTAGAACACCATTTCTTCTTCCTTATTACATTTCCCTTTTTAATGTTAGCCCTCTACAAACACACACGTATATACACACACACACACACACACTCTGCATCAAAAAAGCCTTCCTACATTAATACTTGAGCATGATAACCTTACAATGAAAGGTAAATCATTAGTTGAATCATGAAACATTTTCTTCCCCTTGTGGAGAAAAATCAAATTGCTTTTCCTCTGCTCTTACACCACAATCATCAACACAGTAGACTTCTGTGACCAAATGTGTGGGGATTTCTCCCCACCAACAAGAAGCAATCAGTTCTGCAGAAGATACCACCAGCTGAGCACCTTCTAATCCAATTCAATTCTCATGCTATCTACCTGGAGATAGCATTAGATCCCACAGGCTGAGAGAGGGCTCAGTCTCACAAGACTGCCCCCACTTCAGACACTAGTTGTAAGGCCAGGCCTCATCCAGAACTTCTGGCCAACCAGCTTCAAGTCAGTGTTCCCATGACCCCCTTCTTAGGTTTGATTAATTTGCTAAAGCTGTGCCCAGAACTCAGGAAAACACGTGTACTGGTTTATTATAAAGAATAGCACAAAGAATGCAGATGAAGAGGTGCACAGAACAAGGCATGTGGGAAGGGGTGCAGAGCTCTCATACCCTCCCTGGGTGCACCACCCTCCAGGACCCTCCACGTGTTCAGCTATCTGGAAGCTCTCTGTACCCGGTCCAGGACTTCACTGGACCGTCACGACTGAAGCATGGACAACCGGGTAGAAATATGATTGGACAAAGTAGGACCTAATGCTAACAGACTGAGTGGGGAAACCTAGCAAGGCCTCTCTGTTCAGAGTCTTCTTGGCCTCTCTGTGCAACTTCTTTCCTCCCAAGTACAGGGCAGGATGCCTTCTGAAATGGGGGTCTTATGACCTCCAATCAGACAAGGTAGGTCAGATAATTTCTTTGCTGTCAGCTCCAAGACAGAATGTTGGGGGATGATCAGAGTATATTTTTAGTTTCTATTGCCTGCTTGGGGAGAAAAAGGAGCAGGTAAAAGCAAGGCAAGAAAAGGTCAGAGAGCGATTCTGTTTTCTGAAGCCTGCTTCTGAGGTTTAAAGTGCCCCAACGTTATTACAAAAGACCATCTTTCACTTTTATTGATCTGAAGCTGTACTGAAGCCACTTCAAAAACCAAGAATAAAAGGCCAAATATTTCAATAAAATATATGTATATTGTTTTAGTCACTTAGGAAATAACAGGGACTATGGGTGTTCTATGACAGAAACTGTGGATGAAAACCAACATATGTATCATAATATCATAGCACCCTCCCCAACCTTTTTTTTTTTTTTTTTTTTTTTTTTGTTTGAGACAGGGTCTCACTGCATTGCGTAGGCTTGTCTTGAACTCCTGGGCTCAAGCAATCCTTGTGCCTTGGCCTCCCAAAATGCTGGGATTGCAGGCATGAGCCACTGTGCCAGGCCCCCTTTATGTCTATACATAATAAAACTTAATCACATAAAAGGAGGTATAGGGAAAATGAGAAGTACAAGATGGTATTTCAAGAGGCAACATTAAAAAAAGATTGAAATTTTTTAAAATAGCTGAAATCATTATTGCTTATACCATCTATACAAGCATCTAGTGGATTCTGCCTAGGCATTACATTGAGATACAGAAATAAAATCTTCTAAAATTTCAATATCAGAAGTGCCAAGTCAACTGTACTTCAAATTTTCCTTTACAAATTATCTATTTGAAACTCAGAATGTATTTTCCTCCAAGCCACTGCTATACTTAAACAAGTAATCTAAACCACATAATTCTATATAGCCCACATATACCAGTGTAGCTCAGTACTAGATCAAACACATTGTGAGGTTTTATTTTGTTTTTTTATTCAGATAGCAACTTCCCTATCATATTGTTTATGTGGTTTTAGAAAGCAGTTCAGGTGCAAAAAAATAAAGTTCACAGTTCAAAGAAGGCCTACAGTGACTACCTGCTACTTGGAACATACTTTGTTTCTCCACAAAGCTGAAAATAATGTTGCAATGGGAAAGAAAACACATCATTCTGGAGGATATCCAAGGGGGATTCAAGTGAAAAATGGAACCAAGAACTTACTTTGCAAAGCTTCAAGGTGACCTCCTTCTCACCGTAGGGCATAAAAGCCAATCAGATATATGCATAGTTACAGTTCAAGCAGTACCTATACTGACAGGTCCCATATTTTCAAATGGATTTCACATTTATATAACATAGTGATGGTTCTATCCTATTAGGCTATCTAAAAAGTCTAAAAAGAATGAGCATGTGCCAAATATAAATCTGGTTCAACAGAATCAAAAAATTCCTTCTAGGGTGCCCCTGCTCTTAATAAATGACTGTGAACTATTTCATTAAAATCACTCAGGATTCTGGACCAGGATTTCCATTGATTATGTGGTCTTACACGGTTACTTAATTTGTCTAGGTCTCAGTTTATCTTTTTTTTTTTTAAAGGATTTTATATTTGGGTAATAGAGGAGTATATAATTCAAACTAATTATCTCTCTCCTACTTGACACCCACAAAACTAAAAAAGCTGGAAGGAAGGGAAAACTTCTCCTTAAAAGAATCATAGAACAAGATAAGGTGATCAAGATGAAGAAGAGGATGAAATTCCATGAAGAGGAAGCTTTGCATTCTAGGCCACTTTTGCTCTGGGGTCATTTGCTGATCTAGCAGAGATGTAGCAGATTTGGAAGCTGAGGCTATAGGCCCCAGGGACAAAAGTGGAAATCCAGGGCCCATCAACACTGGGGGCTTTGTGGCTGGGTGGGCACTGTGTCTGTAATCCCAGCATTTTGGGAGGCGAGGTGGAAGGACTGCTTAAGCCCAGGAGTTTAAGTAACATAGTCTATCTAGGTAGCACAGTGAGACTCTGTCTCTATTAGAAGAGACAAGACAAGACAAGACAAGAAGCTTGAGTAAATGACCCCCTGCTTTGGGCTTGAAACCAAAAAAGTGATATCCTACCAGGAAAGATGAACAAGAAGAAAAGCAGTCCACAAGTGGAATGTGATTAAACTTCTGAACATCTGAAGCCCAGACACTGGAAAAAGATGAACCTTAAGTATTAGTAACCAACGGGGAACAAAACAAAGCTCCCCTAGATACTAGCAAACTATTCATATACCTGCTTACTATGTTCAAAAATATAAAATCCCAATCCTGAAAAATTTGGCAAGTAACGCGAAGTTACTTTAAAAAAACAAACAAACAAACAAAACCCCCAAAAAAACCCAAAACCAAGCAAAACAAAGAAAACAAGCAAATCTGGAAAAATTAATTCTAGAACAAAAATATGTAATAAGAAAAAACAGGCCAGGCACGGTGTCTCATGCCTGTAATCCCAACACTTTGGGAGGCTGAGGTGAGAGAATCCCTTGAAGCCAGGAGTTCGAGACCAGCCTAGGCAACAAAGCAAGACCCCATCTCTACTAAAAAAAATTAGCCAGGCACCATGGTAGCGTATATCTGTAGTTCCAGCTACTCAGGAGGCTGAGGTGGGAAGATCACTTGAGTTCAGGAGTTTGAGGTTGCAGTAAGCTGCGATCCTGTCACTGCACTCTGGCCTGGGTGACAGAGCAAGACCCTGTCTTTTTTTTTTTCCCTCTTTTTTGAGATGGAGTCTCGCTCTGTTGTCCAGGCTGGAATGCAATGGCGCAATCTCGGTTCACTGCAACCTCCGTCCGCCTCCCGGGTTCAAGCAATTCTCCTGCCTCAGCCTCTCAGGTAGGGGGGACTACAGGCATGCGCCACCACGCCCGGCTAATTTTTTGTATTTTTAGTAGAGACAGGGTTTCACCATGTTAGCCAGGATGGTCTCGATCTCCTGACCTTGTGATCCACCCACCTCGGCCTCCCAAAGTGCTGGGATTACAAGCGTCAGCCACCACACCCAACCGCAAGACCCTATCTTAACAAAAAAAGAGGCCGGGCATGGTGGCTCACGCCTAGAATACCAGCACTTCGGGAGGCCAAAGCAGGCAGATCAGCTGAGGACAGGAGTTCAAGACCAGCCTGGCCAACATGGTGAAACCCCGTCTCTACAAAAACACAAAAATTAGCCAGGCGTGGTGGCAGGCGCATGTAATCCCAGCTACTTGGGAGGCTGAAACAGGAGAATCGCTTGAACCCAGGAGGCAAAGACTGCAGTGAACCGAGATCTAGCCACTGCACTCCAGCATGGGTGACAGAGCGAGACTCCGTCTCAAAAAAAAAAGTGGGGGGTGGGCCAGGTGTGGTGGCTCATGCCTGTAATCCCAGCACTTTGGAGGCTGAGGCATGTGGATCACTTGAGGTCAGGAGCTCAAGACCAGCCTGGCCAACATGGTGAAACCCCATCTCTACTAAAAATAGAAAAAATTAGCCAGGAATGGTGGCACAAGCCTGTAATCCCAGCTATTTGGGAGGCTGAGGCAGGAGAACTGCTTGAACCTGGGAGGCAGAGGTTGCAGTGAGCCGAGATCACACCACTACACCCCAGCCTGGGCAGCAGAGCGAGACTCCATCTCTAAATAAATAAATAAAAATTAATTAATTAATACAAATAAAAACCCACAAAAATGAGCCAGGTGTGGTGGCGTACACCTGAAGTCCCAGCTACTCGGGAGGCTGAGGCACAAGAATTGCTTTAAGCCGGGAGGTGGAGGTAGCAGTAAGTTGAGATAGAGCCACTGTACCCCAGCCTGGGTGACAGAGACTCTGTACAAAAAAAAAATAACACGGAATCAAATCATAATTGCCTGGGGAAGGAGCAAGGAAAAGGGGAGAAAAGGATTATAAAGGGGCATGAGGAAATGTTCTAGGGTGATGAATATGCTCATTACCTGGTTACATTCATGAGAAAACTTATCAAATTACATATTTTAAGATGTACCCTTTATAGTATGTCAACATTACAGGTACTCTCACAAAGCTATCAACAAAAATAGGAAAGAAGCAGCAGCAAGCAACAACAGCCATAACTACTGCCTGGAGAATTTCCCCCAAAACAAACAAACCAAAAAAAGTGTGGGCTGCAGCTAAAAGCAGTACATTTTTAGGATTAAAATTTATATTTAAATGAATATAATAGAAAGAAGGACTGAAAAGTAATAAGCCAAACATCCATCTCAAGACTTCTGTTTGTTTTTTGTTTTTTTTTAAGGGCAGTCAAGTGAAGCAGTGGGAGTGAAGGAGGAATAAAGAAATCTGTAACTGGCTATGATTGATGAGTTATAAACACCACTGCACTGGGACCAGCCTAAAGAAGTTTTTTTAAATCTGCAAAGTAGACCGGGCACGGTAGCGGTGGCTCACACCTGTAATCCCAGCACTTTGGGAGGCCAAGGCGAACCGATCACTTGAGGTCAGGAGTTTGAGACCAGCCTGACCAACATGGTAAAACTCCGCCTCTACTAAAAATACAAAAATTAGCTGGGTGTGGTGGCACATGCCTTTAATCCTAGCTATCAGGAGGCTGAGGCATAAGAATCACTTGAAACCAGAAGGCAGGGATTGCAGTGAGCCAAGATCACGCCACTGCACTCCAGCCTGCGTGACAGAGTAAGACTCCGTCTCAAAAATAAAAAAAAAAAACCTTGCAAAGTAAACCCAAAGGAAGCAGAAGTTAATAAGGAAATAATAGTTAACTGAGGTCTACAAAGCAATGGTTAGTTCTTTGAGAAAAAAAGCAAGAAAACTGAAAAAGATCTGGGATCAAGAAAAAAGTAAAACAGGCTGGGTGCGGTGGCTCATGCCTGTAATCCCAGCACTTTGGGAGACCACGGCAGGTGGATCACAAGGTCAGGAGTTCGAGACCAGCCTGGCCAACATGGGAAACCCCATCTCTACTAAAAATACAAAAATTAGCCGGGCGTGGTGGCCTGCGTCTGTAGTCCCAGCTACTTGGGAGGCAGAGGCAAGAGAACTGCTTGAACCCGGGAGGCAGAGGTTGTAGTGAGCCGAGGTCACGCCAGCACAAGACTCCATTTCAAAAAAAAAAAAAAAAGTAAAACAGAAGGCACAAATAAATAAAATGAGCCCTGACTACTACCTAACTTCCCTTCTAATTCTATTAACTTGAAACTATAGCAGAGCTTCCCTAACTGTGGCAGATCCAAACATGTATTACAGGTTTATCAAGATAATAATTCCCTTGGCCCTTGGACCAGCCTGGTAGGCCTAGAGCAATGAAAGATCTCTGATACCCTCCAGTTGTGAGCCTCCTCTTCCTTATGTACCAGGAAAACATCAGTTTCTACTAATGCCTTGAAAAAAAGTAAGGAAGCATTGATTTGGAGAACAACTAACTCTTCCAGCTTCACACTTAAGAACAGCATACATGGCCGGGCGCGGCGGCTTGTGCCTGTAATCCCAGCACTGCGGGAGGCTGAGGCAGGCGGATCACCTGTGGTCGGAGGTTCGAGACCAGCCTGACCAACATGGATAAACTCCATCTCTACTAAAAATACAAAATTAGCCGGCTGTGGTGGTGCATGCCTGTAATCCCAGCTACTCAGGAGGCTGAGGCAGGAGAATCACTTGAATCCGGGAGGCTGAGGTTACGGCGAGCCGAAATCATGCCATTGCACTCCAGCCTGGGCAATAAGAGCGAAACTCCATCTCAAAAAAAAAAAAAAAAGAACAGCATACACTACAATGTTACTAACATTATGCAATCAGTGTTTTCTCTACATTTAATGCAAAAACTACATAATTTACAGCAGTTTTTTATGCTCTCCATTTTCTTAATATTTAAAATACTGTAAAGAATCTTTACAATTAGTAAGTATCTTGATGGTAGTCCTCAAAGGGAAGTAAAATACAAGTTAAAGCTGGTAACAAAATAATCTCAAATACGAAATAATTTTGTTACCCATAAAGTTACTAGGATAGAGCACATGAAGAAATGCAGACCTGACAAGTCCCCCTTATCTGCAGTTTCACTTTCCACAGTTTCAATTGCCTAGAGTCAACTACAGTCTGAAAATATTAAATGGAAAATTCCAGAAACAAACAATTCATAAGTTTTAAACTGTACTGTTCTGAATAGTGTGATGAAATCTTGTGCCCTCCCATTCCATTCTGCCCAGAACATGAATCATCCCTTTCTCCGACCTATCCATGCTGTATATATATGCCACCCAGCCCATTAGTCACATAGTAGCCATCTCAGTTATCAGATTGACTGTCAATGTATCACAAGGCTTGTGTTTAAGTAACCTTTATTGTACTTAATAATGGCCTCAAAGCACAAGAGTAGTGATGCTAGCAGTTTGGAAATGTCAAAGAAGAAGAGTGAGTATAATACAATAAGATACTATAAGAGAGGCTGGGCACAGTGGCTCATGCCTGTAATCCTGGCACTTTGGGAGGCTGAGGCAGGAGGATCGCTTGAAGCCAGGAGTTCAAGACCAACTTCAGCAATAAAGCCAGACCTGACTCACAAAAAATTTTTACAAATTTGCTGGGTGTGTTGGTGCATACCTATAGTCCTAGCTAACTGGGAGGCTGAAGCAGGAGGATCACTTGAGCCCAGCAGTTTGAGGCTGCAGTGAGATATGATGGCACCACTGCACTCCAACCTGGGCAACAGAGACTCTGCCTCTAAAAATAAATAAATGAAATAATTTTTTTTAAAAAGAAGATATTGGCTGGGCGCGGTGTCTCATGCCTGTAATCCCAACACTTTACGAGGCTGAGGGGGGAAGATCACCTGAGGTCAGGAGTTTGAGACCAGGCTGACCAACATGGAGAAACCCTGTCCCTACTAAAAATACAAAATTAGCCAGGCGTGGTGGCGCATGCCTGTAATCCCAGCTACTTGGGAGGCTGAGGCAGGAGACTTGCTTAAACCCGGGAGGCAGTGGTTGCAGTGAGCCGAGATCACACCATCGCACTCCAGCCTGGGCAACAAGAGTGAAACTGCATCTCAAAAAAAAAAAAAGATATTGTGGCTCACACCTGTAATCCCAGCACTTTGGGAGGCCGAGGCGGGCAGATCACGAGGTCAGAAGATGGAGACCATTCTGGCTAACACGGTGAAACCCCGTCTCTACTAAAAACACAAAAAATTAGCCGGGTGTGGTGGCATGCGCCTGTAGTCCCAGCTACTCAGGAGGCTGAGGCAGGAGAATCGCTTGAACCTGGGAGGCAGAGATTGCAGTGAGCTGAGATCGCACCATTGCACTCCAGCCTGGGCGACAGAGCAAAGTCTCAAAAAAAAGAAAAGAGAGAGAGATGCACACAACATTCATGTAACTTTTATTACAGTATATTGTTATAATGGTTCTATTTTTTATTAGCTTTTGTTAATTTCTTACTATTTCTAATGTAAAAATTAAACTTTATCATAGTACATATGTATAGGGAAAAACATAGCATATATAAGTTTTGCTACTATCTGTGGTTTCAGGCGTACCATTGGGGGTCTTAGAACACATCTGCCATAGATAAGGAGGAACTACTGTATGACAGACTTACTCCATTTATCTAGATTTTCTTCGTTTCATTCAATGTATATTTATTAAATCCCTACTATATGTCAGATACCAGGGAAAACCACAAATGAAAAAGAATGAATCATAATTACTGGATCTTTTTTTTTTTTTTTTTTGAGTAGAAGTCTCTTGTCCCCCAGGCTGGAGTGCAATGGCGTGATCTTGGCTCACTGCAACCTCTGCCTCCCAGGTTCAAGCAATTCTCCCACCTCAGCCTCCCGAGTAGCTAGGATTACAGGCGCCTACCACCACACCCAGCTAATTTTTGTACTTTTTTTTTTAGTAGAGACGAGGTTTCACCATGTTGGCCAGGCTGGTCTTGAACTCCTGACCCTAGGTGAGCCGCCCGCCTCGGCCTCCCAAAGTGCTGGGATTACAGCCATGAGCTACCATGCCCGGCCCCTCAAGGATCTTAAGATTCCATTGAAAAGTAGTACAGACATGACACAAACAAATAATTGCAATATGGTGTGGTTACATTAATGACAAGCAATAGAGTGGCAAGTACATGGACCCTAGATCCAAACCGCCTGGGTTTGAATCCTGGCTCTAACATTTATCAGTTTTATTACCTAAAGTAGATACCCTCTCTGTGCCTACGGTTGTTCTCTATATGAACAGGTAATGCACTTAGTGCCTGGTATAGAGTAAACACTAAACTCATCATTATTTTTATAATTATCACTATTAAACATTATATTATGAAAAATGTTTCACTTGGTTAGGCACCTAACCTGAACTGGAGGTTAAAAAGAAGATAAAACGTTCCCTCTATAGTCAGCAATAAGCCAACTAAATTCCTAAAACAGCAGTCACTAAAGCAATCCATATCACCTTAAGGCTATTTAAATAACGTTTTAAAACTTACCAAGTATAACTAAGACAAAATTTAAAACTATTCTACGCTCATATACTTTGTATATAGCCATATGGAAACCTACACAGGTTCTTTATCAGACAGCCCCTCAATATTATTCAAAACCAACAAATGTAAAAATGAAAGAATGCAAATACACTGCAAACTTCATGTTCTTTATCTCTGATTTGCACTAAAAAGGAATAAAGGGGCTGGCTAACTATCACTTGCTCCTTCTAATGCTGACATTTATTTGGCTCCAGTTTGAACTAATGATACTTAAGGGTTGTTTATTTGAGAATGGATCTATCCTGCATAGAAACCAGAATATACTTCACAGATAAGCATAGAAATCCAAACAAGGGCCAGGCACAGTGGCTCATATCTGTAATCCCAGCACTTTGGGAAGCTGAGGTAGGAGGACTGCTTGAGTCTTGGAGTCTGAGACCAGCCTGGGGAACATTGCAAAACCCCATCTCTACAAAAATTAAAAAATTAGCCAGGTGTGGTGGCACATGCCTGCCATCCCAGCTCTCCGGGAGGCTGTGGTGGGAGAGTAACTTGAGCCCAGGAGGCTGCAGTAAGCCATGACTGTGCCACTGCATTCCAGCCTGGATGACAGAGAAAGACCTGTCTCAAAAAAAAAAAAAAAAAAAAGAAATCCCAACAAACAAGATCAGAAATTAGAAACTTAAGACTTTTGTCTTAATGTTAACACTATATAAACTCTTCCTCTTTGAAAAATATGCCCTCTGTTTGTCACTATTGTCTTGGCAATTCGTTATACTTTCTCACAAGCAAAGAAACCTATTTCAGACTTGCGTTCACACTTATCAAACTATCACTTAAACAGAGTATTTAAGGTCTGGTGCAGTGGTTCACACCTGTAATCCCAGCACTTTGGGAGGCCAAGGTGGGCGTCAACAGTTTGAGAGCAGCCTGGCCAAAATGGGGAAACCCCATCTCTACAAAAATTTAAAAATTAGCCAGGTTTGGTGGCACACACCTGTAATCCCAGCGACTTGGGAGGCTGAGGCACAAGAATCGCTTCAACCCAGGAGACGGAGGCTGTAGTGAGCCGAGATAGTGCCACTGCACTCCAGCCTGGGCAATAAGAGTGAGACTCTATCTCAAATAATAATAATAATATTTAATAAAAACTCTTTGAATGACACAAATTACCACTTAGGCAAAAAGAACCTTGGTATTTACAGGGGTAAAAAGTTCAAATAAATAATAAACTTCATTTATTATTATATATAAGCCAAGGGAATTTATTATATGCAAGGGAATCACTGTTCAGACAATGAGCTGAGGGGCCAGAATTTGTGAGACAGAAGGGGTCCTTTTCACACAATATTTACTTGAAGTTTCACAATAATCAAAGGTATCTGCTTTTAGCCCAGTTATTCATGTATACACATCAACAAGATTTAAATTAACCAAAATGTTAAATGTTTATTAAGCTGCCACCATATAATGTAGGTTTTGGAACTAGTATTTAAATGGAAGAGTATATCTTCAGAGTAAAGTTCCATTGAGAAATAGAAAAGTCTGTAAAACCAGGTCTCGTCTTATAACAAGAAACTGATACTGACTTCTGTAACAAAGCTAAATAGTCTCTTGATGTGTAGTTGGCACAATTCCAGAAATCTAAACTACTAGCAAATTTGCTTATATCTGGTATAACTGGGCCGGGCGTGGTGGCTCATGCCTGTAATCCCAGCACTTTGGGAGGCCGAGGTAGGTGGATCACCTGAGGTCTCGAGTTCGAGACCAGGCTGGCCAACATGGTGAAACCCTGTCTCTACTAAAAATACAAAAATTAGCTGGGCGTGGTGGTGCACGCCTGTGATCCCAGCTACTCGGGAGGCTGAGGCAGGAGAATTGCTTGAACCTGGGAGGCAGAGGTTGCAGTGAGCAAGATCATGCCATTGCACTCCAGCCTGGGCAACAAGAGTGAAACTCTGTCTCAAAAAAAAAAAACAAAAAAACATATATATATATATATCTGGTATAACTGTTACTATATCTAAAGAAAGGGATGAGAAACAAACCTTTAATTTCTACTTGAAATGATTTTTCATTTTTGCAAAGAGAAAAGGGTACATAACTAATATCCAAACAGAGTTAATAAAAGCCTATTAAGGATTATTTTAAAACAAGTTATTTAAAAAAAAAAAAAAAAGTTCTACTAGTTGCAGTGAGCCGATACTGCACCACTGTACTCCAGCCTGGGCAATACAGCAAGACTCCATCTCAAAAAAAAAAAAAAAAAAAAAAACAGACACATGCCCATAGGTCTTTTAGGATGACTGCACATATCACAAAAAAATGGCCTTTTTCTTCAAATAAAAACTTACACAAAGAAGCAACAATTGGCCAGGCACGGTGGCTCACACCTTTAATCCCAGCACTTTGGGAGGCCGAGGCGGGCGGATCACAAGGTCAGGAGATCGAGACCATCCTGGCTAATACGGTAAAATCCCGTCTCTACTAAAAATACAAAAATTAGCTGGGCGTGGCGGCGTGCGCCTGTAGCCCCAGCTGCTGGGGAGGCTGAGGCAGGAGAATGGCGTGAACCCGGGAGGCAGAGCTTGCAGTGAGCCGAGACTGCGCCACTGCACTCCAGCCTGGGCGACAGAGTGAAGACTCCATCTCAAAAAGAAAAAAAAAAAAAATTAAAAGAAGCAACAATTTCATGCCTTAAAAGTAATTTTCTGATTTTACTTTTATCTTTTTTATTACATATATATATATACACACACACACACACACACACACACATACATACATGTGGAAGCCCAAATCTATCCCTGTTCCCAATCCAAACTATTTTTTTTTTTTTTGAGACAGAGTCTTGCTCTGTCGCCCAGGCTGGCGTGCAGTGGCACAATCTCCGCTCACTGCAACTTCCACCTCCCGGGTTCAGGCGATTCTCCTGCCTTCAGCATCCCAAGTAGCTGGAATTACAGGTGCCTGCCACCACGCCCAGCTAATTTTTGTGTTTTTAGTAGAGACGGTGTTTCACCATGTTGGCCAGGCTGTTCTCAAACTCCTGACCACAGGTGATCCGCCCACCTAGCCCTCCCAAAATGCTAGGATTATAGGTGTGAGCCACCACACCTGGCTGCCCCCAATTCAAACTTTAACAACTCATACAACTTCCCATTCTCTTAAACTCTAAAATTACATGGGCTTACACATGACTTCAGGTTTTTTCCTGTTGCTGTGGTAGAAAAGTGTTGAGAAATGTACCTTAGCTAGTTCTGAAGGAAAATATTTTTTTTTTGAGACAGAGTCTCTGTCACCCAGGCTGGCGTGCAGTGGCACGATCCTGGCTCACTGCAACCTCTGCCTCCTGGGTTCAAGCAATTCTCTGCCTCAGCCTCCTGAGTAGCTGGGATTACAGGCACCCGCCACCACACCCAGCTAATTTTTTTATTTTAAGTAGAGATGGGGTTTCACCATCTTCGCCAGGCTGGTCTTGAACTTCTGACGTCATGATCCACCCACCACAGCCTCCCAAAGTACTGGGATTACAGGCGTGAGCCACTGCACCCAGCACTGAATATATATTATGTATCTAAAATAATTTAATGTTTTATCAGAATCTCTCTTCAAATCTTCTTTTCCATTAAGTTTTCATTTCTCTCCTGACTCTCTTAGTAAGAACACTAACTGGGCTTCCGTGAGATACAGATCATTATGAGCTTAGCAACATTCGGTTACACATATTCAAAACTTTTCAGTCAGGTCGGGCGCGGTGGCTCACGCCTGTAATCCCAACACTTTGGGAGGCTGAGGCGGGTGGATCACGAGGCCAGGAGTTCAAGACCAGCCTAACAAACATGGTGAAACCCCATCTCTACTAAAAATACAAAAATTAGCCGGGTGTGGTGGCACACGCCTGTAATCCCAGCTACTCAGGAGGCTGAGGCAGAAGAATTGCTTGAACCCCAGAGGTGGAGGTTGCAGCAAGCTGAGATCGTTGGGCGACAGAGCTAGACTCCATCTCAAAAAAAAAAAAAAAGAACTTTTCAGTCACCTGAATTCTATCCCGACATTTTTAGTACAGGAAGATAAAAAACAAACTTGAGCTGAAACCATGCCAGCTGGAAGGTACACATTTATATTACTAGATCTACCTATCTACATACCACTTTAAAACCACACATCGAATTTAAACATTCTCTACCTGCAACAAAGAAAGCCTTGTTGCTTTGATATACCTGGCTAAAGTACTTCTATTTTTCTCCACAGTTAAAGAAATTAAATAATCACTCTTTCATTTACCAGACAATTTTTTAAAAGTGGCACTCATTCAAGTCCATTTGAAGAATCTGTTCTTCCAGCAGTTTGATCTAATTTACAATCAATTGAACTTAAGTACTTCTTCGGAACAGTATGTTCAACTGCTACTACTTTGACTTTCTATAGACAAAATAGTTTAAGAAAAAATCATAAATGTTATGAGGCCTTAAAATGAAACTTCTTTTCAGTATAATGTAAAGGAGAGAGGAAATCAAAATATAAAATGTAAGTTAAAAGATCAAATGTGTAAATTATTTTATTTTATTTATTTTTTTATTTTTTTTTTTGAGACGGAGTCTCGCTCTGTCGCCCAGGCTGGAGTGCGGTGGCGCGATCTCGGCTCACTGCAAGCTCCGCCTCCCGGGTTCACGCCATTCTCCTGCCTCAACCTCCCGAGTAGCTGGGACCACAGGCGCCCGCCACCACGCCAGGCTAATTTTTTGTATTTTTAGTAGAGACAGGGTTTCGCCGAGTTAGCCAGGATGGTCTCTATCTCCTGACCTTGTGATCCGCCCACCTGGGCCTCCCAAAGTGCTGGGATTACAGGCGTGAGCCACTGCGCCCGGCCTTAAATTATTTTTTATTAAAGAAGTCTCAGAGTAACCAATAACCATTTTGACAAGGAATGTCTAGGTGAAATCAAAAGTAAAAAGGCAACCAGGTGTGGTGGCTCTTGCCTGTAATCCCAGCAACCTGCGAGGCCAAAGAGGTCGGATCCCTTGAGCCCAGGAGTTCAAGACCAGCCTGGGCAATATAGGAAGACCCCCCCCATATCTATAAAAAAATACAAATACGAATATTAGCCAGGCATGGTGGTACACGCCTGTAATATCAGCTACTTGGGAGGGTGAGGTGGGAGGATGGCTTGAGACCAGGAGACAGAGGTTGTGGTAGTTGAGATCATGCCACTGCCCCCCAGCCTGGGTGACAGAGCGAGACTCTCTCAAAAAAAAAAAAAGTAAAAAGCAATCCAGCTCCAATACTGATGTACTTGTAAGAGTTTATGCCAAACTTGGTATCTATTTAAAAATCAGCTCATACGGGAATAAGATTTCCAGTCAAAATGGACTACTTTCATACTAAAATTATAAGGTCTAAAACAGTTCTCGGCCGGGCGCGGTGGCTCACGCCTGTAATCCCAGCACTTTGGGAGGCCGAAGCGGGTGGATCACGAGGTCAGGAGATCAAGACCATCCTGGCTAACACGGTGAAACCCCGTCTCTACTAAAAATACAAAAAAATTAGCCAGGCGTGGTGGCGGGAGCCTGTAGTCCCAGCTACTCCGGAGGGTGACGCAGGAGAATGGCGTGAACCCGGGAGGCGGAGCTTGCAGTGAGCCGAGATCGCGCCACTGCACTCCAGGCTGGGGGACAGAGCGAGACCCCGTCTCAAAAAAAAATAAAAAATAAAATAAAATAAAACAGTTCTCATTTTATAGACACTAATCGAGTTCCACATTCTATACCATGTTTCTTTTTAGCATGTTCTTCCCCTGTAACTAACTCCATTATTTAGCTTCTAATCTTCATATTGTCTCATAAAGCAAATGTTTTTCTCTGAATTAGGAGTATGACTTATCTCAATTTTAAACTATAGTACAAAAAGAAAAAAAAACTTTAAGAAAAACATAAAAACGAAGCCTCTTTGAGGAGCCTTTCATGTTCAAAGTACTTAATTTTTCAAATAACTCATCAGCTTTATTATGCGTATTATATTCATTTTATACTTATGAAAATATGATTTCCCTAGTACCACAAAATAAGTTAATCTTGGAAGTGGAATTTTAATTGTGACATTTGCCCGGGTGTGGTGGCTCACATCTGTAATCCCAGCACTTTGGGAGGCATGCAGATCACCTGAGATCAGGAGTTCAAGACCAGCCTGGCCAACATAGCAAAACCCTGTCTCTACTAAAAATACAAAAATTAGCTAGGTATGATGGTGGACACCTGTAATCTCAGCCACTCAGGAGGCTGAGGCAGGGAGAACTGCTTGAACTCACGAGGCAGAGATAGCAGTGAGCTTAGATGATGCCACTGCACTCCAGCCTGGGCATCAGAGCAAGACTCTGTCTCAAAAAAAATAAAAATAAAAATAAATTTAAAAGTAAAATAAATTGTGACATTTATTTCACAATACTGTTAGGTTATACTATTCAATATTTCCCATAAACATTTTACCCTTTTTCTTTTTCTTTTTTTGAGTCAGGGTCTCACTCTGTCGCACAGGCTGGAGTGCAGCGGCGCAGTCATGGCTCACTGCAGCCTCGGCCACCTGGGCTCAATAGATCCTCCCACCTCAGCCTCCCAAATAGCTGGGACTACAGGCACGCACCACTATGCCTAGCTAATATTTTTGTTTGTTTGTTTGTTTTTGTTTCGCCATGTGGCCCAGGCTGGTCTCAAACTCATGGGCTCAGGGATCTGCTCGCCTCAGCCTCCCAAAGTGCTGGGATTATAGGCGTGAGCCACTTCACCCAGCTGAATTTACCCATTTCTAAAGTAACAAACACTGAAGTCTTAACCTGAAAATGTCTCTCTCTCTCTCTCTCACACACACACACACACACACCCCACATATGCACATGCAGACAGCAAATTAAAATGGAAAACAGCTCTTACCTTCATCTCCTTCTGGTGCATATGAAGCTGTAATAATATCAATATCAGCACAATTCATCACAATCTGATTAGTCGCCTGCCTCACCTAAGGGGAAAAGGAAAATCAACAGTGTCAGAAATAGCCTAGATTAATAGTATATACAACTTGGCCAGGTGTGTTGGCACACACCTGTAATCCCAGCACTTTGGGAGGCTAAGCAAAGAGGATCGCTTGAGCCCAGGAGTTTGAGACCAGCCTGGAAAACATGGCGAAACCCCATCTCTACAAAAAATACAAAAATTGGCCAGGAGTTGTGATGTGTGCCTATAGTCCCAGCTACTCGGGAGGTTGAAGTGGGAGGACTGCTTGAGCCCAGGAGGTTGAGGCTGCAATAAACTGTGATTGTGCAGCTGCACTCCATCCTGGGCAACTGAGCAAGACTCTGTGTCTCTCAAATAATAATAATAATGATGTTCGTAAGACTTGAACTAATATCACAGTCAATTTTTTAAAATCCAGACTTCGCTAAAACCTAGACTGAGAATTTATGCATCAATGGTACAAATAAATGAAGTTTTAATAATCCAAAGCAACTCATATTTTCCAAATTATATTAAAAACAATAATGGATGTTTAAGTATTTCACATCACTTACATCTAACCAATGAGCCAAATAAAATAATGTTTTCTACTTAAACTTTGATTTTAAACTATTAAAGGGCTGGGCACAGTGGCTCATGCCTGTAATCCCAACACTTTGGGAGGCTGAGGCAGGAGGATTACTTGAGGTCAAAAATTCAAGACCAGCTTGGGCAACACAGTGAGACAAAAAAAAATTTTAAATTAGGAGGGTGTGATGGTACCCACCTATAGTCCTAACTACAGGAGAGGCTGAAGGAGGAGGATCCCTTAAGCCCAGGAGGTCAAGCAAGGCTGCAGTGAGCTATGATTACATCACTGACCTCCGGCCTGAACAACAGAGTGAGACTCTGTCTCAAAAAATAAAAATAGGCTGGGGGCATCGGCTCACACCTGTAATCTTGGCACCTTGGGAGGCCGAGGCAGGCGGATCACTTGAGGTCAGGAGTTTGAGATCAGCCTGGCCAACATGGTGTAACCCCATCTCTACTAAAAATTAGCCAGGTCTGGTGGCACACACCTGTAATCCCAGCTACTCACGATGCAGGGGCAGGAGAATCACTTGAACCCAGGAGGTGAGCTTGCAATGGGCCGAGATCGCACCATTGCACTGCAGCCTGGGCGACAGAGTGAGCCTACGTCTCAAAAAAAAAAAAAAGAATACAAAAATCAGCCAGGCAAGGTGGCATAGGCCTGTAATTCCAGCTACTCAGGGGGCTGAGGCACGACAATTGCTTAAACCCGGGAGGCAGAGATTGCAGTGGGCTGAAATCCTGCCACTACACTCCAGCCTGGTAACAGAGTGATACTCTATCTCAAAATAAATAAATAAATACGTTTAATTTCATAAAAATCTTAATTAGGAAACATTTCTTACAACATATTGCAATAATTATATATTTTAACCTGCACATCAAACTCACCATGAGGCCTTCTGTGAGGATAGAGGAAGAAGGCTGATACTATAAATTATGTCAAAACTTTATACAATAACTCTTACCACCGAGTGTGGTGGCTCACACCTGTAATCCTAGCACTTTTGGAGGGTCAGGCAGGCAGATCACTTGAGGCCAGGAATTCAAGACCAGCCTGGCTGACATAGAGAGTAGAGAGACCCCATCTCCACTAAAAATACAAAAATTAAGGCCGGGCACGGTGGCTCACGCCTGTAATCCCAGCACTTTGGGAGGCCGAGGCAGGCGGATCATGAGGTCAGGAGATCGAGACCATCCTGGCTAACATGGTGAAACCCCGTCTCTGCTAAAAATACAAAAAATTAGCCGGGCATGGTGGCAGGTGCCTGTAGTCCCAGCTACTCGGGAGGCTGAGGCAGGAGAATGATGTGAACCTGGGAGACGGAGCTTGCAGTGAGCGGAGATTGTGCCACCACGCTCCAGCCTGAGCAACAGAGCAAGACTCTGTCTCAAAAATAAATAAATAAATAAATAAACAAACAAACTAGCATCTTGGTCCATGTTTTCCTGTGCACACATGAGAGAATTTTTCCATGGAAAGGAACCTAATAGTGGACTTTCTGGATTGTTGGACATAAATCTTCAACTTTACCAAGAACTGCCAAATTATCCTCTAGAGTGGTGTCAACTGACATTCCCATGAGCAAAGAATGAAGAAATCCCACTTTCAGCATGTTCTGAAAAACTTTAGTATTTTTGACAATCTAATGGGTATTAAATGATAGTCCTGGCCAGGCACAGTGGCTCACGCCTGTAATCCCAGCACTTTGGGAGGCTGAGGTGGGTGGATCACTTGAGGTCAGGAGTTCAACACCAGCCTGACCAACATGGTGAAACCCCATTTCTACTAAAAAAAAAAAAAAAAAAAAAAAAAAAATTAGCCAGGCCTGTGGTGCGTGCCTGTAATCCCAGCTACTTGGAAGGCTGAAGCAGGAGAATCACTTGAACCCAGGTAGTGGAGGTTGCAGTGAGCTAGATTGAGCCATTGCACTCCAGCCTGGGCAACAAGAGCAAAACTTTGTCTCAAAAATTAAAAAAAAAAATTTTTGTACTGATAGTCCATTGGTTTAATCAGAATTTCCCTGATTACTAATAACATTGGTTACTATGCATCTTTTCTCGTGTGTGTGTGTGTGTGTGTGTGCACGCGCCATTAAGTTTTTCCACTGTGAACTGCTTGTTTAACACTCTTGTGCATTTTTCTTTTTTTTTTTTTTTTTTGAGATGGAGTCTCGCTCTCTCACCCAGGCTGGAGTGCAATGATGCGATCTTGGCTCACTGCAACCTCCATCTCCTAGGTTCAAGTGATTCTCCTGCCTCAGCCTCCTGAGTAGCTGGGATTACAGGTGTGCAACACCACACCCATCTAATTTTTGTATTTTTAGTAGAGATGGGGTTTCACCTTGTTGGTCAGGCTGGTCTCAAACTCCTGACCTCGTGATTCGCCCGTCTCAGCCTCCCAAAGTGCTGAGATTACAGACGTCAGCCACCACGCCTGGCCTCTTGTGCATTTTTCAATTTAGTCATAACCTTGCTTAAAACAAAACTTGTTTTGTTTTAAACAAAACTTCAAATTCATTTCCAGACATTTGAATGTTCTAAATCTAAAATAACAAAAACACAGATGCCCTAAATCACAAAGAAATGCTTCCTGAGGCAGGTAAGTGTAGCAAGCCATGTGGAAGCTGTGCACAACCCCTTAAAAGAAGGAGGTGGTAGCCATTTCTTGGAGCCAAAGAATTATCGCTATGGTGACTGGCAGGTTTAGTGCTGACAGATCTTCCAATTTTTTTTTTTTTTTTTTGAGACGGAGTTTTGCTCTTGTTGCCCAGGCTGGAGTGCAATGGCGTGATCTCGGCTCACCGCAACCTCCGCCTCCCAGGTTCAAGCGATTTTCCTGCCTCAGCCTCCCTAGTAGCTGGGATTACAGGCATGTGCCACCACGCCCGGTAAATTTTGTATTTCTAGTACAGACGGGGTTTCTCCATGTTGGTCAGGCTGGTCTCGAACTCCCGACCTCAGGTGATCTGACCGCCTCGGCCTCCCAAAGTGCTGGGATTACAGGCATGAGCCACCGCACCTGGCCTGATCTTCCAATTTTTTTTTTAAAAGCTACAAATTCAGATTTCATGTGCAGTCTCTCTATTTTTTATTAATGGTAACTAATTCAAGTTTTCAGAAACACTGTATAGACCAAACAAAATCTGTGTGCAGATCAACAATGCTCTTAGACAACTGAACATACCACAAAACTAGGTAAGAACATCAGAGTAGTACGATATCTGCATGAAAGACCTGTATACGGGTAATCATTTATTAATAACCAATACATATTTAAACATGATTAGCTGGCAACTAAAATTACCTGCCTAAATGAGAGACAGTAAATTGCAAAGTCTATAATGAGCTATTCAAAATCTGTAACACATAAAGTGAAACTACTTTGGCTTACAAAAAAAAATGCTTCTCATAAGTCTTCATGTTTCAAAACAAAGACGTCATTTAATGAATGGCTTATCTTTTAAGCAGCAATATTCCTTCACACTATTTCACCAAAACATACCTAAATAGCACTAAAACCTTTGTGTCCAACTGGCGATTTATAGCACTAAAGTTGAACAAAAAAACAAAAAGAATTCTTTGCCTATTCAGAAGTTGACTTAAAAATTCAGAAACATGGCTGGGCACGGCAGCTCATGCCTGTAATCCCAGAACTTCGGGAGGCCAAGGTGGGTGGATCACGAGGTCAGGGGTTCGAGACCAGCCTGGCTAACATGGTGAAACCCCATCTCTACTAAAAATACAAAGATTAGCTGGGCGTGGTGGCAGGCACCTGTAATCCCAGCTACTCGGGAGGCTGAGGCAGGAGAATCGCTTGAACCCAGGAGGTGGAGGTTGCAGTGAGCCGAAATCGCGCCATTGCACTCCAACCTGGGCGACAAAAGCAAGACTCCATCTTAAAAAAAAAAAAAATCAGAAACACAAAGAAATGAAGCACTTACTGGGGTATGCTCCAATGGGTAAAATGAATAAAAACCTTTCTGAGTTTGAAGTTTATGCCAGCAAAATAATAACTGTGGTTTAGTTACTGGTCTTAATCATTACCTAGGCAACCACACTTTCATCCATCAACATCTACAGTGAATTTCACAGTAGCCAAGCAGTTAATCCACCAATGTCAAGATACCTGTACAACATTATACATGCCAAATCACACAGCACATTACTACTGCAACCATTTGAGAGAAAGTATTTGTGCATTTTGGAAAGGCACCATGCACAACATCCAATTTCAAGTACCTTCCAACTCCTCCTGTGTTTAGGGGAAACTCATCTATTTATACTAATGAATTAAGCTGTTTCTTGAATTGCTACTAATTTTTTTTTTCCAGGATACTACCATTTCTGGAAGGGTGGGAGGGAGGAACCAAAGGAACAAAGGTACTTATCTTAAAAATAGAAATCCATTCACATTTTAAAAATTGGTCAGCATCTTGTCTTATATTAGAGATGCACTTATTTAAAAAGTTGACCAATAATGGGATAATCTATGTAAAGTCTCTGTTTTAGCACTTAGTGCCTCATATGTAGTCATCACTTAATAGATGTTAAGACATACATATACACACACACAGGTTAAATTGTGCTCTCATATCATCTAACAGCATTCACCTAACAGTTTATAAAGCTTCTGATCAGAATGATATGAAGTTTAAAAACTATGTATTGTATTATATGGCACTTTGGATATCAGCATATGTGTACTACCCCAAGAAGGTAATTTAAAATATCTGTCTGGACATAAGTGTATGTGCTGACTACAACGCAGTATAACACTGCTCTTTGTGATGCTGCTCTTCCAAACAGTAGTGCTGACCTGATGGTGTAGTACATGATTTCTCACCTTTGACACCTTCATATTAGTAAATATTAGCTGTGTGTTCCACTATCAAAAAAACAGGTAATAATTCAAAGAAATTTCAGCATTAAAATCTTCAGTTTCCCAGTTTAAAACACAAGTGAAACAAGGTTGGCATATAAAAGTGCACTGATAACAAGCTCATTTTCAATTTTTCTACTTGATGTTATTAAAGGATAGAATGTTAGTGTATCCTTGCTTTGTTTCAAACCCAGGATTAAGTCTTCTTGGCCTCCTATATAGACTGCACTTCAACTGAGCCAAATACTAAGTAAGGGCTGTACCAAAGAGGCAGCTTGACGCCTGGTAACAACTTTACAATGGAAGTTTCCTATGAGCTAGGGAGGCAGAAATCGGAGATAACATTTTCCTGAATGAGTCTTTACTATAGTCACTCAGGAACATATCTTACATGTACGATAGTAAGACTCAAGAGGGTTTTTTTCTGATTGTCAATGTCCTGAGACTTCAGTAAAAGAAAATCTCCAGTGTGACAATTCCAAATGCCAGTCTGAAGCCTGAGTCAATTTGCCTAATAAAACTGATTTCACCATTAAAATAGCAATAATTGTTGCCTTGGTGGAACAGTTCTATAATAGCTAAAGACAAGAAGAAGCAGATAATTAGTAAACTCAAGTTGAGCCAAGTTTTCTAACAAGAAACACTGAAAAGAGCCATTTGCAGAAGGTCAAAAATAATTACCATTAATGTAAAAATGCAAAAGGCACAGAATATTGGTATGTGATGTTTGTGGCTACTAATATGCAATTAAAGTTTTAAACTATACGTAGGAATAAAAAGGAATAATACGCACCTACCTGAAGAAAGAAGTTACTTCTAGAGGCAGGGTGGGACGAGATGGAAACGGGCTTTAGTGGTATCTGTGACATTTTATTCCCCCCCAAAAAAAGCATGCACAGTCTGATGAAAATGGGGCAAAATGTTAACATCTGTTTAATCTCATAGTGTGTGACTTTCTTGTATTTCTAAAATACTTCCTAATTTAAAATAAAATTTTAAAGAGATTACAAGTGACCAAATAAACCAAGAACCACATACTTGTATGGTGTTCAAAACAAAATCACTAAAATCTAGAGAACTAATCTCAGTTAACAACAAAAGCCATCCGAAGGCTCAGTTATTTCCAACTGACTCACATACAGATTAGAGTAAGATTTACTTCACAACAAGAGCAGGCTCATTTATGTGGCAAAGTTCGGAGAAGCTTCACAGATAATTTACTACTCAAGACCACATTTACCCAGGTTGTATCAGAGTATCAGTTGTATCTAGAACCAGGAAGCTAAAAAGAAAGAAAAAAAAAAAGGCCTGGATGAAAAGCCAAAATAGGTGATACAAAGTCCGTACAATAAAACACATACCCTTTACTCAGAAGAGAATCCAACAAACTCTCACACAGCAATTGATTTTTTAGCCCAAACAAGCTTGTTTATCTGGCTACTAAGGCTTCTTCAGATGAAGTTCAGTAAAATACAAGAGGGAAGAAATTGCACAACAGGCAGCAACAAGGCACAATAAGCAGCAAGAAGAATCTGAGAGTAAGGAAAACAAAACAATTTTAAAGAACAGACACAGGCTAGCCGGGTGCGGTGGCTCAGGCCTGTAATCCCAGCACTTTGGGAGGCCGAGGCGGGTGGATCACAAGGTCACGAGTTCGAGACCAGCCTGGCCAATATGGTGAAACCCCTTCTCTACTAAAAATTCAAAAATTAGCCTGGCATGATGGCAGGTGCCTGTAGTCCCAGCTACTTGGATGAGGCAGGAGAATCGCTTAAACCCGGGAGGCGGAGGTTGCAGTGAGCTGCGATCACGCCACTGCACTCCGGCCTTGGCGACAGAGAAAGACTCTGTCTCAAAAAAAAAAAAAAAAAAAAAAGAACAGATATGGACTAGGCGCGGTGGGTCATGCCTGTAATCCCAGCACTTTGGGAGGCAGAGGCGGGCGGATCACCTGAGGTCGGGTGTTTGAGACCAGCCTAGCTAACATGGTGAAACCTGGTCTCTACAGAAATACAAAAATTAGCCAGGTGTGGTGGCATGCACCTGTAATCCCAGCTACTAGGGAGGCTGAGGCAGGAGAATCCCTTGAACTAGGGAAGTGGAGTTTGCAGTGAGCCGAGATCGCACCACTGCACACTCCAGCCTGGCCTAGGCAACAGAGTGAGACTCTGTCTCAAAAAAAAAAAAAAAAAAAAAAAGAACAGATATGGCTTGGCGCGGTGGCTCACACTTGTAATCCCAGCACTTTGGCAGGCGGAGGCAGGCAGATCACCTGATGTCAGGAGTTCAAGACCAGCCTGGCCAACATGGTGAAACCCTGTCTCTACTAAAAATACAAAATTAGCCAGGCGTGGTGGTGCATGCCTGTAATCCCAGCTACTAGGGAGGCTGAGGCAGGAGAACTGCCTGAACCCGGGAGGCAGAGGTTGCAGTGAGCCGAGATTGTGCCACTGCACAATCTCCCTCCTGCCATCTTGTGAAGAAGGTGCCTGCTTCCCCTTCCCCTTCTGCCATGATTGTAAGTTTCCGGAACTGCAAGTCAATTAAGCCTGTTTCCTTTATAAATTACCCAATCTCAGGTATTTCTTTACATCAGTGTGAAAACAAATGAATACAGTCCCCTTCCCTGAGGTGCCTTCTCCTTAGGCAACCAGCTGCCCCCATGCTCCTCTTCTGCCCCCCTGGTATTTCCTTTCCCCTCATGAGGCCCAAGTGATCCACATGGCCAGCCACAGCCCCATCCTACTGCAGGCCTGTGTGGCTGCTAGAGAGGCCAGGCTCCTTTCCGCACCCCGAGGCTGCCTGATATGCTTTCTGCATCCTGTAGAAAACTGACCCACTATTCTCATACTGGTGCAACTTCTTCCATTACCTCAAAACTGGACAACGTGAACTTGTTTCTTGTCTCTTCTTGCTAGGGCTGTCACTGGGACAGTCCGAGATGGGGGGGTGGGGGGAGACAATGGATGAATGGATGGATGAATGGACAGTAGTCCAGGGAGATGTCCCTGTGTGTCCTGAACTGGGACCTTCCTCCAATGAGAAGCCTTCCTGAGTGAGTTTATACAGTCATCCCTTGGTATCCATGGATTAGTTCTAGGGTCCCCGGGGATGCCAAAATCCATGGATCCTCAAGTCTCTGACATAACATGGCCTAGTATTTACATATCAGCTATGCACATCCTCCCGTAGACATTAGACCATCTCTGGATTATTCATGATGTGTAATACAATGCAGATGCTACATAAATGGTCGTGATACTGGATTCTTTAGGGAATAATGACAAGAACAAACTCTGCACATGTTCAATAGAAACATAACCGTCCAATTTATTTTCTGAATATTTTCCATCTGCTGTTGCTGAATCTACAGATGCAGAGCTCCTGGATACGAGAGCCAAGTGTGCTTTGAGAGTAGGGTGGGTGAGGTTGCTAATGAGTACAGGGGAGCAGGTGTTGATCAGGAGGACCCTGCACTGGGGCATCTGGACGTCCTGCCTCAGGACTTGAGACTCCAGTTGGATGGCACAGGCAGACTCAGCCCAGGTCAAAGCCGTCCCCTTGAAGTTTCTTTTTATCCCAAGCTCTTTCTGGCCCCTGGAATTTGGCATCCCCTAGGCCCTGTGTGGAAGGACAGATGAGCCAGGTTTTAGATAACATGTCTAGAAGAGTGAGCCCCTACTGTGTGCCCGGCACTTTCCCCACAGGATCCTCTAGCTAGAATATCCAAGGGTCATGGAGAGAAATACCCAGTTAAAATATCAGAAATGAAAAAGCGATACCATTAGAGACACTAAAAAGACCATTAGGTAATAGTACTAGCTTTTGTATTCTGAGATCCAACAGCAGCAGTCACTTCCCTCCACCCCTATGTGTATCCCAGGACCACCCTGGGCGGGGAGGGCTGAGGTTAGGGAGCAGCCATGGATGCTCTGATGCTGGCCCTGGGCCTCGGGGGTGACAGTGATGAGGAACTGGGTGCACACATGAGTGGGGCAGCCGGGCCTGGCCAGAGAAGCAGCACACACGTGCACAGATGTGTATACCCACATACACATGTCCACGCACGTGCACAAACACATTGCAGGCAGGCATGTTGACGCCTCAGGCAGCGGAGGACCCTGACTCTGGGCGCTGCTGACCCGGGCAAGGCCCCACTGTGATTCGTGCCATGACCTCAGAATGTCACTGGTGCTTAGCACCTATCTGCTCTCTGGTCTGCCTCAGTGGTCTACAGCAGTTACACACAGGCAGTGGTATCTGTGAGCAGCTCTGTGGACTCAAAGGTTTTCTCCCTGAGAGGCATGACCCAGGCCAGCTGATTCATCAGAATCAGGTGAGCGTGACCTGCTCTCTTCCCTCCAGGCGGACTTGGGGGCAGTGGCTACGGTGCGGGCGGTGTTGGCCTCTGTGGGGCAGCTACCGAGGAGGGTCATCCCTGAGCACTCACCAGGCGCCCGTTCTACACTGCCCGTGTAGACGATTGGCTCTTTCGTCTCCATGGTGGCTTCGTAGAGTGGGTGCTGTTCCCAAATGTCCCCATTCGACAGATGAGACGTCTGGGGTCAGAGAGGCAGTAACCGGCCTGGGAATCCGGACATGACCCTGAGTTTTGCTCTCAGCCCTGCCGTGTGCTGTGCTGGAATTCAGGCCTGAACCCTGTGACCTCCCTGCCCTAGATCCCAAATCTGCCCAGGTTTCCCATCCCGATGGGGCAGAGCCTGGTCCTGGCAGAGCCACTGGTATAGAGCCACTGGTACAGATCCACTGACGGTCCTCAGAACACCTCTGTGCCCTAAGCTGGGTCCTGATGGTCGCTGTGGGCCCCACTGAACACACATGGTCCCTTGTCCGGGGGAGCCTGCTGCCCTTGGGCAGCTGTGGAAAATGAAGGAGCCCTGGAGGGCTGGCTGAGGGGAGACTATCTTCCCTTGTGTTCAAAGGGGTCCGGGCACTAGGGTTCTCCCCAGGTATTTCTTGCTCTGCGTGGTCCTCTTGAGGCCTCGCCCTCCTTTTGCCTCGAGTATTCCCAGGAGGGACGGTCCATCCAGCTGTTCTCCAGGACCAAGGACCCACTGTTCTTCCTCAGTGACCCAGGAAAATGAAGCCTCCTCCTGTTGGGACGGCTCAGAATGGTGGACTCCACAGTCCCTCCGCGAGAGACGTGGTTTCCATGCGTACAATAGATCTTCCTCATCCTCCAAACCCAACACCCTCCTGCTCAACAGGCGTTATTCCTAAAGTGGCTTCACTGTTCAGACTGAAGAGCCACGGTAGCCAAAGTGATGAGCGGAGTAGAACCGAGCAGTCGGGAGAGATCTTGTTCCCTGTAGGAAACTGGGCATCGCTGAGGCCCTGAGCATCCCAGGAGGCCGATTGCACAGAGACCTCTGGTCGCTGACCCCAGTCTGCCTCCACATCCCTGGAATAGCCCATCATGGGCCCTTCACCCTTGGCAGGTGGAAACCATTCAACCTGCTGGGGCCGGTGTGTCCCCATTTCATGGCATTGGGGGACAACAGGATTCTCTGTCTAGGTCCCACTGTACTCAAGTCCTTGGGAAGATGCCCACCCCTGCTTGGGACTTGAGACTCCAGAGACTGGAGCAGCTGTGGGCCACTGGGTCTGGCCCCTTTTTCCCTGGGGGCGGCGGTGGAATGGGGGTTACGCAGCCAGCCAGCATCTGGGAGCCCGGCGAGAGCGGTTCAGGTGTTCTCCGAAGCCGCCGCGTACAGTGTGACCTTTAGACAATTCTGTCTCACAGGATGGACGTGGTAGAGGTCGCGGGCAGTTGGTGGGCACAAGAGCGAGAGGACATCATTATGAAATACGAAAAGGTACAAGTCGGTCTGCTTCTTGGAGGGAGGCCTCTTCCAGTGTGCCCTGGTCAAAGGGTCCTGGGCTCCCTAGGAGCACAGGGCAGGGACGGGTGGCCAATGCCCCCAGGCCCTTGCACCCTTTACCTTGGACCCCTCACCAAGGCTCCCTCTGGGCTACAGGGACACCGAGCTGGGCTGCCAGAGGACAAGGGGCCTAAGCCTTTTCGAAGCTACAACAACAACGTCGATCATTTGGGGATTGTACAGTGAGTCCTCTGCACTCCCCTCACCCCTAAAGCACCTGTCTCAGCTCAGGGATGGGTTTGCTTTTAGAAAGGCCTTTCTGACGCAGGACATGTCTCACCAGGTCGGGTCAACCTCCTTTCCAGGGACAGAACTCCTCCCTGACTCCCCTGCAGGTCCAGCCCGAGGTTGTTAGGCCAGAGGTGTGGGGCCCATCTAGGGAGCCGGTGGGAATGGAGACTGGGCTAGGTCAGGCCCCTGGGCGCTCAGCAGTTCTGTCGGCAAGTGAGCACAAGAGGAGCGGGGCAGCCTGAGGGTCTGGCCCTGTCTACTTGGAGACAACCCCGGTGAGATGCAAGGGTTATGGCCACAGGGTGAGGGGACGCCTGGCCCAGCCTCAGGGCTGTTGTCCAGCAGGTCTCTGAGGGCCCACCTGCCCCTGTTCTCCCCCATTCCCCTAGAGCTACAGCCCTCACTGTCCCGTGAGGGGAAAAGGCATGGTGACAATGGGGGCTGTAGCCCTAGGAGAACGGGGGAGAAGATGGGCAGGGCCCCGTTCTGGGCATCTCACGGTGAGGCCAGGGAGGCAGCAGGGCTCGCGGCTAAAGACCTGGGTCTGGTGCTGGGAAGGGATCTGGGGCCGGGTAAGAGGAGCCCAGCCAGAAGCCCATCCCTCAGGGATCACAGGATGGAGAGACAGAGGATCCCTGGGGAGGTAGGGCGGGAGGGAGCTGACGAGCGGTGCCACTTCTGAAACGCAGGGTGTGTGGCTCGGGTGCAGGGAGAGGCAGGTGGATGCTGGGAGGTCAGAACCTGCAAGGGCCTTGGGGCTGTCAAGTGGGGTGGGCCCCTGGTGCAGCCAGAGTACACCGGGCAGGTCTCAGGGCAGGCTCCCTTGACCCTGGCGGGGGGATGTGGTCACTCCCTGAGGGACTCCTGTCAGGGCCCGGTCGCCCACCCTGGGCGGCCCCCATCCCATCTCAGGGCTAACCTTTCTCAGCTCCAGCAGAAAGCACCACCTCGAGTCCAGGACGGGCAGCCCCATTGGGCAGCCTGACCGCCCCCCACGCCAGGGGCCCCAGTAACCCCGGCCAGGCTGTCCCTACACTCCTTCTTCTCCCAGGTCCTGCCCCTCCTGGGAGTCAGCCCCACAGGAAGGCCCTTGTCCTCCCTTCCCTGTGCCTTCTCCTGGGCTGAGCCCTGAGCTGGAAAGGGACAGAGCCAGTCCTTTCTGGGGGTCGGCACCCAGGCTGGGGCCGCTCCAGGCCCCGTGCAGTTCCTCAGCTCTGCCTGGGTTGCCTTACAGTGAGACGGAGCTGCCTCCTCTGACTGCGCGGGAGGCGAAGGTAAGAGCCTGATGCGTGGAGGGGCTGGTCCAGGGACGTAGGGACTGGGCGGGTGGTCAGTGAGGCAGAGGAAGCAGCTGGCCTGAGCGGTGGCGGGTGAGGGCAACACGCTGTCACTGGGAGGGGCAGCAGTCCCTGCTGGACCTGACCCCAGGTTGCTGTTCACTTTGGCAGTTTGATAAAATTCCAAAAGGAGAACCACAGTCCTGGCTTGGGGGTGGCTGCGCGCTTGTGTCAGGACCCCACCTAGAGGCTGGGACCTAAGACTGGTGTGTCTGTGGCCTGAGGATGGTACATCCCGGGGTCCCAAAGCCAGCCCACTGGTGCTCATTTGCTCAAAGGCTCTCAGCCCTTGAGGTCTGCCCTTCCCTGGCTCCTTCCAGCTGGCTCCCACCAGGGCTCCAGAGCCCAAGACCCAGCATCCGCGGGCGGCTCTGGGAAGCCTGGCAGCTCCGCTAACTCCAACATGCCTCATTTGACAGCAAATTCGGCGGGAGATCAGCCGAAAGAGCAAGTGGGTGGATATGCTGGGAGACTGGGAGAAATACAAAAGCAGCAGAAAGGTAACGTGTGGAGGGAGGAAGCACTCTCTGCAGAGACAGGGGACAGGCACCCATGGCTGTGGCCTGGCACCATCAGCCTCTCAGAGGGTGGGCGGCACACTGTCCTCGCCCAGAGGACTGCAGGCCTGGTCGCCAGATTTCCTGCCTATTCGTGCAAGCGTCACCTTGCAGGGAGGGAATCTGAATCTAGGGCTGGGACTACCCGGAGCTCAAGGCTAGGGATGCCCTGGGGACCTGAAGGAAGGAAAAGGTTCAGATCAGAGTTTCGACTCTGAGTGTCCATCCACTCTTTCAGTCCTGGGAAGGGAGACCCTGTCCCAGCTTGATCTCACCTCTACTGAGGAATCATGGGGCCAAAACCGACAATTTCCAGAATCCCCGGGCTCTGGTCCTCACTGGGGTCACCCCGTGGCCTGTGACACCAGATTGTTTTCTGCCTACAGCTCATAGATCGAGCGTACAAGGGAATGCCCATGAACATCCGGGGCCCGATGTGGTCAGTCCTCCTGAACACTGAGGAAATGAAGATGAAAAACCCCGGAAGATACCAGGTACGCTCAGCCAGAGCACAACAAACAGGACAGGCCGTGTCGGTGCCCAGGTCTCCAGCTGGAGGGAACGTCAAGACCACCCTGGGGAGCTGGGGGTGAAGGTCAGATGAACACCCTGGGCACAGATGGTGACACAGTCACCACAGACAAACTCAGCTCTGGTGACCCTCCCTGGCTTCAGTAACAAGCCAAAATGCAGCTTTCTGCAGAAGGAAACCTTCCTTCTGTCCTTCCTTCCCGAAGTGCTGACTGTGGGCTGACTGCCACTGGGGGCAGGGAGTCTTCCATCTGTTCTGAGACTGCTTCCTCCTCTTGGCCCTGCCCTACAGATCATGAAGGAGAAGGGCAAGAGGTCATCTGAGCACATCCAGCGCATCGACCGGGACGTAAGCGGGACATTAAGGAAGCATATATTCTTCAGGGATCGATACGGAACCAAGTAAGCCTACGGGAGCCACAGGGTCCCAGCAGAGATGGGGTGAATGAGAGGGATGGGGGCTTCCCCGGAGCAGAAGCCAGGGTCACCCAGGAGGGATGACACAGCTGCCAAGAGCTCTCCCGGCCCAGGGAGCAGCCGGCACCATGAACCGAGCACCTCCCTGGTTCCAAGCCCTGGGCCAGACTGGAACATGTGGGGCCAGAACCCAGGAGGATCCTGAGGAGATGGAAGGCAGCAAACAAAATCATGCACAATGGTGAAGGGTGCTCTCCCTGACCCATGGGGACCCATGGTAGGACCCACGGGAGGGTGGCAGGATAGAGGGCCCATGAGCCCCCGCCAGGCAACAGTGACAGCACCAAATGCTGGGAGAATTAGGGGTCCTGGAAACTCTCATCCAGGTCCGCTGGGAACATGACATGGCACAGCCACGTTGGCAGCCCGTTGGGCAGTGGCTCACAAAGCTCGATGGACTTGAACCACACATCCCCAAAGTGTCACAGATATTGAACCCACTGATTTGCAAACTGACATCCACATGAAACCAGCATGCCAGGTTCACTGCTTGACTCCTCGTCACTCACACACGGAGCCTTCGGGGACGGCCTTCAACACGGGGATGGGGAGAGCAAGGCTGGTCCTCCCTTCAAACGGAAGACCCAGTGAGAAAAGGGAACGAGCCGGTGATGCCCGCACGAACGTGGGTGGATCCTAGATGCATTTTGCTGAGGGACAGAAGCCAGACCCAATAAGCTACCACAGTAGGATTCCCATTCCTAGGCCATTCTGGAAAAGGCCAAACCACAGGGACTGAGAAGCAGTCTGGGTGGCCAGGGGCTGACGGATCGGGGAGAGGCTGGTTGCATAGGGGCCACCCTGGAGACTTGGAGGATGAAGGAGTCGCCCCAGGAGGGGCTGGAGCGGTGGCCGGGAGACTCTGCACATCGGTTTGGAACCGTGGAGGAACTGTACACCCACAGACTGAACTGGCGTGTGTGCAAACTGAAAAAAAAAATCATTCAGAGTGAAAAGGATCAGGCAAGTCACTGTACAACTGGGCTATTTGCATGTCACAGATGTGGATTTTACTGAAACATTTCTTCAAGAGTCTCAGGCCCTGAAGAGCTCACTGCTTATCTGGTGAAACATCTGAACCTGAAATGGGATTTGCTGTTAGGCTTTGTAGACAAAGTGAAATTAACAACATCTGCACAAAACAAACCAAAGCCCCCTTTCTCTGTTTCCTAGGCAGCGGGAACTACTCCACATCCTCCTGGCATATGAGGAGTATAACCCGGTGAGTATTCCCGGCAGTGAGGTTCCCGGGCCATATTTCCATATTGACAGGAGTGGGTGTCTGGTGGGGGTGTCGTTGCTTCTTTTAAAGTTAGTATTTGTGACCCACCAGGATATAGGAGGTAGGATGTCAGCTCACCGCTGGCATAAACCTCCAAGGAAGGGGGTGGTCTCAAGGGGTCAAGCTGAGACACAAAGGAGTCAGGGCCGGGACTCCTGGTGTCACCTGGGCCTGACCACCACTTCTCAGAACAAGAAATGACGCCCTCCTCCTGGGGCTGCCCCAAAGCCCAGGAGCTTGGCAGCATCGCACACAGGATGGTGCTATCAGCAGACATTTTGGACAAGGTGCTGAAGTGCCTGATGGACTTGGCTCTTGTCATGAAATGAATGTGCATCCTGAGGAAGCCTCTTTTTCAGAGGAAGCCTCTCCTTCAGAGGAAGCCTCTCCAGTCACCTCTGCCCTCTCCAATGACATGAGTCCTCCCAGGTGACCTCAGCCCTCCCAGGTGATGTCCTTCCATGGTGACTCTGGCTCTTGCAGGAGGTGGGCTACTGCAGGGACCTGAGCCACATCGCCGCCTTGTTCCTCCTCTATCTTCCTGAGGAGGATGCATTCTGGGCACTGGTGCAGCTGCTGGCCAGTGAGAGGCACTCCCTGCAGGGTAAGTGAACAGCTGCCCCGGGGACCTCCTGCAGCCAGACCTGGGGATGGCCACCCTGGCCGGGTGATCACAGCTTTCAGCCAAGGCACCCTCCTTGTGTCGCCAGCTTGTTGGGAGACTTTAGAATGTCTCTGCTGAGGGTCCCACAGGAGTCCACGGCTGACCCCCAAAGCCCAAATCAGACGCCTGTCATCCCCATCAGCAGAGGGCATCTCATCCTCCCCGTGGCCACCCTCTGTGTCCTGGAGCCACGCCCTCCGGCTCTGATTCTGTGCAGCTGACTCTCCCCTCCCTGAGAGTCCTCCTGCCCTCCAGCTGCCCAGGCTCCTGCTGCCATCGGTGCCCACGAATGGGCCGACCAAGCCCAGGTGGCAGCATCTCCCCATCCCCTGTTCCCTGGCCCGACCCCACTACCAGGAGATGACCGGGAAGCCCAGCGCCCACCCAGTTCCGGCCACCCTGTCGTGGCCTGAAAGTCAGGCTTGCCCTTTTTGCACCCTGGCCCAGGAGGCCTCCAGGGGAACCTCCAGCCAGGCTCCAGGGAATGTTCCCGCCCCACCTCCCCAGGGTAAAGGCCGCATGTTGGGGTCACCAGATGGGAGGGTGGGAGGCCTTGGGGTTTGGGGGCCTCTCCAGCTGCCCAGCTCTTGCAGCTGATGGCTCCACATCTTGGGGGAAGGCTCTGATTTCATGATGGGCTGGGGGCTTCTCAGGATTTCACAGCCCAAATGGCGGGACCGTCCAGGGGCTCCAAGACCAACAGGAGCATGTGGTAGCCACGTCACAACCCAAGACCATGGGGCATCAGGTGAGTTTATGGTCCCCTCAGCTCTTCCCAGAGGCCCTGCCTCCCGTGGGGCTGTAGGAGCAGGGGGGCTGGAGCCCCTCGTGGGGCTGGTGACTGGCTGAGTCCCAGCCAGGGCCTGACCTGGGACGTCGGGTTCTCCATGGGCTGGGAGTTGGTTTCCTTTCCTGCCCTGGAGGAGACAGAGGCACAGGGATGGGGGCCCAGCTCCCGCAGAGCAGGGCAAAGGGCAGTGTGTCCACCGGGAGTGTGGGAAGGTGACAGTGTTGTGGGGAGCTCTGGACACCGCCCAGTGTTCTGCACTAGGGGAAGGGTCTTCAGAGGCCCTGGAAGAGGGAGGTTTTTAGGGCAGCCCAGTGGCCTGAGCACCTCTGTTGCTTCCATCAGGACAAGAAAGATCTATGTGGGCAGTGTTCCCCGTTAGGCTGCCTCATCCGGATATTGATTGACGGGGTAAGGAGGCATAGGGAGACCCTGGCTCAGGGACCTTCCTTGCCCTGCAGTGCCCTGCTTCCCCAGCCCGGGGGTCTGGCTCACTCCCAGCCCACAGGAGGCTCAGGCGGGACCCCAAAGGACACACAAGCAAAACCCTCTGCCCAAGGGGGGTCATCCCAGGGCCATGGCTGGGGCTCAGGCCCAGCCTCATGGGCAGACTGGGCCAGGACCCGACTTGAGAGGGCTCAGGGAAGCCTCAAGCCCTGGGCAAGCCCCTCTCTCCAGGAGCCACATCCCCACTCAAATGAGTGCCCCCCATGAGGAGCTTCAAGACCTTGTCTGACCCAGCGTCCTGGAGGGCTCAGGCGACCCTCATGGGGAAGGTCACTGACTCTGGAGACTGAAGCCCCAGTGTGCGCAGCTCGAGCCACCAGCCCCAGCCTGGAAGGACCAGGTTCTTTCACACCTGCTGTCCCCACAGATCTCTCTCGGGCTCACCCTGCGCCTGTGGGACGTGTATCTGGTAGAAGGCGAACAGGCGTTGATGCCGATAACAAGAATCGCCTTTAAGGTTCAGCAGAGTAAGTCTACGTGTGCCCAGCGGGGCCTGGGGAGCCCTGGGGTCAGACCCCGACTGGCCCGAGGGCAGCTTCCTCACACTGTCCTCATGATCCTCTGTTCTGGCCCAGAGGGAGGTCTGGCCAGGTGGGCTGGGCAGGACACTGTGACACCGAGCCCATCCCCCACATGACCCAGATGAAAGTCGAGAGTGTGGTGAGCACTTCCCTGTCCGGATCGCCCCCCAGCCACAGTCTCCTGTGTATATCTGGACACCTGGGGTGGCCACAAAAGGATCCGGCACCGCCCAGTAGGAGACTGAAGTGGCCACGGGATATGAGCTGTGACCATTCCCAGGTAACTCCCCTGGCCTGATATCCACCCTGTCCCTAGAGCGCCTCACGAAGACGTCCAGGTGTGGCCCGTGGGCACGTTTTTGCAACCGGTTCGTTGATACCTGGGCCAGGGATGAGGACACTGTGCTCAAGCATCTTAGGGCCTCTATGAAGAAACTAACAAGAAAGCAGGGGGACCTGCCACCCCCAGGTGGGCTCCAGTGCCATGTCCCCTCCCATGTCACCCTCTGGGGTAGTCAGTAGTAGGGGAGTGCCCGGGACCCGCAACCCTACTACCTGGGCCTTCCTCTTCACCTTTTCTTCCTCCTCTTCCTCCTGGACTCTAAGAAAGTACAGGAGGCCCACCGGTCCTCAGGGCAGGCGCTCAGTGCGTGTATACTGGACATGCTGTGCACGCAGGAGGGGGATGTGGGCAAGACCCTCCAACAAGCCCCCTCCCACTTTCCACGGTGTCTCCCTCTCCCCCTCGCAGGGCCCTCCAAGTTACTAGACGAGCCCAGACCCATTTGTGGGAGACCCCGCCCCTCCCTGCAAGCACCCACAGCCTCAGAGAGCAGCAGAGGCCCCTCACTCCTGCACGCTCCTCCAAGGTTGCCAGGACAAGAAGCCTGGAGCCAGGGAGACAAGGGAATCCGTGTCCCTGACCCACAGAGCATTCAGGGAGAGGGCCCAGAGCCAGAGCCAAGAGTTCAGCCAGAAGTGGGAACGGTCAGTCCTGGCATGGACTGGGCAGCCCAGGAGGGCAGAGGGTGACCCACGTCCGGGCCCAATCACCCACTGCGGAGACGGGTCCCCACGTGAGGTGACAAGGGGCTGGGTGACATCCAAGGCCCCTCCCACCTGAGTTCTGACTGGGGGCCGTATCCCAGGCCCAACAGCCCTGGGACGAAGGTGTGTGGCAGGAAGCCCCCAGCCAGTCTGAACCCTGGGGGCAGTCCCAGGAGCCACCCGCCATGCCACGACAGCTTCCCCACGCCAGGCAGCATGCACCCCTCCCTCTGGGATCAGCAGACTACAGGCGTGTCCTCGGTGTCAGGCCACGGGGGCCACACAGAGACCCCGAGGACTCCGAGATGCAGGCAGGTGGGGCCCAGCCCGGAAAGGCCTGCGTGGGCTCACTGGAGATGCTGACCGCGTCTGTTTTCCTTTCAGCCAAACCCGAGCAAGGGTCGTCGGCATCCAGGCCTGTGCCGGCTTCACGTGGCGGGAAGACCCTCTGCAAGGGGGACAGGCAGGCCCCTCCAGGCCCACCAGCCCGGTTCCCGCGGCCCATTTGGTCAGCTTCCCCGCCACGGGCACCTCGTTCTTCCACACCCTGTCCTGGTGGGGCTGTCCGGGAAGACACCTACCCTGTGGGCACTCAGGGTGTGCCCAGCCCGGCCCTGGCTCAGGGAGGACCTCAGGGTTCCTGGAGATTCCTGCAGTGGAACTCCATGCCCCGCCTCCCAACGGACCTGGACGTAGAGGGCCCTTGGTTCCGCCATTATGATTTCAGACAGAGCTGCTGGGTCCGTGCCATATCCCAGGAGGACCAGCTGGCCCCCTGCTGGCAGGCTGAACACCCTGCGGAGCGGGTGAGATCGGCTTTCGCTGCACCCAGCACTGATTCCGACCAGGGCACCCCCTTCAGAGCTAGGGACGAACAGCAGTGTGCTCCCACCTCAGGGCCTTGCCTCTGCGGCCTCCACTTGGAAAGTTCTCAGTTCCCTCCAGGCTTCTAGAAGCATCTGGGCCAGGGCTCATGGCTGGATAATTTCCCTAGGCTTAACAACCCAAGCAAGCTTCGCGTCCTCGTTTTATTTTTGGTTAAACTTATGAAAATGTATTAAGAAAGAGTGCAGCTCGAGAGAGATTCAGAGATGGAACACACCAGACCCCAGATCACAAAGCCAACCATGCCCAGCCCCTCCCAGCACCCCCAGCCCCACGACCATCGTTCTGAATTCTGACGACACCGTGAGCCTGCCTTTGTACTTCAAACTCATGGAAGGATAACCACCTTCATGTTTTGAAATAAATGTTTCCTGTTGAAATGATTTTAGATTTTAGACAGAAATATTGAAAAGGCACTATAGTATCCTCCTATACCTTCCATCCAGCTGCCCCTAATAATGATGTTTTGCAGTCCCATGGCACATAAGAAATTTAGGCCGGGTGTGGTGGCTCACACCTGTAATCCCAGCAATTTGAGAGGTCGAGGCGGGAGGTTCAGGTTCACTTGAGTCTAGAAGTCTGAGACCAGCCTGGGAAACCTAGGTGGACCCGGTCTCTAGAGAAAAGTCAAAGAAATTAGCCAGGCATGGTGGCGTGTGCCTATAGTCCCACCTAGTCAGGAGGCTGAGGCAGGAGGATTGCTGGAGCCCACGAGTTCCAGGAAGCAGTGAGCCATGATTGCACCACTGCACTCCAGCCTGGGTGACAGAGTGAGACTTTATCTCTTAAAAAAATTTAAGAAATTTAATGTGGGTACAGTTCTATTAACTAAATAATAATGTGAACTGTTATCTAAGGTTATGAAGGCTAGAATTATCCCATTTTTGCCTAACTTCTCGTACCTGTCCCAAGATCCCACCTTGGACTCACCCTCTGCCTTCAGCTCACGTCTCTTCAGCTTCCTCCACATGGTCCAGCAAACACACACCTGGGCTGAATGGTAGAGCTGATTGCTCATACACAAAGGTAGACCGGTGGGCAGGGATTTTCAGACTTACACAGTCAATGAGTTTTCCTTGGTGTTCTGGAGAGCACCGTTTGAGAAACACTTTGACAGTGAATCTAGGCCTCAAGATCCATCAGCTGCTCTAGCTTGAATTTTGCTCAAGCTCAGTGAACACCTGCTCTGCCGGGTGCACGTGAAAGGGGCAAGGATGAGAAAGCTGTAGATAAAGAAGACAGGACGCAGGGGGTCTGTCTAAGCTCTATCCCCTGCCTTCAGCACTGAGGGATGAAATCCAACTCTTAGGGAACGGTGGCCACGTGCTGGGCCAGCCCCAGGCTCTCAGGATCTGACAGTGGGTGACGCAGAGCCAGGCCTTGCCCCTGGGGAGCTCTCCAGCATACACCTCCCTCTCCCCTCCCAGCGTGCCGCAAAGCAGGCGTCAACTCCATTGTTAATGCACGGAGGAGGAACCTGACTGTTAGACCTGGGTTTTCCAGGGTTGCACGGCTTCTGGGAGACGGATGTGACCCTGAGGACAGGGCACAGGCCAGTGTAATGCCAGGATGGAATGAGCTGTGATCTGTGCTGTATAGAGGCCTAGGCCAAGGTGGGACTGACGGATGACCAGGTCAGCCGGGTCACTGAAAACACTCTTGGGTCCTCACCTGCCGGTTCCCAGGAGTCCGGAACTGCCAGGAGAGTGGTGGCAGGTCCCCCATCCTCAGCTGGGTGGGCCTGGATAGAACAGCAAGGCGAGGGCACATTTCCCTGGCCATTCCCTCCAGGCACAGCTGTGACCTGTTCATTCCAAATTTGTGGAAGTATTTCCACACACACAGAACTGCAAATAGCAGTGGACATGGTGAGAGGCGTTTGCACATGGGATAGGCAGGATTTTGGAGGCAGAGCCTCCAGGGCTTGCCGATGGGTTAGCTGCAGGGCTTGAGAGGGAACGGAGAATCCAGGATGATGTGTTCAAATCGGTCCATTCACCTCTTCCCTTCCACGCCTGTGCTGGGCACTGGGAGAGACAGATGCACACAGGAGCCCCGGCCGAGGGGAGGTGTGGGGGGAAGCCCAGAGTGTCTGGGCAGGGTAGGAAACCCAGAGTGTCTACTGGGAGCTGAAGGCTTAGGTCCACCTGGGTGCCGTCCAGGTTCTCTGCATGTAGAAGTATAGGCTGAGCTTCCCGGAGGAGGAGCAGCTGCTGTTGCTGGTGACCAGCACATTCAGGAACGGAGACTACTCTGTCAACAGACAGGGGGATGACCTGAGGTCTGGATGGTCTAGGGGGTGGTAGGGCCCAGGAGGACCCAGGAAAGGGTCTCGGGGATGCAGAACATCCTATGGAGGGCATTTGGGAGTCAGTGCTCAGGCCACTCCGGGTCACTCAGGTCATTTGCCGGCCCCTGTCATAATTATTGCCATATGAGAGTGCCACCCGTCCTATGACATATTTTATATATTTCTGTGAATGGCCTACTTGTTTGTATTTATGAATTTATGTTTAAAGGATGGGCAGGGGTGCTCGAGAGGTCCCCAGGAGTTTCCCTCTGGGGAGAGAGGGGCCCACCCCTTCCCAGCAGCCCTCTGAGCCCCCCGATCGCTTGGCCACAGCCTCTGCCTGGAGAAAGCATCCCCCTCGGAGATATATGGACATCAGAAGAAACCTTTCTCTGTCACCAGGACAAATCCTGTTCTTATTTGAACCAAGGCCAGTTTTCCTAATGAATGCAGGGAGGACAGCACAGATCAATGAAACCAGCAGATAATCCACAAGACTGTTTCCCAGAGCTGGGAGATTTCCTTCCCTGCCAACACTTTTCCTGAAAGGTCTTAAGAATGAGGCAAACAGTTTAAGTCTCTCTTGCACTGTTCTTTTAGTGAAAGAGTTCAATGAGGAAGGAGAGGAAGTGGAGCATATGCTTAGTTTCCAAGCTGGAAAAGTGGCCCATGGTTAACCAAGACTAGATGTAAAAGCACAGGTGGCCGCGGGTCCAGGTGAGTCGGTCCTACGATGGCACGGCTGCTAATGCCAGCAGATGCTCCTGTCCTCTCCTTTCAAGACTGACTTCTTCTGGTCTTTCATTCGTTAAAATAAAATTGACAGGGCATCATCCAAGAAGCTCTACACTTTCCCTTACTTGGATTTCAGACTCTAGATTCTGCTGAGATTTGAGCTTCATGGTGAACACATTCTTGTTGTGCTTGCTGCTGAGGGGTGTGGAGGACAGAGAGATGGTGAAATGGCAAAGTGGCTCTTGAGCATGGGTGGGGGAAGCCCCCACATATCTGAGTCAGTGCCACCTGGACACTACCCTTGGAGCATCCTGCTGAGGTGGCCATTCAGGTTTTCTTTCCTTTCCTTTTATTCCACTGTTTCTGAATCACAAATAAAGATCCAAGGCAAACAGCACATTCAGATCCCCAAGCTCTCCACCTCCAATGTGACCAGGGACGTGCACCACTTCAGGCTCATGCAGGACCCACAGCCTTTGGACCTCAGCTAAGGGACCTGCTTCTCTTCAGCACACGGGGCTTGTTTGTGTTGGGGTCTGAGCCCTGAGCGCATGGTCAAGGAGACCCCCAGGTCTTTCTGAACAGAGACAGCTGGCCTGGCGGCCTCCCTCTCACTGCATGCAAGAGTCTGTTAGGGCGGCTGTCTTGCTTCTGTGTGTTGGGAAATTCAATTTAGGTACCTAAAAATGAAAAGTCCCAGGACATCTCCATGGCTTGGGATCCACAGGAGAGCATCATTGATGCTGGGGACAATTTAAACATATAGAAACCCACAGGGCTACCTTAGACAGGGCACAGGGCACAGCACCCGGGGATGCAGAGTGGAAAGTTCACCACTACAGCCTGGAATTGCCTCTGTGATGCCTTCTTCATGACACTTGGCTGCCTTCGTGGCTGGAAGGCTGAGGCCCAGATCCCAACATGGCCACAGGCTAGCAGCTTGCTTCACCTTCCTGAACTGCAATTTCTCCATCTGAGCCTCTCTCCTAAGAGGAGTGTGCAGGGTCACTTAGCCCATATGGGCCAGAAACCCCACACGGTGCCAGGCACACAGGAGGGCCTCGGCAGATGCTGCCCCCTTCTGTCTCCACCACCCTCCTGGGGCTCCCTCCTGAAACAGCCTCCCTCAGCGCCTTGAGTCTTGCACCCTAACAGCCTCTTGCACGCAGTGAGAGGGAGGCCCCCAGGCCAGCTGTCTCTGTTCAGAAAGACCTGGGGGTCTCCTTGACCATGGGCTCAGGGCTCAGACCCCAACACAAACAAGCCCCGTGTGCTGAAGAGAAGCAAGTCCTTTAGCTGCGGTCCAAAGGCTGTGAGTCCTGCATGAGCCTGAAGTGGTGCAGGTGCCTGGTCACACTGGAGGTGTAGAGCTTGGGGATCTGAATGTGCTGTTTGCCTCGGACATCAAACATCTCACAGACTGCCTGGAAGAAGGTGGAGCAGACTGGGGTTAATGGTCAGCAGCAGCAGCATCCCCACCACTGGGGCTATCCCTTTTTAGGCCCTTACCGTGGGCCAAACACTGAGCCGTGTGCTTCGTGTAACTTCTAAGCACGCTTACCTGATAGGGTGACAGCAAAGACTCGAAGAGGTGCCTGGGCTTGGCACATAGTAGCTATTGCTACTATTATGAATGTTGTTTTGTCTTTGTTTTTGTTTTGAGACAGGGCCTCACTCTGTTGCCCAGGTTGGAGTACAGCAGTGCCATCATAGCTCACTGAAGCCTCAACCTCCCTGGGTTTGAGCAATCCTCCCACCTCAGCCTCCCAAGTAGCTGAGACTACAGGTGTGCGCCACCAAGCCCAGCCAATTGTTTGTATTTTCAGTAGAGACTGGTTTTGCCAAGTCGCCCAGGCTGGTTTCGAACTCTGGGGTTCAAGCAATCTGCCCACCTCAGCCTCCCAAAGTGCTGGCATTACAGGCGTGTGCCACTGCGCCCAGCCATTATGAATGTCAATATTGACATGATCTTGTATCCTTATGCCCACACTGGGAGAGGTCTGATTGTCCCCATGTTCCTGGTGTGGAACCACATGGAAGAGGCCTATGTTATCCCAACAGTGCAGAAGCACAGCCTGAGTCTCTTCTTTGGCTGAGCCAAGGGCGTGCTGGAGAGGCCTGACAGAAGAAGGAGCGGCCCTTGTGACCAGTGCCCTTTTGGTTCACAAGGAACTTCTCCTCTTGTTGAAGTGACTTGGCTGAGCTTGCTACTTCTGCTTTGAGAGTCAAATATCAGGATCAAGACTTTAATTATCCCCAATTTACAGATGATGAAACCATATTGGGCAGGAAAGAAAGTCACCCCAGGAGAGCAAGTTGGACCTGAGCACTGGCTGAGGACAAAGGGGAATGATAATTTGGGATGTAACTTGTTAAGGGGTCTCACAAGTGTTCTTGTGATCCAGGTGTCGAGAGGATACAGCAGAAAGGTTGCCAGGGAGATGAGGGTAGGGTACACCGCAAGAGTGGGAGAAATTAAAGAGAACACGCAACAAAGCCTTGGGACACTGGGAGGGGGATGGACCACCCAGTTTTGTGCTATGGGAGAAGAGAGCAAGAAAAGGAATCTGTGTTAAATCCCGACAGCCTGCATGAGAAGGAAATGCCCTTCATTTTCTTCATCAGCGGCGAGACTGGCATCCCTGCAGCTTTGGGAGACCATGCTAGTGTAGATGCCAGCTCACACCAGCGGGCCTGACTGGGAGACCTTGGGCTGGGGTTCTGGTCTGGGGCTCCTAGGCCTGATGGGAGGAGAGTTCAGCCCCAGGTTTCCTGTACTTCAGCTCATATCCACACAATGGTAATTATTGAAATGAGAGACTCAAAAGAAGATGGAACGTGAACTTTTTTGTTGTCCCATGTGGACACCTGTGTTCGGTTTCCAGTTCTACCTTTGCTGTCTGTGTGTTCTTAAGTAACTCACTTAAACCTTTCTGAGTCTCATTTTCTTCATTTATAAAATAAAAGACGTAACATTTATGTCAGATATTGTCCTGAGGATTAAATGGGAGAATGAACAAGCCTCTTCTGCATTCCCCTGGCATCCAGTGGGTGGAGGCCAGAGAAGCTGCTAAACATCCTGCCAGGTGCAGGACAGCCCCCATCACAAAGAATTGACCGGATCCTGATGTCAGTAAGGCAGAATTGAGGATCCTTGGTGTGGGGGAAAAAGAATAAACTCAGAAGCTTGGCAGATCTCAGTTCAAACCCTGGTTGTATCACCTCTAGCTGAGTGACCTTAGGCAGGTCTGTGAACTCTCTGAGACTCGGCCTCCTCATCGGTAGAATGAGGTAGATAAAAATGCCAAGCTCGGCCGGGCGCGGTGGCTCACGCCTGTAATCCCAGCACTTTGGGAGGCCGAGGCGGGTGGATCATGAGGTCAGGAGATCGAGACCATCCTGGCTAACAAGGTGAAACCCCGTCTCTACTAAAAATACAAAAAATTAGCCGGGCGCGGTGGCGGGCGCCTGTGGTCCCAGCTACTCGGGAGGCTGAGGCAGGAGAATGGCGTGAACCCGGGAAGCGGAGCTTGCAGTGAGCCGAGATTGCGCCACTGCAGTCCGCAGTCTGGCCTGGGCGACAGAGCGAGACTCTGTCTCAAAAAAAAAAAAAAAAAAAAAAAATGCCAAGCTCACCCAGAAATAACCCCGTGCATATATGGTCAACAGATCTTTGACAAGGCCATCAAGGATATACAATGTAGATTCTTTTATTCCTTTACTTTCTTAATAGACTTGCTTTCACTGTACTGTAAAAAAAAAAAAAGGCACAATGTAGAAAGGAAACTCTCTTCAATGAATGGTGTTGGGGAAAGTGCATGAAAAAGAATGAAATTGCACACTTGTTTTACATCATATACAGAAAATTAGCTCAAAGTGGATTAAAGATTTAAATGTAATATCTGAAACCATGTAAATCCTGGAAGTAAACATAGGGAAAAATCTCCTCGACATTGGTCATAATTGGCAATATTTTTTTTGATGTAACACCAAAGCACAGGCAACAAAAGTGAAAATAAATAAATGGGACTACATCAATCTTAAAAGGTTTTACACAGCAAAGGAAACCATGACAAAATGAAAAGGCAACCTACGGGATGGAAGAAAATATTTGCGACCCATATATTTGATAAGGGGTTATTTGAAAAAATATAAGGAATTCACACAATTCAATAGCAAAAATTAATAAATACATGAATAACGCAATTAAAAATAGGCAAAGGACCCCAATGGACTTTTTTCCCCAAGGAAGATATACAAATGGCCAGCCAGCATATGAAAAGGTGCTCAACACCACTAATCATCAGAGAAATGCAAATCAAAACCACAGTGAGATATTGCCTCATAGGATAGGATGGCTCTTATAAAAAAACGACAAGAGATAACAAGTGTTGGCGAAAGCATAGAGGAAAGAGAACCCTTGTACACTGTTGGTTGGAATGTAAAGTGGTATAACCTTTACAGAAAACAGTATGGAGGTTCCTCAAAAAATTAGAAGCAGAACTACCATACGATTCAGCAATCAGGTTAGAACCTTGAAGAGAGATCTGCGCCCCATGTTTATTACAACACTATTCACAATACCCAAGATATGGAAACAGCCTAAGTGTCCAGCAACAGATGAATGGATAAATAAAATACATATAAACAATGGACTATTAGCCATTCAAAAGAAGAAACTCCTGTCCTGGATAAACCTGGAGGACATTACGCTAAGTGAAATAAGCCAGACACCGAAAGACAAGTTTTGTATGATCTCACTTATATGTGGGATCTAAGAGAGTCAAACTCATAAAAACAGATAGTAGAATGGTGGTTGCCAAGGGCTGGAGGTGGGGAAAATGGGAAGCTATTAATCAAAGGGTGTAAACTTTCAGTTATAAGATGAACAAATTCTGGAGATTTAATGTACAGCATAGGTGGTAATGGATGTAATAAATTTGATTGTGATAATTAGTACACAATATATACATATATGAAATCATCACATTGTATGCATTAAATATACACAATCCTTGTCAACTCAATATTTTTAAAAAAATGTTTAAAATGCCTAGGTCATAAGAATTCTGAGAATGAAATACAACAACATACATGAATGGACCTGCTACACAGAAGGTGCTAAATAGGTTTGTTTTGTTTTATTTTATTTCAACTCTGGCAGATGTAGACCTATTGGGAAAGAATATAGAATGCACTTGTGCACAAGGATTATCTATACGATGGTTAAATATCCTGCATACATGCCATGTCATTTCTACTCCTCAGTCAATGGATAATAAAAGCAGAACCAGCCTTCTGGTGGTCACAAAACATTTTGACATGAGAAAGGCTGATCATGAGCAATCTGGCAATGTACATCCCAGAGCGTGCATGCCCTTTGACCCACAGCTACCATGATGTCATGTCTAGCAATTAGTCCTAAGGAGATGATCAGAGATGTGTAAAGAGATTTCATTCTAACAGCATCCTCTGTAGTGGTATATGTCAGGGGCTGGTAAGCCATGTCCAGAGGAGCAGGCTGCATCTAGTCCACCACCTGTTTTTGTAAAGTTTATCAGAACACAGTCATGCCCATTCATTTACAAATTGTGTATGGCTTCTTTCCCTGCAACAGCAGAGTTGAGTGTTGCAACAGAAACCTATGGCCTGCAGAGTTTAAAATATCTACCCTTTGGCCTTTTATAAAAAAAGTTTACTGATTCCTGGTGAGTATATTAAAAAGTTAGGAAAACCTAAATCTTCCAGAGTGGAGAATTAGAAAGTAAGACGTGTTGTATATAAGACAGACAGTTTGTGTGTGCGTTTATTTATAAATATATTATTCTGAAATAATGTTGTCGACATATGTTGCAGGTCTTAAAAATTGGTCAATATATAGTGTTAATCAAAAAATGGCAAATTGTAAAATGTAGACAGAATGTGATTGTGTATTTTGTGCATACACCAACAGAAAAGGGTGCTAGGAAACCTGTGGACCAACATACTAAGTGTGGCTCTTTTGATGGTGGTATCATGGATTTTTAAAAATCTTCTTGGTTTTCTGTAGATTCTGACTTTCCTGTCATGAGTATGAATAAGTATGTATTTCTTGAGAAATGTGAAAATAACTTTATCTTCCCAGATTTCTCATAATTGAAAATGTTGGAATAAATGGTCCTGGGACAGATCTTTCCATTGAGAAGGGCAGAAGGGAAACCCTGGGGATTCAGCTGGGTTTCTGTTGCATTTCTGGTAACACACAGTTGTGAAAAGCCAGTGTTGGCCATTCCCCAGGACAGTCTGGGGTAGAGGAGGTCAGGATTTAACTACTTGAGGGTCCGGGGAACAGATGTGGCCACAGTCCTTCCTGACTCACTGTTTTCCCTTCCACAGTCCCCGTCTTCTCTTCACTGATGCACATAGATGCCTGACCAGAGGAGAGATTTAGTTTTCGTCCAAGGATTATCTGTTATGTTGCAGTTCTGAAATTCCCATAACGTTTAGGCTAGAACACAAGTGATTTCATTATCTCCAATGTGTATGGCTTGATAGAAATAGATTCCATTATGTAGCACCTTAAATCCAGATAAAACATAAGGAATTTCTATTCCATGTTTGTATGATCAATGTTAATAATCTAAGAAAATCTAAAAAGAAGCTACTTCCTATATTACAGTATGAAATAAATATGCTGAATGATTTGTTTTGGGGGGTGGAATGGAAAGGTATAAGACTGAGGAGGGTGCCTGTGGGAACAGTGATAGGAATCCTTTCTTAAGGGTTGGGTTTTACATACGTCTTTTAAAATAGATGATATCATTAATAAATTATCTGTGGGCATCATGAAAAAAGTGTATAACGTACAACTTTATGAGCTTGACAGTTGGTGAAAACTTTTCTGTTTAAAATTTTATTTGGCCCTCCCCAAAAGAAATGTTTATTTATGAGTATTAGGATAGTTCCAGCAGTAATGCCTCAAAAGAACCAGGAGGTATAGTGTTGTCTAAAATGTGGACTCAGGAGCCAGACTGCCTGGCTGTGCAACTAGCCTTGCCACTTCCTAGATATGTGGCAAGTTAATTAACTTCTCAGTGTTCTTATCTGTAGAATGGGGATAATCCTAATATACATCTCAGGGTTATATTACAAATTAAAAAAGTTAATTTTGTAAAGGACTTAGAATGATATCTGGCAAATAAAAGTGTTCATAAAAGTAAACCCTATAAAAGTGTTTACTCATTAAATACAATAATCTGAAACCATTAGTAATTTAAACATTTGTGGCTGACTTGGTAATATTTATGAAAATAAATACTGTATTTATAATCTTTGACCTTATTTGACTCCTAGGAATTTATTGTCCAGCAAACATTTTCACAGGCAGACAAAAATATTACTATAAAATCACGTTTATTACACCAATCTGTGCAAAAGGAAAAAATAGACAATTAAAATGGCCATCAAAAGGAGTATTGATTAAGTGAATGATAGTAAATCCATTCAATAGTAATCATATTATCCAAAAAGAATGAGGCATAGTCATGTGATGTGGGAAGATCCACGGCTAATGTTAAACGGTAAATGATACAAACTGTTATGCCCAATAAAATACTTTCTGTGAGAGAATATATGTTAATTTATGCGAGTGGCGCCAATGTGGAGGGTTTATGCTAATTTCATTATACCTCACAGACAGACCTGGGCTCTCCCACTCATTTTCTATGTGGCCTGGGGTAAGTCATTTATCTGCTGGAAGCCTCAGCTTCTTCATCTGTCAGGCAGTGATACCCTGACTACTCTGCAGGGTAACTCTGAGATTTCAACGTGATCATCTCAGAATATGCCTGGCAAACAGTAGGAGCTCAGAACTTGATGTTTTTTTCCTACAGCAACTGCTGTAGGGGATAGCAGCTAATGCAAGAGGTTGGTAAATCCTTATATATATCAAATATTGTAGAAACATAACTACATGCTACTATTTTTTCAAACCCTCCCCTCACCCTTTTTTTTCCCCTGAGACAGAGTCTCACTCTGCTGCCCAGGCTGGAGTGCAGTGGCGCCATCTCGGCTTGGCTCACTGCAACCTCTGACTCCCGGGTTCAAGCGATTCTTGTGCCTCAGTCTCCCAAGTAGCTGGGATTACAGGCATGTGCCACCATGCCCAGCTAATTTTTTTGGTATTTTTAATAGAGATGGGGTTTCTCCATGTTGGCCAGGCAGGTCTCCAGCTCCTGGCCTCAAGTGATCTGCCTGTCTCGGCCCCCCAAAATGCCGGGTCAAACCTCTTATATCCAGTAAAACAGCCTCACTGGGTCAATGGATATCATGTGGCTGCCTAACATTTTTACTTTATAAAAGGTCTTCCTGAGGCCATTTGAAAGTATGGATCAAAACACTTTATGAACAGGGCCACAGGTTTGCATGAGGCTTGTCAGTGGACCTCCAGGATGAAGACCAAAGTGACTGTGCAATTTCTAGTGGAATAATTTACACTTAAGATCTTATTTATTTATCAAAAGACTGCTGTGAGGTAGGAATTCTTAACCCCCATTTGCAGAAACAGACTTTGCCTGACACCACAGAGCTAGGAAAAAGTGGGCATAAGATCCTCATCAAGTCTGACTTCCAAAAGAAGATTCAAAAAGAAACCTCCTTGCTACCCGCCAAATCTCTGTAGAGCCAGCCATGTTCACACATGAAACAGGACAATGACAATAGCACCAGGAATAGCTACTCCTGGTCAGATGCCCTCATGAGCTCAACTCCGCGGGATGGGGACACCGGGCCCTGCTTAGGGGAAAGGAAGGGGGTTTGTAGAGGAAGCCCAGCCAGCCAAGCAACCAGAGATGGGAAAAACCTATTGGGAAGAACTTGCTTGCTCTAGCTGGGCTTTGCAAAGAACAGGAAAAGATGAGTCTGCACAGACAGAAATGGTCTAGAATGGCTGAATGTTTCATGTAGAAATTTTATTTTATGATTAATACACTCGTGCCATTTCTTGGAACCACTTGCTTGTTTAATTCTAGTCTATCAAGTGATAACTTTGTTGATATTTAGAGGCTCCTCAGTTAATTTCTGTGGGATTTTTGGTTATATTTAATAAGGAAAATAATATGAAATGTCTAAGAAAAAAAGAAACAAAGTCAACTATTCCTGAGAATGTTTAAATTTATTGAAGTACACTTGTTAATTGTTAGTATAGAACCTACATTTCATGATAGAAAACCTTGGACTTGCCAGTTGTAGCTGCTGGAATGAGGTGTTTGTCCAGTACATCCAGAACGTCGCCACAGATTAACTTTAGCTCAGTCTCAACCTGAAAAAATAAAAATAAATTTAAAAAATCAGATCGTTGAAGTCTAGAAATTCTGTAAATTATTACACATTCTATCTACCTCTGGTTTTGAGGAAGAGAGCTTAGTGTTACAGAGAATTCATTTCCCTCTCCAAACTCCCTTCCTCCCTTTTGACACAAAAGCAGAGAAAAGCTGCCTGTCGGTTATCAAAAGTATCTTTTCCTTCCTGCCTGCAATTAAGTGCTACACACACACCACCCCCCACCCCAATACCCCCTCACAGTCCAACTGCAGAATCACCAATGACTGAAACTAAACACTGATGCTACTTGGTAAACGCTGGTCAATTACATGAATCTTTCACAAAGTAGCAACTATTGTGTCCATTTACTGGGGAAAACAGAAGCTAAGACATTTGCTCAAAGGTCATCCCCTTAAAAGAACGTAATAAGCAGAGCTAGGATTTGAAACCAGGCAGGGTGCAAGGGACAGAACAAAATTCAAACCCAGGCAGTTTGCCTTCAGTACTTACATTCCTAACAAGGTTCAACAGGCAATGCCTTTAGTGGAAGAGACCAAAAACTAGTTAAGATACCAAAAATCTGTGGACCAAAGTAACAGTTGCCACTCATTTATATTCATTTATAATGCTAAAAATGTGCACCACCTCTAAAGGCACATACCCAGTTTACGTCTTTTTTTTTTTTTTTTTGAGAGGGAGTCTGGCTTTGTCACGCAGGCTGGAGTGCAGTGGCGTAATCTCAGCTCACTGCAACCTCCACCTCCCGGGTTCATGTCATTCTCCTGCCTCAGCCTCCGGAGGAGCTGGGACCACAGGTGCCTGCCACCACGCCCAGCTAATTTTTTGTATTTTTAGTAGAGATGGGGTTTCACCGTGTTAGCCAGGATGGTCTCGATCTCCTGACCTCGTGATCCGCCTGCCTCGGCCTCCCAAAGTGCTGGGATTACAGGCATGAGCCACCACGCCAGGCCTGTTTTTTGTTTTTTAGACAGAGTCTTCCCCTGTCACTCAGGCTGAAGTGCAGTGGCCCTATCTCAGCTCACTGCAGCCTCTGCCTTCCAGGTTCAAGCAGTTCTCATGCCTCAGGCCCCTGAGTAGCTGGGGTTACAGGGGTGCGCCACTGTCTCGGGTTAATTTTTGTATTTTTAGTAGAGATGGGGTTTCACCATGTTGGCTAGGCTGGTCTTGAATTCCTGGCCTCAAGAGGTCCACCTACCTCGGCCTCCCAAACTGCTGGATTATAGATGTGGGCCACGCGTGGCCCAACTCTACTATTTCAATGCAGCTCCTGTACCCTAGGTCATCACTGACTTCCCAGTTGCTGAATCCAGTTGTCTTTACTGAGTTGGTCCTTAATTTAACTTTCTTTTGCATTGAAGCTACTGACTGACCACAGCATTTTGAAACTCTGTTCCTCTTATTACTGTGATTCTACTTTCCTTATTTTTCATCTTATCTCTTAAGTCTGTGGCTTCTCAGACTTCCTCACAATTGATTGCTTATTTTAAAAATTCAAAAATTTAAACCTCCCGAGCAGTTCAAAAACAATATACCTTTGAAATTTTTTAAACTTTTCAGAGTTGCAAGAATAGTTCAGTGATCACCAGGTGTTACCATTTTGCCATATTTTCTTTGTCTCTGTGTCCCTCCCTTTCTACCTGCCCCCACATATATGTGTATCTATGAATATTGACATTTTTTAACATTAATAAATTTTCTTTCTGTACAATTTGAGAGTTAACTGCAGATTTCATAGCACTTCACCCCTAATTTCTTCTATACATCTCCTAAGAATAAGGGCATTTTTTTTTTTTTTTGAGAAGGAGTCTCACTCTGTCACCCAGGCTGGGGTGCAGTGGTGCAATCTTGGCTGACTGCAACCTCCACCTCCTGGGTTCAAGCGATTCTCGTGCCTCAGCCCCCCAAGTAGCTGGGATTACAGGTGCCTGCTACCATGCCTGCCTAAGTTTTGTAATTATAGTAGAGATGGGGTTTTGCCATGTTGGCCAGTCTGGTCTCAAACTCCTTACCTAAGGTGATCCGCCCTCCTTGGCCTCCCAAAGTGTTGGGATTACAGACGTGAGACTCCATTCTCAGCCTCTTTTTCCTTTTGTAATTAACAAGTGATCTATGGCATGATAGAAACAGTGTGAATATTCTGTCCCATAATAATCTTTACTTAATGGTTTCATCTGGATGGCTTCTTGCCCAAATCAAATATTACTATAGTGATTAGAAAATGGAGACTTTTCTACTTTTTCTGTATTTTTCCTATATTGTCATTCTTCTGTAAAGAATTTTTTAAACTCTTTTTTTTTTTTTTTTTTTTTGAGACGAAGTCTCGCTTTGTCACCAGGCCGGAGTGCAGTGGTATGGTCTCAGCTCACTGCAACTTCCACCTCCGAGGTTCAGGCGATCCTCCTGTCTCAGCCTCCAGATTAGCTGGGACTACAGTCATTCGCCACTGTGTCCAGCTAATTTTTTGTATTTTTATTAGAGATGGGGTCTCACCATGTTGGCCAGGATGGTCTTGATCTCTTGACCCCATGATCCAGCCACCTCAGCCTCCCAAAGTGCTAGGATTACAGGCGTGAGCCACCGCGGCTGGCCCTATACTCCCTTTTTAAATTTTTTTTTTTTTTTTTTTTGAGATGGAGGTTCACTCTGTTGCCCAGGCTGGAGTGCAATGATGTGGTCTTGGCTCACTGCAACCTCCGCCTCCCAGGTTCAAGCAATTCTTCTGCCTCAACCTCCTGAGTAGCTGGGATTACAGGTACATGCCACCACACTCGGCTGATTTTTGTATTTTTAGTAGGGATGGGGTTTCACTATGTTGGCCAGGCTGGTCTTCAACTCCTGACCTCATGATCTGCCCGCCTCAGCCTCCTAAAATGCTGGGATTACAGGTGTGAGCCACTGCACCTGGCCCTTTTTTTTTTTTTTTTTTTTTTTTGAGACAGGGACTTCCTCTGTTGCCCAGACTTGAGTGCAGTGGTATGGTCATGGCTCACCACAGCTTGGACACCAGGCTGCCTCAGCTCACTGCAACCTCTGCTTCCCGGGTTCCAGTGATTCTCGTGCCTCAGCCTCTGGAGTAACTGGGAGTACAGGTGCTCACCACCATACCTGGCTAATTCTTGTATTTTTAGTAAAGATGAGGTTTCACCATGTTGGCCAGGCTGGTCTCAAACTCCTGGCCGACATGGTGATCCACCTGCCTTGGCTTCCCAAAGTGCTTCATATTGTTAGCCCTAATTCTAGTCAAATTCCATAGCGTTTTTCTTCTTTATTTTTATTTTTTTATTTTTGAGATGGAGTCTTGATCTGTCCCCCAGGCTGGAGTGCAGTGGTGTGATCTCGGATCACTGCAGCCTCCACCTCCTGGGTTCAAGCAAATCTCTGCCTCTGCCTCCTGAGTAGCTGGGATTACAGACACCTGCCACCATGCCCAGCAAATTTTTGTATTTTTAGTAGACACAGGATTTCATCATCTTGGCCAGGCTGGTCTTGAACTCCTGACCTTGTGATCCACCCACCTCGGCCTCCCAAAGTTCTGGGATTACAGGCGTGAGCCACCGTGCCCGGCCTGTATTAGATATTTTTAAGTCAGTTTCCTAAGACAATTAAATATTTCAGGTAGTTGGGACTTTTCTTTTTTTGGTTTGTTTTATTTTGCTTAATTTAACCATTTTAAATATGATTCTCTGGGAATTTTTTCTTCAAAATATAGAATATGTGTGCATTAGTTTGCTAGGCTTGCTGCAACAAAGTACCACAAACTGGGTGGCTTAGACAACAGAAATTTATTATCTCATAGATCTGGAGACTAGAAGTTCTAGATCACGTTGTTAGAGTTGGTTTCTTCGACAACTGTGAGAAACCTTATGTTCCATGCCTCTCCCCTGGCTTCTGGTGGTTTGCTGGTCATCTTTGGCATACTTTGGCTTGTAGGTGCATCACCTGGATCTCTGCCTTCATGTTCACATGGTGTTCTACCTGTGTGCGTATCTGTGGCCAAATTTCCCCTTTTTATAAGGATACCAGGCATATTGGATTAGGGTTCCTCTCTACTCCAGTAGGACCTCATCTTCACTAATTACATCTGCAATAACCCTTTCCAAATAAGGTCACATTCTGAGGAACTAGAGGTTAGAGTTTCAACATACGAAATTTTCTGGGGGGTGAGTAAGGGACACGATTCAATCCATAACAATATGTTTATGAGTAAATGAGTTAGTGTGTTATTGTCTTTCTGCCACCTCAGAATCTGAGAAAACACAGTTTCTTTTTCCATTCCTTGGGCTGTAGGTGGAGAAGGAGGAGGATGATGATGGTGATTATTTTTTGGTCATGCCCCATAATGTGACCCACTTTAAAAAACAACAAACAATTGTAAGGAGGAGAACTGTCATACACCTACTGCCCAGCTTAAAAATAATTAGATCATCTTCTTTAAACATAACTGTCATCCCATCATCACACCTAAGAAGTTGACAGTTTCCCCAGTTTTTTTTTTTTCTCTTTTTTTTTTGAGATAGGGTCTTTCTCTGTTGCCCAGGCTGGAGTGCAGTGGCATGATAGTGGCTCATGGCAGCCTCAGCTTCCCAGGCTCAAGGGATCCTCCCATATAGCTGGGACCACAGGGGTGCATCACCACATCCAATTTTTTGAATTTTTCTAGAGATGAGGTCTCCCTGTGTTGCCCCACCTAATTTTTTTGTTGTTGTTGTTCCATTCTTTTTTTTCCTCCTGTTAATCAAGGTCTGTATGTAGTTTGGTTACTATGTCTCTTAGGTCTCTTTTCCTTTATAGATTCCCCTCGTGATTTACTGAAGAAACGGGGTCATTTGTCCTGTAGAATTCTCAAATTTTGATTTTGCTGATATTATCCCCAGAGTGTCATTGACCATGTTCATCTGTTCCCCAAATTTCCAAAAACTGGTAGTTAAATTTAGGTGGTTGATCTGATTCAGATTACACTCTCAGTATCGCATATGCTTTGATCAGGAGGCATAATGTGTACTTGTGTGTGCGTATGTGTGTTTTTTTAGTGATGTTAGTGGTCACTGCCTGTGTCAGCATTTCACTACCAGGGTAATTTGGCAATGTCTGGAGACACACTGTCACAGCTTGGGAGAGGGAATGCTATAGGTACCTTCAGGGGTAAGAGTCAGCACAGCACAGCCCCCTAACGCAAAGTATTAATAGGCCTAAAATGTCAGTAGCCCTGAGGTTGAGAAACTCTGGCCTACTTTTGTAGTTTCATCAGGTGTTTGTGAAATGGTTTTATTCTAACTGTTATTTCTTCTTTCTTTGTTAGCTGGAATTCTTTCATAAAGAGAAACTCTTTGATCAGTTAGTTACCCAAGGTACAGTTCATACAGAAAAGGCAGGATGTATGTTTGATTCTTTCCTAGTTTTCAAAATAATGAATTAGTTTCCTAGCATCTTCCAAAATTGACCAATGAACTTTGTGTGTGTGTTTTTTTCTTTTTTAGTATATTATGAACTTACACGTTTTAACATATTTGTGTTTCCTTTCATCGCAGTTATTTTTATTTTATTTTTATTTATTCATTTATTGTTTTCAGGCAGGGTCTTAACTCTGTCACCCAAGCTGTAGTGCAGTGGTATAATCGCTGCCCACTGCAGGCTTGACATCCCGACCTCCAGCAATCCTCCCACCTCACCCTCTTGAGTAGCTGGGACCACAGGTACACCACCATGCCCAGCTAATTTTTGTGTTTCTGGTAGAGACGGGGTTTTGCCGTGTTCACCAGGCTGGTCTTCAAATCCTGAGCTCAAAAGCAATCCACCTGCCTCTGCCTCCCAAAGTGTTGGGATGATAGGCGTGAGCCACCGCACCTAGCAGTTATTTTTATTGGTGCTCGTTTTTTCCCTTCGTTGAATGCTGGGTGCAGTGAATGCTGGGTGCATCTTCATGTTGGGTTCTGAGTCCTTTTGACATGAGCACATTGTCTGGTGTTGTACGAGAGAGCAAAATAAGGAAACTGGTGTTCTATGCTTATCTTGTACATTTTCCCCACACTTGGAATCAGCCATTCCTCCAGGGAGTGCAGGTTCACAGTCTGGGCTCTAAGAGAATTATAAGGTCAATGTGGTCATCATCTTTTAGTATTAAGTCAGATATTCTAAATTATTATTTACTTCTTACATTTGGCCCAAGAGTTTAACCAGATATTTTGGGAAAGAGAGAAGGAATTAAATAAATAAATCTCATGGTTAGAACTGAAGTGATAACTATACTTTCACAAGGAAATATAACTTATAACCCATGCGGAATAGAAAATTATTTTTGCTCCTTTAGATTTCTGAAGGAATGAAATGAGCTGTGAGAAGAAACTTTAACTGGAGCATCTTACCAGTATTATTCATGTTTTAACTCTGCTTCAGTAGTTTTTCAGGTTTATTACAAACCTGCAGTAGCCAACTGAATTAATTATCTCTAAACAGGGATTTAGCCAGTGGACTAGGCACACTGAAGCTTTGTGAGAGGGGAAATTGATATTCACATTTTTTCCAGCTTGTTTTGAGCTCGATATATTCTTTTCTTTTTTTTTTTTTAATTGAGACAGACTCTCGCACTGTCACCTGGGCTGGTGTGCAGTGGCACGATCTCTGCTTGCGGCAACCTCTGCCTCCCAGGTTCAAGCAATTCTCCTGCCTCAGCCTCCCGAGTAGCTAGGATTACAGGCGCCCGCCACCACGCCCGGCTGATGTTTTGTAGTTTTAGTAGAGACGGGGTTTCGCTTTATTGGCCAGGCTGGTCTTGAACTCCTGACCTCAGGATCTGCCTGCCTCAGCCTCCCAAAGTGCTGGGATTACAGGCCTGAGCCATCATGCCCAGTCAATATATTCACATTTTTAATAGGAATAACAGTATACTAAAATCTTTTTTAGTGCATGTTTAAGATTTGAAGATGTAATTTGACTCAGTACTTTCCACTTGCATTTTTTTCTTCCACTTGCATTTCTCCACTATTAGAAAAGTGCCTGCTAAGACTATTCTAATACTTTATTATAGTTAACCCCTGCGAAAAGAGCTCCCAGAGCTTACAGTGCATTTAATTGATGTCATATGGACTATTCATTATTTTCTAAATTATTTTGTTTGTATAAAGCAATCTGAAGAGGATGTAAGTCAGTTTGATTCCAAGTTTACACGTCAGACACCTGTCGACAGCCCAGATGACGCAACTCTCAGTGAAAGTGCCAATCAGGTCTTTTTGGTAAGTGAAAGAATTTCCATGTAGTCATGGGAAATTTTAAGTATGAGGATGGGCTCTTCGATAAGAAAATTCAGTTTGCTTGCTTTGCAGCTCATGTAGGTAACCTGGCCCACTTTTTTTTTTAAATAAGCCATGCTCTTATAACTTATTGATACCTATAAAATTGATTTTCATAATCCAACATTTTATTTTAGCAATTAGAGTGGGAATGTACAATTCTTTGGAGAGTATGATTCCCTTTTTTGGTTGGGCCACAGACTTAAAATGATGTTTGGCTTAGCATCTCAACCAAAAATTAAGTCATAGCAGTGGGAGAGAAAAACCTCACTAACTACATGTATTTTATTCCTGAAACAGCTATAGATTTTTGGTACCTTTTTTTTTTTTTTTTTTGAGACAGGGTCTCACCTTGTAGCCCAGGCTGGGTGTAGGGTGTAGTGGTGTGATCACAGTTCACTACAGCCTTGACCTCCCAGGCTCAAGTGATCCACCCATTTCAGCCTCGTGAGTACCTGGACTACAGGTGTGTGCCCCATCCAGCTAATTTTTTATTTTTTTGTAGAGACAGAGTCTCACTATTTTACTCCTGGACTCAAGCTATCTTCCCACCTCGGCTTCCCAAAGTGCCAAAATTATAGGCATGAGCCATCATTCCTGGCCCTATTTTTGGTACTCTTAACATAAGTAGGGGATTTTTTTTTTTTTTTGAGACTGAGTCTCACTCTGTCGTCAGGCTGGGGTGCAGTGGCGCGATCTCAGCTCACTGCAACCTCTGCCTCCTGGGTTCAAGTGATTGTCCTGCCTCAGCCTCCTGAGTAGCTGGGACTACAGGCGCCTGCCACCACGCCCAGTTAATTTTTGTATTTTTAGTAGAGACAGGGCTTCACCATGTTGGCCAGGATGGTCTTGGTTTCTTGACCTCATGATCCACCCGCCTTGGCCTCCCAAAGTGCTGGGATTACAGGCATGAGCCACTGCGCCCGGCCAAGTAGGGGATTTTTTAAACCTAATTGTGAATATTTGACATCAAATTATATTGGTTCATATGTAATAATGAATTCTCATTGTAGAAATATCCGTATAGATTTATAGCTTGTCTCCTCAGAAAAGTGAAGGTTTTAGATGTTGGCCAACAGAAATGATGGATTTATATCAGATGACCATCAATGCATACATACTATTTTGCTTAAATACCATATATGCTTGTTGATTTTATTACTGTACTTATATGTCACATGAACATCTTTCTCATTTTGTATCCTTTTTTTTCTTTTGTCGTTCCTGTATGGACTACCTCTAGGGAGAATAGAATATGGGGAAAACAATTGTTTGGGAGTGGTTTTTTCCCTCTTTTTGAGTTCACTGGATTTGTCACTAACTTAATTCTATGCTTTTCTTCCCCACACTGCTCACTATATAACACAAGTAGTGTTGTATCTTATGGGATGGGAAATAAGCTCTAAAGTTAGCATGGAGTTGGGACATCGTGGCTCACGCCTATAACCTTGAGGTCAGGAGTTCGAGACCAGCCTGGCCCACATGGTGAAACCCCATCTCTACCAAAAATACAAAAATTAGCCGGGTGTGGTGGCATGTACCTGTGGTACCAACTACTTGGGAGGCTGAGGCAGGAGAATGACTTGAACCCGAGAGGCAGAGGTTGCAGGAGCCAAGATCGTGCCACTGCACTCCAGCCTGGCCAATAGAGTGAGTGAGACTCTGTATAAAAAAAAATTAGTTAAAAAAATAAAGTTAGCATGGAATGCAAAAGTTGTGTATAGTACAGTATGGTTTCAAGTAAACAACACTGAATAGTAATAATCCTATAAATTAGTAATATAGAGCACGTAGGCAAAATATAATCTTACAGTATTAATTACATAAGAGATAAAAGATGAGTGAGTGCATGCATGTTTTTAAATTCAAGTTTGATGTGTGCATGATCAAAGTTACGGCATCTCTGTTAGTAAAATCTTAGGTTCACTCAGGGAAGTGGGCATGGATCACTTTAATTTTGGCTTTTTTTTTCTCTTTCATGTACTACTGATGTGGAATTTATACCTTTGATTTAACATAGAGACCTTTTCATCAATTGAACATTGCAGAATTTCAACTTATGTGACAGTTTCCCCCCACAAAATAGAAGCATTTTATTTAGCTACCAAGAAATCCTAAGTTGTGGTGGTAAATGTGAGATATTGACGCTTTCATTGCCAGTTAAAGTATTGTTGAGCTTTTCATAATTACTTAAATTGGCTATAACTGATGAACAGAGCAACTCATTTGTTAGGTTGTAGCCAGAATTCTGTACATAAAGTGGGTCTCTTGAAACATTAGTAAAAACAAAAATAGGCCAGGTACAGTGGCTCATGCCTGTAATCCCAGCACTTTGGGAGGCTGAAGTGGGTGGATCACAAGGTCAGGAGTTCTAGAACAGCCTGGCCAATATGGTGAAACCCCATCTCTACTAAAAATACAAATATTAGCCAAGTGCGGTGGCACACGCCTGTAATTCCATCTACTCGGGAGGCTGAGGCAGGAGAATCACTTGAAACCAGGAGGTGGCAGTTGCAGTGAGCCAAGATCGTGCCAGTGCATTCCAGCCTGGGCAACAGAGCAAGGCTCTATCTCAAAAAAAAAAAAAAATTCCGCATACATAAGAAGAGAATATGCATTAAAAAAATCAGCAGAGCCTCACATTCCAGGATTTTCTACACAAGAAACCATTCCTAAAATATGTGCTTGGAATTACTAGGGTTTCTCTTGCAAACATTTTAATAACACCTCATTCGTTTTTTTTATTATAATATTTATTTAAGCAAAATTTCTTTTTTTAATTTTATTATTTTATTATTATTACACTTTAAGTTGTAGGGTACATGTGCACAATGTGCAGGTTAGTTACATATGTATACATGTGCCATGCTGGTGTGCTGCACCCATTAACTCGTCATTTAGCATTAGGTATATCTCCTAATGCTATCCCTCCCCCCTCCCCACACCCCGCAACAGTCCCCAGAGTGTGATGTTCCCCTTCCTGTGTCCATGTGTTCTCATTGTTCAATTCCCACCTATGAGTGAGAACATGCGGTAACACCTCATTCTTTAGGGGTGTGGTTATATGTGTCATGTTATTAGATCTTTACAGCAACTCTCCTGGGTAAAGCGGTTATTACTAGGTCATTTTATAGAAGGAAAAATAACCAGTACTTTTTTTGCTTTACTTCAGTAGCTATTGCCTCCTTCAATTTGACATTTCAATCCTGGCACATAGTGGGGGCTCAACAAATATTTGTTGGAGGAATGCCATTTAAAATACAGTGATTGGATAGGAGAATATTTGAGGGCATTAACAGTTTTTAAAAGCCAAAAAAAAAATTACAACTGGACTTATGAGATTTTGATTTTTTTGTGTATTTTCTTTTAAAAAATAAGCTTCTCTAGGCTGGGCTTGGTGGCTCATGCCTGTAATCCCAGCACTTTGGGAGGCTGAGGCAGGTGGATCACCTGAGGTCAGGAGTTTGAGACCAGCCTGGCCAACATGGTGAAAACCCGTCTCTACTAAAAATACAAAAATTAGCTGGCCGTGGTGGCACACACCTGTAATCCCAGCTACTAGGGAGGCTGAGGCAGGAGAATCGCTTGAACCCGGGAGGCAGATGTTGCAGTGAGCCAAGATCACACCACTGTACTCCAGCCTGGGTGACAGAGCAAGACTCTGTCTCAAAAATAAATAAATAAAGTATATAAATAAATAAGCTTCTGTTTTGGCTTCCTCCAATGTAGTCTCTTTGAGTAGGAAGAAATTGTTATGATTCAAACTAGTACATTCTTTTTTTTTTTTTTTTTTTTTTTGAGATGGAGTCTTGCTCTTATTGCCCAGGCTGGAGTGCAGTGGCGTGATCTTGGCTCACTGCAGCCGGCTCACTTGAACCGGGTTCAAGTGATTCTCCTGCCTCAGCCTCCCAAGTAGGTGGGATTACAGGTGCCTGCCATCACGCCTGGCTAATTTTTGTAGTTTTAGTACAGATGGGGTTTCACCATCTTGGCCAGGCTGGTCTTGAACTCCTGGTCTTGATCTGCTGACCTATATCCGCCCGCCTCGGCCTCCCAAAGTGCTGGGATTACAGGTGTGAGCCATTGCACCCGGCCGACAGGTAAATTCTTATATCAAAAAACTGAGTTAGACTTGGTCCCTGGAGCTGTTTTCCATCCCTAAAAAGATGATGTCAAGCTATCATGTATAATAAATAACAACTCAATTGACCACATATTTTCCTTTAAGCCTAATGATGAAATAATATTATAATGAAATACTTAGAAGTTTTAAGGGAAAAAATCCTTTAAGTCATTAAATTAAAATTGAAACCAAAACAATAACTTCACTGTTTTAGGATAAAATTGGCATAAGAAAGGTTTGATAGTGAACGACAGTAAGATTAACCTACTACAGCATTTGCCTTTAGCTTTTACTGAGTAATACTTGGAGCTATATATTTATAGCATTTGCTATAAATGTGCAAATGAAGACATTATTTATTGTATTACTGCTGAGATTAATATTGTCTTTTTCAGATTTCTAAAACATTACAGCAAATGCGCACGAGGGCGCTCTAATCAGCTAGATATGGAGAGGGTAGGCATTTGTTGACTGTTAAGTCAAAACTAGTTCTATACTTTTACAGATGGAAAAATCAAGGTCCACCAAAGAGGTTATGATTCTACACGAGTTATTCTCTAGAGGAAACAAATTGGGTATTAGAATTTTGAAAAGATTAAACAGAAATCCCTGTCAGTGAATTTATGCTGGAGAATTTTGACTTTCATCCTAGCAACTCCTTATTGAAAATCTTTACCCATGCCATGATATAATTTATCTTCAATCTTAAATGGGTTTGGTAATAGTGTTTATAAGATGTAGGAGAGTTAATTAGAATATTTATTTTTATGAACTTTTGCTCTATAAAATTAAAAAATGTTAATTGTGCTTCATTTATACTTTTTTTTTTTTTTTCTTTGAGACGGAGTCTTACTCTGTCACCCAGGCTGGAGTGCAGTGGCGTGATCTCAGCTCACTGCAACCTCTGCCTCCCAGGTTCAAGCGATTCTCCTGCCTCAGCCTCCCAAGTAGCTGGGACCACAGGCACGTGCCACCACGCCTGGCTAATTTTGGTATTTTTAGTAGAGACGGGGTTTCACCATGTTGGCCAGGGTGGTCTCGAACTCCTGACCTCAAGTGATCTGCCCGCCTTGGCCTCCCAAAGTGCTAGGATTACAGGTGTGAGCCACCAACACCTGGCCCATTTATACTTAAGGCTGATTCTCAACTGATTTGGGTAAGATCCTTAGTCTTTCCCCATCTCTGACGTAATTCCTAGTTTGTCCTTTGGCTTTCCTGTGTATATAAAGCTACCAGGCTGCTTGCAGATTTTTCGGGGAATAAGTCCCATAAACACTCACAAAGATTTTATTAGGGAGAAGCTATGATGCGAATATAGAATGTAGATTTTTTAAATTTCAAAATCAGTATGGGCCGGGCGCGGTGGCTCACGCCTGTAATCCCAGCACCTTGGGAGGTCGAGGCGGGCGGATCACGAGGTCAGCAGAGCGAGACCATCCTGGTTAACACGGTGAAACCCCGTCTCTACTAAAAATACAAAAAATTAGTGGGCGCAGTGGCAGGCGCCTGTAGTCCCAGCTACTCGGGAGGCTGAGGCAGGAGAATGGCGTGAACGCGGGAGGCGGAGCTTGCAGTGAGCGGAGATCGCGCCACTGCACTCCAGCCTGGGCGACAGAGCGAAGACTCCATCTCAAAAAAAAAAAATCAGTATGTAGAGCTGGGCATGGTGGTGTGTGCCTATTAGCCCAGCCACTGGGGAGGCTGAGGCAGGAGAAGCCCTTGAGCCCAAGAGTTCAAGACTAGCCTGGGCAACACAGCGAGACCCTCATCTCGAAAAATAAATAAATAAATAAATAAAGTATTGCAATATTTATTATATAGGCAAATTTTTTTCAACTTAAGTGCTACCCTCATCAGGGGAAGATTTGTTTGATTAGATCCCCACACAGGCTGGCCGCTTCCTCATTTCTACTTTTTCTTTTCTTTTTGAGATGGAGTTTTGCTCTTGTTGCCCAGGCTGGAGTGCAATGGCGCAATCTTGGCTCACTGCAACCTCCGCCTCCCGGGTTCAAGCGATTCTCCTGCCTCAGCCTCCCGAGTAGCTGGGATTACAGGCACCTGCCACCACACCCGGCTAATGTTTGTATTTTTAGTAGAGATGGGGTTTCACCATGTTGGCCAGATTGGTCTCAAACTCTTCAGTTCAAGCGATCTACCTGCCTCGGCCTCACAAAGTGCTGGAATTACAGGTGTGAGCCACTGCGCCCGGCCTCATTTCTACGTTTTCAAAGAAGTCAATTTTCTTTAAAAAATAAACTCTTTTGGCCACGCGGCGGCTCATTCCTGTAACCCTAGCACTTTGAGACTCAGAGGCAGACGGATCGCTTGAACTCAGGAGTTCAAGACCAGCCTGGCCAACATGGTGAAACCCTGTCTCTACAAAAAATTAGCTGGATGCAGCGGCACGTGCCTGTAGTCCCAGCTACTCAGGAGGCTGAGGCAAGAGAGTCACTTGAGTCCAGGAGGCAGAAGTTGCAGTGAACTGAGTTCACGCCATTGCACTCCAGCCTGGCTGATGGGAGTGAAACCTTGTCTCAAATAAATAAATAAATAAACTCTTATTTAAAAAAAAAAAAAGCAAATCATGAAACAAAACAAAACCCAGGGCTCTGAATGAAAAAGATCTCTCCTTTAGGGGGCTAGGTGATGGAAAGGAAAATAGGTCATGAATTTCATGTTCTCATTTGTCTTCGTTAATGACTTGTATGTATATATATTTCCATTGAAGACATAGATATGCATTTGATCACCTACACTTGTTTGTATTTTGAGTCATAAATTAAGGCATTTCCTGTCCAGAAAGCACCTGACAATCTTATGATAAAAAACATGGAATTTTAAAATCACAAATGCAAATAACAAGCCAGGCACAGTGGCTCACGCCTGTAATCTTAGCTCTTTGGGAGACCAAGGTGGGTAGATTGTTTGAGCTCAAGAGTTTGAGACCAGCCTGGGTAACATGGAGAAACCCTGTCTTTACAAAAAATAAAAAATTAGTGGGGCACGGTGGCATGTGCCTGTAGTCCCAGATACTCAGGAGGCTAAGGTGGGAGGAGTGCTTGAGCCCAGGAGGTCGAGGCTGCTGTGAGCTGTGGTGGCAACACTGCACTCCAGCCTGGGTGACAGAGTGAGACCCTATCTCAAAAAAAAAAGGAGTGCAAATAACAGATGACCTTACAAACATCAAAAGTTATGTCTTTATAATAAGTTTTGTCTACATTCAATGAAATATGTTAGCAAGGAAAAAATGTAGCAGTATGCATATGGCTTTATTTTATCTTGGCCCTGCCCACTACTGTGCCCTCATTTCTTTTCCTTCCCACTGAGTCCTTCCACACTAGCCACACCACAGCAAACCTGACAAGCTTCTGCCTGAAATAGCACCATTGCACTTCTCTTCCCTTTGCCTGAAACATTCTTTTTTTTCTTTTTTCTTTCTTTTTTTTTTTTTTTTTTATGAGATGGAGCCTCACTCTCTCGCCAGACTGGAGTGCAGTGGCACGATCTCAGCTCACTGCAACTTCCACCTCCCTGGTTCAAGCGATTCTCCTGCCTCAGCCTCCCGAGTAGCTGGGATTACAGGTATGCACCACCATGCCCGGCTAATTTTGTATTTTTAGTAGAGACGGGGTTTCTCCATGTTGGTCAGGCTAGTCTCGAACTCCCGACCTCAGGTGATCCGCCCGCCTCGGCCTCTCAAAGTGCTGGGATTACAGGCGTGAGCCCCTGTGCCTGGCCACCACAATCAATTTTAGAATATTTTCATTTCTCTCAAAAAAAAATACCATACCTATGAGCAGTCACTCCCCATTTCCTCCATCCCTCAGTCCTAGGCAACCACTAATTTACTTTCTTTTAGGATAGGATTTGCCTATTTGGACATTTCATATAAATGGAACCATACAATTTGTGATCTTTTGTGACTGGCTTTTTTCAAGTAACCTAATGTTTTCAAGGTTCATTCATGTTATAGCATGTGTCAGTACTTATTTCCTTTTTTTTATGGCTCAATAATATTCTGTTGTAGGAATATAACACATTTCATTTATCTGTTTATCACTTTTTTTTTTTTTTTTTGAGATGGAGTCTCAGTCTGTCACTCAGGCTGGAGTACGGTGGTGTGATCTTGGCTCACTGCGGCCTCCGCCTCCTGGATTCAAGCCATTCACCTGCCTCAGCCTCCCAAGTAGCTGGGATTACAGGCACGTATACCATGTCCCGCTGATTTTTGTATTTTCAGTAGAGATCGGATTTCACTCTGTTGGCCAGGCTGGTCTCGAGCTCCTGAGCTCAAGCAATCCTCCCGCCTTGGCCTCCCAAAGTGTTGGGAGCCACCACACCCAGCTGTCTCTACTTTTTGACTATTATGAATAATGCTGCTATGAACATTCATGTATAAGTTTTTGTGTGGACATATGTTTTCCTTCCCCTTGGGAATATGATGAAGCCTGGCATTGCCAGGTCATATGATAACTCTATGTTTAAGCTTTGGAGGAACTGCCAGACTATTTCCAAAGCAGTTCCAACTTCATTGCAAAGCATTTTACATTCCCTCCAGCAACATATGAGTGTTTCAATTTTTCCACATTTTCTCCAACACTTGTTATTATGTGTCTGTTTATTATAGCCATTCTTGTGAGTGTGAAGTGGTATCTTAACATGGTTTGGATTTGCACTTCCCTGATGGCTAATGATGTTTCTATGGTTTGAATGTTGGAGTCCTCCAAAATTCATGTTATAACCTAAGACCTAATGTGACGATGTTAAGAAGTGAGGCCTTCAAGGTGGTGATTAGGTCATGAGGGCTCTGCCCTCGTGAATGAAATTAATCCCCTTATAAAAAGGCTTCACATAACATTTCTTCTTCTTTTTTCCTTTCTTCTCCTGCCATGTGAAGATGCCACTGCGAGAACGGGAACAATGGAACAGGCCCTCACCAAATGCCAAATGTGCTACCACCTTGATTTTGGATTTCCCAGCCTCCGGAACTGTGAGGAATAAATTTTTTTACTTATAAATTACTTAGTCTCAGGTATTTTGTTATAGCAGCACAAACAGACTAAGACAGAAATTGAGTGTATTTTCTTGTGCTTATTGGCCATTTATTTTCTTTCTTTTATTTTTATTTATTTATTTATTTTTAGGTGGGGTTTTGCTCTGTTGCCCAGGCTGGAGTGCAGTGGTGCAATCTTAGCTCATTGCAACCTCTGCCTCCCGGGTTCGAGTGATTCTTGTGCCTCATCTGCCTGAGTACCTGGGACTACAGGCATGCGCCACAACGCCTGGCTGATTTTTATATTTTTAGTAGAGATGGGTTTTCGCCATGTTGGCCAGACTGGTCTTGAACTCCTGGCCTCAAGTGATCCACCTGCCTTGGCCTCCCAAAGTGTTGGGATTATAGGCATAAGCCACCACCTGGCCCTTATTGGCCATTTGTATGTCTTCTTTGGAGAAATATCTGTTCAGATCTTTTGTCCATTTTAAAATTGGGTTATATCCTTTTTATTATCAAGTTGTAAGAGTTCTTTATGTATTCTAGATCCAAGTCCATTGTCAGATACTGTAGTCTCCCGTATGCTCTCTGCAGTTTCAGTTACCTGCGGGCAGCTGCAATCCCAAATATTACAGTATTTTGAGAGAGAGAAAACTATTCATGTAACTTATGTTAAAGTATATTCTAGCCGGGCACAGTGGCTCACACCTGTAATCCCAGCACTTTGGGAGGCCGAGGTGGGTGGATCACAAGGTCAGGAATTGGAGACCAGCCTGGCCAATATGGTGAAACCCTGCCTCTACTAAAGATACAAAAATTAGCCGGGCGTGGTGGCAGGTGCCTGTAGGCCCAGCTACTCGGGAGGCTGAGGCAGGAGAATCGCTTGAACCTGGGAGGTGGAAGTTGCAGTGAGCTGAGATGGCGCCATGGCACTCCAGCCTGGGTGACAGAGCAAGACTCCATCTCAAAAACAAAAAGTATATTCTAATTGTTCTCTTTTATTATTAGTTATTGTTGTTATTCTATTACAGTGCCTAATTTATAAATTAAACTTCATCATAGGTATGTATGTATGTATAGGAAAAAAACATAGTACATATAGAGTTTGGTACTATCTGCAGTTTCAGGTATACACTGGAGGTCTTGGAACATATTTTGTTACATATATATCTATATATTTATAAATATATATTTATATATAGCTATATATTTATGTATCTATATATCTATAAATATATGTTTATATATCTATATTAATCTATATCTATATATGAATATATAGGTAGATAAATAAATATATACATATATATATATTTTTTTTTTGAGATAAGGTCTCGGTCTATCGCCCAGGCTGGGATACATTAATGTTATCTTGGCTCACTGCAGCCTCAACCTCCTGGGCTCACGTGATTCTCCCACCTCAACCTCCCAAGTAGCTGGGACCACAGGCACATGTCACCACATCTGGGTAATTTTATTTATTTATTGTAGAGATAGGGTATCCCTATGTTGCCCCGGTTAGTCTTGAGCTCCTGGGCTCAAGTGATCCTCCCACCTCAGCTTTCCAAAGTTCTGGGATTACAGGCATGAGCCACTGCGTCTGGCTACATATTTTCCACAAATAAAGTGAGCCTACTTTGTATATAATTTGCAAGTATTTTCTCCCATTCTGTGGGTTGTCTTTCACTTTTTTTTTCTGGAGTCCTCCAAAATTCATGTTATAACCTAAGACCTAATGTGATGATGTTAAGAAGTGAGGCTTTCAAGGTGGTGATTAGGTCATGAGTGCTCTGCCCTCGTGAATGAAATTAATGTGCTTATAAAAAGGCTTCACATAGCATTTCTTCTCCTTTTTTTGCCTCAGCCTCCTGAGTAGCTGGGATTACAGACGTGTACTACCATGCATGGCTAACTTTTGTATTTTTAGTAGAGACAGGGTTTCACCATGTTGGCCAGGCTGGTCTCAAACTCCTAACCTCAGGTGATCAGCCCGCCTCGGTCTCACAAAGTGCGGGGATTGCGGGCGTGAGCCACCATGCCCGGCACATGCATCAGTTTTTAATGCTTCCTTGGTTGGACTGATTAACCAGTCAACTACTGGTTCCAGTAAGGTTGGATGAGGTGGCGTATACTCTACTTATTTGCCGCCCCCGCTTCTTCCTTTTTTTTCAGACAGGGCCTTTGACGCGCTGGCTGGAGTGCCGTGGTGTGATCTTGGCTCACTGCAGCCTCAACTTCCTGGGCTCAAGCAGTCTTCCCACCTCAGCCTCTAAGTAGCTGGAACTACAGATGTGTGCCCCTATGCCTGGCTAATTTTTGTATTTTTGTCGAGACGGGGTCTCCCCATGTTGCCCAGGCTGGTCTCCAACTCCTGGGCTCAAGAGATCCGCCCACCTTGGCCTCCCAAAGCCCTGGGATTGCAGACATGAGCCACTCTGCCTGGCAACTTGTAACAGTTCTTTGTATGTTCTTGATACAAGTCAGTTGTCAGATACAGCGGTAGTACATAATTAAACATAATTATATAGAACTATATTTTATATAAGCGCAGCATTATATGAAATAGCAAAAATTTGGAAATAACCAAATGTCCAACAATAGGTAGTTAGCTAAGTAAATTGTGAAACATCCATGTAATGAAAGCTATACAACTATAAAAAATGATCTAGATCTATTTATACTGACATCGACAGATGTCTAACATAAATTACATGAAAATAGGAAGTGACAGAGAAGAGAGTATGGTATAATCTCATTTACATTAAAGTAATCAAATTGATTCTTGGACTCTTGATTCTTGGACCTGTGAATCCTGGCTATAGGAGAAACAGTACCATATATTGGATGCTGATTCAGAGCATACATGGCCTTCTGGAGAACTTTGCCCCAGCCCTGCAAAGTATTGTCATAGTGACTCCAAAAGGCCATTCCACCATTCTATCAATCCAGCTGCTTCAGGATGATGGAGAACATGGTAAGACCAGTGAATTCCATGAGTATGAGCCCACTGCCACACTTCTTTAGCTGTAAAGTGAGTGCCTTGGTCAGAGGCAATGCTGTGTGGAATTCCATGCTGGTGGATAAGGCAATTTCATGAGTCCACAAATGGTAGTCTTGACAGAAGCATTGCATACAGGATAGGTAAACCCATATCAGGAGTAAGTGTCTATTCCAGTGAGGACAAACCTCTGCCCTTTCCATGATGGAAGAGGTCCAATATAATCAACCTGCCACCAGGTGGCTGGCTGATCACCCCGAGGAATAGTGTCATATTGAGGGCTCAATATTGGTCTCTTCTGTTGGCAAATTGGACACTCAGCAGTGGCCATAGCCAGGTCAGTCTTGGTGAGTGGAAGTCTATCTTGCTGAACCCATGTGTAGCCTCCATCCCTGCCACCATGGCCACTTTGTTCATGGGCCCATTGGGCGGTGACAGGGGTGGCTGGGGAAAGAGGCTGAGTAATGTCCACATTACGGCTCATCCTCTCCACTTGATTGTTAAACTCCCCCTCCACTGAGGTCACTCGAGCACTCACATGAGATACAAATATCTTCACAGTTTTTGACCATTCAGAGAGGTCCATGTACATACTTCTTCCCCAAATTTCTTTGTCACCAATTTTCCAATCATGCTTCTTCCAAGTCCCTGACCATCCAGCCAAGCCATTGGCTACAGCCCAGGAATCAGTGTATAATTGCACATTTGTCCATTTCTCCTTTCATGCAAAGTGCACAACCAGGTGCACTTTTCAAAATTCTGCCCACTGGGAACATTTCCCTTCACCGCTATACTTCAGGGATGTCCTAGAAAGAGGGTGTAGTGCTGCAGCTGTCCACTTTTGGGTGGTGCCTGTGTATTATGCAGAACCGTCTGTGAACCTGGCCCTAGTCTTCTGTTACTCTGTCAACTGATCATAGGGAACTCCCCATGAGGCCATCAGTGCAGGCTGGGGGAGAGAAGGCAGGTGGCAGGAGTGAAGACCCTGGGCATTTGAGCCATGTCCTCATGTAACTTACTTGGCCTTCAGGACCTGCTTGAGCCTGATCACATATATACCACTTCCACTTGATGATGGAATGCTGCTGTGCATGACCCACTTTATGGCTAGATAAGTCAGAAAACACCCAGTTCATGACAGGCAGTTCAGGTCACATGGTGACTTGATGACCCATAGTCAAACGTTCAGTTTCCACCAAAGCCCAGTAACAGGCTAAGAGCTGTCTCTCAAAAGGAGAGTAGTTATCTGAACTAGATGGCAGGGCCTTGCTCCAAAATCCTAGATGCCTCTGCTGTGATTCACCTATGGGAGCCTGCCAAAGGCTCCAAACAGCATCCCTATTTGCCACTGACACTTCAGGCACCACTGGACCTGCTGTGTCTTATGGTCCAAGTGGCAGAGCAGCTTGCACAGCAGCCTGGACCTATTGCAGAGCCTTCCCCTGTTCTGGACCCCACTCAGAACTGGCAGCCTTTCAGGTCACTAGATAAATGGGCCAGAGTAACACACCCAAATGAGGAATGTGTTGTCTCCAAAATCCAAATAGGCGCACTAGGCATTGTACCTCTTTCTTGGTTGTAGGAGGGGCCAAATGCAGCAAGTTATCCTTTGCTTTAGAAAGAATATCTCGGCAGGGCCCATACCACTGAATCCCTAGAAATTTTACTGAGGTAGAAGTTCCCTGAATTTTAGTCAGATTTATTTCCCATCCTCTGGCATGCAAATGTCTCACCAATAAGTCCAGTGTGTTTGCTACTTTTTGCTCACTGGATCCAATCATCATAATGTCATTGTAATGGACCAGTGTGATATCTTTCAGAAGCAAAAAGTGATCAAGGTCTCTCTGAATAAGATTATGACGCAAAGCTGGAGAGTTGATATACCCGTGAGGTAGGACAGTAAAGGTATATTGCTGACCTTGCCAGCTGAAGGCAAATTGCTTCTGGTGGGCCTTATGGACAGGAATGGAGAAAAAGGCATTTGCTAAGTCAATACCTGCATACCAGGTACCAGGAGACATGTTAATTTGCTCAAGCAATGAAATCACATCTGGTTTCATTGGAAACCAGCTGCAATTGGAGTCACAACTTGGTTAAGCTTATGATAATCCACTGTCATTCTCCAAGGTCCATCTGTCATCCACACAGGCCAAATGGGAGGCTTGAATGGAGAGGTGTTGGCAATCACCATCCCTGCATCCTTCAAGTCTTGATGGTGACACTAATTGCAGTCCCTCCAGGGATGTGATATTGTTTTTGATTTACTATTTTTCTAGGTAGAGGCAGCTCTAATGGCTTCCATTTGGCCTTTCCCACCATAATAGCTCTCACCCTACCAGTCAGGGAGCCAATGTAGGGGTTCTGCCAGCTGTTGAATATATCTATGCCAATTACACATTCTGTCATTGGGGAAATGACCACAGGATGAATCCAGGGACCCACTGGGCCCACTGTAAGTTGGACCTGAGCTAAAACTCCATTAATTACCTGACCTCCATAAGCCCCTAATTTAACTGGAGGAACACAGTGACATTTTGTGTCCCCTGGAATCAACGCCAAATCAGAGCCAGTGTCCAGAAGTCCCCAAAATATATGATCATTTCTCCTTCCCCAGTGCACAGTTACCCTGGTAAAAGGCTGGAGGTCTCCTTGGGGAAGGGTGGGAGAAAGATTCACTGCATAAATTGTCAGTAATGTAGTGGGGTCCTTCCTCAAGGGGACCCGGCCTCCGCTTCATTCAAGGGTTTTTGGGTCTCTAAACTGGCTCAATCCTGGAAATTGATTGAGGGGCCGTGATTCTCTGTTTTTATGATTCAAATTAGTCGTTTGTCCATTTGACCTGGAAGTTCTTTGTTTGTATAATTTAAGTAGGAATGCAGTAGGCTTCCTATCAATTTCACTTCTAGGAACACCATGATTAATTAGCCAATGCCAGAGCTCTACACGAGTCAGACTATTCTGATTGCCACTTTGCCTCTGCTGTCCATTACAGTAGTTATGCCCACCTTGCCTTTCATGGTTGAGTGCTGCCACTTAGCCCCTGCTACCTTGGGATCCAATTATTCCCATTGTATTTAAATTTTGTAGTTGAGTGACTGCAGTTCCCACCGTTAGATCTGACATACAGAGAAGAGCAATCACAGGGCTCTTCAAAGATGCTGGTGCCATGCTTGCAAATCTGTTTCGCAAGCTATTGTTCAAGGGTATATCTTCGGGACCCTCCCCACTGGGATAAGTAGGTCTAAAATGACTAATCCACTCCACCATCCCAATCTCCCTAAGCCTTCGGATCCCTTCCTCTACATTAAACCAAGAGAGATCAGGCATTTCCAGCTTGCTCACAGTGGGCCATCTTTTAATCCATATTTCAGCTATCCAAGCAAATAAACTATTAGAATCTTTTGTAACTCCCCAAGCTGCAACATTAAATGCAGAATCCCTACTTAGGGGCTCAAATCAATAAATTCAGCCTGATCCAACTCTATGTTCCTTCCACCATTATTCCATACCCTTAATATCAATTCCCATGCATGTTCTCCAGATTGCTGTTTTTATAAATTAGAGAACTCAAACAGTTCTTTTGAAGTGCCGTGCACCTCCTCATGGATCACACTCTCAACCTCACCTCCAGGGGCCCACTGGGACTTTAGTCTATTTACAGGTCTAGACTGTCATCAATGTAATGGACCAGACTTTAGTCTAGTTACAGGTCTAGACTGTCATCAATGTAGTGGACCACGAAACAGGGGTGTTGGGGTGGCTCCTGAGGAGAATCAACATTATTTTGCCTGGCAACTGCCTCAGAGGAGGCCATCACTGTTGCCTCAGGCAGCACAGGGTTTATCTCCTCAGACAAAGGTGGAAAGGCTGATGGCACCACGGGTCGGGAGTGGATGTTGCTACTACTGGGGATGGGGAAGCTGTTCCTTCTGGCAAAAAAGGTTCATCAGAGTTTACAAACTCAGTGTCCCCAGCTTCATCTGAGTGCTCCCACATTTCCCCATTCCAAGTTGCAGGGTCCTATTCTTTTCCAATCAATGCCCTCACTTTAACAGTAGACACCTAGTGAGTCTGTACATGCACCTTTTGTTGCAGGTCAGCCACTTGCATGATAAGAATTTGTGTTTGTTTTTTCACAATTTCAGCTCTTTCTCTACAGAAGATAAGGGTCTCACTCAGGGCAATCTTAGCAGATTTGAGGCTCAGTATCTGCTTCTGAAGCCAGGAGACATAATCCCTGAGCTCATCGTTTTCTTTCATCACTTTGTCTATTGAACTCAGGAGCAACCAACCAGCTTCATTATGTTCCTTGGTTCTCCACATATGGTCAAAGGTATTATGTATAGAGTCACTAAACTCCTTGCCTCTCATGAGCAGTGAATCAGGAGTGCCAAATGCATTTACTTTGCTTAACTCTCTAAACAGTTCACACCAAGGACTATCAGTGTTCTCCATACTATTAGACGTAGAGTCCTTAGCATTTTGGGGTCTAACCATATTAAGCAGCCAACTCTAGAAAACCCAAAACCAATGAAAGAACTCCACTCTTAATATTCCATTTCTCTAGAACCACTCCTGGTACCAAAATCTGGATTAGTCAGGGTCCTCTTAGAGGGACAGAACTAATAGGATATATATAGATAGATAGATAGATAGATAGATAGATAGATAGATAGATAGATATAGATATATATATACACACATATTAGGATATATATAAATATATAATATATACAAATAAATCATATATGTGTAAGTTAACATTTAATATGTATATATTATATAACACATATTATATATATAACACATATATATACATATATATAAGTGTAAGTTAACACTTAATAAATCCCATATATATATGGGATTTATTAAGTGTTAACTTACAAGATCACAAGGAAACAACCAGCAGAGGAGAAAGATGTAGGCTGGGAGGCTAGGCCCTCTCTCCTTTTCCAAGTCCCTAGCAGAAAGACAAGAGGACCCCCTAAGCAAATGAATCAGGAGTCACTGTAAATAACAAATGTCTCCTTGAGGAGCCCAGGGACATAGGGTCCTGAGATTTAGAAGCAGCTAACACTGCCTGAAGAAATTATTTCCCTGCAGCTGTGCTGGTCTCCCAGTTGGGAATGTTTCCATAGAAGGGGAGAGTCTCCCAGACCATCCTCCATCAAGTCCCATCAAGCCCATCTTCCCTGAAAAAAATTAATTTTGATTTTCTCATTCCTTCTGAATATATATATTTTACACACTTATCATGTAGAGCCATCCCTTGGTATCCACAGGGGATTGGTTCTAGGAATTCTCATGGCTTCCAAAATCTACACATGCTCTAGTCTCTGATGTAGCATAGTATTTGCCCATAACCTATGAACATCCTCCCATATACTTTAATCTCTAGATTACTTAGAATACCTAAACAATGTAAATGCTATTCATAAATGTAAATGTAGATCATTGTTATACTGCATTGTTTTTTATTTGTTTTTCTTTTTTCTTTTTTAGTTTTTGAGACAGCATATTGCTCTAGCGCCCAGGCTGGAGTGCAGTCATGTCATCTCAGCTGTTTGTAACTTCCGCCTCCTGGGCTCAAGCGATCCTCTTGCCTCAGCCTCCCAAGTAGCTGGGACTACAAGCATGTGCCACCTCACCCAGCTAATTTTGGTACTTTTGTAGAGAAGGGGTCTTGTTATGTTGCCCAAGCTGGTCTAGAATGCCTAAGCTCAAATATTCCTCCCACCTTAGCCTCCCAAAGTGCTGGGATTACAGGTGTGAGCCACTAAACCTGGCCTATTGTGTTTTTTTCTTCCCCAAATATTTTCCATCCATCATCGGTTGAATCCACAGATTTGGATCCCACATATTCAAAATGTCGACTGTATCTAAAAATGAAACTATTTAAAAGGTAGAAAAATGCAGCCACAATTTTGTCTCTCAATTCTTTTCTTCTATTTTCCTGTATGCTAGACTCAGTTGGGAACCCAAGACAGAAGGAGTTTAGAAGGGAGAACAGGTAGAGATAAGTGGGAAAGAGAGGGTTTTAAGGCCCTCAAATCTGTAAAGGGTGAATGCAGACTGCAGTACAGGACTGCCAGCTGGTCTCTGGTCTCAGCCTCCAGGAAGAACTGTGGCTATGTCACCATCCTCAGCTCATCTTGCTCCTTTGATCCCTGCCTCTGCTTGCTCGGCTCCTGGCCTCCTTGGAGGAAAATGCCTGTATCAATGGGAGCATGATGGAGGGTTCCAGGTTGAGGTGGGATGGGGGATAAAGACATGTTTGCATGAACATGTCCTAAAGGAACATGTACATAAGGAAATGGACTCCCATCTGGAGAGTGAGCTGGGGGAGGTGGGCACTGCAAGGAGTAGGAAAATAGGCCGGATGCCTAGAAGTTGCTCCATAATCCATAGTTCCTTTCGAGTGTCCTGCTTTGTCTGTTCTGGCTTTTGCCCCCACCCGGAAACCTGGAGAAACCTCAACTGGAACGTCAAGTAAGCAGATTCCAGCTCTCTGGGCCCAGGGTGAGAAAAGGAAGTTGTATGAAAAGAGGAGAAAGGAAAAAAACAGTCTCATATTGTGCAACAGGTGAAGTCCCACATTGCCCCTTCGAGGATTCCATTCTGCTGTTTGTAATTCCTGGTAAGCATTTCTTCATGAGGCTGCCCTGGCCTCCTGCAGCCTTCCCTGGTGGCCTTGCCTCTGTGGAGCTGAGCTCCTCCCTTTCCATTAGCTGAGGGGCAGGGAGGATTGGGAAAGGGACTCCATCATGAGGGAGGATACCGGGACTCTGGCCCTAACCCTGCCTGCTCACTAACAATGAACCAGAGACAGGTCATGGTTCTGCTCTGGGCTGCATCTGACAGATGAGAGGATGGACTCTTTCCCAGATAGGAATCCAGGACCCCTCAGAGCACCCTAGATGTCTCAAGAAGAGGCATGCTTCCTAAGGGTCTTGGACCCTGGATCAAGCCTCAGCCCCAGAACTCAGTTGCTGAAGCAGATCTCCTCTTGGAATGCCTCTCCTCATTATAGTTCATCTCCTTGAGGTGTGTCCCTCTCACCCTGGGTTCCTCCTGCAGGGAGATTTGGCTCACCCTCTAGAATGCTCCCTTTCCTGCCACACTGAGCTATTGGGGGTCACTATCAGTGACACATCAGTTGGTGGTTGTATTTGTTTCCTATTGCTGCTGCAAAAAATTACCACACACTTAGTGTCTTATGACCACATATTTATTCTCTAAAAGTTCTGGAGGTGAGAAGTCTGAAATTAGATTCACTGGGACACTCCCTTTGGAGGCTCTAGGGGAGGAACAATTTCCTTGCCATTTGCAGCTTCTAGAGCTGCATCCTAAAACCTCTTCACTCCTGGCCTCTTCTTCCATCTTCCAAGCTGGTAGCATAGCATCTTGCTTCTGCTGTCACATTGCTACCTTCTCCTCTATTACCAAATTTTTCTCTTCCTTCCTCTGGTAAGGACACTCACAACTACATTTAGGGCCTGACCAGATAATTCAAGGTAATCACTCCATCTCAAGATCCATAACTTGATCATATCTCCAAAGTCCCTTTTGCCATACAAATTGACATTCACAGGTTCTGGGGAATAGGATGTGGATGTCTTGGGGGCCATTATTCAGCTACCATAGTGATCTATACCTTGTCTCTGGCTTGGGGTCATCCATTCTCTCTCCCATCCCGTCCCCTCAGAATAGAATTGTGTATCTTTCTCCAAATCTGCACCCTAATCTTACAGACCATCCCAACTGCTCCTCCCTTCACTCTCTTTAGGCTCTGAGAACATTCTAGGAGACTGCTCTCCAACAGAACTTTCTGCAATGATGGACAGAAAGTCCATAATGCATGCTGTCTAACCTGGTAACTAGCCATGTTACCAAGGTCTACTGAGCACTTGAAATGTGACTAGTGTGACTCAGGAACTAAATTTTAAATTTTATTTCATTTTAATTAAATGTAATGAAAATGTAAATAGCCGCTTTGGCCAGTGGCTAACATATTAGATAGCTCGGATCTAGGCAAATGAAAGCAGAAACTATGGCCAGGCACATTCTTTGCTGCTAGCCTCTTCCCACACCTGTTTTGGATCAGCTCTGCCCCCTAACCTCCTTCTCTCAGTGCCCGCAGAATCTGAAGTAAGTTTCCACTGGGGCTCTGGAATGACAGAGGTGACTAAGGGCAGGACAAAGAAAGGAATTGTGTCTGTTGACCCCAGAGAAGTACAGGGCCCCAGTTCTGCTTTTGCACAGGACTAACAACACTCAAATGATTTTCAAGGTAGTCTCTGCCTTGTCCTTACTCAACCGGTCTCCCTTTTGAGGACCACAGAGGTGTGTCACTAGGGAATGTGTGCAGGAAAGGGCCTGAGCTTGGGAGCTGGCACTGGCCAGGCTCCTGCTCTGCTATGTACTCGTTGAGTGGCACGTGGCAAGTTACTTCCCAGGCCTTCTCCCTCAGTTTCCATAAAATGAGAGGGTTGGACCAGATGGTCTAAAGTTTCCTTTTAGCTTTAGTAGACCATGAGTCTATGTCCTGTGGATCAGGCTTTATTGTGCATGTAATTCAATTTCAGAGCCATGTAGTCTCTGACCCATGGAATGGGAGTACTGATTGAAGGATAATTAAGTAGAAGTGGCTTTAGGTTACTCCTGCAACACTTCCAAACAAAACCAGACCTCCATCCTTCTGTCATCATGACAACACTTCACAGTAACTTGGGCTTTAGAGTGCTGATCTGTCAACTAACTAATCTAATCCTCATGATGATCCTGACAATTGTTAGGTCCATTTTAAGTGAAAAGGCTGAGGCTCAGAGGGGGAAGGAGAGAATCTTCCAGGTGCCCAGTCCCATGATGGGTGCTTTACACATCACCTCGTAACAGCCCTTCGAAGGGGTTAATATTATCTACATTTCACACTTGTGAACACTGAGGTCTAATAAAGCAAGATGACTTTCCCAATGTTATGCTGATAATAATATGATGAAGTCACTTTTCTCACTCTTCTTCCGCCTTTGCTGTGCTGCTTCCCCTCTTTACAACTCCCCCCACAAGATGTTGAAATGATAACCTCCTTTTTAAAGGCATTTTTTCATGACACTCCCCAAGCAGACCTACTAGCCTCAGCAAGTCACTTCACCTCTCTGTGCCTCTCTTTCCTTAACTGTGAAACTGGGGGCAACAGTCCCTACTTCATAAGGGTGTTAAAACCCTTGTTGAAAGTACGCAGTGAGATCATGTATTAAGAGTGTTCAGCCCAGAGCTCATATTAAGGACTCAGCAATTGCGCATTCTTACTGCTTTTGGAAACTGTAGCTTGCCCCACCGCCCAATGGTACCAGGCAATTCCTTTTACCCCCAAATCAAATTAAAATCACAAAGAAACTGTTTGCATTTTATTTTAAAGTTTTATTATGAAAACACATGGAATTAACGGTGTTATCCATGTATTTGCAACAGCAGAGAAAGAGTGAGAGTGGACCATCCCCATAGGGGACACTTATCCTTTGGCTAAACTAATATAAATAATGGAAATAACACCTAATACAATAATACAGCACATAAAAGAGATTACATTAAGAGAAGAGACAGGAACTGCGGAGAGGAGTCCTGAGTATGGAGGAGATGCGGCTCATGGAGAAGCATCCAGGCTCAGGTGACCTTCCCTGAAGACTTCCTGTCTCTGAGCAGCTCAGTTCAGTTCCAGGTCATACACGTACTCCTGGACCCAGGACTCACTGGGGTCAGCGCAGACTTGCTTGCCTCTTTTGGTTTGGAATCCGTAGAACAAGGAGCAGACAGATTAGAATCCCATGGGACCTTTGAGGTCATCTGGCTTTATCCCTTGCCTGTGGTAGGCATCTTCCTCTGCCTGACCATGGTCCATGTGGGGCAGCTCTGGTGGATGGGATCCTTCCCGGAGCAGCACTGGAAGCAGACTCCCTGTAACTTCCACTCACTGGATTTAGCTGTGGGCCCCAGGGGTTGCCCAGATTAGGAACCAGTGGGCATTGCAATCAGTATGAATAGATTGCCCCATTCCCTGCCAGCCTGGTAGTGACTTTTCCACATGTTTTTCTAGCATGGTTTAAGGAATTGGTCCATATCTCACGGGACCTGTCTGCCTTCCCCTGCTTCCCTGTCCTCTGAATAACTTCCTCCCCAGGAACCCCCTTCTGTCTCGGCTGCCACTCAGCCGCCTTCAGCACTTGAAAAGTGAGTTCATGACCTGTGACCTCACTGCTGTCAGGGAAGGCTTCAGCCCTGAGAGCTGCCTCCCCAACGCTCATCACCCCCTCCCCAAAACAGGCCCCCTTTAAAAATCCAGCCCTCACCCTTGCCTCCCAGGGCAGCCAGGGGTTGATACTCACACCACAGCTGGCTGGGAGCAGAGGCTGCTGGTCTCATAGTAATCTACCACAAAGTTGCGAGGAAGCTTCCTCGCGGTGTAAGAAAAGCAGCAGGCGGTGGGAGGGTCTGAGCCCACTGAAAGGAAAGGCCAGGGTGAGATCAACACTGCCCATGGGAGCTGTTTATTTTGACTTCTAATTTTGCATCTTCATTGAGCATCCCTGTGGAGCTACCAGAACCCCAAATATGGTCCCTTGTATCCATTCCCACCTAACATGAGCAGGAGTCTTATTCTGAATAGTGGATCTTCAGAGAAGAACGAGAAAGAAATCTAGAAGATTGGAACTGGATTCAGTCTCAGAACACATCGCACTCCCTTCATATGACAGATGGGGAAACCAAGGCACAGAGAGGGACAGGGGCTTGCTTGAACAAATAATTAAAGGCAGAGCCAATTCAACAGTCTGACTTCCAGCCCATCGTTTTCCTCTGCTGGTTGCTAATTCTTAAGAAAATAGGAACTTGAATGTTACTGAATATCTACTAGACTCTACATTTAGCAGCAGACTACATGGCAATCTTCCTAGCTGCCTTTTGTCCCATCCCCAGATCCCACTGTTTGCCAGCCATGACTAGAAAAAAGGACTCTGCCTACACCTTGACTCGAAATAGCAGCTGCAAAAGTAGACTTACTTGGTGCTGAGAGTGCTAGAGAGCAGAAGGCAGCTACTAGCACGAGGAGAGACAGGACAGTCACGCAGAGCTTCATGGTATTGGTGGCAAAGAGGTTTTCTCAGAGGTGAGGCTGCAGAACTCAGAAGCTTCAGAACCTAGCTGTGTCCTGTGCTGATACTGAGTTGGGAATCTCTCTTTATAGGGACTCTGAGGCCTAGGACAAATGTGGGGGCACAGGAGAGTGAGTGGAATTTCCATGGTAGAGATGATGTCATGGCTCCTGAAGCTAGCTGAGTGAGGAGTTCCTCTCAGCTTCTCTTCCCCAGGGCGATGTCATCATAGAGGAAAGATGAGGGAGGTGCAGGCGAGAAGAAAAGGGAAGTGGTACAGCCAAAAGCAGTGACCGAGACTGGGGAGAGAGTTGCAAACCCCAGAGGAAAAGATGAAATGTTCACACCTGCTACAAGTGGCTTGTAGACAAGAACTGTGCTGCTCTTGGTGGTTGGCACCCCCAGATGCTGGAGGGTTCATGCCAGTCTTTCCAGGCTGGCCACAGTCCTGGCCCCAAGAACAAAGCGGGAACCAGGACTCCCCCATCCCCTTCCTGTGCCTTCTTCTGCTGAGCTCAGTGCCACTGACTTTTGTGCCCTATATGTTTCCTTGGGCATGAAGAGTCCAGCATTGGATGTGCGGAGGGACCCAGTAGGGTGGCTCAGGAACATTTGTAAGTTCTTATTGGACACTTACCTTGTACCAGGCACTGGGAAAGCTGTGTTACACATATTATATATAATCCTACCATAATCTTGAGCAGGGGTGTCTAATCTCATTTTACAGATAAGGCAATTGGGGATCAGAGAGTGGTCCACTGATGGCGCTCAATGCCACAGAGCTGATGAATGGCACTGCCAAGATTTGAATCAAGATTCGAATCAAGATTCATCTGACTCCAAAGTCCATTTTCTTTCCATGCTGTAGTCTCCAGAATAAACATAGAGTGTGACCACAAAGAGAAACCATTGACTGATAGACTGCTAGGAGCTATTCCACACTCAAAGACCGATTATACTCAGACTTAATTCAGGGAAGGGATAGGGCTAGTCTGTCCTAGGACAAGGAGGGAACGGAGAAGAAATAAAGATTTCAAGATATTTTCTTGGACCAGCAAAAGACCAGGACAAATTAACCAGTAAGAATCAAGTCTGGAAGACCCAGATAGAGAATGTTCTTCTAGTATAAAAACAGAATTGAGCTGGGTACAGGGCCTCACACCTGAAATCCCAGCACTTTGGGAGGTCAAGGCAGGCAGATTGCTTGAGCCCAGAAGTTTGAGACCAGCCTGGGGAACATGGTGAAACACTGTCTCTATAAAAAACACACATACAAAAAAAAAACTTGACTGGGAGTGGTGATACACACCTGTAGTCCCAGCTGCTCAGTAGGCTCAGGTGGGAAGATCACCTGAGCCCAGGAAAGTCCAGGCTGCAGTGAGTGGTGATTGTGCCACTGCACTCCAGCTTGTTTGACAGAATGAGACCCTGTCCCAAAAACAAAGCAAAGCAAAACAAAACAAAGCAAAACAAACCAAAACAAAACAAAACAGAATTATATACCTAGTAATGAGTTTATCTATGTTACAGGCAAAATGTGTAATCTAAGGATGTGGGTGTGTCCCAGCCAGTCCATAGGGAATGCCCATGCTCATGTTAAGCCCTGGCTGGTTTGACAGTTGCTGGGCACCTGTACAGAAGGTGAAGCTTACAAAGGCCCTGCATACAGGAGTGTGCAAGGTTGGACAAATGAAGGGAATGAGGATAATTGGATCAAGACCTCTATCTGCCTTTAGCTCCACTACTCTAACCCACCTGCTCACCTTTAACCCCACATTGTTACCTGCTCTTCTCTGAGAAAGAAAAAAGAAGAGTAAAAAAAGGGAGCCATGACTTCAAACTATACCACAGGGCTGCAGTAACCAAAACAGCATGGCTTTGGTACAAAAACAGACTCATAGACCAATAGAACAAAATAGAGAGCTCAGAAATAATGCTGCATACCTGCAGCCATCCGAACTTTGACAAAGTTAACAAAAACAAGCAACAGGGAAAGGACTTCCCAGTCAATAAATGGTACTGGGATAACTGGCTAGCTGTATGCAAAAGATTGAAACTGGACCCCTTCCTTACACCATCTGTAAAAATCAACTCACAATGGGTTGAAGACTTAAATGTAAAACCTAAAATATAAAACTATAAAAATATGATACCTGTAAGATAACCTAGACAATATGATTCTGGGCATAGGATCTGGCAGATATTTCATGATGAAGATGCCAAAAACAAATCACAACAAAACCAAAAACTGACAAATGGGATCTAATTAAACTAAAGAGCTTCTGCACAGCAAAAGAAATTATCAGCAGAGTAAAGAGATAACCTACAGAATGGGAGAAAATATTTACAAACTATGTATCTCACAAAGGTCTAATATCCAGAATCTATAGGGAATTTAAACACATGTACAAGCAAAAAACAAACAACTCCGTTAAAACGTGGGCATTGAACATAAACAGACACATTTCAAAAGAAGACGTACACGCGGCCAAGAAACATACAAAAAATGCTCAGCACCACTAATCATTAGAGAAATGCAAATTAAAACCACAATGAGATACCATCTCAAACCAGTCAGGATGGCTATTTTTAAAAAGTCAAAAAATAACAGATGTTGGTGAGGCTGTGGAGAAAAGGAACACTTATACACTGCTGGTGGGAATGTAAATTAGTTCAGCCATTGTGGGAAGCAGTTTGGCGATTTCTCAAAGAACTTAAAACAGAATTACCATTCAACCCAGCAATCCCATTATTGGGTATATACCCAAAGGAATATAAATCATTCTACCATAAAGACATGTGCACATGTATGTTCATCGCAACAGTATTCACAATAGCAAAGACATGGAATCAACCTAAATGCCCACTGATGGTAAACTGGATAAAAAAAATTTGGTATATATATATATATATATATAATGGAATACTTCTCAGTCATAAAAAAAAGAACAAGATCATGCCCTTTGCAGCAACATGGATGGAGCTGGAGGCCATTATCTTAAGCGAACTAACACAGGAACAGAAAACCAAATACTGCATGTTCTCACTTATAAGTGGAAGCTAAACATTGAGTACACATGGACACAAAGAAGGGAACAGCAGGCACCAGGGCCTACTTAAGGGTGAAGGGTGGGAGGAGGGTGAGGATAAAAAAAACTACCTATTGGGTACTATGCTTATTACCTGGGTGATGAAATAATCTGTACACCAAACCCCCCGCAACACACAACTTACCTATATAACAAACCTGCACACGTACCCCTGAACCTAAAATACAAGTTAAGAAAAAAAGGGACCCACAGCATCTGGGAGCCACAGGAGAGGTTGGAGCAGCATCCTGGGGTACTTCAGGGTCATTAAATAAAGTACAAGGTCATCCTGCCTCAGCACTCTCCCTCCCTCCCCACCCGCACACACAAGCTGCACTTCTCTCATCTGTTCTCTCCCCCTTTTCTTTGTACAGCTCTTGCTTCAAATGTTCTGATCTTCTCCAAGACCCTCGCCCCCAGCTGTAATGTTCCGTGTTGCCTGATAGCAGATGTGTTAGTACCTCTCCTGGCCTTTCCTAGTTGGTGCAGTTTCATCTTCATGCATCAAGGACCTCACTTTAAGGGAAGCAGTATGTGTTTCATGTTCTCTGGATTCACGCAGACTTCGTTATTTATGACATTTTTGTTCAGCCCAATGTACTAACCATCTGCTCTTTGCCAGGGCAGACAGAGCTGAACGAAGCCCCATCCCTGCCCTCGAAGAGTTCCATGTCTAGTGATGGCATTGACAGTGACAGAAATAACTATCCCAAGAGGTGGAATAAGCTAAGTGTCATGTCAGAGGAAGAAACAAAGTGTCAGGAAGCCTGAAGGATGGAGAAGGCTGTCTATTAGCTGTAGATGAGTAGTTTCAAGTTAAGTCTCAATTCCCACTAGAGCAGCTGTCTGAATGAGCAGGGTGGAGGGGTTAGGAGGAAGCCTGTTCTGGGGCTTCAGGAGAATAATGATTGATAAAATGGGTGATTAGCCATCACTGAGCCATACAATGAGTTTGTCTGTTGACTTTTGTTTCCTCGCCTTGATCTGATCTTTGGCTCATGGGGGTAAAACGTTTTGATGGATCTTCATGAAGATCCTAACAACAATACTATGTCTGCACCAGTGGAAGTCCACACTGAGAGTAAAAAGGACTTGTATCATTTTGTTCAGCAATATTAACTTACCCCCCACCCCCAACAAGATTTAGACACTGGTGCCATTTAGAACTCCTGGAGGGCAAACGTGGAGACCGGAAAGCCAAGAAGAGCCAATAAACAAATGATTCTCAAATACATGACAAAAAAGATGTTCATCTTCTCTAGAGAAACTTCCCTGATCTCTTTCCCAAGTAAACTCTGTATCCTTCACTGTGCTCCTACAGTCTCCTGAACTACTTCCTTCTTACCACCTATCACATATTTATCTATTCATGTGGTTTCCTCCCCGACTAGAAAGTGAGCTCCTTGATGCAGAAACTATGTTATGCTTATCTCCATGGAGGGGATGTGATGAGTAATATGGACTCAAGATGTGGACCCCTATATAGCCAAATGAGTAAACCAAGTATGAATGAACTGGGTGTTCTGACATTCCACCCAAAAGGTGATTCCTCAGCCCTGATAGTGTGGTACTTCCCCTTCTCCCCCACCCTCAACCCACGCATCCAGTAGTTTTATCATAATGGATACTATTCTTGGACTCAACTCTTTGTAGCTCAGGGTTGCAAGAAGTGACAGCAAGGGTCATCCATGGTTCCAGGGAGCTCCATTCAGAGGGCCACCCTCTCACCCCTGAGCAGGGAAGCCCTTCTTTCCCCCTCACTTGTGGTCATTTAGAGGTTCCCCCCCCCACATCCTTGACCACCACTATATTCATAACTCCATTCTGGGCATTTTTACATTTGTCTTGTCATGTTGTCCTCAACCTCCCAGGCTGCAGACAGGCCCAGCAGCCACAGCAGTAACATGACCTTGAAAATGCCCTGGTATTTTTCATTTTCCTCAGCATATCCGTGGCCTGTGGTTTTACCTGACCCTGATCTGTTTTGCCACGGTACAGATTAGGAAAGCAAAACCTAGAGAAGTGAAAAGACCTGATCAAGGTCACACAGGATGCATGTCAAGACCCAAGGCCTACAATTCCCAGTTCAGAGATGACCAGAGTCCCTCTACAGGTATGACCTTCTGAGATTACACATATAGGCAATCTCTGTTAATAACAGACTCTCAGAAGAGATTACCAAAGTGCTGAGGAGCAGGGTAGAGAGGCAGTCAATCTGGACATCCTGGCCTCTCCTAGAGTGTTGGGGAGACCTCTGAGTGTTGGGGCCAAGAGGTGGCCTCCAGGAGGTGGATGCCTAGAACTAGAGAACTCCTGGAGGGCAAATGTGGAGACTGGAAACCCAAGGGGAGCTGGAACATAGGGTCATTTTGCCAAGATAAGAAACCAAGACGAGGCAAATCCTGTGGTTTTGCCAGTATGGTATCCAAGTCACTTTGGGGGAAATGGGAGCAGAAGCTGAATTGTGGATTGAAGAAACAAGTACACAATTATCCAGAGTGCAGCATTCTTCAGGATGAAATCTGTAATGCTGTAGTAAACTGAGGAATGAAGAGACCAATATGGGAGAACAGGAGGATATTTATTTTAAGGTGTGCACTGGCTCAGTGAATTCATATCCAAAAAGCTGAGCATTTGGAGCATTTCAACAAAGACAGAGTGGGGTTTTACAAGCAGGCTTGCAGAAGCAAAACTAAAGCAGTTAATCATATAATGATAGGTCCCATAGTCTATAGCATAGCATAACTTGTGGCCTTGCTTAGCTGGTGGCCTTACAGCTGCACTGAAAGAAAAACAGAACTGGCTAAATACAGACATTTGTCCCTTTTTTTTTTCTTCAGACTTGTTATGGAGGTGGGGTGTCTGGAGCCCATTCCTTTGGCTTCGACTTCTCAAACAACGTTATCTTATAACTGTCCTTGAAGCGAGCTTGCTAGGCAGAGGAAAACTTCTCCTTTATTGCCTGTTATTTTCTTGGAATGAATGAGTGCATATTTATTTTTTAAATTTCTGCCTCCATAGGACAGTGAGCGGTTGGAGCAGCTCATCGGTGACTGCCACACTCTGACTACAGAGCTGGCCAGCCCCACTCTTCTTACCATGGAAATGGACCTTGGTCACCGCCACAGCCTGCTCTTAGTTGTGAAAGGCAGAGGTCAGGAACTTCAGGAGATGTTAAATTCCTGAGAGAGGGGTAAAGCCTCACCAGCATTCATGAGGTCAAGAAAACTTTCAGTATTCCTTGTGAAGCATCTTCCTTCAAATTGTTTCTGGCCTTTTTCCATGCAGGCGATAGGGAATACTCCAGCAAGAGATGAACATAATTCAGTAAAGCTGTATTGAGTACCTACTGTGTGACAGGCATTGTGTCCGAGGGCGAGGGTAAGCACTTTAGATGGTGGTAGTGAAGTGTTATGGAGGGCTTCCAAAAAATTTGAGATCTGTTTTTGTTTTTTTTTTGAAAAAAAATTTATGGCCAGGGGTGCTGGCTCATGCCTATAATCCCAGCACTTTCGGAGGCTGAGATGGGTGGATCATCTGAGTCAGGAGTTTGAGAATAGCCTGGCCAACATAGTGAAACCCCACGTCTATTAAAAATACAAAAACTTAGTTTGGTGTGGTGGCACATGCCTACAGTCCCAGCTACTCGGGAGGCTGAGGCATGAGAATCTCTCGAAACTGGAAGGTGGAGATGGCAGTGAGCCGAGATAGCTCCACTGCACTCCAGCCTGGGTGACAGAGCGAGACTCTGTCTCAAAATAAATAAATAAATAAATAAATAAATAAATAAATAAATAATATATATATATATAACTAATATATGTATTATATCTATATATTTATAACTAACATATATATCAGTTTGTTTTTCTTTTATAGAAAGTATACGTGGTCGTTTGCAAAACTGAAAAAATATAGGGAAGCATATATAAGAAAATTAAAATTGCCCTATCATTCTGTACCTAGCTTTATATTTTACTATTGGTACTTAATATTCTTTCATGACCTAGTATATCTTATTATTGCTACTTAGTCTTCTTCTGTGCCATTACAAACTTAAATATTACTCAAAAATGGCATGAATATACACATGATATTTTATTGCATAGATATACCAAAAGTTGTATTTAATCATTCACATCAGTCCATTTACATTGCTCTAACTTTTCTCTATTATAGGTTAAACTGAAATTAGCCAGGCAAAGACAGGGATAGGGGTATCCAGGCAAAGAACAAGAGACCTGCACTTGTTTCGGATATAAAATGGAGGTATTGAAATATTTCAATAATAATAAAATGGTAATAGTAATAATAGTAGATAGCACTTACTATGAACCAGTAATGTTCTCGGCCTTTCATAGGTATTAATGCATTTAATCCTCACAGTGGCCCTCTGAGTTAAGTGCTGTAACTATCCCCTTTCACACACGAAGAAACTGAAGCACAGAGAGGTACGTAACTTATGGAAAAACACACAGCTGACACACAGCAGATTTGAAACTGAAGCCAAGAAGTCTGGCTCTAGAGCATGAATAAATCAGAAAAGGGAAGTGTGCTGTATTATAAATTTATGTTAAAAGCATAACAACCAAAGTTTCTGTTATTCTGGTGTAAAATGTCTTTTCTGTTGTGCATTTTGCATGTCTTTGAACAGCAAGATCCATGGATTTCTCTCTTTTTCTTAGAAAATTTGGGGAATTACATGCTGGGTTTGCTGGCTCATGCCTATAATTGTAGCACTTTGGGAGGCTGAGGTGGGCAGATCACTTGAGGCCAGTTCGGGACCATCCTGGCCAACATGGTGAAACCCTGTCTCTACTAAAAATGCAAAAATTAGCCAGGCATGGTGGCACATGCCTGTAATCACAGCTACTCGGGAGGCTGAGGCAGGAGAATCACTTGAACCCAGGGGGAGGGGGAAGGGGAGGCAGAGGTTGCAGTGAGCTGAGATCGCCCCCACTGCACTCCAGCCTGGGCGACGGAGAGAGACTCTGTCAAAAAAAGACAAACAACAACAAGAAGAAGAAAAGAAAAGATGGGAAATTACATAATGTTTTTCCTTAATTGTTCTAAATATGAATCCCTGCAGCTGTCACGGGATGTGCCCACATTCATAGCATTTCACTCTGCCCTGTGGTTTACAAGAAGGTGAAATTGTGCTTTACCAAGTGGGCACCTCCTTCATTAAAAGCAAGGTAGAGAGCTGCACATTTAAGGAACCACAAGTAGTGCAAAAAGGCTGGGTCTTGGTTTTCAGGAAGTCTCAGCAGGCAAGTCACGAGGCCAGAGAGGTAGACAGGGGTCAGGTTACAGAGAAGCTTCCATTTCATGTCAGAAACGATGCAGAATGTTTGCAAGATTTTAAAAGGAGAGAAACAGAGACTGATTTGAGCTTTAGCAAAAGTATATTGGATGCTGTATGGTGAGATAGATTAAAAAGAGACAAAACTAGGCCGGGCGTGGTGACTCACTCCTGTAATCAATCGCAGCACTTTGGGAGGCCGAAGCAGGCAGATCACTTGAGGCCAGGAGTTCAAGACCAGCCTGGCCAACATGGTGAAACTCCGTCTCCACGAAAAATACAAAACATTAGCTGGGTGTGGTGCCACATGCCTGTAATCCCAGCTACTTGGGAGGCTGAGACACAAGAATTGCTTGACCTGGGAGACCAAGGTTGCAGTGAGCCAAGATCGAGCCATTGCACTCCAGCCTGGGCCACAGAGTGAGACCTTGTCTCAAAATAAATAAATAAATTAGAGACAAAAGTGGAAGAAAAAGCAGTTGCTAGGACCCTCTTCTAGTTGTCATGGTGAGAATCCATAAGAACCTGACCTAAGACAGAGGCAGTGGGAATGGTGAGAGGCAGATGCACGTAAAATTGAATGTAGACTAGAGTTGGTGATTGAATAACTGTAGGAGATGACAGAGAAAGAGGAGACAAGGGTGACTCTCAGCTTTCTGGACTGGAAGACTGATAGGAAGAGGCACTTTTTATTGGGTAGAGAATATGGAAGAAAGGGCAAGGGACCAGGAGAGGGATCGGATCCAGTACCAAGACATACGCCCTGACCTACTGCACACATGCAAGAAATGGCTAGAGAAAATAACAAGGACTCAGGACGGGAAACAAGGGGCTGGCTGCAGAAAGAAGGGGCTGTGTCAATGAGACATTGTCTGTCTAAGATACTAGACAGGGGACTCCAGGCTGCTGCTTCTGCCTGCATGAAAAGTGGGGCCCACACCTGCTGCAACCTGACCACGCAGACCACATATGAGAAAAGGAGGCCAAAGCTGGGCCAAACAGGATGTCATCATCAGTGAACCCATCCCTGGGGCGCCTGCTGCCAAAGGAGATAGAGGAGGGTGACACTTGGGGAAGTGGAGCCTCGGGGCCAGAATCTGGAAGGAAAGCAATGCTCCGCACTGGAGAGCACAGGCAGCAGCACACAGTGGGGAGGCAAGCTGAGCAGCGCAAGGCAAAGACGCCGCAGAGGACAAACTGCCCAGCCAGGATTCCCCGCACTGTGGACTGGGACGCTCTGCTGGACTGAGGTGGGGCCTCGCAGAGGCTGAAATGAGCCAGAACGCTGGGACACAAATCAAATCCCTCCATGCTGAAGGGTCCATGGTGTTGACTGCTGGCTACTTACTGTCACCACCACCTAAGGAATCTTGGGTGGTCAGTTTCCCAAAGATCAAAACTGTGACACCATGGCCTTTTTCTCTTTTCTTTTCTTTTCTTTCTCTCTCTCCTTCCTTCTTTGCTTCTTTCTTTCTTTCGTCTTTCTTTCTTTTTTCTTTCTTCTTTCTTTCTCTTTCTTCTTTTTCTTCTTTCTTTCTTTCCTTTATCTTTAAAGCAAATCATAAACTTTTAGATCCAAGTTACTGAAAACTTCTTTATATAAGTTTAATTTACATTTCTCTTTCAAATTGTATCTTTATTGGGACCCTCAATTCTTTTTTTTTTTTTTTTTTTTTTTTTTTGAGACGGAGTCTCGCTCTGTCGCCTAGGCTGGAGTGCAGTGGTGCGATCTCAGCTCACTGCAGCATCCTGGGTTCAGGTGATTCTCCTGCCTCAGCCTCCCGAGTAGCTGGGACTACAGGCATGTGCCACCACGCCTAGCTAATTTTTTGTATTTTTAGTAGAGACAGGGTTTCACCATGTTGACCAGGCTGGTCTCAAACTCCTGGCCTCAGGAGATCCGCCTGCCTCAGCCTCCCAAAGTGCTGGGATTACAGGCATGAGCCACCGTGCCTGGCTTCAATTCTCATTTTATTTAAAAATTCTTCCTTGGCTCTGGAGACCTGTCATGCTTCTGACTGTCTCTCCTGATTCTGTGTGTGTGTATGTGTGTGTTTGTTTTATTTTAAGTTCAGATATGCATGTGCAGGTTTGTTACATAGGTAAACTTGTGTCATGGGGGTTTGGTGTACAAATGATTTCATCACCCAGGTATTAAGTCTAGTACCCATTAGTTGTTTTTCCTGATCCTCTCCCCGTTCCCACTCACCATGGCCTTTCTTATCCTACCTTTCCCATTAGTATTTCAACTCCATAGTGAGAGTTCAGGCATAACACATATTGTTAGTCAAATCAGTGATTTATTTATTCATCAAATAGATATTAAGCTTCACTATATGTCAGGCATTGTGGTTATCACTGGAGATACACTGGTAACTAACACAGACAGTGGAATATAAAACTGACCAATTCCACCTGCATGACCCTGGGTACGTCATTTCAACTGGGAACATCAATTTACCACCTAGGAAATGTCTAAGACCCTCCCAACTCAACCCCGTCCTACATCTCCCTTACATTATTCATTCAACGTATATAAATTAAGCAAATGCTATGCGTGCAACTATATTTTACTCCAAGCCAAAACACATGGCAAAGGGCTATTTCCTGGTTTGGGGATTGATAGAGAAAGTCTTACAAATATATAAACACTGAGATAGAATTATATATTCAATAAATCATCTTTATTATAAAGAACACAATAATAAGAGATAGAGACTAGGTCAGGAGGTTCATCATGTTATAATCATCATGTACTAGGATTTGGTTTAAATCAACCAACGAGACATGGTCTGGAGTTGGTTTACAATCTGAGAAGACACTCTAAAAAATCTACCATTATAGGATTGGTATGAGGATCAAATATAATAAGTTGTGGTACAGGACGTGTAGCGTGTGGTACCTAGAGTCAGACTACCTGGATGTGAATCCCTGCTCTGCTAGTCATCAGCTTTACGGCCTTCGGAAAATTGCTTAACCTCTATTTACTTTGGTTTCTTCACCTGTTCAACTAAGAAAGTATACTGGTAACTAAATCATAGGGTTGTTTTGAAGACAGTTCAAACATGTAAATCCATATTATGGAAATCAGCACATGGTGATCACTCGATAAATATTACTTATTGTGAACTAAAATTTGTGTAGTTGCTAATCTATCATTAGTACAAAATCAAAGTTTGTTTCCAAACTCCCACATTGCCTTTATTAAACTATAAATTTCTTGAGAAAAAGAAACTAAAATAAAATCAACAGGACATGGTCTAGGTTTTTGAAGAGCAAATTACATAGGTAACTAATTATAACACACTGTACTGTAATCACAGAGATAGAGGATGTCCCTTATCAGAACACTGACTGATTCAGCAGTTTCCATTTCCTTTTCTCACTCTCCACAACTCACAGAAGCCAGCTCCCAGAAAAGGAATCACGAGTATGGAGGGGGTTCCCCTAAGAAGTGAGTGAGGGAACGCAATTCAGGGTATCAACGAGAGCTGAGAGGCAGAGGGTGGGGTGAGAAGGAGTCATTGCCTGTGATGTAGGTTTCTAATGAGACAAGTGGCAGAGATACCTTTATTTGGAATTGGTAGCAATAGGGGAAGATACGTGGATGCCAAAGCTCTGATGAAACCTACCACGGCCCCTGATCTTGCCTCTGCTTCTCCTCCCTCAAGACTGGCACTAGCCATCACTGGGGTGGAATGGAAACAGAGCTCATGTGTATTAAAAGACCTAACTCTAAAGACACTCAGGAAGGACAGAATTTCAAAGGCGTGGTCCCACTTGGCTTCTGTCCTCCGTTGTTCTCCAGCATCAAGTGTGTCAACTCTAACCCCTTTGGGGGGAATTCAAGGCCTGTCCTGGTTTGGTCCCAATTTACCTTTATCATCCATATTCACCCCCACTGCTCTGCAGCTCCACTGAAGCACCCCCTCTTTCCTCTGAGCCACAATGTCACACCCAGGACTCTGCCTCAGCTGGGCCTCCACTGCCCACCCATCTATAGATGCCTAAATCCCGGGCAGTTATCCAGACACAACTAAAGTTCCATCCCTTCCATGAAGCCTTCCCCAACCCTCTGGTGGAAGGTCACTTCTTCCTCATGGGGTTCTGAGCTTTCATTTCTTTTTCTACTAAGAGTTTTACAATTACCTGTTCATACACTCTACCTGCCCCCATGAGACCAGGGGCATCTCAGAAACAAAGATCATTAAAACCAACTAAATCTATTTCTCATTATAAAATGAGATATGCTGATTGATTGCAAAATAATAAAATAACAAAGTATGGAAAAGAAAAAAAAAAGCATATAATCTGGCTGAGAAGGTAGAGACCCTTCCACACCACTGAAATTATGTGTTGAAAAGAATAAGGAAAAAACTGCTTCAGTTTGGCATTATTTATGTAAGTATAGTATAGGATCCTTAAAATGGTTCAAAGAAATGGGAAATCAAGACTTCATTTTGGCAAAGCCCATTGAACAGAAACTGTAGCATATTTATCAGTAATTTCTTTCAGATTAAACAACTGACAACAACCCACTTTTCAACCAGTGATGTTGGAAATGTTTTAAAACAAAATTAGTTCATAAATTTGTGGGTTGACCAAGAAGGTAATAAAGTCTCACTAAATAAAATGAGGAAAATTCAGAAAAAGAAAAAAATAAGAAAATAAATCACCCATGGATCTAAGCACTATTCATTCTTTAAGGCATGTATTTCCAAGCCTTTTAATTTTTTCCATGCCTAGAGTTGGCATGGCATATATATATCTTTATACAATTCTTCAAATTTTATAGAATTTGTATAATGTTTTATCTTGCTTTTTTTTTAACCACTGATGTTATAAGCATATTTATGCCACTTCATTCACGTTAGAGACTTAATAATAAAGGATCTTGTGGATAATTTATCATTCCCTGATAGAGAAAAATTTAGCTTTGCTTATTTTAGAGTTATAAATGATGCTGGGTCAGGTATCTTTATGTTTGAAGATGGCTCCATATTTGGGTTGTTTCCACAGAACTCTTTCCCAGAAATGCTTTTTCTAGGTTAATGGCTACACATATTTCTAGGCACCTGACATACTGACACCCACCTCTAAAGTATTTTTATGATCCACAACTAGCGTTTAACACAGCGCCCCAGTCACTCCGAGACTAATAAATAGACAAATGACTGAAACGTGACCTCATGCTTTCTATTCCTCCAGCTTTCATTGAGTTCCTTTCCTCTGGGAGGACTGGGGGTTGTCTAGCCCTCCACAGCATCAGCCCATTGACCCTATCCTTGTGGTTATAGCAGCTGAGGAAGCAGAATTACAGCTCTGTGGGAAGGAATGGGGCTGGAGAGTTCATGCATAGACCAATTCTTTTTTTTTTTTTTTTTTGAGATGGAGTTTCACTTTTGTTGCCCAGGCTGGAGTGCAATGGCATGATCTCAGCTCACCACAGCCCCCACCTCCTGGGTTCAAGCGATTCTCCTGCCCTCAGCCTCCCGAGTAGCTGGGATTACAGGCATGTGCCACCACGCCTGACTACTTTTGTATTTTTAGTAGAGATGGAGTTTCTCTTTCTTGGTCAGGTTGGTCTCAAACTCCTGACCTCAGGTGATCTGCAGCCTCGGCCTCCCAAAGTGTTGGGATTACAGGTGTGAGCGACCATGCCTGGCTGCATAGACCAGTTCTTATGAGAAGGGATCAACTAAGAATAGCCTTGGGTTGACACACACCCCTCTTCACACTCACAGGAGAAACCCCATGAAGCTAGAACCAGTCATGAGTTGAGAGCTGAGAGTTAGAGAGTAGCTCAGAGATGCTATTCTTGGATATCCTGAGCCCCTGTGGTCACCAGGGACCCTGAGTTGTGCAACACTCAGCATGACAGCATCACTACACTTAAAAATTTCCCTCCTCACCCCCAGATTCCATTTCCCCATCCGCCAGGGCTGCCTATAAAGAGGAGAGATGGCTTCAGACATCAGAAGGACGCAGGCAGCAAAGAGTAGTCAGTCCCTTCTTGGCTCTGCTGACACTCGAGCCCACATTCCATCACCTGCTCCCAATCATGCAGGTCTCCACTGCTGCCCTTGCCGTCCTCCTCTGCACCATGGCTCTCTGCAACCAGGTCCTCTCTGCACCACGTGAGTCCATGTTGTTGTTGTGGGTATCACCACTCTCTGGCCATGGTTAGACCACATCAGTCTTTTTTTGTGGCCTGAGAGCCCCGAAGAGAAAAGAAGGAAGTTCTTAAAGCGCTGCCAAACACCTTGGTCTTTTTCTTCACAACTTTTATTTTTATCTCTAGAAGGGGTCTTAGCCCTCCTAGTCTCCAGGTATGAGAATCTAGGCAGGGGCAGGGGAGTTACAGTCCCTTGTACAGATAGAAAAACAGGGTTCAAAACGAATCAGTTTGCAAGAGGCAGAATCCAGGGCTGCTTACTTCCCAGTGGGGTCTGTTCTTCACTCTCCAGCTCACCCTAGGTCTCCCAGGAGCCCTGTCCCTTGGATGTCTTATGAGAGATGTCCAGGGCTTCTCTTGGGCTGGGGTATGACTTCTTGAACCGACAAAATTCCATGAAGAGAGCTAAGAGAACAGTCCATTCAGGTATCTGGATCACATAGAGAAACAGAGAACCCACTATGAAGAGTCAAGGGGAAAGAGGAATATAGACAGAAACAAAGAGACATTTCTCTGCAAAACCCCCCAAATGCCTTGCAGTCACTTGGTCTGAGCAAGCCTGCCCTCCTCAACCACTCAGGGATCAGAAGCTGCCTGGCCTTTTCTTCTGAGCTGTGACTCGGGCTTATTCTCTCCTTTCTCCGCAGTTGCTGCTGACACGCCGACCGCCTGCTGCTTCAGCTACACCTCCCGACAGATTCCACAGAATTTCATAGCTGACTACTTTGAGACGAGCAGCCAGTGCTCCAAGCCCAGTGTCATGTAAGTGCCAGTCTTCCTGCTCACCTCTAGGGAGGTAGGGAGTGTCAGGGTGGGGGCAGAAACAGGCCAGAAGGCCATCCTGGAAAGGCCCAGCCTTCAGGAGCCTATCGGGGATACAGGACGCAGGGCACTGAGGTGTGACCTGACTTGGGGCTGGAGTGAGGTGGGTGTTACAGAGTCAGGAAGGGCTGCCCCAGGCCAGAGGAAAGGGACAGGAAGAAGGAGGCAGCAGGACACTCTGAGGGCCCCCTTGCCTGGAGTCACTGAGAGAAGCTCTCTAGACGGAGATAGGCAGGGGGCCCCTGAGAGAGGAGCAGGCCTTGAGCTGCCCAGGACAGAGAGCAGGATGTCAGGGCCATGGTGGGCCCAGGATTCCCCGGCTGGATTCCCCAGTGCTTAACTCTTCCTCCCTTCTCCACAGCTTCCTAACCAAGAGAGGCCGGCAGGTCTGTGCTGACCCCAGTGAGGAGTGGGTCCAGAAATACGTCAGTGACCTGGAGCTGAGTGCCTGAGGGGTCCAGAAGCTTCGAGGCCCAGCGACCTCAGTGGGCCCAGTGGGGAGGAGCAGGAGCCTGAGCCTTGGGAACATGCGTGTGACCTCCACAGCTACCTCTTCTATGGACTGGTTATTGCCAAACAGCCACACTGTGGGACTCTTCTTAACTTAAATTTTAATTTATTTATACTATTTAGTTTTTATAATTTATTTTTGATTTCACAGTGTGTTTGTGATTGTTTGCTCTGAGAGTTCCCCCTGTCCCCTCCACCTTCCCTCACAGTGTGTCTGGTGACAACCGAGTGGCTGTCATCGGCCTGTGTAGGCAGTCATGGCACCAAAGCCACCAGACTGACAAATGTGTATCAGATGCTTTTGTTCAGGGCTGTGATCGGCCTGGGGAAATAATAAAGATGTTCTTTTAAACGGTAAACCAGTATTGAGTTTGGTTTTGTTTTTCTGGCAAATCAAAATCACTGGTTAAGAGGAATCATAGGCAAAGATTAGGAAGAGGTGAAATGGAGGGAAATTGGGAGAGATGGGGAGCGCTGCGACAGAGTTATCCACTTCACAAAATTCTGGAACATTGAAACTACGAATATGTTATAACTCAAATCGTAATATGCACGCTCTAGGAGAATTAACTACTTGAATGGCCACCATTAAGCAGAGTATTCTGTAGGGCATATTCATGATGAATCAAGCTCTTAATAGCAATTATTTACATTGTTGAGGCTTACTCCTCCTACTGAGTGCTTTTTATACATTGTTCATTTAATCTTACCAATGCAATAGTACAGCTTAGGTACTATTAATACCTCCACTTGACAGAAAAGTAACCCAGGGCTCAGAAAGGTTAGACAACTTGGCTGAGGTTACACAGCACGTAAACGGTCAATTGTGTTCCAAAACTGGACTTTTATTGAACTACAGACTATGCTGTTAACCATTGACCAAGTTATTTCCCAAAGTATGACCCGCCTATACTCAAATCTTACCCCATTCTTTAACAGATGATACTTTATCCATTGCAACCACTTCCTGTCAGGATTCTGAGTTGACATAGAGTGTTTCAGCAGTGATTATTTAAGCCAATTACATCAGGATCTTTAGGTGTAGACCTGGGAACTGATATTTTTATCAAGCTCATGAGGTGTTCCATAGCATGTTAATGACTGAGAGCCACTGTCAATAGAATTCACCACTGTTTTCTAAATGTGGTAAGTCTCTGCATATGGCAACAGGTGTATTATACATTATTTCTCTAGAATCTACACTCTACAAAATAAATAGCTAATGTTAGAGAATGAAAAGACAACCAGCTTCTGTGTGGAGCAGGATGCTGTCTATAGGTTTGAAAGGTAAGTTATTTAATAGATGGATTGCTTGCATTATATGTACAAGAAATGCATACTAAGCTAGGGTCCTTTTTGCAGAAGAAAGGGAAATTCAAAATATTTGTGTGAAAACCAAACGTGTTAATTTTTATGAGCTATGCTTATTTCATTTTGTTTAAAATAATCTAATTTCTGTGTCCAAACATGTTTAGAATTGTAGGGCTCAAACTCTTTAAAGCATAATTAAACACTACTACTTAGCAGATATTAAAATGCACATACTATGTGACCTACATCCCATTTGACCTGATCCCATTTCTAGGAATCTGCTTCATAGAAACACTGCCAAAAGATAAGAATATGTAGACATGAGGATATTCTTTCAAGTATGGTTGGTAAAGAGCAAAGAAATGCAAACAGTCATCAGTAGGGGATTAATAAGTAGAGGATTAAGATGTCCATCAATGGAATATTCTGCAGTCAGTAAACAAAAGCAGCACACATCTATAACTGTGGAAAGTGTCCTCAATATTCTAGGTAAAATGCATATCTATTTACATTCAGTATATGCATATATATTCTCTACATATGCTACAAAACTGTCTGTAAAGGATATTATTTTGTTTTTATTTTTAAAAGCCATATACACACATATATTTACATAGGCAAATATTTGGAAAGACACACATCAAATAGCTAACTGTCGTTTCTTTGAGGAAATGAGGCTTTTTTTAAATTTTTTTAGGAATGAGGGTTTTTCCTTTTTATATTCTGCACTTTTAAAACTTTGAGTTATTTTCTGATTAGCTTGCATAGCTTACCTCTCTGGTCTCATCTTACCCTGTTCTTTGATGGGTGATATTCCATCCATCACAACCACTTTCTGGTAGGGATTCTGAGTTGATGCAGAGAGAATAGAGCTCAGCCTGGCTTACAGCATTTTGATGCCATGATGGCTTTCGTATAATGAGGGTACAGCAACAAACACATCCTTTTGACAAGGCTGTTCTCTGTCTCTCTCTTACACACACACACACACACACACACACACACACACACACACGAGCAGCTTTTGTCCCCATAGATGCAGTGAAGGTGTCATCATTCCTTCTTTATTGACTTTCAGGAAAAAAATATAGGGGAATACAATATTTGCCTGCACTGAATTGTTTCACAAGGTCCAGAAACCCAAAGCTAAACAAAGTTTAATCATGCCCAATATTCCCTAAATACAAGTGTTATGAACAAACAGAGTAAGTTAAACACAGACTCCTGTTAGGGAACTGGAGAATGGGAATTGCATTTTTAAGCAGTTCAGCTGATCTGGCAGTCCCTAGCTCTCCTCCCTGGGGGAATGTCCTCCACGGACAATCTGAGATGTGCAATGTGGAGGATCTGCTTTCTGGAGGCTGCTGACTTCCTGTCTGTGTGAGTTAGCCTGAGGTTGCCTTAGGTATTGTGTAATCAGCGACTGTTTGGAACCAGTCTTGTGGTTTCTTTGGCAATGTGACTCCCTTCTAATGTCCATAGGCTACTATTTGCTTCTGATCAATTCCATGGGCCAGGTAGCCAGAAGCAGAGATGTTTTCAGTTACAAAGCTCGAATTTGCATTTTAAATGGGGTTGGGGATAGGCACTTTCTTTTTTCTTTTCTTTTTTTTTTTTTTTTTGAGATGGAGTCTTGTACTGTCTCCTGGGCTGGAGTGCAATGGTGTGATCTTGGCTCACTGCAACCTCAGCCTCCTGGGTTCAAGAGATTCTCCTGCCTCAGCTTCCCAAGTAGCTGAGATTACAGGTGCCTGCCACCAAATCTGGCTAAATTTTTGGATTTTTAGTAGAGACGGGGTTTCACTATGTTGGCCAGGCTGGTCTTGAACTCATGACCTCGTGATCCACCTGCCTCAGCCTCCCAAAGTGCTGGGATTACAGGTGTGAGCCACCGCGCCCAGCCAGGGATGTGCACTTTCTAGCACAGACCTCACTACCAGTGTCACCTCTACCACCAAGTCCCTGGTGAGAGACCTCTGCCTGCATCTTGGCCCATGTGGAGGTGATGAATATTTGACCCTTGGCCTCATTAGGTCTCTCATCTTCCTGTCTCTGCTCATGCTAACTTTATCTTAGAGTAGAAAATTCTGCCATTACAGCCCTTCAAGTCTCCAGATTACTGGGTTCTCAGTCAATAAGTTGGAAGGGCCTTTTTTAGCAAGTTCAATTTCTTCCTTTTTCAATTTCAGATGAGCCCATTTCAAAGCAGCCTAAACTCTTTCTTAAAGGACCTTACTGATGTAATACATAGCTACTAAGTTCCAATATTCAGAATCTTCTTTTTTTTTTTTCTTTTTTGAGACGAAGTCTTGCTCTGTCGCCCAGGCTGGAGTGGAGTGCAGTAGCGCGATCTCAGCCCAGTGCAAGTTCCGCCTCCCAGGTTCACGCCATTCTCCTGCCTCAGCCTCCCAAGTAGCTGGGACTACAGGTGCCCACCACTACGCCCGGCTAATTTTTTGTATTTTTAGTAGAGACGGGGTTTCACCATGTTAGCCAGGATGGTCTTGATCTCCTGACCTCGTGATCTGCCTGCCTCGGCCTCCCAAAGTGCTGGGATTACAGGCGTGAGCCACTGCGCCTGGCCTATATTCAGAATCTTTTCTATCACATTCCTTAATGCTGCAGCGTTGGTATTTGGCACAGGCTTTTAGCACCAAAATAAGACAGACCATAGTTCAACCAGCACGTGCAATACCTTGTAATGGGTATGGCAAAAGGTAGTGCCCAGACAGGACAGCATGGTGAATATCACCTGGGAACATGGGAGAAATGAACATTCTAAGCCCCACTTCCTTTCTTAATGGACTAGGGCCCAGCAACCTGTGTTTTCACAAGGCTCCAGGTAATTCTGATGCATGTAAGGTTTAAAACTCCTTCCATTTCACAAGGTCCTCCCCAAATTACCACTTTCTCATTTCAGCCAGTTCCACACTTCAGTCAGGGCCTGTGACTTTTAACAAACCCTGTGTCTCTGCACAGATGCAGATCTCGTATCTCTCAGGATGCTGGCAGTTTCCAGGCAGAAAGCAAACAAGCAAACCAAACTCAAAGAGGCTTTGAGTAAATGCACGTTGTGGCTCCAAGACTATAGGGCATCGAGGTGGCCCTAGCTCCAGGCAAGGCTGGACGCAGCAGCCCTATGGTATCTCATGAGTCCTCTTTGCTTCTCTTTCTGATCTCCCTTTCCTGTGAGAGGCCCTGGGTGGCTGCCAGTACCTGCCAGTGTTACATGAATCCTTTGTTCATTTTCTGCAAGGAAGAGTGAGTCTGTGATCCCACTGGAAAAAAACATCACTAGGCCCTTTCGGATGTGACTGACTTAGGAACCGAATTTCCTAACCTGTCGCTGTGGTTATGGGGATGGGTTTCATTGATTTGCTTAAGTTAATCAAGGCACATAACTTGAATCTTTGGGTTTACTGAATTTTACATAAACTTAAAGCCTGAGAATGGTGCAGAAGGGAGATTTTCCTGAGGAAATGTGAGTTTCGGGCATCAGGAAACATGCAGAATAGATGCTGGTTAGGAAAAACAAGTTTTCACTATAATGTGTTTGTCTTTTTCCTGTTATTTTTGTCTTCGTGATATAAAAGGCACTAATACTTTGTGTGTGGTAAACATTTCTTCTCCTATGCTCTCTAGATTAGAAACTATTAGTCGTCCACTTTCCTGAATGACTTTATTTTTAATAAGATGCTGACTCGTGTATTTCCTGTTGCACAGTGAATGACTATTGCCCAAACCTAGGGCAAAAGAGACATAAACTCTTCATGATGTCAAGGTAACCACTAGAAAATGGGGCTACATACCCACGCCAGAACATACTGAGAAAGGTAGAACTGGACCTGCCATAGGCACTGCCCACCTTCCTTCATAGAAGCCAAAGATCGGGCACTGAGGATGCAGGAGGAGATGAGACAATTCTTAGAACAATGAGTCCTCAATAGAAATTGTCCATATTAAGGAACAGAAGGGAGTCCTTTCATAGTGGATGGACAAAGGGGTAGACAAGGAGACTGCAAGCGAAGGAGACACTTCATACTTGCCGTTTTTATTCCTCTTCTTTCCTGGGAACTGCACCCACAAAAATACATTATGTGGGATTGACCACATCCCAAATGCTAGGTGGCTCCTGATTAAAATAAGCTGATTTGCATCTTGAGTTTTTTAAACTTACCATAACATAAGCATTTCTCATGTCACTGCATTGTTTGTAAAGGCTGCCTAATAGCCAATTAAGGGAAGAGCCCATAATTTTCTCAGCAATTTCCATATCATAGGCATTTAAATTGGGTCCAATTTTAAGTTGCTATAAATATGCTGGGGACCAAATACACTTATGCATTGTTCATTTTTTCCATATTTGAATTTATTTCTATGGAGAATAGATTCCTAGACATGGACCCTCTTGGCCAAAGGCTAAGAACATTTATTTCAAGGTTCCTTATGCATATTAGCACCCACATTAAACACATCTTTAGGTCCTTGGCTTAGCGCATATCTCTCTTGAATGAACAGATGTCTGAAAGCCTGGCTGTACTCTCATCGCTCAGTAGCTCAGGCTTTGCTAATACAGCTCTGTCCATCTGTGTGTGATTGAAGTTGGGCTGTGCTGCTCAGGACTCCTGGCATCATTGCATAAGTCAAGTCTACGCCGTTAGAACAGCTGTGGGATAACATAGAAGTTTCTGCTCTGCCAGGGAAAATATGACTACAGAGCTTTAGTGAGAAGGAACTAGCTAAGTGTGGTCCGGGGTGACAACAATATCTCACGTCCTCTCACTGTGGAAACCACTTCCCCATAAACAGCCCCAAGACAAGTGAGCACTTGAACTGTTCCTGCAAATACCCTGAGCCCTGTGGTTACCCAAGACCCCCGTGCATGTGCAAGTCAACAAGATACCACGGTGCTTAAAAAACATCCTGTCTCATCAGCCCCGGTTTCCATCTTCCCATGACTCAGGGCTTACCTCTTTAGAGAAGGGGACACAGCTTGGACCCCAGAAGGGGGCTGGTGACTGAGTGCGCAAGAGCTCACTTTCTTGGGCCCCCACGTCCTCCTCATTCACGATGCCCCCCTGTTCCTGGGCCTCCTCTCACGAGTCAGTCTTTGTCCTGCCTTTTGCTGTTGTTCCCTGCACTCTCTGGCTGGGGTCAAACCACATCACCAAAGTCCAAGGACAAAGGTACCCAAGTGAAACAGAGAACTTCCTAAGGGATTTTCAAAATGCCCTGGGCTATCTGTTCGGGAAGATTTTCTTCCCCAAAGAGTTTTCAGTTTTTATTCTATAAATCTTAAAGGCAGGATACGGTCTTGTCCTACTTAGGGAAGGAGAACACTGAGTAGGTTTCAACAAGCGGCAGAACCCAGCTACAATCCCGGTGGCCAGCTGAGTCATAAAATTGCCACAGGTCTGCCTCACAGGTGATTTGCAGAGATGGCCTCTTGCTGGAAAAATCTCTTCTTAGACCATATTATGTTCCACCAGTAAAGCTGGAATAAGAGGCAGAATATTTAATTAGCTGCAATTCCTACAGAGGGAGACGGAGGCCAAACCTAAGGCTCAAACAGAAATGGAAGGGAAAAGTGGGGAAACAAGAAATCCCCAACTTCCTGCTGGTTCTTCTCACCCCCACATCCCCAACTTCCTGCCAGTTCTTCTCATCCCCAAATCATCCCCTGAACAGTGCTGTCTCCATCTGCTTCCTTCTGATTTTATCACTGGGTAGAAGGAGTTGGCTCATTTGTCCCCAGTGAAAAATGACTCAGGGTCACGCTGCTCCTTCCCTCAGAATGCCCAGGTCCCCAAGCACCCAGGCATCTGCTGCTTTTCCTAGGATCCCCAGAAGCCCCCTAGCAAAATGGTAGATGGCAATTATGAGACTCACTGCTGGTGCCAGGTGAGGGCTGGTGCTCCTGCCCATCTCTAGAGAGAAGCAGGACTTGGAGGGTGGCAGCCTGCAAGGGCACCAGTCGGTTTGAGGGCCATCCTGGGGACCCCAGGCCTTTGAGGTCCTATCTGGTGGTGGGACACAGGGAAGGGCCATAGAGGTGTTTTCTGGCCTGACCTGGGGTCTGCAAGGAACCACGGAAGAGCTGCCCCTGACAGAGGGAAGACAGGAGGAAGTGTTAGCCGGAAGAGGCTGCCTGAAGAGACCCCCTGAGCCACTGATGAAAGGTCTAGGGAGCTGAGGTTGGACAAAGAGTCCTGAGCAAGTGGACAGGCCCTACACTTGCCAAGACAGAGAGAAGAAGGTAGCACGGAACCAGGAATTCTCTTGCTGATTCCTCAATTTTTATAACTGTCTCTTTTAACAGCTTCCAGAATGAAAGTGGCTGAGGCTGGCAGGTCTGTGCCAACCCCATCGAGTTCTGGTGCCAAGTGCATCACTGACCTCAGAGTCGAATCCCTGAGTGACCTGGAAGCAACAAGACACTGTTACATTTGTGGCAAATTAGGAGGCAGGGACCCAGGCCCTAGGGACGTCCCTTCAATTCCTGAACCTACCCCTACCCAAGCAACCACACTCTGGGGCTCTTCTTAACATGCATTTCAACTTATCTATTTAATTTTTGTAATGTATTTCTATGCGTTCTTGACTGCTTGTCGGAAGGGACCTCACAACACCCTCTACGCCCCTTCCTCAGCCCCTCCAGTCACACAGCGGCTGACACATATTCAGGCACATGGCTATTCTTTGCGGCTCTCGTACAAGGTGGGTGGCTACGTTCAGCTTTTTCTAGAGGACATTGTTCCAAAGCTGTCAACCAACAAATATTTATAGAACATTATTTATCATTTCTGTGTTCAGCTATGTAAAACAATGAATTCGTTTTGAGTAAACCAGTCTTAAACTGTTGGTGATCCTATTGGCTTTGTTTTGTGACAAAGCAAGGTGGTGGGATGGGAGGGGAAGAGCAGAAAACTCTGAAGAGGGGAAGTCAGCAGAAAGGAAATGACGGTAATGCCTCTCCCCAAATAATGAAACTCTATTTTTTAAAACAATGATTATTTTATAAAGTATTATGCACCCAGTGTATAATGCATATGCACTAGGTAAATTCATGCTTGATATATATATTCATGCATTTAAGCTTATTTTTCTCATGAGTCAAGCTCTCTTAAAAATTATTCATTGTGCTTCAAATTCTAACAGTGTCTCCAAGGGCTAAGTATTATTAATATTCCCATTTAACAGAAGAGGAAATGTTGGCTCAGAGAGTTAAAACAACTTGTCCATGGCCATGCAGCGAATAAATAGTGTAACTAATATGCAATCCTATGAGCATTCCAGAACCACCTGGGATGGTCATTTAAAATGCTCACAAGAGAACTGGGTTTGGATGCGGGAATCTAGATTTTTACCAAACCCCCAAGTGATACACATGCAGACTAAAGACAAGAAACTACTGAACTTGTCAATAAGACTTTTTTTTTTTTTTTTTTTGAGACTGAGTCTTGCTCTGTCGCCCAGGCTGGAGTGCAGTGGCATAATCTTGGCTCACTGCAATCTCTGCCTCCCAGGTTCAAGCAATTCTTCTGCCTCAGCCTCCCAAGTAGCTGGGAGAACAGGTGCCTGCCACCACACCCGGCTAATTTTTGTATTTTTAGTAGAGACGGGTTTTCACCATATTGGCCAGGCTGGTCTCAATCTTCTGACTTTGTGATCTGACCACCTCGGTCTCCCAGTTTTTTGTTTGTGTGTTTGTTTTGTTTTGTTTTGACTTGTTCTGAGATGGAGTCTTGCTCTGTTGCCCAGGCTGGAGTGTAGTGGTGCCATGCCGGCTCACTGTAACTTCTGCCTCCCGGGTTCCAGTGATCTTCCTGCCTCAGCCTCCCAAGTAGCTGGGATTACAGGTGCATGCCATCACACCCAGCTAATTTTTGTATTTTTAGTAGAGACGGGGCTTCACCATGTTGGCCAGGCTGGTCTTGAACTCCTGAACTTGAGAGAGCTGCCTGCCTCGACCTCTCAAAGTGCTGGGATTACAGGCATAAGCCACTGCACCCGGCCTCAATAAGAATTTAACCACTCTTTCAAAAATAAGACACACATGGTAATAGACATCTTACCTGGGTATTATTTCCCTAGAATCCATGCTCCACAAAATCAGTGGTTAACATTAGAGAAAGGAAAGACAGTCAGCCAATATATACAATAAGACTTCTATCGTGAATGCAGAATTACTTGATGGATTGCCTAGACTGAGGTTAAGAAACTATGGTCCTCAGAACAAATCTAGTATGACCCCTGTTTTGTAAACAAAGTTTTGTTGAAACACAGCCACTCCCACTCTTTTATATATTATCTATCCCAGCTTTCCAAGACAAAGGTGGAGTCACATTGTTGCAACAGAGATTATATAGCCCACAAAGAACAATATTTACTATCTGGTCTTTTATAGAAAACGTTTGCTAACTCCTGGCCTATGTTTTAGTATATACTTTTTTAAGTATAAGAAAGTTAGACTGAGTCAGGATTCCTGCTGTACAATGCAAGGGGGAGAAATTCAACACACTTGTGAGAAATGCAAAATATATTAACTTTTTGATAAGCCCTACTTACTTTGTGTGTTTAAAACAATCTATTTTTTAGTATCAAAAAGTGACATTTTGGTAATCAGCATTTTTAAAAAGCAATGACACAGTCTGTAAAAAAATTTAAAATTTACATACTCTTCAGTCTATCTTATTTCTAGGAATCTATTTCAAGAAACACTATCTAAGGAAACAAAGGAGGGCCAAGCACGGTGGCTCACCCCTGTAATCCCTGCACTTTGGGAGGCCAAGGCAGGTGGATAGCTTGAGGTCAGGAGTTCGAGACCAGCCTGGCCAACACGGGAAAATCTCATCTCTACTAAAATACAAAAATTAGCCGGGCATGGTGGCAGGCGCCTATAATCCCAGCTACCTGGGAGGCTGAGGCAAGAGAATTGCTTGAACCTGGGAGGCAGAGGTTGCAGTGAGCCGAGATCTTGCCACTGCACTCCAGCCTGGGCGACAGAGTGAGACTCTGTCTCAAAAACAAAAACAAAAACAAAAAAGAACCCCCCCCCACACACACAAAAATTGTTGGCACACCGCTGTTGTTTGCAGCTCTGTTTGTAAAAACAACCAATATAAATCAACTCTTTAAAATATGGATAGTTTAAACCATGATGGTACAGCCACATAATAAACATGAAATTACTGAAAAGAATAAAGTAGATATACATACTGAAAACAAAGCTATCTATGATATTAATGTAAAACTAGGTATATAGAATATATTCCATATGTGGAGAAAGAAGCAGAATGGCAGTTGCCAGGGGCCGGGGGAGGAGGAATGGGGAGGTGTTGTTTAATGGGTCCAGTTTCAATTTTGCAGGATGAAGAGGCTTCTGGAGATGGGTTGCACACAGCGTGAAGGTAGAAGGTACTGAGCACGACTGAACTATACGGTAAAAATGGGTGGGTGGGTGGGTGGGGAGTGAAGGAGCAAAAAGAAATGGTTGAAATGGGAAATTTATATTTGTGTATTTTAGCACAATAAAAAACACCAAGAGTCTCCCAGGACTGGTAGTGCTCATTGAATGCTCACAACAGCCACGTAGGGCAGGGACAATCAACCCTATTTACAGATGGGCAAACTGAGACTGACCCTTAGAAGAGTGCACAAGCAAGGGTGCACCCCGGGGCGTCCAGCCTCCCCCAGGCCCTCCAGAGGCCTGTGCCAGTCCTGCTTCAGCTTGCTCACCCTGGGCCCCTCCCCACACCCCAGTCCCAGCTCCCCACGACCCAGCCCCAGCCTCCCCACGCCCCAGGACCCCGGCTCTTCCGGGAAAGGCACCACATCCCCGTCCCTGCAAAGCTGGATTTACACAGAGAAAGAACTGGGGACTGGGGGAGCCACCATGGCTCAGGGCCTCCCATCTGCACTTCCAATGCCTGAGGGATACACCCCTAAGTGGACCCCTAAGCAGACCCCCAATCCTGGAGAGATGGGGGGGTCTTCGCTCCGGGGGGCACTGGTCATCCCCACCTTCAGCTTCCGGTGGCACATTTGATGCTAGGGAAACTCCAGACTGGCAGCCTGCAGGCCCTGGTGAGTGCCCAGGCCCAGCGCAGACACCCCTGTTGCTCAGGGGAGAGGCCCTGGAAAAGCCTGAACGGGACTCTCCCCAGGCAAGGTCCACATCCCAGGCAGGGCTGGGGTTTGACGCTGGTTTTCTGAGTGACACGGCGGGGGCCACAGCTGGGCTGGGGCTGGTGGGGTTGGGGAGGGGTCTCCCATCCCACCCCCACCCCACACAAACCGATTCCTTGCTGGACTGCGACCTCTTCCGGCCTCGGTTTCCCAGCCAGTCCCGGCCGGGCCGGACAGGCACCCTCGGGGGCGGGAAAAGGTGCCAGAGCGCCCGCCGGCCGGGCCTTAGCCTCGGGACTCCGGCGCTTGCCTGCTCCATGGGGCTCGGGGCTCGGGGCTCGGTCCGGGAGGAGGGGGGTCCTTTCTGCTCCAGGACAGCTGGCGCGACCGGTGGGCAAAGGTCCGCGGCCCTGGAGAACGCCACGGCGGGGTCCACGGACACCAGAGGAGGAACCGCCAAGGTTTTTCCAAAGGACAAGCGGCCCGGCCCGGCGGTCCTCCTAGTTCTTCGGCCCGCGCGCCACCCGGGAGGCCGAACCGGCCCCAGCCCGGGGCCCCCTCTCCAGCCCGCCCCAGCCCCGACCCTCCGCTGCGGGGCCCTCACGGAGCGGCCGGCCAGCGGGGAGCGACTAGGCTGCCGGCTGCAAGGCGTGTCTCCCCGGGACGCAGCTCCGCCCTTCCCAGGAACACAAGCGGCTGCCCGCGCCTGAGCTCCCAAAGGGCTGGCGGGCAGGGAGCGGGCGCCGCGCCGGCTCCCCGGAGCCCAGCCCCGGAAACGGGACACCCACAGCGGGTGCCCCCAAACTTCCCACCTCTCTGGTCCGGTCTGGGGAGGGGTCGGGGCCGGGGCCGGTGGGCAGGGCGCGGAGAGCTCATGGAGCTCTTAGGGTCTGCGGCCCCGCGGCTGGGGGTTATGCCAAGGGAGAAAGCGACGACGCGATGGGGAGGGACCGAGAGCACCCCGAAGCCGGGACCATCAAGCCGGAGCCAGTGGAGGGGCGCGAAGTCGGCGAGTTGGAAACTAACTGCAATCGTCCACTCGTAGCCTTCGGCGTCCGGCTCGTCCTCTGGCGGCTTGGCGGGCGGCTGCACAGGGCTGGACCTGTGTTGGATCCTCAGGCTCCGAAGATATGGTCCCCATCCTCGTCGTCGTGACACTCGGGACAAGTGGAGAGCCATCAGGACAGGGACCCACAGAACGCACACTCACATGTTCCTGCAGGTGCCAGCACATGCTGGGCTCCGCTCTCACGGGACACACGCAGGTGTGCAAGGACAATGCAAGTGCACACACACATGTGCAGACACGTAGTGGAAGCATCCACTCGCTCACACCTGTAGGACACACACACACAAACATATGCACACATACAGAGTTGGTTGAGGATGCTGTAACACAGTACACCCCCTAATGCACGTGCGCGTCCCCGCGTGCACACACACACACACAGGTGATCCAGGGCACCCAGGGCAGAATCTTCCCCAAGCACCCCTAACAAGAAGCACAAACATGCACCCATAGAAGTAATCGGGGGACCCTGGGCACAACTCCCTCTCTCCTTCCCCATCTACCAGGACATGGAGTCACACTCCTAGGCATGTGTGGACAGGCTGCCTACACACTGGCAGGACATGTACATGCTCAACTTTACAAGGACACTGTGGGCACACTCTGCGCACACGTATTCTCAGGTCACATGAACACAGCACTTTGTAACCTGGAGTCAGTCCCTCACTTGGTCAGTGAGTGGGCTGAAGCACCCACTGGGACAAGGTGGCTGAGAACCAGGACAGGGCCTGGTCAGGAGGGGTTGAGGGCAGGGCCTGGGAAGTGAGTGATGCAATGAGGTTGGGCATGATGGCATTGGTACCACCCCCCACCCAACCACCCACTGCAGGCCTCCCACATAATCGGGTCACTAAACAAATCCCAGAGGGCCCAGCCCCACCTGTTGCCTGGCTTTCCAGAAACAGAACTCGGTTGGGAATGGTTGCTGCTTGGACAGGTCTGTCCCCAGAAAGCCCTGGGCATGGATGGAGTCCTGTCTACCCTCTGGTTTCCACTGACACATTTATCTACCAACATTCTGTCCAAGTCTCCTCTTTGGAGCCCTCACCAGAATCACCCTTAATGAAGAGTCACAGGGAGAAGATGTCCACCCACGCATGAGGAGACAGGCCTGGAACAGAGCCTTCCTGCACAGCCTCAGAAGGGACCCACCCTGCTGACACCTTGATCTTGGACTCATGGCCTCCAGTACTGCGAGACAGTAACATTCTGTTGTTGAAGGTGCCCAGTCTGTGGTACTGTAAAACAGCCCTAGGAAACTAACACAGCCTGTTAGCCCACAGACGGTGGAGAGATGGAATGCTCTATGGAGCTCCAGGTTTACTGTCTGCAGCTCCCAAAGTGTGCTACGGGACCCTTGGGTGGGTGAGGTATGCAAGGTAATTTTGGGTGGTTCAAGGTGAATAATTTAAATTGACATAATAATATATTTATCTTGCTGGGTAAATCGGATCCCCACCTGTTAGGAACCAGGCAACACAGCAGGAGGTGAGCAGCCAGCCAGTGAGCAAAGCTTCATCTGTAGAAACAGCCACTTCCCATCCCTCACATTACTGCATGAGCCCTGCCACCTGTCAGATGAGTGGTGCCATTAGATTCTCATAGGAGCATGAACCCTACTGTGAACTGCGCATGCCAGGGATCTAGATTGCGTGCTCCTTATGAGAACCTAATGCCTGATGATCTCTGACTGTCTCCCATCACCCCCAAGTGGGACCACGTAATTACAGGAAAACAAGCTCAGGGCTCCCACTGATTCTATGTTATGGTGAGTTGTGTAATTATTTCATTATATATTACAGTGAAATAATCATAGAAATAAAGCACACAATAAATGTAATGGGCTCGAATCATCTCTGCACCATCCCTTCCCCTTCTCCCAGGTCCGTGGAAGAGTTGTCTTCAAGAAAACTGCTCTCTGGTGCCAAAAAGTTTGGGGACCGCTGGTGTAAATGTTTCTAAGAATAGTTAAGCAACTTAAGCTTCACATGCTACGAAGAATACAGCTTTAAATGCTAATAAAAATAGGTGCAAATGAAAACACTCTTTCTGTGGTCCAGGGAATCTTAACCATTCTATCAGAAAGACTTGCAGCTTGGAGCTGCAGCTGCCCTCCCACATCCTGTCCACTGTAAAGCCCTGCAACACACACATACACGCACACACACACACACACGCACACATGCACATACATACACATGCATATGCTTGCATACACACATGCACACAGATGCACATACATAAATACATTCACATGTATATACCTGCACACACACACATGCACACACACATGCATATTCCTGCGAACACACACACACACACACACACACGCTGTGCTTCATGCCCTCACTAGGGTGGCCTGGGAGGAAATGCGTGTTTTTAGGAGAAATGAAGACAACTCAGGCCCCTCATTCTCCTGGTGTTTGCACAAGTGCCTTCTCTGCAGACCATGCTTCAGCCTCTTTCTTGGTTCTCCCTCTTACTGAAAGAGAGAAGCAGAGGCCCAGCACATACTCGGCTGCTTAGGGCTCAAGCCAAGTTCGCAAGCTTCCTGGGGAGCCTAGTGAGATGAAGGCACTGCAGAGCCTCCCCAAAAGAGTCGTCGGCTTTTCGTGGATCCTTGAGCCCAGGAAGGCGATAGGTGAGACATCACAGTTCATCAGAAGACACGAGCAAACTCCGGCGAGAAAGGGCAACGGTCAAAGATTTTATTCTCTCGGAAAAGGGTTCTCGGGCTGTAAGCAGCAGGCAGAAGACTTTATTGCACGCGTAGTTAGGTGATGGCGACCTACGGTTTTCACTGGGGACTGGGATCGAGAGTGACCCGACCTCCTACTCATGCTCGTCTCTCCCTGTCTCTCTCTTTGCCTTTTGTGTCTCTCTGCCTGTCTCTCTCGCTCCTTTTCCTCTCAGCCTCCTCTGTCTCTCTCCTTATCTCTCATCCTCTCTCTATCTCACTCCCTTCTCCCCATCTCTCTTTCTCTCTCCTTCTTTTCCACTTCTCTCACCCTCCTCATCTCTCTGCCTGCCACTGTTCAGGCTCCTGGGGCCCCACGTGGATGGGCGGACACAGGACTCCTAGGCTACCTTTCATAGCGCAAGCAGAGGGCTGCAGGACCTTGGTCCCCACCTCCCAGCATCCTCAAAATGAGGGGTGTGGGGTGTGCCGTGCTCTCCTGAGTGGGCGCCCCACACTCCAGGAAGCAGAAACTGCAGGTCACAGCTGGCTCGAGTGGTGCCCACGGGGCTGCCAGCTTCCATCGTGTGATCTGCTGAGGCCAAAGCAGAGGACAGCAGCCCAGGCCCATCTCTGCAGCAGGGTGGGGGTAGGGGTGGGCTTGGGGGTGGGGATGGGGATGGGAGCCGCCAATGCAAACTGGCCCCTGGCTGGTTTCCTACCCTGCACCCTGCCATGCAAGTCCTCCTCTCCTACCCCTACCCCTGTCTGCCCCACCTCCACCCCTAGGCTGCCCCACACCCAGGCTCCAGAAGTCTCCCAGGATCCAGGAACTAAGGGCAGCCATTGGGTTCCATAGCCCCTAGTCCATGAGTCAGCCACCCCTCTGCGTGCTGACAAACCTTGGCTCTCATGCCCCACCCCAAGCCAAGCACACAGCCCTGTCCCCCCACCAGCATTATCACCGCCTCCTGATTTTGGCCCTGACAGCCCTGCTTCCTGGTAACCTTGCCCCCTCCCACCCTGCTCCAGGCAAGCCCAAAGGCCAGGCCCTCCACCCACCCTTCCTGGGGGCCACTCTACTATCTCCTTGCCCAGATGTCTTAACCTGGCTTTACCAAGATAGAATAAATAACAGGGATGAGGCCCCGGACCCCGCCAGGAAGATGTGCCAAAATACCCTCCATTTAGAAGCGGGAACAGTGATGGGGCCTATGGATGACCCCAGGATTGTCACCCAAGCAGCAAGAAGGGCAAGGAGCCCGGTTTCCTGCCCTTACCCAGGGAGGACGTGGCCAGGGCTCCAAAAGGCCCTGGAGAGGGGTGGGCAGGAGAGCAGATCCACCCTCCTCTTGAGGAAGCAGCCACCATCCCCAGGAAGAGCAGATGGGGGCACACAGGAAGAGTCCCCACGTGCTGTAGAGCAGGGCCAGCAGAACTGTACTCAGCCCCAGCCCCAGGGGAGCTACAAGATAGATTGAGACCCTCACAGGTTGGGCTCTGTGTCCCCACCGAAATCTCATCTGGAATTGTAATCCTCCTTTGTCAAGGGAGGAACCTGGTGGGAGGGGATGGGATCTGGGGACAGTTTCCCCCCTGCTGCTCCCCTGATAGTGAGGGAGTTCTCAGGAGAGCTGATGGTTTGAAAGTGTGGCACTTCCTGCTTCTCCGCTCACTCCCTCCTGCCGCCTTGTGGAGAAGGTGCCTGCTTCCCCTTCGCCTTCTGCCATGACTGTAAGTTCCCTGAACTGGGAGTCGATTAAACCTCTTTCCTTTATAAATTACCTAGGCTCAAGTATTTCTTTATAGCAGTGTGAAAACAAACTAATACCCCTTCCCTGAGGCGCCTTCTCCTTAGGCAACCCGCTGCCCCCATGCTCCTCCTCTGCCCCCTGTCCTTTCTTTTCCCCTCATGAGGCCCAAGTGATAAACGGGGCCAGCCCCAGTCCCAGCCCCAGCCCCAGCCCCAGCCCCATCCTACTGCAGGCCTGTGTGGCTGCTGGAGAGGCCGTGTTCCTTTCCTCTCCCCGAGCCTGCCTGATATGCTTTCTGGATCCTGGAGGAAACTGACCCCCTATTCTCATACTGGTGCAACATCTTCCAAGACCTCAAAGCTGTACCATTTGAGCCAGTCTTTTTTCTTATCTCCACTTGCTAGGGCTGTCATTGGGACAGTCCTAGAGGGTGGTGCCAATGGATGAATGGATGGATGGACAGTAGTCCAGGGATGATGTCCCTGTCTGTCCTGAACCGGGCCCTTCCTCCAATGAGAAGCCTTCCTGAGTGAGTATATACAGTCATCCCTTGGTATCCATGGAGGATTAGTTCTAGGGTCCCCGGGAATGCCAAAATCCATGGATGCTCAAGTCTCTGATAGAACATGGCCTAGTATTTACGTATAAGCTATGCGCATCCTCCCGTATACGTTAGACCGTTACTAGATTATGATGTGTAATACAATGCAGATGCTACATAAATGGTCGTGATACTGTATTCTTTAGGGAATGATGACAAGAACAAAGTCTGCACATGTTCAATAGAAACATAACCATCCAATTTATTTTCTGAATATTTTCCATCTGCTGTTGCTGAATCTATAGATGCAGAGCTCCTGGATACGAGAGCCAAGTGTGCTTTGAGAGTAGGGTGGGTGAGGTTGCTAATGAGTACAGGGGAGCAGGTGTTGATCAGGAGGGCCCTGCACTGGGGCATCTGGACGTCCTGCCTCAGGACTTGAGACTCCAGTTGGATGGCACAGACAGACTCAGCCCAGGTCAAAGCCGTCCCCTTGAAGTTTCATTTTATCCCAAGCTCTTTCTGGACCCTGGAATTTGGCATCCCCTAGGCCCTGCGTGGAAGGACAGATGAACCAGGTTTTAGATAACATGTCTAGAAGAGTGAGCCCCTACTGTGTGCTCGGCACTTTCCCCACAGGATCCTCTAGCTAGAATATCCAAGGGTCATGGAGAGAAATACCCAGTTAAAATATCAGAAATGAAAAAGCGATACCATTAGATACACTAAAAAGACCATTAGGTAATAGTATTAGCTTTTGTATTCTGAGATCCAACAGCAGCAGTCACTTCCCTCCACCCCTATGTGTATCCCAGGACCACCCTGGGCGGGGAGGGCTGAGGTTAGGGAGCAGCCATGGATGCTCTGATGCTGGCCCTGGGCCTCGGGGGTGACAGTGATGAGGAACTGGGTGCACACATGAGTGGGGCAGCCGGGCCTGGCCAGAGAAGCAACACACATGTGCACAGACATGTTTACCCACATACACGTGTGCACGCACGTGCACAAACACGTTGCAGGCAGGCATGTTGACGCCTCAGGCAGCGGAGGACCCTGACTCTGGGTGCTGCTGACCCGGGCAAGGCCCCACTGTGATTCGTGCCATGACCTCAGAATGTCACTGGTGCTTAGCACCTATCTGCTCTCTGGCCTGCCTCAGTGGTCTACAGCAGTTACACACAGGCAGTGGTATCTGTGAGCAGCTCTGTGGACTCAAAGGTTTTCTCCCTGAGAGGCATGACCCAGGCCAGCTGATTCATCAGAATCAGGTGAGCGTGACCTGCTCTCTTCCCTCCAGGCGGACTTGGGGACAGTGGCTACGGTGCGGGCGGTGTTGGCCTCTGTGGGGCAGCTACCGAGGAGGGTCATCCCTGAGCACTCACCAGGCGCCCGTTCTACACTGCCCGTGTAGACGATTGGCTCTTTCGTCTCCATGGTGGCTTCGTAGAGTGGGTGCTGTTCCCAAATGTCCCCATTCGACAGATGAGACGTCTGGGGTCAGAGAGGCAGTAACCGGCCTGGGAATCCGGACATGACCCTGAGTTTTGCTCTCAGCCCTGCCGTGTGCTGTGCTGGAATTCAGGCCTGAACCCTGTGACCTCCCTGCCCTAGATCCCAAATCTGCCCAGGTTTCCCATCCCGATGGGGCAGAGCCTGGTCCTGGCAGAGCCACTGGTATAGAGCCACTGGTACAGATCCACTGACGGTCCTCAGAACACCTCTGTGCCCTAAGCTGGGTCCTGATGGTCGCTGTGGGCCCCACTGAACACACATGGTGCCTTGTCCGGGGGAGCCTGCTGCCCTTGGGCAGCTGTGGAAAATGAAGGAGCCCTGGAGGGCTGGCTGAGGGGAGACTATCTTCCCTTGTGTTCAAAGGGGTCCGGGCACTAGGGTTCTCCCCAGGTATTTCTTGCTCTGCGTGGTCCTCTTGAAGCCTCGCCCTCCTTTTGCCTCGAGTATTCCCAGGAGGGACGGTCCATCCAGCTGTTCTCCAGGACCAAGGACCCACTGTTCTTCCTCAGTGACCCAGGAAAATGAAGCCTCCTCCTGTTGGGACGGCTCAGAATGGTGGACTCCACAGTCCCTCCGCGAGAGACGTGGTTTCCATGCGTACAATAGATCTTCCTCATCCCCCAAACCCAACACCCTCCTGCTCAACAGGCGTTATTCCTAAAGTGGCTTCACTGTTCAGACTGAAGAGCCACGGTAGCCAAAGTGATGAGCGGAGTAGAACCGAGCAGTCGGGAGAGATCTTGTTCCCTGTAGGAAACTGGGCATCTCTGAGGCCCTGAGCATCCCAGGAGGCCGATTGCACAGAGACCTCTGGTCGCTGACCCCAGTCTGCCTCCACATCCCTGGAATAGCCCATCATGGGCCCTTCACCCTTGGCAGGTGGAAACCATTCAACCTGCTGGGGCCGGTGTGTCCCCATTTCATGGCATTGGGGGACAACAGGATTCTCTGTCTAGGTCCCACTGTACTCAAGTCCTTGGGAAGATGCCCACCCCTGCTTGGGACTTGAGACTCCAGAGACTGGAGCAGCTGTGGGCCACTGGGTCTGGCCCCTTTTTCCCTGGGGGCGGCGGTGGAATGGGGGTTACGCAGCCAGCCAGCATCTGGGAGCCCGGCGAGAGCAGTTCAGGTGTTCTCCGAAGCCGCCGCGTACAGTGTGACCTTTAGACAATTTTGTCTCACAGGATGGACGTGGTAGAGGTCGCGGGTAGTTGGTGGGCACAAGAGCGAGAGGACATCATTATGAAATACGAAAAGGTACAAGTCGGTCTGCTTCTTGGAGGGAGGCCTCTTCCAGTGTGCCCTGGTCAAAGGGTCTTGGGCTCCCTAGGAGCACAGGGCAGGGACGGGTGGCCAATGCCCCCAGGCCCTTGCACCCTTTACCTTGGACCCCTCACCAAGGCTCCCTCTGGGCTACAGGGACACCGAGCTGGGCTGCCAGAGGACAAGGGGCCTAAGCCTTTTCGAAGCTACAACAACAACGTCGATCATTTGGGGATTGTACAGTGAGTCCTCTGCACTCCCCTCACCCCTAAAGCACCTGTCTCAGCTCAGGGATGGGTTTGCTTTTAGAAAGGCCTTTCTGACGCAGGACATGTCTCACCAGGTCGGGTCAACCTCCTTTCCAGGGACAGAACTCCTCCCTGACTCCCCTGCAGGTCCAGCCCGAGGTTGTTAGGCCAGAGGTGTGGGGCCCATCTAGGGAGCCGGTGGGAATGGAGACTGGGCTAGGTCAGGCCCCTGGGCGCTCAGCAGTTCTGTCGGCAAGTGAGCACAAGAGGAGCGGGGCAGCCTGAGGGTCTGGCCCTGTCTACTTGGAGACAACCCCGGTGAGATGCAAGGGTTATGGCCACAGGGTGAGGGGACGCCTGGCCCAGCCTCAGGGCTGTTGTCCAGCAGGTCTCTGAGGGCCCACCTGCCCCTGTTCTCCCCCATTCCCCTAGAGCTACAGCCCTCACTGTCCCGTGAGGGGAAAAGGCATGGTGACAATGGGGGCTGTAGCCCTAGGAGAACGGGGGAGAAGATGGGCAGGGCCCCGTTCTGGGCATCTCACGGTGAGGCCAGGGAGGCAGCAGGGCTCGCGGCTAAAGACCTGGGTCTGGTGCTGGGAAGGGATCTGGGGCCGGGTAAGAGGAGCCCAGCCAGGAGCCCATCCCTCAGGGATCACAGGATGGAGAGACAGAGGATCCCTGGGGAGGTAGGGCGGGAGGGAGCTGACGAGCCGTGCCACTTCTGAAACGCAGGGTGTGTGGCTCGGGTGCAGGGAGAGGCAGGTGGATGCTGGGAGGTCAGAACCTGCAAGGGCCTTGGGGCTGTCAAGTGGGGTGGGCCCCTGGTGCAGCCAGAGTACACCGGGCAGGTCTCAGGGCAGGCTCCCTTGACCCTGGCGGGGGGATGTGGTCACTCCCTGAGGGACTCCTGTCAGGGCCCGGTCGCCCACCCTGGGCGGCCCCCATCCCATCTCAGGGCTAACCTTTCTCAGCTCCAGCAGAAAGCACCACCTCGAGTCCAGGACGGGCAGCCCCACTGGGCAGCCTGACCGCCCCCCACGCCAGGGGCCCCAGTAACCCCGGCCAGGCTGTCCCTACACTCCTTCTTCTCCCAGGTCCTGCCCCTCCTGGGAGTCAGCCCCACAGGAAGGCCCTTGTCCTCCCTTCCCTGTGCCTTCTCCTGGGCTGAGCCCTGAGCTGGAAAGGGACAGAGCCAGTCCTTTCTGGGGGTCGGCACCCAGGCTGGGGCCGCTCCAGGCCCCGTGCAGTTCCTCAGCTCTGCCTGGGTTGCCTTACAGTGAGACGGAGCTGCCTCCTCTGACTGCGCGGGAGGCGAAGGTAAGAGCCTGATGCGTGGAGGGGCTGGTCCAGGGACGTAGGGACTGGGCGGGTGGTCAGTGAGGCAGAGGAAGCAGCTGGCCTGAGCGGTGGCGGGTGAGGGCAACACGCTGTCACTGGGAGGGGCAGCAGTCCCTGCTGGACCTGACCCCAGGTTGCTGTTCACTTTGGCAGTTTGATAAAATTCCAAAAGGAGAACCACAGTCCTGGCTTGGGGGTGGCTGCGCGCTTGTGTCAGGACCCCACCTAGAGGCTGGGACCTAAGACTGGTGTGTCTGTGGCCTGAGGATGGTACATCCCGGGGTCCCAAAGCCAGCCCACTGGTGCTCATTTGCTCAAAGGCTCTCAGCCCTTGAGGTCTGCCCTTCCCTGGCTCCTTCCAGCTGGCTCCCACCAGGGCTCCAGAGCCCAAGACCCAGCATCCGCGGGCGGCTCTGGGAAGCCTGGCAGCTCCGCTAACTCCAACATGCCTCATTTGACAGCAAATTCGGCGGGAGATCAGCCGAAAGAGCAAGTGGGTGGATATGCTGGGAGACTGGGAGAAATACAAAAGCAGCAGAAAGGTAACGTGTGGAGGGAGGAAGCACTCTCTGCAGAGACAGGGGACAGGCACCCATGGCTGTGGCCTGGCACCATCAGCCTCTCAGAGGGTGGGCGGCACACTGTCCTCGCCCAGAGGACTGCAGGCCTGGTCGCCAGATTTCCTGCCTATTCGTGCAAGCGTCACCTTGCAGGGAGGGAATCTGAATCTAGGGCTGGGACTACCCGGAGCTCAAGGCTAGGGATGCCCTGGTGACCTGAAGGAAGGAAAAGGTTCAGATCAGAGTTTCGACTCTCAGTGTCCATCCACTCTTTCAGTCCTGGGAAGGGAGACCCTGTCCCAGCTTGATCTCACCTCTACTGAGGAATCATGGGGCCAAAACCGACAATTTCCAGAATCCCCGGGCTCTGGTCCTCACTGGGGTCACCCCGTGGCCTGTGACACCAGATTGTTTTCTGCCCACAGCTCATAGATCGAGCGTACAAGGGAATGCCCATGAACATCCGGGGCCCGATGTGGTCAGTCCTCCTGAACATTGAGGAAATGAAGTTGAAAAACCCCGGAAGATACCAGGTACGCTCAGCCAGAGCACAACAAACAGGACAGGCCGTGTCGGGGCCCAGGTCTCCAGCTGGAGGGAACGTCAAGACCACCCTGGGGAGCTGGGGGTGAAGGTCAGATGAACACCCTGGGCACAGATGGTGACACAGTCACCACAGACAAACTCAGCTCTGGTGACCCTCCCTGGCTTCAGTAACAAGCCAAAATGCAGCTTTCTGCAGAAGGAAACCTTCCTTCTGTCCTTCCTTCCCGAAGTGCTGACTGTGGGCTGACTGCCACTGGGGGCAGGGAGTCTTCCATCTGTTCTGAGACTGCTTCCTCCGCTTGGCCCTGCCCTACAGATCATGAAGGAGAAGGGCAAGAGGTCATCTGAGCACATCCAGCGCATCGACCGGGACATAAGCGGGACATTAAGGAAGCATATGTTCTTCAGGGATCGATACGGAACCAAGTAAGCCTACGGGAGCCACAGGGTCCCAGCAGAGATGGGGTGAATGAGAGGGATGGGGGCTTCCCCGGAGCAGAAGCCAGGGTCACCCAGGAGGGATGACACAGCTGCCAAGAGCTCTCCCGGCCCAGGGAGCAGCCGGCACCATGAACCGAGCACCTCCCTGGTTCCAAGCCCTGGGCCAGACTGGAACATGTGGGGCCAGAACCCAGGAGGATCCTGAGGAGATGGAAGGCAGCAAACAAAATCATGCACAATGGTGAAGGGTGCTCTCCCTGACCCATGGGGACCCATGGTAGGACCCACGGGAGGGTGGCAGGATAGAGGGCCCATGAGCCCCCCCAGGCAACAGTGACAGCACCAAATGCTGGGAGAATTAGGGGTCCTGGAAACTCTCATCCAGGTCCGCTGGGAACATGACATGGCACAGCCACGTTGGCAGCCAGTTGGGCAGTGGCTCACAAAGCTCGATGGACTTGAACCACACATCCCCAAAGTGTCACAGATATTGAACCCACTGATTTGGAAACTGACATCCACATGAAACCAGCATGCCAGGTTCACTGCTTGACTCCTCGTCACTCACACACGGAGCCTTCGGGGACGGCCTTCAACACGGGAATGGGGAGAGCAAGGCTGGTCCTCCCTTCAAACGGAAGACCCAGTGAGAAAAGGGAACGAGCCGGTGATGCCCGCACGAACGTGGGTGGATCCTAGATGCATTTTGCTGAGGGACAGAAGCCAGACCCAATAAGCTACCACCGTAGGATTCCCATTCCTAGGCCATTCTGGAAAAGGCCAAACCACAGGGACTGAGAAGCAGTCTGGGTGGCCAGGGGCTGACGGATCAGGGAGAGGCTGGGTGCATAGGGGCCACCCTGGAGACTTGGAGGATGAAGGAGTCGCCCCAGGAGGGGCTGGAGCGGTGGCCGGGAGACTCTGCACATTGGTTTGGAACCGTGGAGGAACTGTACACCCACAGACTGAACTGGCGTGTGTGCAAACTGAAAAAAAAAAAAAATCATTCAGAGTGAAAAGGATCAGGCAAGTCACTGTACAACTGGGCTATTTGCATGTCACAGATGTGGATTTTACTGAAACATTTCTTCAAGAGTCTCAGGCCCTGAAGAGCTCACTGCTTATCTGGTGAAACATCTGAACCTGAAATGGGATTTGCTGTTAGGCTTTGTAGACAAAGTGAAATTAACAACATCTGCACAAAACAAACCAAAGCCCCCTTTCTCTGTTTCCTAGGCAGCGGGAACTACTCCACATCCTCCTGGCATATGAGGAGTATAACCCGGTGAGTATTCCCGGCAGTGAGGTTCCCGGGCCATATTTCCATATTGACAGGAGTGGGTGTCTGGTGGGGGTGTCGTTGCTTCTTTTAAAGTTAGTATTTGTGACCCACCAGGATATAGGAGGTAGGATGTCAGCTCACCGCTGGCATAAACCTCCAAGGAAGGGGGTGGTCTCAAGGGGTCAAGCTGAGACACAAAGGAGTCAGGGCCCGGACTCCTGGTGTCACCTGGGCCTGACCACCACTTCTCAGAACAAGAAATGACGCCCTCCTCCTGGGGCTGCCCCAAAGCCCAGGAGCTTGGCAGCATCGCACACAGGATGGTGCTATCAGCAGACATTTTGGACAAGGTGCTGAAGTGCCTGATGGACTTGGCTCTTGTCATGAAATGAATGTGCATCCTGAGGAAGCCTCTTTTTCAGAGGAAGCCTCTCCTTCAGAGGAAGCCTCTCCAGTCACCTCTGCCCTCTCCAATGACATGAGTCCTCCCAGGTGACCTCAGCCCTCCCAGGTGATGTCCTTCCATGGTGACTCTGGCTCTTGCAGGAGGTGGGCTACTGCAGGGACCTGAGCCACATCGCCGCCTTGTTCCTCCTCTATCTTCCTGAGGAGGATGCATTCTGGGCACTGGTGCAGCTGCTGGCCAGTGAGAGGCACTCCCTGCAGGGTAAGTGAACAGCTGCCCCGGGGACCTCCTGCAGCCAGACCTGGGGATGGCCACCCTGGCCGGGTGATCACAGCTTTCAGCCAAGGCACCCTCCTTGTGTCGCCAGCTTGTTGGGAGACTTTAGGATGTCTCTGCTGAGGGTCCCACAGGAGTCCACGGCTGACCCCCAAAGCCCAAATCAGACGCCTGTCATCCCCATCAGCAGAGGGCATCTCATCCTCCCCGTGGCCACCCTCTGTGTCCTGGAGCCACGCCCTCCGGCTCTGATTCTGTGCAGCTGACTCTCCCCTCCCTGAGAGTCCTCCTGCCCTCCAGCTGCCCGGGCTCCTGCTGCCATCGGTGCCCACGAATGGGCCGACCAAGCCCAGGTGGCAGCATCTCCCCATCCCCTGTTCCCCTGGCCCGACCCCACTACCAGGAGATGACCGGGAAGCCCAGCGCCCACCCAGTTCCGGCCACCCTGTCGTGGCCTGAAAGTCAGGCTTGCCCTTTTTGCACCCTGGCCCAGGAGGCCTCCAGGGGAACCTCCAGCCAGGCTCCAGGGAATGTTCCCGCCCCACCTCCCCAGGGTAAAGGCCGCATGTTGGGGTCACCAGATGGGAGGGTGGGAGTAGCCTTGGGGTTTGGGGGCCTCTCCAGCTGCCCAGCTCTTGCAGCTGATGGCTCCACATCTTGGGGGAAGGCTCTGATTTCATGATGGGCTGGGGGCTTCTCAGGATTTCACAGCCCAAATGGCGGGACCGTCCAGGGGCTCCAAGACCAACAGGAGCATGTGGTAGCCACGTCACAATCCAAGACCATGGGGCATCAGGTGAGTTTATGGTCCCCTCAGCTCTTCCCAGAGGCCCTGCCTCCCGTGGGGCTGTAGGAGCAGGGGGGCTGGGGCCCCTCGTGGGGCTGGTGACTGGCTGAGTCCCAGCCAGGGCCTGACCTGGGACGTTGGGTTCTCCATGGGCTGGGAGTTGGTTTCCTTTCCTGCCCTGGAGGAGACAGAGGCACAGGGATGGGGGCCCAGCTCCCGCAGAGCAGGGCAAAGGGCAGTGTGTCCACCGGGAGTGTGGGAAGGTGACAGTGTTGTGGGGAGCTCTGGACACCGCCCAGTGTTCTGCACTAGGGGAAGGGTCTTCAGAGGCCCTGGAAGAGGGAGGTTTTTAGGGTAGCCCAGTGGCCTGAGCACCTCTGTTGCTTCCATCAGGACAAGAAAGATCTATGTGGGCAGTGTTCCCCGTTAGGCTGCCTCATCCGGATATTGATTGACGGGGTAAGGAGGCATAGGGAGACCCTGGCTCAGGGACCTTCCTTGCCCTGCAGTGCCCTGCTTCCCCAGCCCGGGGGTCTGGCTCACTCCCAGCCCACAGGAGGCTCAGGCGGGTCCCCAAAGGACACACAAGCAAAACCCTCTGCCCAAGAGGAGTCATCCCAGGGCAATGGCTGGGGCTCAGGCCCAGCCTCATGGGCAGACTGGGCCAGGACCCAACTTGAGAGGGCTCAGGGAAGCCTCAAGCCCTGGGCAAGCCCCTCTCTCCAGGAGCCACATCCCCACTCAAATGAGTGCCCCCCATGAGGAGCTTCAAGACCTTGTCTGACCCAGCGTCCTGGAGGGCTCAGCCGACCCTCATGGGGAAGGTCACTGACTCTGGAGACTGAAGCCCCAGTGTGTGCAGCTCGAGCCACCAGCCCCAGCCTGGAAGGACCAGGTTCTTTCACACCTGCTGTCCCCACAGATCTCTCTCGGGCTCACCCTGCGCCTGTGGGACGTGTATCTGGTAGAAGGCGAACAGGCGTTGATGCCGATAACAAGAATCGCCTTTAAGGTTCAGCAGAGTAAGTCTACGTGTGCCCAGCGGGGCCTGGGGAGCCCTGGGGTCAGACCCCGACTGGCCCGAGGGCAGCTTCCTCACACTGTCCTCATGATCCGCTGTTCTGGCCCAGAGGGAGGTCCGGCCAGGTGGGCTGGGCAGGACACTGTGACACCGAGCCCATCCCTCACATGACCCAGATGAAAGTCGAGAGTGTGGTGAGCACTTCCCTGTCCGGATCGCCCCCCAGCCACAGTCTCCTGTGTATATCTGGACACCTGGGGTGGCCACAAAAGGATCCGGCACCGCCCAGTAGGAGACTGAAGTGGCCACGGGGTATGAGCTGTGACCATTCCCAGGTAACTCCCCTGGCCTGATATCCACCCTGTCCCTAGAGCGCCTCACGAAGACGTCCAGGTGTGGCCCGTGGGCACGTTTTTGCAACCGGTTCGTTGATACCTGGGCCAGGGATGAGGACACTGTGCTCAAGCATCTTAGGGCCTCTATGAAGAAACTAACAAGAAAGCAGGGGGACCTGCCACCCCCAGGTGGGCTCCAGTGCCATGTCCCCTCCCATGTCACCCTCTGGGGTAGTCAGTAGTAGGGGAGTGCCCGGGACCCGCAACCCTACTACCTGGGCCTTCCTCTTCACCTTTTCTTCCTCCTCTTCCTCCTGGACTCTAAGAAAGTACAGGAGGCCCACCGGTCCTCAGGGCAGGCGCTCAGTGCGTGTATACTGGACATGCTGTGCACGCAGGAGGGGGATGTGGGCAAGACCCTCCAACAAGCCCCCTCCCACTTTCCACGGTGTCTCCCTCTCCCCCTCGCAGGGCCCTCCAAGTTACTAGACGAGCCCAGACCCATTTGTGGGAGACCCCGCCCCTCCCTGCAAGCACCCACAGCCTCAGAGAGCAGCAGAGGCCCCTCACTCCTGCACGCTCCTCCAAGGTTGCCAGGACAAGAAGCCTGGAGCCAGGGAGTCAAGGGAATCGGTGTCCCTGACCCACAGAGCATTCAGGGAGAGGGCACAGGCGGGACCCCGGGCCCAGAGCCAGAGCCAAGAGTTCAGCCAGAAGTGGGAACGGTCAGTCCTGGCATGGACTGGGCAGCCCAGGAGGGCAGAGGGTGACCCACGTCCGGGCCCAATCACCCACTGCGGAGACGGGTCCCCACGTGAGGTGACAAGGGGCTGGGTGACATCCAAGGCCCCTCCCACCTGAGTTCTGACTGGGGGCCGTATCCCAGGCCCAACAGCCCTGGGACGAAGGTGTGTGGCAGGAAGCCCCCAGCCAGTCTGAACCCTGGGGGCAGTCCCAGGAGCCACCCGCCATGCCACGACAGCTTCCCCACGCCAGGCAGCATGCACCCCTCCCTCTGGGATCAGCAGACTACAGGCGTGTCCTCGGTGTCAGGCCACGGGGGCCACACAGAGACCCCGAGGACTCCGAGATGCAGGCAGGTGGGGCCCAGCCCGGAAAGGCCTGCGTGGGCTCACTGGAGATGCTGACCGCGTCTGTTTTCCTTTCAGCCAAACCCGAGCAAGGGTCGTCGGCATCCAGGCCTGTGCCGGCTTCACGTGGCAGGAAGACCCTCTGCAAGGGGGACAGGCAGGCCCCTCCAGGCCCACCAGCCCGGTTCCCGCGGCCCATTTGGTCAGCTTCCCCGCCACGGGCACCTCGTTCTTCCACACCCTGTCCTGGTGGGGCTGTCCGGGAAGACACCTACCCTGTGGGCACTCAGGGTGTGCCCAGCCCGGCCCTGGCTCAGGGAGGACCTCAGGGTTCCTGGAGATTCCTGCAGTGGAACTCCATGCCCCGCCTCCCAACGGACCTGGACGTAGAGGGGCCTTGGTTCCGCCATTATGATTTCAGACAGAGCTGCTGGGTCCGTGCCATATCCCAGGAGGACCAGCTGGCCCCCTGCTGGCAGGCTGAACACCCTGCGGAGCGGGTGAGATCGGCTTTCGCTGCACCCAGCACTGATTCCGACCAGGGCACCCCCTTCAGAGCTAGGGACGAACAGCAGTGTGCTCCCACCTCAGGGCCTTGCCTCTGCGGCCTCCACTTGGAAAGTTCTCAGTTCCCTCCAGGCTTCTAGAAGCATCTGGGCCAGGGCTCATGGCTGGATAATTTCCCTAGGCTTAACAACCCAAGCAAGCTTCGCGTCCTCGTTTTATTTTTGGTTAAACTTATGAATATGTATTAAGAAAGAGTGCAGCTTGAGAGACATTCAGAGATGGAACACACCAGACCCCAGATCACAAAGCCAACCATGCCCAGCCCCTCCCAGCACCCCAAGCCCCACGACCATCGTTCTGAATTCTGACGACACCGTGAGCCTGCCTTTGTACTTTAAACTCATGGAAGGATAACTACCTTCACGTTTTGAAATAAATGTTTCCTGTTGAAATGCTTTTAGATTTTAGACAGAAATATTGAAAAGGCACTATAGTGTCCTCCTATACCTTCCATCCAGCTGCCCCTAATAATGATGTTTTGCAGTCCCATGGCACATAAGAAATTTAGGCCGGGTGTGGTGGCTCACACCTGTAATCCCAGCAATTTGAGAGGTCGAGGTGGGAGGTTCAGGTTCACTTGAGTCTAGAAGTCTGAGACCAGCCTGGGAAACCTAGGTGGACCCGGTCTCTAGAGAAAAGTCAAAGAAATTAGCCAGGCATGGTGGCGTGTGCCTATAGTCCCACCTAGTCAGGAGGCTGAGGCAGGAGGATTGCTGGAGCCCACGAGTTCCAGGAAGCAGTGAGCCATGATTGCACCACTGCACTCCAGCCTGGGTGACAGAGTGAGACTTTACCTCTTAAAAAAATTTGAGAAATTTAATGTGGGTACAATTCTATTAACTAAATAATAATGTGAACTATTATCTAAGGTTATGAAGGCTAGAATTATCCCATTTTTGCCTAACTTCTCGTACCTGTCCCAAGATCCCACCTTGGACTCACCCTCTGCCTTCAGCTCATGTCTCTTCAGCTTCCTCCACATGGTCCAGCAAACACACACCTGGGCTGAATGGTAGAGCTGATTGCTCATACACAAAGGTAGACCGGTGGGCAGGGATTTTCAGACTTATAGAGTAAATGAGTTTTCCTTGGTGTTCTGGAGAGCACCGTTTGAGAAACACTTTGACAGTGAATCTAGGCCTCAAGATCCATCAGCTGCTCTAGCTTGAATTTTGCTCAAGCTCAGTGAACACCTGCTCTGCCGGGTGCACGTGAAAGGGACAAGGATGAGAAAGCTGTAGATAAAGAAGACAGGATGCAGGGGGTCTGTCTAAGCTCTATCCCCTGCCTTCAGCACTGAGGGATGAAATCCAACTCTTAGGGAACGGTGGCCACGTGCTGGGCCAGCCCCAGGCTCTCAGGATCTGACAGTGGGTGACGCAGAGCCAGGCCTTGCCCCTGGGGAGCTCTCCAGCATACACCTCCCTCTCCCCTCCCAGCGTGCCGCAAAGCAGGCGTCAACGCCATTGTTAATGCACGGAGGAGGAACCTGACTGTTAGACCTGGGTTTTCCAGGGTTGCACGGCTTCTGGGAGACGGATGTGACCCTGAGGACAGGGCACAGGCCAGTGTAATGCCAGGATGGAATGAGCTGTGATCTGTGCTGTATAGAGGCCTAGGCCAAGGTGGGACTGACGGATGACCAGGTCAGCCGGGTCACTGAAAACACTCTTGGGTCCTCACCTGCCGGTTCCCAGGAGTCCGGAACTGCCAGGAGAGTGGTGGCAGGTCCCCCATCCTCAGCTGGGTGGGCCTGGATAGAACAGCAAGGCGAGGGCACATTTCCCTGGGCATTCCCTCCAGGCACAGCTGTGACCTGTTCATTCCAAATTGGTGGAAGTATTTCCACACACACAGAACTGCAAATAGCAGTGGACATGGTGAGAGGCGTTTGCACATGGGATAGGCAGGATTTTGGAGGAAGAGCCTCCAGGGCTTGCCGATGGGTTAGCTGCAGGGCTTGAGAGGGAACGGAGAATCCAGGATGATGTGTTCAAATCGGTCCATTCACCTCTTCCGTTCCACGCCTGTGCTGGGCACTGGGAGAGACAGATGCACACAGGAGCCCCGGACGAGGGGAGGTGTGGGGGGAAGCCCAGAGTGTCTGGGCAGGGTAGGAAACCCAGAGCGTCTACTGGGAGCTGAAGGCTTAGGTCCACCTGGGTGCCGTCCAGGTTCTCTGCGTGTAGAAGTATAGGCTGAGCTTCCTGGAGGAGGAGCAGCTGCTGTTGCTGGTGACCAGCACATTCAGGAACGGAGACTACTCTGTCAACAGACAGGGGGATGACCTGAGGTCTGGATGGTCTAGGGGGTGGTAGGGCCCAGGAGGACCCAGGAAAGGGTCTCGGGGATGCAGAACATCCTATGGAGGGCATTTGGGAGTCAGTGCTCAGGCCACTCCGGGTCACTCAGGTCATTTGCCGGCCCCTGTCATAATTATTGCCATATGAGAGTGCCACCCGTCCTATGACATATTTTATATATTTCTGTGAATGGCCTACTTGTTTGTATTTATGAATTTATGTTTAAAGGATGGGCAGGGGTGCTCGAGAGGTCCCCAGGAGTTTCCCTCTGGGGAGAGAGGGGCCCACCCCTTCCCAGCAGCCCTCTGAGCCCCCCGATCGCTTGGCCACAGCCTCTGCCTGGAGAAAGCATCCCCCTCGGAGATATATGGACATCAGAAGAAACCTTTCTCTGTCACCAGGACAAATCCTGTTCTTACTTGAACCAAGGCCAGGTTTCCTAATGAATGCAGGGAGGACAGCACAGATCAATGAAACCAGCAGATAATCCACAAGACTGTTTCCCAGAGCTGGGAGATTTCCTTCCCTGCCAACACTTTTCCTGAAAGTTCTTAAGAATGAGGCAAACAGTTTAAGTCTCTCTCGCACTGTTCTTTTAGTGAAAGAGTTCAATGAGGAAGGAGAGGAAGTGGAGCATATGCTTAGTTTCCAAGCTGGAAAAGTGGCCCATGGTTAACCAAGACTAGATGTAAAAGCACAGGTGGCCACGGGTCCAGGTGAGCCGGTCCTACGATGGCATGGCTGCTAATGCCAGCAGATGCTCCTGTCCTCTCCTTTCAAAGACTGACTTCTTCTGGTCTTTCATTCGTTAAAATAAAATTGACAGGGCATCATCCGAGAAGCTCTACACTTTCCCTTACTTGGATTTCAGACTCTAGATTCGGCTGAGATTTGAGCTTCATGGTGAACACATTCTTGGTGTGCTTGCTGCTGAGGGGTGTGGAGGACAGAGAGATGGTGAAATGGCAAAGTGACTCTTGAGCATGGGTGGGGGAAGCCCCCACATGTCTGAGTCAGTGCCACCTGGACACTACCCTTGGAGCATCCTGCTGAGGTGGCCATTCCGGTTTTCTTTCCTTTCCTTTTATTCCACTGTTTCTGAATCACAAATAAAGATCCAAGGCAAACAGCACATTCAGATCCCCAAGCTCTCCACCTCCAATGTGACCAGGGACGTGCACCACTTCAGGCTCATGCAGGACCCACAGCCTTTGGACCTCAGCTAAGGGACCTGCTTCTCTTCAGCACACGGGGCTTGTTTGTGTTGGGGTCTGAGCCCTGAGCGCATGGTCAAGGAGACCCCCAGGTCTTTCTGAACAGAGACAGCTGGCCTGGCGGCCTCCCTCTCACTGCATGCAAGAGTCTGTTAGGGCGGCTGTCTTGCTTCTGTGTGTTGGGAAATTCAATTTAGGTACCTAAAAATGAAAAGTCCCAGGACATCTCCATGGCTTGGGATCCACAGGAGAGCATCATTGATGCTGGGGACAATTTAAACATATAGAAACCCACAGGGCTACCTTAGACAGGGCACAGGGCACAGCACCCGGGGATGCAGAGTGGAAAGTTCACCACTACAGCCTGGAATTGCCTCTGTGATGCCTTCTTCATGACACTTGGCTGCCTTCGTGGCTGGAAGGCTGAGGCCCAGATCCCAACATGGCCACAGGCTAGCAGCTTGCTTCACCTTCCTGAACTGCAATTTCTCCATCTGAGCCTTTCTCCTAAGAGGAGTGTGCAGGGTCACTTAGCCCATATGGGCCAGAAACCCCACACGGTGCCAGGCACACAGTAGGGCCTCGGCAGATGCTGCCCCCTTCTGTCTCCACCACCCTCCTGGGGCTCCCTCCTGAAACAGCCTCCCTCAGCGCCTTGAGTCTTGCATCCTAACAGCCTCTTGCACGCAGTGAGAGGGAGGCCCCCAGGCCAGCTGTCTCTGTTCAGAAAGACCTGGGGGTCTCCTTGACCATGGGCTCAGGGCTCAGACCCCAACACAAACAAGCCCCGTGTGCTGAAGAGAAGCAAGTCCTTTAGCTGAGGTCCAAAGGCTGTGAGTCCTGCATGAGCCTGAAGTGGTGCAGGTGCCTGGTCACACTGGAGGTGGAGAGCTTGGGGATCTGAATGTGCTGTTTGCCTCGGACATGAAACATCTCACAGACTGCCTGGAAGAAGGTGGAGCAGACTGGGGTTAATGGTCAGCAGCAGCAGCATCCCCACCACTGGGGCTATCCCTTTTTAGGCCCTTACCGTGGGCCAAACACTGAGCCGTGGGCTTCGTGTAACTTCTAAGCACGCTTACCTGATAGGGTGACAGCAAAGACTCGAAGAGGTGCCTGGGCTTGGCACATAGTAGCTATTGCTACTATTATGAATGTTGTTTTGTCTTTGTTTTTGTTTTGAGACAGGGCCTCACTCTGTTGCCCAGGTTGGAGTACAGCAATGCCATCATAGCTCACTGAAGCCTCAACCTCCCTGGGTTTGAGCAATCCTCCCACCTCAGCCTCCCAAGTAGCTGAGACTACAGGTGTGCGCCACCAAGCCCAGCCAATTGTTTGTATTTTCAGTAGAGACTGGTTTTGCCAAGTCGCCCAGGCTGGTTTCGAACTCTGGGGTTCAAGCAATCTGCCCACCTCAGCCTCCCAAAGTGCTGGCATTACAGGCGTGTGCCACTGCGCCCAGCCATTATGAATGTCAATATTGACATGATCTTGTATCCTTATGCCCACACTGGGAGAGGTCTGATTGTCCCCATGTTCCTGGTGTGGAACCACATGGAAGAGGCCTATGTTATCCCAACAGTGCAGAAGCACAGCCTGAGTCTCTTCTTCGGCTGAGCCAAGGGCGTGCTGGAGAGGCCTGACAGAAGAAGGAGCGGCCCTTGTGACCAGTGTCCTTTTGGTTCACAAGGAACGTCTCCTCTTGTTGAAGTGACTTGGCTGAGCTTGCTACTTCTGCTGTGAGAGTCAAATATCAGGATCAAGACTTTAATTATCCCCAATTTACAGATGATGAAACCATATTGGGCAGGAAAGAAAGTCACCCCAGGAGAGCAAGTTGGACCTGAGCACTGGCTGAGGACAAAGGGGAATGATAATTTGGGATGTAGCTTGTTAAGGGGTCTCACAAGTGTTCTTGTGATCCAGGTGTCGAGAGGATACAGCAGAAAGGTTGCCAGGGAGATGAGGGTAGGTTACACCGCAAGAGTGGGAGAAATTAAAGAGAACACGCAACAAAGCCTTGGGACACTGGGAGGGGGATGGACCACCCTGTTTTGTGCTATGGGAGAAGACAGCAAGAAAAGGAATCTGTGTTAAATCCCGAGAGCCTGCAGGAGAAGCAAATGCCCTTCATTTCCTTCATCAGCGGCGAGACTGGCATCCCTGCAGCTTTGGGAAACCATGCTAGTGTAGATGCCAGCTCACGCCAGCGGGCCTGACTGGGAGACCTTGGGCTGGGGTTCTGGTCTGGGGCTCCTAGGCCTGATGGGAGGAGAGTTCAGCCCCAGGTTTCCTGTACTTCAGCTCATATCCACACAATGGTAATTATTGAAATGAGAGACTCAAAAGAAGATGGAACGTGAACTTTTTTGTTGTCCCATGTGGACACCTGTGTTCGGTTTCCAGTTCTACCTCTTGCTGTCTGTGTGTTCTTAAGTAACTCACTTAAACCTTTCTGAGTCTCATTTTCTTCATTTATAAAATAAAAGACATAACATTTATGTCAGATATTGTCCTGAGGATTAAATGGGAGAATGAACAAGCCTCTTCTGCATTCCCCTGGCATCCAGTGGGTGGAGGCCAGAGAAGCTGCTAAACATCCTGCCAGGTGCAGGACAGCCCCCATCACAAAGAATTGACCGGATCCTGATGTCAGTAAGGCAGAATTGAGGATCCTTGGTGTGGGGGAAAAAGAATAAACTCAGAAGCTTGGCAGATCTCAGTTCAAACCCTGGTTGTATCACCTCTAGCTGAGTGACCTTAGGCAGGTCTGTGAACTCTTTGAGACTCGGCCTCCTCATCGGTAGAATGAGGTAGATAAAAATGCCAAGCTCACCCAGAAATAACCCCGTGCATATATGGTCAACAGATCTTTGACAAGGCCATCAAGGATATGCAATGTAGATTCTTTTATTCCTTTACTTTCTTAATAGACTTGCTTTCACTGTACTGTAAAAAAAAAAAAAAAAGCACAATGTAGAAAGAAAACTGTCTTCAATGAATAGTGTTGGGGAAAGTGCGTGAAAAAGAATGAAATTGCACACTTGTTTTACATCATATACAGAAAATTAGCTCAAAACGGATTAAAGATTTAAATGTAATATCTGAAACCATGTAAATCCTGGAAGTACACATAGGGAAAAATCTCCTCGACATTGGTCATAATTGGCAATTTTTTTTTGATGTAACACCAAAGCACAGGCAACAAAAGTGAAAATAAATAAATGGGACTACATCAATCTTAAAAGGTTTTACACAGCAAAGGAAACCATGACAAAATGAAAAGGCAACCTACGGGATGGAAGAAAATATTTGCGACCCATATATTTGATAAGGGGTTATTTGAAAAAATATAAGGAATTCACACAACTCAATAGCAAAAATTAATAAATACATGAATAACCCAATTAAAAATAGGCAAAGGACCCCAATGGACTTTTTTCCCCAAAGAAGATATACAAATGGCCAGACAGCATATGAAAAGGTGTTCAACACCACTAATCATCACAGAAATGCAAATCAAAACCACAGTGAGATATTGCCTCATAGGATAGGACGGCTCTTATAAAAAAACGACAAGAGATAACAAGTGTTGGCGAAAGCATAGAGGAAAGAGAACCCTTGTACACTGTTGGTTGGAATGTAAAGTGGTATAACCTTTACAGAAAACAGTATGGAGGTTCCTCAAAAAATTAGAAGCAGAACTAAGCATACCATTCAGCAATCAGGTTAGAACCTTGAAGAGAGATCTGCGCCCCATGTTTATTACAACACTATTCACAATACCCAAGATATGGAAACAGCCCAAGTGTCCAGCAACAGATGAATGGATAAATAAAATATATATAAACAATGGACTCTTAGCCATTCAAAAGAAGAAACTCCTGTCCTGGATAAACCTGGAGGACATTACGCTAAGTGAAATAAGCCAGACACCGAAAGACAAGTTTTGTATGATCTCACTTATATGTGGGATCTAAGAGAGTCAAACTCATAAAAACAGATAGTAGAATGGTGGTTGCCAAGGGCTGGAGGTGGGGAAAATGGGAAGCTATTAATCAAAGGGTGTAAACTTTCAGTTATAAGATGAACAAATTCTGGAGATTTAATGTACAGCATAGGTGGTAATGGATGTAATAAATTTGATTGTGATAATTAGTACACAATATATACATATATGAAATCATCACATTGTATGCATTAAATATATACAATCCTTGTCAACTATTTTTAAAAAAAATTTTAAAATGCCTAGGTCATAAGAATTCTGAGAATGAAATACAACATACACGAATGGACCTGCTACACAGAAGGTGCTAAATAGGTTTGTTTTGTTTTCTTTTATTTCAACTCTGGCAGATGTAGACTTATTGGGAAAGAATATAGAATGCACTTGTGCACAAGGATTATCTATACGATAGTTAAATATCCTGCATACATGCCATGTCATTTCTATTCCTCAGTCAATGGATAATAAAAGCAGAACCAGCCTTCTGGTGGTCACAAAACATTTTGACATGAGAAAGGCTGATCATGAGCAATCTGGCAATGTACATCCCAGAGCGTGCATGCCCTTTGACCCACAGCTACCATCATGTCATGTCCAGCAATTAGTCCTAAGGAGATGATCAGAGATGTGTAAAGAGATTTCATTCTAACAGCATCCTCTGTAGTGGTATATGTCAGGGGCTGGCAAACCATGTCCAGAGGAGCAGGCTGCATCTAGTCCACCACCTGTTTTTGTAAAGTTTATCAGAACACAGTCATGCCCATTCATTTACAAATTGTGTATGGCTTCTTTCCCTGCAACAGCAGAGTTAAGTGTTGCACCAGAAATCTATGGCCTGCAGAGTTTAAAATATCTACCCTTTGGCCTTTTATAAAAAAAGTTTACTGACTCCTGGTGAGTATATTAAGAAAAAGTTAGAAAAACCTAAATCTTCCAGAGTGGAGAATTAGAAAGTAAGACATGTTGTATATAAGACAGACAGTTTGTGTGTGCGTTTATTTGTAAATATATTATTTTGAAATAATGTTGTCGACATACGTTGCAGGTCTTAAAAATTGTTCAATATATAGTGTTAATCAAAAAATGGCAAACTGTAAAATGTAGACAGAATGTGATTGTGTATTTTGTGCATACACCAACAGAAAAGGGTGCTAGGAAACCTGTGGACCAACATACTAAGTGTGGCTCTTTTGATGGTGGTATCATGGATTTTTAAAAATCTTCTTGGTTTTCTGTAGATTCTGACTTTCCTGTAATGAGTATGAATAAATATGTATTTCTTGAGAAATGTGAAAATAACTTTATCTTCCCAGATTTCTCATAATTGAAAATGTTGGAATAAATGGTCCTGGGACAGATCTTTCCATTGAGAAGGGCAGAAGGGAAACCCTGGGGATTCAGCTGGGTTTCTGTTGCATTTCTAGTAACACACAGTTGTGAAAGGCCAGTGTTGGCCATTCCCCAGGACAGTCTGGGGTAGAGGAGGTCAGGATTTAACTACCTGAGGGTCCGGGGAACAGATGTGGCCACAGTCCTTCCTGACTCACTGTTTTCCCTTCCACAGTCCCCGTCTTCTCTTCACTGATGCACACAGAAGCCTGACCAGAGGAGAGATTTAGTTTTCATCTGAGGATTATCTGTTATGTTGCAGTTCTGAAATTCCCATAATGTTTAAGCTAGAACACAATTGATTTCATTATCTCCAAAGTGTATGGCTTGATAGAAATATATTCCATTATGTAGCACCTTAAATCCAGATAAAACGTAAAGAATTTCTATTCCATGTTTGTATGATCAATGTTAATAATATAAGAAAATCTAAAAAGTAGCTATATCCTATATTACAGTATGAAATAAATATGCTGAATGATTTGTTTTGGGGGGTGGAAAGGTGTAAGACTGAGGAGGGTGCCTGTGGGGAACACTAATAGGAGTCCTTTCTTAAGGGTTGAGTTTTATATATGTCTTTTAAAATAGATGATATCATTAATAAATTATCTGTGGGCATCATGAAAAAAGTGTATAACGTACAACTTTATGAGCTTGACAGTTGGTGAAACACTTTTCTGTTTAAAATTTTATTTGACCCTCCCCAAAAGAAATGTTTATTTATGAGTATTAGGATAGTTCCAGTAGTAATGCCTCAAAAGAACCAGGAGGAATAGTGTTGTCTAAAATGTGGACTCAGGAGCCAGACTGCCTGGCTGTGCAACTAGCCTTGTCATTTCCTAGATATGTGGTAAGTTAATTAACTTCTCAGTGTTCTTATCTGTAGAATGGGGATAATCATAATATACATCTCAGGGTTATATTAAAAATTGAAAAAGTTAATTTTGTAAAGCACTTAGAATAATATCTGGCAAATAAAATTGTTTATAAAAGTAAACCCTATAAAAGTGTTTACTCATTAAATACAATAATCTGAAACCATTAGTGATTTAAACATTTGTGGCGGACTTGGCAATATTTATGAAAATAAATACTGTATTTATAATCTTTGACCTTATTTTACTCCTAGGAATTTATTGTCCAGCAAACATTTTCACAGGCAGACAAAAATATTCCTATAAATTCATGTTCATTACATCAATCTGTGCAAAACGAATAAACAGACAATTAAAATAGCCATCAAAAGGAGTATTGATTAAATGAATGATAGTAAATCCATTCATTAGTAATCACATTATCGAAAAAGAATGAGACATATTTATGTGACGTGGGAAGATCCATAACTAATGTTAAATGGTAAAACATATAAAATGTTATGCCCAATAAAATACTTTCTGTGAGAGAATATGTTAATTTATGCAAGTGGCGCCAATGTGGAGGGTTTATGCTAATTTCATTATACCTCACAGACAGACCTGGGCTCTCCCACTCATTATCTATGTGGCCTGGGGTAAGTCATTTAACTGCTGGAAGCCTCAGCTTCTTCATCTGTCAGGCAGTGATACCCTGACTACTCTGCAGGGTAACTCTGAGATTTCAACGTGATCATCTCAGAATATGCCTGGCAAACAGTAGGAGCTCAGAACTTGATTTTTTTTCCTACAGCAACTGCTGTAGGGGATAGCAGCTAATGCATGAGGTTGGTAAATCCTTATATATATCAAATATTGTAGAAACATAACTACATGCTACTATTTTTTCAAACCCTCCCCCCACCCTTTTTTTTCCCCTGAGACAGAGTCTCACTCTGTTGCCCAGGCTGGAGTGCAGTGGCGCCATCTCGGCTTGGCTCACTGCAACCTCTGACTCCCGGGTTCAAGCGATTCTTGTGCCTCAGTCTCCCAAGTAGCTGGGATTACAGGCATGTGCCACCATGCCCAGGTAATTTTTTTGGTGTTTTTAATAGAGATGGGGTTTCACCATGTTGGCCAGGCGGGTCTCCAGCTCCTGGCCTCAAGTGATCCGCCTGTCTCAGCCCCCCAAAGTGCTGGGTCAAACCCCTCATATCCAGTAAAACAGCCTCACTGGGTCAATGGATATCATGTGGCTGCCTAACATTTTTACTTTATAAAAGGTCTTCCTGAGGCCATTTGAAAGTATGAATAAAAACACCTTAAGATGAACAGGGCCACAGGTTTGCATGAGGCTTGTCAGTGGACCTCCAGGATGAAGACCAAAGTGACTGTGCAATTTCTAGTGGAATAATTTTCACTTAAGATCTTATTTATTTATCAAAAGACCACTGTGAGGTAGGAATTCTTAACCCCAATTTGCAGAAACTGAGACTTTGCCTGGCACCACAGAGCTAGGAAAAGGTGGGCATACGATCCTCACCAAGTCTGACTTCCAAAGGAAGATTTGAAAAGAAACGTCCTTGCTACCTGCCAAATCTCTGTAGAGCCAGCAGCCATGTTCACACATGAAACAGGACAATGACCAATGACAATAGCACCAGGAATAGCTACTCCTGGTCAGATGCCCTCATGACCTCAACTCCGCAGGATGGGGACACCGGGCCCTGCTTAGGGGAAAGGAAGGGGGTTTGTAGAGGAAGCCCAGCCAGCCAAGCAACCAGAGATGGGAAAAACCCATTGGGAAGAATTTGCTTGCTCTAGCTGGGCTTTGCAAAGAACAGGAAAAGATGAGTCTGCACGGACAGAAATGGTCCCGAGTGGGGAGCTTGGCCATGAGCATGACTCAGGGCGTGGTCAGCAGCTGCCATACCAGGACACACGATATGCAAAGATGCTGGGTGGGTGGTTCTTAAAGGTTTTGTGCCTTGAGAAAACTAAAGGATGCAGACGTGGGCAGAAGGTGGCTCTTTAAAAGTGCTTCAGGCAAGGAGGCATTTATGGCATGGTGGAAAGTGGTCTGGATTTGAGTTGAAGAGACCAGCCTTGCCGTTTATTTTGTAACAGATCACTTCACCTTCTGGGCCGTAATTTCCATGTCTGTGCAATGAGAATAACATTATAACTAAGATGTAACAGGAAATGAAAGCACAAGTGTAAGAAGTCCCCATACTTTCACCTCATCCACTCTAACCAGGGCTGACACGTATGATTTTCCAGGTTGTGCACTGAACAACTATGTCTGGTGGCCAGGATGAGTGGGACCATCATCCATCTCCAGTGTCATTTCTGAAGTGCTCCACCCTGGCACTGCCTGCACCTAGAGGGAGGGACACTTTTCCTAAATAGGATAAAGGTGCTGTCTGTTTACCCATGGGACTCTGTCTACTGGAAGGGGGCCTTTCTCTAATTCTCACACAAGCATCATTTGAACTAGTGGTGGTCTTCATGCAGACTGCCATGACTTTCTGCATTCGAATGCAGGCTGTTTATACACACATTTCTCACCCTCTATGGAGCTGAGGCTATGGTTTTCCTGTCTGGAACCAACTACTCTTTAGTACAAACTGGGGACAATTGTAGGCATGAAAACCTAATGGGACTCTGTTTATTCTGGGAATAGGGTAGAGATGAATCCTGCCTGGGATGTGGGAAAGGAAGAAAGCCTTTGACTCATCCCTTTAAGAGAAGGGGCTTTTGGCAATCTGGGGTCTTTATCTTTTCTGAGTTCCTGGCTGACACTGATGTTTTAAAGGCTAACACAATGTGGAAGTTCCAACTCCCAGGCTGACCATTAACTCCATCCCATGCCACAAGCACCCCAGGAAGCCAGGGTTGGAACCCAGAGCCAGGGAGATGGGTGGCAGCCCAGGCTCACAGGAGCCAGTTTCTTAAGCCTGGAGCATGTCAGGCAGAATCAGGCATAACCTGTCCAGAGTGTGCTGGAGATGGGCTGTCCTGGAGCTGGAGAATCATGCACAGAAAGGAGGACCCAAGAAATGCCCTCAGGCTAGGAGGAGAAACCCACATGACTATTGTGGAAAGTGTGGGTTTTGGTGTAGAATTTTTACTCTTTGATGATTTGAGCACTTTTCATCACCATGGTGGGCCGAGGACCTGCCCCAGCCCCCAGATGTTGCTCCAGACAATGAGTTTTGCAGCCCGCAGTGACTGTTTTCCCTCTTCAGCTGCTCTACTTGGGAGGCTGGCTCTGTTAGGAAGGTGCGGGCAACACTGCTCCCCCGCCCCAGGATTGAACCAGGACAAAGACATATCCAGGAAAGCCGCTGTGGCCAGCCTGAGCATAAGAGAGACTGCGACTCCCTGCCCAGTGGAAATACACTATACTGCAAGATGCCAAAATGAGCCACTCGAATCCTCTTTTTCGGGAAGTCAAAAGTACGGTGAGGCATGAGAAGAAGGATCTCCAGCTCCAATTTGGTCTCCCTCTTGTGGCTGAACACACTGTTACCAGATGCTTATGAAACCATTTGCATATGGTACAAGCCCATGTGGGAGAAATGAGAGCTCTGTCAACTTCTACCCATCTTCTGTCCTCTCCTGACAATGCATCTCCATCACTAATGGTGGCCTCTGGGTTTTACTTTCTTCTGTGCACAAAGAAAACAACTGGTGGCACCTGTACATAGAGAATTCCAGAGGCAGGAAACTCTCCCTACTTTTGGACAGTGCACAGCAAAGAGAATGTAGTTGGAAGTTCAGCCAACCTGGATTGCAAGCCACCTGTAGCAACATGGCCTTAGACGAGTCACATGACTGCTGGGAGCAACAATCTAGAAGAGTGGTGAAGATACCTAGGTCATCAGAAGGTTAAATAGAATAATGTGTGTGACTGGGCAGAGCACACAGAATGCACCAAATATGTGTTTTTTAGATTCTTTCCCAAATCTAGGAGATGCAACTTAGCAATGAAATGCCTTAAAACCTAAAACAAAAAGTTATAAAAATACATTCATGGTCATGGAAAAATATACATTAGGTAAAAAAATAAAGGGAGATTATTAATGTATGTAAAATGTAATGTAGTAGCTAGTTTGCATACACACTTACAAAATAAAAGTTCTGTAAGGATATGCACCAGCCGGTTTACTGTGGCTAACTCTTCTAGGTTCTAGCAGCCCTGACAGGTTTCTGTTGCATTTCCCAGCGACCATGACCCCTAATCCCCTAAGCCCCTAAGCCTCCCTCTTTTCTGCTCACACAGAACTGATGAGAGGAGAGACTCAGCTCAAAAGTGTTGAGTGAATGAAATCGTTTCTTAAAATATTGGGTTTATAGTTTCCTTTTAAAAAAATGAAACAAATGATTTAATTTTTAAGATTTTTTTCTGGAAAAATAAAAAATCTTATTTTAAAACATATAATGTTAATGTTAATATTTTCCCCCTTAAAATCTCATTTGATACTCCCATCAAATAAGATTTATTCTTTAGGATTTGAGTAATTCTGGGAATAAAGCCTTAATAAATCAGGAAGGACAACATAGTCATCAAGTGCCTGGGTGCTGCAGACCCTGGTTTCCAAACCAGCTATTTTCTGTCTAACTTCTGCCAAGTTACTTTGTCTCTCTGAGCCACAGTCTTCTTATGTATAAAACAGAATCATTAAAGTTCTCATCTCAGGATGTCATGAGGAGTCAAGCTCTGGGAGCAGTACCTAGCACAGCACAAGCATGACATAAGTATTTGCTAAGTGAATGAATAAAAATTTGATGATCTTTTATTATGCTGCCTGATTTGGTAGTATGTGTTAGTAAATGTTTGTAACTAATTTTATCATCTCACTCTTAGGAATTTTAAAAAATCACTTCTAGAGGTGTACAAAAATACTTGCATATGATCCAGTTCATTTCAGCATTATATGCAAGGACAAAAAATTGCAAACCATTAAAATGTTCACTAAAGGAATGTTGGTTAAATAGATTATAGTAAATTCATTTAATGGAGTATGACATAGTCCTTTAAAAGGATAAAGTAGGTAGATTTGTAGGTTGATAGAAGTATCTATTCACAATTATTGTTAAATGAAAAAATATGTTATAAAAGGTTAGGTATAATATACTTTATATAGCATTAACCTAGTATCTGTGAATATTTTCAAATACAGTCCACGGTGGATATTTCTCTCATGCTACACAGACAGATGAGGGTCAGGATCTTGGCTCTGCCCCTTATTATCTGTAGAACTCTGGGAAATTCATTGAGCCCCTCGGAGCCTGTTTCCACGTGTATAAAATGGTGATAATAACAATTATTCTGCAGAGTTGTTTTAGGTTTTCTTTTCTTGTCTTTTCTTGTTTTGCTTTGCTTTGTTTTGAGATGGAGTGTAGCTCTGTTGCCCAGGCTGGAGTGCAGTGGTGTGATCTCAGCTCACTGCAGCCTCTGCCTCCTGAGTTGAAGCGATTATCATTCCTCAGCCTCCCGGGTAGCTGGGATTACAGGCATATGCCACCACACCCAGCTAATTTTTGTATTTTTGGTAGAGATAGAGTTTCACCATGTTGGCCAGCCTGGGCTTGAACTCCTGGGCTCAACTGGTCCACCCACCTTAGCCTCCCAAAATGCTGGGATTACAGGCATGAGCCACCATGCCTGGCCCTGTTTCAGGTTTAAATGCCATAACCTCCATGAAAATCCCTAGCAAGCAGCAGGTACTCAGGGTGGTGTTTGTTCCCACAGTGACTGTATGTATCTGGGGGACAACACGGGTAATGCATGAGATTCACAAGTCCATATGTAACCCACACATTGTCTGTAAAATTAATAAGTGATGTTTTATTCTTTTCAAATATAAGTAGAGACTGCTGTAAATAACACAAACTCCTATTTAGTGGCATTACTGAATCCATTAGGCATGTATGCAGATACTTTATTACTACAAATTTAGCTATCCTATGAGTAATTTAACATTTCTGATGTTTTAAAAGGGCCCTCATGAGGCAATTTGAAAATATGTATCTAAAGCCTTAATATTAGGCAGGGCCCTGGGCTTTGAATAAAGACTCGTTTTGAGGTCCACAGAGAGGAGACACAAGGCCACAAGATGGTCCCATGGCTAGCAAGTGGCAGAGTCCAGATCCAAAGGATGTCTGTCTGACTCCAGACCTCAGGATCTTAACCCCCACACGATGCTAATGTTCCTTACTGACCAAGGGAGGTTCAGAGAAGGTACATACCTAGTGCCAACTTCACACTACCATTTATCGAGCACTTGCTATGTACTCAATAAATAAGCACTAAGAGCTAGGTGATTGTACAACCTTATTCAAGTCTCAGAACAACCCTACAAGTAGAAACTATTGTCTCCATTTTAGAATGAAAGAGGCTCTGGGAGTTTGATTCACTTGCACAAAGCCACAGAACTAGGAAAAGGAGGGTGCAGGGTTTGAATCGAGTCTATCTGACTTCAGCCCCCCTCACAATGCTATACTGCTGCCAGTCTCGGTGGGGCTTGGACTATGATGACGGCCCCAGAAATGGCTGTCGCTGTCGGATGCCCCCATGATCTCATGTCTCACCCAGCTCCTGCTTAGAAGGCGAGAGAGTGGTTGTGGAGGAAGTCCAGCCAGCCAGCCAAAGATGGGAAACCCCACTGGGACAGAATTTGTTTTCTCCAGTTCGGACTTGGCAGAGAGCAGGAACGCATGGGTCTGAGGTGGAAGAAACGGTCCTGTGGATGAGTCAGCAGCTGCCACAGCAGAAAGCATTTGTGGCCGCTCTGTGCAAAGACGCTGGGTATTTCTTTTGCTGTTATCTTATAGTTTGAGTGGTTTGGAGGAAAAGGCAGAAGCATGTGGACAGCAGCTCCTCATGATTACTTCATTCGGGGAGGCAGCATGCTGTGCTGAAAAGTGTTCTGGCTTTGGTGGCAAAGAGATCAGCTTTGCCATTTACCAACTGCTTGATGTGGGACACATTTCATCTCTCAAAGACCCAGTTTCCATGCATTTGAAATAAGGATACAATATTTACTTCAGAAAGCTGTTATGAAGAGTAAATGCAGATGTGAAATTTACAGATATTTCCACCTCATCTGCTCCAGCCAGTACTGCAGTGGGAAGGTCATGCACTGCACAGTGATTGCCAGTAGATGGCGCAATGGGCCTGCCGCCATCCCAGGCTTTGTTTCTGAACCCAGCGGGAGAGGGAGATGACAGAAATCTTTATTGCAAACTGGGGGACACCATTAGCTACAGTGGCCTCCTGGGATCACCATTTGCAATATAAGCCCAGTGACTTAAAGGAGAGAGTGGAGAGGAATCATGGTAAGGTAAGCAAAAGAAAAAGACATTTTGTTTATTTCTCAGTTTCCTCATCTGTAAAATGTGGGTGCTATAAATCCACACATCATAAAAAGCTCTCAAGATTAAAAAAAAATGTATTTGAAAAGATCTGAAACAAAGCGGGTGCTAAATATGTGTTTCATTCATCCTTTTCCCACTCTGGGGGATTCCAACTTATTACAAAAGATTGCTGAAACATTCCTCCAAACAAGTAAATATTTCACAAACGTAACTGAGGTTTTTTTTTTTTTTTAATGTATGTGACTTAAAATTGTAAACTCAGATGAAATTACACCTACTGTCAAATAGTGAAAAATTAAACTATAGCCAGTATTTTGAGGTTGATCAAAACTTTTTGGCATAAAAAAATGTACCCTCGTAACAGCAATTTGGCAATGTATTTTTGGAGTTTAAAAAGCGTGCATGCTGGCCAGGCACAGTGGCATGTGTCTGCAATCCCAGCTACTTAGGAGGCTGAGGTGGGAGGATAGCTTCAGCCCAGGAATTTGAGACCAGCCTAGGCAACAGGGATTCCTAATTTTTTAGGGATCTCTAAAAAATTAAATAAAATTAAAATGTAAAAAATGCATGCATTTTCACCTAGAAACACTTCAAAGAATATTTCCTGATGAAACAATCAACTGTGCATGGAAAGATTTCATTCTAAGGAATCTTTTGAAGTCTAAATATCTATTGGTCAAGAATTAGTAAATAAAATATGGTATATCTACATGGTGAGAATGATGTGAAACCTTGGGGGGAAAATGAAATTGTAGAAATACATCCACTGACAGGGAAAGCTGTTTACTGTATATTGGTGAGTGAAAAAAAAAAGAAGAGGTCCAAAATTATGTAGAGTGTGATGCCTTGATTATTTTGCACACACACCCCATGGATCAAAGTATGAAAGGACGTGACAAAACATGTAACTATATTTATCTGCTGGTAATGAGATTATGAGCAAGTTTTACCATCTCTTTGTTCTATATATCTGACTTCACTATAATGAATATCTATTCCTTGGGAAATATGAAATGATTTTTCTTTTCAGGATTCTCATACTTGAAAATGTGGGGGTAATGGGTCTTAGGATCAGCCCTTCCCTCAGGAAGGGTGAGAGCAGAAGGAGCCCTCAGGCCTTTGGGGACATTTCTGTCACATTTGTGGGTGACCGCACTACTGTGAAAATCCAGGTATCACCAAATCTTTAATCAGTCTCGGTCAGGCCAGGTGGGGAGAGTCAGGACTCACCTGCTTGGGGATGAGGTTTTGGGGAGGGGGAACAAAGATGTGCCAGCAGCCCTTCCTGATGCAACATTTTCCTTCCTTGTAGTCCCCGTCTTTTCTGCATTGGTGCACACAGATGCCTGACCAGAGGAGAGACCCAATTAACAGCTTTCAAGTATTACATATAGAAAATAACATTTTCAAATGCCCTTTAAGATATCGTCAAAACCATCAATTACCTAGAGATAAATCTAACAAATCTTGTGCAGAAAATTACACGATATTACAAACAAAAATTTGTAGGTACCTTAATAAATGGAGGGATGTGCCGTGTTTGTGGATTAGAAGATTCATTATTATAAAGCTGTCAGTTTTCCCCAAATTCAACAATAAATTTAATACAATCTCAGTCAAAATCTTAGAAGGATTTTTCATGAAAATTGATAAACTGATTCTAAAACTTATATGAAAATTCCAAAAGGCAAGAATAATCAAGACAGTCTTAAACAAAGTTGAGGGACTTAAGCTACCATTTATCAGGATTTATTATAATGTGGCAGTAAATGGAACAGCAGTGCAAGATACCAAATAGATCAGTGTAACAAAAACACACCATCTCATAATTTATGACAAAGGAGCCGCTGTAGTTCAAAGAGGGAAAGAATGCTTTTTCAGTAAAGGTAGCTGGCTTGATTGGCTTATTCATGTAAACAAAAAGGAACCTTGACTCCTACCCCACACCACACACAGAAATCTCTTCCAAATGGATCATGGACTTAATGTGAAAGAAGAAACAATAAAGCTTTTAGAAGATATTGTAGAAATAGTTTCATGATCTTGGGATAGGCAAAGATTTCTTCTTCTTCTTGTTTTTTTTTTTTTTTTTTTTTTTTTTTTTTTTGAGACAGAGTTTTGCCCTTGTCACCTAGGCTGGAGAAAATGAGCTGGGTTGGCCTTATTCTCCTTTTTTCGTATGAATGTATGGGGTACAAGTGTAATTTAGTTACATGCATAGATTGTGTAGTGGTGAAGTCAGGGTACCTGGATAATGTACATTGTACCCATTAAGTAATTCCTCATCATCTACCTTGTCCTACCCTACCCTCCACCACTGTCCCAAGTCTCTACTGTCTATCATTCCACATGCTATGTCCATTGCATGTTTGTGTTCCCCCCAAATTCATATGTTGAAACCAAATCACCAATGTGATTGTATTAGGAGATGATGGAGGGGTTGTGGAGGTGAATAGATCATGATAATGCAGCCCTTATGAATGGAATTAGTGTCCTTATAAAATAGGCCCAAGGGAGCTAGTTCACCAGTTCTACCATGTGAGGTTGCAGCAACAAGTTGGGATTCTGCAACTCAGAGGAGGGCCTTCACCAGAACCTGGCCATGCTGACACCCTGATCTTGGACTTTCCATTCTCCAGAATGGTGAGAAATAAATTCCTGTTATTTATAAGCTATGGTATTTTGTTATAAAAGCCAGAATGAACTAAGACAGAAATAAATGAGTTAGAGAAAGGTGGCTCCATTTTCAAGCAGAAATTAGATTATAGAAAAGCTGGGGATTTCTAAGTGGGAAAATTAAATTATTTCTCACCTGTAGTCTCTCAAGCCATTAAAGGAAACTCAAAGTAATATATAGTCTCAGTGGTAAAAGTCTAATAAAAGGTATGGCTGTAGGACACTCTGTTAAGAGCTCTGTAAGATTGAAAGTCGTGCTTAGTAGATACTTTGAGCTAGACAAAATGGCTCCTAAAAATTTTAGGGTTCTTGTCCAACAGATGCCTGCAACTCTCAAAGAAGAGAAAGACCTGTTCACAAAAGAATTGTGCTAGAGACTTTTGGGTCATGGAGATCTGAACCAGTTTCACAGGAAACCTTTGAGGTTCTTAAAAGAATTGTATTGTTAAAAGCACTACTGCTCACACTATGAGGGACTAAGACAAAATCTTTAGAAAACTGTTGGCCCTCATATTTCTGCAGACAGGCAGCAGGATGAAATACCTACTGTGTTAAAGGTTCCCAAGACATTTTTAGGCTCAAAGTTTTGCTAGGAGGACTCACAGGACTCAGCATATAGTCATATTCATGGTTCTGATTTATTACAGTGAAGGATACAAAACAAAATCCACGAAGGGAAAAGGTATATGGGCAAAGTCTGGAGGAAACTAGGTGTAAGCTTCCAAAAGTCCCCTCCCTGTACAGTCACACAGTAATAACTTAATTTCTTATGCATCGAGTTGTGACAGCCCATGTGAAATATTGTTCACCAGGAAAGTTTGCCTGAGCCTAGGAGTTGAAGATTTTTACTGGAGGCCTGTCGTATAGGCACTCCTTCTACCCAGCATGTGCCAAAATTCCAGACTCCCAGAAGTAAAACATGTATTCAGCATAAAGCATACTGTTTGCACAAAAAGTTTAGGCACAGTGAGGCACTCTTGTCATTTAGGGAAAATTTTGTATCAGTGTAGAGAACTGTTTAACATTCAAGCTCCCAGATGTCAGCCAAGGGCCAACTTTGCAAGCAGGCCTTTCTAAGGACTATATTCTCAGGCCGGCCATGTTATCTCTTCTGCACAGCTAATCAGATGCAAGTGCAAACTTGATGGTAACAGAAATTTCAGTGATTCCCCGGGATTGGTTACTATGAGGTGAATGTTTGTGTCCTTCCCAAATCCATAAGATGAAATCCTAACCCCCAGGATAGTGGTGTTGCAAGCTGGGCCCTTTGGGAGGTGATTAGGAATTAGGGGCAGAGACCTCATGAATGGGATTAGTGCCTTTATAAAAGAAACCCTAGGGAGGTTGTTTGATCCTTTCACCACATGAAGACACAGCAAGAAACTGCCATCTATGAATGAGGAATCAGGCCCTCACCAGATACTGAATCTGCTGCCACCTTGATCTTGGACTTCCCAGCCTCCAGAACTGTGAGAAATAAATTTCTGTTGTTTATAAATGACCCAGTTTATGGTATTTTATTACAGCAGCCTAAATAGATTAAGACAGCAGCATTACTTTTAAATTACTATTTAAATTACTATTAAATACTATTAAATTACTTTTAAATTACTCTTTTGGTCATAGTGGTGGGATAGTTCCAAGGGGGTTCCTCTTGACGTATTCTATCATAATAGCCCTCACCCCATCCATCAGGGAGCAAATGTGAAGTTTTTCCCAGTGTTTAAGATAACAATTACAACTAAGCACTCAAGACCTGAGAAAGTGACCACAGGAAGAGTTTGTGGAACCACTGGGCTCACTGTGAAATGGGCAGAAGCCAAAACTCCATTCAACACCTGACTTCGAAAAGCCTGCACTCTGATCAATGCAGGGATATTTTAGTTCCCAAATATCAGTGTCAGATCAGAGCACTGTCCAGTCATTGCCTCAGAGCCTGGGTAGTTCCCTCTCTCCAATGCTATGTCACCAGTGAATGATTGCAAGTCCCATTAGATAAGCATAGAAGGAAACTTTACAGTACTCACTTGTGGCAATGTCCCATGGTCCTCTCTTAGTGGGAGCTGACTTCCTCCTAACTCAAAGGGTTCTGGTCTGTAAACTGGTTGGTTTTGGTTTTGGGAGGAGAAGCCATTCCTTTCCAGTATGGTGTTCCTAACATATGTCTGTTCCCTAGGCCAAGAAGTTGTGTGCACTCTCTTGCTCTCTCGCTTTCTCTCTTTCTGTCTCTCTCTCTCTCCCCTCCTTCCCCTCCTCATCTCTTTCTTCCTCTGTCTCTCCTTCTCTCGTATAGATCCACAAAGGCCTCAGTAGTTTGCCCATATCTTCCATCCTAAGAACACCATGCCTAGTTAGCCATTGCCAAAAACATACACATATTCCTTAGATTAGTGCTGATATAACTTGGCAAAATATTTTAGTATTTGAGCATGTATTCTATCTCCTCCCAGGTCAGATTTTGGACTTCACCTTTGGAGTGCAGCTGGATTATGACTCTTGTCCTCCCAGTATTCTGAGGCAATGAGAGGCAATGGACTATAGCTCTCCAAGACATTCAGTAGAAATTATTATAGAAACTTCAGGCAAGGGGGTGGCAGCTTCCTCAGGGGAGCTGGGGCTGTGACTGCTGGTAGAGAGAGTCAGCGCAGCTCTGGGAAGTTAAGGTGCTCATATTTGTCAGAATCATTGCAATCTGTAAGGCCCTACTTTCCCCTCTTCATGCCTTAGTTTAAATATGAGAGACCTGGCAAAGCTGAGATTCAACTTGCTTTGTAATTCATAGTCAACCTGTCAAATTTGGTTCTCATCTCAGATAAAATGGAAACAGACTTCCTTAGGGCAGAATACATGTTAGCTGTTTCTCTGACCTTGTCTTCAACTAAGGATTGAAAGCCCTGAGCTTATGTTTTCTGTAAACTCTCCAGTGCAGTTAGAAGGTGGCATCCCACTCCATGTAACCACCATAATGTTCTATTTTAAGAGCTCCTTGGGTATTCTAAAGACTTCCCTTTAAAAGGCATTTCATCGAAGCAACTATAGGTGATAATTTCAGTATCTATCTTGCCAATCTGTGACCTGGACTCCTGGGATCCTACTTTCCACCAGCAATGTGGCCGTTACTGCCTTTAAACACAACCTGCAGAGATAACCAATCCCAGATTTCCATCTTTAAGGTGTGGTTTCCTGGAATCTTGTTCTCTGTCTACAGCACCTGCACTGGTCCAGAGCCAGGTCTCTGTATTGTCAGTGAATTGGTGCTGGTTGGGAGGATGCTGATTTTTAAGAATTGCAGGCCAGGCGCAGTGGCTCACGCCTGTAATCGCAGCACTTTGGGAGGCCAAGGCGGGCGGATCACGAGGTCAGAAGATCAAGACTATCCTGGCTGACATGGTGAAATCCAGTCTGTACTAAAAATACAAAAAAAAAATTAGCCGGGCTGGGTGGCGGGTGCCTGTAGTCCCAGCTACTCAGGAGGCTGAAGCAGGAGAATGGCGTGAACCCGGGAGGCAGAGCTTTCAGTGAGCCGAGATCGTGCCACTGCACTCCAGTCTGGGCGACAGAGCAAGACTATGGCTCCAAAAAAAAAAAAAGAATTGCAGCACGCACATTTAATAGTAAGAAGGACCCAGACTTTGTAAAGATACATCAAGGGCTCATTCAGGAAAAATATTCTAGAAATCAGCCACTCTAGTATTCCCCTTGAAATCTTCAGAAATCAGACTTTAGCCTAGACCCATTGTGGAACTTTTCCTTCTAGTGTTGTAGTTCCAGGGTGCAGAGAACAGCCAGGAAACCCTGTGGAAAGCCTTGTATTATCAGGAAGCTAGAGGCCCATCCTTGGACTTGGCACTGGACAAAGGAAATAACTCTACACACTTTATGACAATACCACAGTATCTTGAGTAGTGTAGCTTTATAGTAGATCTTGAAATTAGATAATGTGAATCCTCTAAGTTTGTTCTTCCTTTTTTAAGATTGTTTTAGCTAGTCTAGATCATTTTCATTTCCATATACATTTTAGAATAAGTCTCAATCTTTAAAAGAAGATTACTATAATTTTGATAGAGATAAGTTGAATCTATAGATTAATTTGGGGAAAATGAACATTTAATACTATTGAATCTTTCTGTCTGTCATTGTGGTATAAATCTCCATTTATTTAGGTTTTATTTATGTGCTTACAAACAAGTCCACTCAAGTCCTTCTCATATGGCCTCTCTGCAAAGCCACTTGAGCCCAGAGACCCATCACTGCCCCCACTTCACCTTTGCCAGTGTCCTCATAGGAATGCCGCCCTGTGCAGCAGGACATTCTCTCCAGCCCAAAGCTGAGAGTCTAAGTGACAGGATGGTGCTGTGTTCCCACTAGCATTTACTCCATTGGTCACATCATGTTCTGGACAGCAATGGGGAGACTGCTTCTCTCCTCACAGGGCTCAGAAGTCCTGTGAGATATTGGCTGGAGAAGACAGGTAGAAAGCCACTTCCTCCATTCCTCCTGCCTCTGTCTCTGACATGGGTACCCCAGACTTCCTGGAAGGTTATCCTCACCCAATTCATGTTACTAACTCATAGGAGGGACATTTTTAAACTTGAAAATTCATATTTCATAATTACTTTTGGTTCTTTACAGTATTTTTCAGCCACCTCTTATGTAAGGACTTTTTTTTCCTTTTGCACAGGTGTTGATGGGAGCATTCATATCTTGTGAGGCTGACTTTGTGGAATGTATGACCTCAACTTTGACCACGGCTGGGAGATGGGAGGTTGGGTGTGGGGTGACCTCCTAACCATCGTTCCATCAGCCATGTGGGTTTCGTAAAATGAATGTGATCCCTACTCCTCCAGGCCACCCTCTTCCTTTCCAGCCCTCACGTCTTTCATTCCAAGAGCAAAGGGGCCATTTCTGTGAGATGTCTAATTTTTGAAGGTGCTGTGATTTCTCTTGATCATCAGTATAGAAGGGGCTGTTGCATCTTGTTCAGCTATCTCTGAACAAGGTGGCGAAGCTGAGATTCATCTTGAATCTCGGTTGAGATTTAATTGATTTAATTGATGTTTACATGCCATTTTAGATCTCTGCACAACATGGAATACAAATACAACAACTATTCTGTCTGGTTTAAAAGTACCATGCACAATCTGTCTTGATAATGACCTTCCTGATGTAAGTGGATTTGGACCTCTATAGATTCTATTTGTGATTTTAAAAAATGAAAATGTATGTGAAGGGATGGGTTGCCCCTCCACACCTGTGGGTGTTTCTCGTGAGGTGGAACGAGAGACTTGGAAAAGAAAAAGACACAGAGACAAAGTATAGAGAAAGAAATAAGGGGACCCGGGGAACCAGCGTTCAGCATATGGAGGATCCCGCCAGCCTCTGAGTTCCCTTAGTATTTATTGATCATTCGTGGGTGGGTGTTTCTCCGAGAGGGGGATGTGTCATGGTCACAAGACAATAGTGGGGAGAGGGTCAGCAGACAAACATGTGAACAAAGGTCTTTGCATCATAGACAAGGTAAAGGATTAAGTGCTGTGCTTTTAGATATGCATACACACAAACATCTCAATGCTTTACAAAGCAGTATTGCTGCCCGCATGTCCCACCTCCAGCCCTAAGGCGGTTTTTCCCTGTCTCAGTAGATGGAACGTACAATCGGGTTTTATACCGAGACATTCCATTGCCCAGGGACGGGCAGGAGACAGATGCCTTCCTCTTGTCTCAACTGCAAGAGGCATGCCTTCCTCTTATACTAATCCTCCTCAGCACTGACCCTTTACGGGTGTCCGGCTGGGGGACGGTCAGGTCTTTCCCTTCCCACGAGGCCATATTTCAGACTATCACATGGGGAGAAACCTTGGACAATACCTGGCTTTCCTAGGCAGAGGTCCCTGCGGCCTTCCGCAGTGTTTGTGTCCCTGGGTACTTGAGATTAGGGAGTGGTGATGACTCTTAAGGAGCATGCTGCCTTCAAGCATCTGTTTAACAAAGCACATCTTGCACCACCCTTAATCCATTTAACCCTGAGTTGACACAGCACATGTTTCAGAGAGCACGGGGTTGGGGGTAAGGTCATAGATTAACAGCATCTCAAGGCAGAAGAATTTTTCTTAGTACAGAACAAAATGGAGTCTCCTATGTCTACTTCTTTCTACACAGACACAGTAACAATCTGATCTCTCTTGCTTTTCCCCACAGTATGAATTTAAATATAAATAAAAGTTTACAATGAAAAGTAATAATTTTCTGGCTGGGTGCAGTGGCTCACATCTGTAATCCCAGCATTTTGGGAGGCCAAGGTGGGCAGATTGCTTGAGTACAGGAGTTCAAGACCAGCCTGGGCAACATGGTGAAATCCCATCTCTACTAAAAATACAAAAAATTAGCTGGGCTTGGTAGTGCATGCCTATTGTCCCAGCTACTCAGGAGGCTGAGGTGGGAGAATCACTTGAGCCCAGGAGATGGAGGCAGCAGTGAGCCAAGATCGTGCCTTTGCACTCCAGCCTGGGCAAACAGGGTGATACGTGGTCTCAAAAAAAAAAAAAAAAAGAAAAGAAAGAAAGAAAGAAAAGAAAAGAAATTTTCCTCCCCATTTTGACTTCCAATACCTCCCACCCCATTATCTTTCCAGGAAGAACCACTATTATAATTTCTTGGGTTCTCTTCTAGAGATATTGTATATCTATCTATCTATCTATCATCTGATCAATAGTGATATGCATTTTTGTATATGTGTGTTTGTCCTGATAATATTCTGAAAATATTTCAATCTGATGCTTGGGTTAAGGTCAAGATCATTTGGAATGTATATTTGGGCTGAGACATATTTGAATTAAAGTCAGGATACATATTTGGGCTGTTTTCTGATCTCTGACTGACTTTTTGTTTGTTTTGTTTCCAGAGTGACTTTTTATATTTTTTAATTATAAATTTTTTTGTGGGAGGAAGGGAAGGATTAAAAAATGCTACTGGAGATAGAAAACCTATTTATCCATTTGTGTTATATCATACAATGTAGTTTTCTGAAATTATATCTTTTTTTCATTTTCTGGATCTAGACTAGGGGTCAGCAAACTTTTTCTGTGAAGGGCAGGAAGTAGATATGGCTTTGCAGGCCATTCAGTCTTTGTTGTGACCCCTTAACTCTGACATTGTGACTTGAAAGCAGCCATGGACAATATGGAAACTAATGAGTGTAGTTATGTTCAAATGAAACTTTATGAGCACTAAAATTTGAATTCCATATTATCTTACATATCACTAAATATTATTAGTATATGTGTCTCTTTGTATTTTAAACATTTTAAAATGCAAAGATCAGTTTAACTCATGGGATGTGCAGAACCAGGAGGTGGCTTGGATTTGGCCTGTGGGCTGTAGTTTGCTGATCCCCGGGCTATCTGAAAACTAATAAAAATCAGTATTCAGGCTGAGTGCAGTGGCAGCCTGTTACCCAGGCTGGCGTACAGTGGTGCGATCTTGGCTCACTGCAACCTACTGCTCCTGGGTTCAAGCAATTCTCCTGCCTCAGCCTCCTGAGTAGCTGGGACTACAGGCATGCACAATCATGCCCGGCTAATTTTTGTATTTTTAGTAGAGATGTGGTTTCACCATGTTGGCCAGGCTGGTCTGGAACTCCTGACCTCAAGTGATCTGCTTGCCTCAGCCTCCCAAAGTGCTGGGATTACAGGTGTGAGCCACCGCACCCGGCCGACTTCTTCATTCCTTCTCTATGACCCAGCTCTGACCCCCACTTTTTGGTGCTCCCTCAGTCTGCCCTACAGCCTACCCTACATCTTTGATATGGTTTGGCTGTGTCCCACCCAAAGCTCATCTTGAATTGTAGCTCCCATAATTCCCACATGTTGTAAGAGGGACCCAGGGGGAGATAATTGAATCATGGAGGTGGTTTCCCCCATACTGTTAGTGAATATATCTCATGAGATCTGATGGTTTTATAAGGGGAAACCCCTTTCACTTGGCTCTCATTCTCTCTTGCCTCCCACCATGTAAGATGTGCCTTTGCTCCTCTTTCGCCTTCTGCCATAATTGTGAGGCCTCCCCAGCCATGTGGAACTGAGTCCATTAATCCTTTTTAAAATAATTCACCCAGTCTCAGGTATGTCTTTATTAGCAGCGTGAAAACACAAATACAATCTTTCTCTTCCCGTGGAGGCTAAGCAGAGGGTAAGCCCCACTCACCCTTAGACAGAGGGCAGTAATTCAGAGGCCACTAAGGATGTAGGAAGGGACTTGAGGGACTTTGTCTTCTTAGAATCCCCAGAATTGCTTCTACATGCATGGGCCTTATTATTTTTATGCTATTTATGATGCTGCTAGTCCAGAAAGGGCCCCTTAGAGACCTTACATAGTATAAAGACTCAGATTGGATAATGCCAGAACAGTTTATTCTGGATAAGAGTTTTTAGGATCAAGATCTTCTGGTTAAAAGTTAGCCTGTGGAAATTTCCAAAATTGAATAATTAAAATAAGGCTATTTCTTCCAGGCTTGTAACTCCAAGGATGAAGAACAACCAGGGCTTGGGGATGGGTGAAGAATCTTCTGAAGAAGTGACCTGGCTACTCTTATAAAGGTCTGTGCTTCCGCCTGCACGGTCATCACTGCTGTTGACATAAAATACAGAATTTATCATGAGCCATTCCCTGCTTAAACACCTACTATGGTGCCCCATTCGAATCCAAGCAGGGTGTTTAAGGTGCTTCAGACTCTGTCTTGATCCTCCTCTTGCAGATTACTCCCTGCCACTACCCTATGGGGAGTCTCTTGCCACATCCTCCATGCTCTAAATCTCTATGGCTTTGGCTCATCCAGGGTGATGTGACTGTTGCTTCCTCTGCCTGGCTTGTCCTCTTCTCTCTGTTAACTCCTGCTCTTTGTCAAGATCTAGCTCAGATTATTATTTCCTCTCTGAAGACTCTTCTTGGTAAAGTTGCTCGCTCTGCACTGCTTCCTCAGATCTTTGTGCACTTGTTACGTGCTTTTTAATTTGTTTTATGGCTCTATCTCCCTAACTAGACTGAAAGCACTTGAGGATGGTGACCTTTTCATAGTCTTTTTGTTATTTGGGCACTTAACACATAGCAGCTGCCCCATGATTGCTGGTCCCTTTTCTTTCTCTCCTCGCCAACCACCCACCCTGTTGTCAGACTGAAATAAGCCCAAAAGTCCATGGAAGTTGGACAGCTGTATTGACAACTGAGCTATGTCCAGGATCAAGCTATCTCTTCTTAACTGCTTAGCATGCTTCTAAGCATGGTTCAGGGAAGCCAGGACAACAGAAGAGTTCAGATAAGGTGGCCAAAAGTCCTGGAATAGTCAAAACAATTCCTGCTTCCCTGTGGTTATCCTAAGGAAGACCAATGTGTCATTTTCCCCTGGGAGCATCTCAGGGGCTGGCTTTTACTTGTTTCAGGAACAACTTTGCACACATGACCACAGCCATTGCTTTGGCATCTCTTTCCCCTAGACAGGATTTGTTTCCTGGGCACATGTTGACACAAATACCATAGGTTCCTTTTGGCAGGTCCAGGTGCCTACCTATTTCAAAAGGTTGTTTTAGGAATGAAACTGGATACTGTTCAAGTTCCAACCACATTGTGACCTCATCCACTACTACCCACCTACCAGGTCCTCACATGTGAACTCTCCCTGCACTCATGATTGCCCTGCCACACGAGTGTTGGTTGGAGTATTGTTTAGAAGCAAATCAGCCTTCAATGTGTACCATGGGCAGCTATTAGGCATGAAAATCTGCCAGCTGCCCTATAATTTCTATGAACAAAGGGATCCCTACAACAAGGGAAAGCTGGATTCCCACAGAAAGAGACTAGGCAAAGGCATTTGGTCCATTTGTATTGTAAGGCCTAAAACTTCAAGAGCTGCCTTAAAGTGCTTTCAAGTTCTCACAGGGTCCAAAGGTCTAACCCTGAGTTCTCCTGCTCTTTGAATGTGCTCCCCCCTCCACCACCCAGTGGGAGAGGCTCCCCACCTGGCTAGTTCCTCTATTATCAGATCAGCTGCACCCACCCAGTTCTTAACCTATGAGTCTCAAGTCCCTGTCAGCCCACAAAAAAAGCTAATCACATCTTCCTGCAGGAGTACTTTTAATGGCAAAAACCACGATTACCCTTGCACCATCCTAATGCAAAGCCTGCCTTCCACAGCCTCTGCTGGTTCACCCTGCTCCCAAGTGGAACCTCTGTGGGTCACTGCATGGCATGCAGTATCCTCCTCCCTCAGGCTGTGAGTATAGGTGACACTAATTCTATGTGCTATTCATCTCATCTCTTCAGTGTCAGGTGTCATGGGTTCAGCCATCTCACACTATTTAAAGTGGGGGACCCGTCCTTCACTGATGGAGTGGACAGGTGATCAGAGAACCATCCCACCAAGAGAAAGACCCTCTTGAGGCCCTCCATCTCTGCATGTCAGGTTCACAGTAAGTCTTAACGGTGCCAAACATAAGCCCTTATGCCACTCTTCTCTTCTCTTATCACCTTTGCACCCTTCTCCAACCCACACACATGCATACACTGGGCCCCTGACTTCCCTCTTCCTAGCTTCTCTTTCTGCTATTAACTGGCAGTTGCTGCCTAAACTCGCCAACCACCTTGAGAGTTGTGAGAGGATAGCCCGGCAGCCTGTAGCTGTATGCTGGGGGTGGGGAGGGCTGAAAGGAAGAGGACGTCCACCCTCCCAATGTCAAGTTGCTGAGTGAAGTCTCCTTTGATGACAATGCAGTAGGGCTAAAGTGGACTAAAATTTGCTTTCTCTCTCTCAGGCTGTGAGACAGAGCATAGAACCTGTGTCAGGTCACAGGAGAGTGATCCCCCAACACTTTGGGCCATGTTCCAACCCTGCCTGCCCCAATTCCCATTGTGTAAAATCCATCTGCAACCTATGCCAGGTGGGTGGAGAATCTTCCCTCCAGGTTAATTCAACTTCCTAGGATATAGAGGCTGTGAGATTAAATAGGAGCCCCTAGTGAATGGGGACTCAATTGTACTCACCTTTTCCTTGGGCAGGCAGTTGGGGCTGCAGACACAACACTCACACAGCAATGTACTGGGAAGATCTTCTGAAGACACAGATTCAAGACAAATATGTATCTCTCTGACCATGAAGAGGGATGTTAGAACCCCAGAACAGAGATAATATGTTTTGCAAGGACACAAATACTATGGGGCCTGTTGTGGAGGTGTAATAATTCTTTTTCAAACATTCAAACATTCAAATAATTCTTTCTTCAAACATTCTTTTTCCTCTGTGCCAGGGCTCCATTCAGGCTATAAGATATGTGGCTACCATATGTTCCCTGGTGGAGGTGAATATGGTTAGGATGGGACCGAAGAATAAGGTTGGCAAATGTGTAGCTCCTAAAATTTCAAAAAAAAAAAAAAAGTTTTTTTTTTTTTTTTTTTTTTGAGATGCAATCTCACTCTGTCACCCAGGCTGGAGTGCTGTGGTGCAATCTCAGCTCACTGCAACCTCTGCCTCCCGGGTTCAAGCGATTCTCCTGCCTCAGCCTCCCGGGTAGCTGGGATTACAGGCATGTACCACTATGCCCAGCTAATATTTTTGTATTGTTAGTAAAGACAGGGTTTCACTATGTTGGCCAGGCTAGTCTTGAGCTCCTGACCTCAGCTGATCCACCCACCCTGGCCTCCCGAAGTGCTGGGATTACAGGCATGAGCCACCTCGCCTGGTGTAAAAATCCAAATTTAAGATACAAATATTTTGGGAGAAGATGCAATCGGGAGCAAGAGAGTGAGAAGTAATTGTAAGAGTGCTGTCTCCTGACTCTTGCCCCACTGGCCAGAGTCCTGGGATGGGGTATAACTAGACCCTGCCTTCATGTTTGGGGGTCTTGGAGTAGAAGATTCCAGGTTTTTTTTTTTTATTTATTTAGGCAGGACCCTCAATGATAGAAAGTCTTATAGATAAGTTCCACAGTGTAACCATGGAGAGGAGGCATCCCTATATCAAAACTGGAGGTGCAGTATGCCTAAACATGAGCAGGGCAGAGGCAGCTCTCTGATTTTCCATGAGCACAGAGTATCATGGGAGGATCAACTTAATCATCTGATTCCCCTGAGAGGAAGACCGAAGTTAATTGAAAAACAGCTGATGGACTTGTAAAAGGTAGCCATGACCAGTACAAAAGAGCAGTCTTTGCTTACGATTTCACCAGAGCATGCCTAAAGCCTGGAAAATTGCCAGCAGTCTAAAAAGTGGATGTTCTGTTGACTTAGCAACTATTCCCAGCTATAAAAGGAAATAGCACTACTGCTGTACAATGTAGACAGTGTGGAAAAAACAGTATGAATGGAACTCAGATTATTCCTGGGGTCTCTCCTTGCTTTACTGTGTCAGTGTGTATAAGCTCATGAAAGATGTCTATAACTCTGTACAGGTTGGGTCATCAAGGGCTCAGATCTCCTCCAGAATAAAAATCTGAGTCATTCCACCAGAAAAAATTGCACCAATCAATCGAGGGGGTGGCTGAAGGCAAAGGGAACATGGATTGGATAAGCGGAGGCAGGAATTTGTTACAATAAGCTACAGCCTCACAACCAGTTTCAGAAATACTCTCCATCTACCCATATTTCATTTTTTATTGTTGGGTATATGTTTCTGTATTTAATCTTCTTTTCTCTTTCTTCTCCCATTTTCTCACTATTATAACTAGGTGAGTTAGTGGTGGTTGACTTTTAGTATATTTCATAGGATATGAAATATCAGTACAGGATCACAAAAGAACAAGAGATGAAGTGGGCACTATCAGGAGATCCTGAACTTGGAGCTGAATGAAAATAGCAAGTATTGGGCTGTCTTTGGGGACAAGATGAGTGGATTTTCAGTAGTACAGGGGCATATGCAGCAGTACCTGCATTATATTAGGTAGGGTTTGAATCCAAGGGAATGTACGAATATGCAGGCAGAGTTTGGGAATATTCCCAGCAGTGCTGATGCAGCCAGGAGTCCAGCAGTGGTGGTGAGTATTCAGGGTATTAATACAGCATTGGCACATGTCAGAGTCTTCTTGCTGTATGGACATGTACATAGCTATATTCTGTATTGCCCGACGCCTTTGTTTGCTGCCTATCACACCTTCCTATCAATTTTCCATGCTACTCTTAACATTCCAATAAGTAGGGTCAGTTTCAGTTATTTGCATAAAAACCTTTTGCCTGGTTAGCTCCCAGAACTGTGAACTCCTACAAATGCTCAAAGGGTGCTATGTTCTCACAGTCCTCCCTGCCCCAGAATCAACTAATACTGGGAGTAATTGGAGAGAGTTCTCCTCTCACCACAGGACTTAGTATGGGTTGAGGAAGAGATAACATTGAGGCAGGAGTAAATACACAGAGACTGTGAGCAACCTATTCACACAGATCATTTCTGCCTTGGGGTCTGCTCAGGCCCAGTCACACTTTTAGCTTTTCCATTTGACGGGGTGTTGCTGGACATGCCCTACTTGATGGCTAAGTGGATCAGATAACACCCAGCTCACATGGGTGGTAATGTCACACATGAATGGTTGGGCATTCAGTCTTTTCAGAGTTTTAGCTAGTTCTACAAAAAAGAGTAGGTACTTTCCACAGAGAACAGGAACTTGCTCCAAAACCCTAGGGGCTTTCACTGTGATTCTTCTGTCAGGGTTTTCCGGTTCTATACAGCATTCCTGAGCAACTCCAGACATTTTGTGTATCAAAGACCTATTGGTTTATGAGGGCCAAGAGTCAGAGCTACACAAATTTCAGTTTGAGTCAACCAGAGAGACATTGGTTTTTCTTGACATAACTCAAAGCTAATATTTTGTTAAGTTTAGATCACAGGGATACTTCATCTCCCATGGGGAACCTCCATGAGATAGTAATTTCCTGAATTTTTATAAAATTTATGTTTCATCCCAAGAAATTAATGTGACCTGCCAAAACATCTAGGGTATCTGCCTCATCTGTCTCCAGGCCCTGTCAGCACAATGCCATAAATGTACTAGATCAGATGGATATTCAATGGGATGGTGAAGTGGTTAACATCACTGTAATCTAGATTCCGTCATTGAGCCACAGAAGTAACTGACCATGAAGCAAGATAGCGAAAGTATACTGATAGCCCTGCAAGGTGAAAACACTTAACTTTTTGCTTCTGATATTTAGGCTTAGAATTGCAAATATCCAGATGTATAGCTGGCAACATTCCAGATACCAGGAGATCAATTTATTGGCTCTAGTAAAGAGAACCCACCTTAAAGGGCAGCCGTCATTAAAATTACAAACCAATTAACATCACTCTTTCAGTTTTTGAGAGGGCCCAATAATAACACCATTTTATCACTGCCTGAGTTTTGAACCAAATGAGAAGCCTACAAAGGAGTCAGCAGAGGAGGGACAAAATATTACCTTTATCATTGATAAAAAATCTCACTTGAAGGACATAGCTAATACCTTTAGAAAATTTAGATTACAAATATTAAGAATCAGAATTAAACAGACAATCTCATTCAGCAGTGTTAGACTAAGGCAGGATCCTGTTCATTGAGAAAGAGAAGGGAATAATGGGTGCTCTTGTGGTCAGCCAGCCACCAAGTGGCAGGGGAAGGAAAGGGGCTTATGTAATTTACAATTATGTATGTTATAGGAAGAGTACGTAGGGAGGGAAGTTATCCAACTGCAGCCATATCTTGGAGAAATTGCAGATTCAGTTCCATACCACTGCAACAAAGCAAATATCACAATAAATTGAGTCACACGTTTTTTTTTTTTAGTTTCCCTTTACATATAAAAGTTATGTTCACACTACATTATAGACTATTAAGTGTGCAATAGTATTATATCTAAAAAATACTTTAGTGCTAAAACTGCTAACAATTATCTGAGCCTTCAGCAATTCTTTTTTTTTTTTTTTTTTTTTTTTTTTTTGCTGCTGGGGGGTCTTGCCTCCATGTTGATGGTTGCTGACTGATCAGGGTGGTGGTTGCTAAAGGTTGGGGTGGCTGTGGTGATTTCTTTTTTTTTTTTTCTTTCTTTCTTTCTTTTCTTTTTTTTGATGAAGTCTCACTCTGTCACCCAGGCTAGAGTGCAGTGGCTTAATCTCAGCTCACTGCAACCTCCCCCTCCCAGATTCAAGCGATTCTCCCGCCTCACCCTCCTGAGTAGCTGGGATTAGAGGCACGTGCCACCACGTCTGGCTAATTTTTGTATTTTTGGTAGAGACGAGGTTTTACCATGTTGGCCAGGCTGGTCTTGAACTCCTGGCCTCAAGTGATTGGCCCACCTTGGCCCCCACAAATACTGGGATTCCAGGCATGAGCCACCAGGCCCCACCGATGATTTCTTAAAGTGGGACAACAATAAAGTTTGCCACATTGATTGACCCTTCCTTTAATGAAAGATTTATCTGTAGCATACACTGCTGCTTGATAGCATTTTGCCTCCAGCAGAACTTCTTTCAAAACTGGAATCAATCCTCTCACAGACCCTGCTGCTGCTTTATCAACTAAGCTTGTGTAATATTCTCAGTCTTTTGTTGTCATTCCAATAATGTCGCAGCGTCTGTAACAGGAGTAGATTCCATCTCAAAAAAAAAAAAAAAAACTTTCTTTGCTCATCCATAAGAAGCAACTTCTCATTCATTCGAGTTTTATCAGGAGATTGCAACAATTCAGTCACATCTCCAGGCTCCACTTCTAATTCTAGTTCTCTTTCTATTTTTACCACATATGCGGTGACTTCCTCCACTGAAGTCATCCACTAGGGCTGGAATAAACTTCCAAACTCCTCTTAAAGTTGATATTTTGACCTCATCCCGTGAATCACAAATGTTCTTAATGGCACCTGGAATGGTGAATCCTTTCCAGAAGGTTTTTAATTTACAGCCCAGACCCATCAGAGGAATCACTATCTATGGCAGCTCTGGCCTTACAAAGTGGATTTCTTAAATAATAAGACTAGGAAGTCAAAATTACTCCTTGATCCATGGACTACAGAATGGATGTTGTGTTAGCAGGCATGAAAAGAGCATTCATCTCCTTGTACACCTCTATCAGAGCTTTTGGGTGACCAGGTGCATTGTCAATGAGCAGTAATATTTTGAAAGGAATCTTTCTTTCTGAGTAGTGGGTTTCAATAGTGGGCTTAAAATATTCAGTGAATCATGATGTCAACAGATGTGATGTAGTTTAGGCTTTATTTTTCCATTTTTAGAGCATGGGCAGAGTAGATTTAGGATAATTCTTAAGGCTCCTAGGATTTGTGAAATGCTAAATGAGCACTGGCTTTAACTTAAAGTCACCAGCTGCATTAGCTCTTAGCAAGAGTCAGCCTATTCTTTGAAGTTTTGAGGCCAGGCATTGAGTTCTTTCTAGCAATAAAATATTCCTAGATTGCATCTTCTTCCAACAGAAGGCTCTTTTGTCTTCACTGAAAATCTGTTCTTTAGTATAGCCACCTTCATCAATGATCTTAGCCAGATGTTCTGAATAACTTGCTGCAGCTTCTCCATCAGCACTTACTGTTTCACCTTGCACTTTTATGTTATGGAGACGACTTGTACATCTCTATCTTCTTCCCTTAAACCTCATGAGCCAATCTCTGCTGGCTTCAAACTTATCTTCTGCAGCCTCCTTACTTCTCTCAGCCTTGACAGAGTTGAAGACAGGTAGGGCTTTGATTAGGTTTTGGCTTAAGGGAATGTTGTGGCTGGTTTGATCTTCTATCCAGGACACTCGAACTTCCTCCATATCAGCAGTTAAGACTGCTTTGCTTTTGTATCATTTGTATATTCACTGGAGTAACACTTTTAATTTCCTTCAGGAACTTTTCCTTTGCATTCACAACTTGACTCTCAGGTGCAAGAGGCTTAGCTTTCAGCCTGTCTCAGCTTTCAACATGCCTTCTTCAGTAAGCTTATGCATTTCTAACTTTTGATTTAAAGTAAGAGATGTGAGACTCTTCCTTTCACTTGAACACTTAGAGGTCATTGTAGGGTTATTCATTGGCCTCATTTCAATATTTTTGTGTTTAAGGGAATAAGGAGGTCTGAGGAGAAGGGGAGAGATGGGAGAACAGCTGGTGTGTGGAGCAGTCCGAACACACACAGCATTTATGGGTTAAGTACACTGTCTTACATGAGCATGGTTTGTGATACCCCAAAACAATTACAATAATAACATCAAAGATCACTAACCCCAGACCACCATAACACATAATAGTAATGAAAAATTTGAAATATTGAGAGAATTACTGGAGACACAGAGTAAACACATGCTGTTGGGAAAAAATAGTACTGATGGACTTGCTCAATGCAAGGTTGCCACAAACCTTCAATTTGTAAAAAAGTGCAGTATCTGTGAAGTGCAACAAAGTGAGGTAGCAATAAAATGAGGTGTGCCTGTGTTTATTCTCTCAGCCGTTAAAGCTAGAGTCAACTGCAGGTGTAACCGTTCCTCCTGGAGAAGGAGGTCAGCAGTTAGCAAGGCCACTCTACTTCCATCGTCATGAGGTTACTCATAGCTTCTTTGGATATTCCCTGGAACCCCGAACAGTGGCTATAAAGATTGTGAGCAATCCTGGGGAGAAATCCTGGCATGTTTGTTTTGGCATAGGAAGGGGCACTAAAGCCTGGAGCAGGAAAGCCTCAGGGTACCACAGACAGAGGCTGGGCTGTTCTGTGGTATGCCCCATCCCCCATCAAAATTGCCAGGAAGGGCACAAGTAAGGACTTCACTTATTTTAGCCTTTCCCCTAAATTACATTTGAGTAGCCACAGAAGCTGCTATCTCCAGGGGAGCATGAGCTCCTGGGGGCTTCCAAGACATCTGAGGATCATAACTGATGTCAAAGAAAGATACAAACTTCACAAGATAGTCTGGATGAATCAGATTTAATGAACCAAATAGAGCAAGACATAGGACATTGGGCTATAAGATGGAAAGCTTTTTGGTTGTGCTCTGTTCCTTCCTCACTAAGTCCGAGGAAGACTTCGGCTGTAAGGAAGACAGCAGCTGTGCCTGTCCTGCAGAGTCAGAATGATGCGATAACGTCATGGTGGGCTGGAGAGACCAGCAATACCAGCATGCTGATCTGCTGGCCAATGAGGAGCCCTCACTGTCAGCAGGAGTCCCATTTCTTCCTTCACGCTTCTGTGTTCTTCCCTCAGCTTCTTCAATTCCACTCTCACTCTAAGTTCCCCATTTTCACAGTCTGGCCCTTGGGAGAATATTCTCTCTGCTCTGAAGTCTGTAGAGTCTTGGCAGGAATGAAATTTGCGTTGTCATAACCCCCTTCTTTCCATCTCATAAGAAGATATTATAAAATCTCTGCTCAGAGCAAGCCATCTTCCCACCCTGCACATACCTTGTGTTCACCTCAGAGCTGCTCCCTCTTGGATTCCCACATGGAGGGCACATCCCCCACCTAGAGGAGTGACCCTACTCTCCACATCCAACTTCGGTCAGACCCAACCCAATCTGATGAGAAGGATGGAAAATGCAGGGTGATCCCTCTTGTAGGTCAAAGGAAGTGGGTCTGATGAATGCAGTGGGGACACAGCCTGCCTCTGTGTCAGATGATCCCCAGGCCTACGGCTCGGCCTGGAAACTTCTCTGCTCCCCTCGATCCTGAAAGGAGGACTGTGAGCACAGGTCACCTCATCCTCATGGTGATAAAAGCCACCAAAATGAAGACTGTGCCTTCTTCCAGTTAGGCTTTGATGTGCTGCACACACCTGGAACAATTTGTACCCTCAATGTCACCAGAAAGGAAGGCAGAGCAGAAACAGTAGGGCAGGAAGTATACACAAATACGAGGTCTCCAGGGAGTGCCCCCAGGTGAGCCAGTTCCTGTTCTATCTCACAGCTGGTTTCTCTCTAATTACAGTAGTGGTTTCTTGGAGATGTAATCGCCAAACATGAGACATTTAAGAACACTTTTTAGCACTTTGCTAATCCCAACAAGGCATGGATGTTCCTGGTACCTTTAGGAAAAGTGGCCAAAGAAATGAATCGTCTCTGTGTCATTTAGAAAATCAGAGTGAATGCGTAAGCTATGAAGCCAGGTGTAGTGTGCTGGGGGCCATCTGGGGCCTCCTGGAGGTTCAGTGACAAGAGGATTTGAAGAGCTTCTGGGAGAGATGTTGAAAGTGTGCTTGGAAGCCGCTGACCAACCCCCCAGCTGAGATCCCTATGCAGGTATGAAATTCGGGCTGCCGCTTAACTGCAGGGGCAGTAACAGGTGGGTAGTGAAGTCACTCCCTGAGAAGATGGGTGTTCAAAGGTTGCAAGCTGGCTGAGGGCCTAGAAGGTTGAGAGACAGAGTCTACCCTGATGCCTGGTGGTCTCTGACCTCTGCTTTGTACTCAGAGGTTCCTAGAGGAAATGCTGCTTCAGTGAGCTAAAGAGTGAACAAAATAACAAGAGAAGAACACTAAATGTTCCACACAAGCCTGAGTAGGATGCCTGCCCTCTCTCCTCCCCAAATTACAGAATCTCAGTGAAAGAGATGTGGAGGTAAAACCCCAATGACAGTCAAAGGAGGTGAGGCCAGACACGGTGGCTCACGTCTGTAATCCCAGCACTTTGGGAGGCCAAGGCAGGTGAATCATGAGGTCAGGATTTCGAGACCAGCCTGGCCAACATAGAGAAACCCTGTCTCTACTAAAAATACAAAAATTAACTGGGCATGGTGGCACACGCCTGTAGTCCCAGCTACTTGGGAGGCTGAGGCAGGAGAATTGCTTGAACCCGGGAGGCAGAGGTTGTGGTGAGCCAAGATCGCACCATTGCACTCCAGCCTGGGCAACAGAGCAAGACTCTGTCTCAGAAAAAGAAAAAAAAGAAGAAGAAGAAGGAGACGAATACAAAGCCTGCTTTGTCATTGGTGGTTGGAGCTGTGACAAGCACTCATGACCATCTATGGGGGGCCTGGACAAGACAATATACCCTAGCAGCAAAGAAATACTAGGCAAGCCAAGAGAAGGGCTCAGACTGAACACCCCTGGTAGTTAGTTCACATTGGCATCTCAGAATCTTTGGAGGTGCTAAATTTGCAAGCACCCAGGAAGGATGACTCAGTCTGAAGAAGGGACCAGGGCACCTGGAGATGGAGCAGTGATAGCTACAGGAGGCAGACAAATCCCTAGGCAGACAGGGGTGGGTCCCCAGTGAAACCCCGTCTTCAAACCAGAGACGGTTTAAAGCCTGAAAGCCAAGCTACGAGTCTTAGATAAATCCATAGACCAGACTGGGAACCTCTCTTCCCATTTGGCACACTTTCCTCTAATTGATCCCCACCCTTCACCTATTTTACATATACCTACACTTCCCTAATTGATTTTTTACACTGCTGTGCCCACCTTTGAGTGGTGCCTTTGTTTTAGCCTTTCTTGCATACTCACAAACCAATCAGCACACACTACCCCATTCTGAGCCCATAAAAGCCTTGGACTCAGCCACACTGGGGGACTGCCCACCTTCAGTCAGGAAGAGACCATCCAACTTTGGAGAGGGGACTGCCCTCTTAGGTCCTCTCTTTGCTGAGAGCTGTCACTCAATAAAACTCTCCTCATCCTTTGGTTGTCAGCATAACCTCATTCTTCTTGGATGTGGGACAAGAACTTGGGACCTGCCAAATGCAAGTACAACAAAGGCTATAACACTGTGGTTCTCTGCCCTCTGCTGGTGGAAGGCAACCGCCCCATGTGACAGGAAGCAGTGCTGGAGCCAGGCCAGCCCTGGAGCCATGGATTGGAGTGGGACAATGGGACTAAAAGAGCTGTTAGCCTGCTGTAACACTCCCTCTGGGGCTTTAGGGTTGCTCGCATCCCCATTCATGCACCATTGCATTCCTCTCAGCCAGACATTGGTGCCCAAGGTGGAAGCAGGTTGTGGCAAGCCAAGCCCACCTGCAGGCTTAGTGTGGATCCTGCGGTGAGCACAGGATCCAAGCAGGAGCACAAGCCAAGCACAGCCCGCTGGGCCGAGTGGGTGAGGTAGCTCCTGTGGTGAGCCCGGGGCCAAGTGAGGCCCAGGCAGGGGTATCACCAGCCATGGAGGTCTCCAGCTGGCTACGCAGCTCTGAAAAATCCTGTGTCAGCAACGCAGTACAGGACGGAGGGCAATGTCCCCAGACAGCACAGAGGACAGCAAAGGGCAAGCCCAAATCCAACTGCAAAGTGGCTGCCTGGATTCTAGGCTGATGAGTAGCCTGGCCTTGGTGAGGGAGTGGGGCCAGGCAGAACAGCCCCAAAGAGCCTGCAGGAGGACCCTCTGGAGCACTGTCAGCCAGGGGAGGGCTCCCATGCCCCTCTCTAAAAGTGACCTAAATAGGATCATGTTAACTTAGGTAACATAATCTTTAAAAGTTAATTTTTATACAAGAAACACATCAATGAACTCGTGTGATGAACAATTCAAACAATATAGACATGCAGAATGACCTACTGGGAGGTCGTTAATATTATCAGTATTAGCAGTTTGCTGTGTGTTTTTCTAAGGCCTTTTCCTATGCTTTTACATGCACACATGTGTGTATACAAAATTTACTTTTTTTGCATAAATGAAGTTATATGTATTATTTTGCTTTATTTACTTAATGTTATATCTTGGAGAACTTTCCAGGGTAGTGTCTTTTTTTTCCTTTTTAAAAAAATAAGTGCCAGCTCAGTGTGGTGACTCATGCCTATCATCCCAGCATTTTGGGAAGATGAAGCAGGAGGACTGCCTGAGCCCAGGAGTTCAAAACCAGCCATGAGGGCAACATAGTGAGACACCATCTCTACAAAAAATTTAAAAATTAGCTGGGCATGGTGGCACGCCTGTCCCAGCTACTTGAGAGGCTGAAATGGGAAGATCATTTGAGCCTGGGAGGTCGAGGCTATGTGAGCCATGATCATGCCACTGCACTCCAGTCTGAGCAACAACAGAGCAAGACCCCATCTCAAAAAAACCCTGTTATCTAAAAATCCCATCATATGAATGGCTCATATTTTATTTATCCAAGCTCCAATTCTTGCACATTTAGGTGGCTTCTAGTCTTTTTGCTATCACAAACAATACTATACTGATGATTTCATGCATGCTTCTTTGTCTATATACATCAGTATTTCCCCAGAATGCCTATATGTGAAAATAGAAAGGATGTACCTACTGTACAGTGGGAAGATATTGCCAAGTTGTTCTCCAGAAAGACTACATCAACTTACACTTCCACCCACAGTGAAGGAGACACCGATTTCTCACACATTAGCCCAATATATTTATTACCTTGCTTTCCCAAGTTAAATTTTTAGTGGACTATTTCTTGCTTTGTATTCTTGAAAGCTACTTCCCTTTTCCCCCTGGAAAAGGGAGTAGGCTTAAGACCTACCCCAATTGCGAATATCGAGCAAATAACTCTCACAACAATTAGATAAAGAAATTAATTAGCAGAAACTGTGTAAGACAATAGCACCTGGCGTTTGCTTCTCCAGCATTTGCAGTTTCCAATATGCAGCATAGGGTATTCATGGCCTGTGATAGTTTTGCTGAGGCATGCATTTCAATCACTTAGCTGCAGTATTGCTAAGGAGGGAATGATAATGACAACAGTTGACTTTTGTTAAGTATGCACTTGTAGGTTAGGCCCCCGGCTTGCATTTTATACCTGTCATCTCCCTGAAGCCCTGCTAGCCTGTGGGGTCATTTCCATTGGAATCCCCATGTCACAAATGAAGAAACTGAAGCTCAAAGGAAGTCCACACCTTACAAATGCTTCAAGCCCACCTCAGGCCCACTGATGTGGAATCTCCAAGGCTGGGGTTTGGGTAAAGCTCCCAGATGCTGTTCCTGCATGCGGGAATGAGCAGACGCTCTACCGACTTCATAAAAGCTCTATTTCTTTGTGAAAAACAAAACAGTGTTCCCATTAAAAGATTTCCAGAGCTCTGCTGACAATCACAAATTTGGGCATTTGGCAAGGTCTTATAACATATCATTTGAAAGGGCTAGGTATCCACAGCAGCCGTCACACATGTATAAAAAATTAAGAGAAGACTGAGCAGACGTTGGGAATCCCTGGATGTCCTCAGTCCACAAACCTCATCCTTCATATCTGGAGCCATCAAAGTTTCATTGCTTTTTTTTCAGGCTGGCTTGTGGGACCTTAGGCATGCAATGGCTTCTGTGTTTAGACTCCTGAATATGCTGGAATTCTATTTTTCCTGGAATTTTATATTGCAGATAATCACTTCCTATTCCTGTCAAATCCTTCCAACGCCTAACTGCACACCAGCCCCAGATGTTGATCAGATTACATCTTTGTCCTGTTTCATGAGAAAGTGAGGATGGGCACCAAGATATAGTGTCACCCAGCATGAGACTTTGAAAGGTCAGAGACAGTGAAATTTAAAAAGTCAGATGGCAAAGATCTGCCCAAGGAAGTCCTTTAACACAGGTGGGGCTGTTTGCCTTTCTGTGTTACTTAAAGCATGTGCCAGGTAATATTTCTCTCACTCTCCTACTTTCTTTTTTTTTTTTTTAGTTGAACTAACAGCGTATTTTATTTCTCAGTAACTCCATGTGCACTAATTAAACATGAGATGAATAGAGACATTATTAATTGGAAAGCAAGACAGAATTCATATCATCCCCAAGACTGGGACACAAAAGGAGGCTGGAAAAGGATTTAGAGAAAATTTTATAGAGCTGCATTCGTACTCTTTGTGACGGTTAATACTGAGGGTCAACTTGATTGGATTGAAGGATACAAAGTATCGATCCTGGGTGTGTCTGGGAGGGTGTTGCCAAAGGAGATAAAGATTTGAGTCAGTAGGCTGGGAAAGGCAGACCCACCCTTAACCTGGGTGGGCACAATCTAATCAGCTGCCAGCATGGCTAGAATATGAGCAGGCAGAAAATGTGAAAAGAGAGACTGGCCTAGCCTCCCAGCCTACATCTTTCTCCCATGCTGGATGCTTCCTGCCCTTGAACATCAGACTCCAAGTTCTTCAGTTTCAGAACTCAGACTGTCTCTCCTTGCTTCTCAGCCTGCAGATGGCCTATTGTGGGACCTTGTGATCATTTGAGTTAATATTGAATATACTCTTCTTTATATATATAGCTATTCCATTAGTTCTGTCCCTCTAGAGAACCCTCACTAATACACTCTTCTTCAGTTGCCTTTTCTGAGTGGAAACATTAAATCCTAGTGACTGGGTAAAGAGATATCACGGGGAGAACACTGAAATTGGAGATCGCCACATGCGTGCAAACAGGGCCTGCTCTCAGTGGTCACAGGGCACAGGGAGGTGGCACAGCCTGCTGTGAATCCCGGTGCTACAGCTCACCAACTGGATGCTCCATAACTTCTCTGGGCTCCATTTCCTCTCTGAAGCCCAGAGAGGCCCCTGCATCTCAAACTGCGTGGATCCTTCCACTTTTCCTGTAGAGAGCCTCATTGGAAGAAAGTCATTAGTGCAAACTTGCCAGTCATTCACAAGTGGTAAGAGCCTATTTACTGTAAATCTTCGAAACCAACTCAAGTCAAACCAAATGTCATTGTTTTCATTGGGAACTATGATTAAATAGTCATTTTCTTTTTTTTTTTAAATTATTATTATTTTACTTTAAGTTCTGGGATACATGTGCAGAATGTCCAGGTTTGTTACACAAGTATACATGTGCCATGGTGGTTTGGTTTGCTGCATCTATCAACCCATCCACTAGGTTTTAAGCCCAGCATGCATTAGATACTTGTCCTAATGCTCTCTCCCCTTGCCTCCCACCGACTAACAGGCCCTGGTGTGTGATGTTCCCCTCCCTGTGTCCATGTGTTCTCACTGTTCAACTCCCACGTACAAGTGAGAACATGAGGTGTTTGGTTTTCTGTTCCTGTGTTAGTTTGCTGAGGATGATGGTTTCCAGCTTCATCCACGTCCCTGTAAAGGACATGAACTCATTTTTTATGGCTGCGTAGTATTCCAGGGTGTTTATATGCCACATTTTCTTTATCCCTTCTATCGTTGATGGCAATTTGGGTTGGTTCCATGTCTTTGCTATTGTACATAGTGCTGCAACAAACATATGTGTGCATGTGTCTTTATAGTAGAATGATTTATAATCCTTCGGGCATGTACCCAGTAATGGAATTGCTGGGTCAAATGGTATTTCTGGTTCTAGACCCTTGAGGAATCGCCACACTGTCTTCCACAATGGTTGAACTGATTTACACTCCCACCAGCAGTGTAAAAGTGTTCCTATTTCTCCACAGCCTCGCCAGCATCTATTGTTTCTTGACTTTTTAATGATCACCATTCTAACTGGTGTGAGATGGTATCTCATTGTGGTTTTGATTTGCATTTCTCTAATGAGCACTGATGATGAGCTTTTTTCATATGTTTGTTGGCTTCATAAATGTCTTCTTTTGAGAAGTGTTTGTTCATATCCTTCACCCACTTTTTGATGGGGTTTTTTGTTTTTTTCTTGTAAATTTGTTTGAGTTCTTTGTAGATTCTGAATATTAGAACTTTGTCAGAGAGATAGATTGCAAAAATTTTCTCCCATTCTGTAGGTTGCCTTTTCACTCTAATGATAGTTTCCTTTGCTGTGCAGAAGCTCTTTAGTTTAATTAGATTCCATTTGTCAATTTTGGTTTTTGTTGCAACTGCTTTTGGTGTTTTAGTCATGAAGTCTTTGCCCGTGTCGTAAATAGTCATTTTCAAAATTAACATCAACCTTTGATTTTTAAATCAGTTTTGTGAGTCATTTACCACAAGCTAAATGTGTAAACCATGGCAAAAACAATCATTGTATTCCTCTTGCCTTTCTAAACATTCCCGATTTGTAACACTGTATAAATCCATCAATAGAAATTAACTTTCTTTTATTCTATTAGTAAAGTAGGCATAGATCTCTCCACAACAAATCCATCTCACAATGCTCTCCCTCCCTCACTGTGCTCTGTGGCAAGCATTCCCATTTTTGGCCCATTTTTATCAAAAGCCTAATACACTCATGGCTTTTCTTGGCAATATGTACTTAATAGAGCATATTTTGCTTTGCCCACACATAGGAAGCAAAGTATGTATAGATCAGAAATCTTCAAATTACAAATAACTTAATATTGCACTATTATACTAAATAACTTAATAGTACACTAAAATGACAGGGTTATTATACACGTAGCCTTTTAAAAAAATCTTGCACAAACAGCTTTGTATTTAGACTTGTTTAAAACTCTTGCTAATAATGTCTGTGTTAACAGTGCTCTGTAATTCACAATTGCTAACATGTAGAACCAACCTAAGTGCCCATCGACCAATGAGTGGATAAAGAAAACGTGGTATATATACACCATGGAATACTACTCAGCCATAAAAAAGAACAAAATAATGTCTTTTGCAGCAAGTTGGGTGTAGCTGAAGGCCATTATTCTAAATGAATTAACACAGGAGCAGAAAGCCAAAAACCGTATGTTCTCACTTATAAGTGAGAGCTAAGCTTTGAGTATGCAAAGGCAAACGGGTGATATAATGCACTTTAGAGACTCAAAAGGTGAAGGATGAGAGGGGGGCTAGGGAAAAAAAACTACACATTAGGTACAAGATACACTACTCAGGTGACAGGCGCACTAAAATCTCAGATTTTGCCACTTTATAATTCATCCATGTAACAAAAACCACTGGTATCCCAAAAGCTACTGAAATAAAAGAAAAAAAAGTCAGTGCTCTTGGCCAATGGTTCCAACCTTTTTGGCACTAGGGACAGGGTTCATGGAAGACAATTTATCCACTGATTAAGGGATGGGGGATTGTGTCAGGATGATTCAAGTGCATTACATTTATTGTGCACTTTATTTCTATTATTGTTACATTGTAATATATAATGAAATAATTATACGACTCACCATAATGTAGAATCAGTGGGAGCCCTGAGCTTGTTTTCCTGCAACTTGATGGTCCCATCTGTGAGTGATGGGAGACAGTGACAGATCATCAGGCATTAGGTTCTCATAAGGAGCGTGCAACCTGGATCCCTGGCATGCGCAGTTCACAATAGGGTTTGCACTTGTATGAGAATCTAATGCTGTGGCTGACCTGACAGGAGGCGGAGCTCAGGTGGTAATGTCAGCAATGGGGAGTGGCTGTAAATACAGATGAAGCTTCTCACTCGCCCACCACTCACCTTCTGCTGTGTGGCTCGGTTCGTAACAGGTCATGGACCAGTACCAATCTGTGGCCTGGGCCTGGGGACTGCTGTTCTAGACCATTGATTGTCAGAATCGGGAGTGCACAGTACATAGTCATTCAGTGGGTACCAGTGAGAATAGGAATAACAGGCTGGAAACAGCGCTCTACCCCATGTGTGGAGAAGAGGAGAACTCCAGAGGGAACCCAGACAGAGTTCTCTACCTGCAACCAGCCTCTCCTTCACAGTGGAAGAGGGACTCTTCCTACAGGCTGCTTTTTTTCACACAAAATTATACTCAAGAATAAACAAGCACCACTGTCACCTTACTTGAAAGAGAGCTTGTGTTCTATTTTTGGCTTGGAGCTGCTGACTCTGGTCTTTTTTTCCACTCAGGTGTCTGGAAGCTACAGCTTCATTTCCCTTTTTGGTGACCTCTTCTGTGGGCTCCTCACATAGCTCCTTTGCCTCCTTCGTTCAGTCAATGTACTGGGTCAGATGCATCGCTCTCCAAGTTGGCGTGGCCCTTCTGAAACTGGAGGCCATCCTGCTGCAGCTTGCTGTAATTCCTATGTAGCCTTTAGCTGGTCTTGCAGGATGCCTATGAGCCTCTCACCCAAGTGATGTTCTTCACAAAACCCCCTTTTAATCCTGGGACAGCTTGTCAATGCTCTCCAGCTAAAAGCTGTGGCTGGACTAGATTTGGCTGAGCTGATCTCATTGCTTTTCCTGCCCTCCCTGGAGCTTATTCCTTTTCAGCTGCACCACACCCCTCTCCACGGCCACCCTGCAGACCCTGCCTTCCAGCACCTGATCCACCCCTGGGGGTGGGGGCGGTGGGGGGCAGTTCACAATCTAGCAGTTGAAGCCCACGACAATGACACAGGCCACCAGGGAGGCCTGCACAAGGGGTAGCAACTTCATGCAGTGATGCCTATTTCCCAATGCCATCATCTGAAAATCAGCACTGAGAATCTCTCTGACATAGATTGAGAATTAATCATTTCTGTAAAAGCAGTAACAAATATTCAGTGCTTTCATATCACATTAGAAAGAACGTGGCTCTCATTATTCCCCAGAAAGGGTTTCTTGATTTGATTCTTAGCATGGGAAGTTTCCCCGCCTCCCCACCACCTTTGACAGAATTACTAATGACACCCAATAAAAGCCTTTCTCAGCAAAGCCAGAAACCCATTCTGGAGGTGAATGGGAATTCACCACAAGCAGCATCATTGCTCAGAGAACACCCTGGCAGCACAAGTGTCCCCAGTCCCTGGCTTTCTAACCTTCACTACCACTCCCCTGTTTTGCCAGCAATCATCATCATCCATGCTCACTGCCTGCAGGGGAGGGTGAATAGAGTTTAAACAAACAAGTCAGTTGAGTTCCTCAGTACTCTTTTTTTTTTTTTTTTTTTTTTTAACTCATAACAGACATAATCATTCTGAAAGTGCATTTCAGGATCTGGACTTTTTGAGAGGAAAGGATCTGAGTGTGGGAGGGAGAAGGTGCTCCTAAGGTTAAACCCCCAAAGACAATGGGGATAAGGATGATACCATTAGTAATATATGCATTTTTTGAATTAATGATAATTTTTAAGAACTAGCTTCCCACATACTGAGAGAAAATCAGATAGACATTCATGGGAGAATAAAGTGAAAGATGTGAGCCAGAAAGCTAGACATCTGAGAATGACCCCAATAGGGCGTCCATCCTGCCTGGGAAGAGGGAGGACTGTAGGTGCAGGGGAGCAGGAGGGAGGTGTGCCTGGGAACACCACCAGTCTTTCCAAGTAGCCCCTGGCCTGGAAGGCTCAGAGAAGCTTAGGGTGGGACAAAGGGGACAGAGTCACAGCCCTGACCCAGGAGGACATGGCAGGACAAGTGAGCCGGCAGTGACCAGAAAGTTGAAATGCACCTCATCAGTGGCTAGCAGGGGTCAGGGTCAATCATGAGTGAGAATCCTGCATCTCCTGACTGCTCAATCACTCTCCAGCCTTCCAGAATGCAGAGGGACCCTGGGAAGAGCTGGAGAAGAGAAGAGGAAGAAGGATGGGAGACGGAAGATTCTCAGTTGGAAAAAAAAACAGCAGCAAGAAACTTTGTTTACCTTGTTGGTCAGATTAAATTTCTGCCACCAAAAGAAATCGAGATTGAAAAGCTAAGTTTAATTATGGAGAAAATAAAGTTACATTTTTTTTTGCACAACAAAGTCATTGACTATGAAATTTATAAGCATCATATGAAACAGACAATCTTATGAAACTTACCAAGGATGTTTCCAGCAACCCCTTGTTTAGGGAACAGAGTAAAGGGGAGAAAAGGTAGCATTTTCAAATCTCAAGAAAGTGTTTTATGTCAGAATTCAATTTGTCCCAGAGCACAGCTGTCAAGAGCTTTGTAAATCTAGGCCTCTAGGAGGAGAGGGCTAAAGCACTTTCAGGATAAAGGCTAGAAGCCTAAGGCCCTGATCATTTGGGCAATCCTTGTTATTGCATTTGTTGTTCCATTCTCTGACACTTCTAAAAGGCTGTGGAATCTCCAGATGTGTTCATAAAATAGTGGTAGCAATTATTCATTGCTTCTAGGAAAGGGAAATGGATATGTTACCAACAAAGCCAGTCCCCATACAAATGGAGTCTTTCCCCGTTTAGTGCTGTGAAGCCAATATACAAAACCAAAAGTGAGTGTCAAGTAGTGCAGGCTTTATTCCATGGCCACTGTATTAGTCAGGGTTCTCTTAGAGGGACAGAACTAATAGGATAGATGATAGATAGATGATAGATAGAGAGATAGATAGATAGAGAGATAGACAGATATAAAGGGAATTTATTAAGTATCAACTTACATGATCACGAGGTCCCACAATAGGCTGTCTGCAAGCTGAGGAGCAAGAAGGGCCAGTCCAAGTCCCCAGACTGAAGAACTTGGAGTCCGATGTTCAAAGGCAGGAAGCATCCAGCATGGGAGAAAGATGTAGGCTGTGAGGCTAGGTCCATCTCTCCTTTTCACGTTTTTCTGCCTGCTTTATATTCACTGGCAGCTGATTAGATTGTACCCACCAGATTAAGGGTGGATCTGCCTTCCCCAGTGCACTGACTCAAGTGTTAATTTCTTTTGGCAACACCCACAGGCACACCCAGGATTAATACTTTGTAACCCTCAATCCAATCAAGTTGACACTCAGTATTAACCATCACAAGTCCACCCCTTGTCAACCTGAACCCATACACATCTCCTGAGATCATACATAATCTTCAAATAAAGACAATAATGAGGTCATAATTACATGTAACATAATACAACTATCCATTGTACAACTGGAAAGGCACCAATACCAACCCAAATACTATTACATAAAGTGAACAATACTTAAATGCTGATATGAAGCCAATAAATATTATGTCACATAATAAAGGAAAAGGAAATAAAATTAAGATATTTTCTTCGTACAAGTCTATACATGCACAAACATGTTTTTAACAAAAGAAGGAGGAAATGCTCATGACAGTTACAGTGCTCATTTCTGCAGCTGGTCTTGTGATCATAGCTGGTATTGATGACTACCTTCCTCTACTACCCATTCTGCATTCCCTTTGCCTTCAGCAAGCACCTCAGTAGGTCGTGTTTTTGTTTTTGCTTTTTTTTCCAGTGGAGTGACCCAAACCTTCATTCCTGAAGGGTCTGAGTCATTTGTAGTCCTGCCTGGATTGGCTGTTGCCCCAACCCTGCAAACTATTGTCACTTATTTGGCATTGTAATTGTGACTCCAAAAGGCCATTCCACCATTCTATCAATCCAGCTGCTTCAGGATGATGGGGAACATGGTAAGACCAGTGAATTCCATGAGCATGAGCCCACTGCCCCACTTCCTTAACCGCAAAGTGAGTGCCTTGGTCAGAGACAATGCTGTTTGGCATGCCATGACGGTGGGTAATGCATTTTGTGAGTCCGTGGATGGTAGTCTTGGCAGAAGCATTGCATACAGGATAGGCAAACCCATATCAGGAGTAAGTGCCATTCTAGTGAGAACAAACCTCTGCCCTTTCCATGATGGAAAAGGTCCAATATAATCAACTTGCCACCAGGTGGCTGGCTGATCACCCTGAGGAATGGTGCCATATCGAGGGCTCAGTGTTGGTCTCTTCTGTTGGCAAATTGGGCACTCAGCAGTGGCCATAGCCGGGTCAGTCTTGGTGAGTGGAAGTCCATCTTGCTGAGCCCATGTATAACCTCCATCCCTGCCACCATGGCCACTTTGTTCATGGGTCTATTGGGCGATGACAGGGGTGGCTGGGGAAAGAGGCTGAGTAGTGTCCACAGAATGGGTCATCCTATCCACTTGATTATTAAACTCCTCCTCCACTGAGGTCACCTGTTGGTGAGCACTCACAGGGGATACAAATATCTTCACAGTTTTTGACCACTCGGAGAGGTCCATCTACGTACTTCTTCCTCAAATTTCTTTGTCACCAATTTTCCAATCATTCTTCTTCCAAGTCCCTGACCATCCAGCCAAGTCATTGGCTACAGCCCATGAATCAGTATATAATCGCACACCTGACCATTTCTCATTTCATGTAAAGTGCACTGCTCGAAGTTCTGCCCACTGGGAACATTTCCCTTCACTGCTCTCCTTCAGGGATGTCCTAGAAAGGGGCTGTAGTGCTGCAGCTGTCCACTTTCTGGTGGCGCCTGCATATCGTGTGGAACCATCTGTGAACCTGGCCCTAGTCTTCTCTTACTCTGTCAACTGATCATAGGCCCATCGGTGCAGGCTGGGGGAGAGAAGGCAGAGTGGCAGGAGTGGAGACCATGGGCATTTGAGCCATGTCCTCATGTAACTTACTTGGCCTTCAGGACCTGCTCAAGCCCGATCACATATATACCACTTCCATTTGATGATGGAATGCTGCTGTGCATGACCCACTTTGTGGCTAGATGGGTTGGAAAACACCCAGTTCATGACAGGTAGTTCAGGTCACATGGTGACTTGATGACCCATAGTCAAACGTTCAGTTTCCACCAAAGCCCAGTAACAGGCCAAGAGCTGTCTCTCAAAAGGAGAGTAGTTATCTGAACAAGATGGCAGGGACTTGCTCCAAAATCCTGGAGGCCTCTGCTGTGATTCACCTATGGGAACCTGCCAAAGGCTCCAAACAGCATCCTTATCTACCACTGACACCTCAAGCACCATTGGATTTGCTGTGTCATATGGTCCAAGTGGCAGAGCAGCTTGCACAGCAGCCTGGACCTATTGCAGAGCCTTCTCCTGTTCTGGATCCCACTCAGAACTGGCAGCCTTTCGGGTCACTCAATAAATGGGCCAGAGTAACACTCCCAAATGTGTTGCCTCCAAAATCCAAACAGGCCCACTAGGCTTTGTGCCTCTTTCTCGGTTGTAGGAGGGGCCAAATGCAGCAACTTATCCTTTACCTTAGAAGGAATATCTCGACAGGCCCCACACCACTGGACCCCTAGAAATTTTACTGAGGTAGAAGTTCCCTGAATTTTAGTCAGATTTATTTCCCATCCTCTGGCATGCAAATGTCTCACCAATAAGTCCAGTGTGTTTGCTACTTCTTGTTCACTGGATCTAGTCATCATAATGTCATCATTGTAATGGACCAGTGTGATATCTTGCAGAAGCAAAAAGTGTTCAAGGTCTCTCTGAATAAGATTATGACACAAAACCGGAGAGTTGATATACCCCTGAGGTAGGACAGTAAAGGTATATTGCTGGCCTTGCCAGTTGAAAGCAAATTGCTTCTGGTGGGCCTTATGGACAGGAATGGAGAAAAAGCATTTGCCAAGTCAATTGGTGCATACCAGGCACCAGGAGACATGTTAATTTCTGGACCCTTCCCACTGGGATGATTAGGTCTAAAGTGACTAATCCACTCCACCATCCCAATCTCCCTAAGCCTTTGGATCCCTTCCTCTACATTAAACCAGGAGAGATCAGGCATTTCCAGCTGGCTCACAGTGGGCCATCTTTTATTCCATATTTCAGCTAACCAAGCAAATAAACTATTAGAATCTTTTGTAACTCCCCAATCTGCAACATTAAATGCAGAATCCCTACTTAGTGGGCCCAAATCAATAAATTCAGCCTGATCCAACTCTATGTTCCTTCCACCATTACCCCATACCCTTAACATCCATTCCCATGCCTGTTCTCCAGATTGCTGTTTTTATAAATTAGAGAACTCAAACAGTTCTTTTGAAGTGCCATGCACCTCCTCATGGGTCACACTCTCAATCTCACTTCCAGGGGCCCACTGGGACTTTAGTTACAGGTCTAGACTGTCATCAGTGTAATGGACCAGAATTTAGTGTAGTTACATGTCTAGACTGTCATCAATGTAGTGGGCCAGCAAACAGGGGTGTTGGGTGTGGCTCCTGAGGGGAATCAACATTACTTTGCCTGGCAACTGCCTCAGGGGAGGCCATCACTGTTGCCTCAGGCAGCACAGGGTTTATCTGTGGACAAAGGTGGAAAGGCTGATGGCAGCATGGGTCAGGGAGCGGATGTTGCCACTACTGGGGATTGGGAAGCTGTTCCTTCTGGCAAAAAAGGTTCATCAGAGTTTACAAACTCAGTGTCCCCAGCTTCATCTGGGTGCTCCCACATTTCCCCATTCCAAGTTGCAGGGTCCTATTCTTTTCCAATCAATGCCCCCACTTTAACAATAGACACCTGGTGAGGCTGTGCATGCCCCTTTTGTTGCAGGTCAGCCACTTGCATGATAAAAGCTTGTGTCTGTTTTTCTACAATTTCAGCTCTTTCTGTACAGGAGATAAGGTTCTCACTCAGGGCAATCTTAGCAGATTTGAAGCTTAGTATCTATTTCTGAAGCCGGGAGACAATCCCTGAGTTCATCATTTTCTTTCAACACTTTGTATACTGAACTTAAGAGCAACCAACCAGCTTCATTATGTTCCTTGGTTCTCCGCATATGGTCAAAGGTATTATGTATAGAGTCACTAAACTCCTTGCCTCTCATGAGCAGTGAAATCAGGAGTGTCAAATGCATTTATTTTGCCTAACTATCTAAACCGTTCACACCAAGGACTATCAGTCTTCTCCATACTATTAGACATACAGTCCTTAGCATTTTGGGGTCTAACCATATTAAGCAGCCAATTCCAGAAACCCCAAAACCAACGAAAGAACTCAATCCTTAATATTCTGTTTCTCTAGAACCACTCCTGGTACCAAAATCTGTATTAGTCAGGGTTCTCTTAGAGGGACAGAACTCATAGGATATATATAGAGAGAGAGAGGGGAGATTTATTAAGTGTTAACTTACACGATCACAAGGAAACATCCAGCATGGGAGAAAGATGTAGGCTGGGAGGCTAGGCCCAGCTCTCCTTTTCATGTTTTTCTGGCTGCTTTATATTAGCTGGAAGCTGATTAGATTGTGTCCACCAGATTAAGAGTGGATCTGCCTCCCCCAGCCCACTGACTCAAATGTTAATCTCTTTTGGCAACACCCACACAGACACAACCAGGATTAATACTTTGTATCCCTCAATCCAATCAAGTTGACATTGATTAACATCACAGCCAGGGAACTGAGAAGCAGGAGCCTGGCTCACAAATCAACTTCTTAGCTCAGAGAGCCGGGAAATCACAGATAATAGGATATATTTAATGAAGGGGTTGGGCATTAAAAGCAGGGGGAGGAATATTCATGTATTTTCTGAGAATGGGTGGAGAGCTTCTTGGAATTGGAGTTCTTGCCTTTCTTTTGGTCCTCTTATGGTTTCTTCAGTTGTTGTCATGGAGATTGTCAATTGTCATGGTGCTGGTGGGAGTGTCATTTAGCATGGACATTAGATTATAATGAAGTTACAAGTTCATCGGAGGTCAAGTGAGCTGCCATCTTAGACCCCAGCAGTCTTAGTCTGTTGGTCCCGAGGGGGAACTTTGGACCTCAGGCATCCTGTTTTCTGAAGATAAGCAGAGTTAAAGTGGCGTAGAAATTTACCTAGGTCACATAGACATTACCCTGGGTAACAGATATTTTGGTGACAGAGCTAGGAGGGAGATTTACTTTCTGGTTGGGTATCTTTTTATGCCTTTTGAATTGTATATAATGTCTACTGTTATCTATTCAAAAATTATTAATTTAAAAACCATTAAGTGCATGATATCAAACTCCTTGGTGGGCGCTCATCTGTCAGAAGTTCTAATGGGTGGGTAGGGCCTTGAATCTGCAGACTTCATCTGGAGTCACAGATATAATAACTTCCTCTACAGACAGCTTGAAAGATTCAGGGATTCACTCTTTTCAAGAAATGAAGGGGGAGAACAAGACAAGCCCTTCCAACCTTCCAAATCAAGGAGATATAGAAAGGTAGGATGGAAGGCAAAGAGGTTTACTATGCCAAGGTAGACCTGTTTAGGCAGGTTACAGAAAAGAAGAGCTAATATAAATCAAATAGGTCTGCAAAGATTACACATACCAGTGTCCTCACACTGTGGATCTACCTCTAGACCTTTCAGAGCCTTGGTTTTCTCATCTTTAAAATGGGAATAATAATATCTACCTTAGGTTTTTTGTCGTTGTAGTTGTTGTTGTTTTTGTTTTTTGTTTTTTGTTTTCCCCAGAGACAGGGTCTCACTATGTTTCCCAGGTGGAAATGCGGTGGCTATTCACAGGCACGATCCCACTACTAATCAGCATGCGAGTTTTGACCTGCTCCATTTCTGACCTGGGCCGGATCACCCCTCTTAAGGCAACCTGGTAGTCCCCTGCTACCAGGAGATCACAATGTTAATGCCGAGCTTAGTGTGGACACCAATTGGCATAGTGCACTGTAGCCCAGAACTCCTGGGCTCAAGCAATCTTCCTGCCTCAGCCTCCCATGTAGCTGGGACTACAGGCACATGCCACCATACCTGAGATTTTGCAAGGATTAAAAAAGACTATATATGAAACTCATAGCAGTATAGCACCTGGCGCTTTAAGGAGCTTGGTAAATGCTGGCACTTTTCCCCTTCAAGTCCCTAGCTGAAGGAAGAGAGGACCCCCTAAGGAAATGAATCAGGAGTCACTGTAAATAACCAACATCTCCTTGAGGAGCCCAGGGACATAGGGTCCCGAGATTTAGAAGCTGCTAACACTGCCTGAAGAAATTATTTCCCTGCAGCTGTGCTGGTCTCCTAGTAGGGAATGTTTCCGTAGAAGGGGATAGTCTCCCAGACCATCCTCCATCAAGTCCCATCAAGCCCATCTTCCCTGAGAGACATTAATTTTGATTTTCTGATTCCTTCTGAATATATATATTTTACACACTTATCGTATAGAGCCATCTCTTGATATCCACAGGGGATTGTTTCTAGGAATTCCCATGGCTTCCAAAATCTACAGATGCACAAATATCTCTGATATAAAATAGCATATTATTTGCCCATAACCTATGCACATCCTCCCGTATACTTTCATCTCCAGATTACTTAGAATACCTAAACAATGTAAGTGCTGTTAATAAATGTAAATGTAAATCATTGTTATACTGCATTGTTTTTTATTTGTATTTTGTTATTATTATTATTTAGTTTTTGAGACAGGATTTTGCTCTAGCGCCCAGGCTGGAGTGCAGTCACGTCATCTCAGCTGTCTGTAACTTCTGCCTCCGGGGCTCAAGCAATCCTCCTGCCTCAGCCTCCCAAGTAGCTGGGACTACAGGCATGTGCCACCTCACCCCACTAATTTTGATATTTTTTGTAGGATCAGGTTCTTGTTATGTTTGCCCAGACTGGTCTCGAATTCCTGAGCTCAAATGATCCACCTTAGCCTCCCAAAGTGCTGGGATTACAGGTGTGAGCCATCACATCTGGCCTGTTGTGCTTTCTTTCCCAAATATTTTCCATCCATTGTTGACTGAATCCACAGATGTGGAACCCACATATACGAGGCATTGGCTGTATCCAAAAATGAAACTTATTAAAAGGTAGAAAAATGTGCCATGATTTTGTCTCTCAATTCTTTTCTTCCATTTTCCTGTATGCTAGACTCAGTGGGAACCCAAGAGAGAAGGAGTTTAGAAGGGAGAACAGGTAGAGATAAGTGGGAAAGAGAGGGCGCCAAGACCCTCAAGTCTGTAAAGGGTGAATGCAGACTGCAGTACAGGACTGCCACCTGGTCTCTGGTCTCAGCCTCGAGGAAGAGCTGTGGCTATGTCACCATCCTCAGCTCATCTTGCTCCCTTGATCCCTGCCTCTGCTTGCTCGGCTCCTGGCCTCCTTGGAGGAAAATGCCTGTGTCAATGGGAGCATGATGGAGGGTTCCAGGTTGAGGTGGGATAGGGGGATGAGGACATGTTTGCATGAACATGTCCTAAAGGAACATGTACATAAGGAAATGGACTCCCATCTGGAGAGTGAGCTGGGGGAGGTGGGCACTGCAAGGAGTAGGAAAACAGGCCGGATGCCTAGAAGTTGCTCCATAATCCATAGTTCCTTTCGAGTGTCCTGCTTCATCTGTTCTGGCTTCTGTCCCCACCCGGAAACCTGGAGAAACCTCAAATGGAACGTCAAGTAAGCAGATTCCAGCTCTCTGGGCCCAGGGTGAGAAAAGGAAGTTGTATGAAAAGAGGAGAAAGGAAAAAAACAGTCTCATATTGTGCAACAGGTGAAGTCCCACATTGCCCCACTTCGAGGATTCCATTCTGCTGTTTGTAATTGCTGGTGAAGCATTTCTTCATGAGGCTGCCCAGGCCTCCTGCAGCCTTCCCTGGTGGTCTTGCCTCTGTGGAGCTGAGCTCCTCCCTTTCCATTAGCTGAGGGGCAGGGAGGATTGGGAAAGGGACTCCATCGTGAGGGAGAAGACCCAGATTCTGGCCCTGACCTTGCCTGCTCAACAATGAACCAGAGACAGGTCATGGCTCTGCTCTGGGCTGCATCTGACAGATGAGAGGATGGATTCTTTCCCGGACAGGAATCCAGGACCCCTCAGAGCACCCTAGATGTCTCAAGAAGAGGCATGCTTCCTAAGGGTCTTGGACCCTGGATCAAGCCTCAGCCCCAGAACTCAGTTGCTGAAGCAGATCTCCTCTTGGGATGCCTCTCCTCATTATAGTTCATCTCCTTGAGGTGTGTCCCTCTCACCCTGGGTTCCTCCTGCAGGGAGGTTTGGCTCACCCTCTAGAATGCTCCCTTTCCTGCCACACTGAGCTATTGGGGGCCGCTATCAGTGACGCGTCAGTTGGTGGTTGTATTTGTTCCTATTGCTGCTGTAAAAAATTACCACACACTTAACATCTTATAACCACATATTTATTCTCTTAAAGTTCTGGAGGTGAGAAGTCTGAAATTAGTTTCACTAAGCCACACTCCCTTTGGAGGCTCTAGGGGAGGAAAAATTTCCTTGCCATTTGCAGCTTCTAGAGCTGCATCCTAACACTTCTTGGCTCCTGGCCTCTTCCTCCATCTTCCAAGCCAGCAGCATAGCATCTTGCTTCTGTTGTCACATTGCTATCTTCTCCTCTATTACCAAATTCTTCTCTTCCTCCCCCTTATAAGGACACTTACAACTGCATTTAGGGCCTGACCAAATAATTCAAGGTAATCACTCATCTCAAGATTCTTAACTTGATCATATCTCCAAAGTCCATTTTGCTATAAAAGTGACATTCACAGGTTCTGAGGAATAGGATGTGTGCACCTCGGGGGCCATTATTCAGCTACCGTAGTGATCTATACCTTGTCTCTGGCCTGGAGTCATCCATTCTCTCTCCCATCCCGTCGCCTCAGAATAGAATTGCATATCTTTCTCAAAATCCACACTCTAATCTTACAGGCCATCCCAACTCCCCTTCCCTTCACTTTCTTTAGGCTCTGAGAACATTCTAGGAGACTGCTCTCCAACAGAACTTTCTGCAATGATGGACAGAAAGCCCGTAATCCGTGCTGTCTAACATGGGAGCTAGCCACATGGAGCTACTGAGCACTTGAAATGTGACTAGTGTGACTCAGGAACTGAATTTTAAATTTTATTTCATTTTAATTAAATGTAATGAAAACGTAAATAGCCACTTTGGCCAGTGGCTAACATATTAGACAGCTCAGATCTAGGCAAATGAAAGCAGAAACTATGGCCAGGCACATTCTTTGCTGCTAGCCTCTTCCTACACCTGTTTTGGATCAGCTCTGCCCCCTAACCTCCTTCTCTCAGTCCCCGCAGAATCTGAAAGAAGTTTCCACTGGGGCTCTGGAATGATGAGGGTGACTAAGGGCAGGACAAGGAAGGGAATTGTGTCTGTTGACCCCAGAGAAGTGCAGGGCCCCAATTCTGCTTTTGCATAGGACTAAGAACACTCAAATGATTTTCAAGATAGTCTCCGCCTTGTTCTTACTCAACCGGTCTCCCTTTTGAGGACCACAGAGATGCGTCACTAGGGAAGGTGTGCAGGAAAGGGCCCGAGCCTGGGAGCTGGCATTGGCCAGGCTCCTGCTCTGCTATGCACTCGCTGAGTGGCACGTGGCAAGTTACTTCCCAGGCCTTGGCCCTCAGTTTCCATAAAATGAGAGGGTTGGACCAGATGGTCTAAACTTTCCTTTTAGCTTTAGTAGACTACGAGTCTGTGTCCCATGGATCAGGCTTTATTGTGCATGTAATTCTACTTCAGAGTTGTGTTGTGTCTGACCCATGGAATAGGCAGTTCTGATTGAAGGATAATTAAGTAGAAGTGGCTTTAGGTTACTCCTGCAACACTTCCAAACAAAACCTCCATCCTGCTGTCCTCATGACAACACTTCACAGTAGATTGGGATTTAGAGTGCTGATCTGTCAACTAACTAATCTAATCCTCATGATGATCCTGACAATTGCTAGGTCCATTTTAAGTGAAAAGGCTGAAGCTCAGAGAGGGAAGGAGAGAAACTTCCAGGTGCCTGGTCCTATGATGGGTGCTTTATACATCACCTTATAACAGCCCTTCGAAGTGGTTAATATTATCCCCATTTCACACTTGTGAACACCGAGGTCTAATAAGGCAAGATGACTTTCCCAATGTTATAATAATAATAAGATGATGAAGTCACTCTTCTCACTCTTCTTCCGCCTTTGCTGTGCTGCTTCCCCTCTTTACAACTCCCCCCACAAGATGTTGAAATGATAACCTCCTTTTCTGGGGCATTCTTTCATGACACTCCCCAAGCAGGCCTACAAGCTTCAGCAAGTCACTTCACCTCTCTGTGCCTCTGTTTCCTTAACTGTGAAACTCGGTGCAACAGTCCCTAGTTCATAAGGGTGTTAAAACCCTTGTTGAAAGTACGCAGTGAGATCGTGTATTAAGAGTGTTCAGCCCAGAGCTCATATTAAGGACTCAGCAATTGCTCATTCTTACTGTTTTGGGAAACTGTAGTTTGTCCCTCCCAATGGTACCAGGCAATTCCTTTTACCCCCAAATCAAATTAAAATCACAAAGAAACTGTCTGCATTTTATTTTAAAGTTTTATTATGAAAACACACAGAATCAAATGTGTTATCCATGTATTTGCAACAGCAGAGAAACAGTGACAGTGGACCATCCCCATAGGGGACACTTATCCTTTGGCTAAACTAATATAAATAATGGAAATGACACCTAATACAATAACACGGCACATAAAAAAGATTAAATTAAGAGAAGGGACAGGAACTGCGGAGAGGAGTCCTGAGTATGGAGGAGATGTGTCTCATGGAGAAGCATCCGGGCTCAGGTGACCTTCCCTGAAGACTTCCTGTCTCTGAGCAGCTCAGTTCAGTTCCAGGTCATACACGTACTCCTGGACCCAGGATTCACTGGGATCAGCACAGACTTGCTTGCTTCTTTTGGTTTGGAATCTGTAGAACAAGGAGCGGACAGATTAGAATCTCATGAGACCTTTGAGGTCATCTGGCTTTATCCTTTGCATCTTCCTCTGCCTGACCATGGTCCATGTGGGGCAGCTCTGGTGGATGGGATCCTTCCTGGAGCAGCACTGGAAGCAGACTCCCTGTAACTTCCACCCACTGGATTTAGCTGTGGGCCCCAGGAGTTGCCCAGATTAGGAACCAAGGGGCATTGCAATCAATATGAATAGATCTCCCCATTCCCTGCCAGCCTGGCAGTGACTTTTCCACATGTCTTTCTAGCACGGTTTAAGGAATCGGTCCATATCTCATGGGACCTGTCTGCCTTCCCCTGCTTCCCTGTCCTCTGAATAACTTCCTCCCCAGCAACCCCCTTCTCTCTCGGCTCCCACTCTGCCGCCTTCAGCACTTGAAAAGTGAGTTCATGACCTGTGTCCTCACTGCTCTCAGGGAAGGCTTCAGCCCTGGGAGCTGCCTCCCCAATGCTCAATCACCCCCTCCCCAAAACAGGCCCTCTTTTAAAATCCAGCCCTCACCCTTGCCTCCCAGGGCAGCCCAGGGGTTGATACTCACACCACAGCTGGCTGGGAGCAGAGGCTGCTGGTCTCATAGTAATCTACCACAAAGTTGCGAGGAAGCTTCCTCGCGGTGTAAGAAAAGCAGCAGGCGGTGGGAGGGTCTGAGCCCACTGAAAGGAAAGGCCAGGGTGAGATCAACACTGCCCGTGGGAGCTGTTTATTTTGACTTCTAATTTTGTATCTTCATTGAGCATCCCTGTGGAGCTACCAGAACCCCAAATATCCATTCCCACCTAACATGAGCAGGAGTCTTATTTTGAATAGTGGATCTTCAGAGAAGAACGAGAAAGAAATCTAGAAGATTGGAACTGGATTCAGTCTCAGAACACATCGCACTCCCTTCATATGACAGATGGGGAAACCAAGGCACAGAGAGGGACAGGGGCTTGCTTGAACAAATAATTAAAGGCAGAGCCAATTCAACAGTCTGACTTCCAGCCCATCGTTTTCCTCTGCTGGTTGCTAATTCTTAAGAAAATAGGAACTTGAATGTTATTGAATATCTACTAGACTCTACATTTAGCAGCAGACTACATGGCAATCTTCCTAGCTGCCTTTTGTCCCATCCCCAGATCCCACTGTTTGCCAGCCATGACTAGAAAAAAGGACTCTGCCTACACCTTGACTCGAAATAGCAGCTGCAAAAGTAGACTTACTTGGTGCTGAGAGCGCTGGAGAGCAGAAGGCAGCTACTAGCATGAGGAGAGACAGGACAGTCACGCAGAGCTTCATGGTATTGGTGGAAAAGAGGTTTTCTCAGAGGTGAGGCTGCAGAACTCAGAAGCTTCAGAACCCAGCTGTGTCCTGTGCTGATACTGACTTGGGAATCTCTCTTTATAGGGACTCTGAGGCCTAGGACAAATGTGGGGGCACAGGAGAGTGAGTGGAATTTCCATGGTAGAGATGACGTCATGCTCCTGAAGCTAGCTGAGTGAGGAGTTCCTCTCAGCTTCTCTTCCCCAGGGCGATGTCATCATAGAGGAAAGATGAGGGAGGTGCAGGCGAGAAGAAAAGGGAAGTGGTACAGCCAAAGGCAGTGACCGAGACTGGGGAGAGAGTTGCAAACCCCAGAGGAAAAGATGAAATGTTCACACCTGCTACAAGTGGCTTGTAGACAAGAACTGTGCTGCTCTTGGTGGTTGGCACCCTCAGATGCTGGAGGGTTCATGTCAGTCTTTCCAGGCTGGCCACAAGCCTGACCCCAAGAACAAAGTGGGAGCCAGGACTCCCCCATCCCCTTCCTGTGCCTTCTTCTGCTGAGCTGAGTGCCACTGACTTTTGTGCCTTATATGTTTCCTTGGGCATGAAGAGTCCAGCATTGGATGTGAGGAGGGACCCAGTAGGGTGGCTCAGGAACATTTGTAACTTCTTATTGGACACTTACCTTGTACCAGGCACTGGAAAAGCTGTGTTACACACATTATATATAATCCTACCATAATCTTGAGCAGGGGTGTCTAATCTCATTTTACAGACAAGGCAATTGGGGATCAGAGAGTGGTCCACTGATGCGCTCAATGCCACAGAGCTGATGAATGGCACTGCCAAGATTTGAATCAAGATTCACCTGACTCCAAAGTCCATTTTCTTTCCATGCTGTAGTCTCCTGAATAAACATAGAATGTGACCACAAAGAGAACCCGTTGACTGATAGACTGCTAGGAGCTATTCCACACTCAAAGACTGACTATATTCGGACTTAATTCAGGAAGGGGATAGGGCTAGTCTGTCCTAGGACAAGGAGGAAACGGAGAAGAAATAAAGATTTCAGGATATTTTCTTGGACCAGCAAAAGAACAGGACAAATTAACCAGTAAGAATCAAGTTTGGAAGACCCAGATAGAGAATGTTCTTCTAGTATAAAAACAGGATTGAGCTGGGTACAGGGCCTCACACCTGTAATCCCAGCACTTTGGGAGGTCAAGGCAGGCAGATAGCTTGAGCCCAGAAGTTCGATACCAGACTGGGCAACATGGTGAAACACTGTCTCTATAAAAAAATATTTTGGCTGGGAGTGGTGATACACACCTGTAGTCCCAGCTGCTCAGTAGGCTGAGGTGGGAAGATCACCTGAGCCCAGAAAAGTCCAGGCTGCAGTGAGTGGTGATTGTGCCACTGCACTCCCGCTTGTTTGACAGAATGAGACCCTGTCCCAAAAACAAAACAAAGCAAAACAAAACGAAACAGAATTATATACCTAGTAATTAGTTTATCTATGTTACAGGCAAAATGTGTAATCTAAGGATGTGGGTGTGTCCCAGCCAGTCCATAGGGAATGCCCATGCTCATGTTAAGCCCTGGCTGGTTTGACAGTTGCTGGGCACCTGTACAGAAGGTGAAGCTTACAAAGGCCCTGCATACAGGAATGTGCAAGGTTGGACAAATGAAGGGAATGAGGATAATTGGATCAAGACCTCTATCTGCCTTTAGCTCCACTACTCTAACCCACCTGCTCACCTTTAACCCCACATTGTTACCTGCTCTTCTCTGAGAAAGAAAAAAGAAGAGTAAAAAAAGGGAGCCATGACTTCAAACTATACCACAGGGCTGCAGTAACCAAAACAGCATGGCTTTGGTACAAAAACAGACTCATAGACCAATAGAACAAAATAGAGAGCTCAGAAATAATGCTGCATACCTGCAACCATCCGAACTTTGACAAAGTTAACAAAAACAAGCAACAGGGAAAGGACTTCCCAGTCAATAAATGGTACTGGGATAACTGGCTAGCTGTATGCAAAAGATTGAAACTGGACCCCTTCCTTACACCATCTGTAAAAATCAACTCACAATGGGTTGAAGACTTAAATGTAAAACCTAAAATATAAAACTATAAAAATATGATACCTGTAAGATAACCTAGACAATATGATTCTGGGCATAGGATCTGGCAGATATTTCATGATGAAGATGCCAAAAACAAATCACAACAAAACCAAAAACTGACAAATGGGATCTAATTAAACTAAAGAGCTTCTGCACAGCAAAAGAAATTATCAGCAGAGTAAAGAGATAACCTACAGAATGGGAGAAAATATTTACAAACTATGTATCTCACAAAGGTCTAATATCCAGAATCTATAGGGAATTTAAACACATGTACAAGCAAAAAACAAACAACTCCGTTAAAACGTGGGCATTGAACATAAACAGACACATTTCAAAAGAAGACATACACGCGGCCAAGAAACATACAAAAAATGCTCAGCACCACTAATCATTAGAGAAATGCAAATTAAAACCACAATGAGATACCATCTCAAACCAGTCAGGATGGCTATTTTTAAAAAGTCAAAAAATAACAGATGTTGGTGAGGCTGTGGAGAAAAGGAACACTTATACACTGCTGGTGGGAATGTAAATTAGTTCAGCCATTGTGGGAAGCAGTTTGGCGATTTCTCAAAGAACTTAAAACAGAATTACCATTCAACCCAGCAATCCCATTATTGGGTATATACCCAAAGGAATATAAATCATTCTACCATAAAGACATGTGCACATGTATGTTCATCGCAACAGTATTCACAATAGCAAAGACATGGAATCAACCTAAATGCCCACTGATGGTAGACTGGATAAAAAAAATTTGGGATATATATATATATATATCATGGAATACTTCTCAGTCATAAAAAAAAAAAAAGAACAAGATCATGCCCTTTGCAGCAACATGGATGGAGCTGGAGGCCATTATCTTAAGCGAACTAACACAGGAACAGAAAACCAAATACTGCATGTTCTCACTTATAAGTGGAAGCTAAACATTGAGTACACATGGACACAAAGAAGGGAACAGCAGGCACCAGGGCCTACTTAAGGGTGAAGGGTGGGAGGAGGGTGAGGATAAAAAAAACTACCTATTGGGTACTATGCTTATTACCTGGGTGATGAAATAATCTGTACACCAAACCCCCCGCAACACACAACTTACCTATATAACAAACCTGCACATGTACCCCTGAACCTAAAATACAAGTTAAGAAAAAAAGGGACCCACAGCATCTGGGAGCCATAGGAGAGGTTGGAGCAGCATCCTGGGGTACTTCAGGGTCATTAAATAAAGTACAAGGTCATCCTGCCTCAGCACTCTCCCTCACTCCCCACCCGCACACACAAGCTGCACTTCTCTCATCTGTTCTCTCCCCCTTTTCTTTGTACAGCTCTTTTTTCAAATGTTCTGATCTTCTCCAAGACCCTCGCCCCCAGCTGTAATGTTCCGAGTTCCCTGATAGCAGATGTGTTAGTACCTCTCCTGGCCTTTCCTAGTTGGTGCAGTTTCATCTTCATGCATCGAGGACCTCACTTTAAGGGAAGCAGAATGTGTCTCATGTCCTCTGGATTAACACAGACTTCGTTATCTATGACATTTTTATTCAACCCAATGTACTAACCATCTGCTCTTTGCCAGGGCAGACAGAGCTGAATGAAGCCCCATCCCTGCCCTCGAAGAGTTCCATGTCTAGTGATGGCATTGACAGTGACAGAAATAACTATCCCATGAGGAGGAATAAGCTAAGTGTCATGTCAGAGGAAGAAACAAAGTGTCAGGAAGGCTGAAGGATGGAGAAGGCTGTCTATTAGCTGTAGATGAGTAGTTTCAAGTTAAGTCTCAATCCCCACTAAAGCAGCTGTCTGAATGAGCAGGGTGGAGGGGTTAGGAGGAAGCCTGTTCTGGGGCTTCAGGAGAATAATGATTGATAAAATGGGTGATTAGTCATCACTGAGCCATACAATGAGTTTGTCTGTTGACTTTTGTTTCCTCGCCTTGATCTGATCTTTGGCTCATGGGGGTAAAAGGTTTTGAGAGATCTTCATGAAGATCCTAACAACAATACTATGTCTGCACCAGTGGAAGTCCACACTGAGAGTAAAAAGGACTTGTATCATTTCGTTTAGCCATATTAACTTCCCCCACCCCAAGATTTAGGCACTGGTGCCATTTAGAACTCCTGGAGGGCAAATGTGGAGACTGGAAAGCCAAGGAGAGCCAATAATCAATGATAACAAATGACTCTCAGATACATGACGAAAAAGATTCCCATCTTCCCTAGAGAAACTTTCCTGACCTCTTTCCCAAGTAAACTCTGTATCCTTCACTGTGCTCCTACAGTCTCCTGAACTATTTCTTCTTACCACCTATGACATATTTATCTATTCCTGTGGTTGCCTCCCCAACTAGAAAGTGAGCTCCTTGATGCAGAAACTGTTTATGCTTATCTCCATGGAGGGAATGTGATGAGTAACATGGACTCAAGATGTGGACCCCTATATAGCCAAATGAGTAAACCAAGTATGAATGAACTGGGTGTTCTGACATTCCACCCAAAAGGTGATTCCTCAGCCCTGATAGTGTGGTACTTCCCCTTCTCCCCCACCCTCAACCCACGCATCCAGTAGTTTTATCACAATGGATACTATTCTTGGACTCAACTGTTTTTAGCTCAGGGTTGCAAGAAGTGACAGCAAGGGTCATCCTTGGTTCCAGGGAGCTCCATTCAGAGGTCCACCCCCTCACCCTGAGCAGGGAAGCCCTTCTTTCCCCCTCACTTGTGGTCATTTAGAGGTTCCCCCTCCACATCCTTGACCACCACTATATTCATAACTCCATTCTGGGCATTTTTACATTTGTCTTGTCATGTTGTCCTCAACCTCCCAGGCTGCAGACAGGCCCAGCAGCCACAGCAGTAACATGACCTTGAAAATGTCCTGGTATTTTTTCATTTTCCTCAGTATATCCATGGCCTGTGGTTTTACCTGATCCCAATCTGTTTTGCCACGGTACAGAAGAGGAAAGCAAAACCTAGAGAAGTGAAAAGACCCGATCAAGGTCACACAGGATGCATGTCAAGACCCAGGGTCTTCAACTCCCAGTTCAGTGATGACCAGAGTCCCTCTACAGGTATGAGCCTCTGAGATTACACATAGAGGCAATCTCTGATCATAACACACTCAGTCAATCTGGACATCCTGGCTTCTCCTAGAGTGTTGAGGAGACCACTGGGTGTTGGGGCCAAGAGGTAGCCTCTAGGAGGTGGGATGCATAGAACTAGAGAACCCCTGGAGGGCAAATGTGGAGACTGGAAACCCAAGGGGAGCTGGAACATAGGGTCATTTTGCCAAGATAATAAACCAAGAAGAGGCAAATCCTGTAGTTTTGCCAATATGGTGTCCAAGTCACTTTGGAGGAAATGGGAGCAGAAGCTGGATTGTGAATTGAAGAAACAAATACACAATTATCCAGAGTGCAGAATTCTTCAGGATGAAATCTGTAGGACAATGAGCTGGTTGGAGCAGCTCATCAGTGACTGTCACACTCTGACTACGGAGCTGGCCAGCCCCACGCTTCTTACCATGGAAATGGACCTTCGTCGCCTGCCACAACCTGCTCTTGCTTGTGAAAGGCAGAGGTCAGGAACTTCAGGCAATGCTAAATTCCTGAGAGAGGGATAAAGCCTCACCAGCATTCATGAGGTCAAGAAAACTTTCAGTATTCCTTGTGAAGCATCTTCCTTCAAATTGTTTCTGGCCTCTTTCCATGCAGGTCATAGGGAATACTCCAGCAAGAGATGAACATAATTCAGTAAAGCTTTATTGAGTAACTACTGTGTGACAGGCATTGTGTCTGAGGGTGAGGGTATGCACTTTAGATGGTGGTAGTGTAGTGTTAAGGAAGGCCTCCAAAAAATGTGAGACCTGAATTTTTTTTTTTGAAAAAAATTTATAGGCCAGGCATGGTGGCTCATGCCTATAATCTCAGCACTTTGGGAGGCCGAGGTGGGTAGATCATCTGAGGTCAGGAGTTTGAGAACAGCCTGGCCAACATAGTGAAACCCCATCTCTACTAAAAATACAAAAACTTAGCTTGGCATGGTGGCACATGCCTGTAGTCCCAGCTACTCAGGAGGCTGAAGCAAGAGAATCTCTTGAATCTGGGAGGTGGAGATTCCAGTGAGCCGAGATCGCGCCACTGCACTCCAGCCTGGGTGACAGAGTGAGACACTGTCTCAAAAAAAAAAAAAAATTATATTAGTTTGGTTTTCTTTTATAGAAAATATACATGGTCATTGTACAAAATTGAGAAAATATAGGGAGGCATAAATAAGAAAATTAAAATTGCCCTATCATTCTGTACCTAGTTTTATATTTTATTATTGGTACTTAATAGTCTTTTATGAACCAGTGTATCTTATTATTGTTACTTAATCTTCTTCTGTGTCATTACAAACTTAAATATTACTCAAAAATGGCATGAATATATGCATGGTATTTTATTGCATAGATATACCAAAAGTTGTATTTAATCACTCTGCTATTCACATCTGTCCATTTATGTTGCTCTAACTTTTCTCTATTGTAGGTTGAACTGAGATTAGCCAGGCAAAGACAGGCACAGGGGTATCCAGGCAAAGAACAAGAGACCTGCACTTGTTTTTGATGTAAAATGGATATATTGAAATATTGCAATAATAATAAAATAGTAATAGTAATAATAGTAGATAGCACTTAACACAGCACTTTTTATGAACCAGTAATGTTCTCTGCCTTTCATAGATATTAATGCATTTAATCCTCACAGTGGCCCTCTGAGGTAAGTGCTGTAACTATCCCCTTTCACACACGAAGAAACTGAAGCACAGAGAGGTACGTAACCTATGGAAAAACACACAGCTGACATACAACAGATTTGAAGCTGAAGCCAAGAAGTCTGGCTCTAGAGCATGAATAAATCACAAAAGGGAAGTGTGCTGTATTATAAATTTATGTTAAAAGCACAACAGCCAAAGTTTCTGTTATTCTAATGTAAAATGTCTTTTCTGTTTTGCATTTTGCATGTCTTTGAACAGCAAGATCCATGGATTTCCTCTTTTCCTTAGAAAATGTGGGGAATTACAGGCCAGGCTTGGTGGCTCACACCTATAATCCCAGCACTTTGGGAGGCCAAGGCAGGCGGATCACTTGAGGTCACGAGTTCAAGACCAGCCTGGCCAACATGGTGAAACCCTGTCTCTACAAAAAATATAAAAATTAGCCAGGCGTGGTGGTGCACGCCTGTAATCCCAGCTACTCAGGAGGCTGAGGTGGGAGAATCACTTGAACCCGGGGAGAGGGGTAGGTGGGATCGGAGGTTGCAGTGAACCGAGATTGAGCCACTGCACTGCAGCCTGGGCGACACAGTGAGACTCCATCCAAAAAAAAAGAAAAAGAAAAAGTAAAGAAAATTTGGGGAATGATGTAGTGTTTTTCCTTAATTGTTCTAAATATTAATCCCTGCAGCTGTCATGGGATGTGCCCACTTTTGTAGTATTACACTCTGCCTTGTGGCTTACAAGAAGGGGAAACTGTGCTCTACCAAGTCAACACCTCCTTCATTAAAAGCAGGGAAGAAAGCTGCACATTTAAGGAACCACAGGTAGTGCAAATAGGCTGTCTTGGTTTTCAGGAAGTCTCAACTTGGCAAGCCACAAGGCCAAAGAGGTAGACAGGGGTCAGGTTACAGAGAAGCTTCCATTTCATGCCAGAAGCAATGTAGAATGTTTGCAAGATTTTAAAAGGAGAGAAACAGAGACTGATTTGAGCTTTAGCAAAATTATGTTGGATGCTGTGTGGTGGGATAGATTAAAAAGAGACAAAACTAGGCCAGGCGTGGTGACTCACTCCTATAATCAATCCCAGCACTTTGGGAGGCCGAAGCAGGCAGATCACTTGAGGCCAGGAGTTCAAGACCAGCCTGGCCAACATGGTGAAACCCCATCTCCACGAAAAATACAAAAAAATTAGCAGGGCATGGTGGCACATGCCTGTAATCACAGCTGCTAGGAAGGCTGAGGCACAAGAATTGCTTGAGCCTGGGAGGCCAAGGTTGCGGTGAGCCAAGATCGAGTCACTGCACTCCAGCCTGGGCCACAGAATGAGACCTTGTCTTGGAAGAAAAGAAAGAAAGAAAGAAAGAAAGAAAGAAAGAAAGAAAGAAAGAAAGAAAGAAAGAAAGAAAGAAGGAAGGAAGGAAGGAAGGAAGGAAGGAAGGAAGGAAGGAAGGAAGGAAGGAAGGAAGGAAGGAAGGAAGGAAGGAAGGAAGGGAGAGAGAGAGAAAGAGAGAAAGAAAGGAAAGAAAGAAAGAAAGAAAGAAAAAGAAAGAAAGAGAGAGAAAGGAAGGAGGGAGGGAGGGAGGGAAGGAGGGAGGGAAGGGAGTTGCTAAGACCATCTTCTAGTTGTCATGGTGAGAAACCATAAGAACCTGACCTAAGACAGAGGCAGTGGGAATGGTGAGAGACAGATGCACGTAAAATTGAATGTAGACTAGAGTTGGTGATTGAATAGGTATAGGAAATGATAGAGAAAGAGGAGACAAGGGTGACTCTCAACTTTCCGGCTTGGAATATTGATAGGAAGAGGCACTTTTTATTGCATAGAGAATATGGAAGAAGGGGCAAGGGACCGGGAGAGGGATCAGATCCAGTACCAAGACATACGCCCTGACCTACTGCACACATGCAAGAAATGGCTAGAGAAAATAACAAGGACTCAGGACAGGAAACAAAGGGCTGGCTGCAGAAAGAAGGGGCTGTGTCAATGAGACATTGTCTGTCTAAGATACTAGACAGGGGACTCCAGGCTGCTGCTTCTGCCTGCATGAAAGGTGGGGCCCACACCTGCTGCAACCTGACCACGCAGACCACATATGAGGAAAGGAGGCCAAAGCTGGGCCAAAGAGGGTGTCATCATCAGTGAACGCATCCCTGGGGTGCCTGCTGCCAAAGGAGATAGCAGAGGGTGACACTTGGGGAAGTGGGGCCTCGGGGCCAGAATCTGAAGGAAAGCAATGCGCCGCACTAGAGAGCATGGGCAGCAGCACGCAGTGGGGAGGCAAGCTGAGCAGTGCAAGGCAAAGACGCCGCAGAGGACAAACTGCCCAGCCAGGATTCCCCGCACTGCGGACTGGGACGCTCTGCTGGACTGAGGTGGGGCCTCGCAGAGGCTGAAATGAGCCAGAACGCTGGGACACAAATCAAATCCCTCCATGCTGAAGGGTCCATGGTGTTGACTGCTGGCTACTTTCTGTCACCACCACCTAAGGAATCTTGGGTGGTCAGTTTCCCAAAGATCAAGACTGTGACACCATGGTCTTTCTTTCTCTCTTTCTTTCTTTTTTCTTTTTCTCTCTCTTTCTTTCTTTTGCTTTCTTTCTTTTTTCTTCCTTTCTCTCTTTCTTCTTTCTTTCTCTCTCTTTCTTTCTTCTTTCTTTCTCTTTCTCCTTTCTTTCTCTTTCTTTCTTTCCTTCCTTCCTTTCTTTTTAAAGCAAATCATAACCTTTTAGATCAAGTTACTGAAAACTTCTTTATATAAGTTTACATTTCTCTTTCTAATTGCATCTTTATCACGACACTCAATTCTATTTTTTTTTTTTTTTTTTTTTTTTTTTTGAAACAGAGTCTCGCTCTATCACCCAGGCTGGTCGCAGTGGTGCGATCTTGGCTCACTACAACCTCCCAGGTTCTGGTGATTCTCCTGCCTCAGCCTCCCAAGTACCTGGGACTACAAGCATGTGCCAACACGCCTGGCTAATTTTTTGTATTTTTAGTAGAGATGGGTTTCACCACGTTGGCCAGGCTGGTCTCAAACTCCTGGCCTCAGGTGATCCACCCACCTCGGCCTCCAAAAGTGCTGGGATTGCAGGCGTGAACCACCATGCCCCACTTCAATTCTCATTTTATTTAAAGATTCTTCCTTGGCTATGGAGACCCATCACACTTCTGACTCTCTCTCCTGATTCTGTGTGTGTGTGTGTGTGTATGTGTGTGTTTGTTTTATTTTAAGTTCAGGGATGCACATGCAGGTTTGTTACATACGTAAACTTGTGTCATGGGGGTTTGGTGTACAAGTGATTTCATCACCCAGGTATTAAGTCTAGTACCCATTAGTTATTTTTCCTGATTCTCTCCCCGTTTCCACTCACCATGGCCTTTCTTATCCTACCTTTCCCATTAGTATTTCAACTCCATAGTGAGAGTTCAGGCATAACACATATTGTTAGTCAAATCAGTGATTTATTTATTCATCAAATAGCTATTATGCTTCACTATATGTCAAGCATTGTGATTATCACTGGAGATACACTGGTAGCTAACACAGATAGTGGAATATAAAACTGACCAATTCCATCCACATGACCATGGGTACGTCATTTCAACTGGGAACATCAATTTACCACCTAGGAAATGTCTAAGACCCTCCCAACTCAACCCCGTCCTACATCTCCCTTATATTATTCATTCAATGTATATAAATTAAGCACATGCTGTGCATGTAACTATATTTCAATCCAAGCAAAACACATGGCAAAGGGATAGTTCCTGGTTTGGGGATTGATAGAGAAAGTCTTACAAATATATAAACACTGAGATAGAATTATATATTCAATAAATCATCTTTATTATAAAGAACACAATAATAAGAGATAGAGACTAGGTCACGAGGCTCATCATGTTATAATCATCATGTGCTAGGATTTGGTTTAAATCAACCAACAAGACATGGTCTGGAGTTGGTTTACAATCTGAGAAGACACTCTAAAAAATCTACCATTATAGGAGTGTTGTGAGGATCAAATATAATAAGTTGTGGTACAGGACGTGTAGCGTGTGGTACCTAGAGTCAGACTACCTGGATTTGAATCCCTGCTCTGCTAGTCATCAGCTTTACGGCCTTCGGAAAATTGCTTAACCTCTATTTACTTTGGTTTCTTCACCTATTCAACTGAGAAAGTATACTGGTAACTAAATCATAGGGTTGTTTTGAAGACAGTTCAAACGTGAATCCCTATTATGGAAATCAGCACATGGTGATCACTCAATAAAAATTACATATTGTGAACTAAAATTTGTGTAGTTGCTAATCTATCATTAGCGTGAAATAAAAATTTGTTTCCAAACTCCCACATTGCCTTTATTAAACTATAAATTTCTTGAGAAAAAGAAACTAAAATAAAATCAACAGGGCATGGTCTAGATTTTTGAAGAGCAAATTACATAGATAACTAATTATAACACACGGTGCTGTAATGACAGAGATAGAAGATGTCCCTTATCAGAACACTGACTGATTCAGCAGTTTCCATTTCCTTTTCTCACTCTCCACAACTCACAGAAGCCAGCTCTCAGAAATGGAATCACGAGTATGGAGGGGGTTCCCCTAAGAAGTGAGTGAGGGAATGCAATTCTGGGTATCACTGAGAGCTGGGAGGCAGAGGGTGGGGTGAGAAGGAGGCATTGCCTGTGATGTAGGTTTCTAATGATACAAGTGGCAGAGATACCTTTATTTGGAATTGGTAGCAATAGGGGAAGATACATGGATGCCAAAGCTCCGGTGAAACCTACCACGGCCCCTGATCTTGCTTCTGCTTCTCCTCCCTCAAGACTGGCACTAGCCATCATTGGGGTGGGAAGGAAACAGAGCCCATGTGTATTAAAAGACCTAAGTCTACAGACACTTAGAAAGGACAGAATTCCAAAGGCATGGTCGCACTTGGCTTCTGTCCTCTGTTATTCTCCAGCATCAAATGTATCAACTCTAACCCCTTTGGGGGGAATACAAGGCCTGTCCTGGTTTGGTCCCAATTTAGCTTTATCATCCATATTCACCCCCACTGCTCTGCAGCTCCACTGAAGCACCCCCTCTTTCCTCTGAACCCACAATGTCACACTCAGGACTCTGCCTCAGCTGGGCACTCATCTATAGATGCCTAAATCCCGGGCAGTTATCCAGACACAACTAAAGTTCCATCCCTTCCATGAAGCCTTCCCCAACCCTCTGGTGGAAGGTCACTTCTTCCCCTCGTGGGATTCTGAGCTTTCATTTCTTTTTCTACTAGGAGTCCTAGCACTTTCGGCTAAATGCTACAATTACCTGTTCATACACTCTACCTGCCCCCACGAGATCAGGGGCATCTCAGAAACAAAGATCATTAAAACCAACTAAATCTATTTCTCATTATAAAATGAGGTATGCTGATTGATTGTGAAAGAATAAAATAACAAAGTATGGAAAAGAAAAAAAAGCATATAATCTGGCTGAGAAGGTAGAGACCCTTCCACACCACTGAAATTATGTATTGAAAAGAATAAGTAAAAAACTGCTTCAATTTGGCATGATTTATGTAAGTATAGTATAGGATCCTTAAAATGGTTCAAAGAAATGGGAAATCAAGACTTCATTTTGGCCAAAACCATTGAACAGAAACTTCAGCATATTTATCAATAATTTCTTTCAGATTAAACAACTGACAACAACCTATTTTTCAACCAGTGATGTTGGAAATGTTTTTTTAAAAATTAGTTTATAAATTTGTGGGCTGACCAAGAAGGTAATAAAGTCTAACTAAGTAAAATGAGAAAAATTCAGAAAAAGAAAAAAATAAGAAAATAAATCACCCAGGGACCTATCACACAAATATAAGAACTATTCATTCTTTAAGGCATGTATTTCCAAGCCTTTGTATTTTTTTCCATGCTTAGGGTTGGCAAGGAATATATATATATTTGTACAAATATATATGTGTATATGTACAAATACATGTATATATAGTACAAATATATATATATATTTGTACAATTCTTCAGACTTTGTAGAATTTGTATAATGTCGTATCTTGCTTTTTTTAACCACTGATGTTATAAGCATATTTATGCCACTTCATTCATTTTAGAGACTTAATAATAAATGATCTAGTGGATAATTTATCATTCCCTGATGGAGAAAAATTTAGCTTTGTTTATTTTAGAGTTATAAACGATGCTGGGTCAGGTATCTTTATGTTTGAAGATGGCTCCATATTTGGGTTGTTTCCACAGAACTCTTTCCTAGAAATGCTTTTTCTAGGTTAATGGCTACAGATATTTCTAGGCACCTGACATATTGACACCCACCTCTAAAGTATTTTTATGATCCACAACTAGCGTTTAACACAGCGCCCTAGTCACTACATGACTAATAAATAGACAAATGACTGAAACATGACCTCATGCTTTCTATTCCTCCAGCTTTCATTCAGTTCTTTGCCTCTGGGAGGAGGAAGGGTTGTGCAGCCCTCCACAGCATCAGCCCATCAACCCTATCCCTGTGGTTATAGCAGCTGAGGAAGCAGAATTGCAGCTCTGTGGGAAGGAATGGGGCTGGAGAGTTCATGCACAGACCAGTTCTTATGAGAAGGGACTGACTAAGAATAGCCTTGGGTTGACATATACCCCTCTTCACACTCACAGGAGAAACCATTTCCCTATGAAACTATAACAAGTCATGAGTTGAGAGCTGAGAGTTAGAGAATAGCTCAAAGATGCTATTCTTGGATATCCTGAGCCCCTGTGGTCACCAGGGACCCTGAGTTGTGCAACTTAGCATGACAGCATCACTACGCTTAAAAATTTCCCTCCTCACCCCCAGATTCCATTTCCCCATCCGCCAGGGCTGCCTATAAAGAGGAGAGCTGGTTTCAGACTTCAGAAGGACACGGGCAGCAGACAGTGGTCAGTCCTTTCTTGGCTCTGCTGACACTCGAGCCCACATTCCGTCACCTGCTCAGAATCATGCAGGTCTCCACTGCTGCCCTTGCTGTCCTCCTCTGCACCATGGCTCTCTGCAACCAGTTCTCTGCATCACGTGAGTCTGAGTTTCGTTGTGGGTATCACCACTCTCTGGCCATGGTTAGACCACATCAATCTTTTCTTGTGGCCTAAAAGCCCCCAAGAGAAAAGAGAACTTCTTAAAGGGCTGCCAAACATCTTGGTCTTTCTCTTTAAGACTTTTATTTTTATCTCTAGAAGGGGTCTTAGCCCCCTAGTCTCCAGGTATGAGAATCTAGGCAGGGGCAGGGGAGTTACAGTCCCTTTTACAGATAGAAAAACAGGGTTCGAAACGAATCAGTTAGCAAGAGGCAGAATCCAGGGCTGCTTACTTCCCAGTGGGGTATGTTGTTCACTCTCCAGCTCACTCTAGGTCTCCCAGGAGCTCTGTCCCTTGGATGTCTTATGAGAGATGTCCAAGGCTTCTCTTGGGTTGGGGTATGACTTCTTGAACCAGACAAAATTCCCTGAAGAGAACTGAGATAAGAGAACAGTCCGTTCAGGTATCTGGATCACACAGAGAAACAGAGAACCCACTATGAAGAGTCAAGGAGAAAGAAGGATACAGACAGAAACAAAGAGACATTTCTCAGCAAAAATGCCCAAATGCCTTCCAGTCACTTGGTCTGAGCAAGCCTGCCTTCCTCAACTGCTCGGGGATCAGAAGCTGCCTGGCCTTTTCTTCTGAGCTGTGACTCGGGCTCATTCTCTTCCTTTCTCCACAGTTGCTGCTGACACGCCGACCGCCTGCTGCTTCAGCTACACCTCCCGGCAGATTCCACAGAATTTCATAGCTGACTACTTTGAGACGAGCAGCCAGTGCTCCAAGCCCGGTGTCATGTAAGTGCCAGTCTTCCTGCTCACCTCTATGGAGGTAGGGAGGGTCAGGGTTGGGGCAGAGACAGGCCAGAAGGCTATCCTGGAAAGGCCCAGCCTTCAGGAGCCTATCGGGGATACAGGACGCAGGGCTCCGAGGTGTGACCTGACTTGGAGCTGGAGTGAGGCATGTGTTACAGAGTCAGGAAGGGCTGCCCCAGCCCAGAGGAAAGGGACAGGAAGAAGGAGGCAGCGGGACACTCTGAGGGCCACCCCTACTGAGTCACTGAGAGAAGCTCTCTAGACAGAGATAGGCAGGGGGCCCCTGAAAGAGGAGCAAGCCCTGAGCTGCCCAGGACAGAGAGCAGAATGGTGGGGCCATGGTGGGCCCAGGATTCCCCTGCTGGATTCCCCAGTGCTTAACTCTTCCTCCCTTCTCCACAGCTTCCTAACCAAGCGAAGCCGGCAGGTCTGTGCTGACCCCAGTGAGGAGTGGGTCCAGAAATATGTCAGCGACCTGGAGCTGAGTGCCTGAGGGGTCCAGAAGCTTCGAGGCCCAGCGACCTCGGTGGGCCCAGTGGGGAGGAGCAGGAGCCTGAGCCTTGGGAACATGCGTGTGACCTCCACAGCTACCTCTTCTATGGACTGGTTGTTGCCAAACAGCCACACTGTGGGACTCTTCTTAACTTAAATTTTAATTTATTTATACTATTTAGTTTTTGTAATTTATTTTCGATTTCACAGTGTGTTTGTGATTGTTTGCTCTGAGAGTTCCCCTGTCCCCTCCCCCTTCCCTCACACCGCGTCTGGTGACAACCGAGTGGCTGTCATCAGCCTGTGTAGGCAGTCATGGCACCAAAGCCACCAGACTGACAAATGTGTATCGGATGCTTTTGTTCAGGGCTGTGATCGGCCTGGGGAAATAATAAAGATGCTCTTTTAAAAGGTAAACCAGTATTGAGTTTGGTTTTGTTTTTCTGGCAAATCAAAATCACTGGTTAAGAGGAATCATAGGCAAAGATTAGGAAGAGGTGAAATGGAGGGAAATTGGGAGAGATGGGGAGGGCTACCACAGAGTTATCCACTTTACAACGGAGACACAGTTCTGGAACATTGAAACTACGAATATGTTATAACTCAAATCATAACATGCATGCTCTAGGAGAATTCACTACTCGAATGGCCACCATTAAGCATAGTATTCTGTAGGGCATATTCATGATGAATCAAGCTCTTAATAGCAATTATTTACATTGTTGAGGCTTACTCCTCCTACTGAGCGCTTTTTATACATTGCTCATTTAATCTTACCAATGCAATAGTACAGCTTAGGTACTATTAATACCTCCACTTGACAGAAAAGTAACCCAGGGCTCAGAAAGGTTAGACAACTTGGCTGAGGTTACACAGCACGTAAACGGTCAATTGTGTTCCAAAACTGGACTTTTATTGAACTACAGACTATGCTGTTAACCATTGACCAAGTTATTTCCCAAAGTATGACCCGCCTATACTCAAATCTTACCCCATTCTTTAACAGATGATACTTTATCCATTGCAACCACTTCCTGTCAGGATTCTGAGTTGACATAGAGTGTTTGAGCAGTGATTGTTGAAGCCACTTAAATAGGATCTTTAAGTGTAGACCTGGGAACTGATATTTTTATCAAGCTCATGAGGTGTTCCATAGCATGTTAATGACTGAGAGCCACTGTCAATAGAATTCACCACTGTTTTCTAAATGTGGTAAGTCTCTGCATATGGCAACAGGTGTATTATACATTATTTCTCTAGAATCTACACTCTACAAAATAAATAGCTAATGTTAGAGAAGGAAAAGACAATCAGCTTCTGTGTGGAGCAGGATGCTGTCTATAGGTTTACTGTGAAAGGTAAGTTATTTAATAGATGGATTGTTTGCATTATCTGTACAAGAAATCCATACTAAGCTAGGGTCCTTTTTGCAGAAGAAAGAGAAATTCAAAATATTTGTGTGAAAACCAAACGTGTTAATTTTTACGAGCTATGCTTATTTCATTTTGTTTCAAATAATCTATTTTTTGTGTCCAAACATGTTTAGAATTGTAGTGTTCCAACTCTTTAAAGCATAAACACTACTACTTAGCAAATATTAAAATGCATATACTATGTGAACTACATCCCATTTGACCTGATCCCATTTCTAGGAATCTGCTTCATAGAAACACTGCCAAAAGATAAGATATGTAGACATGAGGATATTCTTTGCAGTGTGGTTGGCAAACAGCAAAGAAATGCAAACAGTCATCAGTAGGGGATTAATCAGTAGAGGATTAAGATGTCCATCAGTGGAATATTCTGAAGTCAGTAAAAAAAAAGTAGCACACATCTATAACTGTGGAAAGTGTCCATAATATTATATGTAAAAGGCAGACCTAATTACATTCAGTATATGCATATATATTCTCTACATATGCTATGGAACTATCTGTAAAGTATATTATTTTGTTTTATTTTTAAATGCCATATATACATATATATTTACATAGGCAAATATTTGGAAAGATACACATCAAATAGCTAACTGATTTCTTTGAGGAAATGAGGCTTTTTTTTTTTTTTAGGAATGAGGGTTTTTCCTTTTTATATTCTGCACTTTTAAAACTTTGAGTTATTTTCTGATTAGCTTGCATAGCTTACCTCTCTGGTCTCATCTTACCCTATTCTTTGATGGGTGATATTCCATCCATCACAACCACTTTCTGGTAGGGATTCTGAGTTGATGCAGAGAGGATAGAGCTCAACCTGGCTTATACTGTTTTGATGCCATGATGGCTTTCATATAATGAGGGTACAGCAACAAACACGTCTTTTTGACAAGGCTGTTTCTCTCTCTCTCTCTCTCTCTCACACACACACACGCACACACACACACACACACACACACACACACACACAAGCAGCTTTTGTCCCCATAGACGCAGTGAAGGTGTCATCATTCCTTCTTTATTGGCTTTCAGGAAAAAATATAGGGGCATACAATATTTGCCTGCACTGAATTGTTTCTCAAGGTCTAGAAACCCAAAGCTAAACGAAGTTTAATCATGCCCAACATTCCCTAAATACAAGTGTTATGAACAAACAGTAAGTTGAACAAAGACCCCTGATAGGGAACTGGAGAATGGGTACTGCATTTTTAAGCAGTTCAGCTGATCTGGCAGTCCCTAGCTCTCCTCCCTGGGAGAATGTCCTCTATGGACAATCTGAGATGTGCAATGTGGAGGATCTGCTTTCTGGAGGCTGCTGACTTCCTGTCTGTGTGAGTTAGCCTGAGGTTGCCTTAGGTATTGTGCAATCAGCAACTTTTTGGAACCAGTCTTATGGTTTCTTTGGCAATGTGACTCCCTTCTAATGTCTGTAGGCTACTATTTGCTTCTGATCAATTCCATGGGCCAGGTAGCCAGAAGCAGACAGGTTGTCAGTTACATAGTTTGCATTTGCATTTTAACTGGGGTTGGGGATGTGCATTTTCTTTTTTCTTTTTTTTTTTTTTTTTTTGAGATGGAGTCTCCCACTATCACCCAGGCTAGAGTGCAGTGGCGTGATCGCGGCTCACTGTAACCTCCGCCTTCCGGGTTCAAGCGATTCTCCTGCCTCAGCCTCCCAAGTAGCTGAATTACAGGTGCCCGCCACCACACCCAGCTAAGTTTTTATATTTTTAGTAGAGATAGGGTTTCACCATGTTGGCCAGGCTGGCCTCTAACTCCTGACCTCATGATCCGCCAGCATTGGCCTCCCAAAGTGCTGAGCTTACAGGCGTGAGCCACTGCGCCCAGCTGGGGATGTGCACTTTCTAGCACAGACTGCACTACCATTGTCACCCCGACCTCCCAGCCCCTGGTGAGAGACCTCTGCCTGCATCTTGGCCCATGTGGAGGTGATGAATATTTGACGCTTGGCCTCATTATGTCTCTCATCTTCCTGTCTCTGCTCATGCTAACTTTATCTTAGAGTAGAAAATCCTGCATTTACAGCCCTTTCAGTCTTCAGATTACTGGATTCTCAGTCAACAGGCTGGAAGGGCCTTTTTAGCAAGTCGCATTTCTTCTTTTTCAATTTCAGATGAGCCCATTTCAAAGTAGCCTAAACTCTTTCTTAAAGGACCTTACTGATATAATACACAGCAACTAAATTCCAATATTCAGAATCTTTTCTAACAAATTCCTTAATGCTGCAGCCTTGGTATTTGGCACAGGCTTTTAGCACCAAAATAAGACAGACCATAGTTCAACCAGCACGTGCAATACCTTGTAATGGGTATGGCAAAAGGTAGTGCCCAGACAGGACAGCATGGTGAATATCACCTGGGAACTTGGGAGAAAGGCATATTCTGAGCCCCACTTCCTTTCTTAATAGACTAGGGCCCAGCAACCTGTGTTTTCACAAGGCTCCAGGTAATTCTGATGCATGTAAGGTTTAAAACTCACTTCCATTTCACAAGGTCCTCACCAAATTACCTCCTACTTTCTCATTTCAGCCAGTTCCACACTTCAGTCAGGGCCTGTGACTTTTAACAAACCCTGTGTCTCTGCACAGATGCAGATCTCGTATCTCTCAGGATGCTGGCAGTTTCCAGGCAGAAAGCAAACAAGCAAACCAAACTCAAAGAGGCTTTGAGTAAATGCACCTTGTGGCTCCAAGACTATAGGGCATCGAGGTGGCCCTAGCTCCAGGCAAGGCTGGACGCAGCGGCCCTGTGGTATCTCATGAGTCCTCTTTGCTTCTCTTTCTGATCTCCCTTTCCTGTGAGAGGCCCTGGGTGGCTGCCAGTACCTGCCAGTGTACATGAATCCTTGTTCATTTTCTGCAGGGAAGAGTGAGTCTGTGTTCCCATTGGAAAAAACATCACTAGGCCCTTTTGGATTTGACTGACTTAGGAACCGAATTCCTAACCAGTCGCTGTGGTTATGGGGATGGGTTTCATTGATTTGCTTAAGTTAATCAAGGCACATAACTTGAATCTTTGGGTTTACTGAATTTTACATAAACTTAAAGCCTGAGAATGGTGGGGAAGGGGGTTTGCCCTGAAGAAATGTGAGTTTCTGGCATCAGGGAACATGCAGAATAGATGCTGGTCAGGAAAAACAAGTTTTCACTATAATGTGTTTGTCTTTTTCCTGTTATTTTTGTCTTGATGATATAAAAGGCACTAATACTTTGTGTGTGGTAAACATTTCTTCTCCTATGCTCTCTAGATTAGAAACTATTAGTCGTCCACTTTCCTGAATGACTTTATTTTTAATGAGATGCTGACTTGTGTTATTTCCAGTTGCCCAATGAATGACTATTGCCCAAATCTAGGGCAAAAGAGACATAAACTCTTCATGATGTCAAGGTAACCACTAGAAAATGGGGCTACATACCCACTCCAGAACATACTGAGAAAGGTAGAACTGGCCCTGCCATAAGCACTACCCACCTTCCTTCATAGAAGCCAAAGATCGGGCACTGAGGATGCAGGAGGAGATGAGACAATTCTTAGAACAATGAGTCCTCAATAGAAATTGTCCATATTAAGGAACAGAAGGGAGTCCTTTCATAGTGGATGGACAAAGGGGTAGACAAGGAGACTGCAAGCGAAGGAGACACTTCATACTTGCCGTTTTTATTCCTCCTCTTTCCTGGGAACTGCACCCACAAAAATACATTATGTGGGATTGACCACATCCCAAATGCTAGGTGGCTCCTGATTAAAATAAGCTGATTTGCATCTTGAGTTTTTTAAGCTTACCATAACATAAGCATTTCTCATGTCACTGCATTGTTTGTAAAGGCTGCCTAATAGCCAATCAAGGGAAGATCCCATAATTTTCTTAGCCATTTCCATATCATAGGCAATTTAAATTGGGTCCAATTTTAAGTTGCTATAAATATGCTGGGGACCAAATACACTTATGCATTGTTCATTTTTTCCATATTTGAATTTATTTCTATGGAGAATAGATTCCTAGACATGGACCCTCTTGGCCAAAGGCTAAGAACATTTATTTCAAGGTTCCTTATGCATATTAGCACCCATATTAAACACATCTTTAGGTCCTTGGCTTAGCGCATATCTCTCTTGAATGAACAGATGTCTGAAAGCCTGGCTGTACTCTCATCGCTCAGTAGCTCAGGCTTTGCTAATACAGCTCTGTCCATCTGTGTGTGATTGAAGTTGGGCTGTGCTGCTCAGGACTCCTGGCATCATTGCATAAGTCAAGTCTACACCGTTAGAACAGCTGTGGGATAACAGAGAAGTTTCTGCTCTGCCAGGGAAAATATGACTACAGAGCTTTAGTGAGAAGGAAGTAGCTAAGTGTGGTCTGGGGTAACACCAATATCTCACCTCCTGTTGCTGTGGAAACCACTTCCCCACAAACAGCCCCAAGACAAGTGAGCACTTGAACTGTTCCTGCAAATACCCTGAGCCCTGTGGTTACCCAAGACCCCCTTGCATGTGCAAGTCAACAAGACACCACGGTGCTTAAAAAACATCCTGTCTCATGAGCCCCGGTTTCCATCTTCCCATGACTCAGGGCTTACCTCTTTAGAGAAGGGGACACAGCTCAGACCCCACAGCTGGTGACTGAGTGCCCAAGTCCTATCCTCTTCTGCTCACACTCTTGGGCCCTCACGTCCTCCTCTCTCACGATGCCCCCCTGTTCCTGGGCCTCCTCTCACGAGTCAGTCTTTGTCCTGCCTTTTGCTGTTGTTCCCTGCACTCTCTGGCTGGGGTCAAACCACATCGCCAAAGTCCAGGGACAGAGGTACCCAAGTGAAACAGAGAACTTCCTAAGGGATTTTCAAAATGCCCTGGGCTATCTGTTCAGGAAGATTTTCTTCCCCAAAGTGTTTTCACTTTCTATTCTATAAACCTTAAAGGCAGGGTACGGTCTTGTCCTACTTAGTGAAGGAGAACATTGAGTAGGTTTCAATAAGGGGCAGAACCCAGCTACAATCGCTTCCTGGTGGCCAGCTGAGTCATAAAATTGCCACAGGTCTGCCTCACAGGTGATTTGCAGAGATGGCCTCTTGCTGGAAAAATTTCTTCTTAGACCATATTATGTTCCCCCAGTAGAGCTGGAATAAGAGGCAGACTATCTAACTAGCTGCAATTTCTACAGAGGGAGATGGAGGCCAAACCTAAGGCTCAAACAGAAATGGAAGGGAAAAGTGGGGAAACAAGAAATCCCCAACTTCCTGCTGGTTCTTCTCACCCCCAAATCTCCAACTTCCTGCCAGTTCTTCTCATCCCCAAATCATCCCCTGAACAGTGCTGTCTCCATCTACTTCCTTCTGATTTTATCACTGGGTAGAAGGAGTTGGCTCACTTGTCCCCAGTGAAAAATGACTCAGGGTCACGCTGCTCCTTCCCTCAGAATGCCCAGGTCCCCAAGCACCCAGGCATCTGCTGCTTTTCCTAGGACCCCCAGAAGCCCCCCTAGCAAAATGGTAAATGGCAATTATGAGACTCACTGCTGGTGCCAGGCGAGGGCTGGTGCTTCTGCCCATCTCTGGAGAGAAGCAGGACTTGGAGGGTGGCAGCCTGCAAGGGCACCAGTCGGTTTGAGGGCCATCCTGGGGACCCCAGGCCTTTGAGGTCCTATCTGGTGGTGGGACACAGGGAAGGGCCATAGAGGTGTTTTCTGGCCTGACCTGGGGTCTGCAGGGAACCAGGGAAGAGCTGCCCCTGGCAGAGGGAAGAGAGGAGGAAGTGTTAGCAGGAGGAGGCTGCCTGAGGAGACCGCCTGAGCCACTGAGGTAAAGTCTAGGGAGCTGAGGTTGGGCAAAGAATCTTGAACAAGTGGATAGGCCCTATGCTTGCCAAGACAGAGATGGGAAGGCAGCATGGGACCAGGAATTCCCTTGCTGATTCCTCAATTTTTATAACTGTCTCTTTTAACAGCTTCCAGAATGAAAGTGGCTGAGGCTGGCATGTCTGTGCCAACCCCACCAAGTTCTGGTGCCAAGTGCATCATTGATCTCAGAGTCAAATCCCTGAGTGACCTGGAAGCAACAAGACACTGTTACGTTTGTGGCAGATTAGGAAGCAGGGACCCAGGCCCTAGGGACGTCCCTTCAATTCCTGAACCTACCCCTACCCAAGCAACCACACTCTGGGACTCTTCTTAACATGCATTTCAACTTATCTAGACTATTTAATTTTTGTAATGTATTTCTATGCGTTCTTGACTGCTTGTCAGAAGGGACTTCACAACACCCTCTACGCCCCTTCCTCAGCCCCTCCAGTCACACAGCGGCTGACACATATTCAGGCACATGGCTATTCTTTGTGGCTCTCATACAAGGTGGGTGGCTACGTTCAGCTTTTTCTAGAGGACATTGTTCCAAAGCTGTCAACCAACAAATATTTATAGAACATTATTTACCATTTCTATGTTCAGCTATGTAAAATAATGAATTTGTTTTGAGTAAACCAGTCTTAAACTGTTGGTGATCCTATTGGCTTTGTTTTGTGACAAAGCAAGGTGGTGGGATGGGAGGGGAAGAGTAGAAAACTCTGAAGAGGGGAAGTCAACAGAAAGGAAATGACGGTAATGCCTCTCCCCAAATAATGAAACACTACTTTATAAAACAAGGATTATTTTATAAAATATTATGCACCCAGTGTATAATGCATATGCACTAGGTAAATTCATGCTTGATATATATATTCATGCATTTAAGTTTATTTTTCTCATGGGTCAAGCTCTCTTAAAAATTATTCATTGTCCTTCAAATTCTAACAATGTCTCCAAGGGCTAAGTATTATTAATATTCCCATTTGATAGAAGAGGAAATGTTGGCTCAGAGGGTTAAAACAACTTGTCCAAGGCCATGCAGCAAATAAATAGTGTAACTAATATGCAAACCTATGAGCATTCCAGAACCACCTGGGATGGTCGTTTAAAATGCTCACAAGAGAATTGGGTTTGGATGTGGGAATCTAGACTTTTACCAAACCCCTATGTGATATACATACAGACCAAAGACCAAAAACTACTGAATTTCTCAATAAAACTGGTTTTTGTTTTTTTGTTTGTTTGTTTGTTTGTGTTTTTGAGATGGAGTCTTACTTGGTCACCCAGGCTGGAGTGCAGTGGTGTGATGTCGGCTCACTGCAACCTCCACCTCCCAGGTTCCAGTGACCCTCCTGCCTCAGCCTCCCAAGTAGCTGGGATTACAGGTGCATGGCACTACACCCGGCTAATTTTTGTATTTTTAATAGAGACGGGTCTTCACCATGTTGGCCAGGCAGGTCTTGAACTCCTGACCGGAGAGATCCGCCTGCCTCAGGCTCCCAAAGTGCTGGGATTACAGGCATAAGCCACTGTGCCCGGCCTCAATAAGAATTTAACCACTCTTTTAAAAATAAGACACACATGGTAATAGACATCTTACCTGGGTATTATTTCCCTAGAATCCATGCTCCACAAAATCAGTGGTTAACATTAGAGAAAGGAAAGACAGTCAGCCAATATATACAACAAGACTTCTATTGTGAATGCAGAATTATTTGACGGATTGCCTAGATTGAGGTTAAGAAACTATGGTCCTCAGAACAAATCTAGCATGACCCTGTTTTGTAAATAAAGTTTGGTTGAAACACAGCCACTCCTGCCCTTTTACATATTATTTATTGCAGCTTTCCCAAGACAAAGGTGGAGTCACATTGTTCTAACAGAAATGATATAACCCACAAAGACACCAGTATTTACTATCTGGCCTTCTATAGAAAATGTGTGCTAACTTCTGGCCTGTTATGTTTTTAAGTATAAGAAAGTTAGACTGAGTCAGGATTCCTGCTGTAAAATGCAAGTGGGAGAAATTCAACATACTTGTGAGAAATGCAAGATATATTAACTTTTTGATAAGCCCTACTTACTTTGTGTGTTTAAAACAATCTATTTTTTAGTATCAAAAAGTGACATTTTGATAATCGGCATTTTTGAAGAGAAATTACACAGTCTGTAGAAAAATTTAAAATTTACATACTCTTCAATCTTATTTCTAGGAATCTATTTCAAGAAACACTATCTAAAGAAACAAAGGAGGGCCAGGTGCAGTGGTTCACTCCTATAATCCCTGCTCTTTGGGAGGCCAAGGCAGGTGGATAGCTTGAGGTCAGGAGTTGGAGACCAGACTGGCCAACACGGTGAAACCTCATCTCTACTAAAATACAAAAATTAGCCGGGCATGGTGGAAGGCGCCTGTAATCTCAGCTACTTGGGAGGCTGAGGCAGAAGAACTGCTTGAACCCAGGAGGCAGAGGTTTCAGTAAGCCGAGATGGCACCACCGCACTCCAGCCTGGGTGGCAGAGTGAGACTCTGTCTCAAAAAAAAAGACACAAAGTGTTGGCACATTGCTGTTGTTTGCAGCTCTGTTTGTAAAACAACCAATAGAAATAAATTCTTTAAAAGATGAATAGTTTAAACCATTGTGGTATAACCACATAATAAACACAAAATTACTGAAAAGAATGAAGTGGATATACATAGTGAAATGAAAGGTATCTAAGATATTAATGTAAAACTATGTATATAGAATATACATTCCATATGTGTATCTCTATACCAATATCTATATTACCACATATTTATTATATAACTGTACATATAATAATATTTTGCTTTGGTAAAAGCTATATATATTTACATAAACATAAGAAGGACATTTGATGTGTGTGATATATCCCAATCTATTAAATGTGATTTCCCTGGCAACCATAACTTTTAAGAAATGAGGATCTCCACTTTTCATTTTCCATTCTTTGTGCTTTGATTTTCATAAGTATGAGTATGTGATTTTTAACTCAAAAACCAAGATTTGAGAAGCTGGGGCCTTGCACTAAAAACTGGTTCTCTCTTAGTCCTCTTGAACCACTTGCTCTGGGTCCCTCATTGAGGGGACAAGCTTTGCAGATTTCAGTCTAGTTCAGAGAACTTCAGGAATGCTCGCTGCTGTTATGTTACCCATTCTATGAAGAGATCAAGGCAACAAACATGTCCTGTCTAGACCCAAAGAGTACATTTTGACTCTCTCTCTCTCTCTACACACACACACACACACACACACACACAAACACACCTGCATAAATAGCTTCTCTCATGCAACATTTTATATTCCCTTCCAATTTTGAGATATTCCTCCTCTAGCCCGTCATAGCAAACCAGCTAGGGCAAGTGTGGGGGCATTATCCGGAATCATGATAGTAGCCATCTCTGCCTTGATGAAGCCATAGAGTCTCATTCTTTCTTCCCCTAAGGCCTCTCAACATCTGATGACTGGCACCATTGGCCCATGAACTTTAAAATATTTCAAATAGATCTAGGATTTATTTCACATCTCAACAACATGAATATTGCATAAATCCTTCATATATTAGATGAATACTAAACTGACAGCCTATTATAATCGGGGGAAAGGAAAAGCAAAAGATTCTAATAGACTGCAAGTTCACATTGGCTAGGTCTCTTTCCTTGGTTAACCTCTTTTTTAAGAGTAAGTGGCAGACAAAGTAGGGTTCACTAAATAGTCCACATGTTCCCCTTCATGGCATTTGCATTGGGCTCTTGTGGCTAATTTTGGCCAATGAATTGTAAGATTAAGTGAAGCATGTCACTTCTGGACCAAGACAGTTAAAAGCAGTATGCCTTTTCTGTCTTCTTTCTCATTCCAGAATCTACAGCTACAGGATGGAAGCAGCCTGAATTCCTGAGTCACCACCTGGAGGAGAGCTGCTCTAGGATCAATACTGCTCAGAGTGTAGTTCATGGGTCAGCAGCATCAGGATCACCTGAAACCTCATTAGAAAGGCAGAATCTTGAGTCTTACCAAGACCTGTAGAATCAGAGTCTCAGGTGGAACCCAGGAATCTGTGTTTAGACAAGCCCACCAGTGGATTCTGATGCAACTAAATTGTGAGATCCAGTGATCTAGCCCACATCAGATTTTGTATGAGTGGAAAACTTTTACCTTGTTAGACCACTGGGAGTTTGTTTGTTATCTAGGTACAACCTATTCTATCCTTACTTATATATAGACTATAAACATAAAATGCTTAACTGTTCTCCAATCATCAGCTCCACCTTAACATCTTGGGGAGATCCTATCACGTTTTGGTCACATCCAGTTATTAAAATTCCTTCAGTTTAGAACCCTAATCTTAAATTTGACTTAACTAACATTTCTACTTCTTCCTTTCTCCTCGCCCTTCACCAGAGCAAAACAGGCTCTGGTAGTTGGAGTGTGATGAAGCTTTAGTTTGGTTCTGAGATACCCTCTCTCCTTCTCTTTTTAACTCCTCTGGCATGTTGGAAAGAGGGGTTGTCTGTGTGGGGTAATATAAAGAGAAAATTTTGCTGGTTGTGGTGGTTTGTACCTGTAATCCCAGTGCTTTGGGAGGCCAGGGCCAGAGGAACACTTGAGGCCAGGAGTTGGCGACCAGCCTGGGCAACACAGTGAGATCCTGTCTCTACAAAAAAAAAAAAAATTTAATTAGCAGGCATTGTAGTGTGCAGCTATAGTCCTAGCTACTCAGGAGGCTGAGGCAGGAGGATCGCTTGAGCCCAGAAGTTCTAGTCTGCAGTGAGCTGTGATCACACCACTGTACTCCAGCCTGGGTGACAGAGCAAGACCCTGTCTCTAAAAGAATTTTTTTTAATTTAAATGTTTAAAAGAGAGAGGGGAAAGAATTCTTTTAACTGCCTACAGATGTAGTCCCTGCCCCCACTGCTAGGTTATCCCTGCATCTTTTAAAAAAATATTGAAGTTATGGGCAATGCATGTATATTTCCCTCGGATAGATGGGCATTCCTGAGGGTCCTCTCTCTGCATAGTTTCTTAGGTGAGAGATCCCACCCTTGCCCAACATCTTTCACCTCTCTCTTCTGCTCACACCACTGGCAGCATACCCTGGGCCTTTGCTAGCCTGGAAGACACCATTGAGCATGTTACAAAAAAGCACCATGGAGCACACCTAGCCCTGTGTGAGTGCAAGACCTTACAGGTGATGGGCAGACTGGCTTTCAGCACCCTCTTGCCCACACATCCAGGGGCCTTTGTAGACAGCGGCCCTGAGACCACCCCATCAGCTACTGCTGTTAAGATCCTTGTAAGCTAAGCAGTGGATCTCCTATTGGTAGGATGAGCACTTTAAGACTCAAAGGGGTTACTATTAATAACTATGCTGGCACAACTGGCATAAACTGGGTCATTTCCCAGACAAAATGGGACATGTGATTCCCCCAACCTTTGCGGAGTGTCACTGGGAGGATGGCTCGAGCCCAGCTCCCTTCCACAGGATCACTCGGCCAATGGAAAGCTCATTCCATGTGGTGGGAGAGCAGCCTCCAGCAATCCTTTTCCCTGCTTTGGTTCCTATCTTCTGTTTTCTTCTCCCCTGCTCATTTTGGCTCAGGCAAATCATGAGGTTCACCATGTAAGCTGACATCCAACTGGAAAATGAGTTGCCTTGTTTGCAGGTACTTCCAGTTTGTACAAGTTACCCTCTGGAGACCCCTTCACTGGGCTTCAAGAGCAGTTAGAAGTAAAGACCTCTCCTTCACAAAGGTGGAACCCACTAGGCTGGCCACTTTCTTTCCTTTTCCTATGTCTACAATGCCCTGGAAGGATTGTCTGGCCCCAGTTGTTAGTGACTTAGTTTAGAATATAAAGTCTATAATGAAAACTTAGTCTCAGATTTGGGAACTAGCCATCATTTGTGGGGCAACAGGGTATATCCCGATCAAAATCTTTTTACAAAACCGGTAAAATAATTCAGGAAAGACCAGGCACAGTGGCTCACGCCTGTAATCCCAGCACTTTGGGAGGCCAAGGCGGGCAGATCACCTGAGATCAGGAGTTCGAGACCAGCCTGGCCAACATGGTGAAACCCCATCTCTACTAAAAATACAAAAATTAGCTGGGCGTGGTGGTGCGTGCCTGTAATCCCAGCTACTCAGGAGGCTGAGGCACAAGAATCACTTGAACCCAGGAGGCAGAGGTGGCAGTGAGCTGCGATCATGCCATTGCACTCCAGCCTGGGCGACAAGAACAAAAACTGTCTCAAAAAATAATAATAATAACAATAATAATTATTATTATACAGGAAAATACAGAATGGCAAAGGGGTATATTATTACTGCATTATTAATGTAAAAATTGAGTATAGTGTTGAATAAAGTGAGAAAATCCCTAAGACAACTGGCATATAACAGGAGAGTCTGAATTGAACCCCCAATTTGGGAAGAACATGCTTGATGTGATGTAATCACAGGCAGGGGATTGGTCATCTTCACATATAAAGACAGAATTAATATGAGAAAGTTACATACATTTGGTAGATACTAGTTGGGTTCCAAGGTCTTTCTCTCTTTCTTTCTCTTTTATCCTTACATGATTCTTCGGAAAAGCAACCCCTCTGGTAGTCTGTGTGGTTTTCAGCCCATCAACATTGCTTGTTATAGACATTGATCAGCTGAAACAAATCAGTAAATCCACTTCTCTGGCCACAAAGATGAATTAAGATACAGGTTGGCAAACTTGCTCTGTAAAGGACCAAATGGAAACTACTTCAGGTTTTGTGGGTCATACAGTGTCTTTCACAACTACTCAGCTCTGCTTTGTCGTATGAAAATATGATTCATTCCAGGTAAGGAGTCCTTGCTAGACTGTGGGCTGTAAACAATACAGAAACAAATAAACCCAACTGCATTCCAATAAAACTTTTTTATGGACACTAAAACTCCAATTTCATACAATTTTCATATTTCTCAAAATAATCTTCTTTTGGATGTTTTCAATGACTTAAAATGTAAAAACATCTTAGCTCGCAGGCCATACAAAAACAGGTAGTAGGTCAAATTGGGCCCAATGGCCATAGTTTGCTGGCCCCTGGGTTAAGAGATGGGCTCTTAATCCAAGCCAGCCAGACCAATAAAAGTGGAACTCAGGCTCTTGGCTCAAAATACGAGGATACAGACATTGTCTTCCCAATTTGCTCTGGAAGTTTCTGGAAGCTATTCTGCCAATAGAGTAACTAGGATGAATATAGTAACTTCTTTCTAGGATGAAGCTCTCAAATGCAGGGAGATCAGAAATTCAGAAAGACATGTATAGTCCATAGCGAAACAAGGACCACTGAATCAAGTTTTGCCTGAAACTAATTCTATTTCTTGAAGCTTCAGTTATGTGAACTAATAAGTTCCCTTTATCATTTAAGCCAGATTGAGTTATTTTTCTGACACTGTGACTTAAACCATCCCTAACTAACATAGACTGCAATGTTGTAAGTATGGGTCCCCAAACGTGGAACTGGCTGAAGGCAGTAGCTAAGGTCAAAGTCAGTGGGGATACCTCTAGTTACCAAAATTGCCGGTTACCCCCATGGCCTGTTATATATTCTAAGTCCATCTTCGAGCCAAAGTTTTATCAAAAACGAAAATTCAGGGTATTGGAGACTATTTCTTGCATCAGTCTTAGTAAGGCCCACTAAGAAAGAAATTAACTTACTTTGAAACTGATTCTTCTGATAGCAGAGAAGGGGAAAAAAAGTAGTTTTTTAAAGAAATGTACTTTCTGCTTGCTGCCTGAAAACCAAGCTAATTAAGAATCCTGTGATCTGGAGCTTGCAGGACTAGAAGAGCAGAATTTTCCAGTCCAAGCTAATGTTAATATAAGCAAAAATGAGGAGGTGAGAGATTAGGCAGGACAGGAAAGCAGGTCCCGAAGCAGCCAAATCCACCTCCTTCTCAGATCCCACATTGTAAATATTTATCTTGATGATAAAATGAATGTATTAGTCAGTTATCCAGAAAAACAGAAACAGTAGGCTATTTCTCTCTATAGATATAGATTGGATACCAATGTTGATATAGATATAAATACCGAGATATTTATTAGGGGAATTGGCTCCCACAATTACGGAAGCCAAGAAGTCCTGCCATCTGCAAGCTGGAGAACCAGGAAAGCCAGTGGTGTGATTTGGTCTGAAGGCCTGAGAACCAGGGCAGCCAAAGTTGTCAGTCCTGGTCCAAGTTCACAGACCTGAGAAGGGGTCAAGAAGGGTAGGTGATGGTACAAGTCCCTGTCTGAGTCTGAAGGCTCAAGAATCGGAAGCGTGGATGTCAGAGGGCAGGAGAAGATGGATGTCCCAGCTCAAACGCAGACAGCAAAGTCACCCTTCCTCAGCCTTTTTGTTCTATTTGGGACCTCAGTGAATTGGATGATGCCTGCCTGCATTGGTGAGGGCAGATCTTCTTTAGTCTTCTGATGCTAATCTCTTCTGGAACACCACACAGACACACTCAGAAATGATGTTTATCAGCTACCTGGGTATCCCTTAGCTTAGTCCAGTTGACGCGTAACATTAACCATCACAATGAACAGCTGTGCTCTTTGTGAAGGTGCAGCTGTATTCATCAGAGGCAGGGAGCTAAAGACGCTGACCTTCGCACTTGTTTCACCAGCAGGGGGCAATGTGGAGTCAATACAATGGGGGAGCCGGTGGGCGGCGGAAGGGATGACCACAGAGCTCCCAGTGCTGTGCTGGAAGAGACGTGTTAAAAACCCAGTTCTAGAAATAACTGTATCTGATAGATTTTCTGCTTATGATTAACCATCCAATGGAATGAACCAAAAATAACTAGATCAGATGCCTTCAAAAATTAGAACGGAGTTGCAGTGCCTCTGAAACCTTAATGCTGGTTAAAAACAGCCTGTGACCCCACACCAACAGTGGTTCTCAAACTTGGCTGTGCATTAACATCCCCTGGGGAGTTTTTAAATTACTGATGCCAGGCCCCCACATCAATCCAATTAAATTCATAACTTTGGAGGTGAGGACCTGGCATTAGAATTTTTAAAAGCTCTCCTAAGTGATTCTAATGTGAATTCAAGGTTGAGAAGCCGTGTTCCACACTTAAGCCAAAGCCCTGTTCTACACTTAAGCCAAAGCCCTGTTCTACACTTAAGCCAAAATCAACAGACATCTCCAACAGGAAACAGACACCTCTATAAGCAGTATTCCTTCTTCAGAGGGTTGCCAGATACAATTTAGGATACCCTGTTAAATTCGAGTTTCAGAAAAAGAACAAATCATTTTTGGTACAAGTAGGTCCCAAATATTGCATGGGATATACTTACACTAAAATAGTATCCATTCTGTATTTTTATTTGCTAACTCTGGCCACCCAGCCCCAAGCCTCATCTCGTATAGTCATGGAAAACATCCTCCCCAAAAGCAGAGTGGAGAACAAAGATAACATTACCAAGGCTTTCAGCAACTTCCAGGTAAGGAGTCCTTGCTAGACTATGGGCAGTATTTGCTAGACTTTTACTAATATAAGTACTTAGCCCAAAACCCAGCACTTGGTAAGACCTCAACAGATGTTAGCCATCATTCTGAGGAAAGCTTCATTTATGAAAATGAGCTTGTGTGCGTAAATATGCATTGCAGCGTCATCTTGATATTCATTTAAGTAGAAAATTTTTCTATCACATTTCAGTTACAATATGGTTTATAAACTAATGGTGTCTGTTTCAACTTTTCAGGAAAGTATCTCCAGGGAAATGTCTGGTATGACTGTAGAAGTACTTGGTCCCTATCTTGCTGTTTCTGCCCCTTTTCATATTTCCCTACTCCTCCCCCAGAATTCCTCTCAGTCTGTGATTCCGATTAGTGAAACAAAATCAACAGAGTCGTCACAGTGAGAATGCTGGTTTACCTTTTATATAATAAGTACTGCCAATATATTAAAAGGTGGTGCTGAGCAAAACCATTCAATAAAGATTTGTCATTTGATACATATGGCACAATGTCTGCTGAGAAAGCTAATCACACTGATTGATCCATGCATTGAATGTACGAAGAGTTGAAGGGAAAGGGGAAAGGATGATAAAGACAATGTCATGAGATGTCAGAGAAAATACTAATTTCATAATGCAGCTCAACAATAGAAATCAATTTCAAAATGAAATATGATGCATAAACTAAGATTAAAGTTAGTTAATGTGGCTGGGCATAGCAGATGGGACTCTTAGAAGAGGTAGCCTCCAGGGTGGCAGGGCCATTGCCCTGGCTCAGGCTCCTGTTCCCTCCTGGGCCCACCAAGTTCACTGGGCCCTCGCAGCTTCCAGGCCCCTCAGGCATTCAGCTTCAGGTCGCTGATGTATTTCTGGACCCACTTCTTATTGGGGTCAGCACAGATCTGCCGGCCTCTCTTGGTTAGGAGGCTGTGGAGAAGGGAGGAAGAGTTAAGAACTGACGAATTCATCAGGGGAATCCTGTGGCCCCTGCGTCCTTCTCTGTCCCAGGCATCTCAGGGCCTGTCCTCGTGCCCGTAAAATTTCCCCTTAACTTCGGGGTTCACAGGCCTTCCCCAAATGTCTCAGATGGGGTTCCTCAGGAAGCAAACTTCCTGTTGTCATGTCTGCTCTCTTCCCTCTGCCCAGGGGCAGGCCCTTCAGGACTCTGCAGGCCCCAGGCCAGGTCACAAAACACTGCAGGGGCCTCCCCTGGAGTCCTTTACCTTGATGGGCCTTAGAGAGCTGAGTACTCTGAGGGGACCTCACCCCAAACCTCCCATCCTCCCTCCCGAGGGGTGGGCAGGAGCACTGGCACTTACATGACACCTGGCTTGGGGCACTGGGGGCTGGTTTCAGAATAGTCAACTATGAACTTTTGTGGAATCTGCCAGGAGGTATAGACGAGGCAGCAGAGCTCTTTGTTGGTACCAACTGCAAGAGACAGGACAGAAAGATCCCAAGTCATTGTTCACAAGGCAAGCCAGCTGCTCCTGGTCCCTTTCCTTGAGAGTCAGGAAGAACTGGGAGATATCACCGCTTGGGGTGGGGATATAGGGACAAAGAGATCCAGAAGGAAGCTGGCATTTCTTCTTTTCCCTGACATTTTAATTTCTGCATCTTTCTCTTGGTGTTTCTCATTCTCTGGCTGTCTTGGTTCTGGGTCTCTATGTCTCTTTACTGGAAATTTAGTTTTCTGAGCAAACTATTTCCCATCCCATCTCTCCTTGGGGAGTTCCATCTGAATTCATAAGGACAGCCAAGGCCACACCACTGAGAACCAATTGGACCCAGATCCTACCTCTTGTCAAAATCCCCGTGGGCCTCCATTTTCTCATCCATAGAATGGGACTCACTCTCCCTCTGTCTCCCAGAGGTGGAGAACAGAGTTGCTGAAACCTCTTAGGAAGAAAAATCCTCCTCGGGAAATAGTCCCTGAAATCCCTCTGATGTTCTGTATTTGGAGGTCTTAGAGATAGACTCGGGCAGTGGGGTCCAAGCCATGGCCAGACAGTAGGGGCACAAGAGCAAAAGACAAATTCACACAAGGGACAGCGGGCCTGGGGGCAGAGGGCCTCAGTGAAGAAAAGGACAGCAAGGGCAACTGCAGGGGTCCCCAGGATGCTGGGCAGAGTGTGAGCTCCCATGGCTGCCGGGAAGAGCTGAACTCAGGACTTGTAGCCGCTGCCTCCTTCTGGGGTCTCAGCCATCTCTTCTCTTTACAGGCAGCCTTGGGGTATTAGAAGATATAAACTTGGGGAGACTGAGGAGGAATTTTGTTTCTTTTTTCATTTTTTAAACTTTTAAGTTCGGGGTACATGTGCAGACTTGTTACATAGGTAAACTCATGTCATGGGAGTTTGTTATACAGATTATTTCATCACCCAGATATTAAGCCTAGTACCCATTAGTTTTTCCTGATCCTCTCTGAAGGGGAAAATTTTTTAATCATGATACTGGTGTCATGCTGTGCATTGCACAAACCAGGAGAGCTTCAGCTCACCACAAAGATTCAGGCTATTTGCAAGAATGCTTCAGTTGATCCCTTGGTGGGGAAATGGTTTCCACAGTGAAAGGAGGTGAGATGCTGGTGTCACCCTGAGACTGGGTTAGCTGGTGCCTTCTCACAAGGGCAGGTCTTTAGATAAAGCCTTTCTCCCATTGAGCAGAACCTTCTGATAGCCTCCCCAGCTGTTCCAACAGCATAGATGTACCATGGACATCAGAGCCAGGCATGGTGGCTCATGCCTGTAATCCCAGCATTTGGAGAGGCCAAGGTGGGAGGATTGCTTGAAGCCAAGAGTGTGAGACCAACCTGAGCAACATAGTGAGACCCTGTCTCTATAAATTTTTTTTTTTTTAAAGTAGCTGGGCATGCCTGTAGTTTCAGCTTCTTTGGACGCTGAGGCAGGAGGATTGCTTCAGCCCGGAAAGTCAAGCCTACAGTGAGCTCTGATCATGCCACTGCACTCCAGCCTGGGCAACAGAGTAAGACTTTGTCTCAAATAAATAATTAGGTAAATAAATAAATTTAAACAGGTGGTCCTCCCTGAGTTTGTTTAACAGCTCAGTTGTGTCATCAAGAACTCAGGCTTCTTAAAACATCTCCCCTTCCCCCACCATTTTGTTGGCTTTTCTTATTTGAGCTTGTCACCTCGTGGTCCCAAAATGGCCGCTGCTTTCTCAGTCATCACATCCTCATAATGTCTCATCCACAAGCATACGAGGGAGTCTCATAGGAGTACAGGAAGAGCAATGTTACTAGTGTTTTTAGTTCAAATAGCTTTTTATATGATTTGTTATGTGAACTATAGATTACACCAAAAAGCAGTAAAGCTAATTTTGAAAACACATAAAATACAGAAAAGAATAAAAACTCATTTAGAATCTCAAAGCTGGGTAGGCAGCAGGCAAACGGAGGCAGGAATGTGAGAGTTTTTTTCTACATTCCCTATTGTGGCATATGTGCATTCTGATGCAAAACCTGAAAAAAAAATTTCATTGAAGGTAGGAAAAATTCTAGTACCCAAACCTAGCCACTTTTTTTTTTTAAAAAACAGTTTGGTATATTTCTTTCCAGTGCAGTTTTTTTCTAGGCTTATGATAGTACTGTTTGCTCATTTGCTTTTTTCCTTCTTCTTACTGTGTCTGGTGGGGGAAGACATTACTGTTGTCATGATACAGGTTTTAATTTTGTATTTTTTTATTTATACAGCCATGCATCACTTAATGACAAAAATACATCTGAGGAACTTGTCATTAGTCTGTTTTGTTATTGTGGGAATATCATAGACTTACACAAACCTAGATGGTGTAGTCTACCGTACACCTTCACTGTATGGTACAGCCTGTAGCTCCTAGGCTACAAAGTTGTACAGCATGCCACTGTACTGAATACTGTAGGCAACTGCAATGCAATGTTAAGTATTTGCATATCTAAACATATCTAAACATAGAAAAGGTATAGTACAAATACAGAATTATAATCTTATGGGACCACCACTGTATAATATATGCAGTTTGTCATTGACCAAAGCATTGTTATGCAGCATATGACTGTGCTTAATATTAAAAGACTTTTCCAAATCATTCCAGTATTTTTAAGAACTGCCTAATTTACTTAAGCCTAGTGCATTAATATTGTCATGCACTACTGTAACATATGTGGGTTGGTTTCAATTTTTCCTTTTTTTTTAGATGGAGTCTCACTCTGTTGCCCAGGATGGAGTACAGTGGTGTGATCCCAGGTCAATGCAACCCCCACTTCCCAGGTTCAAGCGATTCTCCTACCTCAGCCTCCTGAGTAGCTGGAACTACAGGCGTGCACCACTATGCCCAGCTAATTTTTGTATTTTTAGTGAAGATGAGGTTTCACCATGTTGGCCAGGCTGGTCTCGAACTCCTGACCTCAGGTGATCTGCTTGCCTCGGCCTCCCAAAGTGCTAGGATTACAGGTGTAAGCCACTGCACCTGGCCAATTTTTCATTGTTATAAGTTGTGCCAAACATCTGTATGCAAAAAACTTTCTCCATAAGTGAGGTTATTTCTGTAGGATATTTTCCTAGCTGTGGGCTTCCTGGGTGAAAAAATAAGGGCATCTAAGGCTCCTGATCTATATAGACACCCCATATGTCATGCATATTCATGTCTATTACCCAGAGTCAAACCCAATGATGGCATATTGTAGGGAGCTATGAATGTTCAATGAATCAAACAGCAGTTAAAAGCCTGGCCCCATCATTCTTGTCATTCCCATAGTCCAGACTTTCCCTATTCCATTCTGTCCATTTGGGTCTGGATCAAACACAACTCGAACTACTTAAGATTCTGGGGTATCATCTTACATGTCACTTCTGTGCAATGGAAACACAACACTAGAAATATCTGTTCCATAGGAGGAAATGACCATGGTGCCATTCACAAATAGATCTGTTCTTGATAGAAGGTACCAGCTAAGCTTGGCTTCTTGGTAACACCAATTCTTGACGTCCTCCTCATGAGTTAAGCATTTCTTAGAAGCACTCCGATTAACACGATGTAATGGTCCTTTTCACCCAGGGTGTGGTTTAAATGTGACTTGTGCTGCCCAGAACGCTGTGGCATGACCATTTACATCACACCATGTGGTCAGAGGAGCTGCAGCACAGCATTAGAGAGCTGCTCTGTGGTGGAAGTGTTAATCTGAAGATCTCTCCTTGTACGTATGACTTCAACACTAACATCTCACCCTCTCTCACTGTCAAAAACATTTCTGCACATTCAGCCCCAACAAGTGAGCAGTTGAGTTGCTCTTGTACATCCTGAACCCCTGGGGGACCCAAGGTACCCCAACATGTACAACTCAGAGCAAGACACCATGCACTTAACATCTTCCCCTCTGGTCATCCCCAGTCTCCAGCTCCTCATGGTTTAGAGTTGCCTGTAAAGGGTTGAGGACATGGCTTGGACCCCAGAACGATGTAGGTGGCAGTGAGTGCCCAGTCCTGTTTTGGCATTGCCTACACTCCTCTGCCTGCCCAACACTGAACAGGTCTTCTTTGGTGCCCTCCATCTCCTCTCCATGGCCCTCAGCTCACAAGTCTCATCTGTCCCGTGAGACTCTCTTGACCCTTGTCCTTTCTTCATTTTAGAGTTGTTTCCCTATGCTCTGGACAGACATTTAAGCCATATCACTTAATTCTTGTGGATTAAGATTCTCTAAGTAAAATCAAAGAACTTCACAAAAGGTTTCAAAATGTTCTGGGCTATTTTCTGAGGACTTAGATATCTAACCTAGATCTGAAAGGCAGGAGAGGGCTAGGACCCATTGTTAGTTGGGAAAACTGGGGCCTAACTCAGTCATTCACAAGATGCAAACTCTGGGTCTAGTTGGTTCCTAGGGTGAGGAAGTGGCAGAGTTCCTTCAGTTCTCCTGAGAAGCTCTACTCCTACAGCGATTTAGAGACGATGGTCTCTTGCTGGGAAAAGTCTCTGTAGACTGAATGAAGTTCCTACCCAAAAGAGATGGAACAAAGGCCAGCCATTCCAAGAGCTATACTCCCTGAAGAGGGAGCAAGGGAGTGAGAGTAAGACAGAGGCAGAGATTTAAAAGAAACACTCAAAGTCAAGGATGAATGCCTGACTTCCTTAGTTCCTTTTGTGCCCTACTTCACAGTCCTGAGCAGTGAGGTCTTCATCAACTTCTTGCTGGTCCCTTTTCAAGAGTGGAAGAAATTTACTTGGTTTTTCTCAGGTTCTGGATGCTGGTTCCCTCACGGTTAAGGCACCCCATTGTCTCCTGCCTCTCTTATGTTTCTCCATATCCACTGCAAATTTGCTGACTCCAGCAGCTGGTGCTCTTACCCTGGCGTAATGTCAGCATCAGTCCTTCTGTCTGCAAATAGGGCATATGGAGGAGACAACCCATGGGACAAGGGACAAGGAGCACGTAAGCACAAGTAGGAGGTGGGAGCTACTATGGACTTTCATATCCAGTGTGAAGGTAAAATGAAGGTAAAATGAAGACATTTCCAAGCAAGCAAAAAATGGAGACTTCACTATCAGAAGACCCACAGTAATGAAAATACTAAGAGGATTCCTTTAGGCAGAAGAAAAGTGATTGCAGATGGAGCTCAGAGATGCAGAAGAATTTAAGAGGACAGGAAGAGCAAATATGTGATGAAAACTAAATGAATATTGACTGTATAAAGTAATTAAAATATATCATAGGATTTTAATTTTAAGACCGCTCACCACTGGTTTTATAATAGGCAACCGAAAATTTGCAGTGCATCTACTGGGAGGTGTAGGAGAAGCAGCAGATGCATGGGGTGTGAATCTTATCTGAGGGAACAAAGACAACAGGAGTTGCTCAGGAGAAGAAGCCCAGGCGGGTCACAAAGGAGCAAAGGGAGACAGCATAGCTCAGAGTTGAGGCCTGCAGGAAAAGAAAGCTGGAAATAATCTGGCTTTTTGTTTGTTTCTCCTTAATTTCCCTAGTCTTGTCTCTCCATTTTAGTCTTTATTTTACGCTACAGGGAATCAAGCTCCCTGAATAGTCTATGCCCTTCTCCTAACTCTCCTTGGGGAATTTTTTTTCTAATAGATTAAATCACAAGATAGCTGAGAAAAGTATAGACATCTTTTATGTTACCCAAGGGGTTGAACTCTAGGAGACTGCTGAGGTCATTGTAAAACTTACCAGCACCAGTGAGAACTAAATAGACCTAGATTCTACCTCACGCTAATAACCCAATGAATTAGACTTCAACCATCTCATTTATCTCAGTAGGATAAAACTTCTCTGACTCCCATCCTGCTGCCCAGATCAATAGACTGCTTTTCAACCTTCTTGAAGAAAACAATGATGTCACTTTGAAACCCCATTTGAGGATCCCTAATTTCACACGAGGGTTTTCAGGCCACAGCACTTGGAAGATGTCGCCTGACTTCTGCCCAGGGAGCCATCAAAGCACATGGATGACAGACTCACCTTGTGCACAGGAGCAGAGGGCCATGGTGCAGACGAGGACAAGGAGGGCAGCTGCAAGGCCCTTCATGATGCTGGGCAGGCAGAGAAGTGGTCAGAGTGAGCTGGGGCTTGGAAACTCACAACTCCTGGCCTCCTTCTGGGGTATGAGCTGTTGTCTCTCCTTTTTATAGGCAGACTGGACCATGGGAACATTGGAGGTGCTGATGCAAGACATTTTAACTATGGTGGTGTCATGTGAGTTCTCAGCCCAGGGTTGCCTATGGTTACTTGAAAGGTTTAGGGTACACAAACGAGTGGTTCACTTGTTGATTGAGGGGCTTATGGAGAAGTTGTATCTCCAGATGGGTGACCAGGAGTTGGAAGCACCCAGGGATTATGCTTAGGATTATGCATAATCATGTGATTATGTTTTCACATGACAGATATTTCTCAGAAATGAGTGGTCACAGCCTCCTTTGATAGAGCAGAATGCTTTAATGGATTTTCACAATTGTTTTTCCTTTTAAGAGAGTCACATGCTTCAATCTTTTATATACAGTTAGGCCTTTCGTGATCTAATGAGAAATCTTCCCCTATCCTAAGGCAATAAAGATATCCTCCTATGTTAACTTGTAGAAGCTTTATTGTTTTAGCATTAATATTTAAATTACAATCCATCTGGAGTTGATTTTTATGTTTGGTGTGAAGAAGGATTCAAGATTTATTTTTTGCCACATGAATACCCAATGGACCTTGGCAACTCATTGGTAAGACCATTGTATAAGTCAGGATTCCCCAGAGACACAGAACCAATGGTGTGTGTATAAAAAATAAGAAATTAGAGAATTGGCTCATTTAATTATGAAGGCTGACAAGTTCCAAGATCTGCAGGGTGAGCTGGCAAGCTGGAGACCCAGGAGAGCTGCTAGTGTAGTCCCAGTTTGAGTTCAAAGACCTGAGAATGGGCAGGCTTAAGGCCCAGGAAGAGATGATGTTTCAGTTTAAGTTCAAAGGCAGGAGAAAAACCTATGTCCCAGTGTGAAGGCAATCAGGCAAGAGGAATTCCCTCTTACAGGCAGGAGGGTCAGGCTTTTTGTTGTATTCAGAACTTCAACTAATTGAATGAAGCCCACCACATTAGAGAGGGCAATCTGCTTTACTCGGTTTATTGATTTCAATGATTTTGTGGTCTGCTTTTGGAATTTCTGTTCTGTTCCAATGGTTTATTTTCCTATCCTTGTGCTAATACATTATGTTAATTTGTTTTTCACTTTGAAGGAGATATCCCTGTATGCCCCTGACAACTGGACTCATAAAACCTTTCCTGAAATGACAAGTCCATAAATAGTTAAAAGATTTATCTCCCACCTCATGGAATACATACGTTTTTTTCTTTGTATTTTTCTTTCTTTCTTTCTTTTTGTTTTTGAGATGGAGTTTCGCTCTTGTCATCTAGGTTGGAGTGCAATGGCGCAATCTCGGCTCACCGCAACCTCCACCTCCTGGGTTTAAGCGATTCTCCTGCCTCAGCCTCCTGTGTAGCTGGGATTACAGGCATGTGCCACCATGCCTGGCTAATTTTGTATTTTTAGTAGAGATGGGGTTTCTCCATGTTGGTCAGGCTGGTCTTGAACTCCCGACCTCAGGTGATCCACCCGCCTCAGCCTCCCAAAGTGCTGGAATTACAGGCATGAGCCACCGCACCCAGCTGGAATACATATGTCTTACAGAGTGTCCAACATATGGCCACTTCTTGTCTATCATGCCCTATCAACATGATGTCACCAATGTAATGGATCAATGTGTTGTTTTGAGAGATACATGAAAATTCAGATCTCTTCAGACTACAGTATGCAGAAGATGAGAGTTAATAGTCTACAGGAAAACTGTAAGTGAATATTTTCCATTCTTATGAATGGGAACTTTTTCTTATCCTCTTTCCTACTTGTTATGGGACAGAATGCATTTGCCAAATCAATAGGTACATAACATGTACTTAATACCTGGCATGTGTCAGTACCTGGTTATAGAAGCTGCAATCAGGTTACTACCTGGTTGAGCTCACAGTGTTCTACAGTCATTCTCTAGGATCCATCCAGTTTCTGCAGAAGCCAGACTTGCAAATTAAATAGATATGATAATAACCATTTTCCTTGCATTTTTTGTATCCTTAAGGGTGGCATTAGTCTCCACCATCCCCTCCACTAGATTGCAATATTGTTTCTAATCTACTCTTTTTTCCTGGGAGAAGGGGGCAGTTTCAGAGATTTCCACTTCACCTTCCCTCTAGAGATGCTTGTTCTATTAACCATTGCCACAACTCTCCATGGGTCAAGACCCCTTGATTGTCACTCCAACCTTGCTGGCTATAACGATATTTAGAACCCCTTGGCTTCTGTTTGTTAAATGCTGCTACCTAGCCTCCACTGTTTCAAGGCAAGAAAGCTCCACTGCTTCAAGGAGAGAGGGCCCCACTGCTTCAAGGAGGAAGAGCTATCAATGGGCCAAGTTTTGTGACAGCCACTCTTACCATCAGCCCTAGCCTATAAAGAAGGCGGGACCACTAACTTCTTAGAAATGCTGGTGCTCCTCTCACCAGGGAGTCCTGGTGGCTTTGGTGAATAGTGCATTCCCATGGAACATAATCTGGTGAGTCTTCTGGCCTCATGTAATGTATCCACTCCAGCATGACCACTTCCATGACTCTTTTAATCCCTTCCTTCTCCATCTGTCATGGCAATTCGGGTATTTTAACTTCACTCGGCATGAGCCATTGCTTTCTCAGGCTTCTGGAGCCTTTCTGACAACAAATCTGTACCAACCCCTGGGGTCCTTCTCAAGAGGTTACAGCCTATATCCGGAAAGAATACTCCCAAGTCAGTAAGTTGTCTCTTATCGAGGCTTATATTCCAACTCCTTTTATCAAGCACCTCAAAATCCAAACCCAAGTCTACTTCCCCTGCTCAGGCTGACACATGCTTGCTAAATTCTGCTAGTGCTTTAGAGTATAGTCCCTTTTCTCCCTTATTAGGAATATAATTTATTGACACAAGAATGTGTTACCAGAAGATATGGAAAATATGAATGGTTTCATTTCCACTAAGGAATTAAATCAATAATTAAAAACCATGGTTAGAAAACATCTTCATACCTAGCTGGTTTCATAAGCAAGTTCTACCAAACATTTATGGAAAAAATAATGGAAAGACAGCCTTTTTAACAAATAGTACCTGAACAATTGGACATCAAAGACCAAAAAACAAATCTCAACGTAAACTTCACACCTTCCACAAAAATTACTCAAAATGGATCATAGACTTCATGATCAGGGTGATTCAAACTCCCATTAAAGTTGGGGAAGTCAAATAAACTGGGACATGTGTGTTATGTAAGACATGACATTTAGAAAAAAATAAGAATTGAGCCCAGGAGGTGGAGGTTGCTATGAGCTAAGATTGCGCCAGGGCACTCCAGCCTGGGTGAGAAAACCAGACTCTGTCTTAAAAAATAAAGTAAAATAACAATAAAATAAATAGAAAAAATAATTTTAGGACCTAGGACTAGGTAAAAAAAAATTCACATTTGATACCAAAAGCATGCATAATCCATAAAAGAAAAAAGCAACAAATTAGATTTCATCAAAATTTTAAAATCTTGCTCTTCAAAAAGCCCTTGTCAAGAGAATGAAAAGACAAACTACAGACTGGGAAAAAGTAATTGCAAACCACTTAATTGACAAAGGACTTGTATTCAGAATATATAAATAATTCTCAAAACTCGAAAGTAAGCAAATGTACCATCCAGTTAGAAAATGGACAAAAAACATGAATAGACTGAGGAGAATACACAGATGGCAAATAAGTAATGGTATTTTGATTGTGTCGGGTTTTAAAATCCTTATTTTAAAGATACATACTGAAATATTGTGGTAGTCAGAATAACATTTCCCCCAAAAGAATATCCACATCCTAATCCCTGAGACCTGTACACAGCCAGAAGGAATTAAGGTTGCTAATCCTGACTTTGAGATAGGGAGAATATCCTGGAGTATCTGAGTAAGCCCAGCATAATCACAAGGATCCTTATAAGGGAGTGTCAGTATCAGACTGACACAATGTGAGAAGAACTGGACCATCCATTGCCCACTATAGCCAATCCATGTGGGCAGCCTCTAGAAGCCAATAAAGGCAAGAAATTGGAATCTCTCCTACAGCCTCCAAAAACAATTGCCACCCCACTAACAGCTTGGTTTTAGCCTAGTGAGGCCCATTTCAGACTTTTGACCTCCAGAACTGTAAGAGAATAATTCAAGTGGTTTTAAGCCTCTACATTTGTGGTAATTTGTTACAGAAGCAATAGAAACTAAAATAAATATTTACAGATAAAATAATGTTGTAGTGGTTTTTAAAGACGGCCATATTTCTGTGACACTCCTCTCATTGATAGATGAGATCTAGGTTCTCTCTCCTTGAATCTGGACAGGCTTGTGGCTGTTTTCACCGACAGACTGTAGTGGAAGAGACATGCTGTGACTTCTGTGGCTAGGTCATAAAAGGCCATAAGTATGACCCTAGTTTACTAGGAACACTCATCTTTGAGTCTCAAGGCTGCCATCTTGAAAGGGCATGTTGACGGCTCTAGTTGACAGCTCCAGCAGAGCTTGTCCTTCAAACATCCCAGTCCAGGCGCCAGACGTGTGAATGAGGATATCGTCTTAGAAGAGGATCTTACAATCCAGATAGTGAAGGTTACTTATGACAGGCTATTGTGACATCATCAGTTATATCACATCCGTATAGTTAGAGCAGTTGTGAAAGAGCATCAGCACCTTCCACTCTACAGGAGAGAAATAGGCAGCCCATGGTTCACAGATATATCCATTTTTGTGAGGGAGCCTGTGGCCATACCAAGTCCCGATCACCCACTCACTGAGGAAATTATTTCTTCAGAACAACTTGAATGGACTGAGCAAGCAATTTTCTCAGAAGTGTCCCCATTCGATGGAGAAGCTGAGCTATTCTCTCTTTTTTTTTTTTTTTTTTTTTTTTTTTTTTGAGACAGAGTCTTGCTCTGTCACCAGGCTGGAGTACAGTGGCGCGATCTCAGCTCACTGCAACCTCCATCTTCCGGATTCAAGAGATTCTCCTGCCTTAGCCTCCTGAGTAGCTGGGACTACAGGCACGCACCACCACACCCGGCTAATTTTTGTGTTTTTAGTAGAGACGGGATTTCATCATGTTGGCCAGGCTGGTCTAAATCTCCTGACCTCGTGATCTGCCTGCCTTGGTCTCCCAAAGTGCTGGGATTACAGGCGTGAGCCACCGCGCCCGGCTGAAGGTAAGCTATTCTTGCATATACTTGGAACTTCTGTGTTGACCAAAGGGTGTTGGCAACCCCTGAATTATGTAACTCCCAACATGACACTAACATTCTGATTAAAATATTTTCCTCCAATCATCCCCAGTTTCTATCTTCCCACAAAATGGAACTCTCTATAAAGAGAAGGGGCAATGGCTTGAACCCAAGAAGGAGGTGCCAGCTTCAAATACGCAAGCTTGCTTGTCTTAACTATGCTGACACTCAAGCCCAGAATCCCTTGCCTGCCCAGCATCACACAGGCATTTTCAACTGTCTCCACCATTCTCCTCCCCCTATTGTGGTCCTCTGCTCCCAGACCTCCTTGGTACTGTGGGAGAGTGTCATCTCTTCTGCCTTATTCAGATGTTACCCTTTTTGGCCCCAGGTGAGACCACACCAAACATGCCCTGAAAATAAAGATCACCAGAGTTGAAAATGGAGCACTCAAAACAGGAATTCAAATCGCCCTGGCCATTCTCTTCAAAAAGTCTTTTTTTCAAAAGGGTCCAGGCTATCACATTCCACCAAGTGGTTCAGAGAGTGGGAGCAGGAGATGCTAATTTCCACTTTCCTGATAAGATAATTGAGGCCCAATTCACAGAGTAACTGGCAGCTCTATTTATTTCCCACTGGTGCATGTAAGCCTAAATTCATGTCAGCTATTCCGTAGAGGCCTGTCCTATTGGTGATATGTGACATATCCCAGCTTCATCTCTTTAGTATTGCGATATCACAGGACAGACAAATTTCCCTCCCAAAAGAGATGAACTGGAAGATGAGACATTTTAGTGAGCTAAATCCCTAAAAGAGTAAAAATAAAAATAAAAATGGAGTGATATAGACAAAGGCAAAGTAATTTGTAGGAAAGACATGTGTGTCCCAGTTCATCTGAATTCCCCAACTTAAGAAATGCTGTGTCCTTCTAGTTCCTTCTAGTTCCTTCTGATCTTTTTTGGGTTAAAGGGAGAGCAGGGGGCATGGAGAGGGGAAGTTGGTTTTCTATGGCTTCTCAATAACTCAGTCTCTTGCTGTGCCTTCTCCTACAGCTGGTGTTGACTCCACAGCCTCCTGCTGCTTCCCTTATACCCCCTAGAAGATCCCTCAAGATTTTGCAGCAGACTGTTATAAAACCTGCAGCCTGTGCTCTAAGCCCAGTGTTGTATAAGGGCCATTCCTCCTTCCCATTCCTGGGGGAGACACTGGAGCAGCCCCCATGGGTGTAAGGAGGTGGATTGGACACCATCCTGGGAATACCCAGCTCTCTGGGCCCCTCACAGGCACAGAAGAGTCTCTGAGGTATTTTCTGAACAGTCCAGGGTCATCAGGGAGACAGGAGAGGCTGGCCAGGGGCAGAGGAAGAGAGAGGGAGGACATGATGGCAGGAGGGTGCTGACTGAAGAGATTCTCATGAGATACTCTGGGAAACTGGAACCCTAAGGCATGGGAGCTGATTGCTGAGAAAGAGAGAGACTCTGAGAGGACAAGTCAGAAAGAGGGATGGAGGGGCCACAATGGGTCCAGAAATTTCCCAGCTGGCTAGATTCTTCTTAATCTTCTGCCTTTCCCCATAGCTTTCAGACTAAAAGAGGTCAGCTGGTCTGTGTCAACCCCAGAGATGCTGAGTCCAGGAATACATCAAAACCCAGAGCTAAATCTGAATAGCCCAGAAAAAAAAATTAAATCCATCAGTAGATTGGGGAACAGGGAGCTGAGCCAGAAGAATAGCACTTACAACCCCAGAAGCTACCTCCTTTATGGTCTAGTCCCCCCATAACCAAACCAAACTTAAATTTTAATTTATTTCACTTTTATTGTGTATTTCCAATTTTAAATTGTTTTTATTGAATGTTTTCTCTAAGAAACCACATAGTACACAGTGATTCTAGATGGTGCTGAATGTTTGTGCTAAATCCTCTCTCTAGATATTCGACCAAATTCATCAACCACAGAATTTCTGGATATGCATTTTTCAATGAATATTTGATCTTTGCACTATGTTGTAATGTTTCTAATATAATAAAAATACTTTCCTTTATTTAAAAGTAAGCCATGGAATTCTAGCTATTATGTTGATTGCTGTCTTGAACATTAGGAATATTGGTTTGGTGGGATGAGGGGGGAAGTTGAGGAAAACTGGAAATGTAAGAAACAACAGAAAAAAGAGAAGACATGCTACCTGGTAATGTTGTCAGGCCTTACAATGGAGATAGCAGCCTAGAAAGCCAAAACTGAAGTAATGATGTTATAAATTAAACTATAATTTATATTCCCTAAAATAAAATCAGCACTTTATATGAACCAAAAAGGAAGACCTTCCTTCATATGCATCTTTACTTTTTTAAAAAATAAGTCAAGCTTTCTTAAGAAAAACGAAGCTGGGCGCAGTGTCTCAGGCCTATAATCCCAGCCCTCTGGGAGACTGAGATAGTAGGATCACTTGAGCCCAGGACATCAAGACCAGCCCGGGAACATAGTGGGATCCCATTTCAATAAAAGAATTTAAAAATTAGCTTGGCATGGTGGCGGACACCTGTACTCCCAGCTACTTGAGAGACTGAGATGGGAGGATCGCTTGAGCCCAGGTGGTCAAGACTGCAGTAAGCTGTGATCATGTTACTGCACTCTAGCTTCAGTGACAGAGTAGGAAAAAAAAAACAAGAAAAAAAATAAAAAATGACTTAAATTTATAGAGAAGTTAATATGAGTTAAGAACTTTCGTGTATTGGCTCATTTTATTCCTGAAAATATCACTATGACGCATATACCATTGTTACCCAATTGGCAGATGGGGAAACAGGAGTCTGGAGAGTTTACAGAATTTCCCATAACTCTATAATTAGCAGTGGTGGGATTTAAACCTGGGTCCATACCCTATGCTCTTAACCATCAGATCTCTGCCTCTCAACGTGTTATTACACCTAGAACAGATTTAACCTGACATTTCCTGTTCCATGATGTGAGCATTCTGGTTCCAATCAGCCAGGTCATCCTCTTGGGTGGGCAAAGTAAAATGACTCAAATCCCTCTATCTATTACCACATCTTCACTTTTCTCCTGCTTATCAAGCCAAAGGTCAGAGTGCAGGCCAAGACTCTCTGCTTGCCATCTCTCTCCCTTCTTCTTCCCCCTATCCAGGTACTACTGAGGCACATCAACAAATAAGTAGCCTACGTAAAATGTAACCAGATGATGAGAACACTCCTTCTTTCTTTGATGGCACCTCCAATCTCTACAGACTTTTCCCTTGGAGTTCTCTCATTTGCCTTTATGGGAGCAGCACAGATCACAGCTCTGCTGTGATCCAATACCATTACCATTTTATGATCATGGCTCTCACTGCAGCCCCAATCACCCAGGCTCAAGCAATCCTCCCAACTCACTCTCCCAAGTAGCTGGGACTACTATAGCACTATAGTACTCCCTGCCCTTGGCTATGATTCTCTCCTCTCCCTCCCTTTTCTCTCTCTTTTTTTTTTCTTTACGTCTATAGATAGGAAGGATGGGGAGAAACTTAGGGCTAGTCCTGCCATCTCCAGAGAATATTATCCCTGGAGGTAGTATGTTATGGTCTTTTTAGAATAAGAAAATAGCTTTTTGCAGCAAGATAAATCCCATTCAGCATCTTGTTAAATTACACAGAAAATTCTGGGAAGAGAGAGAGGGCAGTGAAACTGCCTAATGCTGAAAAATGAAAGAAAATAATTACTCATCAAATTACTCCAGAACTTTGCAACTTTGATAGAAAATCCACTTCTACTTCCCCGAATTTTTAAAGATATACGCAACTTATGTCAGAGTTAATATTCTTCATATACTAAGAACAAATTCATAAGAATATAACAAAACATATTACATACTTAATTGTATTGAACACTGTAATTTTGCTTCTAAATGAAATTAACGTTTTCCCTTTCCCATTATTCCCTCCTCACTATAGAGTTGAAAATGGCCATCCAGAGGAGGTCTTGGTGGCACTGAATCCAAGAGGAAGCCAGGGGTCTTGGGGTACAAATGAAGAGCGAGCTCAATGCCACGTCCTCCTCTATGCAGACATGGTCCAGGCTCCACCCACACTGGGACCTTTAAGTGTGCTTCCTCTGCCTTTCCAACACAAATGTTTATAAAGCTTTATTCAAAATAGCCCCAAACTTTATTCAAGATATTACCCAGATGTCTGTCAAGTGGTTGATAGGTGAACCAATTGTGGTACAGTCAGTTCTATAACATGACACATACATTCCTGTTTTTTTTGTTTTGTTTTGTTTTTGTTTTTGTTTTTGTTTTTGTTTTTGTTTGTTGAGACAGAGTCTCGCTCTGTTGCCCAGGCTGGAATGCAGTGGTGCGATCTCAGCTCACTGCAAGCTCTGCCTCCTGGGTTCACACCATTCTCCTGCCTCAGCCTTCCGAGTAGCTGGGACTACAGGTGCATGCCACAATGCCCAGCTAATTTTTCTATTTTTAGTAGAGACGGGGTTTTACCATGTTGGCCAGGCTGGTCTTGAACTCATGATCTTATGATCCACCCGCCTCGGCCTCCCAAAGTTCTGGGATTACAGGCACGAACCACTGTGCCCAGCCCATTTTGTGTATTCTTATATGGCTTATTCACTTAGTGTTTTTCATGGATAAAATCACTTGTAAGCAAATGGAAAAACTTGTGTTATGCTCAATTTTTTTCTAACATCTCAGTCATATTGTAACAAATTCACATTTCCTTTTTTTGTTATTTTATTTTATTTTAGATGCAGGAAGGGTACACGTGCAGGTTTGTTACATGGATATATTGCATAATGGTGAGGTTTGGGCTTCTAGTGACCCCATCACCCAAATAGTGCACACTTTACCCAAAAGGTTATTTGTCAGCCCTCACCCCCTCCCACACTCCCTGCTTTTGGAGTCCTCACTCTCTATTATTTCAATCTTTATATCCACATGTATCCATGGTTCAGCTCCCACTTAAAAGTGAGAACATGTGGTATTTGATTTTCTGTTTCTGAGTTATTTCACTTAGGATAATGGTCTTTCTCTCTATCCATGTTGCTGCGAAGGACATGATTTCATTCTTTTTACAGCTGCATAGTTTCCCATGGTGTGTATATGTACCACATTTTCTTTATCCAATCAACCATTGATGGACACTTAGGTTGATTCCATGACTTTGCTATTGTGAATAGTGCTGCAATAACATATGAGTGCAGGTGTCTTTTTGATAAAATGATTCCTCTGGATAGATGCCCAGTAGTGGGATTGCTGGGCAAATGGTAGTTCTATTTTCAATTCCTTGAGAAATCTCCATACTATTTACCACAGAAGCTGAACTAATTTATCTTCCCACTAACAGTGTCTAAGTGTTCTTTTTCTCTGCATCCTCACCAACATCAGTTATTTTCTTACTTTTTAATAATAGCCATTCTGACAGTGTGAGGTGGTATCCTATGGTGGTTCTAATTTGCATTTCTCTGATGATTAGTGATGTGAGCATTTTTCGTATATTTGTTGGCCACTTGTATGTCTTCTTTTGAGTAGTGTCTGTTCATGTCCTTTGTCCACTCTTTAGTAGGGCTACCTGAGGGATTTTGTTGATTTGTTTGAGTTCCTTATAGATTATGGATATTAGTACTTTGTTGGATGCATAGTTTGCAATTATATCTCTCATTTGGTAGGTTATCTGTTTATTCTGTTAATCATTTCTTTTGCTATGCAGAAGCTTTTTAGTTTAATTAAGTCCCATTTGTCTATTTTTGTTTTTGTTGCATTTGCTTTTGAGGTCTTAGTCATGAATTCTTTGCCTAGGTCAATGTTCAGAAGAATTTTTCCTAGGTTTTCTTCCAGGATTTTAATAGTTTCATGTCTTACATTCAAGTTTTTAATCCATCTTTAGTATTATTATAATTTTTGTATATGGTGAAAGATAGGGGTCCAGTTTCATTCTTCTGCGTGAGGCTGGCCAGTTTTCCAAGCACCATTTATTGATTAAGGTGTTCTTTCCCTATTTTCTATTTTTGTTGACTTTGTTGAAAATCAGTTATTGTTTAAGTCTGTGGCTTTACCTTTGGGTTCTCTGGTCTGTTCCATAGATCTATGTGTCCACTTTTGTACCATTATGCTATTTTGGTTACTACAGACTTGTAGTATAGTTTGCGGTCAGGCAATGTGATGCCTCTGATTTTGTTCTTTTTGCTTTAGGATTGCTTTGGCTATTTGAGCCCTTTTTGGCTCCATATAAATTTGGCTCCATAGGAAAAAAACTGTTTTTTCTAGTTCTGTGAAAAATGACATTGGCAATTTGATACAAATTGTGTTGAATTTGTAGACTGCTTTGGGCAATATAGTTAGTTTAATAATATTGATTCTTCCTATTCATGAGCATGGGATGCTTTTCCATTTGTTTGTGTCATCTACAGTTTCTTTCATCAGTGTTTTGCTGTTTTCCTTATGGTGGTTTTTCACCTTCTTGGTTAAATGTATTCCTAGGTATAGGAATACATTTTTATTTTGTGGCTATTGTAAATGGGATTGAGTTCTTTATTTGGTTCTCCGATTAAGCACTGTTGGTGTATAGAAATGCAACCATTTCTGTACATTAATTTTATATCTGAAACTACTGAAGTCATTTATCAAGTCTAGGAGTATTTTGGCAGAGTCTTTAGGGTTTTCTAGGTATAAGATCATGTCATCACTGAACAGAAATAATTTGCCTTCCTCTTTTTTAATTCAGATGACTTTTATTTCTTTTTCTTACCTGATTACTTTGGCTAGGACTTCCAGTACTATGTTGAATAGAAGTGGTGAGAGTGGACATCCTTGTCTTGTTCCAGTTCTTAAGAGGAATGCTTTCAATTTTTCCCCATTTAGTATAATGTTGGCCGTGGGTTTGTCATGTATGGTGCTTATTATTTGGAAATATGTTCTTTTAATGCCTATTTTGTTTAGGGATTTTATCATGAAGAGATGTTGGATTTTATCTAATGCTTTTTTAAATCTATTCAGATGATCATATTGTTTTTATTTTTAATTCTATTTATGTGGTGAATCACATTTATTGATTTGCATATGTTGAACTATCCTTGCATCCCTGGAATAAAATCCACTGTACTATGGTGAATTATCTTTTCGATGTGCTTTTGGATTTGGTTTGCTAGTATTTTGTTGAGAATTTTTGCATCTATGTTCATCAGGGATATTGGCCTATAGTTTTCTTTTTTTGTTATTTCTTTGCCAGATTTTGATATCAGGATGATGGTGATCTCATAGAATGAATTAAGGAGGAATCTCTCCTCCTCGATTTTTTGGAATAGTTTCAATAAGATTCATACCAGCTCTCCTTTGTACAATTGGTAACATTCAGCTATGAATCCATCTGGTTCTGAACTTTGTTTTTCTTGGTAGATTTTTTTTAATCATTACTGATTCAATTTCATTACTCCTTATTGGTCTATTCAGGATTCTATTTCTTCCTGGTTCAACCTGGGAAGTTTGTATGTTTCCAGGAATTTATCCATTTCCTCTAAGTTCTCTAGGAACACAGAGGTGTTCCTAGTAGTCTCTGGTGATCTTTTGTATTTCTGTGGTATCAATTGTAATGTCACCTTTATCATTTCTGATTGTGTTTGTTTGAATCTTTTCTTTTCTTGGTTAATCTAGCTAGAGTTCTATCAATTTTTGTTTATACTTTCAAAGAACCAACTTTTCCTTTCATTGATCCTTTGTATGATTATTTTGGAACTAATTTCATTTAGTTCATCTATGATCTTTGTTAATTTTTTTCTTCTTCTAGCTTTGGGTTTGGCTTGTTCTTGTTTTCCTAGTTCCTTGAAGTATGACGTTAGGTTGTTAATCTGAGATTTTTTTTCTATCTTTTAGATGTGGGCATGTAATGATATAATTTTTCCTCTTAACACTACTGTTGCTGTATCCCAGAGGTTTTGGTATGTTCAGTCTCTATTTCCATTAGCTTCAATTTTTTAATTTCTGCCTTAATTTCATTGCTTACCCAAAAGTCATTCAGGAGCAAGTTGTTTAGCTTCCATGTACTTATGTGGTTTTGTTTTTTGTTTGTTTGTTTTTGTTTGTTTGTTTGTTTTGAAACCGAGTTTCACTCTGTCGCCCAGGCTAGAGTGCAGTGGTGCGATCTCAGCTCACCGCAAGCTCTGCCTCCCTGGTTCACGCCATTCTCCTGCCTCAGCCTCCCGAGTAGCAGGGACTGCAGGCCAACCACGCCCAGCTAATTTTTTTTTTTTTTGGTATTTTTAGTAGAGACAGGGTTTCACCGTGTTCGCCAGGATGGTCTCGATCTCCTGACCTCGTGATCCACCCGCCTCGGCCTCCCAAAGTGCTGGGATTACAGGCTTGAGCCACCGCGCCCGGCCCCATGTACTTACGTGGTTTTGAGAGTTCCTCTTGGTATTGATTTCTAATTTTATTCACTGTGGTCCAACAAAATACTGGATATGATTTCACTTTGTTAATATATTGAGATTTGCTTTATAGCCAAGTATATGGTCAATTTTAGAGAATGTTCCATGCACAGATGAAAAAAATTATATTCTGCAGTTGTTGGGTGGAATGTTCTTTCAATGTCTAATAGGTCCATTTGGTCAAGTGTTCAGTTTAAGTCCAGAGTTTCTTTGTTAGTTTTTTGCCTTGATGATCTGTCTAGTGCTGTCAGTGGGGTGTTGAATTCCCCGTCAGTATTGTATGACAGTCTATCTCTTTTCTTCGGTCTAGTAGTATTTGTTTTATACCTCTGGGAACCCAGTGTTGGGTATGTGTATATCTAGGATAATTAAATCTTCTTGTTGAATTGAACCCTTTATCATTATATGATGCCCTTCTTTGTCTTTTTTATTGTTGTTGATTTAAAGTCTGTTTTATCTGATATAAGAATAGCAACCTCTGCTCTTTTTTGTTTTCCATTTGCATGATGTTTCTTTTTCCTCTCCTTTACTTTGAGCCTATTGGTGTATTTACATGTTCAATGAGTCTCTTGTAGGGTACAATTTGCCAATCTATATCTTTTAGGCCTTTTACATTCAAGATTAATATTGACATGTGAGGTTTTGTTCCTGTAATAGTATTGTTAACTAGTTGTTTTGTAATCACTTTATAAGATCTGTGAATTTTGTACTTATGTGTCCTTTTACTGTAGCAAGTATCATCCTTTTGTCTCCATGTTTAGAACTCCTCTGAGTATTTCTTGCACAGTTGGTCTAGTGGTGACAAATTCCCTTAGTGTTTGTTTGTCCGGAAAAAACTTTATTTCTCCTTTGTTTATGAAATTTAATTTGGCAGAATATAATATACTTGGCTGACTTTTTTTCCTTTAGGGAAAAGACTTTATTTCTCCCCTGTTTATGAAATTTAGTTTTGCAGGATATAATATACTTGGTTGGCTTTTCTTCTCTTTAAGAAGGATAAAAGGCTGGGTGCGGTGGCTCACACCTGTAATCCCAGCACTTTGGGAGGCCGAGGCGGGTGGATCACAAGGTCAGGAGATTGAGACCATCCTGGCTAGCACAGTGAAACCCTGTCTCTACTAAAAATAAAAAAAAAATTAAAAAAAATTAGCTGGGCATGGTGGTGGGCGCCTGTAGTCCCAGCTGCTTGGGAGGCTGAGGCAGGAGAATGGTGTGAACCCAGAAGGCGGAGCTTGCAGTGAGCTGAGATCATGCCACTGCACTCCAGCCTGGACAACAGAAGGCTAAAAATAAGATCCCAATCTCTTCTGGTTTATAAGGTTCTGCTGAGAAGTCTGCTGTTAGTCTGATTGGACTTCCTTTATAGGTGACTTGATCCTTCTTTCTAGCTACCTTCAAGCGTTTTTCTTTAGCACTGTATTTGGATAGTCTCATGACTATGTGCCTTGTTGATGTTCATCTTGTATAGAATCTCACAGTTTTTCTCTGAATTTCTTGTATCTTGATGTCTAACTTTCTAGCAATAAGAGAAATGTTCCTGAATTATTCCCTTGAGTATGTTTTCCAAATTGCTTACTTTTTCTCTTTCTCACTCAGGAATGCCTATAAGTTGTAGGTGTGGTTGCTCTACCTAATCCCATATTTCTTGAAGGCTTTGTTCCTTTTTTAAAATTATCTTTTATATTTTTCTGACTGGATTAACTCAAAAGATCAGTCTTCAAGCTCCAAAATTCTTTCTTCTTCTTGGTCTAGTCTATTGCTAAAGCTTTCCACTATATTTTGAAATTCCTTTACTAAATTTTTTCATTTCCAGAAGTTCTGTTTGTTTGTTTTAATATAGCTGTCTTTCATATCCTGAATGGTTTTCCTGGTTTCTTTCTGTTGAGTTTCAACTTTCTCTTGGATATCATTGAGCTTCCTTACAATCCATATTTTGCATTCTTTATCTGTTATTTCAGAATCCTCATTTTGGTTGAGATCCATTGTTAGAAAGCTAGTGAGAGCCTTTGGGGCTGTCAAAACATTCTGTCTGTTTCTACCACCAGAGTTCTTGAACCGATTCCTCCTCATCTGAAAGTACTGTTGCTTTTTATTTTTGAATGTGCTATTATTTGGATGGGAATTTTATCTTTTTTTTCCCTTGAGGGTATGACTGTCATGTATGCTGTGATTATTTGCTTCATTTCTTGGTGCTTTCAGGGGGCCAAGGCTCTGTATAGGTTCCTTGGTTATAGACAGCTTTTGTGCAGTGTTTTTCTAAAATGTTGCTTGTTTTAGCAATGTATTGGGAGTATGAGCTGACTCACTATCTTCTGTGGGGCTGAGTGTGGAAGTCTCAGGAAGCTTATCTCATACACTAGCACTATGCCCTTCTGATAGCGGGTTTTTATTTGGTGGAGCAGTTCAGTCTCCAGTCTAGTAAGTGGCACTTAATAAGAGCCAACTCACCCTCAGTAGCCAAGTGATAAGGAGAGGCACCTGCCAGATGGAGGGTGGTTGGGGAGTTCGTGTTGGGATATGCTGAAGTCTTGGGGTAGGGACAGGTGAGGTTGAGAGAGTCACAGCACCAACTCATCACCCTGGGCAGGCAGGAACACAATCTGCTTCCCTATCATGCCCCTGCCACAGGGCCTGCAATATTCAGTTCATACAGACATTGTCCTTTGGCTCCTGGCTGCAGTGTGACTGAGTTCTGCAGAAAAACCCCTCTGGTGGCTACCACTGAAAGGGGCTCAGGGCAAAGCCTCTTCCCCCGGTCCAGCTCTGTGACTTGTCTGCCCTCCATTGCCTGCTTCTCAGTGTAGGAAGAGGGAGATGGGCCCTGACTTTTGTGCATGTCCAGGTAGCACAGGCTTATTTTCAGTGGGGGTGCAGCTTCTGCAAGTGGCACCTGGAAAGGCTGTCTCCACGTGTGCTTGCACCAGCCTCCAGTGGGGAAAGCCTCTGCTGTGTCTGCAACAGTGGATGAGGGAGAAGGAAATGATCCCTCTCCACACCTATTCTCGGCCACCAGTGCCTCCCCCTTCAGTGATCAACACCATTTCCACATTTCCTTTGTCCCAAGGGAGGCTTTGACAGGCTGCACTGCATCCTCCCCTAGGGATGCCCACACTGAGGGCTAGATCTCAGGGGAACTCACAGCTCTCCAGGGACCCACTGATCCCCTGTGGGTGCCAAATTCAGAGTGAGTTCTGGAGTATGTTTGCAGGGGATCTGGTAATGCAACGTAAGGGCCGAGGTTCCCTGGCAGGGCAGTGGCCCATAATGGGTGAACAACAAGTATGGCATCTGCTGTTTCAGGTAGGACCTGAGTGGAGTGCAGATCCACCAGCACAAGCTGGCCAGCCAATTCTCTCACCCTGGAAAGTTACCAAATTGCCACCAACAGAATTGTCTGTGGTTGTGAGGGCAGAGGGGCTCCCCAACAGCTTAGTGGTCAGCAGTTTATTGCAGGGATGAAGGGAGCAGAGAAGCATTCCCACTGACCTTTTCCATGGGACCCCAAGTTCCTCATAGGTCAATGTCTGCCAGACTCTTGCTGCTTTCCTTTCTTGTGCCCCAGCTTCTTCCCATGGGTTCTCTGACAGGTCCTGGCTGTCTTCCCTCAGTTTTCCATTTGGATCATGACCATTAACAGGTAACTTCGATCTTCTTTCTGAAAAGAACTCGCATCCAACATTCCTAGTCAGCCTTTTTTTTTAAATTAAATTGAAAATAATTTGCATTTTATAAATATGCATGATAGCAGAACTGACTATACATCTATACAATGGAGTACTACTCAGCAAGAAAAAGGACCCAACTACTGATACATACAATGATATGTTTTGAATGTGTGTCTTCAACCAAATCTCATATTGAAATGTGATCCCTAGTGTTGGACCTGGGGCCTGGTGGGAGGTGGTTGGATCATGGGTGCAGATTTCTCATGAATGATTTAGCATTATTCTCTTTGATACTTTCCTCACAATAGTGAGTTAATTATCATGAGATCTAGTCATTTAAAACTGTGTAGCACTTCCCCCCTCTCTCTCTTGCTCCTGCTCTGGCCCTGTGATATGCCTGATCTCCTCTCACCTTCCACAATGATTGTAAGTTTCCTGAAGCCTCCCCAGAAGCCAAGTAGATACCAGCTTCATGCTACCTGTATAGCCTGCAGAACCATGAGCCAATTAAACCTCTTTTCCTTATAAATTACCTAGTGTCTGATATTTCTTGATAACAACGTGAGAATGATCTAATACATACAAAAGTATGGATAAATCTCAAAAGCAGAATGATAAACAAATGAGTCCAGACTGGGAAAAAGCTACAAACAGTATTATTCCATTTACATAATAGAATGTATAAGGCAAAACTATAGAGACAAAAGTCAGATCTGGTTTCCAAGGACTGGGGATAGGAGAAAGTGACTACAAAAGGAACACAAAGGGACTTTATGGAGTGATGGGAATGTTATCAATTTTGATGGTAGTGGTGGTTACATGACTGTCCATCTGTCAAAACTCATCAAGTTGTATACATAAAAATGATTAACTATATCTGTATTTAAATTATATGTCAATAAACCTGACTCCCTGCCACTCCCCCAACACACACACACACACACACACACACACACACACACACACAAAATCAGAGGACTGCAGATATGGGCCGGGGGGTGGGTAAAGCAAATTGAACTAAACTCCAAAAAGTGATGCACTGAACTTTAACTTTCAATAGCTATGTCTGAGTTAACATGACAGATTAGAATTCCAAGGAGCCCCAAATGCAGAGCAAGACTGTACCCATCTGCCAACTCTTTCCTACAAGTCCCCACCAAGAGCATCATTAGCATACTAAGGGCTGGGGGCAACAGAGCTGAGAGAGAAACCCTTGAGTTGTGTTGGGCCTCCACTAAGTTCAAAACAACTACATTCCAGAGGCAGGGAACAGAAAATAGAAAGGAGTTTTGTCTATTCAAGGTTCACCAAATTTTCAGCTACTGAAGGTAGAGGGCATGGCAGGAAATCTGAGATAAATCCATCCAAGGCACTCTAGGCTACTGAAAATAGGGGACAGGAAAGCTAAGAGGAATCATTCTGGAACACTTGGGCCTTCAGCTACTGAAGTCAGGTGCAGGAGAGTTTAAAGAAATCCCTCTGGGGGCATTCCAGCCCTTTGAAAAATTTAAAGTAGCTGCCTTCCAAAATCCGTGGTAAAAGCAAAGCAAAATCTCTTGAGGTGCAGAAAGCTAGGAACAGGACTATAAAGAGAAATTACCAGTGACCCTGATGGGCAAATAGACAGTAAATTTTTTTTAATTTCCTATGGTTCAGAAATCTGGCAACACAAAGAGATCTTAAGAATCTTGCTAATACTCAGGTCCCAAGCCCTGCTGAAGGGAAAGTCTTGAGCCTGTCCTCAAAACGTTTAAAGCCCAGTGCAAATTGAGTCAAACTAAAGCCCAGATTTAGCTCAACTACAGATTAGACTGAATCAGTCCCTTACTCTAGCAGCCTAAAAGAAGAGGTATGCCTATTTTGGGTGTATTATTTGCTTCAATCCTAATTGTTTTTATATATAAAATGCCCAATACAATAAATTATGAGACATGCAAAGAAATAAGAAAATGTAACCTGTGATCAGGAGAAGAAATAGCTAATAGAAGCAGAGACAGAGATGTCCTGGATGTTAAAATGATCGAATGGGGACTTTAAAATATATATATATATATGGTAAAAATGATAAAAGATTTGGTAGAACAGGTGGCCAATGTGAACGAAGGGATGAGAATTTCACCGCAGACACTGAAATCTTTCAAAAGAACCCAAAAAAGGAAAGCTGGAAATGCAAAATAATATCTGATAAATGGTTGCATTAGCTAGGCTAACAGCAGACGAGACCGGGCAGAGAAAAAAATTGGTAGACTTGAAGATGGTTCAATAGAAAGACTCTAAAGTGAATCACACACAAAAACATGCTGAAAATAAAAAAGAGCACATCCAAGACACATAGGAAAATATAAAATAAAGTACCATACATGTACTTAGAATACTAGGCAGAGAGGAGTGAGAGAATGGAAAGAAAAAAATATTGGAAATCATAATTGACAAAAGACATACATCAGACTACAGATCCCAAAACCTTGGAAACCTCGAGCAAGATAAATCAAATAAAATGACAGTTAGGCACAACATAAGCAATGGCTGAAAAGGAAAGAAAAAGAGTAAACCTTAAAAGTAGCCAGAGAGAAAAGATACATTACATATAGGGAAACAATAATACAAATGATGTCTGACATTTCACCACAAATGATGGGAGCAGAGACAAGAGAACATCTTTAAAGTCAAGTTAGAATTTCTATGTCCAACTAAAATAGCCTTCAAAAATGAAGGTAGGGGCTGGGCATAGTGGCTTACTCCTGTAATCCCAATACTTCAGGAGTTTGAGGTGAGTGGATTGCTTGAGTTTAAGACCAGCCTGGGCAACCTAGGGAGACTACGTCTCTACAAAAAAATTAAAATTAGCTGGGCATGGTGGTGCATGCCTGTGGTCCCAGCTATTTGGGAGGCTGAGGTGGAGAGATGACTAGAAGCCCAGGAGTTCAAGGCTGCAATAAGTCTTGAACATGCCACTGCACTTTAGCCTGGGTGACAGAAGGAGACCCTGTCTCAAAAAAAAAAAAAAAAATGAAGACAGAATAAAGACATTTTTAGACCACAAATACTGTTAAAAGAAGGTCTTAAGTCCGAAGGGAAATAATATCAGATAGAATGTAAGACATGCAAAAGTAATAAAGAGAACTAAGAAAAGGAAATATCTAGGTAAATATTAAAGATTCTATTTTAGCATCTTTACATAAAATAATAATATTATATAATAATATCAACCATTTCAGCAAAAATAGCATTAGTGTTATTTTGGTTTATAAGACAAAAGTGCAAATCATGGGATGGGGAAAATTGTTGAATACTGTGGTAAGAGCCTCTTATTATTTATAAGGTAGTATAAAATCAAGCAAAAAATAAAAAGAGATACTAAAAGATATTTGAGTCACAAAAAAATAAGAAAAGAAAAGGAACAAATAAAGTAAAATTTTAAAGGCAAAAATATAGAAAAATCTCAAAATAATCATGCTAAGTACAAGAAGCCAGATCAAAAAAAATATGTACTGTGGGATCCCATTTATATAAATTTCTGGGAAATGCAAAATAATCTACAGTGACAGAAAGTAGATCAGTTGTTCACTCAGGAGGAGTTGGTAGAAGACAGGAATTATAAACGGGCATGAGGAAACTCTCTAGGGTCATGGCCATGTTCATTATTTTGATTGCAGAGATGGTCTCACAGGTATACACATATGGTAAAGCTTATCAAATTATACTCTCTAAATTTAGGCAGTTTATTTTGTGTCAATTATATACCTCAATAAAGATATATACACACATATACATACATCTTATATGCCAAAATGTTAGAGTTAAACCCAACCGTATCAATAATTACATTAAACATGACTGGATTAATCTCACCAGACTAGTTTTCAAAAAAAGCAAGACCCAACTATATTTTGTTTATTAAAAAACGAATTTTAAATCTAAAGACACACAAAGGTTGAAAAGAAAAGGATTGGAAAATGTACACCAGGCCAGGCATGGCGGCTCACGCCTGTAATCCCAGCATTTTGGGAGGCAGAGGCAAGTGGATCATGAGGTCAGGAGATCGAGACCATCCTGGCTAACACGGTGAAACCCTGTCTCTACTAAAAATATAAAAAATTAGCCAGGTGTGGTGGCGGGCACCTGTAGTCCCAGCTACTCGGGAGGTTGAGGCAGGAGAATGGCGTGAACCCGGGTGATGGAGCTTGCAGTGAGCGGAGATCACGCCACTACACTCCAGCCTGGGGGACAGAGCGAGATTCTGTCTCAAAAAAAAAAAAAAAAACAAAAAGAAAGAAAGAAAGAAAGAAAAAGGTACACCATGCAAATGGTAAGCATCAGAAAATTGTATTAATATCAGACGAAGTATACCTCAAGAAAAAGAATATTACTAAAGAAGAAGAGAGAGATTTCCTAATAAAAGGATCAACTCATCGAGAAGATATGAGTCTTAATGAGTATAAGAACTTCAAAATACATGAAGCAAATATTGAAAGAACTAAAGGGAGAAACAAAAACTTCCCAATCATATCTGGAGATTTTAGTACCCAACTCTTAGTAACTGCTAAATAAACAGAAATCAATAAGGATATGTAAATCTTAACACAATGAACCAAATGGACCTAACCGACATTTATAGGTTATTACATCCAACAAGTGAAAAATACATACTTTTTCATATACACATGGAAAATTCACCAAGACACACTGTATGCTGGCCCAAGAAACAAGTCTCAGTAAATGTTCAAGAATCAAAATAATACCGAGTATATTCTCTGACTATAATGGAATTTGATTAGAAATCAATAACAAGAAGATATTTAACCCCCCCCCAAATATTTGCAAATAAAGAATGTAATTCTAAATAATCTGTGGGACAAAGATGAAATCACAAGGGAAATTAGAAAATAACTGAATGATGAAAACCTGTCACATGAAAAACTACGGCATTATGAAGCTGAAGCAGCACTTAGAAGAGAATCTGTAGCGTTCAATGCTTCTATTCAAAAAGAAGAAAGGTGTAAAATAAAAGAATGAAGCTTCCACCTTAAGAAGCTAGGAAGAGTTGAGGAAACTGAACCCAAAGGAAACAGAAGAAAGAAAATAATAAGATTGTTATTCACTGAAACAGAAAACAGACTAAGAAAAAGAAAATCATCAAAGTCAAAATGAGTCATTGGAAAGATTGATAAAATTAATAAACTCTTGCTGCTTCTCAAACATTTTCCAGTAGGTTATTCACAAATTTGCATTAGAGACCAGCAGTGGATGCTCTCAGCATGTAGGTGTAGCCCTCTTGCCACTCGTAGGGGAGAGACATGGAGGGACACACAGCCCCCAAGACTCAAGAGATGGAGGGGGAACCTGGGACACCCAGACCTCCAGGAACTCATTAGACATGCAGGACATAGGGATAGGTCCCTGTGGTGTTTTCTGCATGGACCCACAGCCTGTAGGGAGCCAAGGAAGAGCCACCTTCATGCAGAGAAGAGGAAAGGAAAGGATAGCAGAGGGAAGTCAACCCGAGAAGAAACTCATGAACAATTTTTTAAAAAATCTAGGTCTTGGGGCTGGGCGCGGTGGCTCACGCCTGTAATCCCAGCACTTTGGGAGGCCGAGGCGGGCGGATCACGAGGTCAGGAGATCGAGACCATCCTGGCTAACACGGTGAAACCCCGTCTCTACTAAAAAAATACAAAAAATTAGCCGGACATGGTGGCGGGCGCCTGTAGTCCCAGCTACCCCGGAGGCTGAGACAGAATGGCGTGAACCCGGGAGGCAGAGCTTGCAGTGAGCCGAGATAGCGCCACTGCACTCCAGCCTGGGCGACAGAGCAAGACTCCTTCTCAAAAATAATAATATCATCATCATCATCATCATCATCATCATCATCATCATCATCATCATCGTCTAGGTCTTGGGATTTGCGGGATGCTCCTGGCTCTGAAAATAAACTGTCTCTGAGATCCCCAGGGTAGAGAAACATGGGGAGGTTACAGGCATTCTGCTGCAGGATTGTCTCTTCTTTATTCACTTCTCTCTCTTACCATTGCTTCCTCCACAGAGGAGACTGGAAAGGTCTATGCCAACTCCAGCAAGGTGTGGGTCCAGGAATACATCAGCAACTGGAATTAAACCCCGGCAAGGTCTGGACCCAGCAAGAAAAGTGCTAGAGATGTGAACAGATTGGGCACAGGGACCCAAAACAGGCAAAAGTCTCTGCAACCTCAGAAACTGATTCCAGATCTGGGGGTCTAACTTCATTTTAAATGTACGTATGCTATTTTACTTATAATCCCTTTTTGATTGTGAATTGTGTTGTTTACTAAATGTTCTGGGAAGTCAGATGGCCTTCTCTTGTCTCCCTCCACCTTTCCCCTTCAGTCACAAAGGGATTGACTCCATTTCATGGCTGCAATGAGCTATCTAGGCAGACATTGTAAGAAATTCATCAAACCAGCACATATTTATTGACTATGAGTAGCCAGTGCTGGGTTCAGGCTTTGAAAGAATAAAATATTCCTCTCTTTCTTTCTTCCTTGCTTCCTCACTTCCTCCCTTCCTAACTTCCTCCCTCCCTGTCTCCTTGTCTCCCTGTCTCTCTAGCTCCAAATTTAATAAACACTAGTTTGAAAAGTATTCATATTAGTGAAGATGTGGAGCAACTGACATGCACACACTGCTGCAGGGAGTGTGAATTTGTCCTCCCACCTTGGAAAATACCATTGTCATCTTGTTGCAGCAAAGGTGTGCATGGCCGATGACCTAGCAGTCACACTCCTAGAGAGAGCCACAGTTACCCTTGCACGTTCACAGCAGGAAACATACACAAGAATACTCCAATCAGTGCTGTTGGCACTAGCAAAAATAAAAGGGGCAAATGGAAAATAAATCACGGTATGTTCATAAACCAAAATATTACCAGGAACGAAAGCAAGCACATTACAGCTACATATAGTAAATAGTGTGAATCTCAGGAGCATAATGTTGAGAGGGAAAAAAAGCTATGGAATAAAACATATAATAATTCCATTTATGTAAGTTTGAAAACAGCCCAGAGCAGTGGCTCACACCTGCAGTTCGAACACGTTGGGAGGCCGAGGTGGGCGAATCGCTTGAGCCCAGGAGTTCAAGACCAGCCTGGACAACATGATGAAAACCCATCTCTACAAAAATAATACAAAAACCAGCCAGGCATGGTGGCACATACTTGTAGTCCCAGCTACTTGCGAGGATGAGGTGGGAGGATCTCTTGATTTCAGGGAGGTCGAGGCTGCAGTGAGCCATGATCGTGCCACTGCCCTCGGCCTGGGTGACAGAGTGAGATCCTGTCTCAAAAAAATGAAATGAAGTTTAAAAACATACAAAGTTAAATATATTAATATTCAAATCTATATGGTGAAATGATCAGAAAGGCAAGAGTATATTATAAACATTATTCAGGAGAGAGATCACTCTGTGGAAATGACCACTCAGGGACCATCCCAGGCATCGGGTACAGGGATGCTTGTTGTATTGCTACTCTTTATTCTCAGTCCATATTTTATGCCTAGTTAATATCAAAATATATATTATATATAATTTAAAATACATATATATTATATATAAATAAATATTATATATATATTCTATATATATTTATATATAATATATAAATAAAAATATATATTATATATAAATATATATATAAACAATATTTATATATATATAAACAAATATATAAATAATATTTATATATATATAAACAAATATATAAATAATATTTATATATATATATAAACAAATATATAAATAAAACTATGGGCGAGGCATGGTGGCTCACACCTATAATCTCAGCACTTTGGGAGGCCAAGGTGGGCAGATCACCTGAGGTCAGGGATTTGAGAGCAGCCTGGCCAACATGGTGAAACCCTATCTCTACTAAAAATATAAAAATTAGCAGGCGTGGTGTGAGATGCCTGTAATCCCAGCTCCTCGGGAGGCTGAGGCAGGGGAATCACTTGAACCCAGGAGGCAGAGATTGCAGTGAGCCGAGATCGTGCCATTGCACTCCAGCCTGGGCAACAAGAGCGAAACTCCATCTCAAAAAAAATAATTAAAAAAAAAAGCTAGCCAGACGCAGTGGCTCACACCTGTAATCCCAGCACTTTGGGAGGCCGAGGAGGGCGGATGACCTGAGGTCGAGAGTTCGAGACCAGCCTGACCAACATGAAGAAACCCCGTCTCTACTAAAAATACAAAATTAGCCAGGTGTGGTGATGCATGCCTGTAATCCCAGCTACTCAGGAAGCTGAGGCAGGAGAATCACTTGAACCCGGTAGGCGGAGGTTGTGGTGAGCCAAGATCGCGCCATTGCACTCCAGCCTGGGCAACAAGAGTGAAACTCCGTCTCAAAAAAAAAAAACCTGTAAAAATCAGGCTGTAGAAAAGAACAGTTATTATTACCTCATTTTTGTTTAACTGTATATCTGTATTATACATAATGACTACATACAAAAACATGACTTGAAACTTACACATCAAAATATTGATAGTAAAGAGATTTTTTTCATTTATTTGATTTTCTTAAAAATTCTGTTAAAAAGCAGGCATCTTTTTTGTTAAAAATTATTTTAAATTGCATATAAGAATTTTACAATGAAATTGAAATTGTACACAACTTGTGAAAACATGGAATATGACTTTTTTTGGTATGATCCCACGTAGGGAGAAAGCAAACAGGGAAAAAAGATGAAGACACATCTAAGAATGTTATTGTGGGATCACAGGGGATTTTTGCTGACTTCTTTTTGCTTAAATATTTTCAAAATTTTTCCATAGTGTTGCTTTTTTAATAGTGAATGATGGTAAAAGTGTTTGCTTTGTTTTACTTTAGGAAGAAGGTGCCAGAGGCTTACTGTTTGCTTAAACTCACAGAAGGCCCTATGCATCTTGTTTGCAGCTGAATCTCCAGTGCTCTGCTCATGGTATGTATTCAATACATATTTACAGAATAAATGAATGAGTAAATGAATAAAGAGTGTTAACTGAACAGATGGAAGGGATAAAGCAGAACATGTGGTCTCCAATTTTTATTCATTCATTCTCTGTCCATTATAGGCTAGAATGGGGATAATTCCCAAAGATACGAAGAAATCGAAGCCCAAGATGGGTGGCTTCTCAGTCCCTTGACTTGGATGAAGTCCTCTCTATCAGCTGAGAAAACACATGGTAGAGATTGATGATCTTTGCAGATTCTTGGGAGGCAGACAGGTTGTGGAATATTGAAGATGAGAAAATAGCACCCAGCTTTCCAAAAAAGGAGGGAGAAAGAAAATAGACGATAGACTCCATCAACTTCAGAGTGGTCAGCTGCCTCTAGACTAGTCAAGATTCTACATATACCTATACAATTCTTTTTTTTTTTTTTTTTTTGAAACGGAGTCTCACTCTGTCGCCCAGGCTGGAGTGCAGTGGTGCGATCTCGGCTCACTGCAAGCTCCGCCTCCCGGGTTCACGCCATTCTCCTGCCTCAGCCTCCCCAGTAGCTGGGACTATAGGCGCCCGCCACCATGCCCAGCTAATTTTTTTGTATTTTTAATAGAGACGGGGTTTCACTCTGTTAGCCAGGATGGTCTTGATTTCCTGACCTCGTGATCCGCCTGCCTCGGCCTCCCAAAGTGCTGGGATTACAGGTGTGAGCCACCATGCCCGGCCTATAATTCTTATTTTAAAAAACCTCTTGTTGGCACTTCAGAAAGGAAGTAGTCACTGCAAGTCAGCATGGTGCAGTTAGGCCGAATCAAGCTGGACCAACCCCATTTCCTTCTCTGGAAGCAATGAACATCTGGGGAAGGGTGTAGACAGAGGGCCTCATAGTCAATGGTCAATAGAAAATACTCTGGAATCAGCCGGGGAAACAATTAAATTCAGGAAACAGATACAGTCGTATGTTGCTTAACGATGGGCATAGGTTTTGAGAAATGCTTCATTAGACAATTTCATTGTACAGACATCACATACTTACACAAACCTAGATGGTGGAGCCTGCCACACACCTATATGGTACAGCAATTGCTCCTAGGCTACAAACCTGTGCAGCATGCTACTGTACAGAATACTGTAGGCAGTTGTAACACAGTGGTGAGTATTTGTGTACCTAAACATACCTAAACATAGAAAAGGTACAGTAAAAATAAGGTAGCATAATTTTTGTTTAATGTATTGCTGCTGAACAAATTATGGTATTATAATCTTATAATAAGATGTGTAGTAGGCTACACCATCTAGGTTTGTGTAAGTACATGATGTCTGTATAATGATGAAATTGCCTAACAAAGCATTTCTCAGAACATATGCATGTTGTTAAGTGTCATATATGTAGTCTGTCATTGATAAAAACATCATTATGTGGCACATAACTATATACACTGCTGCATGAGCCAGTGTGCAAAAACAACTTTACTAAAATAAGAATAGTCTAATAAAAAATAAAGCCATAATTCTCCCCATGCCTCCTTCTGCAACTCCAGCCTTTCTCCTTTGAATAGGGGAAGTGGGGCCAGTCAAGCAAGACCGCAGCTCTGGGAGGAGGGTGAATGTTATTTACCAAAACATGGGAGGCAGATGATTCAGTAACTTAGATGTGGGAGGCCAGAAGTTGGCATAGACACCCAAGGGATCATATGATTCAACTATACACCAACGAAAAATGACTGCATGTAAAAATTGGTAAAATTTTAATAAGATCTGTTTTGTTGATAATATTGTAGAGGCCGGGCACGATGGCTGGTTGGGCGCAGTGGCTCATGCCTGTAATCCCAGCACTTTGGGAGGCTGAGGCAGGCGGATCACTTGAGGTCAGGGGTTCAAGACCAGCCTGGTCAACATGGAGAAACCCCATATCTACTAAAAATACAAAAATTAGCCAAGCATGGCGGTGAGCACCTGTAATCCCAGCTACTCAGGAGGCTGAAGCAGAAGAATCACTTGAACCCAGGAGACGGAGGTTGCAGTGAGCCAAGATGGTGCCACTGCACTCCAGCCTGGGTGACAGAGCAAGACTCTGTCTCAAAAAATAATAATGATAATGATATTGTAGAACTGTCAATTTTCTAGTTTTGATGATCATAATGCATTTTTTATACGGTTGTATATGAAGTTTTATAAGCTTCCCATTGGGGGAAGCTGAGTCAAGATTGCACAGAAACTTTATGTACTATTTCTGCAATTTCTATGTCAGTGTAAAGTTATTTTAAAATAAAAAGTTACCATAAAAACAAAAGATTCTTTATGACCTGAAAAAATTATTTCCTCATCATTATTGTAACTTAAACAGTTTTATTATCTTCAAAATCAATATTTGGAGTCATAAAGTTGTAATTCAATATCGGGTAATTTCTAAACATTAACTCTATGTGAGATTCATGAGGGTGCCCTGAGACTGGGCTAGAAACAGAATAATCAAGGTGGAACAGGTCTGGGCGTGGTGGCTTATGCCTGTAATCCCAGCACTTTGGGAGGCCGAGGCAGGAGGATCACTCGAGCCTAGGAGTTCACAACCAGCCTGGGAAACATAGTAACACCTCATCTCTACTACAAAATTTTAAAAATTAGCCAGACATACTGGTGCACTCCTGTAGTCTCAGCTACTCAGGAGGCTGAGGTGGGAGGATTGCTTGAGCCCAGGTGGTCTAGGCTGGAGTGAGCCATAATTGTGCCACTGCACTCCAGCCTGAATGACAGAACAAGGCCCTACCTAAAAAAAAAAAAAAAAAAAAAAAAAAAGCAAAGTAAAACCTCCCGTGAAAAAAGCAAGAGCCAGAATGGGCTAGTTCTTGGGCTGCTCCTTCCCTGGTAGCTTAAATTAAGGAGAGAGGCTCTCAAGGAAGGACAAAGAAAGGGCTTGATGCATGGGAAATCACAATTTTGAAAATAATAGCTATCACTTATTCTCCCATGTGGCTTTCACAGGTTACCTAATTTCTCTATGCCTTGGTTTGCTTCTCTATAAAATGGAGATGATAATAACATCTACAATGCAAGTTTGTTGTGATGGTTAAATTAATTAATACATACATTTAAGCTCATAGAACACCACCTGGCACAGAATAAATGCTTAATAAAAATGGTAGTCATGCCAGGTTTGTGCTTTACATACATTATTTCTAATCTCACAACTACCCTGCCAGAGAGAAAGCATCAATCTCCTCTTCACAGGTGTGGAAACTCATTCAGAGGGTAAATGACACTTGCAGCCAAACGAGTTAGTAATGTTGGTGAAGAAGTTAAGTCTTGGGACTTGGAATTGACATCCCGGTTTCAGGTCTCAGCCACTTAACAATGGGTTAACGCCAACAAGTTCCTTAACCTTACCAAGGCTTGCCAAGTTTATGTTCCTAATGGAACAAGAACATCAACCTCTTAGAGTTTAGGGGAGAATTAAATAACACATTATATAGAAAGCACCTACCAAACTTAGGAGAGGCAAAAATCCATCTCCATTTTCTTAAGATCCCACCTGGACTCAAGAATTAAATTGACATATGATAGATTAATAGGAGAAAAGTACACAAATTTAGTTAATACAAGTTTTACATGACACAAGATCCCTCATAAGGAACAGAAACTCAAAGAAGCAGTTAGGGTCAGTTACTTATACACTGAATTGGACAAAAAATAGGAAGTTGTGAAATGTGATAAGGCAAAGGGGCTGCGCTGGGTGATTAATTGGGTACAGAAATGACTAAGGTGATAAGGTTTGTTTGTGTAGACTTCTCTCGGCTTCAGCTTCCCATCCTTAATAAGAATATTATTTTTCTTTCGGTATAAGGAGGACATCTTTCACATGGGCATTTCATTTCCTGCCTTTGATAAAGACAATAAAGGTCAAAATAAAGAAGGATCTTCTTGCACCTGCTGGGTTCTTTTTTTACATGCCTTTAATTTAAAATATGCCAGAACAGTGAATTTTGGGCGGCATATTCTTAACTCCTTCACAAATAAAGATCCTTATTTTTTCTCCTACACAAAAAAAAGGATAGTGGATTTGGTCAAGCGAGAGTGAGGTTCCTGGTAGGGATAAAGTGTGAGTGGGTTTATTATTCAATGATGATGAACAACTTACACAAGAGAAATGGCAGATTCCAGTGGCTGTAGGTAATTTAGTATTTTGGCTTTAGGTGTGTTTCTTGTCTGAGTGAAAGGCATTGCCTCCCATTCTTGGTGCACGGAGTAGCATGTCTGAGTCTCCTAGAGCATGGCTTAGCCCTACTTCCACCTGCTTCTTTCCAGATATGAATGACAACATCAGTAAGTGCTGCTACATCACCTGGAGGATCCCATGCAAGTATGTGATACATTATTATCTGTCTAATTCATGAAGTGTGTCCCAAACCCACCACCCTGTGAGTCTCACTCCATTAATCAGACTCAGTGGGATGGAGACTGTTGAGAGAAGCACCAACCGTCAGAGCACCTGCCAGGTGTTGCAGACACAGGGAGAGGCAGTAGAGGGCCAGCCTGGGGGCTTTCTGGCCTGGGCTGGAGTCTTCCAGGTGGAAGCAGTTCCCAGTAAATGGAGCAGCATGGTGGGGAAGGGAAGGAGAAGGCTGAAAGGAGGCTGCTAGAAGTGGGGTGGGGTGGACTTGGGAGTCCAAGTGAATGGAATCAGTGCTGCATTGCCCAATAGGCAACCGGCAGGTGCTTAGGAAATCAACAAATAATGCTTTTGAAAGAATACAATATTTGCAACTTCATGCATGTACACAGTGATCAAAGTGGCTATTATTTAAAAAAATCAAAAGTCCCTTATACAGTCTTATCATTACTTTTCAGTTAGTATTGGGTATTTGAAATTACATGCTGAAACACAGAATAACCTTTTTAGAGCCTAGGACCACTCAGGTCTTGCTCTGACCCTGGTTGGAGCTCATCCTTCGGGAAGGAGACAAAAGCCCCCAAATTTACCAGAGAATGGAAGAAAGATGGGATGATCCCTCCTCAGCTTTTGCATTCCTCCATTTTTGATCCTTCTACCCCTTGACTCATAATTTAGACACAAGTAAATGTCTCGCCTGCTTGGGTTTGAGGTAAACATTAGTTCAGGGTTAATTGGATGAGCTGAAACACTCTGAGCATGGAGAGAAAGGATCTAGTCATGGCCAACCGCTAATCCCACAGCCCCCGCCACTGCATGGTAGCTGTCCTGCCCTGAGATTAATCCCCAATGACAGTTTTTTCCTGATCTCCTCCACTGTGCTGAATTCCATTCTATTCTGAAGCTTGGCTCTGACACCCTCTTTGGGGTATGTGGAGGCTCAGGGACCCAGTGAGCTGTTGGTAGCAATATTAGACATTGACTTGTGAACATGTTACTTGAGCTTTGGAGAAAGTAAAGAAGGATATTGGAAGAAAGCTGTATTGGACCCAGCTGGATCACTGGACTCCAGCAAGTCAGGCTGGAGAGGAGGGAGTTGGCACGTGAAGCAAAAAGCTTAGAAGGACCCATGAGGTGGGGACTAGGGCCCCTATATATGGACTTTGGGTGGCCTTGAAATAATATGCAGCATATTAGATATAGATCTGCTCCTTGAAAGTTAGATTGTATGGCCAAACCGCAAACCCAAATATGGATTTCTTACTTCTAGGCATTTGTCTCTCATGGTTCTTTCTATCCATGGAGTTTGCAAACTCCACTTTCTCTTCTGCTTTCTCTCTCCTGCTTTCTCTGTCTGCTTTTCAAGATTTCTGTCAAATGCTACATCTTCTCCGATCCTCCCAGACCAAAGTGGCCCATCTCCACCTCCTCTGACACACCACAGCCTGTGACACCCTCATTCCACATTTATTGGGCACTGCTCCCAGTGCCAGATACTGGGGTAACCTAGACATGTACCATCCCAGCCCTCAGGAGCTTACATTCTAGGGGGTGGAATGGGAAAGGGGGAAATGATCCTCAAGCGAACAAGTATACAAAGTAATTTCCAATGGTAACCAATGCTTTGAAAGACCTAAAACAGGCTATGGTGTGTGGGTTCTTTAGGAAAGGTCAGAGGAGGCCTCTCTAAGAAGGTGACAATTAATCTGAGCCCTACAAGATGAGGAAGATTCAGCCATAAAACAAGCCAGAGGTAGGAAAGCATCCAGGCAGAGAAACCAGAAAAGGCAAAGGCCCTGGGGTGATTGTGTTTGCCTAATGAAAAGAAGGCCAGTGGGACTGGAAGTTCAGCGAGAACAGTAGACCTGTCAGAGCCTTGTAAGCCAAAGGTTGTCAGTAGATGGGCATGGCCTGATTTGGGTTTTAGAAAGAGTACTCTGGCTTCAGGACAGAGAACGGGTTTGAGGGGAGCAAGAAGGGAAGCAGGGGGACCAATTAGGAGACCATTGCAATAGTCCAGGTAAAAGACTGAACTAAGGCAGGGGCACTGAGAATGGAGAGGAGGCAACAGATTGCAGATATTCTTTAGAAAGAACCAACTTATTGATGGACGCATGAGTGCAGGGGGCAGAGGGATGCTGCTCACTTGTCCTCTGTCCCTCATTGCCTGGTATGGCAGACACTCAGGGCTATTTTGTAAATTTCAATCCCAACTACAGTTAACCCAGTGGCAGAGCCTATGCAGTATTCCTTTCCATGTGTCCAGGCAGTCACCATATTCTTTCCAGCTCCCTGGGTTGCCTCATCTCTAACAGGGTCCTGCTCCCTCAAATCCTGCCTGGCTGCCAAGAGAGAAGTATAGATCATAAAATTCAACCTCATCCCTCCTCTCCAGATCCTGAGGCTTGGCTTTTACTCTATGGCTTTGTGAAAAGCAGAAGCAATAATCCAACCACATGTCTTCTTAACAAGGAAATATTTTACTTTTAAATGGAAGGGCGCAGTTATTAAAGGGTCAAAGACCAACTCAAGGCAGGGATGGGCTGGGTAAGTTAGGGACTCTATTCTTTGAATCTTCAGAGGCCCAAATACAGGAAATGTCAGGGCAAAGAAAAGAAGAGGAAAGAAAAGGTTGGTAGGAATTTGACAGGTCTGTTTGTGACTGCTTAAGATGATGCTAAGGCCTTTTTGGGAATAATATTTAAAATTCTAAGGAAATTGAACACTTAAACAAAGGATTTTTAGCAAAGCAATTTTACTTTTGCGCAGAGGGGTGTTTCTCCTTGGCCAGTCGCCATGGGAGCACACTTGAATAAAGGGGCATGAAAGCCTTTATTTCTGACGCAAGTCTTGCTTTTGTATTTTTTTTTTTCATTGGCCAGGATTGGGTTGTACGCTTTAAACTAATTCTGTTTGGCTAAATATTTGAACTTTTTTGTTTCAGATAAGGTGGGCATGTAAGAGAGAGAGGGGAAAGGGGAAGGGGTGTCTGTAATGAGCTAGAGAGTTAGTCTTTTTTTTTTTAATAAGGAAAGGAATGTGAGCTGGTACTGCTAACACCTGGTATTGTGGCGTGTCTGGGCATGTAACAAAGGCAGAAAGGAAGAAAAAAAGACAAAAAGGAAAAAGGGGTGGGGAGGTACTATTAAAGAATAAAGGATTGATTAGGCTATTTGAAGAGAAACTTCATCATATCTTATAGCCTGAAGCTGACCTGGCCATGCTTTAAAGGAAATGAACCCAAAGAAGGGCTTTGGATTTAAAGGAAATGAACCCAGAGAAGCCTCGAAGGGGGCTTCTCTTTCCAGTGCATTCCCAGGAGCAGCCCTAGATGAGGCCACTGCAGACCACCGCTAAGCTTTTGGCATGAGTCTCACACTCCCAGGAAGAGAGGCAGATGCCTCATGATAGGCATAAATCAACAGCCCCTGCGTATGTGTCACTGATAGCTTGAACGAGGACAACTTTGGGGGGAAACTATATAGCAGCTTTCATTTTGGTCTCCCGTTGTGTCTTTAATTTTGAGGGCTGGTTCTTCCTCTGCCCTTGTATAAAACTCAAGGCAGGACCCATGATTTTTCTAGTTGCTCTCAACTAATACCAACCAGTCCCTGATATGTGCTAGTACCTCCTGCCTCAAGACTTTTGCACAAACTACTTCCCTTACCTTTGTCTCCCTTTTCCTCACTTGTCAACTTAGCAAACATTGCTCATTTTATAATTCTCAGCTTAAATGCTACTTTCTCAGAGAGGCATTCTCTGGGCCCCCAATATATTCTTTTCCATGGTGTTGCTTATCACAGTGTATAAGTACATGTTTATTTGTGTGATTATTTAATTTTGTCTCCAGGAGGAAAGGAACATAATCTTTTTGGCTCTTTGTGTGATACTCTTGGTGCTGAGCAGAATGCCCAGCACGTGGTAGATGCTCAGTAAATTTATATTAAATGGATGGACGGATGGATGGATGGATGGATGGATGGATGGATGGACAGATGGATGGATGAGAGGTGGATGGGTGGATGAACAGATGGACAGAGGGACAGATGGATGGATGGATGGATGGGAGATGGATGGATGGATGGACAGATGTATGGATAGATGGATGGACATATTGATGAATGGACAGATGGATGGGTGGATATTCTAACAGGAAGCTCCCATTGATTTTACCTTTTTCCTCAAGTTCCAATATGGCTCGGCACAGCACTGTTACCGATCCTGTCTTTATTTAAGTGTTTTTGTGTTTTGTTCATTGTGATTTTTTCAGTAGTAATTTTGATTTTTTAAATAGTTCACTAAAATATTACTTATTTTTACTACTGAACTTTTTGGTGTCCCCTTGGGTTTTCAACACAAGCGCAAGGCTAGTGCCTCATTTACCACCATCTGGTCCTGACCTGCCCATAGTAAGCACTTAATAAATGATAATGATTGTTAAAATAATCACTGTTGTAACAAGAAGAGCAAGATATAATAAGACAATCACAGGCTTTAGAGTCAGGCAAACTTGGGCTCCAACCACTGACCTTGGGGAACTTGGGTTCCAACTGCTGACCTCAGGGGTGAAAAAAGCTAGCAGGGCCTGAAAAGAGGAGGAAGGCTGGGTACTTCCCAAGGGAGAGGAAGACTTCTGGACACCTATCAGGTGTGCAGACACAGAGAGAAGCTGAGCACCTTTTGGCCTGGGCTGAGCCTTCAAAGAGATGGAGGAGGTGGTCCCAGTGGGTAGAGAGGGGCCAAGTCTGGGACAAAGAAGAAGAAAGAGGGAACTGCCTGAAAGGATCGCATGAATCACCGTGGAGGACACTGGCTCAGGTGTGTATAGGGTCCTGGGGAATAGGGAGCAACCCCTCGGAAAGGAGACTTGCCCAAAGCCAGAAGTCTCCAGGATTCCATGGGGAAGGTAGGAACTTGTACAGAGTCTCAACTCCTCAGCCTCTTGTGCCTCATCTTCATCATCCAAAGGGTGCAGTACATTAGTGACAACTCCACAGTGCCTGAAGCCATGACTACACAAGACCCAGTGAAAAATGAAAGTGTTAGGCCCCTTGTTAAAAAACTACTAACTCCTAAACAACAACGGCAGCAGAGCCTGAAACCAAGAGCAAGGACCTGTGTAATTGCACAGGTCACACGCCCATGATGCCAGCCGTGATCTAGAGCTCACAGCACAGTCGCCACACTGCAGTTGAGGTATCCCAGTTCAGGATGCAGCAGGAGCAGAGCCCAAGGCTCCTACCCCATCCCCTCACCTCTGCCAGCCCTTGGGAATTTCTCTGCCCAGGATTTAATCCCAGGCCCACTTTCTCTCAGCTCTCACTCATTGTGCCAAATTATGACTCCCAGCCCTCTGGGGGCCCAAGGAAGCCATAGGCTCCAGGTCTCAGTGTAGATTTGGTATCAGAGCCTTGGAGAAAACACCAAGGGCTGTTCCATGAAAATTGTGCTGGACACAGCAAGAACTTGAGCGGTTTCTTTGGGCCCTGACAGTTGGGACCTCAGAACTGAAGGAGAGGAGAGTCAGAACCATGAGCACGAAGCCAGAAAGAGCCCAGGAGTGGGGAATGAAAGATTCTTTATACTTTGAGTCTTATGTGACAGAAAGCTCTCTCAAAATTTCCTCGAGCAAAACCAGAAATAGTTTATTAGCTCATAAATTCAGAGTGGATGGCAGGCGTACAGCTCAGGGAAAACCAGCCCCAGGGCATGCAGTTCCACAGGATCCTGGTATCAATGGCATTGCTCTTCTGAAGGCAGACCACAGGACCTCCACTTCCTGAAGGAGCTGCTGCTTTTCTGTCATTAAAATCTGAAAAATCCCTGGGAAGGACCCCAGTTGTCTGACTGGGGAGGTAGGTGCACATCTATTGCAAAGGAGGAGGTACCGTGATGGGCAAGAGCCTCACAGAACCTAATAGCTACATGGGCAGTTCCTCCAAGAAGAGGGCATCTTTCCAGAAGAAAGGAAGGTGCTGAAAAAAACAAACACATGCCCCCTACTTTACTTAAAAAGAAAATACTTGATCACAGAACTTGTCTTAAAGTATTGATAGCCATGCTAAATGTTAATCGTACCCTTGAGCATTTATCCTGGAGAATGAAGACTTACATTCACATAAACAAAGCAGTACATGAATGTTTATTGCAGCATTATTTATAATAGCCCAAAACTGGAAACACCCAGATGTCCTTCAGTGGATAAATGATTAAACAAACTGTGGTTCAACCATATCATGGAATACTATTCAGCAATAAAAAGAATGAACTATTGGCACATGCAACAACCTGAATGAATCTCCAGAGAATTCAGCTGAGTGAATAAAGCCAATCCCAAGAGGTGACATACCATATGATTCCATTTACATAACATTCATAAAATGACAAGATTATAAACATGGAGAACAGATTCGTGGTTGCCAAGAATTGAGGAAGGGGTGGGATGGGTGGGAGGGAGATAAGTGTAGCTATACAAGGGTTACATGAGGGAGCCTTGTGGTGAAGGAACTTTTCTGTATATTGATGATATCAATGTCAATATCCTCTACTATATTGTACTATCGTTTTGCAACATGTCACTTTTGGGAGAAACTGGTGTCAAAGTCAAACAAAATATAGAGATGAATCTCTAAATTTAAAATGTCTTATTTGGGACGCAAGAATTACAATTCAAGACATACATACTGTCTGGGTAGTCTTTAGTATGTCCAAAGACCAAAGAGTAAGCTAGAGGTTTTATTAAAAAGAGAAAAGTTACATATTGTTTTGCAAGAAAGTTCATTGGCACTAGTAAAGTTTTAGGAAACTGGCAAGTTGTGATTGGTGAGTGATAGCAGTGGGTAAGACTAGTCTTAGAACCACAGCAGGTTGTTTCAGTAACTATTAGATAAAATGGGTTTCAGGATAGCACAGGCTGAAACTTCAGCAGCCAGGCTTGCAGAGGACTACATTCTTGGAGCAATGTTATATGTCCCAGACAGGCTTGCATGCAGAGAATTACATTATTAGACCAGTGTTGGTTTTTTGTTTTTGTTTTTGTTTTTTTTTTTTTGAGACAGTCTCGCTCTGTCGCTCAGGCTGGAGTGCAGTGGCGTGATCTCGGCTCACTGCAACCTCCGCCTCCCAGATTCAAGCAGTTCTCCTGCCTCAGCCTCCTGAGTAGCTGGGATTACAGGTACCCGCCACCATGCCCAGCTAATTTTTGTATTTTTAGTAGAGACGGGGTTTCACCATGTCTATTGGGCTGGTCTGAAATTCCTGACCTCGTGATCCACCCTCCTTGGCCTCCCAAAGTGCTGGGATTACAGGCGTGGGCCACTGTGCCCGGCCTAGACCAATGTTATATGCCCTCAGTGTTTTCTCCCCCTGGCATCTCAACTCTGTTTTAGTTGGGTATGACAAGAATGACCCAATTGTATGGTCAACTTTTACACTGTGTAAAGAGTACACTACCCAGGATCTCTCTGTATTATTTCTTACAATTGCATGTGAATCTACAATTACCTCAAAATAAAAAAGTCCAATTTAAAAACATTAATGATCATGCTTATGTGTACATTATTTGTATACTATAGACACATCCAAAATGTGCCTCAATTTGATCATGTCCATGCCTTTGTCTTAAATAGTGAGGTCTAGTATTAGAGAGACCTTGGTTCAAATGCCAGCTTTGCCCTTTACTACCCATGTGGGCATATAGCAAATATTAGCAAATTACTCTATTGCTGTATGTCTCCATAGCCTCATCTGGAAAAAGAGCTAATGACTGTGCCTATTTCACAAGATTGTAGTTAAGATTTAATTATATAATAATTGTAAAACATAAAACAGTAAGTAGCCCATATCTCATTGCAACTATTTACTATCCTTATTGGCAGTTACAGCTGACTAGGATCTTCTTCCTCCCTTCCCTGCCTTTTGAAGCAGTATACAGTCTCTGTCCTATTTCTGAGACCTGCATCAAATGCTATCCCTTTCAGAAATGTTTCTCTTCATCCCAGTCCAAAGGGATGCATCTGGACCTCCCTTGAAATCTCCAATGGGCACAAAGGCTCCACAGCTCTGGATGGCAGAAACTTCCTCAATCCTCTATCTCTACCCTAACTAGAATAAAGCATCTTTACTAAGATTTATGTAGTCCTTCTCTAACAAGTACCTAGTTTAATTAAAAGCAACAAGCCTCAGCCGGGCACAGTGGCTCACACCTGTTATCCTAGCACTTTGGGAGGTGGAGGTGGGAGGATCACTTCAGCCCAGGAGTTCAAAACCAGCCGGGGGCAACATAGCAGGACCCCATTTCTAAAAAAAAAAATTTTTAAGTTAGCCAAGCATGGTGGTGCATGCCTGCAGTACGGGCCACTTGGGAGGCTAAGGTGGGAGGACCACTTGAGCCTGGGAGGTCAAGGCTGCAGTGAGCCGTGATTGTGCCACTGCACTCCACCCTGGTGAACAAAGGAAGAACCTGTTTCAAAAAAATTTTAAAAATAAAGCAACAAGCCTCCTCTTGAATAAGGAACTATTACTTTTGCGTTCAGCAAATTTATAAAAAAGATAAATCTATCCTTATGGCCCAAAAGGAGGATTATCAGTTAGCTTTTGCTACATCATAAATCACCACAAAATGTAGTGACTTAAAACAGCAAACAGCTATTCTCACAATTCTGTAGGTTGGAGGGGTAGTTCTCCCGGTCTGAGCCAGCTCAGCCAGGGTTTGAAGGCCTAGGATAACCTCTCAGCTGGGACAGCTGGGATGTCTGGGGACCTTTCTCTCCTTGTGGTCTCTCCTCCTTTGGTAGGCTAGCATAGGCTGGCACATGCGGTGGTATAAAAGTTCTCAGCAGTGAAATATTAATAATGCAAGTATCAATGCACCAGCACTTTTCCGGCCTCTGTTTTCATCACATTTTCTATTGTCTCATTGTCCAAAGACAGTCACATAGCAAAGACCAGATTCAGTAGGCGAAGGGACTTCCCAAGGGTAGGCACACTGGGTGGTAGGAATTACTGCACCCATTTTTGCAAACAGTCTATCAAAGGAAGGAATTAGTTAAATATTTAAACCAAGATCTAATTTCAGATAACCAGTGTGAGTTAGGAGAAACATTTGGCGCAAAACTGAAACCAATTCATTTGACTTGGTATCACCAAATACACATACAGTGGCTGGTATACAGGAATGGTCAGAAGATATTTAAGGGACTCCATCTCTGTGCAACCCTAGAGCAGTTTCAATTGCATGGCATAGCGCAGACTTTAGCTACAGGCCTCTTTAAGGAGACATTGTTTGGATTGGTTTTGTTTCTCTAAAAAGGACCTGGGCCCAGTCTTACACAAGAAACAAGAAGATGAGTTGGCAGGCTCTGTTATTCCCCTTATCACTTAAGAAGAAAGTTTTTCTCGTGTAATAGGCCATTTAAGATCATGCACAAGGATTCCCAGGCAAGATGCCTGAATAGGAACAGCTCTGGTCTGCAGCTCCCAGTGAGACCAACCCAGAAGGCAGGTGATTTCTGCATTTCCAACTGAGGTACCCAGTTCAGCTCATTGGGACTGGTTGGACGGTGGGTGTAGCCCATGGAGGGTGAGCAGGAGCAGGGTGGGGCATTGCCTCACCCTGGAAGCACAACACAGTCTTACAAGCCTACTCTGGACCAAGCGGCTGACCCCTTCTTCCAACCCCCTTCTCACTATCTCTTTTGCCTAATAAAGATGGAGGGCTATGTAAAGCTCAGGGCCCTTGTCCACTAGAGGCAAAGTGGCCCCTGACTAAATATATTCTTTTGTCTCTTGTCTTTTATTCCCACGTTCACCCCCTTTGTTCAGTCCCCCTAGGTCTGTATAAATTACACAAGGGGTCAGGGAACTCCCTCCCCTAGCCAAGGGAAGCCATGAGGGACTGTGCTGTGAGGGACAGTGCTATCCGGCCCAGATACTATGCTTTTCCCATGGTCTTCGCAACCCACAGACCAGGAGATTCTCACGGGTGCCTACACCACCAGGGCCCTGGGTTTCAAGCACAAAACTGGGCGGCCATTTGGGTAGACACTGAGCAAGCTGCAGGAGTCTTTTTGTACCCCAGTGGCACCTGGAACACCAGCAAGACAGAACAGTTCGCTCCCCTAGAAAGGAGGCTGAAGCCAAAGAGCCAAGTGGTCTTGCTCAGCAAATCCCACACCCACTGAGCCCAACAAGCTAAGATCCACTGGCTTGAAATTCTCGCTGCCAGCACAGCAGTCTGAAGTCTACCTGGGACATGCAAGCTTGATGGGGGGAGGGGTGCCCACCATTACTGAGGCTTGAGTAGGCAGTTTCCCCTCACAGTGTAAACAAAGCCACCTGGAAGTTCGAACTGGATGCAGAACCCACCTCAGTGCGGCAAAGCCGCTGCAGTCAGACTGCCTCTCTAGATTCCTCCTCTCTGGGCAGGGCGTTTCTGAAAAAAAGGCAGCAGCCACAGTCAGGGACTTACAGATAAAAGTCCCATCTCCCTAGGACAGAGCACCTGGGGGAAGGGGTGGCTGTGGGCGCAGCTTCAGCAAACTTAAACATTCCTGCCTGCCAGCTCTGAAGAGAGCAGCAGATCTCCCAGCACAGCACTCAAGCTCTGCTAAGGGACAGACTGCCTCCTCAAGTGGGTCCCTGCCCCCATGCCTCCTGACTGGAAGACACCTCCTAGCAGGGGTCAACAGACACCTCATACAGGAGAGCTCCGGCTGGCATCTGGCGGGTACCCCTCTTGGATGAAGCTTTCAGAGGAGGGAGCAGGCAGCAATCTTTGCTGTTCTGCAGCCTCCATCAGTGATACCCAGGCAAACAGAGTCTGGAGGGGACCTAAAGCAAACTCCAGCAGACCTGCAGAAGAATGGCCTGACTGTTAGAAGGAAAACTAACAAACAGAAAGCAATAGCATCAACATCAACAAAAAAGATGCCCACACAAAAACCCCATCTGAAGGTCACCAACGTCAAAGACCAAAGGTAGATAAATCCACGAAAATGAAGGAAAACCTTTGCAAAAAGGCTGAAAATTCCAAAAACCAGAATGCCTCTTCTCCTCCAAAGGATCACAACTCCTCGCCAGCAAGGGAACAAAACTGGATGGAGAATGAGTTTGATGAATCGACAGAAGTAGGCTTCAGAAGGTGGGTACTAACAAACTCCTCCAAGCTAAAGGAGCATGTTGTAACCCAATGCAAGGAAGCTAAGAACCTTGATAAAAGGTTACAGGAACTGCTAACTAGAATAGCCAGTTTAGAGAAGAGCATAAATGATCTGATAGAGCTGAAAAACACAGCACGAGAACTTCGTGAAGCATACACAAGTATCAATAGCCGAATTGATCAAGCAGAAGAAAGGATATCAGAGACTGAAGATCACCTTAATGAAATAAAGCATGAAGACAAGATTAGAGAAAAAAGAATGAAAAGGAATGAACAAAGCCTCCAAGAAATATGGGACTATGTGAAAAGACCAAACCTACATTTGATTTGTGTACCTGAAAGTGACGGGGAGAATGGAACCAAGTTGGAAAATACACTTCAGGAAGCCAGGAGAACTTCCCCAACCTAGCAAGACAGGCCAACATTCAAATTCAGGAAATACAGAGAACACCACAAAGATACTCCTCGAGAAGAGCAACCCCAAGACACAAAATCATCAGATTCTCCAAGGTTGAAATGGAAGAAAAAAATGTTAAGGGAAGCCAGAGAGAAAGGTCTGGTTACCCACAAAGGGAAGCCCATCAGACTAACAGTGGATCTCTCTGAAGAAACCCTACAAGCCAGAAGAGAGTGGGGGCCAATTCAACATTCTTAAAGAAAAGAATTTTCAACCCAGAATTTCATATCCAGCCAAACTAAGCTTCATAAGTGAAGGAGAAATAAAATCCTTTACAGACAAGAGAGCCTGCCTTACAAGAGGTCCCGAAGGAAGCACTAAATATGGAAAGGAAAAACCTGTACCAGTCACTGCAGAAACATACCAAAATGTAAAGATGATTGACACTATGAAGAAACTGCATCAATGAATGGGCAAAATAACCAGCTAACAACATAATGACAGAATCAAATTCACACATAACAATATTAGCCTTAAATGTAAACAGGCTAAATGCCCCAATTAAAAGACACAGACTGGCAAATTGGATAAAAGAGTCAAGACCCATCAGTGTGCTGTATTCAGGAGATCCATCTCACGTGCAAAGACACACATAGGCTCAAAATAAAGGGATGGAGGGATACTTACCAAGCAAATAGAAAGCAAAGAAAAGCAGGGGTTGCAATCCTAGTCTCTGATAAATAGACTTTAAACCAACAAAGATAAAAAATGACAAAGAAAGACATTACATAATGGTAAAGGGATCACTGCAACAAGAAGAGCTAACTATCCTAAATATATATGCACCCAAAACAGGAGCACCCAGATTTATAAAGCAAGTTCTTAGAGACCTACAAAGAGACATAGACTCCCACACAATAATAGTGGAAGACTTAAACACCTCACTGTCAATATTAGACAGATCAACTTGACAGAAAATTAATAAGGATATTAAGGACTTGAACTCAGCTCTGGGCCAAGCGGACCTAATAAATATCTACAGAACTCTCCACCCTGACAGAATATACATTCTTCTCAGCACCACATAGCACTTATTCTAAAATAGAACACATAATTGGAAGTAAAACACTCCTCAGCAAGTGCAAAAGAACAGAAATCATAACAGTCTCTCAGACCACAGTGCAATCAAATTAGAACTCAGGATTAAGAAACTCACTCAAAACTGCACAACTACATGGAAACTGAACAACCTGCTCCTGAATGACTACTGGGTAAACAACAAAGTTAAGGCAGAAATAAATAAGTTCTTTGAAACCAATGGGAACAAAGACACAACGTACCAGAATCTCTGGGACACGGCAAAAGTAGTGTTTAGAGGGAAATTTATAGCACTAAATGTCCACATTAGAAAGTGGGAAAGATCCAAAATTGACACCCTAACATCACAATTAAAAGAACTAGAGAAGCAAGAGCAAACAAATTCGAAAGCTAACAGAAGACAAGAAATAACTAAGATCAGAGCAGAACTGAAGGAGATAGAGACACAAAAAACCCTGCAAAAAATCAATGAATCCAGGTGCTGGTTTTTTGAAAAGATTAACAAAATAGATAGACTGCTAGCCAGACTAATAAAAAAGAAAAGAGAGAAGAATCAAATAGACACAATAAAAAATGATAAAGGGGATATCACCACTGATCCCACAGAAATACAAACTGCCATCAGAGAATACGATAAACACCTCTATGCAAATAAACCAGAAAATCTAGAAGAAATGGATAAATTCCTAGACACATACACCCTCCCAAGACTAAACCAGGAAGAAGTTGAATCCCTGAATAGACCAATAACGAGTTCTGAAATTGAGGCAGTAATTGATAGCCTACCAACCAAAAAAAGCACAGGACCAGATGGATTCACAGCCGAATTCTACCAGAGGTACAAAGAGGAGCTGGTACCATTCCTTCTGAAATTATTCCAATCAACAGAAAAAGAGGGACTCCTCCCTAACTCATTTTATGAGGCCAGCATCATCCTGATACCAAAACCTGGCAAAGACAAAACAACAACAACAACAAAGGAAATTTCTGGCCAATATCCCTGATGAACATCATTGCAAAAATCCTCAATAAAATACTGGCAAACCAAATCCAGCAGCACATTAAAAAGCTTATCCATGGCTTCATCCCTGGGATGCAAGGCTGATTCAACATATGCAAGTCAATAAATGTAATCCATCACATAAACAGAACCAATGACAAAAACCACATGATTATCTCAATAGATGCAGAAAAGGTCTTCGATAAAATTCAACAACACTTCATGCTAAAAACACTCAATAAACTAGCATTGATGGAACATATCTCAAAATAATAAGAGCTGTTTATGACAAACCCACAGCCAAAATCATACTGAATGAGCAAAAGCTGAAAGCAATCCCTGTCAAGAAATGACAATATGTTGTGTAATCAACATACTGATTGGTGAATATTGTGAAATCTATTCCTTATATTCTTTCACTAAAAAAATATGCATCTAATACTGTGTCAGGCTCCTCTGTACACCACTTCCATTCTATCAGCTTTATCTCTGACTCTAGCCACCACTACAGCAGCCAGTTGCACCCAGGCTCTGCCCAGCTCAAGACGGTATAATCTGACAGCACCTCACCTTGTCCATCATGCACACCCCACTTTTCCTGCACCGGGGATTCTCTGATGCTGAGGTATAAGAAGGATCAGCTCATTACTCAGGCACGTACAACCTGGAAGTCTGGACAAGTAGTTCCTACCACACCTGAGTTTATGTCAATGAAGTGACTTTTGGAAAGCCTTAGGGATGAGAACTGGTTGCCATGGGAGCCAACCATGAAAGGATTGGAAATTTCAGCCTCTACCCCTAAACTCCAGGGAGGGGAGAGAGGCTGGAGATTGATCTGATTACTAATGGTTAATGATTTAATCAATCATGCTTATGTAATAAATCTTCCATAAAAACCTAACAGAATGGGGTTTAGAGAGTTTCCAGGTTGGTGAACTTGGAACAGTGTTCAGTGGAGGCACTGAGAGGATGGTACACCTGGAGAGGACACAGAAGCTCCAAACCCACTCCCCATGCCTTTCCCTATGCATCTCATTGACCTGGCTGTTCCTGAGTTGTATGCTTTATAATATAACCCTGTAAGTAAACTGTTCTTCTGAGTTCTGAGAGCTACTTTAGTAATTATGGAATCTGAGGAGGGGGTCTTGGGAAATTCTGATGTGTAGCCAAGTCAAACAGAAGTTGTGGGTAACCTGGGGACCCACTATTTGAGATTGGCATCTGAAGTGTTGCCAGCCTCACGGGACCGAGCCCTTAACCTGTGTGGTCTATGCTAACACCAGGTAGTCTCAGAAGTGAAGCATTGAGAATAGTAGTAGAGAATAAATGGGAGTTTTCTTTTGAAGGAATAATAAGATTCTGGCTATATTTTTGGAATTAGGGCCAAAAATACTTATTAATGAATTAGATATGGGGTATGAGATAAACAGAGGAGTCAAGGATATCTCCAGACACTGGACGAGGACTATTCCTTTCCCAGAGACTAAGCGCAGGGCTGAGAAGGAAGGCAGGCTACCCCAACAAGGCGACATTTTAGCTCCCATGTGCTCATCCTTGCCCTACACTCTCCCCATTATATTCTAGAGTAGCTCAGCTTATGCTAGACAATCATGCTGTGTGAGTACACATCATGGGCTGTACATTACGGGATGTCGTATGAGCTGTGTTTACCAGCAGAGATCACAGCTCTACAAGTTGAAGTGTTCTCTCTGGTGGTCCCCATGTGTACAGGCTATTTGAGCATCTGAAGGTGGTTAGCTCCTGAGGAAAAAAAACTCCACTGTTTAGAGGATGAATGAATCTCCCAGAGGGAAGTATCCATCATAAAGTATTTGCTCTCTCTGCCTGTACTTATTGGAACAACTCGGGAAGTCCACAAGGACAGTCCAAGTCATCTTTGTCGTCTACTTCCTATTGCATTCTCAGCCTTGTTTCCTTTTTAGAAAGAGCCTGTTAACTATCATAAGTCAAAAAACAGCATTCTGACCTCTGCCCTGTAACTTCCTCTTCTTCTTATAAATACAAGGGCAGAACTGGCATCCCGAGAAGCCAGGAAGCAGTGAGCCCAGGAGTCCTCGGCCAGCCCTGCCTGCCCACCAGGAGGATGAAGGTCTCCGTGGCTGCCCTCTCCTGCCTCATGCTTGTTACTGCCCTTGGATCCCAGGCCCGGGTCACAAAAGGTGAGTCCAGTGAGCTTTCTCTCAGATGACCAGGTTCATGGTAACTCAAGCTCTGTGGCAGAGACACATTGCCCTCCTGTAACTACTCTCCATCCCAGACGTGGTCATGGTACTCATTTAAAAGCAGCACCAGAGTATAGACCTGGTTCTGTCTGCAGGCTTTGGACCCTGGGAGGGGAATATACACATATGGCTGGTCCAATGTGGGGCCAATCATTTCCCTTTTCACAGCAAAAATTATTTGATACCTTCCCTTAGCAGACATAGGACTATTAAGTGCTAGATTAAAAGAAGTGTAGTAAAATTACAAATTTGTAGAAAGAAGCATAGAATTGTATGATGCTAAAACTGTTACATACCATCTAGTAGTATCTATCATATCATTTTGGAGAAGAAATGGAACAAGCCACACAAATGACTCAACCAAGGTCACCTAACCATCGTATTTTTTTGTTTAACAAATGCACTTCTAGTACTTCCTATGTACAGGGCAGGCACTGTTCTAAGTGTCTTACAGATATTAACACATCAGTTCCACCTAACAACCCTGTGGGATATGTATTAGATTTTAAAAAATGCAAATTTTTTACTTTTGTAGGGAAGAAACAAAACATCAACTTTTATATGGTTTTTCATATTATTATTATTGACATTTTACAAATGAGAAAACTGAGGCACAGAACCTTAGATAACTTGGTAGATCACACAACTATTAAGCGGTGGAATTAAAATATGAGCTAATTAGGAAGTAGTTATGGAACGACAAGGCCATTTAAGATCTTTTTTTTACCTTACCCAAACCATATTGAGCATATTAAAATATACCCACATGTCTCATTACATATAATTCATTTAATGTAACCATATAAGAAATAAGTTGAAAACACTGGAAAGCAATTGGGGGACTAATTCGGCAGCTGAATCGTTATTGCCAAGTCTTTATGTTTCAAAATGTTAAGTAAATATCAACTTTAAAGCCAGCTTTAAAATTATTAATAGTATATTTAATATAATTGTTAAATTATATTAAATGCATAGTCATTAAATTATATTAAAAGTATATTTAATATCCTTATTAAATTATATTAAAAGATATTTAATATAGTCATTAAATTATATTAAAAGTATATTTATTTTTAAATATATGAAAAGTACACATATATTATATTAAAAGACACATGCACATGTATCTTTATTGCAGCACTAATCACAATAGCAAAGACTTGAAACCAACCCAAATGCCCATCAATGATAGACTGGATAAAGACAATGTGGCACATATACACCATGGAATACTATGCAGCCATAAAAAGAAATGAATTCATGTCCTTTGCAGGGACATGGATAAAGCCGGAAACCATCATCCTCAGCAAACTAACACAGAAACAGAAAGCCAAACACCACATGTTCTCACTCGTAAGTGGGAGTTGAACACTGAGAATGCATGGACACAGGGAGGGGAACATCACACACTGGGGCCTATCGGGGAGTGGAGGGTAAAAGGAGGGAGAGCATTAGGACAAATACCTGGTGCATGCAGCAGCCCTAGATGATGGGTTGATAGGTACAGCAAACCACCATGGCACATGTATACCTATGTAATGAACCTGCGCGTTCAGCACAGGTATACCAGAACTTAAAGTCAAATAAAATTTAATTTAATTTAACTTTAAAAAAAGAAAAAGTCTATTTAATAGTTATTACATTATATTTAAAATATATTTAATAGTTATTAAATTATATTAAAAGTAAATATTTATTATATTTTATTTTATTTTGAGTTGGAGTCTCATTCTGTGGCCCAGGCTGGAGTACAGTGGCACCATCTTGGCTCACTGCAACCTCTACCTCCTGGGTTCAAACGATTCTCCTGCCTCAGCCTCCCTAGTAGCTGCGATTACAGGCACATGCCACCATGCCTAGCTAATTTTTGTATTTTTTTTTTTTAGTAGAGACGGGATTTCAACATGTTGGCCAGGCTGGTCTCAAACTCCTGACCTCAAGTGATCCGCCCGCCTTGGCCTCCCAAAGTGCTGGGATTACAGGCGTGAGCCACCGCACCCGGCCAAATTTTAAGGCTAGCTTTATTCTGTGAGACAGTCAATTGTGGAAATAAACTAACTTTAAGGATTAAAATTTAAAAGAAAGGAAAAATGTTTAAAGCTTAGTTTCATTTGCCTAACAAGCATAAGGCAGCTCCACAATCCCATTTCCAAAGCACTTGGCGCTAGATGAATTTTGGAATGCAGAATTTCTCAGGTTTTAAAAAGTTAATATGATATGATGCAGCAATTCTATTTCTGGGTATATATCCAAAATAATTCAAAGCAGGTACATGAATTGATTTTTATACACCCATATTCATAGCAGCATTATTGATGACGGTAGCCAAAAAGTAGAAGCAAACTAAGTGCCCATCAAAAGGTTAGTAGATAAACAAAGTGTGGTTCATACATACAATGGAATCTATTTGGCCTCAAAAAGTAAGGAGATTCCCTTGAATGTTGAAGTAAGAAAAAATAAAAATTTAAGTAAGGAGATTCTGACACATGCTACAACATGGATAAACATCAAGGACATTATGCTAAGTGAAATAAACCAGTCACAAAAGGACAAATAGTGTATGATTCCACTCACATGAGGTACTTAGTCAAATCCACAGAGACACGACACAGATAGTGATTGTCAGGGATTAAGGGGAGGAAGCATGAGGAGTTGTTGTTTAATGAATACAGAGTTTCAGTTTCACAAAATGAATGAACGGCCGTGAAAACTGCATAGTTATTTGAGTGTATTTGATGCTATTGAACTGTATACTTAAAATAGTTCAAATGGCAAATTTTACGTTATATATATATATATATAACCACGATTTAAAAATGATTTAGTAAAAAACTTAAACATATATTGATGGTACTTATCCCTGATGAGGCCTGGGAACAGTATTTTAATCAAACACAGCAACCTCCTGTAACAAACACATGAATATTTCTACTAACTGGGATAAATAATGACCATAATAGCTGCACTTCACTTAAAGGGATACTGTGCCACCATATGAGCTGATGAACACCTCTCTGTTTCCAGAGCCCTGTGGATTCCAGAAATGTGTAGAGAGACTTGTAGACTGTGTCACATCATGTAGACATTCCATTAACTGAACCATGTTAGATTTTGAGGTTTCTTTTAGTATTTCAGAGTCAACACAGTGTTTTCATGTCTACATTTTCAAAAGGTCCCTGAAAAATCTCAGGGCCCTAAAGGAATAAATGGGCCAGGAGTCAGGCCTAGAGCCCAGACAGGTGGTGGTGGTCCAGCTTCAGGGACCTTTCTGCCTCAGGAGGAGGATGAGCAATGGGGTGGGTGGAGATGCTGAAACAATGCTGCCGCCCAGTGATTTCCTTCCCTGTCCTGTCTGCTTCTTCCAGATGCAGAGACAGAGTTCATGATGTCAAAGCTTCCATTGGAAAATCCAGTACTTCTGGACAGTAAGTGATCAGATACGGCATATATTTAAAAGCAGCCAGCAGGTGCAGGTCTGCACTATGGGATCCATTGTCCCTGTTTACAGAATGGGAGGAGAATGAGAGGGTCCTGAGGGTGGTGAACATCTCCAAGGAAGATCAGGACGGGCTATGGGAACCCCCTCCATAGATGCCTTCTCTGTTCCCCTCTGGCTGCCCCAAGAGTCTGCTCCTTTGGGGCAGAAGGTGCTCTCTGATGCCTGCAGGTGTCTGCAGATGCCTTCCCCTTCTAGGGGAAATTTTCCTGGTCCTGCTCTGGCCCACCCTGAGTGCCCTCAGACACACAGCTCAACTCTGATGAGGGTCTGAAGCAGGGAGATGCCAGCAAGTGCTGGTCACGGAGGAGGAAACATCTCTTCTGAGCCATGTGCCTTCTCACCCTCCACAGTGCTCTGGAGGAGAAAGATTGGTCCTCAGATGACCCTTTCTCATGCTGCAGGATTCCATGCTACTAGTGCTGACTGCTGCATCTCCTACACCCCACGAAGCATCCCGTGTTCACTCCTGGAGAGTTACTTTGAAACGAACAGCGAGTGCTCCAAGCCGGGTGTCATGTAGGTGCCAAGCTCACCAAACATGTGTTGAGGGAGAAGGACTCTGTAGCATCTTGCAGGGAGGACCTGATAGACTGGTGTCCATCAGGGCCCACCCTCTGGATCCTGCCAGGTATGGGGCAGCTGTGTCCTTAGGAAGATCCTGCAGGGCATCGGGGATGAGACACTCCCAGGGGGAAAAGGGTGGGGAAGGAAGAAGAAAGCAGGCACAAGTCTGCCCAAGGATGCTCCCATGAGTCACTAGGGAGTCCCACAGGCTGAGGGGGTCTCAAGAGCACAATGGCCCTGAGCTGCCATCAGCAGAGAATGAAAAAAAAAAGAAAAAAAAACTGGCTATATTGACTGGGAAATCTGAGGGGCAGGGAGAATGGGGCCCCCTGTCCCCATGTGCTGGACACACCTCAGTTTGTAACTTTTCTCCCCCTTGTTCCCTAGCTTCCTCACCAAGAAGGGGCGACGTTTCTGTGCCAACCCCAGTGATAAGCAAGTTCAGGTTTGCATGAGAATGCTGAAGCTGGACACACGGATCAAGACCAGGAAGAATTGAACTTGTCAAGGTGAAGGGACACAAGTTGCCAGCCACCAACTTTCTTGCCTCAACTACCTTCCTGAATTATTTTTTTAAGAAGCATTTATTCTTGTGTTCTGGATTTAGAGCAATTCATCTAATAAACAGTTTCTCACTTTTTTTGTGTGATAGGGTCTCTGTCACCCAGGCTGGAGTGCACTGGTACATCTTGGCTCACTGCAGCCTAATCTCCTGGGCTCAAGTAACCCACCTACCTCAGCCCCACAAGTAGCTGTGAAACAGGGTGTTAGGACAGAGAAAAGAGACATACAAGGTGGGGAAGCTCGACAGCAACATAGGTTTATTGGACAGAGAAACCTGTGGAAGGGGAACACCAGCGAGTGCTGGAGCCCCCGTCCTGCGTACAGACTGGGGCAATTATAGGTCTGGACAGGGGAGGTGGGGCAGTGTGGCTAGCTGCCTGGCAGGATGTAATAAGGGAGCCATTTCCTGCAGTCAGGCAGTGTGGCCTGGGATCTGCTTGGCAAAATGCTTTTCATGGCCTGAGCCCCTATGGAAGTTTCCTCCCTGATCAGGGTGTACAAAATGGCAGGGGTTTACTTGATGGCGCCACTTGGGCTAACAGAGGAGAGTTCCCTGACTTCCTCACAGGACTTGTGACGGGGTGTGGCTCATTTGCAAGGCTGCTGCACGTTCAAATCCCCTGTGGGAGGGGGAACATGCAGACAGGCAGGTGCAGGAGCCAGGGCGAGCGCTTTTGGGCTCCATCCCCATGGTAGCATCTAGGGGTGTGTTACAATTAGTGCTCTTTAGCAGTTGCTTTTCGTGGATGGCTATTCCACTCAGTGGAGAGTCAGGGTGACAGCCTTTTATATTCTGCTCTCTTGGTATCCGTCTTTGTCTGGCATCTAGGAAGAATCAGGTCACATCAACCTGAAGGATAGTGAAGGTGGGGATTTTACTGAGTGATGGAGTTGGCTCTCAGAGGAATGGATGTGGAGCTGGAAAGGGGATGGAGTGGGAAGATGATCTTCCCCTGGAGTTCAGCCATCCCCGGCTTATCTGCTTTCCAACCGTCCTCAGCCGAACTCCTCCTGACATTCAGATGCTCCTTCTCTTCTCTCCTCTGCCATGCCATTTTGCTACTCTGCTGCTCTTCTGTTCCTCTGCTTGTAGAGCTTGGGGTTTATATGGGCACAGGATAGGGGTGTGGCAGGCCAGAGTGGTCTTGGAAAAGGCAACATTTGGGCATGAAAATGGGAATGCTTGCTCCCATTTAGGGCCATGGATTTCCAGGCTTCAGGGTGGGCCTTTGTTGGGGAACTGCCCTCTTCTACCCAGTATTTCCTTGCCTGTATCTGTATCATTTCCACCCTCTAAGAGGCCCATCTAATTGCCATTAGAATATGGACAATGACCTATCTTAGCTACTTCCTGCTGACAGAGGACATTGTTTTTGGGGAAAACAGAAGTCAGATTCCTCCCAGAGGTCTATCTAAGGATCCCTGGGGAAAGGGAGTCATCATCCAAGGCTCCGGTTGCCTGACCATTTGGATTTTCATGACCTCAAATTTGAGAGAAAAAAACAAGTTTTATAAGGTGTTAAGTATGCATGGGTTAAACGTGTATTATACAAAGAAATAATCTAGTGCCAAAGATTACAGAAATAGGAAATGTAACATACTCACAACATTGTACCCTGAGCTGTTTCACCCTGGTGAAAGAAATTAAGACTTGTATGGGTGTGGTTAAATTTTAGAAGAGAGATAACTGTTCTTGCCACCAAAGATTACCGAAATAGGAAGTGTAATATACTAACAACATTGTACCCTGAGCTGTTTCACCTTAGTGAAAGAAATTAAGACTTGCATGGGTGTGGTTAAATTTTAGAAGAGAGATAACTGTTCTTGCCACATCTGTAGGAGTTAACAGATGCACCTTAGGAATTCTGGGGTTTGTGGGTTTGCATGGTGACCCTTAAAGCTTCTGCCTCTTTCTTGTGTCTCCCTATCTGTACTGTAAAAGACCAAGGTGGCCTCTTTCAGGAGGTCTCCTAAAGTACTCCCCGACGCCAGGGCCCATTTCTGCAACTTCCCTCTGATATCAGGGGCTGCCTGAGTAATACATTTATCATTTAGGATTAGTTGTCCCATGATGGAATCGGGACACAGAGACCTATGCTTTACAAAGGTCCCTCTTAGCCTCCCCAAGAAGGCAGTGGGATTTTCATTAAATCCCTGGTCTCTCATGGATATCTTGATATAGTAGAGAGGCTTAGTTCTAATCCTACAAAAGCCCTCTATTATGCACACCTGAAACTCTCCTCTTGCATTCTCCCATCTTGTCATTGGGATCCCATTTAGGGACATTCATTGATACTCCTTCTCTTCCAGTTGGATAATATTCACCCCCTTTCCTGGGTGCTACGTATGATACAAACCTCATCCCCAGATCTCTCTGTCACTTGCAGAGTGGCCTGCTTCTCAGTGTTAGTCAGGGTTTGGTTCAAAGTAACATGACGTCTTCCTAGGAGAGCTCAAATACTTGGGTTAAGTTCTGAAAAGCCTCTATATATCTCTCAGGGTCATCTGAAAACTTGCCAAGATCCCCCTCAATTTGCTTCAAGTTCTGTAGAGAGAAGAGTACCTGGACCTTATGGGGTAAATTCACCAGGCATCTGTTGGAGGGGAAAGAATGAGACTGGGGCTTGTCTAGGGTGAGAATTTCTAGGAGGGGGCAAGTGAGAGACTGAAGCTGGATAGGGGGGATGGGGTGGACCTGGCGGAGCAGGGCTGGAGGGAGCTGGCTCCTCTGCTGGGGATGCCTCTGGGATTTGTTTTTTTGGTTCCCTGGGATTGCCCCTTGCAGCCTCTCCCGAGATGGCAAACCGGTCTGGATTAATTCTACATTGTCAGCTAAGGTCTGGATTGCCCTGCACGGTATAGAAAGCCTGCACATATGGGCCTCAGAGCATTTGCCCTCACGTTTACAGAAAAGCTCCAACTGCTGGATGATATCGAAATGAATGGTTTCTTCCTGAGGCCAAGCCAGTCCTTCATAATTTGCCCAAACCTTTGTGCAGAGGGCTATGAGCCATTTTCCTCCAGAGTCTGAGGGTCAAAGCAGTCCCAGTGGTTCAGGATACACTCTAGAGGAGTATAAGCTGGGGGTGGTGAAGACAGCTGATCGCCCATTCTGAAAGACAAGAAATAGAGGTGACCCTCATTTCCTTCCCTTCTTTTAGTGATAACTCAGGGTTTGATGGAGAGAAAGCAGGCATCCCCGTTTTCTGTCTTTTTGTCCCCATGTACCAGTGACCTTGGCAGATGCCACCCATGGGTGCTGAAGCGGCTTTTACTCATGTTAACAGGGGGGCCTGGGGGGGTGAGAGTATCCACTCTTACACATTATGCCCTATTTCCCTTGCTGCCAACAACCTTTGAGTTCCCTGGGCCTCATCTATGTCATGGAGCATGGCCTCCTTTCATGAAGCAAGGTTTTAGTCAGCAGGAATTGGCCCTTCCCATTTACATTGTGCCTGTTGCCAGGCTTTGGATCCCTCAGATCTGGTTTTCCTTTCTAGGGCCTCAACCTGAAGGCTGGAATTGAGTTTCAGACAAAAAAGGTATTTCAGGGGCTGCATGAATCTGTTTAGATCAAGTCTCAAAGGGGCCCTGCCGAATTTGCAGCTATTGGCCAGCAGGGGTCGCTCCTCTGTTATTTTCCCTATTAAAAGCAGCGTGCCGGGGAAAGGAACCCTCTCACTTAGAAAAGAAAAAGGAAACCGCTTATACTACTAAAAAAGAGGGAAGGAACTTCTTGCTCTGTGCAAATGGGTTCCTTTATTGTATTCCGCCCCTGGTTCAGACCAGTAAGGACCCCTCAACCATGGGAGGAGAGGCTCTGCTGGTGCAGTGAGTGGGAGGCACCGGCCAGCCAGCTGCACTAGGGCCCCAGCGGCAGCCAAGGTTTTCTCCCGCCCCTCGTGGCCACTGGGTGCAGCTCATGTGCAGAGCTGGGAGGAGAGGGGAGAAGGCGGGGAGGGGAAAAGGAGGGGAAGGGAGAAGGAGGGGAGTCACTCATGCACTGCGCACACCTGCGGCTGGGGATGGCACCTCTAAGAAGAAACAGAAACTACATTGTTGTGAATTGCACATCTGATGGCTGAACCAAGCATACCTTGTACTTAGTAACATCTCGGTAGTTGCAGCAAAGCCCTTAATACTATAAAAGAAGAGATAGGAGCCATTTCAAGCCATGAAAGAAGATACCACAGCAAAGTCTGGGGTTCTTGGCCTACAGAGTTCAGTCTTGGAGCCTTCCAGCAACAAAAGATGGCTTCTGTTGCCCCAGGACTTTATTCCATCCCGTGCAACAGCTAGACCTCCATGAAGAGAAACAGAGCCAATATTCCTTTTACCCAAAGGAAAAAGAGAGGTGGCAGAATCTTGGAAAAGAGGCAGATCCGACAGTTCTAAATCTGTACTCATCCTTGTGCTGTATCCCAGACGAGCCCCCAGATGAAATGGGAGAGTTCCCTGACCCCCTCACGGGACTTGCGACAGGGGTGTGGCTCATTTGCTCCACTGTCACACACTTTACCCCTTATAGGAGGGGGAACACACAGATGGGAAGGTGCAGGAGCTGGGGCAAGCACTTTTGGGCTCTGGCCCCATGGTAGCATCCAAAGGTGTGTTACAATTAATACTCTTTTAGCAGTTGCTATCTGCAGACGGCTACTTCGTCTCAGTGGAGAGTCAGGGTGACAGCCTTTTATACCCTGCCCTCTTGGTACCCAGGTCCTTGTCTGACATCCTGGAAGAATCAGGTCATCGTTCAAGAAGACTTGAACGATGGTGAATGTGGAGATTTTAATGAGTTATGGATGTGGCTCTTATGGGATGAATGGGGAGCTGGAGAATGGATGGAGTGGGAAGATGATCTTCCCTTGGAGTTCAGCCATCCCGCGGCTGATCTCCTCTTCAACTGTCCCCAGCCGAACTTCTCCTGACATTCAGACGCTCCTTCTCGTCTCTCCTTCTCTGCCACTGCCGTTCTGTTCCTCTGCTCATGGAGTTTGGGGTTTAAGAGGTAAAGAGGCAGAACTATTGGATCTGTCTCTTTTCCAAGATCCTGCCGCCTCTCTCTTTCCTTTGGGTAAAAGTAATATGGGCTCTCTTTCCCTTCATGGAGGCCTAGCTGTCATATGGACACAGGATAGGGGCGTGGCAGGCCAGAGTAGTCTTGGAAAAGGCAACATTTGGGTGCAAAAACAGGAATGCCTGTTCCAATTTAGGGGCGTGGGTTCCCAGGCTTGAGGGTGGGGCATTTGCCAGGGAACTGCCCTCTTCTACCCAGTGTTTCTCTGCCTCCCGTCCATATCAACTGGGACTACAGGTACATGCCACCATACTCCACTAATTCTTATTTGTTGAAGAGACAGGATCTGATTATGTTGCCCAGGCTGGTCTTGATCTCTTAGGCTCAAGCGATCCTCCTGCCTCAGCCTCCCAAAGTACTGGTATTACAGGTGTGAGCCACCATGCCCAGCCTTTACTTGAATTTTAAGAGGAAAAAGAAACTAAAGGAATTACTGAACTTTGGATAATCATTATCTTCAAAACAAGGGACATCATAATACAATTTTTACAAAACTAAAAATATTACTCATCCAATTTAGATTGAATATGCATCAAAGATGTATTTAACTCATTAGTGAGAGAACTATTAAAATAATTCAAAGATCATTTGAGTAACAGAGATTTGTATAGTTTACTGGGGATGACGTTCTGAAATAAGTTTGTTAAATTAGAGCACACATTAATATCCTGTGGATAGGGCAATAAAAAAACCTGTAACCTCTGGGATTATCTTTTTTAATAGACAGAAATCATTTGCATCTGGCTACACACAAGTTTAAAATTTAACATGTACTTTCTCAGAATCTAGGGCCTGATCAATGGTAAACAGAAATCAATCAAAAGTTCATTCCCCTACAGATTTAAGGAATGCCGGGTTGGGCCTGTTAGTCAACATTGTAATATGACCTTGAAAACCATGCAGTCATCCTTTTACCTGTTTTTTTTTTTTTTTTTTTTTTTGAGACAGAGTCTTGCTCTGTCACCCAGGCTGGAGTGCAGCGGTGCAGTCTCAGCTCACTACAACCTCCGCCTCCCGGGTTCAAGCAATTCTCCTGCCTCAGCCTCTCTAGTAGCTGGGATTACAGGCGCATGCCGCCATGCCCAGATAATTTTCGTATTTTTAGTAGAGACAGGGTTTCACCATGTTGGCCAGGCTGGTCTCAAACTCCTGACCTTGTGATCCGCCCGCCTCGGCCTCCCAAAGTGCTAGGATTACAGGTGGGAGCCACTGCGCCTGGACCCTTTTATCTATTTCTAAGTTTTTTATTAGATATAAATTTAGTTAGCAGAGGAAGTTATTCGAGTTACGGGTGGCAAATCTGTACAGGTCTGCAGCAACCTCAATTCTTCCCTCCTCAGGAAAAAGAATTCAAATGAGGGGCCTAAGTGAGAAGAGACTGAGGCAAGTGTTAGAGCAGGAGTGAAAGTTTATTAAGAAGCTGTACAGGCCGGGCGTGGTGGCTCATACCTGTAATCCCAGCACTTTGTGAGGCCTAGGTGGGAGAATCACTTGAAGTCAGGAGTTTGAGACCAGCCTGTTCAACATGGTGAAACACCATCTCTAATAAAAATTAGCTGGGTGTAGTGGCAGGTGCCTGTAACCCAAGCTACTCGGGAGGCTGAGACAGGAGAATTGCTTGAGCCCAGGAGGCAGAGGTTGCAGTGAGCTGAGACCACGCCACTACACTCCAGCCTGGGTGACAGAGTGAGACTCCATCTCAAAAAAAAGAGAGAGAGAGAGAAGATTTAGAGCAGGAATAAAAAGAAAGTAAAGTACGTTTGGAAGCAGGCCAAGCAGACATTTTGGAGGTCAGGTGTGGGGTTTGACCTTTTGAATCAGGGTTTTACATGTTGGCATACTTCTGGGGTCTTGGGTCCCTTCTCCCCTGATTCTTCCCTTGGGGTAGGAAGCACTAGCACAATGCCCTACTTGGGAGGGGAGCATATGCAGTGTGTTTACTGGAGCTGTACGCATGCTCACTTGAGGTGTTCTTCCCTTTACTGATGGAATGCCCCCAGAAGGTCCTAGATGAGTTAAACTCCACCATTTTGCCTCTTGACGCGCATGCATGAGCTCACTCGCCCAACTCCTGGGATCTTACCAGGAAGATGCTGATGACCATTTTCAGGTTTTTTCTATCTATAGGCACATTGCCTTTCCCTGGTGCTGGCTGCAACCAATTATTATTCTAGAGAGACAGTTAACAACCTCCTGACCATCACCTGATGGTCACCTGACATTCCTGGTTGGGAGGAGCCTCTCCTGCCCTGTTTATGTATGACTAGCTACCTACAGTAACAATTTCTAAGAGATTTCGCCTCTAAACTTAAAGAACATTAAGAAAAACATTTAAAGATATAGTTAATATTAATTTTATATACATCTCTATTAAAGTATATAAATTTATATGTATAATTAGTACACCTTGGAAAACTGTCTCATAAAATTCAAAAGACAGCACTGAATTCTAAACAATTCCAAACAACAAAACATTTTTTATTTAAAAAAAAGTTTAAGCTCTATGCTTACTTTTAGTGTGATTTGTCTAAGAAATCAACAGGAGAAAACTGATCAATAACCAAATAACTTTTATAACACTAAATCACAACTGTGTTAGAAAAATGCCCTGAGAAGGTGATAAAAGCTTGAAATTATTATAACCCTTAAGAAAGTAAACACAAATTCATATTACATCTTATATCCTCCCTACTAAAAGAGCTAATCTTGAAGTTTTAACTACAGTTTAGGAAACGGTGTTTTGGCTGGGTGTGGTGGCTCACATCTGTAATCCCAGTACTTTGGGAGGCTGAGGTGGGAGGATCACTTGAGCCCAGGAGTTGGAGGTTACAGTGAGCTATGATCAAGCCACTGCATCCCAGTCTGGGTGACAGAGCAAGACCTAGCTCAAGAAAAAAATTAAAAAACAAAAATAAAAACTGTCTTTTATCATTTGCCCAGATGACACAACATTGTCATTTACTTAATATTTAACCCATGATAACCTCATGTAGATTCTTATTTTCCAGCAATTTTTAATTGACCTTGTTAAATCAACTTTAGCCTAAAGCTGCCTTCTCACTTATTTTAAGTTCAGCCTAATCTGTACATAGTGAACTGTAACCTGAATCGAGGTGTAAACAGGCTGTAACCTACTCTCGTGCCAATCACTGAGTTTTGTCCAGTCAAAGGGGACCACCTATTCAAACCATGTTTGAATAAGGTAAACACCCAGCTGTAATAAATTCAGCTGTTGCTGTACCTCACTTCCATTTCCTGTGATCACTTTTCTTTTTCTGTCTATAAATCTTCTACCACGTGGCTGTGCTGGAGTCTCTATGAACCTACTCTGGCTCAAGAGGCTTCCTTATTCGCAAATTGTTCTTTGCTCAGTTAAACTCTGTTAAATTTAATTTGGCTAAGGTTTTTAGCAACCTTTTTTCTTATTAACCAAGAGAGTAATACTTGTCTTCCTTTCATTATCATCATTCTGCATTTGTACTTGCAGACTCACACCATTTGTTTTATACTAATGAAACCAACTTTGCAAAAATTATAACAGTGAGAAAACCATGACAATGGGAAGATCTGATCTAGCCCACTCTCTTCTTGCCTTTAGCTTTCAAGCTGCCAGACATTTAGTTTATAGTTTAGATGATTAGCCCTTCCCCAAAACTCAACCACTTTTGTAAAGCTAATGAGAGACTACCAGGCTAGGAGGATAGAGGAGCCTGAATTTTGCTAAGGTGAAAGTGCAGACATAAATGATTGCCAGCCATTATTGTGGAGGTCACAAGATATGCAACTTCCCAATTTCTCCTGCAGATAACATCACTACTGTAGAACCTAAGTTTGGCCTTCTGAGATACCTTTTCAGGTTTTTTTTTGCATTGAGATACTGATGATGGTTCCACCTGGACCCACCAACAGCTCCTGCGGCACCACCCAGAAGCCATTCAGCCTACAGGAGGTGAATTTCCCACACCTCTATGATTGCACCCCCCAAGCAGTCAGCAGCAAGCTCCCTTTGCCTAGCCACATTCATCTCCTCCCCCAAACTACCTTTCAAAAACTTTTAACCTGTGAGCCTTCGATGAGATTGATCTGAGTAATAACTCTTTACTGCAATGCGATGGTTTTTGTGCAGCAGGTACGGTATCTATCTCACCGTTGGAGACATTCTTCAAGGACCTTGTAACTGCACACTTGGAAGTTTGTTAAGGGGGTAAATCTCATGTTATGTGGCTGATTTGTTTTGTTTTGACACAGGGTCTCACTCTGTCACCCAGGCTGGAGTACAGTGGTGTGATCATAGGTCACTGCAGCCTGCAGCACGCCCAAGCACAAGAAATCCTCCTGCCTCAGCCTCTCAAGTAACTGGGACTGCAGGCCCGTGCCACCAAGCCTGTTTTTTTTTTTTTGTAGAAATGAGGTCTCGCTTTGTTGCTTAGGATGGTCTGGAACTCCTGAGCTCAAGCTTAAGTGCTGGGATTACAGGCATGAGCCACTGTACCTGGCCATGTTTTTTTTTAATGTCTCACACACACACACACACACACACACACAGCCTGTTGTATGGGGGCGGGGGAATGAGGAGAGCCATTAAATAAATAAGCACTTAAAATAGAATGTGACTGGTGCTATCGTAGATTTAAGTACCAGATAGATGCTGTACCAGAAACACTGAAAAGGGACACCTGGCCCAGCCTCGTGGGAGCGACAGCCAAGAAGTCTTTCTGGCAGAGCTGACTGCTGAGTAGAGTTAATGGGTTGCTAGGAATTAGTATTGCACAGGGCCAATTTACCCATTAGGCATTTAGTATTGGGGTCCTGAAAAAAAAAATTAACTCCAAAAGAAAAAAGTATAAAATCTAAATTAATAGGTGCATCACTATTTAAACTTAATATGCATTTAAATGCCATTACATTAGAAACTAGAGGAGTTGTGCATATAAGGAGAACCCTATTCTGAAGGACTTTCTACACTCATACACAAACCTTGGAGTTGACTCAAGTCCATGAGAAGCCACTGGCAGATTCTGTTTGAAAAATCACAGCCAAGTTCGCAGATTAGAGAATTCCCTCTGGTGGCCACCCTTTATCATAGGCTTTGGAGGCACTTGAAGGTCCAAGATGGGGTGGTTAGAACTTGACGTGGCATCATCAGTGCCTGGGAAGGTCTTCTAGCCTCTAATCTTGAGATTTTCCAGTTCTCCATTTTCGTGGCCAGCTTGACTCATTCTTACCTTTGAAGTCCCTTTGTTTGGGAGGCCGAGGCAGGTGGATCACCTGAGGTCAGTAGTTCGAGACCAACCTGACTAATATGGTGAACACCCCCGTCTCTACTAAACATACAAAATTAGCTGAGTGTGGTGGCACATGCCTGTAATCCCATCTACTCAGGAGGCTGAGGCAGGAGAATCGCTTGAACCCAGAAGGTGGAGTTTGCAGTGAGTGAGAATGCACCACTGCACTCCAGCCTGGGCAACAAGAGCAAAACTCCGTCTCAAAAAAAAAAAAAATCCCTGTTTCATAGTAGGTAGTTATTCAGACATGAGCAGGGCGGGAGAGCCCCCTGCCCCACCATGAATGTCAGACAACCATCAGATGATGGTCAGGCAGTTGTTACACTGTCTCTCTAAAACAGTAATTGGTCAAAGCCAGCACCAGCAAAGACAGTCTCCCAATAGATAGAAATATCTCAAACTGGTGATCAACAGTTTCCCATTAAGATCTCAGGAGTCAGGCAAGTAGGCTCAAGTATGTGCACTAAGAGGCAAAATGGCAGAGTTCAACTGGTATGTGACCTAGGAACACTTGACTGGTCAAGAAGGAATGCCTCAAGTGAGCATGCGTACAACTCCAGTAAGCACACTGTGCATGCAGCCCCTCCCTAGTGCTGGCAGACCACTGCGCATGCGGAATGCCAGCATATAAAACCCCAATCCAAAGGTCAAACCAGGCACTTGAATCTCTCCAGTCACCTGCTTGGCACTTTTCCAAGTGTTCTTTACTTTCATTCCTGCTCTAAATCTTGTCTCGGTCTCTCACTCTGCCTTATACCCCTCAGTTGAATTATTTCTTCTGAGGAGGCAAGAACTGAGGCTGCTGCAGACTGATATGGATTCACCACTGCTAACACCTCCTGGTTGGAACTACAGGAATAGAACTGGAAAGGGAAAAAAGGCAGCATTCACCACATCCCAATCCTGAATCCAAGAGTCTAAGATAGTCCCCCACTCCTATCTCAGGCTTAGAGGATTAGATTAATCTCCTGGAGGGAAGACTCTTCCTTGAAACATTTTTTTTTATCTGCCTGTAGCTATTGGGATAATTCGGGAAATCCACAGGGACAGTTCAAGTCATCTTTGTCCTCTACTTTCTGTTGCACTCTCAGCCTTGTTCTCTTTTTAGAAACTGCATGGTAACTATTATATAGCTAAAGAAGAGCATTCTGACCTCTGCCCTGGGACTTCCTGGATCCTCCTCTTCTTATAAATACAAGGGCAGAGCTGGTATCCCGGGGAGCCAGGAAGCAGTGAGCCCAGGAGTCCTCGGCCAGCCCTGCCTGCCCACCAGGAGGATGAAGGTCTCCGTGGCTGCCCTCTCCTGCCTCATGCTTGTTGCTGTCCTTGGATCCCAGGCCCAGTTCACAAATGGTGAGTCCAGTGAGCTTTCTCCCAGGTGACCAGGTCCATGGTAACTCAAGCTCTGGGACGGAGACATGTTGTGACTACTCTCCAGCCCAGACATGGTTATGGAACTTATTTAAAAAGCACCAGCAGGGTATAGACCTGGCTCTGTCTGCAGCCTTTGGACCCTGGCGGGGAAAGGTACACAGATGACTGGTCCCATTTGGGGCCAATTATTTCCCTTTTCACAGCAAAAATTATCTGATTTTTTCCCTTAGCTGATATTTTAGCTGGAACAAAAGAACTGTAATTAAATTGTAAATTTGTAAAAAGAATCATACAATTTTATGGTGCTAGAACTGCTATCTACCATCTGGTGTAAAATTATGATTTGTGAGAGGAAAAGGAACCAGCCAGGTAAGTGACTCACCCAAGATCACTGTCTCACTTGTTCCTGTGGAATCTTAATTTGTGGAGGTGAATGTCAACGCAAAGAGGTCAATGACATTGAAAAAAGAATGTATTATTTACATTTCCCAAGAGAAGGAGGTACACCGTGACACACGGGGCCCCAAGGGAAGCATCCAGGGCAGGAGTCACGGGCAGGAGTCACGGGCAGGAGTCACAAACAGGAGGGAAGGGACAACCTATGCCAGAACCTTTATTGGGGTTTCTCGGGGGAAAGCAAGGCAGCACAGAGCATACACTTTAGGGCTGGGTAGTCTGAATAAGCCTTTCAGGCTTTGGGGTATAGGGATAGTCTCTAGCTGTCTAGTACTCATCCTTAGGATGATTTAGAGCAGTGGAAATACTGGCTTGGTGTGTGTGAGTTAGCAAAGGAGGTGGATGGGCATATGGGCTCAGGATTTTTTGATTTGTATATGAAAGGTCTAAACCCTTAGCTATCTCTATGAATTGGTTAGCCCTGCAATGGGCAGTCTCTCCCGAGCTGTCAAGATTTTTTTTTTTTTTTTTTTTTTTGAGATGGAGTTTCACTCTGTCTCCCAGGCTGGAGTGCAGTGGTGCGATCTCGGATCACTGAAAGCTCTGCCTACCAGGTTCAATGAATTATCCTTCCTCAGCCTCCAGAGTAGTTGGGATTAAGGCATGCGCCACCAAGCCCAGCTGATTTTTGTGTCTTTTTAGTAGAGGCGGGGTTTCACCATGTTGGCCAGACTAGTCTCCAACTCCTGGCCTCAGGTGATCCGCCCACCTCGGCCTCCCAAAGTGTTGGGATTACAGGTGTGAGCCACCGCGCCTGGCCACTGTAAAGATTTTTTTTTTTTTTTTTTTGAGATGGAGTCTCACTCTGTCGCCCAGGCTGGAGTGCAGTGGCACGATCTCAGCTCACTGCAAGCTCCGCCTCCCCGGTTCACGCCATTCTCCTGCCTCAGCCTCCCGAGTAGCTGGGACTACAGGCGCCTGCCACCACGCCCGGCTAATTTTTTGTATTTTTAGTAGAGATGGGGTTTCACCATGTTAGCCAGGATGGTCTCAATCTCCTGATCTCGTTATCTGCCCACCTCGGCCTCCCAAAGTGCTGGGATTACAGGCCTGAGCCACCACGCCTGGCTGCATTTTTCTATTTAGCATAATACAGGTATGCAATCCCTTATCAAAATCCTATCAGGCTAGATGTATTTTGGAATACAGAATTTCTCTGGTTTTTAAAAGGTAATACACGCTAGGCATGGTGGCTCACCTATAATCCCAGCACTTTGGGAGGCTGAGCTAGGAGAATTGCTTGACCACAGGAGTTCAAGACCAGCCTGGGCATCATAGCAAGACCTCATCACTACAAAAAGGTAAACTATTAGCTAGGCATTGTGGCTCGCACCTGTAGTTCCAGCTTCTCAGGAGGCTGAGGCAGGAGGATCACTTGAGCCCAGGACCTCAAGGCTGCAGTGAGTTATGATCATACCACTGCGCCCCAGCCTGGGTGACAGAAAAAGACCCTGTCTCAATTAAAAAAAAAAAAAAAAGTAATACATACCTAGATGGTACTTATCCTTGGTGGGGCCAAGGAAGACTATTTCAATCAAACACAGCAATTTTTCTGTAGCAAACACATGAATATTTCTGCTAACTGGGATGAATAAATACCATAATAGACTCACTTCACTTAAGGGGATACTGTGCCACCATAAACGCTGATAAAACCTCTCTGTTTCCAGAGCCCTATAATAAAAAATTATTCCAGAAATGTGTAGAAAAACTTGTAGACTGTGTCACATCATGTAGACATTCCATTAACTGAACCGTGTGAGGTTCAGTTGCTTTTAGTATTTCAGAGTCAATACAAAGTTTTCATGTCTACATTTTCAAAAGGTCTCTGAAAAGTCTCAGGGCCCTAATGGAATAAATGGGCCAGGAGGCAGGCCTAGAACCCAGACAGGTGGTGGTGGTCCAGCTTCAGAGCCTCTCTGCCTCAGGAGGAGGATGAGCAATGGGGTGGGTGGAGATGTTGAAACATACTGCTGCCACCCAGTGATTTCCTTCCCTGTACTGTTTCTTTCAGATGCAGAGACAGAGTTAATGATGTCAAAGCTTCCACTGGAAAATCCAGTAGTTCTGAACAGTAAGTGATCAGATACGGCATACATTTAAAAGCAGCCAGCAGGTGCAGGTCTGCACTATGGGATCCATTGTCCCTGTTTACAGAATGGGAGGAGAATGAGAGGGTCCTGAGGGTGGTGAATATCTCCAAGGGAGATCAGGACAGGGTAGGGGGACCCCCTCCATAGATGCCTTCTCTGTTCCCCTCTGGCTGCCCCAAGAGCCTGCTCCTTTGGAGAAGAAGGTGCTCTCTGATGCCTGCAGGTGTCTGCAGATGCCTTCCCCTTCTGGGGGAAATTTTCTTGGTCCTGCTGTGGCCCACCCTGAGTGCCCTCAGACACATGGCAAAACCCTGGGGAGGGTCTGAAGCAGGGAGAGGCCAGCAAGTGCTAGCCGAGGAGGAGAAACATGTCTTCAGAGGCTTGTGCCTTCTCACCCTCCACTGTGCTTTCGAGGAGAAAGATTTGCCCTCAGATGACGCTTTCTCTTGCTGCAGGCTTTCACTTTGCTGCTGACTGCTGCACCTCCTACATCTCACAAAGCATCCCGTGTTCACTCATGAAAAGTTATTTTGAAACGAGCAGCGAGTGCTCCAAGCCAGGTGTCATGTAAGTGCCAAGCTCACCAACCATGTGTTGGGGAAGAAGCAGCCCACAGCATCTTGCAGGGAGGACACGACGGATGGGCGTCCATCGGGTTCCACCCTCTGGATCCTGCCAGATACAGGGCAGCTGTGTCCTTACGAGGATTCTGCAGGGCATCAGGGATGAGACACTCCCAGTGGAGAGGAGATAGGGAAGGAAGAAGAAAGCAAGCACAAGGCTTCCCAAGGACACTTCCATGAGTCATTAAGGAGTCCCACAGGCTGAGAGGGTCTCAAAAGGACACTGTCCCTGAGCTGCCATCAGCAGAGAAAGGAAAAAACAGGCTGTGTTGACTGGGAAATCTGAGGAGCAGGGAGGATGGGGCCCCCTGTCTCCATCTGCCCACACCTCAGTTTGTAATCTTTCTCTCCCTTGTTCCCCAGATTCCTCACCAAGAAGGGGCGGCAAGTCTGTGCCAAACCCAGTGGTCCGGGAGTTCAGGATTGCATGAAAAAGCTGAAGCCCTACTCAATATAATAATAAAGAGACAAAAGAGGCCAGCCACCCACCTCCAACACCTCCTGTGAGTTTCTTGGTCTGAAATACTTAAAAAATATATATATTGTTGTGTCTGGTAATGAAAGTAATGCATCTAATAAAGAGTATTCAATTTTTTAACTTTGCTTGAGTTTTAAGAGGAAATAAACTAATATAAAACTGAAGCAACTGCTGAGCCCCAACATGATTAAATACAAATTCACCTTATATCTCATCTTCTCCCTTCTACTGAAATAGCTAATCTTCAAAGGGTTGGCTACAATTTCAAGAAAGTTTCTTTTACTCCATCATTTACCCAGTTCACACCATTTTCTACTTTACTTAACATTTGATCCATTATAATCCCATAACAATTCTTATTTTTCTCATAATTTCCTTTTGATATTTTTCTATTAACCCAAAGAGAAATACTTTTTGTTTCCTTATCATTCCACATTTGCACTTGCATATTTACACCATCGGTTTCATGGTAACTACTTCATTCTTCGAGACAGTCTTCAAGGACCTTCTAACTTCCTATTCCAACTTGCAGAAATGCTTTCTGGACCTGCCAAAATAATAATAATAATAATAATAATAATAAGTCATACTGGGATTTCTTCTCATCACACACCTGAGTTCATTCCACCATGACACGTAGCCCAAAACTTCCTCTTCCTCTTCCTTCCTTCCTAAAAGGGTTTATTTTTCATTTTGCTAGAATATCTTTGAACTGCCTTCTGCTTTAAAAGATGACAAAAGCAAACACTCTCCTTTGCTCCATGGGTGCCAGGGCAGGCATCCCCAACTCAGGCTTGGCCAACCTATGCTCCCTTTCAGAGATCTGAGCCTGGAACAGGTGTTGCAGAGAAGCAGAAAAAGAGAGGACTCACACCAGTTGACTCTTGTGGCATGATTTTGGATGTGGCATTGGAGCTGGTCTCTCTAGGATTCTACCTCGGCCTCCCAGGTTCAAGCAATTCTCCTGCCTCAGCCTCCCTACTAGCTGGGATTACGTGCCTGCCACCAGACCTGACTAATTTCTGTATTTTTAGTAGAGACAGGGTTTCGCCTTGTTGGTCAGGCTGGTCTCAAACTCCTAACCTCAGATGATCCACCCACCTCGGCCTCCCAAAGTACTGGAATTAACGGCATGAGCCACTGCACTCAGCCTCTACCTACTTTTCAAGCCTTCCTGATACTACCTAAAATCTTTGCAGTAAAGTCCTTTTTGCTTAATCAACCAGAGTCAGTTTGTATAGCTTTCCAACAAAAAACTCCAACTGATATGAACAATAAACTTTCTGGGACTTTGAAGGTCTAAAAACTTTGGTCTTTAAGTGTGAAAATGGTTCAACTGAATATGAAAGTTCATGTTGAAAATAATTTTCTCTCAGAATAATGTAGACATTCTTCAATTGTCTTCTAGCATCTCAGACAGGGCCAAAATTCCAAAGCCAATTGATTTCTTATTCCTTAGTAAGAAAAAAAATTTTTAGACCCTCTGGGAATTTTTAGAATTTTTTTCTTTTTCTATTGTCTTTATTTTTATAATTTCAACTTTTATTTTGGATTCAGGGGTTACGCGTGCAGGTTTGTTGCCTGGGCATATTGCATGAAGTTTGGGGTACAACTGATCCCATCACCCAGGTACTGAGCATAGCACCCAATAGTTTTTCAACCGTTGCCCCCTTCCCTCCCTCCCTCCTGTAGTAGTCCCCAGCGCCTATTGTTGCCATCTTTATGTCCATGTGTAACCAATGTTTAGCTCCCACTTACAAGTGAAAACATGTGGTATTTGGTTTTCTGTTCCTGCATTAATTCAGTTAAGATAATGGCCTCCAACTTTATCCATGTTGCTCCAAAGGACATGATTTCATTCTTTTTATGGCTACATAAGAAGTAGCTCATGGTGTATCTGTACCACATTTTCTTATCCAGTCGACACTGATGGGCGCCTAGGTTGATTCCATGTCTTTGCTATTGTGAATAGTGCTCTGATGAACATACGAGGGCTTGTGTCTTTTTCTGTACAATGATTTTTATTAATATATATCCAGTAATGGGATTGCTGGGTTGAATGGTAGTTCTGTTTTAAGTTATTTGAGAAATCACCAAACTGCTTTTCACAGTGGCTGAACTAATTTACATTCCCACCAACAGTGTATATCTGTTCCCTTTTTCTCTACAGCGTCACCAGCATGTTATTTTTTTGACTTTTTACTAATAGCCATTCTGACTGGTGTGAGACAGTAACTCATTTTGGGTTTGATTTGCATTTCTCTGATGATTAGTGATATTGAGCATTTTTTCATGTGTTTGTTGGCTGCTTATATGTCTTCTTTTGAGGAACGTATGTTCATGTCTTTTGCCTATTTTTTAATGGGGTTGTTTTTGGCTGTTCAACTGTTTAAGGCACTTACAGATTCTGGATATTAGACCTTTGCTGGATGCATAGTTTGCAAATATTTTTTCCCATTCTGTAGGTTTTCTGTTTACTCTGTTGATGAGTTTCTTTTGCTGTACAGAAGCTCTTGAGTTTACTTGAGCACTTGTCAATTTTTGTTTTTATTGCAATTGCTTGTGGGGATTTAGTCATAAATTATTTGCCAAGGCCAATGTCCAGAATGGTGTTTCCTAGGTTTTCTTCTAAGGTTCTTATAGTTTAAGGTCTTATATTTGAATTTTGAATCCATCTTGAGTTATTTTATGTATATGGTGAAAAATAGGGGTCCAGTTTCATTCTTATGCACATGGCTAGCCAGCTATCCCAGCACCATTTATTGAACAGGGAATCCTTACCCCTTTGCTTATTTTTGTTGACTCTGTCAAAGATCAGATGACTGTAGGTGTGCAGCTTTATTTCTGGATTTTCTATTCTGTTCTACTGGTCTATGTATCTGTTTTTGTACCAATACCATGCTGTTTTGTTTACTGTAGCCTTATAGTATACTTTGAAGTCTGGTAATATGATTCCTCTAGCTTTGCTTTTTGTTTAGGATTGATTTGACCATTTGGACTCTTTTTATTGGTTCCATATGAATTTTAGAATAGTTTTTCTAGTTCTATGAAAAATGACATTGGTAGTTTGATAGAAACAGCATTGAATCTGTAGATTGCCTGGACAATACAGCCATTATAATGATATTGATTCTTCCAGTCCATGAGCATGGAATGTTTTTCCATTTGTTCATGTCATCTATGATTTCTTTCAGCAGTGTTTTGTAATTTTCATTGTAGAGATCTTTCACCTCCTTGGTTACATGTATTACTACGTTTGTGTGTGTGTGTGTGTGTGTGTGTGGCTATTGTAAATGAGATTGCATTCTTGATTTGGCACTCAGCTTGAATGCTATTGGTGTATAAAAATGCTACTGGTTTTTGCACATTGATTTTGTGTCCTGAAACTTTACTGAAGTTGTTTATCAGTTCCAGGAGACTTTTGGCAGAGGCTTTAGGACTTTCATATCATTGGTGAGGTTGTCAGCTTAATGTCTGGCAGACAGAGTAAGGGGATAGGGATGGGAGTAGTTTTCTTGTCCTTGACCAGAAGTTATCCAGGGCACTGCCCAATTCTCTCTCTGGTCCACTGTCCCCTCCAAGAGGTTCCCACAGCAAATATCCTTTTTTATTTTGAAAACTGTGCTTGTAGCTTTATCCTGGGGCAAATGCCCTACCTGACTATCCTGAATGGGAACTAGCAAGGTCATAGCTTATTCACTCAATGCAAATGTCTTCTCCCAGTACCCACTGACTCTGATCTTCACATTATCCAGGGTTCTGCTGGGAAAATCCTCTTTTTCTATGATCTTCTCCTTGACCTATATGAGGATACATGTTTTTTCAGCCTTCTTGTGATCTGCCATCAAGCTGACCCATGTTCTTTTTTTGTTCTTTCTTTTTTTTGAGATGGAGTCTTGCTCTGTTGCCCAGGCTGAAGTGTAGTGGCGTGATCTTGGTTCACTGTAACCTCCACCTCCCGGGTTCAAGCAATTCTCCTGCCTCAGCCTCCTGAGTAGCTGGGATTACAGGTGCCTGCCACCATTCCCGGTTAATTTCTGTAGTTTTTATAGAGATGGGGTTTCACCATGTTGGCCAGTCTGGTCTCAAACTCCCGACCTCAAGTGATCTACCTGCCTCGGCCTCCCAAAGTTCTGGGATTACAGGTGTGAGTCACTGCACCTGGCCCCATGTTCTTTATATAAAACAGAAATGTCTCACCTTATGGTAGACCAATGTCATATTTTCTGACTCCTTACTGCTACTATGAGTTCTATTTATTTTTATATTTCTTCTGTCATTTCAACAAGATTTACAGAGATGAAAAAGACAAACACAGATGCTCAGAGTTCTGGCTTACTTTGTTTTGTTTATTGAGACAGGCTGTCACTCTGTCACCCAGTCTGGAGTGCAGTGGCACAATCTTGGCTCATTCACCTTGGCTCAACCTCCTGGGCTCAAGTGATTCTCCCACCTCAGGCCCTTGAGTAGCTGGGACTACAGGCGTGCACCACTCCACACCCAGCTAATTTTGTTTATTTTTTTAGAGACATGGTCTCACTTGTTGCCCAGGCTGGTCTTGAACTCCTGGGCTCAAGTAATCCTCCTGCCTCGGCTTCCCAAAATGTTGAGATTACAGGTGTGAGCCACCACACCTGGCGTCTGGCATACATTTTGATCCAGTTATGACCTTTTATGTCTCTCTCACTGCTCCACTGAATGCTGTTGAATTCAGAAGCTTTGAGTTGAAAGCAGCTCACTGGTACCTAAATATATGACTAGGGGATGGCAATCCGGAAGCTTCTGGATTCTCCATGGAGATTTTGTCTCAGAGCCTTAGAAAAAAATTTAAATGGTTATTCAATTAAAATTGTCCTAGACCTAAGTAGGATTCATGTGGTTTCACTGGGTTCTCTCTGACAGGTCAGGTTTTTAGCTTAGAAGGATGAAATGAGGAGGGAGAGCGTCTGGGCAGTGTGGATGCCAAAGGGCCACTTATGAAGGTGTTGGGTCATGGCAACTCAACAGAAATGAGGGATGAAAACCAAGACTTTCCATTCTTTTTTTTTTTTTTTTTTTAGATGGAGTCTCACTCTGTCACCCAGGCTGGAGTGCAGGGGTGCCATCTTGGCTCACTACAACCTCCACCTCCTGGGTTCAAGTGATTCTCCTGCCTCAGCCTCCTGAGTAGCTGGGATTACAGGGACCCACCACCACGCCCAGCAGATTTTTGTATTTTTAGCAGAGACGGGGTTTTTCCATGTTGGCTGGGCTCGTCTCAAACTCCTGGCCTCAAATGATCTGCCTGCCTCAGCCTCCCAAAGTTCTGGGATTATAGGCGTGAGCCACCCACCAGACCCAGCCCAAGATTTTCCATTCTAACCAAGCATCTAGCCACTCACAGAAGGTCTTTGAGGTCTTGAAGGGGAAAAAAACATGCTATGTGCAGGTTAATTGCATAATACATACTCTGTTCTCGCAGTTCCTCAGAAACAGCATGTTCTTTTTTGCTTCCTTGCTTTGTGTGGTGCCCTCTGCCAGGCATGCCCTCCTCTCAACTCTGCCCAGCAAAACTCAACCCAACCTCAATGGCTTAGATTAAATGCTACCATAAAACCTTCCCCCTTCATCCCAGCCAGAAGGACCCACCTCCATTTCTCTGGAATCTTGAAACATGTATTTATTGCCACTCAAAAAGATTTTTATTGAGTGGCTGCTTTAGGTTATGCATTGTGCTAGGCATTAGGAAAACCATGAAAACCAAACAAAGTAGACTATTGCCCTTCAAGAATATGTCAGTCCAGGGCCGGGCACGGTAGCTCACGCCTGTAATCCCAGCACTTTGGGAGGCCAAGGTGGGCAGATCTCCTGAGGTCAGGAGTTCAAGACCAGCCTGGCCAACATGGTGAAACGCCGTCTGTACTAAAAACACAAAAATTAGCCAGACGTGGTGGTGTGCACCTGTAATCCCAGCTACTCGGGAGGCTGAGGCAGGAAACTTGCTTGAAACTGGAAGGCAGAGGTTGCAGTGAGCCGAGATCATGCCACTGCACTCCAGCCTGGGTGACAGAGTGAGACTCTGTCTCAAAAAAAATAAAAAATAAAAAAGAATATGTCAGTTTATAGAGAAGACTGAAAATAGGAATAAGAATGATGCTTGGGTGCAAAAAGTCATATCTAATTCATTGCTAAGTCTCCACATTTTTATGCAACATCGGAGCAAAAAGAGGAGGACATTTATACTAGAGGCAACCAACCTGGGACTCAAGTATCCCCAGGCCCTAGTTGGACTGGCCAGTGACTGAAGGGACCAACATAAGATTGAACCACAGCATTTAGAAAGCTGTGTGATAGATAGGGCTTCTGAAACTTTAGCATGCATAAAAGCCACCAGGAAGGCTTGTGAAAACACAGATTGTGGGCTCCCACCCCTAGAAATCTGGTTCAGTAGGACAGGGGTAGGGCCAAAGTGTCAGCATGTTTAACAAGTTTCCAGGTAACGCTGATGCTGCAGAATGCAGTGGAAATTTGAAGAGGACTTTGTAACTTCACCATTGTTTGCAGTATTCTGAAAGGCACATATTTCTTTAGTAATCAAAAAATAAAAGAGTTGAAAAATGCGTCTTAATTGTCTTTTCAAGGATGTGTAACAAAATGGGCCAGCTCTTCACTTGTGTTGATATCTGATTTTTTTATGATGAAGCTCATCAAAGCTGTTTAATTATAAAAGAAATATGGAGTTGGAAAAAGTTTTACACATGGTTAAATAGTCTGACGATCAATTTGGAATTTTTAAAAGTAAAAATCTTGAGCTGGGTGCAGTGGCTCATGCCTATAATCCCAGCACTTTGGGAGGCCAAAGTGGGCAGATCCCTTGAGGCCAGGAGTTTGAGACCAGCCTGGCCAACATGGCAAAAACTTCCTCTCTACTAAAAATACAAAAATAAGCCAGGTGTGATGGTGCGCACTTGTAGTCCCAGTTACTTGGAAGGCTGAGGTGGAAGGATCACTTGAGCCCGAGAGGTCAAGGCTGCAGTGAGGCAAGATCGCACCACTGTACTCCAGCCTGGAGTGACAGTGACAGAGTGAGACCCTGTCTCAAAAAAAAAAAAAAAAAAATTGGAAATTGTACAAAATAGCTAGAAAAAAAAGTGCATAAAAGTCATCTTAAAAATCTAAATAGAGGGCTGGGCACAGTGGCTCATGCCTGTAATCCCAGCAGTTTGGGAAGCCAGGAGTTCAAGACCAGCCTGGCCAACAGGGTGAAACCCCGTCTCTACTAAAATACAAAAATTAGCCAGGTGTGGTGGCAGGCGCCTGTAATCCCAGCTACTCGGGAGGCTGAGGCAGAAGAATCACTTGAACGTGGAAGGTGGAGGTTGCGGTGAGCTGAGATCATACCACTGTACTCCAGTCTGGGCAACAAAGCAAAACTCCGTCTCAAAGAAAAAAAAAAAATCTAAACAGAGCTTCACAGAAATCATCAAGACATAAAATAGGAAATAGAAACATTCATATTTTTATTCTTTTTAGAACCAGAGACAAGATTTAAAAGTAATATAACTCATCCCCTCAACTGAGGGCTCAACCAGGGCCAGGGCAGAGAAGATGATGCACATGGTTGAGGCCAGTGGGACCAGAGGCCAGAATACAGCCAGTGTGGCCAGGAGATTTGTTACATACAGGGAACTCAGCAAATAAGTACATACATTGAGGTTAATGGGAGCAGGAGTCCCCATTGTTAGAGGAGGGAGGGAAACATAGAAACAGGAAAGACTGAAATAACTCTGTGGTGTTTACTTGGAATTGGACATAGTGGTATAAACTTTTGTTTTTTCATATAGCTAGAAAGAGGACATAGAAATTGCTAATAATAGGACGAGCGCAGTGGCTCACGCCTGTAATCCCAGCACTTTGGGAGGCCAAGGCGGGTGGATCACCTGAGGTCAGAAGTTCAAGACCAGCCTGGCCAACATGGTGAAACCCCATCTCTAAAAATACAAAAATTACCTGGGCAAGGTGACCTGTACCTGCAGTCCCAGCTACTCCAGAGGGTGAGGCAGGAAGATCACTTGAACCCCGGAGGTAGAGGTTTCAGTGAGCTGAGAATGCACCACCTCACTCCTGGGTGACAGAGTGAGACTCCATCTCAAAAACAAAAACAAAAACAAAAACAAATTGCTAATAATATATGAAATAGATATACTTGAAATAGACATAAATTTAAATACATACTTATACACATATGCTTACATATATTTCCAGGTTCTAGCCACTAAAAGCTCAGATCTAAAAGTGATGCCATTCCCATAGCAATGAACACACCAAGCACTCAGATTTTGGTTTCTCAAAATCATTTTTCAGTAAAAGAAACTGAGACTCATGGAAGAAATGGCTAATTCCAGAGCTGGGCCAAGGAAAGTACAAGATGAGTCTGGAACATCTATTTGTGCCAAAAAGTAAGAAAACAAGATTAAAGAATAAACCCTAAAATTTTCTAGAGAGGGGAAACACCAGATCACCACAAATGAGTTTCAGAAGAAACATATTCTTATATTCCATTGTAGAATTCTATACCCAACAAAAATATCAATCAAGTATGAAGGCTAAATAATGACTTCTTCAGGCAAGCATGAACTCAGAAGGTTTATGTCCTACAGATCCTTCCTGTACTATTCAGTTTTTTAAACCAATATATGTATGTGTTGCTTTGAAAAACATTTTAAATATTTTTAAAATAGGCTCTTCATACTCAACAGGGGGCAACAGGAGGACATTTAAGGTCTCTAATTATGTTGCCATCAAATTTCATTCATCTGGTTGTATTGCAATTCTCCTTTACTTTTTTTAGTCCCTCTTTGAGTTCTGAGACCTCTGGGATCAGGGTCATCTTCAATCCCTCCCTCCAAGCCTAGCCCAGGACTTGGCATATGATACTGTGTCAAAGAAGTGATGTGGTCACAAAACCTATTCCTTTTTCTTCCTAAGCATACAGATGATGTATATTTTCCATCCCTTTGTCATTATGTTGGAGCCAGGTTACTTGATGCTGGCCATGGAATGTGGGTGAAAGTAATTTGTACCATTTTCAGAACTGATCCACAAAAATCTCCCAATCCTCCTCTGCTTCTCCCTTTTTGTATCAAGCTTGGAGGCCTTGTGCTGAAAATGGTGGCATCCAAGGTAGAAAAAGGCCTGGTTCCTGAATGAGTACATGGAGGATCCCAACACACACACCATCATCCCACTACTGACCCACACTGGACTGTAACATGAGCAAGAAATAAACTTTTATTTAATTAGTCTGCTGGATTGTTTATGATAGCAGTTGGCACACACAGACTAATGTAGGTAGGAACTCAATACTTGCTGGAAAAGTACAGGAACTTCCTGTAAGTCTCCTAGAAACAACTTGGCAGGTTGGCTAGTTTCCACAAAAACAAGAAGTAAGCATTATTTCTTTCCAACTCACTTTTCCTATAAACAACTTGTTTCCTGAGATTGTTCCTGATAACAATTATTATCATTTAACTTGAAGGGTTTACATAATGTTGTTATTGATGATAAGAAATATAGAAAATTTTTAATTGATGACTGTCTCCACAACTAACCATGAGATTTCAGCCATTTCCTATAAGATACACATATGTAGACCTGGCTCAATTTGTTTATTCATCCTTCTTTTAAAATGTATATTCATAAAGCACCTGGTATACACTAGGTTCTGCGTGAATGGGCAAAGATAAATAATAGATGTTCTCCATCCTGATGATTCAGATGAGGAGAGGAGATTAAATAACCATCTAACCACATCAGCAAGCAGAATGGGGGATGTACCTCCAAGAACAGCATGGTGAGGGCACTAAGCTGAGAGCCTGCGGAGATGAGATCTGTCCTGCATCCAAATCACTGTGTGCACATGAGAAAGTCACTGGTCCTTTCTGATTCCCAGCTTCCATTCAGTAAATGGCCAGTTTAGACAAATCAAATGGCAGATACATAGCATGCAAGCTGCACTGCAACAGAAACTGCACGTTGGTCACAGCGTATCTTCCCAATGTGCCTGGATATGGCCTCAGAATCATTTCCAACACAGAGCTCCAGTCCACCACTAATCAATGAAACCTACTAGCTATCCCTGAATTAGACATTTTCTAGGGTTCCCACCAAGCTTCTTTGCAGCAAAAGTCAGAGAAACCAGGAGAAGGTCCCAAAGAGATCCACTATCTGATTTCAGAAAGGACTAAGACTAAAGGCTTTATAGAAAACCCATAAGCTTTTACAGAGCTCCGTTGGGAGTCCCATGTTTCTTTATGGCATAATGGGTGAGAACACAGACTTGGAAGCCAAACCACCTGAATTTGAACCCCAGTTCCATTTACCAACTGTCAAAAGCTTAGGCTTTGATTCTGAGCCTGTTTCCTCAACTGCTGTTCTAAAGATTAAATAGGCTAATATTCATAAGGCAACTGGGACAGTGGCTTGTGTGTATAGCAACCATTATATAAGTGAATTATCTACTGAGCACCACAGCACTTCTTCACTCCATGGTGTGGTGACCAGAATGGAGATGAGACAGAGAACTGCAGGTTCTGCTTCGAGTTTAAGTTAGGATTTCCCTTGACCAATGAGACCTGACTTGGAGGAGTCCTGGCCTCATTCCATTACCCCAAACACCCTCTAGTCTCTAGATGAACAGATCCTGAATGTCCAGGCCCCACGTGGCCTGTTCTAAGGCCTGAGATGGAATTGGATACAGGACACATCCAGCCTTGAGATCTTTTGCTAAGTGTGACACAGTGCCCCCAGCCCTGTGCTCATGTTCATGCCTAGGGAAAGGCTTCTATCAAAAGAGTTGAACTTCTTCCCACTGGGGATGGAAGACCATTTCCTCCCTTAAACCTTGGCTCTCCCTGCTTCCTTCAGGCCACCAACAACACATGTGCAGGATATGAAATTGCTGAGGCATCACTGCTTTCCTACTTCCCTTCCAAGTCTCAGCTCCCTTATTTTAAAAAATATTTGGCCTCAATGATCATTTCTCAACAATTCCTCACCGCAGGAGCCTCTGAAGCTCCCACCAGGCCAGCTCTCCTCCCACAACAGCTTCCCACAGCATGAAGATCTCCGTGGCTGCCATTCCCTTCTTCCTCCTCATCACCATCGCCCTAGGGACCAAGACTGAATCCTCCTCACGTGAGTGCAATGCCTTGTCTTCCTTCCAACCTAGAGCCTGCAGGGAAATAAGCAGGAGTGAGGTTGGGGCTCAGGGGAAGACCAGGAGCAGGGACTCAGAAAGGAGGGCTGGTATCTTCTTGAAATTGTGTGTATAGCAACATTATATAAATGAATTATCTACTGAGCACCACAGCACTTCACCCCATGGTGTGGTGAGCAGGATGGAGATGAGACTTAGGACTGTAGGTTCTGCTTAAGAGTTTAAGTTGGGATCTTCCAGCCTTGACCAATGAGACTTGACTTGGGAGACTCCAGGCTTCATTCCACTACCCCAAATGCCCTCTAGTCTCCAAATAAACAGATCCTGAATCTCCAGGCCTCACATGGCCTTGATCTCTTATCATTGCCCCCCAGGACCAGTCCCCCCTTGCCCTCAAGGACATGGAGTGAGACCAGCCTGCCTCTCTACTCCCTCAATTTCTCTCTCTTTGCCGCTAAGCAAAAGAGTGGCCCACCCCATTTGGGGTATATTTCCTCAGGGAGATTAGGAGCAGTGTCTTGAGCCCCTCAAGGGCATTTTTCTATTGGCCTCCTGAGGTTTGGGCCCAGCCTGCTTCCAGCGTCACCTGTGCCCAGTGAGTGCAGCATTGCTTGGGTATGGGCTGGGGGGAAACACGACAGTGTGGGGTCCATCCTAGGCCCCCTTTTCTCAGCTGATTTCTTAGAATAAGCTGCCTTTAGAGATAACCAAAACTATTTATCACTCTTCCATTTTACCTACTCTCCTTTTCAGAAACTGGGGGGAAACCGAAGGTTGTTAAAATACAGCTAAAGTTGGTGGGTATGTGCACAGTTTGACTTGCCCTCTCCGATGTCATTTGTCAGCTCAGAGGAACAAGGTGGGAGAGTATAGGAGCTCTGACTGGGTCTCAGGAAACAGGGGCCCCTTATGCCGTTCTTTGGATCGTGAGGATGCTGCCTGGAATGGAGCTGGAAAACAGGATGAGACCCTTCCACCCAGACATCTGGCCACCCTCAGTGACCTCTGAGGCCATTGTGATGCACATCCATGATTCTATGAAGCAGGGTCACATAACATGCACACACCTGATTTCTCCACTCCATAACCACAACATGTGCCTGTTTGTACAGGGCTCTTGGCCTACAATGTCCTTCCTGCTACCTCTATAATTCAAGCTTGGGGTGGCTGCTGTCACCTTGCTTCTCCTATAAAAGCCATGAAACTTCTCAATCAGAAAATAGATGAAAAAATCACCCAATCCAGTGATTTTTAAAACTTTTTAGACCACAAAACCTTTTCTTCAAGCAATATCTTCCACAGAGGCCCAATATGTAAAACAGAAAAAATGGGTTGAGTAGGGTACAAGACACCACTCTCAAATGCAGCAAGGCCTCCACAATAGTCCCTGAGGCCCCCAGAGCTCCAGGGAGCTCAGTGTAAAAACCACTGATGCAGTCCAAGGGCCTCATTTACAGAGGAGGGAACAGGGGGAAAGTAAAATGGCCACAGTACACAGGAAGCACAGGCAAGGTTAGGTTAGGATTTGGGTGCCCTGACTCTGTGGCCTTTGTCCTTGGGGCTTGCTGTGGGCATCCTGCTCTCTCTGCAGGTTGTCGGTTCAATGGGGACATGGGCAGGGTGGAGCACTAGGAGGGGCTGGGTTTGCATTCCCAAATGGCATGTCTCCAAATCCCTATTGGGATTTCTTCCAAATATTCCTCCTATTTGGAGCACCTTTCCCGAATAAGGCATGAAGGCTGCATGATATTGGCCAAGTCCCTAGCCTTCTCTGCCAGTCGGCCCCCAGAGATGGTGTAAGAAGATCTGAGTGTGCTGCTCTTCAATCCTGGAGTTGAAAGTCATCCACCAGTCTTTCCAAGAGGGGTTGAAGAAAAGGAGGAAGGGTGATTGATGATGAGGGAGGAGAAAAAGAAGAGCCCAGGAGTACCATGGAGAAGGAGAAGAGAAGATGAGGAAAGCCTACTCTCCCCTCCAAGTTCTGAGGGGCTGTCTCCTCCTTCCTTCCCTCCTCCATGCCCTCAGCTTGCAGGAGCAGCCAATGGTATGGCCTTTAACAAGGGGCCCCTCCTCAGCATCTGATGCTCTCTCCTCAGGGGGACCTTACCACCCCTCAGAGTGCTGCTTCACCTACACTACCTACAAGATCCCGCGTCAGCGGATTATGGATTACTATGAGACCAACAGCCAGTGCTCCAAGCCCGGAATTGTGTAGGTGGTACACACACATCACACTGGGGGGAGAGGGAGCCAGCAGGGCCTCCTGGAGGGAAGCAGGGAGTGGTGGTGGAATGGGGACCCCCAGCGTACCTCCCAGGTGTGACTACATGGGGAGAGGCAGCTGAGGGGCAATCTGAGCGCTTTCTGGCTGGAGCCTGCAGGAGCCATGGGGAAACTGACCCCATGGATGGGGAGATGACAGAGAAGGGAGAAGAAGGCAAGAGGGCACTTCCTCAGGGGGACACAGAGACTAGATGGGTCTAGGGGTCCTAGGAACCGAAGAGTATGTCTCAGAGAGGAGACTGGCTCTAAGCTGCCTCTGTGGAAGAAAGGAAAAGCAGTATAGGTCAGGTGGGGAATTTAGGAGGGAGGGAAGATGGGCTGTCTCTTCCGGCCACTGGGCCCCTCGGTTTGTGATCCTTCTCCCTCTTGCTCCACAGCTTCATCACCAAAAGGGGCCATTCCGTCTGTACCAACCCCAGTGACAAGTGGGTCCAGGACTATATCAAGGACATGAAGGAGAACTGAGTGACCCAGAAGGGGTGGCGAAGGCACAGCTCAGAGACATAAAGAGAAGATGCCAAGGCCCCCTCCTCCACCCACCGCTAACTCTCAGCCCCAGTCACCCTCTTGGAGCTTCCCTGCTTTGAATTAAAGACCACTCATGCTCTTCCCTGGCCTCATTCCTTTCTACGGGATTTACTCATTGGCCATGCACTGAGGACACCAGGGTGTGGCACCCTCGGCATCAAGCCTCGCTCTGCAGAAGTTTTGCTGGAGCCTGGTACAAAAAATAGGTCAGGCCTGCAATGCAGGTAGTGAGAAGCAGAAAGTGAGAAAGAAAAGCAGTGTAAAGACCGTCTCCTCCTCAGCAACAACAGTAGCAGACCCCGTTTTCTTAATGCTTTCTATACTCCAAGCACTCTGCTAGGCAGTCTGTATGCATTATCTTATTTAAGCTTCATGACAAGTGTAAAAGCTACAAATCATCATTTGATTTTTTAGGTAACACTTCATAAAGGGCTCTCTATAGCAGTCAAACTCCATAGTCCTTTTTTCTGTGCTGTTTTCAAGGCCTTTCTTCACTGCTGTCTGGAATAGGAATGATGCATGAAGACATTTTATCCAACCCCTCCCCTTCGCTTACACACATCAGATTATACTATATTGTTTTACTAACTTTTTTATCCCCTAGAAGGCTTAGCAGAAAGCCTAGCCCATACCAGGTGTTCAGGAAATGGATGGATGGATGGATGGATGAAGGAAGGGAAGAATGTGTGGATGGAAGGATGAAGGGAAGGAGGAATGGATGGAGGGAGGGAAGCAGGGAGGGATGAAGGGAGGGAGGAAGGGAGGAAGGGAGGGAGGAAGGGAGGGAGGGATGGATGGATGGATGGAGAGAAAGAGGGAGGGAGGGATAGAGGGACAGATGGAATAAGACAGAAATCAAGAGGAGGACTATGCTCCAAGAATAAGCTCTCAAACCTATCTTCAGGGCCCAAGGAGGAGCTCTGTGTACTTGGAATAAGAGCTTGCCCAGAGTAGGGATTATGACCACCCTTTCCTGGCCTCCAGCCTTCCACAGATAAGGAAGGGCTTGTGGGCCACATTAAGGGCCATATGGGGGCCTGCATGCCAAAGTCACAACCAGGCTTCTCAGGCCTTGTCACCTCCATAAACAGAGGTCAAGAGGATGCCCCACATACGTACCCTCCCTGCCCTCACAAAAAGCCACAGCTTCACCACCAGGTGAAGCCTTGAACCCACCAGGAGTAACTGCATTATACGGTTTACCTATCTATGAGCAGTCATGCCAAGCAGAAAGCCCCATAAGGATCTGCACAGTCCCTGTTTCTGCCCCTGCCTCCCACTGCCCTCAACACCTGAAACACATCACCTATGCCTCTAAAGCTTGCTGTCCATCAACAGCAAAATCCCTTATATCTTTGATCTCTTCTCTAAATGCAGCTTTCAACATGGAAAAGGGTCCTGAGGCACCTGAAGAGAGAGGAAGCTGTGGGACAGGTCCAGCCAGAGCCCAGGCCAGAGGGGCAGAAGCTGGAGTCCTGGAGCACAGACGCAGGTTGTCAGGTGCACAGAGTTGGAGGGTCCCCTGCTGGTCATGGTTGGCCATGGGGGCACCCAGGAGGGATCAGCGAGCTGGCTACACCTAAAAATCAGTCCAAAGTCCGAGGTCCAAAGAGATAAATAAAAACATTGACAAATAAGTCAAACGGTCCAGCAACAAATGGGGACCCAAGGATCAGGCACATTGTTTTTTTTTTTTTTTGGAGTATTAGCATACACTGTGACAGGAAAGAGTGTGAGCTCAATCATGTGGCCTTGGACTGGGAGAGGGCATTTCCTTCTCAGAGGCAACTAAGCCCTACCTTTGCCTCAGTCTGGGCTCTGTAATCCTGCTTTGTGCTCATCTCCCCAAGACTGATCACCTGGGGGAAGCTGGGGTGGTTCAACCCTGCCTGCCCTTCCCCAACATACAGATGGTGGCAGGTAACATGGTGAAATCAAACAGATCTGGTTTTTCATCCGCCTATCCACCCAGGTGACCTTGGACAATTTATTTAGCCTCTAGGCCTCAGTAGTCCCAGGGAAGTAATAATCGCTATTCACTATTTTAAGGATTATATAAGATAGGGCATGTAAGGTAGCTGACACACATTCGCCCATTTCTTCACGTGAATTCAGATTCTACTGAATTCAGCTCTGCACCAAGTCCCATCCTCTGCTGCCCTCTGTTTCAGCAAACACTGAGGCCTGTTGTTTCTCCTCCTCTACCGGCTCTGATGCGGTCAAGGTCCAGAGAGCTGAGTAGTTGGCAAGCGGACCACCAGCAACAGACAACATCTTCATTCGGCTCTCCCTGAAGCTGTACTGCCTCGCTGAGAGGATGAAGGTCTCCGAGGCTGCCCTGTCTCTCCTTGTCCTCATCCTTATCATTACTTCGGCTTCTCGCAGCCAGCCAAGTGAGTCCACTTGTCTCTGTAGGGCAGGAACGAGAAAGGGGGATGGAGCAGCTGGCAGGGAGGTAGTGCCAAGGGCGCTGTCGGGTCTCTGGCCTCATAAGACCCTGTGGGCTCTCCCCACCTTCATGCATAGCTTCTGACCTCCAATTCTCCCCTTTGTAAGTAGAGCTGGGGTTGGTCCGGATCTTTCTGGGGTAAGTAGTTCCAGGAAACTGGGTCACCATTTCCTCAGGAGTCCCAAGCGTGGTGAGCAGGAATGATCATTCAGGAGGAGAGGCCAAGAAAGCAGCAGAAAATGCAACAAGAAGTGCATGCAATGAAAGGGAGGGGGAGGCACGCGGATGAGAAAGAAAAGTGGCAGGTGCCCTGGAAGAATGAGTGGCGAGAGGAAGGAAGGTTCAAACAATCATGTGGGTCTAAGTCCAGGAATTGGGAGTCTGAACCGAGAGAGCCCTTCCTCAACATGGCTGGCACAGGTTGCTGGGACTATCAGACAACCAAAATGAGTCCCAGTGGAATGGCTGCTTGGGAATCTATGGTCCCCTTCTCCATCCCCCAGCCTATGACTAAATAAAATCTGCAGAAAAGAGGAAAGGGGTTGAAAGGTTTTGGAGCTGTGGGGAAAGGGAGAATTGGGGCCTATGGAGGAGGGGGTTTGTTTTGCCCCTCCGTATCTCCTCCCTCTATCATTGTTTACGAGGACCTGGTGACGGGGGTGGGGAGGACAAAGACGTGTACCTGCCCTAGGCTGCCCCAGCCATTCTTTTCGCTTTTGTTTTTTTGTTTGTTTGCTTGTTGTGTTTTGTTTTGTTTTGTTTTGTTTGTGATGGAGTTTCGCTCTTGTTGCCCAGGTTGGAGCGCAGTGTCGCGATCTCGGCTCACCACAACCTCCGCCTCCCGAGTTCAAGTGATTCTCCTGCCTCAGCCTCCTGAGTAGCTGGGATCACAGGCACACACCACCACGCCCAGCTAATTTTTGTATTTTTAGTAGAGACGGGGTTTCACCATGTTGGTCAGGCTGGTCTCAAACTCCTGACCTCGTGATCTGCCCACCTCGGCCTCCCAAAGTGCTAGGATTACAGGTATGAGCCACCATGCCTGGCCTCTTTTCTCTCTTAAGGTCACCCTGGCATGTAGTCTGGCCTGACTCTGCCTGTGTAAACACAAAGGAGCAAGGGTCAAGTGCACCATGTAATCTGCCCACATACTCTCAGGATGACCCTGGTCTTTGTAAACTTTGCTTTGAGAACCAGTGATATGAGCATCACTTACAGAGGGACTGTGTGGGAGGGGGGAACAGTGCTCTTTGGGAGAGTCAATCAGGCCAGTGCAGTGGGTTCAGGCTTCAAGAAAGAGAAAATGGCCCACCCAAAGCATGGATCAGCAAGATGGTGCTCTCAAGATGTCCCAAGCTTTGCCACTCACTGGAGGCAAAGGGGTCAAGCTACAAAAAGATTTGCACTCTGAAGGTTTGGGGGCTGGGAGAGATCTCTGGACTGACCTCTTGTGTAGTATCCCCAATTGATGGGTAGTCAGGACAGCTCAAAGGAAACACAGTGACAATAACCAATCAAGTCCAGTATCCTGCATACATCAAAGAGATGGGGGGAAGCGCCATTTCCAAGGCAAGAAGAGCAGTCATTACTACCATTGGCTCTTAATTATAATAAGCACTGATTGAGCCTTTCTGTGTGCCAGGCTCTGAGTTAAGGGCTTTCCAATCATTTTCTCACCGAATTCTAACCATGATCCTAGGATACAAGTAAGTATCATTTACCCCCACTTAATAGATGAGGAAACTGAAACCTAGGGAGATTAAGAAATTTGCCCATGATTCAAGTCAAAATTCAAATCAAGTCAAAATTCCAACCCAAGCTGTCTGACCCCAAAGCCTAAATCATATACTTTTTCCTCCTGCTCTAACTTCTGTCTCTAAAGGCTCTACTCTCTCACCCTTCCCCCTAACCTCCGCCTCTCCAATACCTCTAAGATAGAGTCCAAATTCCTCAGTAGCTCAGCAGGTATGTGACCAGACCCTCCTCCTCTCTCCAGTTTCATCTCTGCCCATTCATTTCTTCCTACCTTGCATGCCAGCCACCCAAACTGCCCAGCACTCCCAAGACACACTGAGCTTCCCCTACCTTCAGGCTTTCCTGCATTTCTTTCTTCCAGATTCTACAAGTCCTTTGTGTGTCTAAATCCTTTTTTTTTTTTCTTTTGAGATGGAGTCACTCTTTCGCCCAGGCTGGGGTGCAGTGGCGCAATCTTGGCTCATTGCAACCTCTGACTCCCGGGTTTAAGTGATTCTCCTGCCTCAGCCTCCCGAATAGCTGGGATTACAGGCATGTGCCACCATGCCTGGCTAATTTTTGTTAGTAGAGACGGGGTTTCACCATGTTGGCCAGGCTGGTCTCAAACTTCTGACCTCAGGTGATCCGCCCGCCTCGGCCTCCCAAAGTGCTGGGATTACAGGCATGAGCCACCACACCCAGCCGTGTGTCTAAATCCTACTCATCCTTTACGAATCAATGCAGGCCTCACTTGCTTTGAGACTTCTTCCTCAACCACCAAGGATGGGTTAGGGGCCCTTCATTCTGTTCCCATAGCACCTTATGCCAAAGTCTGTTCTATCCTGGACCACATTCTGTGGTAGTGTTTGTTTAACTTTTCAATTTCTCTTTCAACCCTGACTAGTCTGTAAGTTACTTAAGGGTAGTGACTGTATCTTCCTCATGTTTTTACCCCCATAGAGCCCAGCATATAATACTAGCTCAACACATGTTTGCCCGATCAAGTCACCAATAAACAAAAGAATGAGCCAGCTTCCTCCCGGTTCCTTGGCAAGTGTGAATAACTAAGTCATTTGTAGTTGACACTCAGCTCAGAGGCTGAGGGTTCTAAATGTATGTCCCCCAAAGGGATTCATCTTATGCACTTCATTACCAGTCAAGCTATCATTGGTCTCCTCTAACAGACGGCTTTGCTATCAGAGGAGTGAAACACAAATGGTGGGAGACAGAGGTGGGCAGCTGTGGTCTCCCCTCTGCTTCCCTGGCTCAGCTTGCAATGTGATTCCTTCAGAAGTTCCTGAGTGGGTGAACACCCCATCCACCTGCTGCCTGAAGTATTATGAGAAAGTGTTGCCAAGGAGACTAGTGGTGGGATACAGAAAGGCCCTCAACTGTCACCTGCCAGCAATCATGTAAGCACGTCCTTTTAGATATTTCTGTGGAGAGGGACAGGGAGCCCAGGGGCAGGAATGAGATACATGGGATCAAGAGGTCTCCATGCTAGAAGCAGTGGAGCAGTGGCTAAGGGTTTGGCCTTTGGCTCTCAGGGGCCTGGGATTAATTCCTAATTTTGCCACTTTTAGCTATGTGGTTCATTATGAAACCCAAGCTTGAGGGTCTAGGCTGAGTGGAGAAGGGACTGAGAGAAGGGATGGTAAGGTTCTGAGGCCAGAGAGAGAGGCTGTCTGAGGGAACCCAGCCAGGACAGGCCCAGGGAAGCTTTAAAGAACATAAGGTGAGCTCCATGTGAACCAGAGGTGGGGGTGGGCACCGGACTCCTGCCCGAGTCTGCAGCCCATGACGGTCTAATTCTGCCTCTGCAGCTTCGTCACCAAGAGGAACCGAGAAGTCTGCACCAACCCCAATGACGACTGGGTCCAAGAGTACATCAAGGATCCCAACCTACCTTTGCTGCCTACCAGGAACTTGTCCACGGTTAAAATTATTACAGCAAAGAATGGTCAACCCCAGCTCCTCAACTCCCAGTGATGACCAGGCTTTAGTGGAAGCCCTTGTTTACAGAAGAGAGGGGTAAACCTATGAAAACAGGGGAAGCCTTATTAGGCTGAAACTAGCCAGTCACATTGAGAGAAGCAGAACAATGATCAAAATAAAGGAGAAGTATTTCGAATATTTTCTCAATCTTAGGAGGAAATACCAAAGTTAAGGGACGTGGGCAGAGGTACGCTCTTTTATTTTTATATTTATATTTTTATTTTTTTGAGATAGGGTCTTACTCTGTCACCCAGGCTGGAGTGCAGTGGTGTGATCTTGGCTCACTTGATCTTGGCTCACTGTAACCTCCACCTCCCAGGCTCAAGTGATCCTCCCACCCCAGCCTCCCGAGTAGCTGGGACTACAGGCTTGCGCCACCACACCTGGCTAATTTTTGTATTTTTGGTAGAGACGGGATTCTACCATGTTGCCCAGGCTGGTCTCAAACTCGTGTGCCCAAGCAATCCACCTGCCTCAGCCTTCCAAAAGTGCTGGGATTACAGGCGTGAGCCACCACATCCGGCCAGTGCACTCTTAATACACAGAAAAATATATTTCACATCCTTCTCCTGCTCTCTTTCAATTCCTCACTTCACACCAGTACACAAGCCATTCTAAATACTTAGCCAGTTTCCAGCCTTCCAGATGATCTTTGCCCTCTGGGTCTTGACCCATTAAGAGCCCCATAGAACTCTTGATTTTTCCTGTCCATCTTTATGGATTTTTCTGGATCTATATTTTCTTCAATTATTCTTTCATTTTATAATGCAACTTTTTCATAGGAAGTCCGGATGGGAATATTCACATTAATCATTTTTGCAGAGACTTTGCTAGATCCTCTCATATTTTGTCTTCCTCAGGGTGGCAGGGGTACAGAGAGTGCCTGATTGGAAAAAAAAAAAAAAGAGAGAGAGAGAGAAGAAGAAGAAGAAGAGACACAAATCTCTACCTCCCATGTTAAGCTTTGCAGGACAGGGAAAGAAAGGGTATGAGACACGGCTAGGGGTAAACTCTTAGTCCAAAACCCAAACATGCAATAAATAAAACTCCCTTATTTGACAGCTTGATTCCTAACCTCCTGCTTTTTTTTCTGCTAGGGTGAAAGAAGCTTAATCTCAGTTTTTTTCAGGGGCTTCTCCACATTTCTTGAGACTTTTGTCAAGGTTGGGGGCCATTTATATTCAATCTTCCCCTCTGTCTCCAGCTTAACAGCAGACAGCTGACTCAGCTCGCTTGGATTCAACATTCTCCCAAAACGCTGTTGTGAAGACAAAACAAAAGCCAGGTAATTAAGACCGGATGGTTAAGACAGGTAATTAAGACCGGATGGTTAAGAGAAACAAATAAATGCAGTGAAGTGTCAAGCTGAAAACGGGCCAATGAATTGGATTCTGGTAAACTGACTCATAACTGCCCCCCAGTGGCCATGTTGTTAAAACCCGAGCCTCCTCCCTTGGCCGGCGCGGTGGCTCACGCCTGTAATCCCAGCACTTTGGGAGGCCGAGGGGGGCAGATCACGAGCTCAGGAGATCGAGCCCATCCTGGCTAACACGGTGAAACCCTGTCTCTACTAAAAATACAAAAAAATTAGCCGGGCGTGGTGGCGGGCGCCTGTAGTCCCAGCTACTCGGGAGGCTGAGGCAGGAGAATGGCATGAACCCAGGAGGCGGAGCTTGCAGTGAGCCGAGTTCGTGCCACTGCACTCCAGCCTGGGCGACAGAGAGAGACTCTTGTCTCAAAAAAAAAAAAAAAAAAAAAACGAGCTGCCTCCCCAGCCCAAGCTCATCTTCCCAGGATGGCCATCTCATCTAGCTGGCCAATCAGACTCTCAGAGAGATTTGAAATTTGGACCTGAGAAACTCAGTCTGGTTGCTGCTAGAGCAGAAGTGAGTTTCTGGCAGTGTCCCAAGGAAAGAGGTCTATGAACTTCTGTCCTGAGGTCCCTGGAACTGCCTCACTTCCTGCCCCAGCTCCAGGCTGGGAGCTTCAGCTGGTCTTTCAGTTCCATGAGATGTCCCAGCATCTTTCCTTTAAAAAAATTTCTAGGCCAGGCGCGATGGCTCACACTTGTAATCCCAGTTCTTTGGGAGGCCAAGGCGGGCAGATCACTTGAGGCCAGGAGTCTTGAGACCAGCCTGGACAACATGGCCCATCTCTACTAAAAATACAAAAATTAGCTGAGCATGGTGGTGGTCGCCTGTAATCCCAACCACTCAGATGGCTGAGGCATGAGAATCGCTTGAACCCAGGAGGCAGAGGTTGCAGTGAGCTGAGATCATGCCACTACACTCCAGCCTGGGCAACAGAGCGAGACTCCATCTCAATTTAAAAAAAAAATTCCTAAAGGGCCATGGTGGCAATTTAGCACCTCAGGAATAACTTATTGGTTTAGGTCAGTTCTTGGCGGGGGATGATGGATGTATGTGTGTTAAAATAGACATAACAGGGGCTGGGCAAGGTGGCTAACGCCTGTAATCCCAGCACTTCCAGAGTCTGAGGTGGGCGGATCACTTGAGGCCAGGAGTTCGAGACCAGCCTGGGCAGCATGGCGAAACCCCACTTCTACCAAAAATACAAAAAAAAAAAAAAAATTAGCCGAGCATGGTGGCCTGGGCCTATGGTCCCAGCTGCTCAGGAGGCTGAGGCAGGAGGATCCCTTGAGCTGGGGAGTCAGCTGAAATCGTGCCACTGCACTCCAGCCTGGGTGACAGAATGAGACCCTGTCTCAAAAAACATGTGTGTGTGTGTGTGTGTGTGTGTGTGTGTGTGTGTACACACATAACAAGGCCATGCACAGTGGCTTATGCCTATAAACCCAGCACTTTGGGAGGCTGAAGCAGGAGGATCATTTGAGTCCAGGAATTTGAGATCAGCCTGGGCGGTATGGTGAGATCTTACATATTTTTTAATCTCTACAAAAAAAAAACAATTAACTGGGCACGGTGGTGTGTGCCTGTGGTCACAGGTACTCAGAAGGCTGAGGTAGGAGGATTGCTTGAGCCCAGGAGGTTGAGACTGCACTGCAGTGAGCCATAATATCACCACTGCACTCCAGGCTGGATGACAGAGCAAGACTCTGCCTAAAAATACATATATATATATAGGTGTGTGTGTGTGTGTGTATGTGTGTATGTGTGTGTGTATATATATATATATATATATAGACAAAATTTACCATTCTAAACATTTTTATGTGTACAATCCTACATTCACTTTGTTAGGCAAACATCACCACTATCCATCTCCAGACTTTTCTCATTGTCCCAACCTGAGACTCTGTACCCATTAAATGCTAACTCACCATTCTCTCCTCCCCCAGCCTCTGGTAACCACTATTCTTCTTTCTGTCACTATGAATTTGACAGCTCTAGGTATTTCATGTAAGGGGAATCACATAGCATTTGTCCTTTTGTGACTAGCTTATTTCACCAGCATAGTGTCGTCAAGGTTCATCCAAGTTGTAGCATGCTTCAGAACGTTATTCCTGTTAGTCATTAGGCTAACATTCCATTGTATGTATCTGCCACATTTCGTTTATCCAGCTAATCTGCTGATGGACGTGTGGGTATCTCTCTTTTCTTGCTAGCCAGAGTTTGCAGATCTTGGTTTCTGTCACTTGCACCAAAAGCACCTGAACTTGGGCAACAACCCATCAATCACCCGGGCATTGACTCAGAGGAGCCCCATGTGCTTGCTGCTCTTGCTCCTCCACAGAGGCAGTGCTACCTGCTTTGGTCCCTCCCTGGACTGTGAGTCCCTGCTCCTTGATCCAGGAATTTCTCTCCACCCTCCTTGCTATCAGGGGTTACAGCTAAATATGATCAAACTCCTTCCTCCAGGAGCTCCCAGCCTGGGGATGACAGAATCAATAACATACAATGTAGTCAGGCCCAGACCTTTGCTTGCAGAGGCCAAAGCAAACATGGGGGTGGGAGTGAGGCCGGCAGGGCCTAGGTTGACAGAAAAGTCAGGACAACATCAGATGCGGCAAGAAGTTTCAAAGTCCTTAGCCAGCACCAGGGTCAAAGCCAGGGAGTCAGAGTTCAAAGGCCTAAAAAACAGGACAAGGCTAAAAACAGGAAGCTCAGGGCCGGGGTTCTGGCAAGCTGGAACAGAATGTCGTTGTCTTGTGTTTTGTTTTGTTTTGTTTTTAAATTCAGGAGCACTGAGGTGTCAGTCTGAAAACCTGAGTAATCGAGAGTCTATATACACAAAGTCAAATCCCCACCCTAGCACATAATAAAAAGCCTGCCAGAAACTTCTGATGGTTCAGAACTGGAAGAGCTTTTCTCACGTGCATTCAGTTGCTTTTCAAGAAGGATATTCCCAGTCTTTTCAAGGCAGGCAGATAGATGGCTGACCTTAAACACACACAAATACAGAAAGGACTTCGGTCATTCTGATATACAGAGTTTTCCAGCTGTGGTCATCCTAAAGCAAATAAACCTTTTCTTGAACAACTTGTATGACTGACCTTTTGCCTTGTAGAATACAGGTGGCTGGGTACATGGGGGAACCAACTGGAACAGGAAGGGAAGAAAATGAGAGAACAACTCTGGATACTACAAAGAGCATTTTACTGGGAGTCACAGAGGACGGCTCGCATGTCCTCTTTCTACACAGCCGTCTTAGACACCATGAATCCTTGAAGCAGATGACCAGATGTCCTGCGGCTGGTTTCAGCAGGCCTGTTTGAAATATTATTAGTCTTTCTCGGATGGGCCGCATGAACACATATTTTCTTCCCATGAGAGCATACATGTGCTTGCACGTGTGAGAGCAACTATTGAGAGTCATCAGCAGCCTGAGCTGGCACTTGGGGACACAGCTGATGCAATGGTTTAAAAGCACTGTCTCCAAGCCAGGTGCAGTGGTGCATGCCTATAGTCCCAGTAACTCAGGAGGCTGAGGCAGGAGGATCACTTGAGCCCAGGAGTTCGAGGCTGTCATGTGCCATGATTATGCCTGTGAATAGCCACTGCACTCCAGCCTGGGCGACATAGCAAGAAGACCCCATATCTTTTATTTAAAAACAAAAAGAGTATTATCTCCACACTCAGACTCTGACAGACCATCTATGTTTGAGTCCCAACTCTGTCACTCACTGTGAGGTCTTGGGTAACTACTAATCCTCCTAAGCCTTGGTTTCCTCATCTGTAAAATAGATCAATTATGATACCTACCCCCCAGTGTTGAAAGGATGAAAAGGCAATGTGAGAGAGTGCTTAGCAGATAAGTGCTCAATAGGCCTTATTGTTCCAGAATCTGACTTTTTTCTAGGACCACAGAACATAAGACAGAAAGGAGCTTTCTGTCATTATGAAGATAAGGGAATTAAAGGCCAGAGATGGAAAGCGATTTAGCAAAGGTCATGCTACAAATTACAGAAGATCTGGCACTAGAACTGGAGGCTATACTTTAAAAAGAAGAAACCTCTGATCTACACAAGCCTGAGGCTGGTATGAATATATGAAAGATTGGGGTCATCTGACTAAAGAAGCAATAGTTCAAAGCCTGAGACCTCCTTTTGCATGACCTGGTCTCCCTGGAGAGCCTGGCCTCCATTCATGTATCTTTGATTCTCGCCAAGGAGACTTTGAAGAAGGAATGGGCAAATGCAGAAAGGGACCTCAAATCTCTCCAGAGCCTGGTATTTATGAGCCCAGTTTCCTCTTCTGCAAAATGGCGCTGATACCTTACAGGGCTGCTGTGACAACTGCCAGCTTCTGGTACAGGATCTGGAACAAACATCATAATAAAATGGAAAACAGTATTAATCTCTTAGCAGCTAAAGCAGGAATTCCTATCATGGAGGAAATAACCTTTGTTAAGAAAATGAATTGGCAACCCTGGTTAAGGAAGGACACTCCCCCAGGACATGGAGCTGAGACTTCACAGGAAGGGCTGAAGTTGTTCCAAGCAAACCAGGAGAAACAGCTTTGCCCCTGAGAGCCAGAGGGGAGGGAGACAGAGGGCTGGAGAAGGGGATAGAGGCTGTGCAATGAGCGGCAGGACTGCCCTCCTTCCTGGAGTCCTCAAAAGTGCCATCAATTATTTTGCTTCCTGGCCGGCGCAGTGGCTCTTGTTTGTAACCCCAGCACTTTGAGAGGCCGAGGTGGGAGGATCACCTGAGGTCAGGAGCTTGAGACCATCCTGGCCAACATGGTGAAACCCCATCTCTACTAAAAATACAAAAATTAGCTGGGCGTGGTGGTGCATGCCTGTAATTCCAGCTACTCAGGAGGCTGAGGCAGGAGAATCCCTTGAACCCAGGTGCTGGAGCTTGCAGCAAGCCGAGATCATGTCACTGCACTCCAGCCTGGGTGACAGACCGAGACTCCATCTCGAAAAAAAAAAAAAATGGAGATGGAAACACCAACAATTACAGGTTATTGGGAGAATTACACTGGTTAACATAAGTAAAGTGCCTAGTATTGGACCTGGCTCACAGCAGAGATTGGGTGCTTATGGGTTCCCTTGCCAGAGAAACGCTGCTTCTGTCTTGCAAGTTCTTGCTGGAAGAGGCAAGACAGAGTCAGGTGACACTTATCGGTTCCCACAACTACAACACAAATGCTGATGGAAAAGGAATCATGTAATGAGCAAAAGAATCAAGAAATCACTTGAATCAAGAAACAGTTATTTCCACCCCTAGCACACACTCAGAACTTCCCCCTCGCTCCTCCCTTGCATTCTGATCAAAAAATGAGTCTTAGCCGGGCGCAGTGGTTCACACCTGTAATTCCAGAGCTTTGGGAAGCCGAAGTGGGCAGATCACCTGAGGTCAGGAGTTCAAGACCAGCCTGACCAACATGGAGAAAACCTCTCTCTACTAAAAATACAAAATTAGCCAGGCATGGTGGCACATGCCTCTAATCCCAGCTACTCAGGAGGCTGAGGCAGAAGAATTGCTTGAACCCGGGAGGTGGAGGTTGCGGTGAGCCACGGTCGCACCATTGCACTCCAGTAGCCTGGGCAACAAGAGTGAAACTCTGTCTCAAAAAAAAAAAAAAAAAAGTTCAAAGAGATAGTAAAAAACCATAGTAATTTTTTGCTTTACTGCAGTTTTCAAAGATACATTTTTTTTCATAATGTGGCACCTCTTCAATGTTGGCAGAATTGTCTTTTGCAGGGAATTCCAGGAGACTGCAGATAACTAATTACCATGAGAAGGTAGTCATAAATATGGTTAATGTCTAACTGGTCAGGACTCTTAACATCAGTTTCAGTCAACTTGCTACAGCAAATGTAATCTTCCTATGAAGTCTCTTAAGTTCTCCATCTCTATTTAGCCAGGAGGTGGAGCTTGCCGTGAGCCAAGATTGCACCACTGCACTTGAAACTCTGTCTCCAAAGAAAAAAAAAAAACAAGGAATCCTCCCTGTCCCCTCCAGATCATATGCGTGAGGTTTCTCATCCGAGCCACAGAACACAGACAACTTGTGACTGCTTTCTCAGTTCTCCTAGGATGATGCATAACCAACACCACTCTGGATGCACAGGAGGGAGGTTAACCCATTACATCTACTGCTTATCTTAAGCCAGTTCAAAAAGCCTGTCTCAGGGCAGGGGCCACGTCTTCGAATTTACCCTGTTCCCATCCAGGGCCCTTTGTACCTGGGGGGCCTCACTAAATGTCTAATCATGAATTTCACACTTAGGCATGGGGGCAGGGGTTGGAAGTCAATGTGATAGGGCCCCTTGGCTGTGAGTGAGGGGATCAGTGCAGGGATGTGTCTCCACCGAGATGGCAGTTTAAGCCAGGTCCTGGAGTGTGGATTTAGGTCTTGGAGTTCTGGATTGAGTTGCTGAAAAGCAATTGCTGTCTTGACATGATTTTAGGAAAATTAGTGAGCAGCGCCACCCAGTGGTTAAAAGCCACAATGACTTATCTCTCTGTGAGCTCATTGGGCTGGCTCGTACATAAGCCTAGTTGCTGAGATAGCCCCTTCCTGGTGTGCACACCTTCCACCTTCCCACCTCTCCTTGTATTCTCCCCTTTTGAAGAGAGCTGAGGTATTCAGTACACAGTGAGGGCACAGTGCTTTCAAGGAGCTTTCCTTCCCACTAAAAGTGGGAAGAGAGACCACGCACAAACATACACATCATCAGGTTCTATAACGAAGAATAGAGCAGAGTAAAAGTGATGGCGAGGAGTACACAAAACACCTTTGTACTGTTTGATAGGACCCACCAAGAAGAACAATTTTCTTTGGGAGGCAGAGGTGGGTGGTTCATCTGAGGTCAGGAGTTTGAGACCAGCCTGACCAACATGTATACAACATGGTGAAACCCTGTCTCCACTAAAAATACAAAAATTAGCTGGGCATGGTGGTGGGTGCCTGTAATCCTAGCTACTTGGGAGGCTGAGGCAGGAGAATCGCTTGAGCCTGGGAGGCAGAGGTTGCAGTGAGCCGAGATCGTGCCATTGCACTCCATCCTGGGCAACAGAACAAGACTCCCTCTGGAAAAAAAAATTAATAAGAATCTGATGATTAAAGTTCATATTAAACTTGTCGCTTCCAGCATGGGAAACTGAGCCCCTCACACACTTAACAAACGGACCATTCTGCAAGTCAAAGCCATCAACTCTAGACAAAAATTTAAAATATAACTGAGAACTTGGGTGACTACACAAAAATGGACAGATGTCAGAGGCACACTGAAAACTGGAACCAGCAACAGGCATTTAGGGAGTTCCTATTTTTTGTGGCCTTGGCCTAAGGGTTGGCTAAACCTAACAGAAAGTTTGTGGGCTGGGCACAGTGGCTCATACCTGAAATCCCAACACTTTGAAAGACCGAGGTGGGAGGATCACCTGAGGTCAGGAGTTTGTGACCAGTCTGGCCAATATGGTAAAACCCCGTGTCTACTAAAAATACAAACATTAGGCCGGGCGCAGTGGCTCACGCCTGTAATCCCAGCACTTTGGAAGGCTGAGGCGGGCAGATCATGAGGTCAGGAGATAGAAACCATCCTGGCCAACATGTTGAAACCCCGTCTCTACTAAAAAAAAAAACACAAAAATTAGCTAGGCGTGGTGGCATATGCCTGTAATCCCAGCTACTCAGGAGGCTGAGGCAGGAGAATCACTTGAACCCAGGAGGCGGAGGTTGCAGTGAGCGGAGATCATGCCACTGTACTCCAGCCTGGCGACAGAGCGAGACTCCATCTCAAAAAAAAAGAAAAAAGAAAAAATTAGCCAGGTGTGATGTCTCTACTAAAAATACAGAATTAATTGGGCCTGGTGGTGCATACCTGCAATCCCAGCTACCCAGGAAGCTGAGAGATGAGAATCATTTGAACCTGGGAGGCAGAGGCTGCAGTGAGCCAAGATTGCACCATTGCACTCTAGCCTGGGTGATGGAGTGCAATGGAGGGAAACTCTGTCTCAGAAAAAAAAAAGAAAGAAAGAGAGAAAGAAAAGAAAGAAAGAGAGAGAGAGAAAGAAAGAAAGACGGAAGGAAGGAAAGAAAGAAAAAAAGAAATTACCATTACCCGGCTTTCCTCCACATACAGGAGTTAGTCCTGTGTAGCAAATAGTTGTAGTTTGCATTTTGATCTAGCCATAACTGTTTCATTTTTCAGAATTCTCAGTGAAAATTCTTTGAATTACGTAAGAATTCATTTGAAGGCCTGCTATCCCTCCAGGATTTGTAAGTTAGTTAGTTAATCATATTTACGAGTTTACAAGCTTTTAGTCATATTATTATTATTATTATTTTTTTTTGAGACGGAGTCTCGCTCTGTCGCCCAGTCTGGAGTGCAGTGACGCGATCTCAGCTCACTACAAGCTCCGTCTTCCAGGTTCACGCCATTCTCCTGCCTCAACCTCCCGAGTAGCTGGGACTATAGGCGCCCGCCACCACGCCCAGCTAATTTTTTGTATTTTTAGTAGAGACGGGGTTTCACCATGTTAGTCAGCATGGTCTCGATCTTCTGACCTCGTGATCCGCCTGCCTCAGCCTCCCAAAGTGCTGAGATTACAGGCGTGAGCCACGGCGCCCGGCCTTTAGTCATATTATCTGTAAAATTAATAAGGGATTTATATTAAATAATCTCTAAGATTTCTTCCAGCAATAAAATTCTGCAATTCTGTAAGTTTCTACAGGGTCTCCACCCATCTCTAGCATTAACTACCTCCTATGCATTTTCAATTTTTAAACTATATAGACAAAATACGGAGAAATATTTCACATGGTAATAAGATCTGAGCAGTGACTGACACCCATATGAACCTTGTTTTATAAAAAGTGTTCACGTACCATCTTCTTATATTCACTCTACAACCAATAGAGCAAATCTAATTTATGGTCTATTTTTAAATAGCCCATTAAGAATGGTTTTTACATTTTTGAAGAACTGTGATAGAAAAAGCAAAGAAACAAAAAGAAATAAGCAACAGAGACCACATGTGGCCCACAAAGCCTAAAATATTTACTATCTGACCTTCCCAAAAAAAGATTTGAAAAAGTTGGTTTAGTAAAATGAAAGGAATTAAAGTTAACTCCGGATTGTTGCCTAAAGGAGAAGAAAATACAGACCACCCACATTAATTTCAACATCATTAATCCAGAATTTTTTGGTAATTTAATCTGAATTAAATTAACATTTAAATATTAAATAGGCCAGTCCCAGTGGCTCATGCCTATAATCCCAGCACTTTTGGAGCCAAGGCAGGTGGATCAGAGGTCAAGAGTTGGAGACCAGCCTGGCCAACATGGTGAAACCCCATCTCTACTAAAAATACAAAAATTAGCCAGGTATGGTGGTGCGTGCCTATAATCCCAGCTACTCAGGAAGTTGAGGCAGGAGAATTGCTTGAATTTGGGAGGCGGAGGTTGTAGTGAGCTAAGATCGTGCCACTGCACTCCAGCCTGGACAACAGAGTGAGACTGTGTCGCAAAATATAATAATAATAAAATAAATAAATAAATATTGAAGATTAAGCAGCTGAAATACATAAATAATATTAACGCTACCAAGAGAATAGACTGGTATTGAGGATTTCATTTCAGGAATTGTTATATTAAAACAGATGTTTAAAATGATGGTTAAGTGGTAGAGCTAGAAATGTTTACACTAAGTAAGCACATATCAGAAATGCCCCAACTCTTCACTAATTACAAAATAACTAACTTGGTAACCAGCCCTGTTACCAAAGAAGGGATACCTGCATAGTATTTCTGTCTGTTTAGAGATAAAAAGAGACTATGTTTATTGCTATCAAAGCTTGATTTTTATCCTCTGTCCATGGTCCAGGGTCATGTATGTCATTAATCCTTATTAAGCTTCTTAGTGATGCTCTTTTGCAAACAATATAAGCAGTACAGGTGCAAAGACAGTGAGTGAAGGCCTGCTTTCTGCCCGACTGCTTAACATGTTTAAGATCTTTTAAACCATCCGAGCTTTTAAAGTCTGCTTCTCTTAACAATACACCTACTAGATTTTTAAAAATACCATCCATGAACTTAAAGGAATTACTATTCTCATTGGTGTTTTTAAAGAAACAAACAAGCCTCTCTATACTGCTTTCTTCAGAACTGATTTTCAACTGATATATACGGGTGTAGCCATATTGGTTGCTAAATACCGAAATATGTTCTTACTGGTTGGTAAAGAGCCGCCGTTGTAAGCTCTCTGCATGCCCGCCACAGCCTCGCCTTTCCAACAGGCACTTCATTGCTGTACCTCCCCACAATCCAATAATTAAAAGGTTATCCCGAGGCATAGCAGGAGGCCTTTAGGACCCTTCTTCTTCACTAGGCTTGCATCCATACTGATTGCTGGTGCTTGGGTCATCCCTTCCATGTAACAATTTTGAATATCACCCTGACTTTCTGACTAATAGAGTAAATCGTTACTATCTTATCAATGTTTGTGTTCTGCAATCTAGAGTATCAAATAGCTCTAGCTCACCTGTGTTACTTATCTGTATAGAATCAACATTCAGAGTTGCATTATTTCTGAATAAGCCCAGGATGCCATCATACTGTAACTCAGTCTCCTAAACCACACTGCATTTTTTTCTCTATTTCTCTCAATGTTGACAGTGTGACCTAAGTTCTGTATTCTCTTGTTCCTCTCAGTTCGCTTTGCACCTCATAGGCCTCCAGATATCTCCTTGAAGCCTCTTCTCTTTGAAGTACCAGCATCACTACAGAGTCAGTGTCTGTCGGCCAAGATTGGGTTTTCCACGAAATAGATGCTCAACTTCAACGTTCAAATGCCAGCGTGAACCACGGAGTAGTGATTGTGGGAAACGCTGGATTCTGCAAAACTGCCACCATCTCCAGACTGGTGGCCCTCAGCTGCCATGGTACAAAGATGAGACAGATCACCTCAGACAGCCCACGTGCCTCCCCCAAATGTATATTTCCTTTTTAAATAACTCCCTGCTTCATTGGCACTGAAGTTTTTCTGACATATTTATATTAAGTCATACATCCTTTTATTTCCTGATCTGTAAAACCTGACTTCCACGTGAGGACCTTTTGTGTTTTTTGTTTTTTTGTTTTTTTTTTTTTTTTTTTGAAACGGAGTCTCGCTCTTTCGCCCAGGCTGGAGTGCAGTGGCGCGATCTCGGCTCACTGCAAGCTCCACCTCCTAGGTTCATGCCATTCTCCTGCCTCAGCCTCCCGAGTAGCTGGGACTACAGGCGCCCGCCACCATGCCTGGCTAATTTTTTTTTTTTGTATTTTTAGTAGAGATGGGGTTTCACTGTGTTAGCCAGGATGGTCTCAATCTCCTGACCTCACGATCTGCTGGCCTCAACCTCCCAAAGTGCTGGGATTACAGGCGTGAGACACCGCACCCAGCCCATGTGAGGACTATTAATTCAGAGGTGAAGACAGTAATTACCCACAAAATCAAATACCAGATAAAGGGGAATACAGTAGGAGGAGGAAGGGAAGAGCAGAAATAATACATGACATACGATCACTGAACTTCACCTCAACTCAAAATGTCACACATTACTTTAGGCTTTTGTTCCTGCCATCTCCCATATCCACCCCCCTGCAGTTATCCAGAACTCTATTCAGTGACCAAGGAATTTAATGTACCAGTTGAATGAAAGAAGTCTAAATTCACTCCTACTGGTAGGGAGTTAAATGAGGACTACTTTTTCCTATTCCTCCTTCTTTTCAATAGCTATTGGCCATCAAATAACAACTTCTAATATTTACTTTGGTATCCATTTTTAAAGTATGATCTTATTCATAAATATAGTCTATAATTTCTACTAGTAAGAATACATTTTCTAAATAACAAGAACAAATTGAATTTTTTTCAAAAAAATCTTCAACAGTTTTATTGAGCTATAATTCACATACCATGTAATTCACCCATTTAAAGTATTCAATTCAGCATTTTTAGTATAACTCACAGGGTTGTACAGCAATCACCGTAATCCAGCTTTAGACCATTTTCATCCCCCTAAAAGAAACTCATGCCTGTTAGCAGCCAATGCCCATTCTCCTCTTAACCCTCTATTTCTAGCCCTAGGTAACCACTAATTTACTTTCTGTCTCTACGGATTTTCCTATTCTGGACATTTCATATAAATAGAATCATACAAGATATGTTTTGTTTTGTTTTGTTACTAGCTTCTTTGACTTAGCATAACATTTTCAAGGGTTATCCCCGTTCTAGCATGTATCGGTATCTTATTTCTTTTTATTGCTGAGTAATAGTTATTGAGTGGGTATACTGTGTTTTATCTAGTCATCAGTTGGTGGGCATTTAGGTTGTTTCCACTTTTGGCTATTATGAATCATTCTTCTAAGAACATTTGTGTACACGTTTTTGGGTGGACACGTGTTTTTATTTCTCGTAGGTATAGTCTTAGGAGCAGTATTGCTGGATCATAGAACAAATGGAATTTAGTCATTTTTCCTTTAAAGTTTTATGATTATCTGATGCAACCATCTAAATCTTTTTGATCCAGATGTGGATGCCAACAGAGAGCTGCCACTCACACAGCCACCTTCAGCCCACTCATCTATCACCAGCGGAAGCTGCCCAGGAACTCTGGAAATGCGCAGGAGGCTATGCGAAGACTAGCCTCACAAGTATGATGGGATTCCCATGTTGGGGACATGGTAGTTCCATTTTAACATTAAGGAAGCAAAGATAGGGAGACCTTTGCCAAAGTGAACAAAAATACATAAAGGTACACCATGAAAGCGTGGAGGAAAGTTTCTCTTTCTTTACTATTCCTAGAAAAATATTATGTTGGGATCAGAACCTTAGAGTTGGAAAGACCCTTAGAAATAAAATCTTCTGGTGAATAAATAAAGAAGTTGAGACCCAAAGAAGTGGGTTGGTTGGTTTTGAGACGGAGTCTTGCTCTATTGCCCAGGCTGGAGTGCAGTGGTGCAATCTCGGTTCACTGCAACCTCTGTTTCCCAGGTTCAAATGATTCTCGTTCCTCAGCTTCCCTAGTAGCTGTAGATGGAACTACAGGTGCGTGCTACCATGCCAGACTAATTTTTTTTTTTTTTTTTGAGACGGAGTCTCGCTTTGTTGCCCAGGCTGGAGTGCAGTGGCACGATCTCGGCTCACTGCAAGCTTTGCCTCCCGGGTTCCTGCCATTCTCCTGCCTTAGCCTCCTGAGTAGCTGGGACTACAGGAGCCTGCCACCACAGCCGGCTAATTTTGTTTGTATTTTTTAGTAGAGACGGGGTTCCACCGTGTTAGCCAGGATGGTCTCGATCTCCTGACCTCGTGATCCATCCGCCTCGGCCTCCCAACATGCTGGGATTACAGGCGTGAGCCACAGCGCCTGGCCCCATCCCAGACTAATTTTTGTATTTTTAGTAGAGACGGGGTTTTGCCATGTCGGCCAGGGTGGTCTCAAACCCCTTACCACAGGTGATCTGCCCGCCTCGGCCTCCCAGAGTGCTGGGATTACAGGCATGAGCCACCGCGCCTGGCCAAAAGGGATATGTTTTACCCAACATCAGGGTATAAGTAATCAACAGTTTTTAATTTTCATTCCTAACTTAAAACTCTTCCTGCTATACTACACTGTCCATAATATCTTTTATACATTTGGGTTTGAAATTCATATTTTTCTCAAAATAACATAAGCACATAGAAAACCAAATAATGCTCAAAACCAGCAATTCTCTTCCTCTACCCCACCCATCTTCTCCCCAAAGGCAGCCACTTTCAACTCTTAAGGAAGTTTCTCTGATTTTCACCTCGATATTTCTAAATTCTACTTGTATACTGCTAAAACTTTTATTATTTTACATATTAACTATTGCTTCTTATTATAGATGATGGAAATTACAGCTCTTTTACCTTCCTTCTTCCTACCACCATCCCAACACAATTATTTCATGATTTTTGGCTGAACCATATTATAGTATTTTCAGTATTAATACTATGCAAATATAGTTCTCCCTGGAGCCAAGGGTAACATTTCCTTCTTGAACGACTTTGTTTTTCCTAGGGGTTTATGAAATGCCTCGTTTTAAAATTTGCTTATTTTTCTTCACATCATTGGCTAAGTCATTTCATAACCCTAATGTAGTTTTGTAAAATGTCTCTCAATACAATTTTCCACATTACCAGTTACGTTTTTTCTTTTTAACCTGGCAGGCATCCATCTTTTTTTTCTTTTTTCTTTTTTTTTTTTTTTCTTTTTTTGACAAGGAGTCCGGCTTTGTCGCCAGGCTGGAATGCAGTAGTGCGATCTCGGCTCACTGCAAACTCCACCTCCTGGGTTCAAGCGATGCTCCTGCCTCAGCCTCCCAAGTAGCTGGGACTATCACGCCCAGCTAATTTTTTTTTTTGTCTTTTTAGTAGAGATGGGGTTTCATGAGTCATCCGTCTTAGAGCCCTCCGTCGAGCTTAGTCTGGGCCTAGGACACTCTGAGGGCTTTCCACCTTGTTCTCCTGGAAGTTCCTGTCAGTTCTCTTCTGTGTTTCATCTATGTCATATTGTTTCTCGATTTGATTCTTCATTTTGGTGGAACATATCCTCCAGTAGCTTCCTAATAAAAAAATGCATAGGACGTAAGTTTTTTGAGACTTACTGTTTCTAAAAGCATCTTTTTTCTATGTTCATACTTGCTTATTTGTTTGACACAGTATATCATTCTAGGGTAAAAATTATTTTTTCTCAATTTTGAAGGCATTGTTCCATTGTCTTGAGCTTCCAATATTGCTATTAAATACTCTGGTACTATTCTTATTCCCAATCTTTTATATATACCTTGTTTTCTCTCCAGAAGCTTTTAGAATTTTTTTTTTTTTTTTTTTTTTTTTGAGACGGAGTCTTGCTCCGTCACCCAGGCTGGAGTGCAGTGGCGCGATCTTGGCTCACTGCAAGCTCCGCCTCCCAGGTTCACACCATTCTCCTGCCTCAGCCTCCTAAGTAGCTGGGACTACAGGCGCCCGCCACCACGCCCGGCTAATTTTTTTTGTATTTTTAGTAGAGACGGGGGTTTCACCGTGTTGGCCAGGATGGTCTCGATCTCCTGACCTCGTGATCCGCCCCCACCCCCAGCCTCCCAAAGTGCTGTGATTACAGGCGTGAGCCACCGCTCCCGGCCTAGAATCTTATTTTTATCACCATTGTTCTTGGGTCTTTTTTCATTTATTCTGTTGGTACGTAGCAAGCCCTGAGGATATTCTTTAATTCTGAGTAATGCTTTTGTATTATTTATGATAATTTCCTCACCACCCTTTCCTCTATTCTCTCCTTCTACAACTCGTATTAGTCAAAAATTAGATTTCTGGCTGGGCACGGTGGCTCATGCTTGTAATCCCAGCAGTTTGAGAGGCCAAGGTTGGTGGATCTTCTGAGGTCAGGAGTTTGAGAGCAGTCTGACCAACATGGCAAAACCCTGTCTCCAAAAAAATACAAAAATTAGCCAGGCGCAGTGGCAGGCGCCTGTAGTCCCAGCTTCTCAGGAGGCTGAGGCAGGAGAATCGTTTGAACCTGGGAGGCGGAGGCTGCAGTGATCCGAGTGGTTTCTCTAGGTTTTGAATCTGTTGCTACCCTGTGGGAATACACACAGAATTCACAAGACAAGGAGAACTTGGCTTCTGTCTACAGAAGAATTAATGTGTATTGTGGCTTAGTGCTACTTACATTATATTTGTTATATCATTTCTTCATTTTTACCTTAACCCTATGAGGTACATTATTATCTCATTTTACAGGGGAAGAAACAGTGGCTTCAGTGATTAATTTTTTCAACGTCATACTGTTAATAAATGTCAAAGCTAGGATTCAGAGTCAGTATTCTCCCCTATAAGGTGAATACTATTGTTATCCCCATTTTACAAATGAGGAAACAGAGGCTCTGAGATTAAATAACTTGCTTGAGACCATAAACTAGTACATGACTGAGTCAAGATTTAAACTGAGGCAGGCAGCCTCCAAGTCTATACTTTTAACCACTACGCGATGCTGCCTCTCTAGTGTGGCAGGAAGGATTTTTGTTTAGTGCTATTCTGGAAAATCCATCCATCATTGATTGTGGCTTCGAAGCAAGAAAGTTATAATGAAGGTGTACCTTTCAGTCATTTTGCTGACCTAAAGTTCTTTAAAAAAGGTTTTTATGCAACTAGAAGTTCCCAACACATTAAACAAGTTGTCACTGATTTACTGCTTAGATTAAGAAGCTAATATATCGAAATGAGCTCATTCTAGAAAATAGCTAATTTTAAGAAGAGTCACAGAGATACAAAAAGCAAAGGTTTTTATTTTCCCCCAAGGAAACCTATGTAAGAAAAAATTAAATGTCATCCTTGCCAAGAGACAAGTTCTGTACTATACTGGGGGGTGTCAAATGATCATGGTTCCCAAAATTGTTGCTGTCACTATTAAAGCTGTCAGCCAAAGAAGTAATCATTTCAGTAATCCTATAATATTAAGCATTTTAAACATAATGTGGAAAAGTAAGCCAGAAACACACACACATACATACACAGAAAATGAAGAACAATAATGAAGAACAAGATTTTATTTGTGTTGTGGCGATTTTTTTTTAAATATTTACATTTAGGAGAAATGAGATCCAAACTAAACAACAAATACCCCATAGATGATGTTTTATAAAATTTGTCTAGGGCTTTTCTCTAAAAATTAATACTGAAGTTTTATTTTCAGACCCAGATTTCATCTACATTTGGGATACTGAATATGGGAAAACAGCCTTGTTGTTCATCGTTAATTTCCATATTATTTTTATTTTCTACCTCTTCCACTGGAATGGGTCAGTGATTAAATGTTCACCACTGTATCCCCAGCTCCTACACAATGCATGGCACATAAATATTTGAATGAAGAAACTCTAGTCAATTCTCTGTACTGAGTAATCTTTCTAAAACATTTGCTTTTGCTACTTAAAGCCAGCAAATAGCTCCTCCTTGCCCTTGAATGAAATCCAAACTCTCTTCTTAAAATATTATATGAATTGTAATGAAAGGACCTTTGCTTTCGCCAGGACCAGATATTTTAGACCACATAATTCTTTGTGTGTGGGGGCGGGGGTGAGGGGGGCAAGGGCAAGGCAGATGTTGTCCTGTCTACTGTAGGATATTTAGAAGAACTATCCTTGATCTCTGTCTACTACCAATAGCACTGTCTCAACCCCTAGTTAAGACAACAAGAAATGTCTCCAGAAATTGCCAAATGTTTCCTGGGGAGCAAAACCAGTGCAGGTGGAAAACCCCTACCATGCCCTATCTTCCATCATTCCCCACTCACTTATACTCTAACCACACAGAAATTGATTTTAGTTCCTTGAAAGTAAAAAGCTATGTCTTGCCTTAGGGCCTTTGCACACACTGTTTTCCTCTGCCTGGAAAACTACCACACCTTGGTTCACTCCTTGTCCTCCTTCATGTCTCAGCTTAAATATTGCTTCTTCTAAGAAGCTTTTTCTGACTCTCCTAAATTACCTTAAGGTGCCCCAGCTGTGTGTTGCCCCAGCACACTATATTTCCTCTCTTCTAGTACTTATCACACTATTATTATTACTTGTTTAATTGCCTCTGTTTCCTGCTAAACTGTGGAGGGTAGACAAGGGTCATAACTATATTATTCATTATTATAGCTCCAGAACCTAGCACAATGCCTGGCATACAATGTTCAATTAATATTTGCAAATGAGTGAAAATGCCAGTATTTTCCATTAGGAAATCTTGCAGCATTCAGCTGGGTGCTTATACATAATAGTGGTTCTCGACGAATGTATAAGTCAAATCAGAATCAGATTCATGTGCCCCAGGAATGAATCTTGTTAGAGAATATGGAATTCCACCAATCCTCTGAGAGAGTTTCATAAACTGGGGATTGAATGTACATAGACTGTTTATATTGTGCCAGATCTGTTTCTCTAGGAATGCCAGATGAACTAAATAAATTAGCCACTTTTCTTTAAAATTTGTATTTGGTATTGGCCCTAACCTCCTTTGGCTCAAGTAATCAGTAATCTATAATTGAATAGTAACAATCTACAAGATACAGCTATTTAGATCTAGAATTATAACAAAGCTAAGCATTACCCTCAACTCTGCTATAGTTAATTAAACAACAGGGCTCTTACTACCACCCATTGAAGCTTACTATAAAGCCTAAATCAAAACAGTGTGTTACTAGTACACAAATAGACAATAAACAAGTGGAATAGAACAAAAAGTTCAGAATTAGACCCAAGGGCATGCAACACTTAGTGTATGACAAAGGTGGCATTCAGATCATTGGGATAAAGGTGGGCTTTTTAATTAAATGAGCTGAGACAACTAAGTAACCATATAGATAACTCGTATCTCACACCATGCTCAAGAATACACAAATGGATTAAGGATCTAAAGGGTCTGAATATCTAAAGATAAAACCATGCAACTAATGGAAGAAAACTTAGTAACTTTTTATTTAACCTTGGTGAAGAGAAAGGCTTTCTAAGATCTAAATCTAGAGGAACAGAAGAAAAGATTGACAAATTTGGCCACATGAAAAAAATTTACCAGCCTGGACAACATAGTAAGACCCTGTTTCTACAAAAAAAAAAAAAAAAGAAAACAACTAGCCAAGCGTAATGGTGCATGCCTATAGTCCCAGCTACTAGGGAGGCTGAGGTGGAAGGATTGTTTGAGCCCAAGAGGTCGGGGCTGCAATGAGCCAAGATCATGCCACTGCACTCCAGCCTGGGTGATAGAGTGAGACTCTGTCTCAAAAAATAAAAAATAAAACTTTTAATGTTGCATGACCAAAAAAATACCACAAAGTCAAAAGACAAAGACAACTGATAAACTGAGATAAAATATTGACAAAATACCTCAAAAGTACAGGCAACAAAAGGAAATACAGACAAATGGGATGACATCTAAACTAAAAATCTTCTGCACAGCAAAGGAAACAATTAACAAAGTGAGGAGACAATCCACCGAATGGGAGAAAATGTTTGCAAACCATACGTCTAGTAAGGAGTTAATATCCAGAATGTAAAAGGAACTCAAACAATTCAACAGCAAGAAAACAACTTGATTAAAAAATGGGCAAATGACCTAAACAGACATTTCTCCAAAGAAGGCATACGAATGGCCAATAGGTACGTGAAAAAAATGCTTAGCATAACTAATCATTAGGGAAATGCAAATTAAACCACAACGAGATATAATCGCACACCAATTAGAATGACTTTTACCAAAAAGATGAAAGATAAGTGTTGGCAAGAATGTGGAGAAAAGGGAACTCTTTACTTTGTTGGTGGGAATGTAAATTAGTGCAGCCATTATCGAAAACAGCATGGACATTCCTCAAAAAACTGAAAAAAGAACTATCACATAATCCAGTAATCCTGCTTCTAAGTATATATCCAAAGAAACGGAAATCAATGTCAAAGGGATACCTGCACTCCCATGTTCATGACAGCATTATTCACAGTAGCCAAGCTGTGGAACCAACTTGAACCAACCAAGCTGAATGGATTTTTTAAATGTATTATTTTTTAAAAAGCAGTTTGGAAATTTCTCAAAGAACTTAAAACAGAGCTACCATTCAACCCAGCAATCCCATTACTGGGTGTATACCCAAAGGAATATAATTTGTTCTACCATAAATACATGTGTGCACGTGTTCATCACAGCACTTTTCACAATAGCAAAGCCATGGAATCAACCTAGATGCCCAACAGTGGTGGCCTGGATAAAGAAAATGTGGTACATATACACTATGGAATATTGTGCAGCCATAAAAAAGGAATGAAATCATTCATGTCCTTTGCAGCAACATGGATGCAGCTAGAGGCCATCATCCTTAGCAAATTAAAACAGGAACAGAAAACTAAATATTGCATGTTCTCACTAAGAAATGGGGGCTAAACATAGAGTACCCATGGACACAAAGAAGAGAACAACAGACACTGGGGCTCACTTAAGGGTGGAGAGTAGGAAGAGGGTGAGGATCAAGAAACTACCTATCAGGGGCCGGGCACCGTGGCTCATGCCTGTAATCCCAGCACTTTGGGAGGCCCAGGTGGGTGGATCATCTGAAGTCAGGAGTTTGAGACCAGCCTAGCCAGCATGATGAAACTCCATCTCTACTAAAAATACAAAAATTAGCTGGCCATGGCGGCAGGGGCCTGTAATCCCAGCTAGTCAGGAGGTTGAGGCAGGAGAATCTCTTGAACCTGGGAGGCAGAGGTTGCAGTGAGCCAAGATGGCGCCATTGCACTCCAGCCTGAGGGATGGGGCGAGACTCCATCTCAAAAAAAAAAAAAAAGAAAGAAGGTAAAAAGAAACTACCTATCAGGTACTATGCTCACTACATGGATGACAGTCATTGGTACACCAAACCCCACACAATGTATCCATGTGACAAACCTGCCCATGCACTCCCTGAACCTAAAATAAAAGTTGGAAGAAAAAATAAACAGAATTTTAAAATGTGATATGTGTATGGATATGTTATGTGTGTGCGTGTGTGTCTGTGTGTGTGTTAGTAATGAACAGACTCCACAATAAAGGACTCAAAGTGAGTAATCAGCATCTAACTTGGCACTGTTTCTTGGGTCTCCTTTGCAATCAGCCCCACTGAATTCAGAAATGCCAGCAGCCATTTCACAAACCCAGGCGGCCACACAGGCCCCACTGCCTCCATTCCCACCACTATGGCCAGTTGAAGTGACACACGCAACTCATCTTCCTGGCCAGGGCCATTCGAGAGCAACAATAGATTTTCAGTGTAGACAAAACAGCCTTCTATGGGAAGATGGTGCTGTCTAGGACTTTTATAGCTATAGAGAAGTCAATGTCTGCCTTCAAAGCTTCAAAAGACAGGCTGACTCTCTTGTTAGGGGCTAATGTAGCTGGTGACTTTCAGTTAAAGCCAGTGTTCATTTACCACTCCAAAAATTCTAGGGCCCTTAAGAATGATGCTAAATCTACTCTACCTGTGCTCTATAAATGAAACGACAAAGCCAGAGTAACAGCACATCCATTTACAGCATGGATTACTGAGTATTTTAAGCCCACTGTTGAGATCTATTCAGAAAAAACATAACTTTCAGAATACTACTCCTCATGGACTGTACATCTAGTCACCTAAGAGCTCTGATGGTGACGTGCAAGGAGATTATTGTTGTTGTCATGCCTGCTAACACAACATCCGTTCTTTAGCCCATGGATCAAGGAGTAACTTTACTTTCAAGTCTTGTAATTTAAGAAACACATTTCATAAGGCTAGAGCTGCCATAGATAGTGATTGTTTTGATGGATCTAGGCAAAGTAAATTGAAAAGGAGTTTCTTTTTTTTTTTTTTTTTTTTTTGAGACTCAGTCTTGCTCTGTCTCCCAGGCTGGAGTGCAGTGGCACAATCTCAGCTCACTGCAACCTCCACCTCCCGGGTTCATGCCATTCTCTTGCCTCAGCCTCCCAAGTAGCTGGGACCACAGACACCCGCCACCACCTCTGGCTAATTTTTTTTTTTTTTTGTATTTTTAGTAGAGACGGGGGTTCACCATGTCAGCCAGGATGGTCTCGATCTCCTGACGTCGTGATCCGCCTGCCTCAGCCTCCCAAAGCGCTGAGATTACAGGCGTGAGCCACCGTGCCCGGCCTGAAAAGGATTTCCAAGATTTTCATCTGGAAAGGATTTACCATTCTAAATGCCATTAAGAAGATGTGATTCATAGGAGGTCAATATCAACATTACTAGGAATTTGGAAGAAATTGATTTCAACCATCATGGATGACCTTGAGAGGTTCAAGACTTCAGTGGAAGAAGTAACTGGAGATGTGGCAGAAATAGTAAGAGAACTAGAATTACAAGTGGAGCCTGAAGATGTGACTGAATTGTTATAATCTCATGATAAAACTTGAATAGATGTGGAGTTGCTTCCTATGGAAGAGCAAAGGAAGTGGCTTCTTAAGATGGAGTCTATACTTAGTGAAGATGCTGTGAGCATTGTAAAAATAACAATAAAGGCTTTAGAATATTACATATCCCCTGGAAAGGGGGCTGAAGCCAGGGAGCCAAGTGGTGTTGCTCAGCGGGTCCCACTCCCACGGAGCCCAACTAGATGAGAACCACTGGCTTGAAATTCTCACTGCCAGCACAGCAGTCAGAAGTCGACCTGGGACAATGGAACTTGGTTGGGGGAGGGGCGGTCGCCATAACCAAGGCTTCAGTAGGCAGTTTTCACCTGACAGTGCTGAGACTGGGAGGTTTGGACTGGGTGGAATTCACCACAGTGCAGCAAAGCGGCTGTGGCCAGACTGCTTCTCTAGATTCCTCCTCACTAGGCAGGGCATCTCTGCAGGAAACGTGGCAGCTCCAGTCAGGGGCTTACAGATAAAACTCTCATCTCCCTGGGACAGAGTACCTGGGGGAAGGGGCGGCTGCAGTCACAGCTTCAGTGGACTGAATCTTTCCTGCCTGACGGCTCTAAAGAGAGTGGCTGATCCTCACAAGGAGGATTCTCCCAGCACAGCACACCAACTCTGCTAAGGGACAGACTGCCTCTTCGAGCGAGTCCCTGACCCCCGTGCCTCCAGACTGGGAGAGACCTCCCAACAGGGGTTGACAGACACCTCATACAGGAGCGCTCCGGCTGGTATCAGGCCGGTGCCCCTCTGGGATGAAGCTTCCAGAGGAAGGAACAGGCAGCAATCTTTGCTGTTCTGCAGCCTCCACTGGTGATACCCGGGTGAACAGGGTCTGGAGTGGACATCCAGCAAACTGCAGCAGACCTGCAGAAGAGGGATCTAACTGTTAGAAGAAAAACTAACAAAGAGAAAGCGGCAACAACAACAACATCAACAAAAACAACCCCCCAACAAAACCCCATCCAAAGGTCATCAGCCTCAAAGATCATAAATCCACAAAGATGAGGAAAAACCAATGCAAAAACGCTGAAAATTCCAAAAACCAGAATGCCTCTTCTCCTCCAAATGATCGCAACACCGCTCCAGCAAGGGCACAAAACTGGATGGAGAATGAGATTGACAAATTGACAGAAGTAGGCTTCAGAAGGTGGGTAATAACAAACTCCTCTGAGCTAAAAGAGCATGTTCTAACCCAATGCAAGGAAGCTAAGAACCTTGATAAACGGTTACAGGAACTGCCAACTAGAATAGCCAGTTTAGAAAGGAACATAAAACATAGCACGAGAACTTCGTGAAGCATACACAAGTATCAATAGCCAAAGTGATCAAGTGGAAGAAAGGATATCAGAGATTGAAGACCATCTTGCTGAAATAAGGCATGCAGAAAAGATTAGAGAAAAAAAGAGTGAAAAGGAATGAACAAAACTTCCAAGAAGTATGGGACTATGTGAAAAGACCAAATGTACAATTGATTGGTGTACCTGAAAGTGACAAGGAGAATGCAACCAAGTTGGAAAACACACTTCAGGATATTATCCAGGAGAACTTCCCCAACCTAGAAAGACAGGCCAACGTTCAAATTCAGGAAATACAGAGAACACTACAAAGATACTCCCTGAGAAGAGCAACCCCAAGACACATAATCGTCAGATTCTCCAACGTTGAAATGAAGGAAAAATGTTAAGGGCAGCCAGAGAGAAAGGTCAGGTCACCTACAAAGGGAAGTCCATCACACTGACAGCAGATCTCTCAGCAGAAACTCTACAAGCCAGAAGAGAGTGGGGGCCAATATTCAACATTCTTAAAGAGGCCAGGTATGGTGGCTCACACCTGTAATCCCAGCACTTTGGGGTCACCTGAGGTCAGGAGTTCAAGACCAGCCTGGTCAACATGGTGAAACCCCGTCTCTACTAAAAATACAAAAACTAGCCAGGCATGGTGACTTGTGCCTGTAGTCCCAGCTACTTGGAGGCTGAAACATGAGAATTGCTTGAACCCAGGAGACAGACGTTGCAGTGAGCCAACATGGCGCCACTGCACTCCAGCCTGGGTGACAGAGTGAGACTCCACCTCAAAAAAAAAAAAAAAAAGAAAGAAATTCTTAAAGAAAAGAATTTTCCACCCAGATTTTCATATCCATCCCAACTAAGCTTCAGAAGCAGAGGAGAAATAAAATCCTTTCCAGACAAGCAAATGCTAAGGGATTTCATCACCACCAGGCCTGCCTTGCAGGAGCTCCTGAATGAAGCACCAAATACGGAAAGGAAAAACCAGTACCAGCCACTGCAAAAATACACCAAAATATAAAGACTAGTGACACTATGAAGAAACTGCATCAACTAGTGTGTAAAATAATCAGCTAGCATTGTGATGACAGGATCAAATTCACACAACGTTCAGCCAAGAGCACAGATGGTTTTTTAAATGAAATCAGTAAAAGAATGCTTTGTCTAAATATCACAATTTTTTTTTTTTTTGAGATGGAGTCTTGCTCTGTCACCCAGGCTGGAGTGCAGTGGCATGATCTCGGCTCACTGCAAACTCCGCCTCCCGGGTTCACGCCATTCTCCTGGCTCAGCCTCCCTAGTAGCTGGGACTACAGGTGCCCGCCACTACGCCCGGCTAATTTTTTTTTTTTTTTTTTGTATTTCTAGTAGAGACGATGGGGTTTCACCATGTTAGCCAGGATGGTCTTGATCTCCTGACCTCGTGATCCGCCCGTCTCTGCCTCCCAAGTGCTGGGATTACAGGCATGAGCCACCGTGCCTGGCCTAAATATCACAATTTTTATCTTTAAAATGATATCTTCTTACTTTAGGATTTTACAGCTGATTTGCTCAGCTGTGCTTAGCCTCAACGTGTGGAATCAACTGAAGTGAAACATGATGAAAGTTTACATTGATTTAGAGGTTCACTGTTTGCTTATTAGCAAAGGAGATTTGTACCCAGGTAGACATACGCCGTGGCATTCACTGTTCATTGAAAGGACAGATCAATTGCTGACAAGTTTTCTCTTTAGGTTCCTTACGTTGTGTTTAAGATAGTTAAAATGAAATAGGTAAAATAATCACCAATCTATCTAAAGAAGAGAGTGGAGATTTTTAAAATGCAACCTCTGATTTCCAGTTTCCACATTGTGCTCAGACTTCATTGCTTCACTCACAAGCAATTCCTATCTTCATCTTTATATATGTAGTAACGTTTCCTGTGGTGTTTTTTTTTCTCTTTAATGAGAAGGATTTCAGGTGTTTAGGCATGATGTGGCTTATTCAAGAATAAAAGGAAAAAGAGAAAGAGGAAAGAGGAATCCATGGATTAAAAGATTTAAAAGACATCGACTAATCATAATGTGTGCATCTTATTTCAATCCTGATTTAATCAACTTTAGAAAAGGCTTTTTGACATAAAACAGTTGAAAATTTGAACACTGACTGAATATATAATGATATTAAAGAACAATTGTTTTAAGAAAGATAGAGATAATGTGTGACCAGCGCTTGATAAAGAAGAACCCAACCCAAAATCTATTATTAGAGAAGGCTGCGGAGTATGAGAGAAACAGACTGTGCTGGGAATCCTAACCCTGGCGTGGCCATCAGTGCGCTGTGGCCTTGGCTGAATCCCTTTCCCTGCCCAGACCTTGGTTTTCCCATCTATGAAGTGAAGGAGGGGACCCAAGGGGCCTGTTTAACTCTGGCTTTCTTTTGCTTTGTCCTCCTGTCATGGGCGGCCATGGAGCCTTTAACTCAGGGCCTGTATCAACACCACCATGCATCCACGAGAGAGTAAAATGGGCAGAAGAGTGCTTGATGGGCACAAGCCCAGAGCTGTTGGCTTCTGCAGAACCCAGAACAGGAAGGGTCACCTCCCTGAGGCACCTGGCCTGGAGAATCAACTGCCTGATCCCAGGTATGCCAGGTCAAAGCCAAGGGGAAGGAGAGAAACTGCTGGAGGACTTTCTCTCACAAACCGTGGGCATGTGTTATCTGCCTACCAGGATGCTTTCACCGTGTTCTGATGCTTGAGAACTTCTGGTGAGTTCCCTGGGCCTCCATCCTGGTCTGGTTACCTTCTCAGGACTCCAGGTGAGTTGGGCTGCATGTGACAGACCCATGTGTGTGCAAATGAACAATGTCACTGGATTGCTACATCACTGACCCTTCAATTCCTTGTTGCTGGCCTCTGCCCACCTGCCTTTCAGATACCGTCATTATGAAAGTATCATCCTTAACACAGAACCTCACACACTATAAGTGCTCCATGTAAAGCAGTGAAGGGGTGGAGAGGGGAACCTCCCTCTAGGACCATCATAGATGCTTAACATTCTCTTGAAGCCTGACAAGCTTTCTCCAGAAGGCTGAACTATAATACTCACCATCTGCTACCAACACCAACCAGTTTAACACATGAACTAAATAACCAAGAAAGAAAAACACTTCCCTTTAAGTGGGTACTGCAGAGCAGTAGCTAGATCCATACGTTAGTGTCAAATCTGGATTCAAATCCTGCACTGCCTCCTATCAGCTCTGTGACTTTGGGCGTTTCTTAACTTCTCTGCAGCTTATTCAGTAAGAATGCTGTGAAGATGAGATTATTTCCTTCATACAGTGTTTGGCATTGTGCCTCACCCACTGGGAGGGCTCAATGTGTGTCCACAACTGCTTTTCTTTTTCTTTTCTTTTTTTTTTTTTTTTGAGACTGTGTTACTCTCACACCCAGGCTGTAGTGCAATCATAGCTCACTGCAGCCTCAAACTCCCAGGCTCAAGGGATCCTCTTCCCTCAACCTCAGGAGTAGCTGCGACTACAGGCCACCACACCTGGCTAATTTTTGTAATTTTTTGTAGAGATGGGGCCTCGCCATGTTGCGCAGGCTGGTCTTGAATTCCTGGGCTCAAGTGATCCACCCACCTTGGCCTCCCAAAGTGTTGGGATTACAGATGTGAGCTGCGCCTGGACCTTTAGGCATTTTTTAACCTCTCTGTGGTTTATTTTGTTTTGTTTTGTTTTTGAGACGAGTCTCGCTCTGTCTCCCAGGCTGGAGTGCAGTGGCGTGATCTTGGCTCACTGCAAGCTCCGTCTCCTGGGTTCACGCCATTCTCCTGCCTCAGCCTCAGGAGTAGCTGGGACTACAGGCGCCCGCTACCACGCCCGGCTAATTTTTTGTATTTTTAGTAGAGACGGGGTTTCACCGTGTTAGCCAGGATGGTCTCGATCTCCTGACCTCATGATCCACTCGCCTCGGCCTCCCAAAGTGCTGGGACTACAGGCGTGAGCCACTGCACCCCGCCACCTCTCTGCAGTTTATTTAGTAAGAGTGCTGTGAAGATGAGATGACTGCCTGCATAGAGTGTTCCGCATCATGCCTCACACACTGGGATGGCTCAATGTATGCTCACAATTTGCTTTTTTTTCTTTTTCTTTCTTTCTTTTTTTTTTTTTCTTTGAGATGGAGTTTCTATCTGTCACCCAGGCTGGAGTGCAGTGGCATGATCTGGGCCCACTGCAACCTCTGCCTCCCAGGTTTAAGTGATTCTCCTGCCTCAGCCTCCCGAGTAGCTGGGATTACAGGCACACACCACCACACCCAGCTAATTTTTGTATTTTCAGTAGGGACGGGGTTTTGCCATGTTGGTCAGGCTGGTCTCGAACTCCTGAGCTCAAGTGATCCACCCGCCTCAGCCTCCCAAAGTGCTGGATTACAGGACTGAGCCACAGCGCCCAGACCACTATTGCTTTTTGGGGGGAAGCTTCTATTGCAGCACCGTAAGGGGGCTCCACCATCATATTTTCCTACCCCTCAATTGAACCTTCTCTCTTTTCCCTATTTCTTATAAAAATTACCTTTCAGTGTGTCGTTTTCTCAGGGACATGCTAACCTGTGATGTTGCAGCGTCTGATGATGCAACTTTGACGGGCTTTATAATCGTGGATTTCAGGCAAGCTGGGAGGCCTTCCAAAGGCCCTTGAGAACCACAACTTTTTTTTTTTTTTTTTTTGAAACCAAGTCTCACTCTTGTTGCCCAGGCTGGAGTGCAGCGGTGCAATCTCAGCTCACTGCAACCTTCACCTCCTGGGCTCAAGCAAATCTCCTGCCTCAGCCTCCTGAGTAGCTGGGACTACAGGCGTGTGCCACCAGGCCCAGCTAATTTTTTGTATTCTTAGGAGAGATGGGTTTTGCCATGTTGGCCAGGCTGATCTCGAACTCCTGACCTCATGTGATCCACCGGCCTGGGTCTCCCCAAGTGTTGGGATTACAGGCGTGAGCCACTGTGCCCAGCCTGAGAACCACAACTCTTTGGTGACATCTGCAATCCTCCATATCAGCCCTGCAGATAACAGACAGGGAACTATGGCTGCTGTCTCACTGGAGTCAGGATATCCTTTTAAAAAGAAATGGGAGTGCCAGGCGCCATGGCTCACGCCTGTAATCCCAGCACTTCGGGAGGCCGAGGTGGGTGGATCACCTGAGGTCGGGAGTTCGAGACCAGCCTGACCTACATGGAGAAACCCCGTCTCTACTAAAAACACAAAATTAACCAGGCGTGGTGGTGCATGCCTGTAATCCCAGCTACTCAGGAGGCTGAGGCAGGAGAATCGCTTGAACCCGGGGGCGAAAGTTGCGGTGAGCCGAGATCGCGCCAATGCACTCCAGCCTAGGGAACAAGAGCGAAACTCCATCTCAAAAAAAAAAAAAAAAAAAAATCTGGGAGCACAGAGAGCTCTCCTGGTGTTGGGGGACCAACAAGGTGGAATCAAGAGCCACAGACCAGGGCCCAAGTCCCAGCGGTAACTGAGTATTATGGGGGTATTAACGCCCACCGCCCACCGCCCAGGATAGGGAGCACAGAGCAGAGAATTCTAAGCATTCAAGCCCTGAAACGCCCACTTCCTCTACCTGAGTCGCTGCTGTCCTCTAGTGTCCACTGGATAAATTGCACAGCACGCTGGCCTGAAGAAGGGGAAGTGGGAGATGCTTTTCCCCCACTTCTGAATCTATCTGATGCTGTGGTTCTCAACCATGCCCACCCATAACTTCCTTTTCATAAAATATATTTTGTATAATTACAGTAATTTTTAAACATTTTAGGCAGATGTATTGAGGTATTGACATATAATAAACTGTGCATATATAGAGATTACAATTTGGTAACATCTGACCCTTGGTATACACCTGAAATCATTATCACAATCAAGATAGTGAAGATATCCGTTCCCACAAAAAGTTTCCTTGTTGCCCTTGGTGATCCTGCTTCCTGCTCTTTCTACCTCCCCACCCCCAAGCAACTACTGATCTGCTCTCTTTTTTTCTTTTCTTTCGTTTTTATTTTATTTATTTATTTTTTTAAGATGGAGTCTTGCTCTGTCTCCCAGGCTGGAGTGCAGTGGCATGATCTTGGCTCACTGCAACCTCCACCTCCTGGGTTCGAGTGATTTTTGTGCCTCAGCCTCCCGAGTAGCTGGGATTACAGGTGCGTGCCAACAGGCCTGGCTAATTTTTATATTTTTAGTAGAGACAGGGTTTCACTTTGTTGACCAGGCTGGTCTCGAACTCCTCACCTCAAGTGATTCGCCCACCTCAGCCTCCTAAAGTGCTGGGATTACAGGTGTGAGCCACTGTACCCTGCCCTGATCTGCTTTCTATCATCATAGGTTAGTTTATATTTTCTAGTGCTTTCTAGAAATGGAATCATACAGTGTGTACTCTTTTTTGTCAAGCTTCTTTCACTCAGTATAATTATTTTGAGTTTTATCCATGTTGTTTTGTGTGGCAATAGTTCATTACTTTTTAAAATTTTAGTTGTAGTTTTTGTGGGTACATAGTAAGTGTATATATTTATGGGGCACCTGAGATGTTTTGATACAGGCATACAATACATAATAAAGACATCATGGAGAATGGGGTATCCATCCCCTCAAGCATTTACCCTTTGTGTTAAATATTTCATGGCAAAGTTATCTTGGGGTAAACACTGCAGCTGCAGGTGCCACCAGTGAGTATTCTCTGGGCAAACAGAAAAAGGGTTAAACAAATCACATTACACATTACTCTAAAATTTGTATCTATGTCTAGCCCTCAGACAAACCATGATGCCTGTTCTTTACATTGGTGGTCACTGAATGCTAGAATTATGAATTTAAAATTAATAAAAATTAATCAAGTTTTCAAAAATCAAAATAAAATGGATTTATTTCAATCATTTTGACGTAAAAATTTGACTAATTCTAATTTGTATGTTGCCTTTTGGTTTAATGGATACTTTTCAATAGTTGAAAAGAAAACTAACTTTTGGGAAAATATTCCTGATAAAATTAAATTTTTTACATAAACATAATTTTGATGAAAATATTAAGATATTTGTACTTTGAATATGATTGTTTTAATCCTTACATGTATTTTCAAATCTTGATAATAATAACATAATTACCGATTTTGCTGAAAGATAAGAAAAATACATTTCATGGAATAGTTTCAGTAATTTATAAATTCCACATCTTTATTACTCATCCCAATATTGTCAGCCCATCAACAGAGCACCCAGACATGCGCAATAAACATGAAATTTCATGATCTTTGACATTTTGCTAACTTTCTGTCATATACAAATCATAGCTTCATATATATTTTAAAATTTTATCCTTTTAAAGGCATATTTGTCAGAGGATGAGGATAGGACATACTTTAACATACATAACATAACATAATCGGCCGGGCGTGGTGGCTCACGCCTGTAATCCTAGCACTTTGGGAGGCCGAGGCAGGCAGATTGCCTGAGCTCAGGAGCTCAAGACCAGCCTGGGCAACAAGGTGAAACCCTGTCGCTACTAAAATACAAAAAAAAATTAGCCAGGCATGGTGGCATGCACCTGTAGTCCCAGCTACTCGGGAGGCTGAGGCAGAATTGCTTGAACCCAGGAGGCAGAGGTTGCAGTGAGCCGAGATCACTCCAGAGTGAGACTCCATCTCTAAAAAAAAAAAAATACAAATCATAGCTTCATACACATTTTAAAATTTTATCCTTTTAAAGGAATATTTGTCAGAGTATGAGGGTAGGACATACTTTAACAGTCTGTTAGTTTAATTTATAACTTGCAAATATTGAGACAGATGGCCTATGGTATCCATCTGTCCTCTTGCCCTGAGCTGACTTGACTCATGGGTCCCAGCTTGGGTTTTCCAGTTGTTTGAATGGGTAGGAATCTACCCATGTTTGCCACAGCTAGGGGGCTGGAGGTGGAGGGTCCCTCTGGACCCCCTTTGAATGACCATAACTTCAGAGCCTATCAAAGAGACTAAATATTCTGCAGCCCAGCAGGAGGTCCCAACCCAGCCTCCAGAGGGAGTGGAAACTTCTGCAAACCAACAGGATTAAACTGAGGCTCATGTGACTTCCTTGGGAGACCATCCTCTCTCAGATCTTAAGTTTCAGAGATCAAATTTCCAAGCATGTGGTCCTTGGCTATGGAAACCTTTCCTCCTGCCCAGGACTCTCACTCTACAGAGACGAGTTCATTCAGGTCATCTGAAGCCCATGTAGATTTTTGGCCACAAATGGTTTCTCATAAAGTGGTGCCCCCAGCATGTTCAGCCTCCCCTCTGCCCCTGCAGGCCTTCTATCCCAGGGTGCCATGCACTGCTGCCCTGCTGGGAAGAGAAGTCTGGAGGGGCACGGGGCAGCACTGCCCACTCAGAAGCCCCTTGTCCTATTTTTCTGTCAGATCCTGCCTCCCTGTTTCAGAGGGAAGAGTGGGCCGTCAGTAACAAGATGTTTTCTCCCTTGCCTCTTTTTTGCTACAGTTGGTAGAAATTTCTCCCAGACTTCCTCGGTGACTAATGATGTTGGGATGTTGTGGCCTTCACAGGGAGGGGACAGGGTGTCAGGTCACCATATCACAGATGGTTGACCCCATGCCGACTACAACTGGCTCTTTTGGCTGCAAGTGACAGAAACCCAACTCAAACTTGTTCTGTGAGTGGGGACATTTATTGAATCTCAGAATTGAAGGGAGGGGAAGGGTGTGTTTGGGTCCCAGAAAGGGTGGACCCTGGGGCTGGAATCCCGTCCAGACTCCGCTCCCTCTTCACGGAGGCTTAGCACCTTAGATGGGCTATGTCCTCTGGCCCTGCACACATGGGCTTCCTGTTGGAAGCTGAGCAGCTCCACCAGCTTCCGTTTACAAATATAGTGACTGGCACACAAGCATTCCTATGCTTATGGGGGGTGGTGGGGGGCAGGACCCCAGGACTGGCAGCCCCCACTAAAACCCCATGAGGGAAGGAGTCCCCCCAAAGGTGGTGCTGTTCCCAAAAATGAAGGAAACAGCCAGTGCTCTCCACCCTATCCCACCCGGCCATTTTCCTCACAGATGTCACCTGTCCTCCCAGGCCCAGCTGCTACTTCTGCCTGATGCTTGGCCAATTTGCCTGGTTAAAACCAGTGTATTTCCAGGAGATGGATGACGTCACAGAACTGGGGTTCCAGAAGCCTTCTTTAGAACATGGAGAGCTGTTAGTTGGGCAGGGCTGAAGTGTATGTGGTGAGGAAGAAGAGGCTCCTACTGTAGACAGCCTTGTTCTACAGATCCTCCCAGAAATCTCTGGGCCAGGTGGAACCCAGGGTCAGAGAGGGATGGGAGAGAGGTAAGCTGTGGAAGGGGTGGGAACATACCTTCTGGAGCCACTGTCTTCCTTGAGGGGACCCTGAGAGGGGGCTTAATGGGCAGGGATGGAGCTTCCTGCTTCCCGAGGCTCAGTGACATCTATCTCTGAGGGACCCTCCTGAGTCAGTGTGGAGTAGGTTGTTTGTCTGAAATTCTAATTTAACAGGGCATCTTGTAAATTTTATTTGCCAAATCTGTCAGCTCTGGGGGTAGAATGATGGGAGAAGCAAAAGAATGGCCCGAAGCTCAGGCTGGTGTGGAACGAGTCTCAGATAGAACAAGAGACAGAAGCAGCCTCATTGTCTGAAGTAAATACCAAGGTTCGTGGTCTCACGTTTAAGGAGATCGAGGTCGCAGACACACACGCACACAGAGTGAGTTTGGAGCAGGAGTTTAATAGGCAAAAGGAAAGAACAGCTCTCTGTCACAGACAGAGGTCCCAGGCAGGTTGCCAGGTGGTAGTAAAAACGTCAGGGTTTTATAAATGGGCTAGAGAGGGGCATTCATGAGGAGGGGATGTCTTATCCTCCTAGAGCCCGATGGTTCAGTTGGGACCAGGTGTGCTATCTGTATAGAGCAGAGTTTTTAATAGGCTCTCACCCCATTCCCGACCACATCAACTTTTAGTCTGTGTCTCTTTGTCTTGCTTATCTGGGAGCGAGAGTTTCTGTGTCTATTCCCACACATCTTGCAGCTGTAGGCATACCCATCGATTCTGCTTTTAGCTTCCCTATCTTAGCGCGCCTAAAGAGAAAGGAATGTAGTTATTAAGGCCCACTGTTTTACTGGGGCCCATTGTATAAGTGTGAAGTTTGGTGATTACCCAGGAGACTTCCCCCATCCTTCTGTGCCTGAGCTCTTATCTGTTTTTACCCTTTGCTCTTTCAGGCTGGTTGTTGTTAGAAGAAAAGTGATTTCCTTGAACTGCGTGAGGTTAGAAAGGGAGCTATCTTTGAGCTGCTTTGCGTTAAAAGGAAAGTTTTCTGCTGGGGATTCACTTTACCCTAACTGTCTACCTAAGTAGTTTCTTTCTGCCTCCTATAACAAGACCAGAGAAGAAACAAGCCCACCAGGGTAGCCATCTTGTCCAAGCAGAAGCCGCCTGACACTTGAAGGCGGCGGGTGGAAGAACTCAGGCTTCTGCCCCCTCAGCAGCATATACCTAAGTTAAGGGGAAAAACACACCTTCCCTCAGTGACAGAAATAGTCCCAGGTTTTCAGATTTATTGGAAGTATTATTTCTTTTTAGTGTAGAGATGAGGTCTTGCTGTTTCCCAGGTTGGTCTCAAACTCCTGGCCTAAGCAATTCTCTCACCTCAGCCTCCCAAAGTGCTCGGATTACAGGCATGAGCCACCATGCCTGGCCAGTCTTTCAGTTTTCATGGCATTGGCCATTTTGAAGAATACAGGCCAGTTATCTTACAGATTTTCAGTGAGTTTGGCTTTGATGTTTCCTCAGGATTAGACATAGCCTATGCATCCCTGGACGGAATATTGCATAAGCGATGTGTCCTCCTTGGGAATCACATCTGGAGGCACACAATGTCCCTCTGTCCGTCTTTGGAGATGTTAATTTTGATTGCAAGGTCAAAATACTGTCTGGTTATCCACTGTATACTGTTTTGTTTTTTCTTTCTGTGCAACTAATAAGCAATCTGTGGGGAGACCCTATAAGATCATGATATATCCAGTTCTTCAGCATTCTTCCCACCACCTCAGATTTAGCATGCAATGATGATTTGTTCTCAAACCAATCTATGATAGTTGCAAAATGGTGATTATTTTTCAACTCCATGACTTCCTCCACACTTATCGGTTGGCCTTTTATTGTCAGGAAGAGGTCTCTGCTTCAGCTCCACACAATGTATCTTTTTGTCAATTTATTATTATTATGGGCTCATGGATTCCTATTGCATTTAATGTATAATCTGTTACTGTCATTTATTCTGATGGTCTAATTGTCCCAGATTGGGTTGGAAACCATTATGCAATGGTTTCTTAGATATGACACCAAAAGCACACCCAACAAAAGGACAAATAGATAACTTGCACATCATCAAAATTAAAAACTTTGGGGCTTCAAAGAACACCACCAAGAAAGTGAAAGGCAACCCACAGAATGGGAAAAAAATATCTGCCATATATCTGATGCTGGTCTAGTATACAGAATATATAAAGAACTCTTCCCACTCAGTAATAAAAAGACAACTCAATTTGAAACTGGCCAAAGGTTCTGAATAGACATTTTCCCAAAGATATACAGTGGCCAATAAGCACATAAAAAGATGATCAACATCCGTAGCCATCTGGGAAACGCAAATTAAAACAACAGGGTGATACCAGTTCATACCCACTAGGATACCTTTTGTCAAGAAGACAGATAATAACAAGTGTTGGTGAGGATGTAGAGAAATTGGAACCTTCATACACTGCTGATGGGAATGCAAAATGGTGCAGCCACTTTGGAAATCTGGTAGGCCTCATAAGCTTAAGCCTAGGGTTACCCCATGACCCAGCAACTCTACTCCAAAGAAATAAAAACATATATCCACACAAAAACTAGTATGTTAATGTTCATAGTAGGATTATTCATGATAGCCAAAAATAGAAACAACCCAAATGTCCATCAACTAATGAATGGATAGACGAAGTATGGTGTATTCATACAATGAAATATTATTCAACCATAGAAAGGAATGAAGTATCATTACATGCTCCAACCTGAATGAAACTTCAAAACATTATGCTAAGTGAAAGAAGCCAGATACAAAATGCCATATTTTCTGTAACTCCGTGTGTATGAAATGTCCAGAAGAGGCAAATCCATAGAGACAGAAAGTAGATTAGTGGTTGCCAGGGGTTGGGAGGTGGGGGATGGGCAGTGACTGCTAAATGGGTGCAGGGTTTTGTTTTGGATTGATGAAAATATTCTAAAATCAAGTGAGGTAGTAGTTGTACAACTCTGCAAACATACTGAAAACCACTGAATTGTACACTTTAACTGAATTAATTGTATGATACATGAATTATATCTCAATAATGCTGTTACCAAAAAACATCGTTTCAGATCTGGCCAGTCGGTGCCCCTTTGAGCTAGCTCTTGTGTCCATTTGACATGCCCCAATACATATTTCGAGCACTTTTTAAATTTCTTGTACAGCAAGATAATCCAGACATCTCATAACCCTTTCCTGCTCCAGCCTGGGAATCAGCCATATTTCCTAGAGTCCTGGTTCCCTTTTGTGTGGAATGTGAACCAAGATCTGGGCATTATTTCATTTAATCATCAAAACAACCCTTTTAGGTAGGTATTAGCATATCTTCATTTTACAAATGAGGCCCAGAAAGGTTGAGTATGTTGCCCAAAGTCACATAGCACCCCAGGATTTGAAAGCAGGCAGTGTGAATCTAGGGCCCTTGCTATTCAACACACACACACGCGCACACACACATACACAATGTGAAAGTGAAGGTTACGTCTACAGCCAGCCCACCAAGAATTGTACCAGGCAGGGTATGCCCTTGGGAAAAATCATGTGTCATGTGTCTGGGGGAGTGGGGTTGTGGGGAGATTAGCACCCAGTGTCCTGGCCCTCTTTCTAAAAGCACATGCTCAGATACACACACACATATGCTGGTGAAGATAGTCTTCAGTAATCTCCTTTGCCAACCTCACTCCCCATCCCAATACCCAAATACTACCCATAGCTGGGTGCCCATATAAGAGGACCTATGGATGAAATGAGATTGGCCAGGTGTGGTGGCTCACACCTGTAATCCCAGCACTTTGGGAGGCTGAGATGGGAGGATCACTTGAGGCCAGGAGTTCAAGACCAGCCTGGTCAACAGAGTGAGACCCCCATCTCTAAAAAATAAAAAAATAAAAAACAAACAACAACAAAGAAAGATTGGCCTTGGTTTTTGAATGTTGAAGCTCAGAAGTGGGTATATGGAGGTTCATGATACTATTCTCTTTCCTTTTTTAAAGGTTTAATTTTCCATGATAAATAAAAATCTATAAAATAATAAACAAGAGAAAAGAGATTGGAAACAGCCAGGTTGGAGCAGTGAGTGAGTAAGGAAACCTGGCTGCCCTCTCCAGATTCCCCAGGCTCTCAGAGAAGATCAGCAGAAAGTCTGCAAGACCCTAAGAACCATCAGCCCTCAGCTGCACCTCCTCCCCTCCAAGGATGACAAAGGCGCTACTCATCTATTTGGTCAGCAGCTTTCTTGCCCTAAATCAGGCCAGCCTCATCAGTCGCTGTGACTTGGCCCAGGTGCTGCAGCTGGAGGACTTGGATGGGTTTGAGGGTTACTCCCTGAGTGACTGTGAGTACCATCCGCCCCTCCCCAGCCATTTCTCCTCTGCTAGTCATGTCCTATATGGCCAGCTTCTTTCTCTCCTGTTCATCTTTCAAAGCCAAGTTCAAAAAGCAGCCCCCTTCAAAAAAGCCTTTCCCAACACGCTGTATTCACTCAAGTTATTGTCTGAGCACTTATTATGTACCAACAACTGTTTTAGGCACTGGGGCTGTAGAGATAAACAAATTCCCTTCCCTTATAATGTTCACATCCTAGGGGAAGAGAGCAGCAACAAACACACTCATAACGTACTGCCTGGTGGTGACCAATGCTATGAAGAAGAATAAAGCAGGGGGAGCAATGGTGAATTCTTTAGATGGGGAAGTCAGGGAAGGCCTCTCTGAGGAGATGACATTAAGCAGCACTGAATTAAATGAAGGACCTGGTCACCCAAATGTCTGGGGGAAGAACACTCTAGGCAGAGGGGACAGCTAGTACAAAGGCTTTCTCCTCCTGCATGGAAGGGATATCTCCCTTTTGCCCAGGAGTTGTGTGCACCTGTCTTGCAACACTTTTGTCCTTTAATCTTGCTTTGTGGGTTTTTTAGGTACCTTTTTTTTTTTTTTTTAGACAGAGTCTCGCTCTGTCACCCAGGCTGGAGTGTAGTGGCGCGATCTTGGCTCACTGCAAGCTCTGCCTCCTGGGTTCACACCATTCTCCTGCCTCAGCCTCCCCAGTAGCTGGAACTACAGGCACCCACCACCATGCCCAGCTAATTTTTGTATTTTTAGTAGAGACAGGGTTTCACCGTGTTAGCCAGGATGGTCTCGATCTCCTGACCTCGTGATCCGCCCGCCTCAGCCTCCCAAAGTGCTGGGATTACAGGCATAAGCCACCGCGCCCGGCATACATATTTTTAAGCTTGTACATATTTTTAAGCTTGTACATACAAGCTTATTACAAGGCCTGTATTACAAGCTTAGGTACATATTTTTAAGCTTGTAATACAGGCCCCTTGAAGGCAGCATCTGTGTTTGACCCAACTGAAATGTCCCTCACTAGGCTTTGCACAGTTCCTGGCACACAGTAGGTGCTCAGTAAGTGCAAAACACATGAATAGATGGACAGATGAGTAATTGTACTTATGAGTGGGTGGATGGACCACAGGATAAGAGGGCAAGTCAATGGAGATTTCAAGCCCTCTAGTCCTATCTTGCCTCCCAGGCCTTGTTCCTTTTGTCTGAAACCTTGCCTCCCTTTCTCCTCCATCTCCCTTCTCACTCAGCTTGGTCCCCTCTAAATCCTGACCTTCTTCTCCCTACTCTAAGGGCTGTGCCTGGCTTTTGTGGAAAGCAAGTTCAACATATCAAAGATAAATGAAAATGCAGACGGAAGCTTTGACTATGGCCTCTTCCAGATCAACAGCCACTACTGGTGCAACGATTATAAGAGTTACTCGGAAAACCTTTGCCACGTAGACTGTCAAGGTCTGGCCAGGGCCCCAGGGTGGGAGAGATGAGAGCAGCAACCAGGCTCTGCTCACAGAACTTCTCTTCCCACCCACAGCCTGGGAATGGCCCCAGAAATATGGTTCAAAAAATCAGGGAATCCCTTTACTGAGCAGAGGGCTGGAGTAGTGTCCCTAATGCCCATCCAGTTAGGAGATTCTATAGAGTCCCTGAGTAGGATCCAGGAAGGCTCCGTATACAGCTGGTAGTAGTAGAACAGTTGCAGCAGCCAATGTTTATTGAGAGAATATTATACACTAAGTGCTTTACATACTTGGCTTATTTCATCCAACTTTCATGCAGTAGAAACCATTTATGATCCCTACTTTACAAAACAGCAAACTGAGGCTCAAAAAGAGAACCAGCATTGAATGCCAGACTAATGGCCTCACAGGCTCTTAACCATTCCGGAGTACCCTCTTTAGCTAATGATCTGACCAAAGACCAAGTGCAAACTCCCTACCTCAGAGCTGATCCAGGAGGCTCGACAGGGCCCATGACTCTGCCCCTCACCTCTGCCTTCGCACACTGACCGATGTCCCTCGGCTCCTCGCCTGAAGACCCCCGCTCACTAGGCGGGACATACCTCTGTGGTGTTTTGGCATTTCCTCTCCCTGGAAACCTCCCACAAACTTTGAGTGAACCACTATCTACCCTGGTTAGGAAGAATAGTAGTGAACAGGCCCAAATCTCAGGCCTCTTGCCCCTTCTGCCCACACCCCCTTTCACCTCGAACCTCTAGCAGCCATTGTAGGGATGTCTAAATGGGCCCCCTGGGAGACAGCCTTTGCCTCAACTGGAAGCCTCTAGGTGGCATAGGGCTGTCCAGGGAGGGCTGGTGTCTGCCTCCATCTTTGGGGCTGTCTTCTGTGCCCTCACAGGTTTTCTCTTCCTCCCTTTCAGATCTGCTGAATCCCAACCTTCTTGCAGGCATCCACTGCGCAAAAAGGATTGTGTCCGGAGCACGGGGGATGAACAACTGGTGAGGAGGACACGGTGGGACTCAGCGGGCAGAGCCCCACGAAGGAGGACGTGACAGAGAAAAGGGCAGTAGGCAAGGACTCACGGGCACGCCCTTGCAGTGTCTAGAAAGATGTGGGATAGCGGACGGGCTTGGAACTCTGAGATCTGGTTCTTCTATGATATTGTATTAAACAAAACTCTTCTGGTTGCAGTAACAGAAAACAACTTGAGCTAGCTGGGGGAAATTTATTCTGAGAGGCCCAGATGTCTCACTGAGCCCACTCAAGGGCTGCAGCTGGGCCTCAGGAAGAGCATGGAACCAGGGCTGGAAATTGTCAGCACACTGTCCATGGCAGGTTTCAGCTTCTCTTGGTGCATTTGCTTCACTTCTCTCTCCGCAGACTTTCTCTGCTCCACAGTCTAAAGGACAAAGGGTGCTGCAAAGTTAATAAGCTAAAGTCCTAAGCAACCATAGGGACTGGCTAGGCTCAGTCCCAGTCCAAGTTCCTGGGATAGAGAATCTGATTGGTTCCACTTGGACCATGTGTGCCCCCTTGGTCCAATCAACTGTAGGGATGGGAGGAGTTAAGCAATACAATTATGGCTGCCGCTCGGGCCCTGTGGCCATAATTGACAATATTTTTTTATTTAAAAATGTGGACCGGGCATGGTGGCTCACGCCTGTAATCCCAGCACCTTGGGAGGCTGAGGCAGGTGGATCACTTGAGGTCAGGAGTTCGAGACCAGCCTGGTCAACATGGTGAAGCCCCGTCTCTGTTAAAAATACAAAAAATTAGCTGGTCATGGTGGCGCCTGCCTGTAGTCCCAGCTACTCAGGAGGCTGAGGCAGAAGAATCGCTTGAACCTGGGAGGTGGAGGCTGCAGTGAGCCGAGATCGCGCCACTGCACTCCAGCCTGGGCGGCAGAATGAGACTCTGTTTAAAAAAAAAAAAAAATGTGGCGGCTGGGCGCAGTGGCTCACTCCTGTAATCCCAGCCCTTTGGGAGGCTGAGGTGGGTGGGTCACAAAGTCAGGAGTTCGAGACCAGCCTGGCCAATATGGTGAAACTTTGTCTCTACTAAAAAATACAAAAATTAGCCAGGCGTTGTGGTGGGTGCCTGTCCCAGGCTGCTTTTTGTGTTATGTGGGGATGAGGCACTGACCCTGTGGGCCGGGATCTCTCTGGGGACCTTTCCCTTGCTTTCTGTCCATGCTCCTTAAGGCAAGCTGCATGGGAGGCTGAGGCAGGAGAATCGCTTGAACCCGGGAGCCAGAGGTTGCAGTGAGCTGAGATCGCGCCACTGCACTCCAGCCTGGGTGACAGAGAAAGAATCCGTCTCAAAAAAAGAAACAAAAAACGACAACAAAAAAATGTGGCATTCATCAGCTGGGCAGACACCCACATAGCTGTGAGCTCACCAACGGTGGACATTCAGATAGTCACCTTTTCTGAGCTTCAAACTAGATATATAAGTAACACAAATGGCTGCCTCTACAGGCAACTGTGGAAGGAGTCAAATCCCCTGCATACTCAAAACACCACAGAAAAGAATTGACAGCGATGATTATGCTGATCCTTTCTGGAGGGAGAATCAATGGTTGTACCTGGGACTTTTTTTTTTTTTTTAATAAGTAACTCTCAGCCCTGTAAAACAGTGCTCACCCCTTCAGGGAGATATGAGGATTTTAAAATGTGGAAACGTTGATCCAGGGAAGCAGGCAAACACCAGAGATGAGAGAGTTTTACAGGATTCGTCAGAGGGGACAGTGGAGGACAGACCAGAGGGCTAGCTAGCAATGACGGGGATTCTGGGCGTTGCTCCATATGCGAGACTCACCAAGAACTGGGTCATGTGTGTGGAAGAGTTACTGAGTGTGAGGCAAGAACCATGTCTTTTTTCTCCGCAGGGTAGAATGGAGGTTGCACTGTTCAGGCCGGCCACTCTTCTACTGGCTGACAGGATGCCGCCTGAGATGAAACAGGGTGCGGGTGCACCGTGGAGTCATTCCAAGACTCCTGTCCTCACTCAGGGATTCTTCATTTCTTCTTCCTACTGCCTCCACTTCATGTTATTTTCTTCCCTTCCCATTTACAACTAAAACTGACCAGAGCCCCAGGAATAAATGGTTTTCTTGGCTTCCTCCTTACTCCCATCTGGACCCAGTCCCCTGGTTCCTGTCTGTTATTTGTAAACTGAGGACCACAATAAAGAAATCTTTATATTTATCGAAATATTAAAGCACTCGCTCTGCAAAGACTGTGTCCATTTATTCATTAGTCTACATATATTTGAGTACCTAAGACAGTGGGAGTGTACTAGGTAGTAGAAGGAAGACAAAACACAGCTATTGTTGTTTAGGTGTTCATAATCTAGGTGGAGAAGCAGAGACATCCACAAACATTACAATAGGTAATTAAATGTATAGTAAAATCCATAATTATTGCTTTGAAACAGTATCAGCATCCAAGTAATTCCTCCAAAGAACAATTTTTGAAGTAAAAGAGAAAACTCAGAAGTAGGCAATGGGTGGGGTCTGGTATTGATGTGGAGAAAGTAGTGATGGGATGGAGAAATAGTGGCAGATACCAATAATTTGGGGGTGCTTTGGGAGAATAAGCTAGGATCTAGATGATTAAAAAAAGGTGCTCTGGACAGGATCTGGTTTGCCTGGAGGGTGCTGAGGTGGAGTAGAACATGCTTAAAGAAAAGGCAAAATCAGAAAAGTGACAGTTGAAGGAATGTCCTACACATAGCCACCGTCAGTAGTGTCTGACCAATCTGGGGTTTTATCTTGGACCACTTATTTCTCTACCACTGAGCCTTAGCTGTTTCTACTATAGAAGGAGGGATTTGACTATTCAGTAGTTGCCAGACTTTTGTATTTCACAGGTGATAAAATGTAAAAAATAATTAAACCTGAGATTTCTTTCTTTTTTTTTTTTTTTTGAGACAGAGTCTCACTGCGTAGCCCAGGCTGGAATGCAATGGCAGGATCTTGGCTCACTGCAACCTCCAACTCCCAAGCTCAAGCAATTCTCCTACCTCAGCTTCTCAAGTAGGTGGGACTACAAGTGTGTGCTACTACACCCAGCTAATCTTTTTTTTTTTTTTTTTTGAAATGGAGTCTCACTCTGTCACCCAGGCTGGAGTGCAGTGGCATGATCTCCACTCACTGCAACCTCCGCCTCCTGGGTTCAAGCAATTATCCTGCCTCAGCCTCCCCAGTAGCTGGGATTACAGGCGCCCCCCGACCACACCCGGCTAATTTTTGTATTTTTAGTAGAGACGGGGTTTCACGGTGTTGGCTAGGCTGGTCTCGAACTCTTGACCTCAGGTGATCCACCCACCTCAGCCTCCCAAAGTGCTGGAATTACAGGCATGAGCCACCGTGCCCAGCTATTTTGTATTTTTAGTAGAGACAGGGTTTTACCACGTTGGCCAGCCTGGTCTCAAACTCCTGACCTCAAGTAATCCATCTGCCTCGGCCTCCCAAGTGCTGGGATTATGGATGTCAGGCACCAGGCCCGGCCGAGGTTTCTAATTTTTAATTTTAATGTCCAAGTAAGAGCATTAAAGCAACTATCCTCTATTAGCATCTTTTCATAGAAAAATTTTTAGTATCAACATTATAGGGAGGTCATACTTGTAGAAGAATGGAGTGGAATCTACTTTATTTTATGAAATTATAAAAAACCTGATTATATTTTCCATATGGTCCTCATTTTGTAGAGTAGGGGTGAAAACTTTATCACAGCATGAGTCTGAGGATCATTATTCAGAAATCACAAGAGACTTGTCCTGTAGGGTCTCTTCTGGCTCTGACATTCTAGGATTAAAATAAACAGTAGTAGGACTCACTTTACTTCTTGTGTTACTGAAACTGCCTTTATAAAAATTATGACAAATCTGACCTAACTGATTCCATTTTGCTTCTAACCTCCAAGCTGCCCTTGCTCATTCCTGGGCACAGGCCAAGCTAACTATGAGAGGAATTTTTGCTGCTTAACTTTGAAACAAAGATAATAGTCCCTTCCTGAAACAAACCACCTCCCTGCTTGGGAATCAGATCTCCTCTGTAAAACTAACAAATTAGCCACAAGATTAGAAATTATGGCTCAGAAATTATGTAGACAGAGGCCACAAGATTCCTAACCTCTCCAGTTGCTCCTATACAAAACACTGTTGTAGTCTCAGCAATGCACCAAGATATAACACTCTGTAGTTGTCTGATATAACCCCCGGAGTTCTTTGTCCTACCTCCAAGATGATTAAGGAGCGTGGACACAAAGGTGGGGTTACAGCAAAAGTTTAATAAGCGAAAGAAGAAAGCTCTCTGCCAGCAGAGCGTGGGGGCCAGAACGGGTGTCCCCTGTGAGGCTGGGGTCTTTATGGACTGGGAAGGGGAAGCAATGTGCTTAGTCCGACAGCTGTCTTGGAGAACTCAGCTTGGCAAGGAGCCTTGGCCCAGGACCAATCAGGAGCTGAAATGATTCTTAGATGCTGCTTAGCTTGGCCCAAGACCTATCAGGGGCTGAAGTGATGATTCATAGAGGCTGGACTTACAGGTCCAAAAAGGAAAGTAGAGTGCCCACTGGAACTCACCGGAGCCCACTATGCCCATGCCCACAAAAGTAGAAGCAACTTCATCCTGGGAGCCCACTGACTATACAAAGGACAAAGGCATTTCTATGCCAGGCCTTGTTCTTTTGTCTGAGTGAGCTGAAGTTTTGTGCAAGCTTTTATCCAAATGGGCCAGAGGTTTTTCCATCTGTGCAGCCGTGGGCATGTCTCCAGGCACAACACCCTATGCTAGTTCTCTTATGGGTGCTGGTAGCTTGAATTTTTTCCCAGGCTGCTTTTTATGTTATGTGGGGGTAAGGCACTGACCCTGTGAGCCGGGATCTCTCCGGGGACCCTTCCCTTGCTTTGTGTCCAAGCTAACTAACTGCTTTCAACATTACTATTGTAAAACCTAATATTGGGGTTCTAGGTATTTTTCAGACCCTTCATTCTGATGGACCAGCTGGCACCACTCACATGGGCAAACTGGCTCATCTGGTCTTGCGGCCCCCAACCAGGAATTCACTCAGCACAAGAACACAAGCTCTGACTCTCTATGATTTCATCCTTGACCCAACCAGTCAGCATTTCCTATTCCCTGGCCCCCTGACTGCCAAATTACCCTTTAAAAAACACCAGCTTCCAAATTTTCAGGGAGGCTAAGTTGAGTAATAGTAAAACTCCAGTCTTCTATTTAGCTGGTTCTGTGCTTATGAAACTCTTTGCCTATTTCAATAACACTGTCTCAGTAAATCAGCTTTTCTGGGCAGTGGGTATGATGAACCCACCAGTTGATTACACTCCTCCACCACGTAGCTGATTATGACACCTACCCTTCTCAGACACCATCAGCTCCAATGTTGGTGCCTTATTTGGACTTATTCTTTGTGGGTTTGTTTGTTTGTTTGTTTGTTTTTCTTTTTTCAAAATTAATCTCTCCTTCTCACTCGTACCTCCAACCTCTCACATCATCTGACCCCCACAAGTACACATACACGATTCACCAGAATGACGTAGGACAATCAGGGAATTCTTTTTAAGGATTTCATGCGAGACTGTTAATGGTTTAGTGAGTTATACTTTTATTTGCAATTTTAAACTCTTAAAAAAACCTCTTAAGTCAAAAGATTGCATCTTTCGTGGTTATTTCCCACAAGTGCTAATACTTAGTACCCTAATCTCCTTCAGGAGTGAAGATGAAGCTGGCTTCTATAAACACGTCCCTACCCTTCCATCCTGTCAGCCTATTTTGGGACTTTACCCTAAACATGCATTGAACGGAAGCTCTAAACTCAGGGATCTTGTGGCTGTGACTGGAGGAGGGGAACAGACTCAGAGGCTGGCCCTAGGTAGGAGGGGCAAGGGAGCGATCCGAGCCCCGTCCCCGCCCCTCGCATGCGCCTCTTTTTAAAAAAGCGCGGGCGTGCCTTGCGCAGGCGCAATGCTGGGGCGAGGGTTAGCCGCGCAGGTGCGGTGAAGGGAGGATGGCGGAGTTGGTACCTTTTGCGGTTCCCATCGAGAGTGACAAAACCTTGCTAGTGTGGGAGCTGAGCTCCGGACCCACGGCCGAGGCTTTGCATGTGAGCCGGGGCCAGGATGGAGGGAGGGATGGAGAAAGCTGCCCACCCGCTGACTGGGAGTTCCGGAGTCCTGCCTCAGACCCTCACCTGCCTGAGCCTCCGCTGAAGGACTCTTAATTATAAAGGGGATCCCAACTGACAACTGACGACCCCCAACAGATTTTTAGAGTCCCGGAGAGGTATCTCTCCACCTTCAGAACGTTTTACCTTCCAGTGCTTCTTAAAGTTTAGGATTTTAAGAGGAAAACCTGTTGATTAAGTGGGAAGTGTTTTGAATCGCATCCTTCGCGAAGAGAGGTTTGGGGAATATGAGGGCATGTGCGGTTTTGTTTTCTGGGCGTGAGATTTCATGCATTTACTTGTCCCACCCCCACAGCATTCTCTGTTCACAGCATTTTCTCAGTTTGGCCTTCTGTATTCAGTCCGGGTCTTCCCAAATGCTGCAGTGGCCCATCCTGGTTTCTATGCCGTCATTAAGTTTTATTCTGCAAGGGCTGCCCACAGAGCCCAAAAGGCATGCGACCGGAAGCAGCTTTTTCAGAAATCTCCAGTCAAGGTGGGTCCAAATATGGAATTCCTAGCTCCGCTGAAATGAAGTGCTGAATTCAATAATAGGTTAGCATTTGTCCAGCACGCTGGTTTACAGAATATTTTCAGATGCATTGCCACACTAATCTTCCAGTTCTCTGGGTTTTTTACATGAAGAAACTCAAACTCAAGGTGGTTGAGCGACTTGTTTAAGGTTCCTGACAAGAATTATGGAAACTCGAGATTGAACTAAAACCTACTGATGCTAAACCTCATGTCATTTTATGCTGTCCCTTTTTAAGAAATCTCAGCTTGGGCAACAAAATGAGACCCCATCTCTATAAAAAAAATTGTAAAGATAAGGCTGGGCACCGTGGCTCATGCCTGTAATCCCAGCACTTTGGGAGATCGAGGCGGGCTGATCACTTGAGGCCAGCAGTTTGAGACCAGCCTGGGCAACATAGCAAAACTCCATCTGTACTATAAATACAAAAACTAGCCGGGCATGGTGGCATGCGCCTGTAGTCCCAGCTACTCGGGAGGCTGAAGCATGGGAATTACTTGAACCCAGGAGGTGGAGGCTGCAGTGACCCGAGATTGTGCCACTGCACTCTAGCCTGGGTGACAGAGTGAGACTCCATCTCAAAAAAAGAAAGAAAGAAAAATAAAAAATTAAATATCAGCCAGATGTGGCATGCACCTGTAGTCCCAGCTACTTGGGAGACTGAGGTGGGAGGATCGCTTGAGCCCAGGAGTTTGAGGATGCAGTGAGCAATAATTGCATCACTGCACTCCTGCCTGGGCCACAGAGTGAAACCCTATCTCTAAAAAATGACTGAATGAATGAAATCTTTGCCAGAAGACTTCTGCTTATATTTACTTTTTAATTTTTTTAGAGACAGAGTATCCCTGTGTTGCCCAGGCTGGTCTCTAAATCCTGGCCTCAAGCAGTCCTCCTGCCTCAGCCTCTTAAGTAGCTAGGTACAGGCCACCATGCCCAGCTATATTTACTTTTTATTTTTATTTTTTGAGATGGAGTCTCATTTTGTCACCCAGGCTGGAGAGCAGTGGCATGATCTTGGCTCACTGCAACCTCTGCCTTCCGGGTTCAAGTGATTCTCCTGCCTCAACCTCCTGAGTAGCTGGGACTACAGGCGCCTGCCACCACACCTGGCTAATTTTTGTATTTTAGTAGAGATGGGGTTTCACCATGTTGGCCAGTCTGGTCTCGAATTCCTGACCTCAAGTGATCCACCCACCTCAGCCTCCCAAAGTGCTGGGACTACAGGTGTGAGCCACTGTGCCCAGCCATATATTATATATTTACTTTTTTTTTTTTTAAAGACAGAGTTTCGCTCTTGTTGCCCAGGCTGGAGTGCAATGGTGTGATCTCAGCTCACCACAACCTCCGCCTCCCGGGTTCAAGCGATTCCCCTGCCTCAGCCTCCCAAGTAGCAGGGATTACAGGCATGCACCACCACGCCTGGCTGATTTTGTATTTTTGGTAGAGATGGTGTTTCTCCATGTTGGTCAGGCTGGTCTCGAACTCCTGAACTCAGGTGATCTACCCGCCTCAGCCTCCCAAAGTGCTGGGATTACAAGCGTGAGCCACCGCGCCCAGCCTATATATTTAGTTTTATGTGAATTTAAAATGTGTGGGTGTGACCAGGTCTTCTGCCAGCTGTTACATAAAGGAGACTGTATCATCATCATCACATCATCATCATCATACTCACCATGGCTCACAAACTGCCTGTTTGAAACTCCCTTCAGTTCTGAGAGGATGGGAACATTCTTTAAGCGGTATTGTAGAAACCCTATTCCATATTAACATGCCAACCAATTTTACTTTCCCAGAGCCACAGAATGATATCTCATTGTATGCCTCAATTCAGTCATCTTTCCCTTTTCAAGGACCATTTCAATTCCTGATTGGCTACTTGATCTGACTGCTTCCTACTAATCTTGCTGCCTATTCTTCTCTATATTCCATTCCTCATTGAATTAACCTTGATCAAATCTGAGAACTCTGCTTAGTAATGACTCCAGGTATACTACTCCCACTTCAGTAGCCTGTTCAATGCCCTCTTAGCCTGTTCAACACCCTCTTCAATCCTGGTTCCACTTTCTGTGACTGAAATGATTACCTGTGAGATATTATTTAACTTTTGAACTATGGTCTGTTTCTAACCTGTGACCATTTCACATAGCCACTCAAATATTATAAAGGTACAACTAAGATTATGAAACATTTACTTGGTATCATTTTGCAAATAATGAGTTTTTAGTGCTCTTTGGACATTGAGACCATTTCATAAGCTTTAGGTTTTGAGAATTTCACAGCATAAAGCCTATCACTGAGACAGTAATGAAGGAAATGTTCTACAACTCAATAGATAGGTGAGATGAGAGGGCATTCATACTAGATTTATTACTAAACTCAAAGCTTTCAGTTACTACTCACCCCCCACTGTAATCTAGTTTAAGTGTTCTTTTCTACTTTAGCACGTACACTTAGTTCCTGTCTTTTTTGCCTTTCTAAATACAGAAAAGAGAATAATGTTTTAAAATAAAATCAAGGAAAGGCCTAAGGCACCTGAGAGGGTTTTGTTTTTGCTTTTTGGGTTTTTGTTTTTTTGTTTGGTTTTTTCGTTTTGTTTTTTTGAGATGGAGTCTTGCTCTGTCACCCAGGCTGGAGTGCAATGGCATGATCTCAGCTCACTGCAGCCTCTGCCTCCCGGGTTTAATTGATTCTCCTGCCTCAGCCTCCAGAGCAGCTGGGATTACAGGCGTGCACCACCACGCCCAGCTAATTTTTGTATTTTTGGTAGAAACAAGATTTCTCCATGTTGGCCAGGCTGGTCTTGAACTCCTGACCTCAAGTGATCTGCCGCCTCGGCCTCCCAAAGTGCCGGGATTACAGGTGTGAGCCACCGTGCCCGGCCAAGAGGGTTTTTTGGTTCTTTTTTTTTTTTTTTTTTTTTTTTTGGTGAAATGAAGGAAAATGGTTGCTGCAAAGTTATCCAAGCTGACAGCTGTCTGTGCCACCCAGAGGCTCAGAGTTTTTCTGAAGCTTCCTGGTTGTCTGGAAAGGCTCCACTGTGACTCACGATACAGGCCGGTCTCGCCAGTGGCACTCAACGTTTAAAAACTGGTCTTTATTTCTTTCCCAACAGGCATTTCTCCTTCTTTTCAGTTGGAGAAAGTAATTTCATTTTTTACTTGCTCATTGTTTTATTCATTCAATCGATAGATCATCTGTGCTCTATTATATGCCAAGAACTATGCTTAGTTCTGGAAATGAAAAAAGAATAAGCTATGGTTTCATCTGGGACTTAAGGAGCTTATAAACCAGTGATAGAGGAAGGTGCATAAACAAATCAATAAAGAATTAACTTTACGGCCAGGCGCAGTGGCTCACACCTGTATCCCAGCACTTTGGGAGGCCGAGGCGGGCAGATCACAAGGTCAGGAGATCGAGACCATCCTGGCTAACACGGTGAAACCCCATCTCTACTAAAAAATACAAAAAATTAGCCGGGCGTGGTGGCAGGTGCCTGTAGTCCCAACTACTCGGGAGGCTGAGGCAGGAGAATGGCGTGAACCTGGCAGGCGGAGCTTGCAGTGAGCCAAGATCGCGCCACTGCACTCCAGCCTGGGTGACAGAGCGAGACTCCGTCTCAGAAAAAAAAAAAGAACTTTACTGTTAATTCTTATTAATTTCTAATACAAATAAATTTGACTTTATTTGTATCATTTGAATTTCATGAATATAATATACTACATTTAAAAAATGAAATATATAGGAAAACTTGTGATGTAAGAAATCCACAAAAATGGATAAAATGTTTTAAGAATTAACACTCAGTAGATATTTGCGTTCTCAAAGAAGCACGTAAATGCAGATATACCTCTCCTTTCAGTTGCATGTAAAATTTATAGAAGTATTTGTATTTCCTTTTTTTTTTTTTTTGAGACAGTCTCACTCTGTCACCTAGGGTGGAGTGCATGGCACCATCTCGGCTCACTGCAACCTCTGCCTCCCAGGTTCAAGCGATTCCCCTGCCTCAGCCTCCCGAGTAGCTGGGACTGCAGGCACGTGCCACCATGCCTGGCTAATTTTTAGTATTTTTCGTAGAGACGGGGTTTCACTATGTTAGCCAGGATGGTCTCGATATCCTGACTTTGTGATCCACCTGCCTCAGCCTCCCAAAGTGCTGGGATTACAAGGGTGAGCCACTGCACCTGGTGTTATTTCATCTTTTAACGGGTTAGTAACTTGGGGAGGGGGATGGGTGGTGGGTTCATCTTATCTATATTCAGGTCATATTCTCAAGCAGGAACTACTGAATGGGAAGACAGTAACAATTTTTCATTGCACACTTGGTATTGACAAATCTCAGATCTATCCAAAATAAAATCTCTAGCGGTTGTGATATTTATGGGTCTATCTCCTATGATTTTAGGTTCGTCTTGGCACCAGACATAAGGCAGTTCAACATCAAGCCCTTGCCCTGAACAGTTCCAAATGCCAAGAACTGGCGAATTACTACTTTGGTTTCAATGGGTGTTCCAAAAGGATCATCAAGGTAAACCTTGTAGATTTTTTTTCACTTACCACACTCTCCTTTCAACATTGAAATCCTAGATTTTAGACAGAAGTATTGAACTGGATTGTAGGGAGGAGATGTGAGAGGCCTCTACCATTGAGGATAAATTGACATGTCTGAATTGGCCTGCTACCTAGAATTAATAATCTCAGTCAATTGGATGGTGGTATCCGTAATTTTCTCCACTGTTTTTGTGGCATATAATAAAAAATGGTTGTCTCTATCTAGCAATTCATTTGCAAATCTAACTTGATTTTGAAGCCATAGGACACCTCAACTGTTAGCTTGAATGACTGGAGTGTAGTTGTTTTTTGGGTTTTCTTTTTTTTATTGGGTTTTTGTTTTGTTTTGTTTTGTTTTTGAGACAGAGGCTCGCTGTGTCATCAGGCTGGAGTGCAGTGGCGCTATCTCAGCTCACTGCAAAATCTGCCTCCTGGGTACAAGCAATTCTCCTGCCTCAGCCTCCCAAGTAGCTGGGACTACAGGCGCCCACCACCACGCCCAGCTAATTTTTGTATTTTTAGTAGAGACGGAGTTTCACCATGTTGGCCAGGATGGTCTCAATCTCTTGACCTCGTGATCCGCCCACCTCGGCCTCCCAAAGTACTGGGATTACAGGCGTGAACCACCACGCCCAGCCAAGTTTTTACTTTTAATAACAAAACATTTTGAAGCCTACATTAAGACCCCAGGAAGGACCTTACATTAAATATCCTTACAGCTTCAGGAGCTTTCTGACCTTGAAGAAAGGGAAAATGAAGATAGCATGGTGCCACTTCCGAAGCAAAGCCTGAAGTTCTTCTGTGCTTTAGAAGTGGTGTTGCCATCCTGTGATTGCAGGAGTCCTGGCATTGGCTTGGTGGAGGAGCCTATGGATAAGGTGGAGGAAGGTCTGTTTTCACTGGGAGTGGAGGAGGGTAGGGATTTGGAGTGGAAAGGATCTTTCTTTTTTTCTTACTTTCCAAAACTCATCTTTTCAGATACATATCAAGCCCCTCCCTCTCTGAGCTACTGAAGTCCTGGGCAGAGTTTTTCTGTCTTACAACATAGGGTTTTACTGTAGGCAATACCTGATTGAACCTTTAAATTTAAAATCGTACAGCTGACTTCCTGCCGAGAAGCTTAGGAGGAAGAAGGAAGTAATGTTTTTACAGTTTTTGGTTAAGAACTTGCTTCGAACTAAAATAGTCCTTCAAATATGTGTCTCTTGTAGCTCTCGGTTATCCCAGCAAAACCATCTAAAGATTTTTTTTTATCTATTTATTATTTTTTAGAGATAGGATCTTGCTCTGTTGCCCAGGCTAGAATGCAGTAGCATGATCATAGCTCACTGTAACCTCCAACTTCTGGGCTCAAGGGATCCTCCTGCCTCAGCCTCTTGAGTAGCGAGGACTACAGGCGTGCACCACCACACCTGCCTAATTATTATTATTATTATTATTTTTAGAGATGGGGTCTTTCTGTGTTGTCCCACCTGGTCTCCAACTCCTGGCCTCAAGTGATCCTCTTGCCTCAGGATCCCAAGTTGCTGGGGTTATAGGCATGAGCCACCATGCCAGGTCATCATCTAAAGATTTACATAAACTTTTGTATAAACATTCAGTTCCTTTTTTTACTCATAAAAGGGTTTCAGCAGAAAAAGTGTCTAATATAGATACCTAGAAAGGGTACTCAGTTGATACTGATGTTGAGTATTTTTTTAGTATTCATGGCCATCATGCTTAGGGTTTGAAGTCAGAGGCAGGGCTGTAGGCTAATGGAGTGGAGTAGGCTCCCGGGGGTGATGCCCAGGGAGGAGCCAGATTATCTGTACCAAAGTTTTTTCTTTTTTGAGATGGAGCCTCACTCAGTCGCCCAGGCTGAAGTGCACTGGCGTGATCTCGGCTCACAGCAACCTCCATCTCCCAGGTTCAAGTGATTCTCCTGCCTCAGCCTCCCAAGTAGCTGGGGTTACAGGTGCCTACCACCACACCTGGCTATTTTCTTGTGGTTGTATTTTTATTAGAGACAGGGTTTCACCATGTTGCCCAGGCTACTCTCAAACTCCTGACCTCAAGTGATCTGCCCACCTTGGCCTCCCAAAGTGCTGGGATTACAGGCATGAGCCACTGTGCCTAGCCTCTTTTTTTTTTTTTTTTTTTTTTGAGACAGAATCTCACTCTGTCGCCCAGGCTGGAGTGCAGTGGCATGATCTCGGCTCACTGCAACCTCCGCCTCCCAGTTCAAGCTATTCTTGTGCCTCAGACTCCCAGGTAGCTGGGATTACACATGTGTGCCACCACACCCGGCTAATTTTTGCACTTTTAGTAGAGACAGGGTTTCACCATGTCCGCCAGGCTGTTTTTGAACTCCTGGCCTCAAGTTTCACCACATTGACCAGGCTGTTCTTGAGCCCCTGGCCTCCACCTGCCTCAGCCTCCCCAGGTGCTGGGATTACAGGCATGGGCCACCAGGTCCAGCCAACCAAACCTTTTTCGATGAGTGATTCCAGCCCTTGATGCATAGGAGGGTAGGGTCTGTAGGAGTGTAGCCTTAACTGATCAATTTGAAATCTCTGGGTGATGTGAGACATGTGCCAGGTTCTTGGCTCTTATCTCCCTTCTAGTACCTCAGGAACTTCCCTACTAGATGGAGGTAGTAAAAATGGGCCCTGCCAGGATGTACCTATAACAGAGCCATTCAACCATACGCTTGTGCCATCTGCCCTTAGTCATGAAGGTTTTGAGCTAAGAATCGTGGATGCTTTTTTATTTTTTAAACATATAGCAATTATCATTCAAATAGGCACCTTAAATCCATTTGTTTTGGTTGGATTTAGGACCATTATCATTCCTTATGAAAAGGAAGACAGCCCAGAAGCTTGCTATTCAGAAGGCTTTGTCAGATGCATTCCAGAAACTGTTGATTGTTGTTCTAGGTAAGACTGTCTTGATCATCCTTGAAGTACTTCAGTTTCAGTAAGCAAATAAACTCATTTTGAAAAGTTAATTGAATAAAAATATTGATATCTAAAGCACTCTATAGTATGCTTTCATTTGCTAAATTATTTCACACCAACAGGCTCAAATTTGTTCTGTGTGACATTTGTGAAAAAAAATGACAGCAAATATTGTCCCCAGTTTACAGATGTGAAAAGACTTGCCTCAGTTCCCACAGAAAATGTTTAAGCCAGGTCTTCTTTAATTGCTTACCTATCATACAGAATAGTGATTATAAGTTTTGGACGCATGGATTTGAGTCCTAACTCTGTCTCTTAGATTTTTAATGCAATTAGGCCGGGCGCGGTGGCTCACGCCTGTAATCCCAGCACTTTGGGAGGCCGAGATGGGCGGATCACGAGGTCAGGAGATGGAGACCATCCTGGCTAACACGATGAAACCCCGTCTCTACTAAAAATACAAAAAAATTAGCTGGGCGTAGTGGCGGGCTCCTGTAGTCCCAGCTACTTGGGAGGCTGAGGCAGGAGAATGGCGTGAACCTGGGAGGTGGAGCTTACAGTGAGCCAAGATCGTGCCACTGCTCTCCAGCCTGGGTGACAGAGTGAGACTCCATCTCAAAAAAAAAAAAAAAAAAAAGATTTTTTAATGCAATTTTAGGTCTTATAGCCAGAGAGATTTGAAAATACTTAATATCTCTAAGCTGCAGTCTCTTCATCTATAAACTGGGGTTAGTAATTCAGTCAGCCTTATGGAGGACATTGTAAGAGTAAATGAGATGACAAATGTAAAAACTCGGAGCTACACTTACAAGATAAGCAGACATATTAACTATTATTGTCATTGTTGATTTATCTCTGAATAAATAAGCTCTCTGCTGAAGAGTTTATTAGATTATGTTTCCTGAATCAAGAATTCAGTTTCAGCTTTCATTTCTGGCACTGACACATTGGGCAAGTATGATTCTTATACAAAAATCAGCTGCTTTGCCGTGAGCCTTGGAATTGGTCATGCTATTGAATATATTCCCTATTGCTTGTATTCCCTATTGAGTTCTACAGTGGCACGAATCTTATAGGCTGTGCCCAAAGGAAGCCTAATGATTAGCAAAGAGTCCCTGAACAGAGTTGCTCTTCTGCTTCACAGCCCTAAAGGCTTAGAGACTGAGAGATCCTAATTAAGTTACCACAGACCTTTATTTGCTTGTAGGAGGTGGCCCTGACTGCTCTCAGCTTTCCAACCTGGGCAACAGCCCTTCTAGTGAAAGTCTTACTTCCTTGGTCATCAACTGTCAAGTCTGAGTAACAACATTTAAGAACCAAACGAAGTGTGTGTGTTGTTTACCTCTCCCTAATATACAAAGGTATCTTGCACACACTGAAAACTTCTTAGACCAAAAGCCTGATGGCTCTAGTTTGCCTTGAAGGTAGTTCTATTGTCTATAAGGGTATGTGAGCCTGTGTCTGCCAATAAAATGTTCAAATGTTCTCTCTCTCAGAAGCTTTGTTCATTGTATCTGGTGGAATGAATTTTGGTTCAAAAGGAGTAGACACCTGAGTAGACAAAAGAAGGCCCTTGCTTCTAATGTGAAGTGTCTACTAGCCCAGTGGTCTCTATTCCAAATTTGAACTTGCTTTGACCCCCATCTGATGCCTTACCATTTAGTCATATTATGATTGAGCATTTTGGTTTCCACATTTTTTATTTCTTATGTTATTCCTTAGTTCCTATCTGTAAGATCATAAAGTCCTTTGTACCGAATATGGTTGATATTTCATACATATGTTAAAAACTGAGGTGTGAGGCCAGACATGGTGACTCACACCTGTAATCTCAGCATTTTGGGAGGCCAAGGCAGGAAGACCACTTAAAGCCAGGGGTTCAAGACCAGCCTGGGCAACAAAGCAAGACCACGTCTCTAAAAAAAAAAATTAGGCAGGCACAGTGGTGTGTACCTGTAGTCCTTGCTACTCTGGAGGGTGAGCCAGGGGGATCACTTGATCCCAGGAATTCCAGGCTGCAGTGAGCTGTGACAGTGCCATTGTACTCCAGTCTGGGTGACAGAGTGAGAGACCCTGTCTTCTAAAAAAAAAAAAAAAAAGAAAGAAAGAAAGAAAGAAAAAACTGAAGTGTGAGATGAGGAGATAAGGAAACTTCCAGGAAAATGCTCTTATTTTCTGCTTTTAGAAACCAAAACAATGTTTCATCATGGGGTGCTACCATTATATGCAGGAAGTTTTAGAATGAAAAAGATTCTGAATTGATCCTCGCTAACTTTATTTCAGAAAGTGGTAAAATAGCTGTGGAGTACAGACCCAGTGAAGACATCGTAGGTGTCAGATGCGAAGAAGAACTACACGGTTTAATTCAAGTATGTGAAGATAAAAACTCAGGGGTAACATAGCCAGTGTAACCATAATTCAAAAAAAAGCAGCATAATTTGGAGGATAATTTGTTTCATTCTTAGGAAAATGTGAAACTGATACTACTTTTGAGTGCAGAGTATTTCTGGGGCTTTTCCTGAAGTCTTGACCTTTGGCTCTGACCGCTTATTTGAAGTTTGGAGAGGAGAACTGAGGACTATCAGAGTATTACTACAGTTGTGGACACAGGAGAGGGATTAGTCTTCCCCCAGGAGTTAGGGATTCCAGGCTGCTTGAACACAGGCCTTTTTAGAACTTTCTTCAAACAGAATCCCAGAGATATGGGGAGAAAGTAACTGGCCTTAAGAATGATCGTGCTACAGCTTTCGAAAACTATAATGCCTTTCAAATACAGTTTATTACCTGGATCTCAATATCTCACGTATATCTTGGGTAGAATATTTTGCTGAGATCTTTCTGTAAATCAGTTACAATCATGTGCTACAAAATGATGTTTCGGTCAACAATAGACCACATATATGATGGTGGTTCCATAAGAGTATAATGGAGCTATCCCTATACAGCTATACCATTTTTTATCTTTTAAACAGTATTTTTACTGTACATTTTCCATTTTACATACATAAATACCTTCCGTTATGTTACAATTGCCTTCAGTATTCAGTATAGTAACATACAGTACAGGTTTATAGCTTAGGAGCCATAGGCCATACCATATAGCCTAGGTGTGCTGTAGGCTATACCACCTAGGTTTGTGGAAGTATATGCTATGATGTTAGCACAAGGGTGAAATCACCTAATGACATATTTCTCAAGCTTCTCCTCACATGGCAAGCAACGCATGACTGTATATGAAAGCTCTTAAATAGGGATTAAGTTTCTAAATTAATCTCTGAAAGAAAACAGTCATTATTTACTACATATGGAATTCTTTAAAAAAAGTAGCAAAAGTGTTTTTTTTCAGTAGGAACTTAATTTGGGGCTAGAGTGTTTTATTTAACTTTCACCCCAAAGTTGCAAAGCGTTTTGTTTTGAAGTTTTTCCCTGTAAAATAGTTATTTTAATTCAATTTAAATAAAACCCATCAAGGAAACTTCAAGCTTTAAGAAGTCTAGCTTCCTGTGAAATGTGAGAGAAAGTCAGCACTGATTTCAGAAATCTGATTATAACAATAGATCCATCCCTAAATGAGGCAAGTCTTGGAATCCCTTCCATTGTAAAACCATTAATCTGCACCATATACCTATGCTAGGCACTGGCATAAGATGAAGCACGTTCTTAGAGTTCACATGCTGGTGATTGTGCCAGACAATGAGTAATAAAATAGGTAACAATGGCTGTGGAGGAAGTCAGCTGGGTTCCAGTTATAGTCGCATTTCAGGAAATTATTTAACAGCTGACTTTAACAACCTAAGCCTCTTCTCCATGTGTGCACACAGGGTAGACCTCTGAAGAGTGGCGCTGTAATTTCTAGGGTAATGGCTGTGTTAAGTCAAGGCAGGATGACAGTTCAAACTTCTCTCCCAGACTGAATTGCCCACCTCCCAAAACCCCTCCTACAGAAAATTTGGAGTCTTCACTTATTCCCTGGCAGCCCCTACCTAATAGAGTGGTGAATTATCAAACATGCAACAAAGGATATGGAAAGTTTAGCAAAAACGGCAACATTTTGGAATGAATGACCGTAATGTGCGTTCTGCCTGCCACCCTAACTAGCGCACATTTTGCAGGTCCCTTGCTCTCCCTGGAAGCAGTATGGCCAAGAGGAGGAAGGGTATCTCTCGGATTTCAGCTTGGAGGAGGAAGAGTTCAGGCTGCCAGAACTTGACTAGCATTTCTGAATATCCCAAGGCGAGGTCATGTAACTTCCTTGGGAAGCTCTGTCGTGCCCCTACCCCACGCCGCCCCACCACTATAGGCTGCTGGAGTCCTGGAACCACCTGGGTCGGCCGCCCAAATCTTTCCTGGCGAAGGGGAGGGAAGGGGTGTTCTGGTGGAGTGGGAAGGGAGGCTTGGGTAGGATTGTGGGATAAGATCGCCCTGGTGACGAGGAGCGGATCTCGAACGGAACTTAATAAAGGTTGCCTAGATAAAGATATGGTAAATAACGGACGAGGCGGGGCCGCGGTTGCTAAGGGCGCGGGCATCTGGTGGCTGCCATAATGGCTTCTGCTCAGTGCGGGACGCCAACTTCTGTCATGTACCGGCTGCGTCTCTGGTCCCTATGGCCCCTCCTCACGTGACAACTACTGTGACTACTAGTCCAGGAGGCTCAGCCTCTGGAGTGGGTCCAGGGCCCACTCCAGCTGACCTCCGACCCCCTGAGGCCAACTGAGCCCTGGGCTTGGCGCTCCTCCGATCTCCCCCCGGAACCTCCCTATGCGTTTATCCACCCCCACCCCCATACAGACCCGGGAGCTTTGATAACCTGAGGTCCTCTACTGCCACCCAGATGTCAGCCTCGCCTCAGGAACCGACTGAGACTTTGGTTCCATTTCTGGACACAGATTCAGCTGGAGAGCTGCCCCTGGGGCCAGAGAAGTTCGCTGTTGCACACCAGGATCTGAATGATAAGCTGACTCACAAGAAAGGCTCCCAGAGTTGGTTCCAATGCTAGACTGGGATCAGAACCAGACGGTAGCTCGGCCTCTTTGCCTCAAAAGTAAGGTTCAAACTGTAAGTCTAGATCAGGCTGCAGATCATTAGGCATATGAAATACTTGTTCCACCTCTAGATAGTCAGAATTCAAAAGCAATGAAGATTAGTGTTTCACCCAAAAACCTGAAGAAGAAAGATCTACCTAAGCATCGGAGGCTTGCTAAGGTTGTTGTTGGAACTCCACACCGATTTGTATCAAAACCTCAGTGTCAGAAACAAACTTTACAAGCATTTAGTATTTAGATTCAGGTATGGATATACTGTATCTGGGCAGCCTTCCTCCAGAAGTCCAGGTGAAAGATGAGCCTCCAGGGCCCCATGAGCAAGTTGGACTTTTGCCAATTCTATCTAGAGCCCGAAACTCAAAATCCACAGACCCTCCAAGAGATCCAGTCATCTTCACTCCAGCAAGAAGCCCCAGCACAGCTTCCACAGGTCCCTGAATACGTAGAAACTTCTTCAACCCCGTAGGAGGCCCCAGCTCTTCCTTCTCAGTCCCTTAAGGGGGTCCATTCTTCAACAGAGCAGGAGGCCCCAACACAGCTGCTACCTGCCCTGAAGAGATTGTAGCTCAGTTATGAATACGTTATCAGGTAAATGTTGCATTAAAAAGTTGGAGTGAGGCCAGGTGCAGTGGCTTACACCTGTAGTCCTAGCACTTTGGGAGGCCAAAGAGGGTGGATAACCTGAGATCAGGAGTTCGAGACTATCCTGACCAACATGGTGAAACCCTGTCTCTACTAAAAATACAAAAGTTTGCTGGGTGTAGTGGTGAGCACCTGTAATCCCAGCTACTCAGGAGGCTGAGGAAGGAGAATCGCTTGAACCTGGGAGGTGGAGGTTGCAATGAGCTGAGATTGCACCATTGCACTCCAGCCTGGGCGACAGAGTGAGACTCCATCTCAAACAAACAAAAAAAGTTGGAGTGAAGCTCATCACTCACACTTGCCCAATGTAACAGTCAAACTTGTGGATTTGGAGCTTACAATAAGTCCAAAGCCAGATAAGAAACTTACATCAAGCCGGGAACAGGCCACAACTCAGCCTCCAGAGCACCCTGAGAAGATGGACCCTTCCTCAACCCAATTAGAGGACCCAGCTTAGACACCAGAGTGCCCTGAGGAGATGAAATCTACAACCCAGCACAGGACCCCAGCTGAGCCTCCAGTTCCTCCTATGGAGGCCAGACCTTCTCCAAGTGAGCAGGAACAGCCAGCTCAGCCTTCTGAGTTTCCTGGGGAGGTTGAACCTTCCCAGACCCAGCAGGAGGCCACCGCTCAGCCTCCAAAGTTCTCTATGGAGAGTGCATATCAAACTGCACTGAATTATGAGGTGACAGTTCAAACTCAGGGTGAGGATCAAGCTCATTATACAAATGACAGTTAAACCTGTGGATGTAGAGATTACCATAACTTCAGAGCCTATCAAAGAGACTAAATATTCTGCAGCCCAGCAGGAGGTCCCAACCCAGCCTCCAGAGGGAGTGGAAACTTCTGCAAACCAACAGGATTTAACTGAGGCTCCAAGTCCTGTGGAGGATGAATCTCCCCCGAGTGAGCAAGAACAGACAGCTCAGACTTCTGAGTCTTCAGGGGAGGTTGAATCGTCTCCAGCCCAGCACGAGACCCCAGCTCAGCCTCCAGAACATCATGAAGTAAAAGTTTCACCTCCAGGTCACCATAAAGCTCAGCATTCAGATTTGCCCATTGTCACTGTTAAGCCTCCAGTTATGCAGCTCACCATAGCAACAGAGCCTACTGCAGAGGTGGGAACTTCTCCAATCCACCAGGAGGCTACAGCTTAGCTCTCAGGGGCAGTTAATGATGTGGAACCTTCCATGACCCAGCACGGGGGCCCAACTCTGCCTCCATAGTCATCAGAAGATGACTTTACCAGTTCAACAGGAGACTTCAGTTCAATCTCCAGCTATTAAAGATGAGAACCTCTCTCCAGCCCAGCAGAAGGCTGCTGCTGAGTATCCACAGATGCCTGAGGAGGTTGAGTCTTCTCCAACACAGCAATAGACCCCAGCTCAGCCTTCAGAGATCCCTATTGAAGTTATAGCTAATCTCCAGTGCATCATGAGGTAACAGTTTCTCTAAGTCATGATCAAGTTCAGCCTCCAACATTGCACAATGACACTGTGAAACCTGTGGATCACATGGTAACCATGACTCCAGAGTTCACCTAACAGGTTGAAATTTTAACCAAACACAGGGCCCCAGCTCAGTCCTCAATGTCCCCTTAGCAGTTTCAGCATTTGAAAGACCAGCAAGAAATGATTATTCAGCAGCTAAATACCCCTGAAAATGATGAACTTCCTCCAGTCCCTCAAGAGCCCACAACTCAGTCACCAGCTCAGACTTTGTAAGGTCATTGAATGATGAGATGGTATTTTCACCTCTAGATCTATCTTTAATATTCAGAAATAATTCAACTTTCCCTAATACCACATTTAAAAATATGGATATGGACCTCACCATACCTACAGAAGTCACTATGGAGGTTGAACCTTCCCCAGTCCAGCAGGACAATCCTCCTATTCCCACTGAGTAGGCTGACTTTTCTCCAACCCAGCATGATACCCCTTCCCCACCTCTGGATTCTCCAGAAAAGATTGAATCTCCATCACAGCAAGAGGCCACAGCTCAGACCCCAGATTCCCCTAAAGGGGTGGATTTTCTCCAGTCCAGCAAGAGTCCCCAGCTGAGGCACCAGAGCTCCCTAAGGAGGTTGAACCACTGCAACCCAGCAGGAAGCCTCAGGTCATCCTCCAAAGTCCACTGCAGAGGTCAGTCCACCATAGCTGGAGATACCAGCTCAGCCATCAGCCACCTGAGAAGGTCAAACCATCTTCAGTCCTACAGCAGGCCTCAACTCAGCTTTTAGAGCCACCTGAAGAGGTAGAATGCTCTCCAGTCCAGTAGACAGTGCCTGCTCAGTCTTCAGAGCCCCCTATGGTGGTAGAATCCTCTTCGACAGAGCAGATGGCCCCATCTTTGCCTCCAAATCTCCCTCAGGAGGTGGAACCATCTCTGACTCATCAGGAGGTTCCAACTCAGACTCCAGAGCCCCCTATGGAGACAGAACCTTCTCCAGCTCAGCAGGAGGCCACAGTTCAGGCTCCAGAGCCTCCTAAGGAGGCAGAACCTTCAAGTCAGCAGATGGTCCCAGCTCAGCTTCCAGAGCCCCCTAAGGGGGTTGCAGCTCAACCTCTAATGCATTATGAGATGACAATTGTAACAGCAAGCCAGGACCAAGCTCAGTATCCAGCATTATGAGATGACAATTCCAACAGCAAGCCAAAACCAAGCTCAGTATCCGGTATCACCCAGTGTCACATTTCAACATTTACACCTGGAGCTTACCATAACTCCAGAACCCACTATGGAGGCTGAGCATTCTATAATGCTGAGGATGACTACAGCTCCTCCAAAACACCCTGAGGTGACCCTTCCACCTTCAGACCATGTGCAGGCTCAGCACACAAACCTGAGGCCACAGTGCAACCTTTGGATCTGAAATTTACCACGAATCAACAACCTACTACAGAGAGTATATTTTCTCCAACCATGGAGAATTCAACTCAGCTTCCAGAGCCACCTATGGAGGTTGTAACTCAACCTCCAGCTCATTATGAGGTGACAGTTCCAATACAAGATCAGGATCAAGCTCCGCATTCAATACTGGCCAGTGTCACACTTCAACCTTTGGACCTGGGGCTTACCATCGCTCCAGAATCCACTACAAAGGTTGAACTTTCTCCAGCCATGCAGGAGGCCGCAACTTAGCATCCTCAGGAAGTTACACCTTAACCTCCAGTATTTCAAGAGGTAACAATTTCAACACCAGGTCAGGATCAATCTCAGCATTGAATATCACCCATCATTATAGTTAAACCTCTGGACCTGGGACTTACCATAACTCCAGAACCCACTTCAGAGGTTGAACATTCTACACCCCTGAAGAAGACTATAGTTCCTCCAAAGCACCCTGAGGTGACACTTCCACATCCACACCAGGTTCAGACTTAGCATTCAAACCTGACTCAAGTCACATTTCAGCCTTTGGATCTGAAACTTACCTTAACTCCAGAATCCTCTATGGAGGTTGAGCCTTCTTCAACCATGCATAAGACCCCAACTCAGCCTCCAGAGCTACCTAAGCAGGTTGTAGTTCACCCTCCTGGGTATTATTATGAGATGTCTCTTCCAACAGAAGGCCAGGATCAAGCTAATCATCCAACCTCACCCAGTGTCACAGTTCAACCTTTGGATCTGGGGCTTACCGTTACTCCACAATTCACTACAAAGGTTGAACCTTCTAGAGCCATGATGACTACAGCTCCTCTGCCAAAGCACCCTAAGGTGACACTTCCACCACGAGACAAAGGTCAATGCTCAGTATTCAAACCAGACCCAAGTCACAGTTCAACTTTTGGACTTGGAACTTACCATAAATACAGAACCTACTACAGGGGTGAAACTTTTCCAACCACAGAGGAGACCTCAACTCAGCCTCCAGACCTGGGGCTTGCCATAACTCTAGACCCCATACAGACATTGAACATTCTACAGCCCTGGACAAGACTGCAGCTTCACGTCCAGACCAGGTTCAGACTCAGCTTCAAAACCTGACTGAAGTCAGAGGTCCACCTTTCAACTAGAACCTACTCAGGATTCATTGGTTCAGTCTGAAAGTTACACCCAAAATAAGGCTTTAACTGCACAAGAGGAACAGAAGGCCTCCACAAGCACCAACATATGTGATCTCTGTACCTGCGGAGATGAGACGCTGTCATGTATTGACATCAGCCCAAAGCAGAGGCTCCGCCAAGTGCCTGTGCCAGAGCCTAGCACCTACAATGGCATCTTCACCATCTTGTAAGAATCACCTTTCCTCAATTGTTCTCTGTGTCCTGCCTGATATAGCAGCTTTTTCCTGGAGGCCTTCCTGGGCCTTCTTTATCTCACCAAACCACATGGACAACTGACTTTCTGCTTCTGCCTTTGCCTGTCATTTCTTCCTTCTCCTCATTCTCCTTTACTGTTAGGCCCCTTCCCTGGTCTTTTACTTGTGATTGCTCTTAATCCTTTTCTTATCCATTTTTCTTTAGCCCCATCACATCATTTGCTTCACTGCTGCTGTCCTCCTATTTGCACTTCATCCTCTTTACAGCAGTCTGTCTCTCCATCTCAGTGATAGTGCTCTAGGTGGTTAAGAGTTGATTCTGAAGCCAGGTTACTGGGTTTGAACCCAGGTCTGTCATTTGTTAGCTTGGTTACCCTGAACAAGTTATTTTTCTCTGTGACTCAATTTCCTCATCTTTAAACTGGGGATTATTCTAGTTACCATTTCATAGGATTGTTGTGAAATTTAGGTGAGTGAATACCTGTAATACTTGCATCAGTGCCTAGTATATGTAAGAGTGGTGGCTGTTAACATGATTACTTAGCTCTTTAGTTATGTTCAGAACTCATCTTTGTCCCTGACTTTCTATATGTAGCACCCGTTTTGTGTCCAACCCAGGGACAAGTATGACACTGTCTCTGGAACATGAAAATGATAGAAGAAAAAGAATAAGCATAAAAATGGAGGTGTAAATAATAAAGTACTAAAACATAATGCAGACCATCAGTGCTAGAATTCACCAGAATCTGTGATCCTTGAATTATGGAGGTCAGGGGAAGCTGCATCAGTAAACTAACACTTTACCTGGGGCTTAAAAATTAGCTATAATTTGTTAAATAAGAAAAAAATAGGAGTACGGTCTAGGCAAAGGCATGGTTACAGGTATGGTCGAAATTGAGTAGAACGACCCACAGCTCAGCCTCCAGAGAAACCCAAGGAGGTGGACTCTTCCTCAACCCAATTAGAGGCCCCAGCTCAGATACCAGAGCACCCTGAGGAGATTAAATCTGCAGCAACCCACCAAGGGACTCCGGCTGAGCCTCCAGGTCCTCCTGTGGCAGCTGAACCTTCCTCCAGTAAGCAGCAGCAGCCAGCTCAGCCTTCTGAGTTTCCTGGGGAGGTTGAACCTTCTCAGACCCAGCAGAAGACCCCAGTTCAGCCTCCAGAGTCTTCTATGGAGAGTGCAGCTCAAACTCCACCGAATCATGGGTGACAATTTAACGTCAGGGTGAGGATGGAGCTCATTATACCTTGCCAAGCATTACAGTTAAGCCTGTGGATGTAGAGATTAGCATAACTTGAGAGCCAAGGATAATGAATCTTCTCCAGTCCAGCAGGAGGCCCCAACCTAGCCTCCAGAGGAGGTGGAAACTTCCACAACCCAAGAGAAGGCCCCAACTGAGCCTCCATGTTCTCCTGTGGAGACTGATCCTTTTCCCGGTGAGCATGAGCAGCCAGCTCAGCCTTCTGAGTCTCCTGGGAGGTTGAATTTTCTCCAGCCCAGCAGGAGATTCCAGCTCAGCCTTGAAAACATTATGAGGTAACAGTTTCACCTCCAGCTCACCATCAAGCTCAGTCCTTAATGTCCCCTGAGAAGTTTAACCATTTGAAAGATGCACAAGAGATTATCATTCAGCAGTTAACTACCCCTGAAAATGATGAACTTTCTCCACTTGCTCAAAAGCCCACAACTTGGTCTCCAGCTCAGCTCTCCTCAGACATTGTAAGTCCATTGAATGATGAGATGGAATTTTTCACCTGAAGATCTGTCTTCAATATTCAGAAATAATTCAACTTTGCCTAAAATCACAGTTAAAAATGTGGATATAGAGTTTACCATACCTACAGCAGTCACTATAGAGGTTGAACCTTCTCCAGTCCAGCAGGACAACCCTCCTATTTCCAGTGAGCAGGCTGACTTTTCTCTAGCCCAGCCTGATTCCCCTTCCCTACCTCTGGAGTCTCCTGAAGAGAGTGAATCTTCAGCCCAGCAAGAGGCTACAGCTCAGACTCCAAATCCCCCTAAGGAGGTAGAACCTTCTCCAGTCCAGCAAGAGTTTCCAGCTGAGCCAACAGAGCCTGCTAAGGAGGTTGAACCATCTGCAACCCAGCAGGAAGCCTCAGGTCATCCTCTGAAGTCCACAAAAGAGGTCAATCCTCCACCAAAGCAGGAGATACCAGCTCAGCCATCAGAGCCACCTGAGAAGGTTGAACTATCTCCAGTCCTACAGCAGGCCCCAACTCAGCTTTTAGAGCCACTTAAAAAGGTAGAATGCTCTCCAGTCCAGCAGGCAGTCCCTGCTCAGTCTTCAGAGCCCTCTATTGTGGTAGAACCCTCTCCAGTCCAGCAGATAGCCCATCTTTGCCTCCAGAGCTCCCTCAGGAAGTGGAACCCTCTCTAACTCAGCAAAACTTTCCAGCTCAGACTCCATACCCCCTATGGAGGCAGAGCCTTCTCCAAACCAGCAGGAGGCCACAGTTCAGGCTTCAGAGCCCCCCAAGAATATAGAACTTTCAAGCCAGCAGATGGTCCCAGGTCAGCTTCCAGAGCCACCTAAGCGGGTTGCAGCTCAACATCCAATGCATTATGAGATGATAATTTCAACAGCAAGGCAGGACCAGGCTCAGTATCCAGTGTCACCCAGTGTCACATTTCAACCTTTAGACCTAGGGCTTACTATAACTCCAGTATCCACAAAGGAGGCTGAGCATTCGACAACCCTGAGAAAAACTGCAGTTCCTCCAAAACACCCTGAAGTGACTCTTGCAACTCCAGACCATGTGCAGGCTCAGCACACAAACCTAACTGAGGTCACAGTTTAAACTTTGGATCTGAAACTTACCACAACTCCACAACCTACTGCAGAGAATATATTTCCTCCAACCATGGAGAACTCAAATCAACTTCCAGAACCACCTACGGAGGTTGTAGCTCAACTTCCACCTCGTTATGAGGTGACAATTCCAACACAAGGTCAGGATCAAGCTCAGCTTTCAACACTGGCCAGTGTCACACTTCAACCTTTGGACCTGGGGTTTATCATCACTCCAGAATCCACTACAGAAATTGAACTTTCTCCAACCATGCAGGAGACCCCAACTCAGCCTCCTAAGGAATTTGTACCCCAACCTCCAGTATATCAAGAGGTGAGTGTTCCAACACCGGGTCAGGATCAAGCTCAGCATCCAATGTCACCTAGCGTTACAGTTCAACCTCTGGACCTGGTGGACTTACCATAACTCCAGAACCCACTACAGAGGTTGAACATTCTACACCCCTGAAAAAGACTACAGTTCCTCCAAAGCACCCTGAGATGACACTTCCACATCCACACCAGGTTCAGACTCTACATTCAAACCTGATTCAAGTCACAGTTCAACCTTTGGGTCTGAAACTTACCTTAACTCTATGGAGGTTGAATCCTCTATGGAGGTTGAGCCTTCTCCAACCATGCAGAAGACCCCAACTCGGCCTCCAGAGCTACCTAAGGAGTTTGTAGCTCAACCGCCTGTGTATTATTATCAGATACCCATTCCAACACCAAGCCAAGATCAAGCTCTGCCCTTCTACAGCCCCGATGACTACAGCTCCTCCTCCAAAGCATCCTGAAATGACACATCCACCTCCAGACAAGAACCAGGCTCAGCATCCAAACCTGACTCAATTCACAGTTCAATCTTTGGACCTGGAGCTTACCATAACTACAGAACCTACTACAGAGGTTAAAACTTCTCCAACCATGGAGGAGACCTCAACTCAGCCTTCAGACCTGGGATTTGCCATAGTTCCAGAACTCACCATAGAGACTGAACATTCTACAGGCCTGGACAAGACTACAGCTCCACATCCAGACCAAGTTCAGACTCAGCATTGAAACCTGACTGAAGTCACACATTTCACCTTCTGAACTAGAACCTACTCAGAATTCACTGGTGCAGTCTGAAAGTTATGCCCAAAATAAGGCTTTAACTGCACAGGAGGAACCGAAGGCCTCTACAAGCACCAACATATGTGATCTCTATACCTGCAGAGATGAAACACTCTCATGTATTGATCTCAGCCCAAAGCAGAGGCTCCACCAAGTGCCTGTACCAGAGCCCAGCACCTGCAATGACACCTTCACCATCCTGTGAGAATCGTCTTTCCTCAATTGTTCTGTGTCCTGCCTGACATGACAGCCTTTTCGTGGAGGCCTTCCTGGGCCTCCTTTATCTCACCAAACCGAACTGACAACGGACTTTCTGCTTTCACCTTTCTTGTCAATTCTTCCTTCTCCTGGTTCTCCTTTACTGTTAGGCCCCTTCTCTGGTCTTTTACTTGTGATTGCTCTTAACCCTTTTCTTATCCACTTTCCTTTAGCCCCATCACATCATTGCTTAACAGCGGCTCTCCTCCCATTTTCACTTCACCCTCTTTACAGCAGCCTGTCCCTCTTCCCATCTCAGTGATGATGCTCTAAGTGGTTAAGAGTTGATTCTGTAGCCAGGCTGCCTGGGTTTGAACCCAGGTCTGTCATTTATTAGCTTGGTTACCCTGAGCAAGTTATTCTTCTCTGTGACTCAGTTTCCTCGTCTTTAAACTGGGGATTATGCTAGTTACCATGCCATAGGATTGTTGTGAGATTTAAGTGAGTGCATACATGTATTGCTTACATCGGTGCCTAGCATATGTGGGAGTGTTGGCTGCTAACATGATTACTCAGTCCTTTAGTTATGTCCAGAACGCATCTTTGTCCCTGGCTTTCTATCTGTAGCAGTCGTTTTCTGTCAACCCTTGGCCAAGTATGATACTGTCTTCAGAAATGAAAATGATAGGAGGGAAGAAAGAGACTAGGCATGAAAAGGAGGTATATATAATGAAATACTACAAGATAATGCAGACCATCGGTGCTAGGATTCACCAGAATCTGTGATCCTTGAGGTGTGGAGATCAGGGAAAGCTACATCAATAAGCTAAAACTTACTTGGGACTTAAAGTGTAGCTATAATTTGTTAAATAGAAAACAAATGGGAGTACAGTCTAGGCAAAGTCATGATTACAGGTATGGTTGAAATTTGGTAGACAAGGCTGCAGCTCAGCCTCCAGAGAACCCCAGGGAGGTGGACTCTTCCTCAACCCAATTAGAGGGCCCAGCTCAGACACCAGAGTGCACTGAGGAGATGAAATATTTTGCCCCCAGCAGGGGACCCCAGCTGAGCCTCCAGGTCCTCCTGTGGAGGCTGAACCTTCCCCCAGTCAGCAGGAGCAGCCAGCTCAGCCTTCTGAGTTTTCTGGGGAGGTGGAATTTTCTCAGACCCAGGAGACCCCCAACTCTGCCTCCAGAGTCTTCTATAGAGAGTGTAGCTCAAACTCCACTGAATCATGAAGTGACAGTTCAAACTCAGGGTGAGGATCAAGCTCATTATACCTTGCCGAGCATTACAGTTAAACCTGCAGATGTAGAGATTAGCATAACTTCAGAGCCTACCACGGACACTGACTCTTCTCCAGCCCAGCAGGCGGCCCCAAACCAGCATCCAGAGCAGGTGTAACCTTCTGCAACCCAACAGGAGGCCACAACTGAGCCTCCAGGTCCTCATGTGAATGCTGAACATTCCCCAGTGAGCAGGAGCAGCCAGGTCTGCCTTCTGGGTTTTCTGGAGAAGTTGAGTCCTCTCTAGCCTGCAGGAGACCCCAGCCCAGCCTCCAGAACATCATCAAGTAACAGTTCCACCTCCTGGTCACCATCAAGTTCAACACTGAGATTTGCCCAATGTCACTGTTAAGCCTCCAAATATGCAGCTCACCATAGCAACACAGCCTACTGCAGAGGTGGGAACTTCGCCAGTCCATCAGGAGGCTACAGCTCAGCTCTCAGGGCCAGTTAATGATGTGGAACATTCTGACATCCAGCATGGGGCCCCGCCTCTGCCTACAGAGTCATCGGAAGAGACTGGACCTTTACCAGTTCAACAGGAGACTTCAGCTGAATCTCCAGAACCTACTAAAGATGAGAACCCCTCTCCAATACAGTAGGAGGCTGCAGGTGAGCATCCACAGACCCCTGAGTAGGTCGAGTCTTCTCCAACCCAGCAAGATGCCCCAGCTCAGCCTTCAGAGCTCCCTAATGAAGTTGTAGCTCAACCTCCAGAGCATCACAGAGTAATAGTTTCTCCTGTAAGTCATGAGGAAGTTCAGCCTCCAACATTTCACCATGTCATTGTTAAGCCTGTGGATCACATGGTTACCATGACTCCAGAGTTCACCTATCAGGTGGAAGTTTTAACTCAACACAGGGCCCCAGCTCAGCCTTTAATATCCCCTGAGCAGTTTAAACATTTGAAAGACCAGCAAAAGATTATCATTCAGCAGCTAAATACCCCTGGAAATGATGAACTTCCGCCAAATCTATCAAGAGCCCATGACTCCATCTCCAACTCAGCTCTCCTCAGACATTGTAAGTTCGTTTAATTGTAAGATGGTATTTTCATCTCTAGATGTGTCTTCCGTATTCAGAAGTAGTTCAACTTTGCCTAATACCACAGTTAAATATGTGAATATTGGCCGGGCATGGCGGCTCACGCCTGTAATCCCAGCACTTTGGGAGGCCAAGGCAGGCAGATCATGAGGTCAGGAGATCCAGACCATCCTGGCTAACATGGTGAAACCCCGTCTCTACTAAAAATACAAAAAATTAGCCAGGTGTTGTCGCAGGCGCCTGTAGTCCCAGCTACTCAGGAGGCTGAGGCAGGAGAATGGCATGAACCCGGGAGGCAGAGCTTGCAGTGAGCCGAGATCGCGCCACTGCACTCCAGCCTGGGCGACAGAGGGAGACTCCATCTCAAAAAAAAAAAAAGGATCTAGCATAAGTATGGACTAATTTTTTTATCTTGCCTGAATTCCTATCTAAGGGGTCTGAGGAGTCATGCCCTACAAATCGTAAATTCTCATCAGATGGGTCTTATTTAACCCTATATATCATGATTTACTTTCCAGCCTGACCGTGTCATAACATTGCAAGACAAAGAAAATCAAAATATTTTACCCCAAAACATGTTATTTTGCCATATTTTTGAATGGCCCTGCAAAGCTTCTCTTTGTGGGAGAAATTTTGTATCTGTAAAGCATCTCTATTAACATAGCTAGATCTTTTTCTTCTAGAACCTCCCAATCCTAAAGAGATTCACTAAGATCTGAATAGGAAACATTTGTCACCTATTTCTCTAAGGGCAGCCACTATAAGACTTCAAAAGAACTTTGGTCTCCACAATCTTTATCGTAACCTGAACATTCCCTTTCTATCTATCCCAGGTCTTGAGACAAACTCAACCTTAATTGTCAATCAGAAAATGTTTAAATTCACCTATAGCCTGAAAGCCCCCAACTCCACTTTGAGTTGTTCCACCTTTCTGGACCAAACCAATGTATTTCTTAAATGTATGTGATTGATGTCTCATGCCTCTCTAAAATGTATAAAACGAAGCTACGCCCTGACCACCCTGGACACATGTTCTCAGGACTTCCTGAGGGCTGTGTCATGGGCCATGGTCACTCATATTTGGCTCAGAATAAATCTCTTCAAATATTTTACAGTTCAACTCTTTTCATCGACATACGGACACTTGAAGTGAAGAAGCAGAGGAAAGAGAATGAAGTGGGAAAAATATAAAGAAATAATTACAGAAAACTTCCCAAATTTTCTGAAAGGCTTGAATTTACAAATTCAAGGTCAGCAAACCCCATATAGGATTGATTCAGAGAAACCTATACTTAGGCATATCAAAGTCAAACTGCTGAAAGCAAAAAAAGAGAGAATTTTGAAAGCAGGAGAGAAAAGTGGCACAATACATATGGGAAAACAACTATTTGAATAACTGAAGACTTTTTTTTTTTTTTTGATGGAGGGCCAGATAGGTGGATTCAAAGATTTTCTGATTGGCAATTGGTTGAGTTATTACCTAAAAACCTGGAATCATTAGAAAGGAATGTCTAGGTTACCATAAGGGGTTGTGGAGACCAAGCTGTTATCATGCAGATGAAGCCTCCAGGTATCAGGCTTCAGAGAGAGTAGATTTTAAATATTTCTTATCAGACTTCAAGAGTCTGTTCTATCAGTCTTAAGATCTTTTTGACGTGAATGGTAACAAGGCGTGTCTGACTCCCCCCTTCCGATCATGACCTGAACTAGTTTTTCAGGTTAACTTTAGAATGCCCTTGGCCGAGAGGAGGTGCCCATTCAGATGGCTGAAGGGCTTCAAATTTTATTTTTGGTTTACAGCCCATTCTTCATCAAACCTAAGCATAAAAAAACAGCAGTTTTCCCCTGGGTATCTGTGTCATTTCTGAAGGTTCCAGTGTCACGCAAGACTTTGATTTTTAAAATTAAATAAATTTGTTATGCTTTATTCTTGTTAATCTGTCTTTTGTTATAAGGGTGTCATCCATGAAACAATGGGTGAGGAAAAGATAACTACTTTTTCTCCTCTACAATACCACACTCTCTTCAAAGCTCATGCTTTTTTGGTCCCCTCTATCGTTTCACAATGAAGTCGCAGGCTGGGATGGCTGGGGTTTGGGTTGAAAAGTAGTCTGGGGCCAAATTGTCAACACTTGAATGCCATACAAAGGAGTCTGCATTTTAGTTTTTATGAAATAAGGAGTTATTGGCCAGGTGTGATGGCTCACACCTGTAATCCCAGTACTTTGGGAGGCTGAGGTGGGCAGATGGCTTGAGCCCAGGAGTTTAAGACCAGTCTGGGCAACATGACGAAACCCTGTGTCTATAAAAAATACAAAAATTAGCTGGGTATGGTGTCGCATGCCTGTAGTCCCAACTACTCAGGAAGTTGAGGTGGGAAGACCACTCGTGCCCAGGAGGTTGAGGCTACAGTGAGCTGTGATTGCACCACTGTACTCCAGCCGGGGGTACAAGCAAGGCCCTGCCACAAAACATAAAAATAAATAAATAAATAAATAAATAAATAAATAAATAAATAAGGAGTTATTGAAGGAGATCTCTGCAGTCAGAAAAATCTGGGCACAAATTGTAGGGGAGGAAATATAATATCTTTTTCTCACCCATCGCGAGTTTCATGGCTGAGGCCCCTATAACAAGACAGATTAACAAGAGAAAGCATACAAATTTATTTATGGTAAGTTTTACATAAAACAAGAGACTTCAGAAATGAAAATCCAAATACTAAAGAAAAACTACTTTTATGTACAGTCATGCAGAAGTATGATTAGAAGACAAAAGGGTATATTCTAATGGTAATAAACTGAGGGAGGGGAAGACTTATCAAGGCCTGTTTGCTCAGATTCTTCTTGGCCTCCAGGGTTGGGGAGGACCTCTCTGGAATGAGGATCTTATGACCTATTTTCAGAGGAGGTAGATCAGAATTCTTTTACAGCCTGCTTCAAGGGAGAAAGGTGGGAGGAGGTCAGAGAGTGACCTCCCTGTTTCTGTAGTTTTCTCAGTTTCTTTCAGCTTAAAATAATCAGTAGGCCAAGGTGCCACATTTTGGGGTAGCATGCTCCATACCCCATCAAGATCATGTTCCAGTAATCAACTTCTGTACAGAAAAATCACCCCAGAACTTTAAGCTTAAAACAATAACCATTTCTTATCTCTTACAATTTTTGTGGATTAGGAATGCAGGAAAGGGTTGGCTGGGAGGTTCTGGTGTGGGGTCTCTCAGGTAGTTACAGTCAGACATTAATTCTCTCTCTCTGTCTCTCTCCACATGGTCTCTCCAGCATGGCAGTCTCAGGGTAGCTACACTTCAAAGGCTTCCTGAGCCAATATTTCAAAAAGAATAGCAAGCATCTGGGCAACATTTTCTAATCTAGCGTTGAGAATCATTCTGATCCACGTATTGAGAATGTTGCAAAGATCCAAGAACAGAGGACCTACTTTCCACCACTTGATGGTACAAATATAGAATTGTGGACATGTTTAAAACCACCACTTAATTCATCTATAGAATATAAAGAATAATAACAATATCCAGAGAGGGTTGATCTGAGGCTAAAATAAGATAAGGTATACTTCATTTCCCCATTTCCCTTCTGGAGCTTCCTGAGATCACCTCTCAGTAAACTACTTTCACTCAGCCGGGCACAGTGGCTCACGCCTGTAATCCCAGCACTTTGGGAGGCTGAGGCAGGTGGATAACCTGAGGCTGGGAGTTCGAGACCAGCCTGGCCAACATGGTGAAATCCCGTCTCTACTAAACATACAAAAATTAGCCGGGCATGGTTGTGCATGCCTATAATCCCAGCTACTCAGAAGGCTGAGGCACGAGAATTGCTTGAACCCAGGAGACAGAGGTTACAGTGAGCTGAGATCACACCACTGCACTCCAGCCTAGGTAACAGTGAGACTCTGTCTCAAGAAAGAGAAAAAAAATACTTGCACTCAAATCCTCTCTCAGGTTCGGCTTCTGGAGGAGCCAACCTAAGAAAGGTGGGAAAGAAAGAAAAGTCAACTCCTAGATTGTTAGCCTGACCCGTTGAGCTTCATCATTTTAGCTTAAACAGCCACATTTATGGAGTATCTGCCAAGTACCATGTTACATATTTTAGGCCAATTCCTAATCATAGCCACATTGTGTAGTGTATAGCATCATCCTCATATCTCCGATAAGAAAACAGCCTTGGAAACGTCAACCAGCTGCCCAGAATTAGGCAGCTAGTAAGTGGTGGAGCTGATTTGTAAAGAACAGGAGATGAAGGAGGCAGAAAGTCCACACTGCTTTTTGGCATGGCTGCCCAAAATGTGGGGTTATGACAACTCCTATTTCCATGTGCCCCACCTCCCAACTGGAAAGTTCCTATTTCCTCATAGGGGGATTTTTTTTTTTTTTTTGAGACGGCGTCTCGCTTTGTCTCCCAGGCTGGAGTGCAGTGGCGTGATCTCAGCTCACTGCAACCTCCGCCTCCCAGGTTCAAGCGATTCTTCTGTCTCAGCCTCCCAAGTAGCTGGGATTACAGGTGCCCACCACCACGCCCAGCTAACTTTTATATTTTTAGTAGAGAAGTGATCTCACCATGTTGGCCAGGCTGGTCTCAAACTCCTGACCTCAGGTAATCCACCCGCCTCGGCCTCCCAAAGTGCTGGGATTACAGGCGTGAGCCACCACACCCGGCCACAGCGGGGATTTTTAATGGTACTATCATTCAACTTGTCACTGATGGAGAAAGTGGAAGAGATGGAGAAAGAAAAAGAAAGAGCAAAAGTATAGACGATGAGAGAGAAAGTTTACAATGTGCCAAATACCGTTCAATTCTTTAATCTTCCCAACAAGGCTCGAGGGACACATTAGCTAATATTATCTTTTACTTTTCAGAACGGGAAAGGCCACATTCTATGGAACAGTAAAGAGAAAATCCAGCCACCCTGATACCCAGTGTGTCTAGGTCACGCCCTGCCTCACTGTGACTCAGACTGTCTCTATGTTTTCCATTTCTTTTCTTTTTTCTACTTTTTTTTTTTTTTTAACAAAACAATTCCATGTCCTACTTTCTGAGCATATCCTGGCTGGTCCCTGCAGGGAAATTAAGCCTTCTTAAGGGGTTGGAGCCATCAAAAAGCAGCTGCAGGACAGAAAAGTGAGGGTGTGAGCTGTCAGTGTTTCTCTCCTGTTTTCAGAAGCACTGACAGGATTTTGACGAGACAAACGGGTGGTTAGAGTGTCTGCAGCGATGGGGCTAGAAAGCAGCCTGTGTGTCTGCAACATGAGAGGGAAGTTTTATGGCTGGAGGACTGTGTGTTTATGTGACCCTGGGGGTAGTTCTTCATCATTAATCATGTAGCAGTGTCAAAAATGTACATGTTACAACTTGGACGTGCAGAAAAGAGTTGCTATTTTTCAGTAACTGAGCTCACACTGGAGCACCCACTCTCACCAATGGTGGAAGAAACATTTGAACAAGGGTAATTAAGGAAAATGAGCTCCTCTGAAATGAAGCAGTTTCACTTCAGGTAAATATTCATGGCCAATGTGAAGTTCAAACTCCTTGTCAGGACTGTTTCTTACCTCCCAGGGTGGCTTCAGGATGCAGGGCGTCATGCAGAGGGTGGGGCATGGTTCTCATTCTGCTGACTGCAGCTGACGTGTTGACATATGGCTCATCTCACCTTGCTCCGGGACCCTCTTGATGCTCCAGTGCCACAGCTGGCGGACCCTGTGGTCTGTTCTCTTGCTGAGGCCAGAACCCACAGCCACTTGCTGCCTGGGCCCCACCCAGTTCTCACTGATCTGAGCCTCAGCATGTCCTCTATCCTTTTTAAACTGCCCATTTGGCAGCCTCTGCTATGTGGGCATCCGGAACCTCACCAGAATATCCAAAAAGTCATTCCCATTCTCCATCTCAGATACTGCAAGTAGTCAAGACTCACCCCATCTACATCCCCAAGAACTGAAGGCTCCTGTTACATCATGGCACCTCTTCCTCTGATTCCCAGCTTCCACGGAATTCTCCATTTCTTCACATGCTGCTTCACCCCACGAGGGTCAGGGCCCTCATTTCTTCATTCCCCCAAAACAACCACGATGTAAGGCTATTGGTTGTAACATGTTTACTGGAGATTTGCACACAAGATAGGTATTGAATATAGCACAGAATAATTCAGGTGAGAACTTGAATTTGGATACCAGCCATAAAAATCCCTGCCTTAAAAAACCACTGGCCATTCCCTGACAGAATAAATTAATCTCTCCCTGGCCTGATTTTATTCCCAGGATCTGGCCCACTGTGTTCTAGATCCCTGCACATCTCCCCTCTTCTCTCTCACCACCACATATCCTTACCCCATCTCACACTGACCATGAATGACTTCCAATCCTGTTTCTTACGCAGAGTTAGCCCTCTCTAGGCAATATGAGGTAGGGGCGGGATGGAATGGAGGGATTTCCCTTTTTATAATCACACATGCCCATTAAGGTATTTTCCCCCCTAATCCTAAGAGTAATTCCCTCCCTAAGAATAATTTTGCCCTCATTTTAGATCAGCCAGCTCAATGTTAGGCAGCTTTGCTAAAATAGTTGTGTAATGCCTACAAACATTTTTGTAATGGGGTATTTTTTTGAATCCTCACATGAAGCAGTAGGTAATATTATTATACCCATTTCACAAAGAAACTGAGGCTTAGCAAAGTTAGGGAACGTGGCCACTGAGTGAATCAACAGCCAAGCAAGAACCCAGACCCAGGTCTGCTTCCTCTAAATGCCCATGCTCTCCGCCACTGCCCATCAGGGGAGAAAAGAGATATGTGTCTGCAGCTGACAGGCAAACCCCATCTTCAAAATCAATTCCCAAGTGGCAGGAAAGGCCATTGTACTGCAGGGGCCTCTGCGGAGGGGACAAGCCAGGAGACAGGAGCCCTCGACGCTGGGGAAGCTTGTTCCTGAGGTCCCTACTGGTCCAACACACCATCTTCACGAAGCAACCTCCAGGATTCTCACTCCCAACTCAGCCTGTTCCCTGACAAGAGAGTCCCCACTGCAAACACCAATGCTGAGTCTGCCCTGGAAACAGCCCCCTTTGGGCTGACCACACTGTCTCTAGACCTCAGAACTATAGAGAGGCAGCTGCAAACTTGAGGCTCTCCCGGACTGTTCTGATCAACGTGCATCCCTGGCAAGGAGGCACTGTGCCTTTCTACCTCTACTGGGCAAGGGGCCAAGCCCAGAGAGGGCATCAGTGTTTGCTGAACTGAGTCCAATTCCAACCACTACTGTTTCCTCCTTCCTTTGTGATAAAGGGCTCCAGTAGGCTGAGCTGATCTCAGTGACTGTGAGCACAACTACTTCCATTTACTGAGCACCTAGTATGTGCCAGGCATCATATGCAATGACCTTATCTGGTCCTTACCAGTCACGTGGGCTCAGTAGAAAGTCAGTTCATTTTATAGATGAGGAAACAGTCCAGCAAGAGCACAGCAATTTCTTGAGCTTTTACAGCATAAGCAGCAGAGGCTGGAATTTGAACCAAAGTTTGTACAACTCCAAAGACTATCCTGTTTCCACTATGAAATACCCTCCATCAGAGGAGATAATGTCTACCACTCCTTCCCCGGAGATGATGAAATATCACTCTTCTTCTTTTGGGGGAGGGCACGTATGGTTGTTTTTGGTGTCAAAATATGATTCTAAAAGCCCACTTCCCTGATGTGGTAAAGGGTGGGGTGAGGGGTTGGGTGAGGGGGCTGGGGCAGGAATGAGCCACTGGGTGAATCATGCACCTCAACCTCTGCTGAGAGAGCCTGAATCTCTTACTGGCCTGAGGGGGTAAAAGAAGCTCTAAGACGGGCTGAAGCTCCATGGGAATTCTCCCTCCAATACCTGGGTAACCCCCTACCACATGACTTATTAGAAATAGATCAAATATGCACATGATACAAAATTCTAAAGATACAAAGTGGTATACAAGGAAAAGAAGGTCTCCCTCCTACCGCTGTCCTCCAGGCCTCTCTCCCATTACCCTTCCTAACAGGAAGGGAATTGTTGCCAATTTCTTATGCAGCCTCCAAAAGCATTTACAAACATAGATGAGTCTCTCTCTTCTTTTTAAACACACATACATTGTAGCATACTATGTAAGCCATTCTATCCTCCTTGTTTCTTTCATCTAGTGTGTCTTAGGGATTATTCATTTCTGCAAGTATGAAGACTGCCCTTTTTTTTTTTTTTTTGAGACTGAGTCTCACTCTGTCACCCAGGCTGGAGTGCATGGAGTGCAGTGGCGCGATATCGCCTCACTGCAACCTCCACCTCCTGGGTTCAAGCGATTCTCCTGCCTCAGCCTCCTGAGTAGCTGGGATTACAGGCACGCGCCACCACACCCAACTAATTTTTGTATTTTTAGTAGAGACAGGGTTTCACCATGTTGGCCAGGATGGATCTCTTGACCTCGTGATCTGCCCACCTCGGCCTCCCAAAGTGCTGGGATTACAGGCGTGAGCCACCATGCCCGGCCTCCTCATTTTTTTTAGTAGCAGCCTGGCATTCTGTTATATGGAAGTGCCAGAATTATTTCATTAGTCCTTTATTGATAAACTTCAATCTTCACTATTACAAACCATGAATATTTTGTATAGATCAAGTTGTACATATGTGACTACATCTGTAAGATAAATTCCTAGAAGTAGGAATACTAGTGCTTATTAAATACAGTATGTACTTTTAAATTTTTTCAAACTTTATAGAGGATGTAGCAATGTATAGCCCATCAATAATAAAAGGCACAGCCGGGCGCAGTAGCTCATGCCTGTACTCTCAACACTTTGGGAGGCAGAGGTGGGCAAATCACCTCAGGTCAAGAGTTCAAGACCAGCCTGGCCAACATGGTGAAACCCTGTCTCTACTAAAAATAGAAAAAATTAGCCGGGTGTGGTGGCACATGCCTGTAATCCCAGCTAGTTGGGAGGCTGAGGCAGGAGAATCGCTTGAACCCAGGAGGCGGAGGCTGCAGTGAGCCGAGATCGAGTCATTGCACTCCAGACTGGGAAACAAGAGTGAAATTCTGTCTCAAAATAGTAATAATAATAATAATATAAAATAATAGTGATAATAATAAAAGGCAGTCAAGGGAGTGCTTTTTTTTTTTGAGGTGGAGTCTTGCTCTGTTGCCCAGGCTGAAGTGCAGTGGCACCATCTTGGCTCACTGCAACCTCCGCTTCCTGGGTTCAAGTGATTCTCCTGCCTCAACCTCCCAAGTAGTTGGGATTACAGGCACGCGCCACCATGCGCAGCTAATTTTTTGTATTTTTAGTAGAGACGGGATTTCGCCATGTTGGCCAGGCTGGTCTGGAACTCCTGGCCTCAAGTGATCCGCCTGCCTTGACCTCCCAAAGTGCTGGGATTACAGGGGTGAGCCACTGTGCCCTGCCGGGAGTGCTTTTTAGATGAGGAAAAAGCCGGAAGAGACTAGCTGAGAAGTAAACAGGCAGGCCCATGCCTGGCCCAGAAATTCATCCTAGGACCAGTGAAGAAGATGAGCCAGCACCACCAACAGCCTGTTTCCTACAGGCAAGCCACCCGTTTCACACATGAGAAAACTGGGGCTCAGAGAGCCGACTTGCCTCACTCAGGGTTGTGGCCTGGAACGCTGTAGGTTCAGGGCTAATTCCTCTAGACAGTATATGCTTCACCCTCTGACCTCAAGCTGTGGTCTCCTGTGTTGGCTTGGCTACAAGTTGGAGCTCCTTCCTATTGTGGGCTGAAAGTAGTTGAGCCTACCACATGGTTCAGAACTTCCCCTGGTTATTTCATTCCCACATACAAGAAACCAGCCCCAGTCCCACACATACACACTCACACAGCTACTATTTCCAGCTTCCTTGGGGCCCACAGGACCTTAAGCGTCCACTTCTCTGAGGCAGGTAGCAGTGATGACCCTGGACATTCATCGACCAGCCTAAGGAACTGAAACACAACAGACCCCTGCACAGTTACCACCAGATAGCGGGCAGCGAGGGCGTGAAAGAAGTCAAAGCACATTAGCCACAGAGCTACCAGCCACTCAGGAAACAGAAGTCACCGTGGTGAAATAATTATCTTTCTTTGTATCGGAAAATGCCTTCACATCCATTAACTCATTTCACCTCCACAGTTCTCTGAATTAGACAAAACACGGATTCTTATATTCATTCTTCTTGTTGAGCAGATAAGGAAAAGGAAATATGCCTTTTCTAGAGAAGCAGAGACCAGAGGCCGACCCAGGTTTTCTGGTGCTTAATCCTGGTCCCATTTCTGCCCCATGTTAAGCAATCTCCTGGCAGTATGAGATGTTCATAAAAATCAGCTCTTATCTGCCCACATCCAGAATTAGTCACCATGTCCCTAGCAATGTTGTTTTGAACCCTCCAGTACATGGACGTATATGCATTCCTTTCTCTGTATCTTTTAGCTTCATAGCTGCGTCCTTTGTGAGGATACTCTTGGGATGTTTCTGAGTGGTGTCATTTTACTGTATCTAAGTGCCTGGCATGGCCTCTGGAACACGATGGGTACTCAATAAAATTGTGTTGCTTGACTGGCTGAGAGAATGGATGATATATGGATGACAGGATGAATGAATAGGTGAACAGATGAATGGATGGATGAGTGGGTGGGTGGGTGACTGGTGAGTTGAGTATTGGTTCACTTGTTTACTTGTTTTGCTTTTATTTTTCTACTAGCATCCATTACCCCTTCAAAATCACCTTGACATCTTTTTATGCAATTACTTCTTCCTTCCAGGGTATACAGTCTCAGCAGTACGACATATCAGGGACGCTAACTTCTCCCAGCCAAGAAGCAAGCAAATGACACAAGATTAGCTGGTCATACTCCCTCTCCTAGGACTGTGAATCCTTAGTAGAGTGAGACGAGGATAGGAAAATTAACTGGAATACATCTATATCAACAGTGGTTGGCCGGGCGCGGTGGCTCACGCCTGTAATCCCAGCACTTTGGGAGGCCAAGGCGGGTGGATCTTGAGGTCAGGAGATCGAGACCATCCTGGCTAACACGGTGAAACCCCGTCTCTACTAAAAATACAAAAAATTAGCCGGGCGCGGTGGCGGGTGCCTGTAGTCCCAGCTACTCGGGAGGCTGAGGCAGGAGAATGGCGTGAACCCGGGAAGCGGAGCTTGCAGTGAGCCGAGATTGCGCCACTGCAGTCCGCAGTCTGGCCTGGGCGACAGAGCGAGACTCCGTCTCAAAAAAAAAAAAAAAAAAAAAAAACAGTGGCACCCTGATGGCACTGCCAAGTAGTTCCTGCTGCCCACAAACACAGAGTGTTTCTGGTTTCTCACTTGTCATTTTTCCAAGCCAAGTTCTCCAATATCCTACCCATTCTATGAGCTACTCAACATTACCCCCAATACATTACTTTCCTGATTAAGTTAGTGTGATATAATTGTGTGTGTGTGTATATATATCTATAATTATATGTATATAAGTTTTCATCCACAGTTCCTGGCCTATAACTCCCATAGCCCTTTTACAGTCATCTGTTATAATGTTGGGACACTTTAGGCCTTAGAAACAGGCCTCAGGAAGCAGAATTTCTCTCTCTCTGACCTCTCCTGCCCTCCTTTCACCTGCCCAAGGCAGGGTTCTAATCTAATTGTGGGTCATAAGACCCTCATTCCAGAGAGGGCCCTGCCCCATACCCTGGAGGGAAGGAATGCTGCACAGAAAGGCCGAAAAGAATCTGAGCAGACAGGCCCTGATGGATTCCACCCTCGGTCTGTTAGTATTAAATCATACCCTTTTTGCCCAATCACATTTTGACATGGTTGTCCATGCTTTAGTCATGCTTATCCAACGAGTGTATAAAAGGCCCAAGAAGACAAGGTTCAGAGAGCTTCCGGATAGCTGAACGCATGGAGGCTGACAGGACAGTGAAGGAGAACTCATCCACGCGCTGGGCGAGTGGTGCACCCCAACTCCACAGGAACGGAAGCTCCTCCAGATCTTGCCTTGTGTTATCTTTCCATCTGGCTATTTATTTGCATCCTTTTTAAATGTAAGTAAGTGCTTCCATGAGTTCCGTGAGCTCCTCCAGCAAATTAATCAACCCCGAAGAGGGTGGGTCATGGTAACCCCAACTTGAAGCCAGCTGGTCAGACATTCTGGAAGCCCAGACTCGTGACTGGTGGGAAGGAGGGAGCAGTTCTGTGGAACTGATTCCTCAACCTGTGGTTTCTGAGGCTATTTCCAGGTAGATGGTGTCACAGTTGAATTAACTGGTGGACACCCGGCTGTGTCCACTGCAGAACTAATTGCTTACTTGGTGTGTGGGAAGAAACCCCTACATATTTTGTCACAGAAGTCTTCTGTATTATTATGGTGTAAGAGAACAGGAAAAATGCATGTTGACTGTTTTTTCCACACTCCCAGTCCACAAAAGTTTTCTCCACTTATGAACAAATAATGTGTGTGTGTGTTTTTTTGTTTTTTTGTTTTTTTGTTTTTCCTGAGACAGGGTCTCACTCTGTCATCCAGGCTGGGGTGCAGTGGTGTGATCATGGCTCACTGCAGCTTCAATCTCCCAGGTCCAAGTGATCCTTCTACCTCAGCCTCCCAAGTAGCTGGGACCACAGGTGTGTGCCACCATACCCAGTTAATTTTTAAATTTTTTGTAGAGACAGGGTCTCCCTATGTTGCCCAGGCTGGTTTTGAACTTCTGAAGCGATCCTCTCACCTCAGCCTCCAAAAGTCCTGGGATAACAGGCATGAGCCACTGTGCCTGGCCATGAATACAAAGAATTTTAACAGACACAAGATGCAGATATGAAGGAATAGATGAATGAATAGACGCGTGCTGGACAGGATGGAGTGAAGGGATGTGTGAAAAGGTAGGAATGAGTGGGTAAGCGGAGGAGGACAGTGCTGCTCACAGAAGTTCATGAGCTAAATGGTAAAGTGAGTCCTAGGCCTTTGATGGATACGAGGGAAAGAAGGTATGTTACTCCCTCAGCCTTACCCATAGGAGAAGTAATGTGAACTGATTTTAGGAGCAAACAGGAAACTTACCCCCAAATCTCACTCTAGTATACTAGAAATCCTTTACTTTTGTATCTTTTAACTAAGAGGGAAATAAATAACATTGTCAGACCCTCATTTCACAGATGAGGAAACTTAGGCCTACAAAGGGCAAGTGGTTTGCCAAAATGTAACAAGTGGGTTTGGAGCTACAATGGGACTAGAGCTTAGGTCTCTTAATTCCCATTCCTTGCTCTTTTCACCACCCAAAGCTGACACTAGAAGGAATGACTACGGTGCAGAATTTCCAAACCCTAATTTGAGGAAATTCCCCAAGGGGACTTTTTCATGCAAGCTGGAGAGCCTCAAAAATGCAATGAATGCCTAGGAAGGTTCTAAGGGCCCTAATATTCTAACCTGAACACTAGAAAGCAGGGCAAGCAGCATAGTGGGGAAGCAGGGGACTGGGACCCCCGTCCCTGAGAATGGAAGTAATAGGCAAGAAGCCAAGGGGCTTCCCAGGACAAGCTAAAAAAGAGCAGATCCAGACTACAACTACAGAATCCTGTAAGATTCTGAAACTTTGTCACTTCCTTTCTAAGGCTTCCTTCCTAAGCCTCTCTGTGAAACTCTTTGAAAAGGGGTATGTGGGCTAGCCTGCAAGGACAGCCAGAAGGGAGAAGGATCACATCCCCCTCCGTGGCCAGGCTCTGAGAGACAGAAATCCAGTGAAGGACAGAGCATGGGGCTGAGTGTCTGTAGCCCACTGCATTGAGGGCAGGAGAGCTCAGGGCAGGTCTGAGTCATCACCATTTTCTGTGTGTTTCTTCCTAATAAGTGAAATAATGTGTAGTGTCTAGCACGGTGCCTGACAGCTCACAGAAAATCCCCAACTTCCCCTCCCCCACCGCCATGCCTTCTAACTCTCGGTGAGATGAACATCTCTACTGGGAGGGGAAGCCATTGAGGGAAGAAATGCTGGCACCTTGACATTTGGGGAAAGAAAGGGAAGGAATTGTTTTCCAAGTATCTACTTTGTGCCAGAAATGGTGTTGGGCAATTTACTGATTGCCTCATTTAATCCTTTGACGTATCCTAGGAGTTAGGTATTCTCAGCCCCATTTCCAGAAAGCAAACCAAGGTGAAAAAGAGTTAATAATTTGTTCAAAGACATATGGAAAAGTGCCAGGCATGGTGGCTCACGCCTGTAATCCTAGCACTTTGGGAGGCCAAGGCGGGCAGATCACTTGAGGTCAGGAGTTCAAGACCAGCCTGGCCAACAAGGCGAAATGCTGTCTCGACTAAAAATACAAAAATTAGCCAGAAATCACTTGAATCTGGGAGGCGGAAGTTGCAGTAAGCCAAGATCGTGCCACTGCACTCCAGCCTGGGCAACAGAGTGAGACTCCATCTAAAAAAAAAAAAAAAAAGTCATACAGAAAGGGTTGGATGTGGTGGCTCACACCTGTAATCCCAGCACTTTGGGAGGCCAAAGTGAGAGGATCACGTGAAGCTAGGAGTTTGAGACCAGCCTAGGCAACATAGTGAGATCCCCTCTTTAGGGAAAAAAAAAAAATTCTGCCACAAAAGCCACATTCAATAGAAAACATTTTTTTAAAAAAATAGCTAGGCATGGTGGCATGCACCTGTAGTCCCAGCTACACAGCAGGCCAAGGCGGGAGGATTGCTTGAGCACAAGAGTTTGAGGTTACAGTAAGCAATGATCAGCTACTGCATTCCCACCTGGGCAACATCTCTAAAGAAAAATCAAACAAAAAACGACATACAGAAAGTATGCGCTATCTGATTTCAACCCCAAGTTTGTCCTGCTTTACCAGGCTTTCTCCTGGGGCCTGGAGGCAGTGGGGCCAAGGGCAGGGGTGGGGTGTGCAGGGGACAGCAGTGCTCCAGCAATAAGAGTTCTTGAAGAGTACTTCATGAGGGGGTATACACCAATAGAGGGGAAGCCACCAGCCACCAACATGCAGAGGAAAACAACAACAACAACAAAAACAGACCCCAAGGTATCAGGAGAAGGACAGTCTGAAGTCATCTGGCACCCAGCCATTTTGGAAGAACTGATGCTTCTCCACGGGCCTTGTTCCCGTGGTCACCCCACCCCCAAGATATCTTGTGACAGGCTCCTCCAGTAACCAGAGGCAGGTGAGCGCTGCTCTGATCAACAAACACACCGCATGTGGTCTCCAGCTGCAATAAACAAGTGGCTGTGCACAGCCAATGTCCTGTGTGGTGAAGGTGAGAAGAGTGAGGGGGAGCCAAGCTGCAACCCTCAGCCTGAATGTGGTTGGAATTATGAGAGCAGTTGTCAAAGTTAGTACCTTGACATAGTGCAATGTGCATTAAAGTGCACAGTGCAAGGTGACAGAAGAGGGGAGGGGGAGGGGGTGGGGGAAGGGGTGGGGAGAGGAGGGGGAGGGGAGGGGAGAGGAATTGAGGAGCAGAACAGAATAACACAGAAAGAACCAACCAGAGCTGGACCAAAAATCGAGGCCAGGATGTTGTAGAGTCTTGGGTTCAAATTCTGCCTCCTCCTGGGAAGTCCCCTGAGCCTGCTACAAGGTCTTGGCTTGCACCCTATTGCCTCTGGCAGATCCTCCAACCAGCACCAATGAAGCACCTACCCCATGCAGGGTCCTTCAGAAACAAAGAGTGAGATAGCTTCCAGTCTCAGGTGGGGAATATTTAGACTTGTGAACAGGGGCAAAGAAGGAGAGAAACAACCAGGAAGTAACCTCCAATTTGCAGATGGGGAAAATTAAGTTTCATCAGGAGGAAATGACTTTGCCTCAGGCTTCTCTTGGGATCCCAGATTTCTAGAGGATGGGGGGAATGTCCCTGCTTTGGGCATGTTTTTAAGAGCACTGGAACAGCCAGAGCTGCTGCCCACAGTCTGAAGTCAGGAGGGGAACTCCATGTCAGATAAAAGCTTTGGAATCCAGATGGAGTAAGGTTTCATTTTCTCTGCCTGCATTTGGTTTCCTAACATCACAATGTGAGCCTTGGCTAGCAGCCAGCTTAGCTTTGGAAAAGAGTGAATGATGGGGAAAAAAAAAAAAAAAGACTGTGCCAGGAAGGGAGGGGAGGAGAGGGGCTACACTAGGCTGGAGGGGATATGGGCCTGGCTTTAGAGGATTATGCTAGGAAAAGGGGTGCCAGAGGCGTGAAAGCTGATAGGAACAAGCCCTGTGGATCAAGAGGCCCATCAGTGAGCCTGCAGGGTCTATGAACTCCTTACATGCAAAATTACATGTGTCTGTCTGTGTAGGTCTCTACAGATTGGTGGAAGTGTTCACAGCTTTCATGAGATTATTATTTTTTTTTTTTTAAGAAAGGCACACTGCCGCATGCAACACCTCATTTGGATGTGTCTGGAGTCTTGGAAGTTTGACTACCCTACATTCTCCTACAAATGGACCTTGAGAGCTTGTTTGGAGGTTCTAGCAGGGGAGCGCAGCTACTCGTATACCCTTGACCAAAGAACAGTCCTCCTCTATTGGGGAAGGTTGTCCTCTTCTGAAACTACCTTTGCAAAAATTATAGCAGTGAGAAAATTATGACAGTGAAAGAAATCTGACCTAATTGACTCCATCTTGCTTCTAACCTCCCAGCTGCCCTTGTTCATTCCTGGGCATAGGGAGCACTAACTTTGGGAGGATTTAGTTTATAGTTTAACTTTGAAACAAAGATGATAACAGCCCCTCCCTGAGACCAACCCACTCCTTGCCTGGGGACCAGAAAGCCTTTGTAAAACTAACACATTGGCCACAAGATTAGAAATGACGGCTCAGGAGTCATGCAGCCAAAGGCCTCGAGATCATGAACCTCCCCAATTGCTCCTGTAGATAATATTATTATTGTAAAACCTAACATGGGTGTTTGAGGTATTTTTCAGACCCTGCCTTCTGATGGATCAGCTGGCACCACCCAGACCAGTAAACTGGCTCATCTGGTCTTCTGGCCCCCACCCAGGAACCAACTCAGTGCAAGAGGATAGCTTCAACTCCTTATGATTTCATCCCCGACCCAACCAATCAGCATTCCCGCTTCCCGAGCCCCCTGCCCGCCAAACTACCTTTAAAAAACCCTAGCCTCCAAATTTTCAGGGAGGCTGATTTGAGTAATAATAAAACCCCTGTCTCCTGTTTAGCTGGCTCTACTTGTATCAAACTCTTTGTCTATTGCAATTCCTGTGTCTTGATAAACTTGCTGTATCTGGGCAGCGGGCAAGAAGAACCCGTTGGGTGGTTAAACCAAGTGCGCAGCTTTAGGAGGGACGCACATGGAACGGTAAAGAGAGAAGGGGACACAGGCCTAGCCAGCTAGATCAGCCAAATTGAGACAGACTGGGAGTGGGGCTTGGCTGCAGCTCACCAGCACTGAACTTTCTTTCATGAATTCCCACTGATCACAAACCCCACACCACCATCTCACTGACACCATGTTCAACCATGTCTTTTACTTAACAAATTCCAGGAACTGGCCTTAGGAAATCCAAGTATCAAACCAAGGTTGTGGAGTATTCCACCTCAGGAAGGAATGCTGAACAACTGATTTACAGACTTGTTGCCCCAGCTAGACCACCAGGTAGCCCATTACTCAAGGTAACCATTACAACCAAATAGTGCTAACCTGCATACCCTACCCCTCACATGCTTTGCCCAGCCCAGCCTGCATACCCCACCCCTGATGTCAATTCTCATGCTTTGCCTAATTAAAAAGCCCTACCGGCTCTTTGCACAGAGTCAGTCAGGGAATTCTCTCTTGTGCTGCCTCCCTTATGTCCAGGCAAAAGCTCCAATGAAGTCTTGTCTGGGAAAAGTCTTTCGGCCTCATGTCAATTTCTATTGCATGGAGAACGCAAGAAACTATGGTCGGTAACAGAACCAACCCTGGTGATCAATAGGGTGACAGATGTTGCAGCCAGATCACCCTCACATCCTCATCAGGCTTTTTTTTTTTTTTTCTTGAGACAGAGTGTCGCTCTGTGGCCCAGGCTGGAGTGCAATGGCGTGACCTCTGCTCACCGCAACCTCCACCTCCCAGGATCAAGCCATTCGCCTGCCTCGGCCTCCCAAGTAGCTGGGACTACAGGCATGTGCCACCACGCCTGGCTAAATTTTTGTACTTTGAGTAGAGACGGGGTTTCACCATGTTGGCCAGGCTGGTCTCAAACTCGTGACCTCAAGTGATCCTCCTGCCTCGGCTTTCCAAAGTGCTGGGATTACAGGTGTGAGCCACAGCACTGGCTTTTTTTTTTTTTTTTTTTTTTTGAGACAGAGTCTTGCTCTGTCGCCCAGGCTGGAGTGCAGTGGCATGATCTCGGCTCACTGCAACCTCCGTCTCCTGGGTTCCAGAAATTATCCTACCTCAGCCTCCCGAGTAGCTGGGATTACAGCCACCCGCCACCACGCCCAGCTAATTTTTGCATTTTTAGTAGAGACAGGGTTTCACCACATTGGCCAGACTGGTATCGAACTCCTGACCTCGGGTGATCCGCCCGCTTTGGCTTCCCAAAGTGCTGGGATTACAGGCATGAGCCACCGCGCCCGGCCCTTTTTTCTTTTCTTTTCTTTTTTTTTTTTTTGAGACAGGGTCTCACTCTGTCACCCAGGCTAGAGTGCAGTGGCTCAATCTTGGCTCACTGCAACCTTTGCCTCCTGGGCTCAAGCGATCCTCCTGCCTCCCCACTGAGTAGCTGGGACTACAGGCATGCCACCATGCCCAGCTAATTTTTGTATTTTTAGTAGAGATGGGGTTCGCCATGTTGTCCAGGCTGCTCTTCAACTCCTGAGCTCAAGCAATCCACCCACCTCCAACTCCCAAAGTGCTGGGATTACAGGCGTAAGCCACAGTGCCCAGCCCTCATCAGATTCTTTAATGGCTCAATTGCCCCAGACAGGTTAGGTCCAATATCTTACTTTACAGACAAAGAAATTTAGGCCCAGAGAAAGTAAGCAACTTGTTGAAAGTCATCATTAATCACAGCAAGGCAGACATAGAAAGGAAAATACTACATGATCTTACATGTGGAATCTAAAAAAGTCAAATACATGGAGGCAAAGAATAGAACTTTGGCTACCAGTGGCAGGGCTGTAAGAGAAATTGGGAGATTCTGGTCAAAGGGCAAAAAGTTGCAGTTATGTAGAATCGAATGTGTAGCATGAGGACTACAGCAGTTCCCATTTATCTGTGGTGGATGTCCCAAGACCCCCAGTGGATGCCTGAAACCATGGATAGTACCTGTTATATACTATTTTATTATGTGTTTTTTCCTATACTACCTATGATAAACTTTAGTTTATAAATTAGGCTCAGTAAGAGATTAACAACAATAATAACAAAATAGAACAATTATAACAATATACTGTAATAAAAGTTATGTAAATGTTTATGTCTGGAATTTTCCATTTAATATTTTCTGACCATGGTTGACCAAGAGTAACTGAAACCTCAGTAAGCAAAACCAGAATAACCAAAATACAGATAAGGGAGGGCTACTGTAGAGTTAATAATATTGTATTGGATACCGGAAATTTTCTTTTTTTTTTTTTTTTGGAGACTGAGTCTTTCTCTGTTGGCCAGGCTGGAGTACAGTGGCACAGTCTCGGCTCACTGCAACCTCCGTCTCCCTGGCTCAAGCAATTCTGCCTCAGCCTCCCGAGTAGCTGGGATTACAGGCGTGTGCCACTAACCATGCCCGGACAATTTTTGTATTTTTTGTAGAGACCGGGTTTCACCACGTTGGCCAGGCTGGTCTCGAACTCCTGACCTCAGGTGATCCACCCGCCTCAGCCTCCCAAAGTGCTGGGATTACAGGCGTGAGCCACCGCGCCCAGCCGAATACTGGAAATTTTCTAAGAGAAGAGATTTCAAGTGCTCTCACCACATACACAAAAATAGCGGTAACTGTATGAGGAGATGGATATATTAATTTGTTTAACTGGAATAATCATTTCACTATGTATATGTATATCAAAACGTCATGTTGTAAATATGATGTTTATTAAAAATAGTTTTTATTAAAAATAAATAAATAATAAGTCATGAAGCTGGATTTTGAACCTAGAAGTCTGACTCCAGAGAGCCCATTTAATTAAGATGCTACAAGAAGTTAGTATGACTTAATCTGCATTGATATAGCAGCTTATCTAAGACATTTATTGGAAAGTAGGCAGAGAATACAAATAAATAGAAAACACATAGGACACTGTCGCTGTGTTCATGGAGTTAAGACAAGACCAGTGAAAGGATGATTCACAATAAAAGAGTGTAAATTTACTTGTTTATTGTTTATCTCCCTTCTCCCCGTCCCCCTACCCTATATCCAAACAAGCTCCAGATGGCAGGTCTTTGCCTGTCTTACTAGCCATGGTGTCTGCAGAGCGTAGAAGGGTGCCCAGCTCACAGCAATTCTTAGTAAAATCTGTAGAGTGGGTAAGGAATGACTGAGTGGTATGGACCATGCACACTGAAGGGACAGGGAGAGCAGAGACAGCTCCATGATGGTGTATCTCACCTTACGTCTCCTAAGCACATCCATGATCATTATTTCCCTTGATCCTCTCCACCACTGCAGTGGGTCAGACAGGAAGCAGTTCCTGGTTTTCAGGAACATAATGTGCTGGGTGAATAATAATGATAGTTGCCATTCATTGAACACCCACCCTGTACCAGGCACCATACTGTTTACATGGGCTCTCTAATTTGCTTATGGAATCAGTTCATTAGCACCAGAGAAAAAATTGAAGATAGCCCATCAAGCCCAAACCTTGATTTTGCACAGGAGAAAATGAATGGTAGACATGAAATAAAAATTAGATTCTCCTCCCTCCTGTGCTCCTCACAATCCATTAGAATCACTGAAAGGGAAGAAAAATACTCCCATGGCTGGGTGTGGCGGTTCATGCCTACAACCCCAGCACTTTGGGAGGCCAAGGTGGGAGGATTGCTTGAAGCCAGGAGTTCGAGACCAGCCTGGGCAACATAGCAAGATCCCATCTATACGACAAATTTAAAAATTAGCCCAGCATGGTGCAGTGGCTCACGCCTGTAATCCCAGCACTTTGGGAGGCCGAGGTGGGCAGATCATGAGGTCAGGAGATCGAGACCATCCTGGCTAACACAGTGAAACCCCATCTCTACTACAAATACAAAAAATTAGCCGGGCATGGTGGTGGGAGACTGTAGTCCCAGCTATTTGGGAAGCTGAGACAGGAGAATGGCGTGAACCCGGGAGGCGAAGCTTGCAGTGAGCCGAGATCGCGCCACTGCACTCCAGCCTGGGTGACAGAGCCAGACTCCATCTCAAAAAAAAAAAAAAAAAAATTAGCCCAGCATGGTGGTGCACACCTGTAGTCCTTAGCTGCTCAGGAGGCTGAAGTAGGAGGATCGCTTGAACCCTGGAGTTCAAGCCTGCAGGTGATCAGTTAACTGCATTCCAGCCTGGGGAACAGAGTGAGATCCTGTTTCAAACAACAACAACAAAAATACTTTTGACATTCCCACTGCCTATTCCCACTCAGCAATCCCAACATCCCACCATCCTACCCACCCAACCTCTGTCCCACCACCACTTATACACAGATATACGTACACACACACACAGTGGAAAGGTTCGCTGGGACTCAAAGATGAGGAGCATGTCGCTGTTGTCTGCGGGTTTCCTCACCTCTATCCTTAGCTCCTGTCCCAACTCAGCATATCTAGTATCCAGGAAAACACTTTCCTTTCTTCCTTAAAGAGGGAAACTGAAATCAAGGAAAGAAAACAGAAATTGAGCTCACAGAAGAAAACTGAGCCTTGGTAATAGTTTTATGATTTTCTCTAGAAACAATGAAGTGTGGTAGAAAGCCCATGAACCCAGACTATAAGTCACTTAACCACTCTAAGCCTCAACTACCCATCTGTTTTAAAAAAGACTTTTTGTGGCCGGGCGCGGTGGCTCACGCCTGTAATCCCAGCACTTTGGGAGGCCAAGGCGGGCAGATTACGAGGTCAGGAGATTGAGAACATCCTGGCTAACATGGTGAAACCCTGTCTCTACTAAAAACAGAAAAATCTAGCTGGGCGAGGTGGTGGGCGCCTGTAGTTCCAGCTACGCGGGCGGCTGAGGCAGGAGAATGGCGTGAACCCGGGAGGCAGAGCTTGCAGTGAGCCGAGATTGTGCCACTGCACTCCAGCCTGGGCGAAAGTGAGAGACTCCGTCTTAAAAAAAAAAAAAAAAAGGCTTTTTGTAATAAATAAATATTTTTTTGTAACAAATACGAATACATATTGACTGGGGGTTTAGTTTAGACTGTTGAAAAGCATAAATTACAGAATATCCTTAAAGGCACTGACATCTTACTCTTAATGATAACATGATAATAATAGGCAATGTTATTAAGTACTTAACATGCGTCAGACGTTGCACTAAGAGCTTTGCAAGCATGAGAACATTTATAGGGACTTAATTGTCTCGATAGTTGTGTGAGGAACTATTATTATTATTATCACTGATTTATAGGTAAGGAAACTGAGACCAGAGAGATTATTAATAATTTACCTGAGGCCACCTGGACAATAAACAGGAGAAACTGCCGAGTCCCTGCTCTTAACCCACCGCCTTTTCCAGAACCTCTCACATGTTTGGTAACTTACCTTAGACCTAACGGGGCTTTGTGAAGGAAACAATTGGTAGAACATTTTTGTGTGGTTGGATGAATGTTTCTAAAGTGCTTGCAATTTGTTTCTTTAAATGAGATGGCCATACTTTCCAAAATTACGTTTCCATTGTTAATTGATTGAGCTGTAAGGAGGGTATGAGAGGATTGTTGTAAAGAGCTTGGAACAAGGCCAGGCGCAGTGGCTCGCATCTGTAATCCCAGCACTTTGGGAGGCCGAGGTGGGCGGATCGCCTGAGGTCAGGAGTTCGAGACCAGCCTGGCCAACATGGCGAAATCCTGTCTCTACTAAAAATACAAAAATTAGCCAGGCATGGTGGCGGACGCTTGTAATCCCAGCTACTCAGGAGGCAGAAGAATTGCTTGAACCTGGGAGGTGGAGGGTACAGTGAGCCGAGATCGTGCCACTGCACTTCAGCCTGATCAAAAAAGTGACACTCTGTCTCAAAAAAAAAAAAAAAAAAAAAGCTTGGAATGGCACCTGTAACCTAGAAAGGTCTTTTTTTTTTTTTTTTTTTTTTTTGAGACGGAGTCTTGCTCTTTCGCCCAGGCTGGAGTGCAGTGGCGCGATCTCAGCTCACTGCAAGCTCCGCCTCCTGGGTTCACGCCATTCTCCTGCCTCAACCTCTCGAGTAGCTGGGACTACAGGCGCCCGCCACCACGCCCGGCTAATTTTTTCTATTTTTAGTAGAGACGGGGTTTCACCGTGTTAGCTAGGATGGTCTCGATCTCCTGACCTCGTGATCCGCCCGCCTCGGCCTCTCAAAGTCCTGGGATTACAGGTGTGAGCCACCGCGCCTGGCCGAAAGGTCTTGATAACTGTTAACTGACTTACTGATGTGATTCACTGGACAGAGCTTGAGCATGGTCATCAGAAACACCTGCCTTCAAATCCCACTTATCAGCTGCGTGATCTTGAAGATGTTAATTATCTGTTCTGAGGCTTACTTTCCTCTTTGGTCAAATGAGAAGAACAACCACTCTGCCTCAAAGTCATCGTGAGGAAGAAATGTGGCAAAGTCTTCCCATTCTGGGTGATTTAGTCACCGTCAACCACCATGTTACAAGTGTGAGAGTAGCTAACAGAAAATGATCTCAGTAGGGGGTTACATTTTGTTTATTTTGCTTTTGTCACTCTCTTTTTTTTTTTTTTTTTTTTTGAGACGGAGTTTCGCTCTGTCGCCCAGGCTGGAGTGCAGTGGCGCGATCTCGGCTCACTGCAAGCTCCACCTCCCGGGTTCACGCCATTCTCCTGCCTCAGCCTCCTGAGTAGCTGGGACTACAGGCGCCCGCCACCACGCCCGGCTAATTTTTTGTATTTTTAGTAGAGGCGGGGTTTCACTGTGTTAGCCAGGATGGCCTCGATCTCCTGACCTCATGATCCGCCCGCCTCGGCCTCCCAAAGTGCTGGGATTACAGGCGTGAACCACCGCGCCCGGCCGCTTTTGTCACTCTCAATAAACACTTTTCTCTTAAATAATTCAGATGCCGGCCGGGTACGGCCTGTAATCCCAGCATTTTGGGAAGCCAAGGCGGGCGGATCACGAGGGCAGGAGATAGAGACCATCCTGGCTAACATGGTGAAACTCCATTTCTACTAAAAATACAAAAAAATTAGCCAGGCATTCTGGCCAGCTCCTGTAGTCCCAGCTACTTGGGAGGCTGAGGCAGGAGAATGGCGTGAACCTGGGAGGCACAGCTTGCAATGAGCCGAGATTGTGCCACTGCAGTCCAACCTGGGCGACACAGCAAGACTGTCTCAATAATAATAATAATAATAATAATATTATTATTATTATTCAGATGCCAATTTCAGCCTAGCCCGGACCAAATTGTTGCTAATTCTGAACTACTAAAATAGGAATTGATGAAGACTTACTGTATCCAGTTCTTTGGAATGCAGTAAGGACCCTAGCTCTAATCCAGAAGTTCCACATGGGTTCAGTTTTGAGGATACTCCTAACCACGAACCCTTTAATGTTGGGCAGTACTTAATGGACAGAGCACTGAAGTGGGAGTGAGGGCAACTGGGTTCTGATCCCAACTCTGTCATTCATTTGCTGTGTGTTCTTAGCAAGTCACTCCTGCTCACTGGGCCTTGGTTTCCTCTTGTGCAACTGAAGAACATGGAAAAAATGATCCCTAAAGTCCTTTGAAGCTTTCATATTCTGTAACTTTTGTGCCCAAGAAGGCCTTACAGTGAGATGGGATCCCAGTATTTATTGAGTTTCCTCATTCATAAAATGGGGATAATAATAGTAAATGAGTTGACACGCGCTAGGACAGTGGAATAGTGGCTGGCACAGATAAGCCCTCGGTAAATGGTAGCCAATAATGATAGAGTATGCTGTAAGATATCTTTCTCTCCCTCTGCTTCTCAACAAGTCTCTAATCAATTATTCCACTTTATAAACAAGGAAATAGAACTCAAAGACATTAAGCACTTTTCCCAAAGGTCGCTTAGCAAGTAAATGGGAGAGACCCTATGACCAGGATGAAAGCAAGAAATTCCCACAAGAGGACTCATTCCAACTCATATCTTGTGAAAAGGTTCCCAATGCCCAGCTCAGATCAACTGCCTCAATTTACAGTGTGAGTGTGCTCACCTCCTTTGGGGACTGTATATCCAGAGGACCCTCCTCAATAAAACACTTTATAAATAACATCCTTCCATGGATGAGGGAAAGGAGGTAAGATCTGTAATGAATAAGCAGGAACTTTGAAGACTCAGTGACTCAGTGAGTAATAAAGACTCAGTGACTTCTGATCCTGTCCTAACTGCCACTCCTTGTTGTCCCCAAGAAAGCGGCTTCCTGCTCTCTGAGGAGGACCCCTTCCCTGGAAGGTAAAACTAAGGATGTCAGCAGAGAAATTTTTCCACCATTGGTGCTTGGTCAAAGAGGAAACTGATGAGCTCACTCTAGATGAGAGAGCAGTGAGGGAGAGACAGAGACTCGAATTTCCGGAGGCTATTTCAGTTTTCTTTTCCGTTTTGTGCAATTTCACTTATGATACCGGCCAATGCTTGGTTGCTATTTTGGAAACTCCCCTTAGGGGATGCCCCTCAACTGGCCCTATAAAGGGCCAGCCTGAGCTGCAGAGGATTCCTGCAGAGGATCAAGACAGCACGTGGACCTCGCACAGCCTCTCCCACAGGTACCATGAAGGTCTCCGCGGCAGCCCTCGCTGTCATCCTCATTGCTACTGCCCTCTGCGCTCCTGCATCTGCCTCCCCATGTAAGTCCTGGTCTTGACCACCACAGCCCCTGGAGTCAGACTCTGCCTAGAATGCCTACCCCATCCCAATGACTGTCCCACACCTTGCCCTCTTTTCAACTGTAGCATGAATACTGTCTGAACCCCATTATTTACATTCTTATGAATTGTCTTACCCATATGTCCTGTTGTCCTTGAGAGATCTCTATGCTGCTTCATGGCAGGGATCTCCTGATCAGTTTTTCTGTCTTTAAGGTCTACACCCTCAAGGCCTACAGGTGTTCACTGAGTGTGGACTCATGTTGGGGAGATTAGTAGTCATGAGTAGCTCACACTGACTTTGAAACACGTCTGACTCATGCCTGTCAGCAGCAGGGTTTCTAAGAAATTTAACTAAACTAAAACTTCCTGAGACCCTGAGACAGCCATATTCTCTCTCATTTCATAAATGTAAAAAAAATTGGCTTATGAGAGGGTATGTGGCTTTATTAGAGTGAATACATTTAAAAAACAAATAAAAACAAGGAGAGGATAATAAAAGCTAATTAAATGGTTACTATGGATCAGGCATTGTGCTGATTTTGGCACATCTTTTTTTTTTTTTTTTTTTTTTTTGAGATGGAGTCTTCGCTCTGTCGCCCAGGCTGGAGTGCAGCGGCACGATCTCGGCTTACTGCAAGCTCCGTCTCCCGGGTTCATGCCATTCTCCTGCCTCAGCCTCCGGAGTAGCGGGGACTACAGGCACCCGCCACCACACCCTGCTAATGTTTTGTATTTTTTAGTAGAGACGGGGTTTCACCATGTTAGCCAGGATGGTCTCGATCTCTTGACCTCGTGATCCGCCCGCCTCGGCCTCCCAAAGTGCTGGGATTACAGGCGTGAGCCACCGTGCCCAGCCGATTTTTGTACATCTTATTTAATACCCACAACCCTTCTTTGAGTAGCTGTCCTTGATGTACAGATGGGAAAACAGAGAGGTTAAGTAACTTGTCCATGGAGGCACACAGCTAGGAAATGGGGAGACTGGTATTCAAACCTGGTTCCATCTTGCTGGGAAAATAAAAACTACTCCTCTGCTGGGAAGTGGCAACTGATGCTTCCCAACGTCATCTTGAATTAACTGACCAACAAGAAGTTCTCTGTTGAGAGCCCTTCTCACTGAAGCTCAACCAGAGCTCCCAAGATACAATATGCATCTCCAGGCCCTTCTTAGGATCCTGGCTGAGTCATGGAGCCTGAGCTTTGGAAGCCTCCCCACAACCTGCCCTAGGTCTCAAAGAAACCAAGTTCCAAATCCATTGAGGATGCTGGAAGGGCAAGAATGAAGCCAGAGGACCCAGGACAAGCCAGGAGGAGGCCCTGAAAGCCCAGGGCAGAAGGTTATGGTGTAGAGGGATGGATACAAGCTTGGCTCAAGGATTAGATGAGGCATTGGAATCCCCACTCTGCCACTGTTTATCCATGGCCAAGTGACTTTACCTCTCTGAGCCTCAGTTTCTGTCAAGGAAGATAACAGTTCTTTCTAAATAAATCATATAAAGTGTCCAGCACAATGTCAAGTGTGCAGTAGCAATGAATAAAAGGGTCTCCCTCCTTCCTTTCCTCTTCCAGATTCCTCGGACACCACACCCTGCTGCTTTGCCTACATTGCCCGCCCACTGCCCCGTGCCCACATCAAGGAGTATTTCTACACCAGTGGCAAGTGCTCCAACCCAGCAGTCGTGTGAGTCTCAGCCCCATGGAGCCCTCCCAGAGCCTGTTCCCTGAGGAGTCCTCTGAGAGGATGCCCTACCCACTTCCACCTATCCTCCAGCTGCAAGCAGCCACAGCTCCTCCATCTCTAGCCTCAGAGTCCCCTGCTATCATGTAAAAAGACTAGACAAGCTGTCCTTAGAGAATCGTGCCCACTCCAATGGACTATGTTCCCAGGACTCCAATCTTTTTTTTTTTTTTTTTTTTTTTTTTTTTGAGACAGAGTCTCACTCTGTCGCCCAGGCTGGAGTGCACCGGCACGATCTCGGCTCACTGCAAGCTCCACCTCCTGGGTTCATGCCATTCTCCTGCCTCAGCCTCCCGAGTAGCTGGGACTACAGGTGCCCACACCATGCCTGGCTAATTTTTTGTATTTTTAGTAGAGACGGGGTTTCACCGTGTTAGCCAGGATGGTCTCGATCTCCTGCCCTCGTGATCTACCCGCCTCAGCCTCCCAAAGTGCTGGGATTATAGGCATGAGCCACTGTGCCTGGCCTAGGACTCCAATCTTTACTAGTGTGGCCTTTACTTGAAACATGGTCTGGAATGCTCCTATGTGGGGAAGATCAAGTCAGTCATCCCCTTCAGTGAAGAACCCCATATTTCACACAGTCCCCCATATTTCACACCCAATCAAATCCACCTAAACCTCAGAGGAACTAGGGAGAAGAGGTCAGAGGTCAGGGATCTATAACTGTAGTCAAATAAAAAAACAAAAAGCCATCCATCAGAGAAGAAATAAGGAAATGAGATTCACCTTTAAATATGCAAGCTAGTATATTTGGAAAAATATAATAAACCCTACTATATAGGAAATGCCTACTATGTGTCAAATGTCTTATGTGCCTGATCTTTAAATTACACTTAGCTCTGACAAGTATGCATAATTCTCTCCATGTTTCAGGTATTGAAACTAAGATTCAGAGAGGTTTATTGATTTAGCCAAGGCTGCACAGTAAATGAGGGATGAAGTCCATCTCTAGAGCCTCCTCTTTCTACTATAGCAAAGTCATTAGTGACAATTGCTTAAGAAATTTATGGTAGAGACTTAAAAAATGAAAATGGTGCAATTCTGAAGTTTCTTATATAAGAGTGAAGTTTTTGTTTTTGTTTTTGTTTTGAGACAGAGTCTCACTCACTCTGTTGCCCAGGCTGGAGTACAATGGTGCAATCTCAGCTCACTGCATCCTTTGCCTCCCGGGTTCAAGCAATTCTCTTGCCTCAGCCTCCTAAAGTGCTGGGATTACAGGTGTGAGCTACTGTACCCAGCCAGGGTGAAGTTTTTTAATCCAAAAATTTATGACACTGGCAAAGTTAGAGGTACTCAAAGACAGACTTTGGATCTGATGAATCCTTTTAAGTATAATGGTAATATTTAACAATTACTAATTTTATTTCTGAAAACAAATATTTTTCAAAAGAAGAAAATCCTTCCCTGAGCACATACTATTGGCAGACACAGATTACTAAAGCCACTGTCCCAGCCCAACCTTATGGGACTCATAGTCTAATAAGAGGGGCAAGACAGACACAGCAATGACTAGAGTACACAGCAAAAAAAAACATGACAAGGGAAAGAGAGAGGAAACACATTCAGCTTCAGGGATTTACAGGTTTGCTGCAAATGGTGCTGTCTGAGGAGAGATTTGGCCTGGCAGAGAAAAGCCTAGGGAATGGGATATATCAGGAAAAGGGACTGTCCCCCAGGATTCTACTTTGGTTTATGTACAGTCTCCATGTAGGAAAGCACGGAGTGTCAGGAAAATGCAGCAAAAGTGCTAAATGCAGCTGTCAAGTGTAAAATGAGCTAGAACAGGGAAAGCTGAGAAAACAGGAGTCCAGTTTAGCGGCTACTGTTGTTATCCACGTGAGTAGTATTGGAGGCTGAACAGTGCCTGAAGGAAAGGAGAGACAGGAGGTTTCAAAGACAGACACTTTTGAAACCTTCAAAGGTGGAATTTGCAAGCCCTAGCAGGTGATTTGAGCTCAAGAGCAAGGGAGAAAAATGGGGGTTAAGGATGACACTGAGGTTTCCACCTCTGGCTGGAGAAGTGTAGAACCATCTTAAGCCTTGTGAAAGAGCTGTTTAAAGAGGAAAGAGCTAAGGTGCCAGCAAGATAACCCTGTGGATATGTCCAGTGGTGATGGTGAAATGAAGGGTTGGTAGCTGAGGAAAGGGTGTTAGGGCTGAAAATATGACATTCTTTTGTGGGAAAAAGGGGTATCCCAATTTTAAAAAGGCAATGCAGCCTGCCTTGGTGAGTACTGGCTCTAGAGCTAGTTTGCTTTGTTAGGACTCCAGCTATGACACTTGGTGAGTGTAGGCCCTTCAATTAACCTCTCGTAACCCCAATTACCTCCTCTACAAAATAGGGTAATAGAAGTACTTCCCCCACTGGGTCACAGTAAGATGAAAATACTTAGAATATGCTCTGGTACACAGTAGGTGCATAAATGTTAGCTTATTATTATCATTATCATCTAAATGCATTATTGCGTACACAAAAATAACAGGTGAAACTTAAGGAATGAATGAGTGAATTGCATTCATTCACTTAATCATTCAATAAACATCCATTAAGCATCAACTATGTGCCAGGCCCAGGGCCAGAGACTTAGGAAAAAACGCAAAGAAGAGAAAAGGGCAGCAGCTTTGAGAACATCCGCTCTTAAGGGGTAGGCAGAAGGAGGAAGTCAGGCAAGCAGAGGGTGCCAAAAATGGAGGTAAGGAGGGAAGACTTGGCAAGGAGGGGCTGTTCTTTGGTATCACAGTCTGCGGGGAGGTTGGGGGCAGGAAATGGAGGCCTGAGCTACCCTCATCTCAGGTATTGTTTTCCTGGCCTTTTGACTTCCTAGCCACAGGTCAAGGATGCCAAAGAGAGAGGGACAGCAAGTCTGGCAGGATTTCCTGTATGACTCCCGGCTGAACAAGGGCAAGGTCTGTGTCTGAAACTCTCACACCACCCTAAATAAGAACACAAACTCTAGAAAGTATGAGAGGCCAGAATATTGCTTCCGTTCCCTTTTCATCTCTGCACACCGGGGTGGGAGAAAAAGAGATGGTCAAGTGGCTCTGAGTGAGGCTGGGAAAGGGAAACACAAAGAGAAACCAAGAAATCCTCATTCTCACCAGACAATCTAAGGCTTCACTTTGTCTGAAAATATTTAGGCTCAAGAATGTGCAGGATACATCCAAAAATGGTTACGATGGTAAATTTTATGTTATGAATATTTTACCACAATTAAAAAAAAATTTAATGCTGTTAGGCACAGAATCAGGAGAACCACAAGAGCTTAATGACTTTGACAGACACACCAATACATGCATAGAGAAAGAATGAAAATATTAAACCAAAGAATGAATGAGTGATGAAATATTTAAATAAGGTGGGTACATAGCACATCAGAACATATTTGGGAATAATACTTCCATCTAGGGAATACATTTCTTTTTTTTTTTAATGTGATAGTAATCACAAAAGCAAAGGCGGAATTTCTGTGTTGTTTGAGACATATAATTCCTTTGTTATGCTATGTAATCATGTGGCATACTGCATGGGTCAATAAGATTTAAAAAATAAACTTCTATCTGGGTGCGGTGGCTCACGTCTGTGATCCCTGTACTTTGGGAGGCTGAGGCGGGTGGTCATCTGAGGTCAGGAGTTCAAGAACAGCCTGGCCAACATGATGAAACCCTGTATCTACTAAAAATACAAAAACATTAGCTGGGCGTGGTGGCGCACACCTGTAATCCCAGCTACTCAGGAGGCTGAGGCAGGAGAATCGCTTGAACCCGGGAGGCGAAGGTTGCAGTGAGCCAAGATTGTGCCACTGCACTCCAGCCTGGGCAATAAGAGCAAAACACCATCTCAAAAATAAAAAATAAAATAAACTTCTGGCCAGGCATGGTGGCTTACCCCTGTAATACCAGCATTTTAGGGAGATTGAGGCAGGAGGATGGCTTGAGCCCAGGAATTTGAGACCAACCTGGGCAACGTGGTAAGAGCTTGTCTCTACAAAAATAAATTTTTAAAAATTAGCCAAGTGTGGTGGTATACACCTGTGGTCCCAGCTACTCAGGAGGCTAAGGTGGGAGGATCACTTGAGCCCAGGAGGTTGAGGCTGCAGTGAGTTGTGTTCATGTCACTACACTTCAGCCTGGGTGACAGTGAGACCCTGTCTCAAAAATAAAAATAAATAAATAAACTTCTGGATGGCTGCACAATAAATAGTTGATTTTCTTCCTATGAGAATCTCTAAAATAACATATCCAGTATTTGAACTTAAGTAAAATCAGTGTTCAAATTTCAAATAATAATAAGAATAATGTGCAGGAAAAAATCCTAAAGGAAAAGCCAAAATGGGAAAGGGTAAGTAGGCAGGACTGACCCTGAAGTAATGTGTTAATTGGCAGCGCTGCTAGCAAGGCCCAAGGTCTCGCACAGGTAGAATCAGTTTCCCAGCAGACAGGTGAGGCAGGCAGCTGGACTGACCCTCATGACCCCCAACTTTTACATTTCCAGCTTTATCATCAATGACTATAGAGATAAGGCCTCTGATTCTCATAGGCCTCCACATTCTGGCTGGTTACTTGGTGCAAGTGCTTTGACATTGCCATTATCTCATGGCCCTCAACTCCCCTGAGCCACAGTGTCTAGTACCAGGACTTTTAGTCTCATGTTGCTCTCATCCACCCTAAAGGAGAAGTTTCAGAGCATTCTAGTAACAACACATGAATGGTATTTTTCCAAACTTATTCATACATATTATCCTTTGAGCTTCACAGTAATTGTGCAAAGAATTATTTCTATCTACATTTCAGAGCTTAGCAAATAGAAGCAGAGGCTTTAAGTGATTTGCACAAAATGATCAAACTAATAAATGGTGAAATGAAGACTCAAGGTCATGCCCATCTTTCGTTCACCCACCCATGCACAGATGTATTCACTTGTTGAGTGTGCCAGGCACTGCGTTGTCTAAAGCCAAATCAGATGTTCTTTTAAGAACTTCTCGGCCAGGCGCGGTGGCTCATGCCTGTAATCCCAGCACTTTGGGAGGCCAAGGTGGGTGAATCACGAGGTCAGGAGATCGAGACCATCCTGGCTAACACAGTGAAACTCTGTCTCTACTAAAAATACAAAAAATTAGCCAGGCGTGGTGGGGGGCGCCTATAGTCCCAACTACTCAGGAGGCTGAAGCAGGAGAATGGCGTGAACCCGGGAGGTGGAACTTGCAGTGAGCTGAGATCGTGCCACTGCACTCCAGCCTGGGTGACAGTGAGACTCCGTCTCAAAGGAAAAAAAAAAAGAGGCCAGGCGCCGTGGCTCACGCCTGTAATCCCAACACTTTGGGAGGCCAAGGTGGGTGGATCACCTGAGGTTAGGAGTTTGAGACCATCCTGGCCAACATGGTAAAACCCCATCTTTACTAAAAATACAAAAATTAGCTGGGCATGGTGGCGGGCGCCAGTAGTCTCAACTACTTGGGAGACTAAGGCAGGAGAACCGCTTGAACCCGGGAGGCGAAAGTTGCAGTGAGCTGAGATCGTGCCACTTGCACTCCAGCCTGGGTGACAGAGCAAGACTCCATCTCAAAAAATAAAAAAAAAAAGAACTTCTTGTCTCCCACTTATTCAATCATGACTCAGTTCTTGAGGGACACCTTATTCTCTCTGCATCTTAAGCACCCAGCACAAGGCCTGGAGCAGAGGAAGTGCTGAGAAAAGTCTAGTGATTGGCAGGCTCAGCCCTGGGCTTCAAGGCTCCGTATCCTCTTAGCTTTTCAGGCTACATGCATTTGTGTGAAGGCGATTAAAATGCACACAAATTTGTTTCTGGCTTGGAGCCCTTTGATCCAACAGATGAGGAAATGTTCTCTCCTTAAAAGCCACAAATAAAATCTTATGGAGCTCCAAATATGCCCTACCCCGATATCATCATAATTTCCCTTTATACCTTAATCCACTTCATCCCCCAAACTGGCTGTCCCGGTACTGACAAGGTCTCATCCTCCCTCTTCTTCTCCTCTCCCACAGCTTTGTCACCCGAAAGAACCGCCAAGTGTGTGCCAACCCAGAGAAGAAATGGGTTCGGGAGTACATCAACTCTTTGGAGATGAGCTAGGATGGAGAGTCCTTGAACCTGAACTTACACAAATTTGCCTGTTTCTGCTTGCTCTTGTCCTAGCTTGGGAGGCTTCCCCTCACTATCCTACCCCACCCGCTCCTTGAAGGGCCCAGATTCTACCACACAGCAGCAGTTACAAAAACCTTCCCCAGGCTGGACGTGGTGGCTCACGCCTGTAATCCCAGCACTTTGGGAGGCCAAGGTGGGTGGATCACTTGAGGTCAGGAGTTCGAGACCAGCCTGGCCAACATGATGAAACCCCATCTCTACTAAAAATACAAAAAATTAGCCGGGCGTGGTAGCGGGCGCCTGTAGTCCCAGCTACTCGGGAGGCTGAGGCAGGAGAATGGCGTGAACCCGGGAGGCGGAGCTTGCAGTGAGCCGAGATCGCGCCACTGCACTCCAGCCTGGGCGACAGAGCGAGACTCCGTCTCAAAAAAAAAAAAAAAAAAAAAAATACAAAAATTAGCCGGGCGTGGTGGCCCACGCCTGTAATCCCAGCTACTCGGGAGGCTAAGGCAGGAAAATTGTTTGAACCCAGGAGGTGGAGGCTGCAGTGAGCTGAGATTGTGCCACTTCACTCCAGCCTGGGTGACAAAGTGAGACTCCGTCACAACAACAACAACAAAAAGCTTCCCCAACTAAAGCCTAGAAGAGCTTCTGAGGCGCTGCTTTGTCAAAAGGAAGTCTCTAGGTTCTGAGCTCTGGCTTTGCCTTGGCTTTGCCAGGGCTCTGTGACCAGGAAGGAAGTCAGCATGCCTCTAGAGGCAAGGAGGGGAGGAACACTGCACTCTTAAGCTTCCGCCGTCTCAACCCCTCACAGGAGCTTACTGGCAAACATGAAAAATCGGCTTACCATTAAAGTTCTCAATGCAACCATAAAGCTGACTCTTGATTTCCTCCCGGGGAACTGTCCTTCCCCATGAGCATTAGGCACACAGGGGTCCAGGGCTTGCAAACACCTGATGTCCATCCTAGATTGGGATGACAGGGCTGAAAACAAAAGCTCTCCGAGAAGGGGGCATGGGTAGGCACAGCAATTAAACTAATCAGTGACTTACCCACTCTGGAGGGGGAGGGGAGACAATAGTCACTACGTCCCCACCCTTGAGTCCCCAAGTTTATCTTACTGCCTGCCACAGCATCTCTCTGTTTCCTCAGACCTTGGTTGGCCCTTCCTCCCTGGCCTACCCTCTACCTTATCCCCAGTGGATTTCTTTAACACCACTCTTGCCCCTGGAATGAGATTCAATGGCAATTCCAAATGCCTCAGGTCTTTCAAATAAGGACAATGAGGTATTTTGTGTTTTTCCACTAGTACACCAGCTCCTTTAAGGTGGGGTATTTCAACTTTCCCAAGCTTGTCCCTTTATGTAAACATATATTGACAATATGTATGGCCATAACAATAGTTAACATTAATTGAGCACTCACTATGTGCCAGGCATTGGCTTAGCCCCTTACATTCATCATTCTTTTTCATCCTTATAACCCTATAGGGTTAGGTACAGTTATTAGCCCTGTTTATAGTCAGGAAAACCCTTAGCAAGAGAGGGAAATGATTTGCCAAAAGCCCCACAGCTCAAAGAAAAATAAAGCAGGTGGGCCGGGCGCGGTGGCTCACACCTGTAATCCCAGCACTTTGGGAGGCTGAGGCAGGCAGATCACGAGGTCAGGAGATCGAGACCATCCTGGCTAACACGGTGAAACCCCGTCTCTATGAAAAAAAAAAAAAAATTTGCCAGGCGTGGTGGCGGGTGCCTGTAGTCCCAGCTATTCTGGAGGCTGAGGCAGGAGAATGGCGTGAACCTGGGAGGCAGAGCTTGCAGTGAGCCGAGATCACGCCACTGCACTCCAGCCTGGGCGACAGAGTGAGACTCAGTCTCAAAAAAAAAAAAAAAAAGAAAAAAGAAAGAAAGAAAAATAAAGCAGGTGATAAAGCTTTACAATTAAGTTTAAACCCATCAGGTCTAATGCCAAAATCCATGCTTTTTTTTTTCCACCCTTAATTTGCAAAATTCCAAACTTATGGAAATTTGCAAGAATACACCACATACCCTTCATCTAGAGTCAAATATTGACATTTTACCAATTTGCTTTATCTGTGTGTGGGGGCAGTGTGTGGTCAGTATACACATTTTGTTTCTGAACCACTTGAGAGTAAGTTGCAAATGTGATATCATGTCATCCTTAAAAGTGTCAGCATGTATCTACTAATAACAAGGACATTATAAATAACCACAACATGCATACCATACTCAGGAAACTTAACAATGACACAATATACAGTCCATAATCAAATTCCTCATAGTCCAGTAAGGAAGACAGACCTGTGAGCAGATTATACATATGAAAAAGACTTAAAGTAAAGCAAAGTGTACAAAAAACTGTGGTCACACTGTGGAGAGAGGGAATTCTATCACTGAGTGGGTGGATGGGCAGGGGGTAGGAACCCTGAGGGAGAATAAAGACTTCAGAGATGAGAAAACATTTGAGTGGACTTTTTGAAAGATCTGAGTGCCAGTTTAACAGGTTTACAAGTAAAAGACTGACAGGTAGAGGGAACAGCATATGCAAAAGCAAGAGGTATAAAAGGCAGCTCCTTCATCAGGTCAAATAGCGAATGCATGCTGGGCTTAATACCTAGGTGAAGGGTTGAGAGGTACAGCAAACCACCATGACACACATTTACCATTTATCTATGTAACAAACCTGCACGTTCTGCACATGTATCCTGGAACATAAAGTAAAATAAAATAAAAAGTTGAAAGAAAATAAAAGAAAAAGGCAGCTCCTTACCACACAGATAAGAGTTCAGTCTTTTGCTGCCAAAGACGGGGAGAGGGTATGTATAAAAGGGACTTTCTGGGGCCAGGCGCAGTGGCTCACATCTGTAATCCCAGCATTTTGGGAGGCCAAGGTGGGCAGATTACCTGAGGTCAGAAGTTTGAGAACAGCCTGGCCAACATGGTGAAACCCCGTCTCTTCTAAAAATACAAAAATTAGCCTGGCATGGTGGCATGCACCTGTTGTCCCAGCTACTTGGGAGGCTGACGCAGGAGAATCGCTTGAACCTGGGAGGCGGAGACTGCAGTGAGCCAAGATCATGCCACTGCACTCCAGCCTGGGCGACAGAATGAGACTCCCTCCCAAACAAACAAACAAACAAATAAATAAATAAAGGGACTTTCCCATCCCTGCCATTTTCCCAGTGAATAATCCTAAGAACAGGTCTTGATCCTAACATGGGCTTACTTGAGCTTGACAGTTCACCAGATGGTTTGATTTTCTTCTCCAGTTTATGCCTCACCACAGGCCCTCTAGTTAAGCCAGACAGGAATGACTTTCCTACTCGTCCAGTGAGCAAACTGAAGCTCAGAAAATAAAGTGACTAGCTCAAGTCCAGGCCAGTAGATACCACAGCTGGGGCTCAGAAGTGAAACCTGAGTGTTCTATTTACCAAAGTAACCTGGTCGCTTAGCACTTGGAAGCTTCTACCTCCAGAAGTCCAGACACCTCCCCTGTACCTCTCGTACCACAGAGGACAGGTCTCCTCCAGCTGTGCCCCCACTCCCCTAAAAGCCTTGTATTCCCCCCTGCAGGTTCCCTCTGGCCCCACCAGGAGAAGAAGATGGCCTATGAAAAATCAACTGATATCTCTGATGTCTCCAGGTCAATGTTCCTGTACCCATGGCTGGAATATCCAGACAAGACCAAAGGTGAGGCTGGGATGGACAGAAATGGAGCCAAGAGCAGGGGACTGAAAAAGAAATGCTACCTGGCTCTCACTCCCAGGCAAGGGTCTAGGTGAGTTCAGCAAACCCTTGGGAAACATCAGGGCAGGCCCTTGGACACTTTGATGGCTCTGCACAGTCCTCAAGGTCTCAGGCTCCTCAGCAGGGCCTACAGGGATCTCTAAGATGGGACACCTGTGTGTCTCCCCAGCTTCTGCTCCCACACCTGTACCCTGCTCTTTACCCTCAATTCTTGCACCTCCAAATCTTTGCATAGGGTGTTCCCTGTGTCTAATGCTCTTCCCCCTTATCTACCTGGCTAGTTCCTGTTTGTATTGAAGACTCAGCTTGTGGAGTTTACTCTAGGAAACCTTCCCTTATCCTCCCAGCCAGGTTAGGTACCCCTCATGTTTACCACCTGTGTCTACATCTATCTTCACATTTGTTTCCCTCTGTTAATCACTAAGAAACACTTCTGTCTCTCCAGCTAGAACAGTGGTCCTCAAAGCGTGATCCCATGACCAGCAGCATCAGCATCTTGTTAGAAATGCAAATTCTCGACTGGGCACGGTGGTTCACGCCTCTAATCCCAGCACTTTGGGAGGCCAAAGCGGGCGGATCACTTGAGACCAGGAATTCCAGACCAGCCTGGCCAAGATGGTGAAACCCCATCTCTACTAAAAATACAAAAATTAGCTGGGTGTGGTGGCGGGCACCTATAATCCCAGCTACTTGGGAGGCTGAGGTACGAGAACCACTTGAACCTAGGAGGTAGAGGTTGACCTGAGCCAAGATTGTGACACTGCACTCCAGCAGCCCAGGCAAGAGAGCAAGACTCTGTCTCAATAAAAACAAAACAAAACAAAACAAAAAACAGGAAATGCAAATTCTCAGACCCCACCCTTAATCTAGTGAATCAGATACTGTGGGTATGAGTCCCAGAAATCTGTGTTTTAACAAACTCTCCAAGTGATTTTTTTTTTCCTAATTGAGGGTTAGGGGGCAGTCTCACTTTGTTGCCCAGATTGGTCTTGAACTCCTTGGCTCAAGCAATCTGCCCGCTTTGGCCTTACTTATCTCCCCAGTGCCTGGTGAAATATCTGGTACTAGTAGTCACTAAATGCTGAATAAATGAATGCCTGAATGTATTAATTCTTTAACCTACCTTTGCAACTGCTATCTCTTTTTTTTTTTTTTTTTTTTTTTTTTTTGAGTCTTGCTCTGTTACCCAGGCTGGAGTACAGTGGCATGATCTCGGCTCCCTGCAACCTTCACCTCCCAGGTTGAAGAGACTCTCCTGCCTCAGCCTCTCAAGTAGCTGGGACTATAGGCATGCACCACCACCCCTGGCAAATTTTTATTTTATTTATTTATTTTTTGAGACGGAGTCTCGCTCTGTCGCTCTGTCGCCCAAGCTGGAGTGCAGTGATGCGATCTCAGCAGGCTCCGCCTCCCGGGTTCACACCATTCTCCTGCCTCAGCCTCCTGAGTAGCTGGGACTACAGGCACCCACCACCACACATGGCTAATTTTTTTTTTTTTTTGTATTTTTAGTGGAGACGGGGTTTCACCATGTTAGCCAGTATGGTCCCAATCTCCTGACCTCGTGATCCGCCCGTCTCGGCCTCCCAAAGTGCTGGGATTACAGGCGTGAGCCACTGCGCCTGGCTGGCTAATGTTTTTTTTGTATTTTTAGTAGAGATGGGGTTTCACCATGTTGGCTAGGCTGGTCTCGAACTCCTGACCTCAGGTGATCTGCCTGCCTTGGCTTCCCAAAGTGCTGGGATTACAGGCAGAAGCCACCAAGCCTGGCCTGCAACTGCTATCTCATTTGAACCACACACATACTCTTATCCCTCTTGCCAGAACTCAGAAAAGCCATGGCTCCTGTTCATCTGCCCTTGTCCTGCTACCAGGTAAGACCCCTTACTTTTGCTACCCTGGGAGCTGTATCAAAGTTAGGAGGGGCAGCAAACTATCCCTTCCCATTAAAGCCAGCTCACAGAACCCTGACATTTACCCCTGGGGCTGCCATTAACTGTGATCTTGAACAGTCACTTTCCCCCTCAGAGCCTCAGGAGCTTCCTGTGTCCCAGGCTAACCCCTGTCCACCTCCCTTTGTAGAGTTGTTATGAAACAAAGTCTATGAGGCCTTGGCTATGCAGAAAGTGCTTACTAATGGAAGTCATTTTTATTAGTTAACACAGGGACAGTTAGCAACCCTCACAGTTTGGGTTGCCAGATGAAATACAGAATGCCCAATTAAATTTGAATTTTGGATAAACAACAAATGGTGTTTTAGTACAAATGTGTCTCAAATATTTCATTCATTACCTAAAATCCAAATTTAACTTGACATCCTTGTATTTTTTTGTTTGGGAGCGGGGAGCTTTTTTTTTTTTCTTCCTAAATCTGCAACCCTACTCACTGTGAGTCATGCTCCATTTTTTGAACTTATGCCAATCACTTGAGAACCCTTATTATGATCTCTTCAGTACAAAGTTGGGAACCACAGCTGAAGCCCCTCTTCCCTGTTGCCCAGATCTGTTGCAAAGAGTGAAAGAAAGGCTTAAGAAGAGACAGGGATGAATCCTAGCCAAATCTTCAGAGAAAGCCCCTGATCCACTCAAAATCCTCCATTACAGTGACAGCGGTAGTTTCACAATTGTTTAAGTGATAGATTATTTTAAGAAAGTCTGTTTCCCTGCTAAACTGTTAAGTTCCATGAGGGCAGGGATAACTGCAACCCTAGCACCCAGCACAGTATCTGGCACATAGTTGGTACTCAAATAAATATCTGAATGAGCAATAGTCTGTCTTTTCCCCACCTTTATCCCACATCCTCCCCACACCTTGCCTTTTCATTTCCCTACTCAAGTGTCATTTTCAAAGTGCTTTGAGATCCTCAACTAACCAAACTATGTATTCAAATCGATTTACAGATCACCAGTGGCTTCACAATCTGGATCTCTCTTTTGATCTTTACAACAACCTTGGTAGGGACACAGAACAAGGATTATTAGCTTTGTTTTACAGATAAGAAGACTGAGACTTTGATAGGATGAAGTAACTTGCCCAAGTTATGCAAGGGGTTAGGTGGTAGCTGTGACTCCAGCTCAGATGAGAGGCTAGAGGGCATCTGTTTCACCCTGCCCTTCCCTCCCTTTACCCCCTCCTCCCCATACCCTCACAAGTAAGGGCCTAGGGGACCCCTCTGACTGTTCTGCCACTTGCAACCCCCAGATGCCAAAGGAAGAGTTTCCCCCAAGTCCAGAGTGCTGGAGGCAGCATCCGAGCAAGCCAAACTCAGTCCCGTACTGCTACTTCAAGAAACCTGAGATCTACACGCACTGGCACGACCTGTATGATCAGCGAGAGGAAAGGGAGGCTGAGAAGATGTTGAGGAAAATGAGAGATGACTGTAGGTGTGTTTTGCTGGCCTCCATATTCTTCTCACCCTCCACATCTTCTAGGAAAGTGAGGAAGGGCAAGGAAGGGGTGGGCCAGGGAGTAAGGCAAGTCAGCCTACAGGTCCCAGAGAGGAGCTTAGGGCGGCTCGGCTTGGCTCAGCTCCATCTGGCTCGGCCGGCTCGGCTCGGCTCGGCTCTGGTGGATATCACTGAGTCCTCATCTGTCTTCCTCTGGTCCCATATCTGAGCTGGGCTGTAGCCCTGTGGCAGAAGTGAGGTTGCAACCTGAGGAGGGAAGGTACAAAGGGACCAAAGCTGCCTATGCAATTTCTCACACAGGTACATCAAAGAGGTACATCAAACCCACATCAAAATGTTCCATCTCCCAATGAGCAAGCTGACTATAAAATCTGAGATGCGATCCAGGCCCTTAGAGCCTACCCAGGACCCCCTGAAGTGGCAAAGATTAAGGGTCAGGACCATGTGGGAGAGGACGTGGGGGACTCCCTCCCTGTGGGTGCCCTTCCCTTGGGCTCACACCATCCTTCAGCCCTCAGTCCTTGCCTGAAAAACAGAGGTAGGGTAGGAAAAGGGATTGGATTGGATGAGCTCCCTTTAGTTTGAAATTCTTTATTTTTCTCTGTCTTCCTTTCCACTGGCTGCCTTGGATGGGCAGGAACTCACAAAAAGCCTGGAATCTCCCAGAGAGGATGAGCAGTTCTATGCAGCACAGGTGAGAAGAGGCAAGGATAGAGGAGGGTGGTTACAGCCAGGAGTTGGCCAAGCTGGAAAGTAAAAAGCTGCTTGACGTGATGGTGGTTGTGGGGATGGTATTCCAAGCACAAACTCCAGCTGTATCCAGAGAATGGTAACTCCTGGGGATGATGTCCAAGTTTCCTTCTCTTTCCTCCATCCCTCTTCCTGCAGGCTCTGGGATGCTTACGCATCAGTGACAAGTTTGTCATGGAGGCACTACAGCAGGTGGTGAGTCTGAGAACTGCTGGAGTTCAGGAAAGAAGGAAACAGGGTCTGAGATGTGTGGCATGTGGGCACAGACGAGGCTCCCCGGGGTGCTAGGATGGCGGGTCAGATCCAGTAAGGACACAGCCACCACTGTGCAGCATGACCCATCCCATGTCCTTGGCCTCTTCGAAGAGCAGCTGGATCTAAAAGATAGGGAAGGAAGAATCTGAAGATCTCCCTGGTCTAACCGAAAAGACATTGGACTGAAAAGCCAGGAAAGTCTGAAAGCCAGAACAGAGTACATTCTCTGCCTTTACTGGAAACACCGCATATGTATACATCAGCTTACCACTGGGAACATGCATTCTTTATATCCATAATCTCATTTAACTCTTACAACAACACCAGGAATTAGTATCTGTATTTCTCTAAATGAGAAAATGAAAGCTCTGAGAGACCAAGGGACTTGCCCAGGGCCAAGTGGCTACAAGATACCAGATAGAGATTTGAACAAACATCTAACTCCCAACTGTATTGTTCCTTCCATTGAACCATTTTGGCTGTATTCTGTATTTGAGAATAGATAGGTCACTTTCTAGGCTTCAGTTTCCTCTTTTGTAAAATGAGAAGTTAAGCTGAGACAATCCCTAAAGCTCTGACATTCCATCACCTTATTATATGTTCCTACCACCCGCCTCTTAAATTAGGCCCAAACTGGTCCAGAGAAAGTGAAGTACGAGGCCTACCGAACCCTGGCCATCCTGGGTGAGTATGTCTTCTCCCTTGGTGGGGAGTTGAGAAAGTGCAACCACTTTCTCCTTTGGGTAAGGACAAATGGGTGAGGAGCATACACTTGCTCCAACCTACCATTTGGCAAGGCCTGAGAACTATCCCAGTTATGTTGAACCAAGAGAGGAAGGTGGGGTGAAAAGGGAAAAGAGATTAGAAAGAGGGAGAGGGAGGGCTCTTGGAATAGTGTTCACATTCAGCCAGCTGCCCTGGTATCCTGGGAAGATGAGCAACACTGTGGTACCTAGGACTTGGAACTTAGGTCTCGATGGCACAGTGGAGTTCAATGGGTCCTTGCAGAGAGGGGCAGTACCAGAGGCTCTGCCCTGACTTGAGGCCCCTCCCTGTCCAGGTTGCCTGAATAAGCATGTGATCCGGGCTCTCATCAAACAGCTGAAGGAGAAAAATGAGGGTCAAAGGATGGAGACTTTGACGGGGCTACGAATGGCTCTTAACTCCTGGGCTGCTGTCTCTAAAGACAAGGTGATTGGGAGGACAGTCTTTAATTGGGGGCAAAGCTGGACAAGGTAATTGATAGGTTTAGCTTGGGGTTGGGTGAGGAAGAAGGTAACCTAGCACAGCTTTGATAGAGGAAGACACTGTCCTTGAGGAGTTCCCTCGGGAGTTGAATAGAAGCATATGGCTTGGCCACTTACTAGTCCATTTCTGAAAAGCCAAATTTCAGAGCTGCAGTTTGTATTTAAAATGGAGAATGGAGACAGTACAGATGGTTCCTGATTTAGATGGTTTGACTTACGATTTTTCGACTTTACAATGGTGCAAAAACAACACACAGTCAGTACACTCCTTAACTTACTATGGGCATGGCATTACAACCTCATAAACCCATCCATGGGACGTCATTGTAAATAGAGGAGCATCTGTAATTGTCTGATAGTACTGTTGAGAGGACTAAATGAGATAATGTATGTAAAACACCTAGTACAATGCCTATGCTCTTTAAATGGTAACCATCATTATTATCATCATCTCTAAAATAACTTATTATGGTAAAACCTGTCAAGAAGGGACGGGGCCCAAGAGAGTCCTCAGACCCTACTGTTTTTTTCTCCTTTAGTGTTCTCTTACTTTGACCCCATCATTGCTCTATGTAAAAGAAAATCCATCATTCATCCATTTATTCAGCAAATAGATAATAAACAGCTATCATGTGCCAGGCACTGTCCTAGGCCCTTGGGATATAGCAGTGAACCAGACAGGCAAAGATCTCTGCGCTTATGGAGGAGGTTACATTCTAGTGGGGGAGACACATAATAACCAATAAATTTATTTTTAGAAAATTAGGCCAGGCGTGGTGGCTCACAAATCCCAGCACGTTGAGAGGCTGAGGCAGATGTTCACTTGAGGTCAGGAGTTCAAGACCAGCCTGACCAACATGGTGAAACTCTGTCTCTACTAAAAATAAAAAATAAAAATAAATAAATAAATAAAAACTTAGCCAGGTGTGGTGACCCACACCTGTAATCCCAGCTACTTGGGAGGCTGAGGCAGAAATGCTTGAACCCAGGAGGCAGAGGTTGCAGTGAGCCAAGATCGCGCCATTGCACTCCAGCCTGGGCAACGAGAGCAAAACTCCATTTCAAAAAAAAAAAACCAAGAAAAAGAAAATTATGTAGTATGTTAGAGGTGACAGGTACAATGGAAACAATTACATAGCAGGGTAAGAGTGATCAGGTGTGACAAGTAGGAGTAGGGATGGGTTGCAATGTTAAATACAGTAGACAGGGAAGGCCTCATTTAGAAGGTACATTTGAGCAAAGACATAAAGAAAGTGAGTGGGTTAGCCTTACAGATATCTGAGAGAAGACATTCCAGGCAGAAGGACCAATGCAAAGGGAGGAGTATGTTTGGCATGGTTAAGAAAGCAAAGGGGACCAACACAGGTTCAACATGCGTATCAAGAAGTGTTATTTCTCTTCGAGGCCCATCTACCCCAGCCATGACATGATGTTTGTCCGCAACGACTGCAAGGTGTTCAGATTTTGTAAATCTAAGTGTCATAGAAACTTTAAAAAGAAGCGCAATCCTCGCAAAGTTAGGTGGACCAAAGCATTCCGGAAAGCAGCTGGTAAAGAGCTTACAGTGGATAATTCATTTGAATTTTAAAAACATAGAAATGAACCTATCAAATACTAGCAAGAGCTATGGAATAAAACTATTGACGCAATGAAGAGAGTTGAAGAGATCAAACAGAAACGTCAAGCTAAATTTATAACGAACAGATTGTAGAAAAATAAAGAGCTACAGAAAGTTCAGGATATCAAAGAAGTCAAGCAAAACATCCATCTTATCCGAGCCCCTCTTGCAGGCAAAGGGAAGCAGTTGGAAGAGAAAATGGTACAACAGTTACAAGAGGATGTGGACAAGAGGATGCTTCTTTAAAATCTCTGTAACCATTTCTTTTTTTTTTTGAGACCGAATCTCGCTCTGTCACCCAAGCTGGAGTGCAGTGGCATGATCTCGGCTCACTGCAACCTCGGCCTCCCGGATTCAAGCAATTCTCCTGCCTCAGCCTCCCAGGTAGCTGGGATTACAGGCATGTGCCACCACGCCCGGCTAATTTTTTTGTATTTTTAATAGAGACGAGGTTTCACCATATTGGCCAGGCTGGTCTCGAACTCCTGATCTTGTGATTCACCCACCTCGACCTCCCAAAAATAAATAAATAGGCCGGGCATGGTGGTTCACACCTGTAATCCCAGCACTTTGGGAGGCTGAGGCGAGTGGATCACGAGGTCAGGAGATTGAGACCATCCTGGCTAACATGGTGAAACCCGGTCTCTACTAAAAATACAAAAAATTAGCTGGGTGTGCTGGCGGGCGCCTGTAGTCCCAGCTACTTGGCAGGCTGAGGCAGGAGAATGGCGTGAAACCGGGAGACGGAGCTTGCAGTGAGCCGAGATCGTGCCACTGCACTCCAGCCTGGGCAACAGAGCGAGACTCCATCTCAAAATAAATAAATAAATAAATAAATAAAATAAATAAATAAATAAATAAATAAATAAAAATAAGGACTTTGAAGAGAGTGTGAAAAATAGCAAAGTTCTTGTTTTTTTTTTTTTTTTGAGACGGAGTCTTGCTGTGTCACCCAGGCTGGAGTGCAGTGGTGCAGTCTCGGCTCACTGCAAGCTCCACCTCCCAGGTTCATGCCATTCTCCTGCTTCAGCCTCCCGAGTAGCTGGGACTACAGGCGGCTGCCACTGCGCCCAGCTAATTTTTTTTTTTTTTGTATTTTTAGTAGAGATGGGGTTTCACTGTGGTCTCGATCTCCTGACCTCATGATCCGCCCGCCTTGGCCTCCCAAAGTGCTGGGATTACAGGCGTAAGCCACCGTGCCCGGCCGAAAAATAGCAATGTTCTTAAATGATGTCCTTAAATAGGCGAGAAGAGATAAGGTCTAAGACACAAGTGGAGACTGGCCTTAGATAGATGGTTATAGTCTATAGTTAACAAGTAGAAAGGAAGGGTGTATGGGTGCAAGTGTTGGAAGCTGGACAAAAGTAGTCATAGGAGTCTATGGAACTTCCTTTCTAGTTGCTTTGATTTTCTCACTGAAGTAGAAAGCAAGGTCACTAGCCAAGAGTAAGAATAGAGGAAGAAGTGTTCCAGAAAGGGTGTGAATTGGAAGAGTGAGAAAGAGAACTGCCCAGGGAAAAACAGTATGATTACCAGACAGCATTAAGGGTCTATATGAGGTCTGTGCTCACACATTTTAACAAGATCATTCGCTGCAATAGTGTTTTTCTCCAGGAAGTGCTGGCACAAAGTAGAGAGTTGGACTGTAGTTCTGTCCAGGGAGTAGAATGAAGCAAGAGTGGGTAAGGGAGCTGAGGGTGAGGAAGGGGAGTGATTACAGCAGGATCATGGAATTTAAGCTGGGTCAAGAGGGACAGAGGTGTGGAGGAGTGCAAAGGTGGCAGGCTCAATGGATTATTTAGTCCCTTGTGGAGTCAAACAATTCTTGGACTCGGGAGCTGGAAAAAGAGGTGATGGTCAGAGAGTGGGATCCATGAAATGGAGATTATGGAGAAGCTGCATTTGTGGGTAATGATCAGGTCTCTCAGTGGGATTAGTGGCTGAGGCAGAGAAGAGGACAAGGATATTGGAGGAGAGGTATGGGATCACTCACATGTATATTCTTTTAAATGACAGGAATTAACACAGCAGAAGTGTTGAAGAGAGTAACAGTGATCCATCCATGAGATAGTTATAGAGAAATGAGATCTGACCTAGAAGCAAGTAGGTGACAGCAAGAATAAGTTAATTGGTTGAAATAATCTGATGCACAAGATTCATTTTAGGGAGGAAGGTGAATATAGTCTGGAAGCACAAAGCCTGGCATAAAGTACATAGCCCCTCCCCTTAGCCATTTTGTCTCCCTCACAGAGGACTCAAGTCGGGGATGAGGGCAAGCTGGTGCCTGTACTACAGACACTGATCAAGAAGTCGTCCAGTGAAGCATCTCTGGAGGCAGCCCTGTGCCTGGGTTTCCTGAGGCCTTGCAGCAACATGGTCCAAGAGTTCTTGTTGCAGTGCCTGTGCCAAGGACTCAAGACCCAGCGGATGAAGGTGTGAGGGGCAGGAGGCTGGGATCCCTGGGGAAACAGAAGCCACTGCTGAATTGTGTGTGGTCTGGATCCTGCCATCCTGGTGGTGGAGCACTGCAGGATCCTCTGTGTGCTTATGACTATGTCCATGTATGAGTATGGGGTCATATGGACATATAAGCGTCCATGTGTCTGTGTATATTTGATAGGTGTGGGTGTTCATTTATGTATATGCACACATGAACTTCTGTGGTCAAGAGGCGAAGAGGCAGAAAAAAGGACCTTAGCTGTTCCTCACCAGTTCTAGGCTCAGACCTCAAGTCCACCTGGCCACACAGATGCCTCTAGGCCCTGTACACCCTGCCCTACCCTGCCCCCTCATAGGCACTTAGGATGCTGGTCAAGGTGATGCACGTGCACTCAGCCCCAGTCATCAAGGCCATCCTAGACCAGCTGTGTTCTTCCAGTGTCCTTGAGGTAAGCTCTGGACTGCCTGAACCCTTCCTTTCCCGGCACTAGGATAGGGTTAGGGGATGAAGAAGGGAATCCATCTTTCACACCTCCCCACTAACCCTCACCCCCGACCTCAGGACCGCTTTGAAGCCACCCAAATGCTCAAGACCATTGGGCTGGAACAGATCCAGGCACAGGGGCTAGAGGAACTCACATTTAACCTGCTCAGGAGGAAGACGCATAATGAACCCTTCCTTGTAAGTGAGACCAAAGCTCCCAAGCCCAGAGACACCCAAACCTTTCTCTTTTCCGTGTTCTGGAGACCTCCCCTGGCCTCCACCGAAGTATCACATTCATCCTGACCTACTCCTGTTCAACTAATGCAGCCCAGGTTTTTATATCACCTTGCCTTTGCTCAGGCAGTTCACTCAGGTTAAAATGATCTGAGTCATCCTTCCTTCTATAAGGTAAAAAACTGTCTCATACTATTCACTCGCACCAGTAAGTAATCCGTCTCCCCTTCTGCCTACTAAAAATACTGTATTGCTCCTTCAAGACCGATCCCAACGATACCTCCTATGGGAAGCTTTCCCAAATCACCAATCAGCATTAACCCTACCTTCCTCTATGTTCCCTTGCTTTTATATTTACTATAGCTTGTTATAAAACTAGGTGTTATATTTTTTTTCTTTTTTTTTGAGACGGAGTCTTGCTCTGTTGCCCAGGCTGGAGTGCAGTGGCGCGATCTTGGCTCACTGCAAGCTCTGCCTCCTGGGTTCACGCCATTCTCCTGCCTCAGCCTCCCGAGTAGCTGGGACTACAGGCGCCCGCAACCACGCCTAGCTAATTTTTTGCATTTTTAGTAGAGACGGGGTTTCATCGTGTTAGCCAGGATGGGCTCGATCTCCTGACCTCGTGATCTGCCCACCTCGGCCTCCCAAAGTGCTGGGATTACAGGCGTGAGCCACTGCGCCCGGCCCTAGGTGTTATATTTCTAAAGACATTTTTAAAAAATATAAATCAGATTGTGCCTTCTCTGCATAAAACTTTCTATTGGCTCCCAATGCCCTGTGGATGGCTTATGCTGCTTCCACAGCTCAAGCCTGCTTGCCTCTCTAGCTTCATCTCTCACCATTCTCCCCACCAGAACCATGTACCAACTATGCTTACGACAACCATGTCCTGATTTATACCTGTTGTCCCAGGGTAATTAGAGCACTCAGAGTGCTTGGAAGAGTCCATTTGGTCACCTCTCTGAGTTGAACTATTTTCAGCTCCCCATCCTCTCTGCACCTTCTCCTGCCTCCAGATTTTTTAATATGCTCTCCCCTCTGCTCTTAAAATCTGACCAACCCCAACCCTCTGCCTGGTTAACTCCCACTCACCTTCCAAGTTTCATTCAGCTCGGGCATCACCTCTTCCAGGAAGTCTTCCTGGCACCCAAGACTGAGTTAGGAGACCCTCCTATGTGTACCCCTACACAGTATTATAATTGCCTATTTACCTGTCTGCTTCCTCCACCAGACTATGAGCTCCTTAAGGCAGGGACTCTACATAGCACAAAGGAAATGTTCAGTAAAGATTTGAGAGGCTCTTAAGTGTACACCCTTGCATTCCCTCTCTCTGTTGACTCATTTTGATCCCTCTGCAGGCTGTGAGGCAGGCTGTGGCTCAAACTGTGGAAGAGCTCAAGTTGAAGCCTACGATGATGAACTTGGTGGAGGCGTGAGTGGCCTGGGAGCTGCCAGGGCCAAATCCTAGGCTGTGGGAAGGGGGCAGAGGGTCAGTGAGAGGGTCAGTGGGAAGGGGTCAGAGGGTCAGTGAGAGCTGAGAACCTACAGTGCAGCAGGTCCTCAGTTCTCCCTTGCCCATGCCCCTAACCAAGTAACTCTTTGACCCCTGAGCTTTTGTTCATCTGTAAAGAAAGAGTAATAATACCTACCAAGGTTAGGTATAGGTTGCTATAAAGCTCAAATTATGACATGAAAAGAACTTTTTTTAAAAAGATAAAATTTCTGGACAGTCCTGATCATCATTCAGTGCCTCCTGGCAAACTGTGGTGCCTCTTTTTCCTCTCCCTGCCCCTTTTCTGATCCAAGAAACAAGAGAAGGAAATGAATGAAATTAGCATCACTTTGCCTAATTCGCTCTGGACCTGAAAAGCAACCAGCCTCCCTTCCACTTCCCCTACTCCTTAATTCAACTATAACATACTCACTCCCTTCTACACAGACAACTGATGAACCCAGATGCCACTGCACGCCAGGAAGCAGTCATCTCTTTGGTAAGGCAGGCTCTGCTTCTCTGACCCAATTCCTGTGTTGATGGCAGGGGGAGTAGGCGATTGAGCAGAGTCACTGAGGGGAATAAAGGCCTGTAAACTTCGGGGAAGTTGTTTATTTTAGAATTCCAGCCCTACCGAACCTTTTCTTCAGGGTTGGGGGTAGGTGGGCTAAGGGACAGAAGATTGATGTGAGGGGTGTTGCTTAGATGCTGCAGAAATTGTCTTCAGTCTTCCTAGCAAATAATGGGCATTAAAGTCCCATGCAGTGGTTCCAAATGGCAAGGAAAGGAGTATCTCAGCTGGGAAACCCTATCTCCCCCCTCTCTATGCTGCAGAGTCTCACAAAGGGGCTAGAATGGGAAAGAGTATAAGGTGTCTTCCTGGGGCTGGCTACATAGGCACTCTCACTCTGCCTCTGCCAGGGTGTCCTGGGGATCCGCAGTCCACAAGTGTTCCACTTGCTCCTGGACTTACTAGATGCAGAAAACCACCAGGCTGTGAAGAAGAGTGTAAGTAAGGCGTTCCTGCCCACTTCTTCCTCTTCTCTAGCCCTCCTTCAAGCTTCTCCCACCTATCTCACCACCATTTGCTCCTTGTCAGGAGGAGAGGGTCATGAGCCCTTAGACACTGTCCCTTGACCTTGTTCCTTGGGGCCACAGTGCCCTGTGGCTAGAATTCCCCCCTACTTTGGGTGCCCCCTCTCTGGAGCCTCCCAGCCTGAACCCAAAGTGAGCCAGCACTAGGACCTTTGTTTCAATGCAGCTACAAGAAACATTAATCCTTTGTGCCTCAATTGATCCCTGGATCCAAAACAAGCTGAAAAACAAGGTTCTCTCTGTATATGAGGCACCTAAGACCAATGTGAAGGCAGAGCCCACAAGGTTCCAGAAAGAGCCTGAGAACCCAGAAGAGTTAACTATTCAAGACTTTCGACTTGCAAAGCTGAACCCCTTGTTTATTGCAAAGTCCATCACCAAAGTAGGCCAAAAGAAAACGCCTGCTTTCCCACCGTGCTGCTCGAAACCACGAAAACATAGGCCACAGGTCATAGGGCCCTGGCAGCCAAGGATCAAGAAACAGCTCCGGGTCCTTGCTGAAATTGCCAAATAAGTCAATTCTTTGGGCCTACTCCCCGACTCCCTCCCTGAAGATGCTTCTCAGGCTCCCATGAGAAAACAATCTATACTTATCTTCCGTGAATAAACAAGTGTCACTCTACCTACCACATTTCTCTGAATCACTACTGCCACTTCTGTTCATCAGAAGCTCCACTGGAACACAGGTCTCCTCATTCCTACCTGGGTATACTTTCCACTCAGCCACATGCCCTTCTACCAGAGGAAGGAGGGAAGGACAGAGCCAAAGCTTCTCTGGACGGCCAGCCTGCCTCCCTAAATCAAGTGCTTATCTGTGTCCAGAATTTGATGGCAAAGCTAGAGAAGAGTCTGCCTAGAGACAGAAAACTAGGAGAAAATGCTGGAAAGCTTGGATCATGTCCTCTTACTAACTTGCCCTCACCCCCCACCTTCCTACCAGTGGTCAGGAGATAATTAAGCTTTAATCAGAACCAACCATCCTCTCTGCTGCCTCTTCAATCTAGGTACCTGCTTTCTATCCTTTCCTTTGAAAGACCCTATTTACTCTCTAGGTCATTCCCTTTGAAAGACCCTTCTTATTCTCTAAAACTGCCTTAATTTCTCCCCTATTTCTACTGAAGCTTTAGTTTCCCTTTGCCAACAGGACCTACCACACCAATTCCAAAAAGCTACAACCCCTATCAGGAAGGAAAGGCCCAGACTTTGGAGTCAGACAAATCTGATATCTAATCCTAAGGTTCATCACTTTTTTTTTTTTTGAGACGGAGTCTCGCTCTGTTGCCCAGGCTGGAGTGCAGTGGCGCGATCTTGGCTCACTGCAAGCTCCGCCTCCCGGGTTCACACCATTCTCCTGCTTCAGCCTCCAGAATAGCTGGGACTACAGGCGCCCACCACCACGCCCGGCTAATTTTTTGTATTTTTAGTAGAGACGGGGTTTCACTGTGTTAGCCAGGATGGTCTCGATCTCCTGACCTCGTGATCAGCCTGCCTTGGCCTCCCAAAGTGCTGGGATTACAGGCATGAGCCACTGCGCCTGGCCAGTTAATCACTTTTAACTTTGAACAAGTTATTATTATTAAAAGTTAATACTTAACCTTTGTGATTTTGTTTCCTCACCTATAAAATGAAAATAATAATACCTGTTACCTCAGAAAGCTCCTATGAGGATTACCATAAAGGTTAACAGTGCCTGTCATTACATAGTAAACAATCAAATATGAACTTTTCTCTCCTTTCCTCTTTAATGTTGTCATGTGAGCCTCTGACCATCAGAGGTTAAAAACGACTGTCTCCTTTCACCTCCTCTTCTTCCCCCAATCCTACTGATTTACTGGGAGGTCAAGTTCTTCCCCTCAAGCATAGAAAAGTCAAAATAAAACAGACGCTCCTTTCTACTTCCCCGCACCCCAGGTTCTACAGTAATCCCAACAGTTATTCTGAATTCAGTGCAGGCTGAGCGTTCCTAATCCCAAAATCCAAAATGCTCCAACTAGAAACTTTTTCAATACCAACATGACACTCAAAGAAAATGCTCATTGCAGCATTTTGGATTTGGGGATTAGAGATATTCAACCTGTAAGTATAATGTAAATACTCCAAACTCTGAAAAAAAAATCTGAAATCCAAAACATTTTTGGTTCCAAGCATTTTGGATAAGGGATACTAAACCTGTATAGTGTGTCACTCAGAATTATCTCCCAACCTACCCCATCACTTCTAGATTCATGTTTTGCCTGTGAGCGAGCTGTAAGTAAAAACCAAGGGTGGTTTCACTATTTTGAGTGTATGCAGCACTGCCTGGGGACCCCTCTAATATTGTGATGCCAAAGTCCAATGATAGGAAAGATGTTCCTCTTTTGCCCACTCCACTGCTTTGGGTCCATGAGCAACATAACCCAAATTTCCCTGTGCCTCAAAAGCCTGTGAGTACAAAACATGACCTTACTAACTACATAATTCAAACTCAACTTCTGCAAAATCCTGCCCACAGATCCCCAACCACTCCACCTCCATATTTTTAGGTATTTCCAGAGGACGTCTTATTATTCAACCAGATACAAATATCTGCCTAGTAGCACCTCAATCCTAATTTCACCAGTCCCCACCAGAAGACAAGATGGCAGTGAGGGGCATAAAGGTTTTCACAGAGCAGTCACCATCTGGTACACCACCAATGTACGAGAGCCCTCCCAGTACCAAAGCTACCTAGATCAAACACTCTTAGAAGTCTACTTTATCCAAGCAGTCGCTGGCTTCTCTCATAGTCCAAAGACACCCACTGGTCTCAGTTACTGGGACTGATCCTTAGACACTATTCAAAATGTAAGTCCCTCTCTTTTCTCTCCTCTAACCCAAACCTTTCTAATGGGATCTCTGGATGCTTCTTCTGATGGCAAACAAAAAGCATTCACACCCTCCACTCTCTCCCTCAAACCTTCTCATCTATCTTTCAGGCTGTAACTGAAAACTGGCTATTGACTGGGCCCCTTTCTGAAATCGCTCAGGTGTTGCTGATTCTCCTAAATCCCTCCCAATATCACCACTGTTTTGCACATTTATATAAAAATCAGTGTTTCAGCCAGGCGTGGTGGCTCACCACTGTTTTGCACATTTATATAAAAATCAGTGTTTCAGCCAGGCGTGGTGGCTCACGCCTGTAATCCCAGCACTTTAAGAGGTCGAGGCAGAAGGATCACTTGAGGTGAGGAGTTCAAAACCAGCCTGGCCAACATGGTGAAACCCCGTCTCTACTAAAAATACAAAAATTAGCTGGATGTGGTGGAACACATTTGTAATCCCAGCTACTTGGGAGGCTGAGGCAGGAGGATCATTTGAACCCGGGAGGGGGAGGTTGCAGTGAGGCAAGATCATGCCATTGCACTTCAGCCTGGACGAGAGTGAAACTCTGTCTCAAAAATAAAAAATGAAGAAAATAAAAAGAAAAATCTGCTGGGCATGGTGGCGCACACCTGTAATCCCAGCACTTTGGAAGGCCGAGGTGGGTGGATCACCTGAGGTCAGGAATTTGAGACCAGCCAACATAACAAAATCCCATCTCTAATAAAAATACAAAAATTAGCTGGGTGCAGTGGGAGGCACTTGTAATCCCAGCTACTTGGGAGGCTGAAGCAGGAGAATCGCTTGAACCCAGGAGGTAGAAGTTGCAGTGAACCCAGAAGGTGCCACTGCACTCCAGCCTGGACAATAGAGACTCCATCTTAAAAAAAAAAAAAGAAAAGAAAAGAAAAAGAAAATCAGTGTTTCTCTGAGGATCCTGCTCACCAACCAGCAATTACCCACTGGTCCATTTCTCCATTTCCTCTCATTCATTGCCTGACTCTTTGTCACCTCTCTGATGGCATCCCTTTGGACAAACATTCAATACTCCAGCCCCTCAGTCCTTCATCTCAATTACAAAGACATTTCCCTTCCATTCACTTCAGCTACCCACTTCCAACGTTACACCTAACCTTTGTCATCCCTAGGAATTGCTCTATCTCCAAAATGTTCACTTCTCACTTTCTGACCCAACCTTCAATCTGTGCAGCTCTTATTATCCACACAAGTTCTTTGAATCTCATCACCAACACTAAGCTCCTGACTTCCTTCCATCCTCCCTCTTTTTTTCTTACTCAACCTGGATCCCATCCATTAATCACTACCCTCACTTTTGTCATCTCTGATCATCTCTGATCAGTAAAACCCCTACTCTAAATCAAACTGCCTCTGCCCCTATAACCACGTTGCTATCAAAGCTGTTGAAAAATCACATATCCATACAGACTGGAACCCCCAAATACTTGCCTTTTTTTTTTTTTTTTTTTTGAGGAGTCTGACTCTGTCGCCCAGGCTAGAGTACAGTGGCGCGATCTTGGCTCACTGCAAGCTCTACCTCCTGGGTTCGCGCCATTCTCTTGCCTCAGCCTCACGAGTAGCTGGGACCACAGGCGCCCGCCACCATGCCTGGCTAATTTTTTGTATTTTTAGTAGAGACGGGGTTTCACCGTATTAGCCAGGATGGTCTCAATCTCCTGACCTCGTGATCAGCCCACCTCAGCCTCCCAAAGTGCTGGGATTACAGGCGTGAGCCACCGCGCCTGGCCTGCTTACCTCCTACTTTAACTGAGCCCTTATTGTCACCTGGCAGATTTATGGGTTCCTAGGCACACACTTCCCTGATCCCCACAGTGGTTATAAGTCAAGCCTTCTCTCCTAACCTCACATATCCTACAATCTCTTAAAACTTTCGGCCGGGTGTGGTGGCTCATGCCTGTAATCCCAGCATTTTAGGAGGCCGAGGCGGGCAGATCACAAGGTCAGGAGATTTGAGACCATCCTGGCTAACACGGTGAAACCCTGTCTCTACTAAAAATACAAAAAACTAGCCGGGCATGGTGGCGGGCACCTATATTCTCAGCTTCTCAGGGGTTGAGGCAGGAGAATGGCGTGAACCCGGGAGGCGGAGCTTGCAGTGAGCCGAGTTCGCGCCACTGCACTCCAGCCTGGGCGACAGAGCAAGACTCCATCTCAAAAAAATAAAACAAAACAAAAAAAAAAACCCTTCTATTATATTACTTCCCCAAACTCTGCAGACTATTATACTTTCTCATCAGGAAAACAAAAAGACATCAGATGGAATTACCTCAACTTCCTCCTGCCACCTCGGCTATACGCATCCTTGTTTATAGCACGAGAGTAGGTAAGAGTACAGGCTCTAAGGCAGATGCCTAGGTTAGAATCCTGGCTCTGCCACTTACTAAAGATTTGATCTGGGCAAGTTGCTCAATCTCTCAGTGCCTCTGTTCCTTACTGTACCCCCTAAAAAGCCCCTTCCCAATGGCATTCAAAATCATTTACACCATCTACCTCTTCTGTGAAGTATTTCCGGTATCTCCTAGCTTCAAAGGATTGTTGTGAGTTAAATGAGATAACACACATAGACTGCTTATAACAGTGCCTGGCACACAGTAAGCTCCCAATTAATGTTAGTCGTTTTTACTACTATCAGCATCCACACCTATTCTTACCTCCAACTGCAATGCAAGAGGCATTCTCTTCTTCTAAGGCAAATCCTTCACCGACCTTCTAGACGCCACCCCTTCAAGAGACTTGAACATCAATTATTCATGTATAAACATGCTCAATTCTCACCATCTTAAAAATAACCTTCCACAAGCCAAGTATCCCCATCTAGCTACCTCCTCCTCTCACATCATGCCTCCTCTACCCTTCATAATCAAATTTCTTTGTCCACATTCCCCGTATCCATTTCCCCAATTTTTATTAACTTTCTATTATGCATTTCTATTATCCCACTGCAGTTTGAGTTCAGAATTCAATTGTCTGCCCAAATTGCTTTTGCTAAGGCAGTGGTTCTCAACAGGGAGCAATTTTGCCCCCTAGTGGCCATCTGAAGCCATTTTTTAGTTGTCACAACATGGAGAGGTAAGGGCTGCTACTGGCATCCAGTAGGTAGAGGCCAGGGATGCTATTAAACATCCTACAACGCACAGGGCAGCATCCCACAGGGCATTTTCCAACCCAAAATATCAACAGTATCAAACCCTGCGCTAAAATAATGTGTAACTATGTTGCTCAATGTAATGAATGCCTTCTATCCTTTACATGAGGTAGCCTGGCTTAAGTACTTGATACTATTAGCTTCTCCTTTCCTAAAATTCATTCTTCCTTTGGGTTCCACTGACCACGCCTCACTGGCCATTCCCATTCTAGTCTGTTTTAGGATCCTCTTCTGCTCATCTGTTAAATGTCAGTATTTCTCCAAGTTTCCTCCTAGGCTCTTCTCTTTCCATATATTGTCTCCAAAAACTAGAATCACCTGGGGCTCTTTTAAAACATGCCCAAGCCTCCGGGCACAGTGGCTCACGCCTGTAATCCCAGCACTCTGGGAGGCCGATGCGGGCGGAACATGAGGTCAGGAGTTCGAGACCAGCTTGGCCAACATAGCGGAACCGCTAAAAATACAAAAAATTAGCTGGGCCTGGTGGTAGGTGCCTGTAGTTCCAGTTACTTGGGAGGCTGAGGCAGGAGAATCACCTGAACCCAGGAGGCGGAGGTTGCAGTGAGCCAAGATCGTGCTACTGCACTCCAGCCCAGGTGACAGTGCAAGACTGTGTTTCAAAAAAAAAAAAAAAAAAAAAGCCCAGGTCTCATTCACAGATGTGTTTTGGAGGTTAGGAACACTAGGAAGAAACATTTGGAAGGGAAGCTCAAAAGTTCTATTCAGTCCACATTTTTTTAAACACAATTATTTTACATCCAACTGCAAAGGTCAAGTAGGCAACTGGGAGGGGAGAACTCAGGACTGGAGATGTAAATTTGGTAGGCATCACCATATTAGATGATATTTAAAGCCATATCCTGGATAAGCTTGCCCAGGATAAAAGTGATTAAGAGAAAGGGGCTTAGAAAAAGCCCCGAGAAACTTCCAACATGTAGAGGTCAAGTTGAGAAGGCAGACATGTAATTCAGTAAGGCAGATAATCAGGGGAACATGGCATTAAATGCTACTTTCTGAGCTGCAGAATTATGTCTCTACCTAGAAGTTTCATGAGCACTCTGAACTCAACACATTCAAAACAGAATTAATTCCCATCTTGCCTGCAAAGCTGTTCCTTCCCTAATGAACAACATATCTACCCAATCACGCAGGCCAGAAACCAGACTCTTCCTTCTCCGCTATTTCTGACATCAAACTAAATCCTGTCAAATTTCCCTCTTGATTTTTCAAATCTAGTTATCTCCTTCCCTCTAGTCACTATCTGAGCCTCAAAGGCCAATATAATCCCTTACCTGGCTGTCTCCAGTCCAGCCTTCCCACAAGGCAGTCATAATCATCATCCGATGCCACTCAAATCAGATCATGCCACACCCATTTACCATCTTTTAATGACTCCCTGTTTGGAGGGAGGTAAAAAGTGAAATGCAAGGACCTTGTCACAGAGCTTGTTTACCTCTCCAATCTTTTCTTTTGCGTGACCACCCTTGAACTCTTCCCTTCAGTCACAAAGAACTACATACAATTCTCCTCAAGTGCAGATCCTGCTCCCCACTGTCTTAGCTCCTGATTTGTTCATGTCATTTCCTTCTGGGAACACTATCTTCTTGCCTCTGTACTTAGTGAACACTATTTTCTCAGCCTCTGTACTTAGTGAACTCCTAGTCTTCCCTCCACATTCGCCTTTCCCTACTCCCATGTGACTAAATTTAGTGTCCTTCAAATCAGCCCTCTAAGCACCTTGAACTTGTTACTGGTGCACTTATCGACTATGCTTTCTGTTTACTTGGTCAGCAACATATCTAGAATCTGATCCAGTGCCTTACCCATAGTTAAGAGTAGAATAAATAGTTCTCTAATAAACAGCAAATAACATACATATGTTGCCATCTTAACCCTGGCTTGTAAATCCTTTCTTTTCCTTGGAACTTCATATTCCCAGCATCTAAAACACTCCCCTAAATAAATCGTTGTCAAGTGATACTAAATAACTATATCAAAATCACCTGGTAAACTTGAGCTAAATAAGTATTTCCAGCCCTAACTCCCCATACCTCATTGAGCTCTGATCCAGCAGACCTAGAGGGCTGGGAATCTAGGAATCTAAATTTAACAACCTAGGAATCTAATTTTAACAAACTTCAGGTGATTCTGACTTGTCATTCCTGGGAACCACTAAACACAGTAGGAGCTCAATAAATATTGTTTAAAGTAACATTTTAATTTACTGAAGTATATAATTCATTTCCTAATTCTTTAGGATTAGAGTCTAATGTAACTGAGTCCTGAGTGTGACAGAACAATGCACTAGTATGTACAAAAGTCCACAAAAACAAGCAGCCTTTATTGCAGTATTACAAAACACTTTTCATTTTGGCAATATTTTACAACGCATTTAGCTCCAAGGGTTGGGGAGAAGGTTGGAAACTAAAGGGGGAAATCTCAACAGACATTTCTAGAAGAAAAACTGTCCCAGCCCTCCCACCCAAATAAAAATCCAAATGTCACTTAATTTCACTACCCAAGAAGAGGCCACGAGGAAAGCAGCAGGCAAAACTCTGGCAATTTCACTATGGATCATGTCAGAGACAAAGGAACATTCAAAACAGTCATCAGTATGGTCGGTTGCGCTGATCATTTCTGTAGTCGTTTCTAGGAATGAAAAATAAAGAGCCGGACTAAATTCTAATTTTCTACGAAGGGGGAGCATTAGACACTTCTTCAGGGTACTAGTGATTGGCATCAGCTAGACAATTTCTAAAGAATGACACCATGCCTCATTTATTTCTGTACTCCTAGAAGATACTTAAATGTCTAATTTACCAGCTTTAAGATTCACAAAGTTCCTAGAAGAAGCTTTGCTTCACTCTCTTAAAAATTTTCCACTTAAAACTCCAAACCACAAATATTTCAGAAGATCAGAAACTGTCCCAGTTCCAGCACTCTAAATAGGAGAGTGGCATAGTGGAATGAGCAAGCACTTACATGTATGAATTCTGGATCTGCCACTTACTATGTGACCTTGGAAAAGTTACACTAAATGACTGACTCTGTAAAATGGGAAGTATACCTACTTCATAGGAATGACAGAAGGACTAGAACTAAAGAATATAAGAACACTTTACAGTATTGGCCATACAGTAAGCAGTGTTCAATAGATGGTAATTAGGTTACTCATAATTACTAATAGCTAAAAATTATATAGTGCTTACTCTGGGCCAGCAACTAGTACAACGTAATCTAATACAAGTCTAAAAAGGACGTCTTATTAGCCCCATTTTACAGATAAGAATACTGACACTCCAAAGGATTAAGTAACTTTCCTAAGATCACACAGCTAATAAGTGGTAGAGTTAGGATTGAAACCCAGACAGTCTGCTTCCCAACTTTATGCTCTTAACCATATTCTATACTAATTCTCACTGCCTTATATTGCCGCTGGCATACAGGTCCTTAGTATAATAATTGAAGTTACTTTCTATCATTGGTCTTCTTCTGCCTCTACACCATTCGTGTGCACAAGACATTCCCATCAGTGGTTTTCATCTGGAAAAGTTATCAGTATCTCCAGAAAAACAACTGCAGGGTAGTATATATGATCTGAAAAAGAACCACCCTATGAAAGGTATGTTCCTTCACTTAGATTAGGAACTCTTGATTTACACAGTTTCAAGTTATTATCTCTCAATCTCAATTATCTTTATGAGAAAAAAATAATACACAGATACACCGAAACAAATAAAGATTTATGAATAAGAATTTCCAGCAGGTGGACAGGCACAGTGGCTCACGCCTGTAATCCCACCACTTTGGGAGGCCGAGGCGGGTGGATCACGAGGTCTAACATGGTGAAACCCCGTCTCTACTAAAAATACAAAAAATTAGCCGGGCGTGGTGGCGGGCGCCCATAGTCCCAGCTACTTGGGAGGCTGAGGCAGAATGGCGTGAACCCAGGAGGCGGGGCTTGCAGTGAGCCGAGACTGCGCCACTGCAAAGAATTTCCAGCAGGTGCTGTGGCTCACATCTGTAATCCAAACACTTTGGGAGGCCAAGACAGGAGGAATGCTTGAGGCCAGGAGTTTGAGACCAGCCTGGGCAACATAGTGAGACCCTGTCTCTACAGAAAATAAAAAAAATTGGCGAGGTGTGGTGGCACACACCTATAGTTCCAGCTACTTGGGAGACTGAGGCAGGAGTGTTGCCTGAGTCTAAGAGTTTGAGGTTACAATGAACTATGATCATACCACTGCACTCTAGCCTGGATGACAGAGCAAGACCCTGTCTCTGTCACTAAATTTAATTTTTATTGTCTCTAAAAAATAAAAATTAAAGTTAAAAAATAAAAAGTTCCAAAACAAAATTTTAGAAATTGCTAAGCAGGAAACTAAATCATCTTCTCCATCCTGAGAGAACTGGCAATGGGAAATTCAAGTTCCAAAAAATTGTTAAAATGTGGTTCAAATCCCCCAATCTAGGTGCAGTGAGGTAAAAAGGTTAATAAACACATTCTAATACTCACCTTCCTCCCATTTTGCCTCCATAGCCACCTCGGTCTCCTCCGTAGCCCCCACCTCGGTCTCCTCCATAGCCGCCACCACTCCTGTCTCCTCCATAGCCTCCACTTCGGTCTCCACCGTAGCCACTGCCACCACCACGGTCTCCTCCATAGCCCCCCCGGCTTCTGTCTCCTCCATAGCCTCCTCGATCTCCTCCATAACCTCCTCGATCTCCTCCGTAACCTCCTCGATCTCCTCCATAGCCTCCTCGGTCTCCACCATAGCCTCCACCTCGGTCTCCTCCATAGCCACCTCGATCTCCTCCATAGCCACCTCCTCGGTCTCCTCCATAGCCGCCTCCTCTGTCCCCACCATAGCCGCCGCCTCTGTCCCCACCATAGCCACCCCCACTTCTGTCTCCACCATAGCCGCCCCCACTTCTATCTCCGCTGTAGCCACCACCGCTGCTTCTGTCTCCACCATAGCCACCCCCACTTCTGTCTCCACCATAGCCGCCTCGGTCTCCACCTCTGCCCCCACGACCTCTGTAGCCCCTCTCTCCACCGTAGCCTCTCCCCCGGAAATCTGCAAGGTAGAAATGCAAACAATGAGGCCAGCAGAAACAACGTAAAGCCCCCTTAATGCTAGTCAGAAGATAAGCACGATGCAGATGCTATTAAAAGGCTGACCCACCTCCTCCTGAGGGACGAGAGTCCTCTGGTCTAGGCTCATTGCACTGATTGCAGGAATTCCTTCGAGCAAAGTTCATATTTCCGCATGACCTAAGAAAGGAGGAAAATATAATGCTCCTATATAGTTTCTAATGGACTCAGAACCCCTTTCTGTATCCTCCACAGCCCCAATCCCAACCCCTACTCTCACCAAAGTAAACAAGACACTTACGGATTAGGGCAAACCCAATCCCCACTTTTGGGGTCTCCACCTCTCCCTTGAAAGCCTCCACGACCTCTATATCCTCCACGGCCTAGGGGGATGGGGCCAGGGGAGAAAAATCAGCAGCAGATATTAACAAAACAGAAGAAAAGCATCAGATAACATAAGAGTAGATACCCATCAATACTTAGGCAGCACTCTGCAAATTAACCCCTTATACCAGGACTTTGTAATTCTTTGATTTGGGTCTTGTACTTAGTAAACAGAGGACCTTGAAAACAGACCCTAGGCACACAACACAGTGCAAATAATGCACTAGAAAACTTCAAAGTCCATTTTCTGTAATACAGGTTGAGTATCCCTTCCCCCAAATACTTGGGACCAAAAGTGTCTCTGATTTTGGATTTTTCAGATTTTGAAATATTTGCCTTATACTTGCGAGTTGAGCAGCCCAAATCCAAAAACCCAAAACCTGAAATGCTTCAATGACCATGACCATTTCCTTTGAGCATTATGTCGGTGCTCAAAGTTTTGGATTCCAGAGCATTTCCAATTTCAGATTTTCAAACTTAGGATGCCTAACCTATACCCTACTTAGTTTGAGAATCTCCATGAAGAAGATTAGGTGAGAAGACAAAAACTCCAAATGTAAGAATATGAATGCAAAGGCCACAGTAACATCCACCCACAAAACAGAAAAAGAAAAAAGACAAGAATATGAATCCAATAGAAATAAAGAAGCTGGGCTGGGTGCAGTGGCTCACACCTGTAATCCAAGCACTTTGGGAGGCCAAGGCAAGCAGATCATCTCAGGTCGGGAGTTCGAGACCAGCCTGACCAACATGGGAGAAACCCCATCTCTACTAAAAATACAAAATTAACTGGGCATGGTGGCGCATGCCTGTAATCCCAGCTACTTGGGACGCTGAGGCAGGCGAATCACTTGAACCCGGGAGGGAGAGGTTGCGGTGAGCCAAGAACGCGCCATTGTACTCCAGCCTGGGCAACAAGAGCGAAACTCTGTCTCAAAAATAAATAAATAAATAAAAAATAAAAAAAAAGCTGGCAGTAACTGTATCAGGCAGCTTAAAAACTGGTCAGATTAATTACCTAATTAGGTATCATTAAAACAATTGCCTCGCCAAGCACGGTGGCTCATGCCTGCAATCCCAGCACTTTGGAAGGCCAAGGTGGCTGGATCATGAGGTCAGGAGTTTGAGACCAGCCTGGCCAACATAGTGAAATCATCTCTATTAAAAATACAAAAATTAGCTGGACATGGTGGCGCACGCCTGTAGTCCCAGCTAGTTGGGAGGCTGAGGCAGGAGAATCACTTGAACCCGGGAGGCGGAGGTTGTGGTGAGCCGAGATCACGCCACTCCACTCCAGCCTGAGCAACAGAGTGAGACACCATCTCAAAAGAAACACAAAAACCAAAAAAAAAAAATTGCCTCCTGATTTCCAAGTGAACAGCAAATCACAATAAAGCTTTCCAAAGGGATTTCTACAACCATTTCCCACTACTTTCTTAGCTATTACGATATCTCATTTACCTAATATATTCAGTACCTGAACTCATTTTAAGATAGAGGGAAAAAGACCTAGCGAGAGAAAAAGCAGTAGCAAGTTCACACAAATAGAAACAGAGTATGAACTCAAACTTAAACCCTTGGATAGTATCCAGGACTGTACGCAGCAAGGATCTTACCTCGCCGCCCACCTCCACTTCCACCTCCTCTCATGAATTCAGGTCTTCTAGTGGCAAAGGACACTTTAATGATGTTGCCATGGAATTCTTTTCCTAAGAAAAAAGAAATCAGCTTTGAAGCAATGCTACTCTATACCTCCACCTGTCAACAAAAATGAAAAAGTCTTGGAAATCTTTAGTTTCAGAGGAGTAACTGACATGTCCTCACAGAAATTCAAATGCAAAGAGTCAAGATAACAGTGCTAAAAGTGACATTATCTACTGAAAAGAGCATATCTGTCACTGGGAGACAGTCACTTCTTACTAAGCTTAAAAAAAAAACAAAAACAAAAAACAAGGTGGAGTGGTATGTGTCTGTAGCACCAGCTCCCAGCTACTCAGGAGGCTGAGGTGGGAGATCACTTGAGTCCAGGAGCACGAGACCAGCCTGGGGAAGGAGATGGTGTCAGGGGTGGAGAAAAAGGCCAGGTGCAGTGGCTTATATCTGTAATCTCAGCACTTTTGGAGGCTGAGATAGAAGCCTCACTTGAGGCCAAGAGTTTGAGACAAGCCTGAGGAACGTAATGAGACCCTTTCTCTGAAAAAATTTTTTTAATTAGCTAGGCATGGTGGCATGCGCCTGTAGTCCTAGCTACTCAGAAGGCTGAGGCAGGAGGATTACTTGAGCCTGGGAATTCAAGGCTGCAGTGAGCTATCTTCGTGCCACTGTGTACTAGCCTGGAAGACAGTGTGATACTCTCTCTCCAAAAAAAAAAAAAAAAAAGCTGGGCGTGATGACTCAAGCTTGCAATCACAGCACTGTGGGAGGCCAAGGAAAGCTTGGGGCTCAGGAGTTTGGGACCAGCCTGGGCAACATGGGGAAACCCTGTCTCTACAAAAAATACAAAAAAATTAACTGGGTGTGGTGGCACCTGTGGTCCTAGCTACTTGGGAGGCTAAGGTAGGAGGATCACCTAAGCCCAGCAAGTCAAAAAAAAAAAAGAGTCAGGTGCACATGTCTACCTGTTCCCATGGGGAAAAAAAAACTAAAACCTGTATCTAATATTTTTACATGGGAAAAAAAGCCAGCTGTAGAATATGTGAAGTATGGTACCATTTGTTTATTTAAGGGAATGAATACGTGCGCAAGTGCAGTAACATGTACGTATTTATCTACACATATGCTTATATGCATTGCCTACTGTGCTTACTAGGGGACACAAGATCACTGGGATTCAAAGGTGAAAAAGAAACTCATATTTTACCATATGCCCTTGGTACCATTTGAAATTTTTTTTATCATTTCCAAAGTAATATAACAATTGGTAACTTTTTAAAAAATAGTAGTAAATAAGAATTGGCAAGATTTGAACTATGGAGTTAGGTTTAAAAGGCTCATATGCCCTATGGGCAAAAGTCACTATAATTTCTGAATATACCATATGCAAAAGACATAGCTTCATGATTCATTTCTCTCATTCTTATGAAAGCAGCAAAGTAAGAAAGAATGGACTTAGCCTTCAAGAGCAAGGTGATGAAGTCTGACAAATTAGTCTAAAAAAGTAAAGAATACAGAGACGGGGACAGACAGGGTACTACAATTTCATTTTTTTTTTTGACGGAGTCTTGCTGTGCGTCACCCAGGCTGGAGTACAGTGGCGTGATCTCGGCTCACTGCAACCTCCAACTCCCGGGTTCAAGCAAGTCTCCTGCCTCAGCCTCCTGAGTAGCTGGGATTACAGGTGCTCACCACCGCGCCTGGCTGATTTTTGTATTTTTAGTAGAGATGGGATTTCACCATGTTGGCCAGGCTGATCTTGAACTCCTGACCTTGTGATCCACCTGCCTCAGCCTCCCAAAGTGCTGGGATTACAGGCATGAGCCACCACGCCTGGCCTACAATCTCATCTTTAAAGAAGTAAAAGAGCTGGCCCAGTGCGGTGGTGAGCGCCTGTAATCCCAGCACTTTGGGAGGCTGAGGCGGGTGGATCACGAGGTCAGGAGATGGAGACCATCCTGGCTAACACAGTGAAACCCCTGTCTCTGCTAAAAATATAAAAAATTAGCCGGGCGTGGTGGCATGTACCTGTAGTCCCAGCTACTCGGGAGGCTGAGGCAGGAGAATGGCGTGAACCCAGGAGGCGGAGGTTCAAGTGAGCCGAGATTGCGCCACTGCACTCCAGCCTGAGCAACAGAGCAAGACTCAGTCTCAAAAAAAAAAAAAAAAAAAAAAGGAAAATAACGCAATTATGTTTTTGGAAGATGGAGGTACAATAATCTTGAAACTGAAAGGAACTGCAAGTGTTTGTCAATCCAGCATAGTTAAGTACTTTGGAAAGAGTAGATCCAGCACGGCTGAGTTTGAATCCTGACTCTGCGACTTACTCTATGATCCTGGAAATTACTTAGTTTCTCTATGCATCAGTTTCACTCTCTGTAAAACGGGAGTAACAGGGCATATGTCTCATAAGATTATTATGAAGATTAAATTGAGTTAATGCGTGTAAGGCTCTTAAAGTTGTGCTTAGCTCATAAACCTCAGTAAACATGCAGTAAGTGTTAGTTACTGTTAAATTAGGGTGCAACAAAAATGATGAATTTGTAACATGGGGAAATGACTACCTTTAAATGTTAAATGAAAAATACCGTAAGACAAAACTCTATTTGGAGTATTACAAGATACATCTTAAAACACCAGAAGGAAAATTATTAAGAAATATTATCAGTGGCTACCTTTGAGTAGAGGGCTATAGAGATGTTTTACTCATTTCTTCTACTTTCTGTTAAAAAAAGCATCTCGGCCGGGTGCGGTGGCTCACGCCTGTAATCCCAGCACTTTGGGAGGCCGAGGTGGGCGGATCACAAGGTCAGGAGATCGAGACCATCCTGGCTAACATGGTGAAACCCTGTCTCTACTAAAAATACAAAAAAATTAGCAGGGCGTGGTGGCGGGCGCCTGTAGTCCCAGCTACTGGGGAGGCTGAGGCAGGAGAATGGTGTGAACCCGGGAGGCGGAGCCTGCAGTGAGCCGAGATTGCGCCACTGCACTCCAGCCCGGGAGACAAAGCGAGACTCCGTCTCAAAAAAAAAAAAAAAAAAAAAAAAAAAAAGTCTATTTCTTCTAAGTATGTATTAACTTTATATTTGAAGGGAAATTAGCCTAAATTTTACTTTATTTATTTATAGGGTTTTTTTTTTTGGAGACAGGTTCTCGCTCTGTTGCCCAGGCTGGAACACAGTGACTCAATCACAGCTCACTGCAGCCACGACTTCCTGGGCCCAAGTGATCCTCCCACCTCAGACTCCTAAGTAACTGGGACCACAGCTGCACACCACCACGTCCAGGTTATTTAAAAAAAAAAAAAATTTTTTTTTTGTTTTAGTAGAGGCAAGCTCTATGTTGCCCAGGCTGGTCTCCAACTCCTGAGCTGAACTGATCCTCCTGCCTCAGCCTCCCAAAGCACTGGGATTATAGGCATAAGCAATGCCACCTGGCCTAAATTTCAAACTATAAAGTCAGGGGATGAGAAATCACTTAATGGGTAAAATGTACATTATTCAAGTGATAGATACAGGAAAACCCCAGACTTTACCACTATGCAATATATCCATGTAACAAAATGCCATCTCTGTACCTTTTAAATTTATTTTTTTAAAAAGAAAAAATAACATACTGTCAACCAGGCCAACTCTCTACATCTGTATCAGGGTAGCCTCATGCACAAGGCATGATATAACGAAATATGCTAGACCAACAACGATAGAGCTCATCTCATTTCTAAAGGTACATAAAAATTCTGACCTGTATTCTTAATATCTGCAAAAGTAAACATGAATATAATCACTGTCACCCAGAGCATATTCTCACTTTCAGACTAGAAAACATTTATCCAACTTCATGCTGAAAACTATACGAATGAGGCATACCATCAAACCAGTCAATGGCTGCCTTAGCTGAAGGAGGGTCATCAAATGACACTGTTGCCTCCCCCTTTGGCTTTCCTGTGTCCTTGTCTGTATAAAGATTTATCATTGGTTTTCCGGTCTTCTTATTTGTCTGAGGAAAAACAGAAACACTTGGTGTTAGCATTTTTAAAATAAGTAATCATGTATCATTTAGATAATCAAAGATTTATTTTTTTTACAAGGAATTCACACATTCATACTATAAAATACTATGCACCTAATAAGTTACCTGTAGGTTTAGACAAGCATAACTCTCTAAGCTACACTAAGTGAAAACCAAGCTATAAAAATGATATAGTATACTGTTTTATCTATGTATAATTTTTTTTAATTGAGACAGGGTTTCACTCTGTCACCCAGGTTGGAATGCAGTGGCACGATCATACTCAATGTAGCCTCAAATTCCTGGACTTAAGTGATCCTCCCACCTCAGCCTCCCGAGTAGCTGGGACTACAAGCAAGTGCCACCACGCCCGGCTTTTTTGTTGTTGTAGAGATGGGGTCTTGCTATATGGCTCAGGCTGGTCTCAAACCCTTGGCCTCAAGCGATCCTCCTGCCTCAGCCTCCCAAAGTGCTGTGATTAAGTGCTGATTACAGGAATCAGCCACCACATCCAGTTTATAATTTCTTTAAATCCACAGAAATTAAATGTAGATAATGCTTCATGTAAATACGTAACTTTTTTTTGAGGTGGAGTCTCGCTCTGTTGCCCAGGCTGGAGTGCAGTGGCACAATCTCGGCTCACTGCAACCTTCACCTCCCAGGTTCACATCACTCTCCTGCCTCAGCCGCCCAAGTAGCTGGGACTACAGGCGCATGCCACCACGCCCATCTAATTTCTTGTATTTTCAGTAGAGACAGGGTTTCATCGTGTTAGCCAGGATGGTCTTGATCTCCTGACCTTGTGATCCACCCGCCTTGGCCTCCCAAAGTGCTGGGATTACAGGTGTGAGCCACCACGCCCGGCCGTAAATATGTAACTTCTAAAACGTTACACTGGGATTTGGCTGGGATAAGACAAGGGAGAATTTTACTTTTTCAAAACTCTGTGAATTTAGGCCAGGCATGGTGGATCACGCCTGTAATCCCAGCACTTGGTGGGAGGCTGAGGTGGGAGGATCACTTGAGCCCAGGAGCTCAAGACCAGCCTGGGCAATAATAGGGAGACTCCATCTCTAAAAAAAAAAATTTTTAACTAGCTGGGTGTGAGGACATGCATTAGTGGTTCCAACTACTCAGGAGGCTGAGTTGGGAGGATCACTTGAGCCCAGGAGATTGAGGCTGCAGTGACCCATGATTATGCCACTGTACTCCAGCCTGGATGGAATGAAGCAAGACCCTGTCTCAAGACAACAACGACAACAACAAAATTACATATTTTGTGTGTAATTAATTCCTTAACAAATTATAACTCCCAAAGAAAGAAAAAAGTGAGTAGGCCGGGCACGGTGGCTCATTCCTACTGTAATCCTGGGACTTTGGGAGGCCGAGGTGGGCGGATCACTTGAGGTCAAGAGATCAAGACCATCCTGGCCAACACAGTGAAACCCCATCTCTACTAAAAATACAAAAATTAGCTGGGCGTGGTAGCGCCTGTAGTCCCAGCTACTCAAGAGGCTGAGGCAGGAGAATCACTTGAACCCGGAAGGCAGAGGCTGCAGTGAGCCGACATCGCGCCACTGCACTCCAGCCTGGTGAAACAGTGAGATTCTGTCTCAAAAAAAAAAAAGAGTAATTCCACAGACACCAAAACAAGGGCAGATGTAAACTGATTTCAAGAAACTGTTACTATCTAAACATTACTAAGGCTGCTTTCTAGTTGAAGAGATGAAAAACATATGCATGAAAATAGTGCAAAAGACGCTTTAGTGAACAATGAGCAATTACAAGATAACGTATTATCTCTAGCATAAACATTAAATAACCCCTCCCAAGAGCTCTAACAACTTGAACTTGCATATATTTCAGTCTATAAAATGTTCTCAGCAACTCCTTTATTTCTCACAGTTATAAGAACTAAGCAGAGACTAATTTTAGAGTCCTAAGATGGAAGCTAAAGCACAGGTAGACTGTGGAAAGGTAAACACAAGCAAGGAATAAAATCTTCATATATTCAACAAATTTAGCAAACGTCTACAGACATAAACGAGCATGTGCATCACAAAATTTTAAGAGACAAGGCGTACTGAAGTATGTAGGCTTACTACATAGTCTATGTATTGTAATCAGAACATTAATTATGAGATTTTCAACATATAATATTTTTACTCACCTTGATAATTCCTATTTGTTTAAAGAACTCCCCAACTTGATCTGTAGACACACCCTCCCCAAGTCCTTGCACAAAGATTGTGTTGTTATCTGAATTATCAGATTCTGAATCTAAGAGAAAAAAAGTGATGGTTAATTTTACATATTCCTTGGTTATGACATTCTGTTCAGTAATCAAAGACAATAATTTATTGTCCAATATTCAATTGTTTCTATGACCAAAAGGAAAGGACCAATATAAGAACAACCTTATATAAACATGCAAAGTATTCACAGTAATTATTTGGTTGATCAATTCTTACAACTAAATTTCAAGTAAAGTGGATCAAGTCCACACTATGTGAAATACCTATATACCAATTAAGGATGATCTTACAAACCTCACTCTTCAGATTCAGACATAGGGCTAAACGTCATGAAGAGATGGAGTTAGTTTAGCATTTCTTTCTCTGGAGAACTCTAATTCTTTACGGTTAAACATTTTTAAGATTCTCTAGTACAAAATTCTCCAAATCTGATACTTTGAACTTCCAAGCAAGCCACAAAGCAGAACTGCTGGTTTCCCATTCATTGCAATAAGCTTTGTATATACCAGAGTGCGGAGGCACCTTGTACATGTTACCTGACATGCACACTTTTGGATTAGTACAACAAAGAAAGAAAGATGTATAAGAATTCAGTCCATGAAGGGATAATTCAGAAATTGCCATCCACATAGAATACTTTGGCATCTTAATAAAAACAAAAGTTCTGATTTCAAATTTTTAGCTCAAATAGATTTTTAACCTCTAAATTATAACTTTCAACAGGCTCCACAGGTAAATCTGTAGCCTTGAATTTCATTTAAATAAAAAGCCACAGAAAATTAGTGACCTCTACCCAAAATAAGACAATTCTCTCATGTATGAATTTAGGTTTCTTGAATTCACTAAGTCAGCACACTTAAGCAGACTACCAATCCAACGTAGGATTTTCTTTCTTAAATAGTTTTTCTACTTCTAATTCCACAATGATATAAATTCTTTCATTAATCTGATTTGCAATAATTTTAAATAATTAATGCTAACTAGCAGTAAAAATTCAAGTATTTCTTCACGGAAGAAAGAATATGGGAAAGCACAAACAGCAATTTTCCCCAGCAAACTGTCCCATCAATACTCCTGAATTTTTCTGACACTTCTTTAGAAATAAAGCTCCCCAGCCGGGCGTGGTGGCTCACACCTGTATTCCCAGCACTGTGGGAGGCTGAGACAGGCGGATCTCGAGGTCAGGAGTTCAAGACCAGCCTGGCCAGCATGGTGAAACCCTGCCTCTACTAAAAATACAAAAATTAGCAGGGCATGGTGGCGCGCACCTGTAGTCCCACCTACTTGGGAGGCAGACGCAGGAGAACTGCTTGAACCCGGCAGGTGGGGGCTGCAGTGAGCCAAGACTGTGCCACTGCACTCCAGCCTGGGCAACAAGAGCGAAACTCCATCTCAAAAAAAAAAAAAAAAAAAAAAGAAATAAAGCTCCCCAGTTCTGGCAGCACTATCAAATTAAATCTTCCTCCTGTACTAAGCCCCTCCAAACACACACTTTTCCCATCAAAAAAAAAACTAACATTTTCTTAATGGCAAAGTGACAAACCACCATAAACCTTACCAGCATCTGTTCTGGGTCCATAATCCCTGTGACCTAAGGGAAAAGAAAAGAAAAAAGAGCTATTTAAGGCAATTTATTTAAAATCATTAACAAAAAAAATAGTAATAAACCAAGGCATGAAAAGTCAATACTTCCAAAATCCTTGAAAGTCAACCATCACAGATTTACAAAGTAAATATATAAATTATGTTTTATTTAAAGTTTAGGAAATCAAGATGAATGTCAACATTTCCTTTAACTTGTCCTAGACAGCACCTGCCACTTTAGCATTATGCTAGTATCACTTTTGTTAAGCTCTGGTTGTAAAGGCTGATTGGACAACCCTAATAATTTAAAAACACCATGTCAGCTACCTTTATAAGAACAAATTGTCAAAATCCAGTGAAGGTGTCATTCATTGGTCACCACAGACTCTTTCATGCAAATTCACTGTGTAGAAAACCCATTGGACTGTTTTGAGATCAACTTTGGCTTTTTAATGTTTACTTTGATATATATATGTGTATATATATATATATAAAATTTTTTTTAAAGCACACAACACACACCAGCCTCAACAGAGTAAGAAAGGACTTTTGACTACATCTGCGGGATATTGGTGGCTTTTAGATTTATATAGCATTTCCACTGAAACATTTTGGGATACTCAGCACTTACCACCAAAATTTTTGAAGCCACCGCGGTCACCACCACTGCAGAGGAAAAATTGAAGAAATGATTTCTTCCTTAAGTCTCTAATGTGCTGAGCCCTGGGCTCAATCTACACTTAACTGTCACAAGTAGAGTGCTTAGGAAAACAGTAGCACCTCTAAGTTTTCAGTAAATTCCATTTCACAGAGTTCTAAATGTTGTTTCCATCTAAGTGTTTTCCCAAGGATCTATTTCCACAAGATGTCTTTTCAAGCTTATTACATATCTAATATACTCTTATTTCTAAATCTTCCCAACCCCAAGCCAAAGGGATACTATTAAACCATAACATAAAGCTGGAGGCACAGCATGAAAAATACTAAACTAGAGTAAGTATTTTTTCCAAACGGTTATTTTCTAAATATGAGAAAAAGAAAAAAGACTAGAAGAATACAAAGCAAGGTTAAGATTTTGATGGTAGAACGGGAGAGAATAAAAACTTGAGTATTAGGATCTGCTATGATACCAAATAGTGGATTTTATGAGATGAATTTTAAAAGTGAAATACAAATATACACAAAAGTTGAGACTGAATAAAAGCAGTCTTAAAATTTCAAATCATTCAAAACCCTTATAAAAGACTAAAAGAGCATCACTTAAAAACCGCCCTCCTACTCTATACCCACTATACTACATCTCTTCACATCAGAGCTACGGAGGTTCATGCTGCCACATGCTCTGTACACTATCAGTAGTGCACATTACAGACAGCAGGCAACATATTCCAAACAGGACAACTTTTTTTTTTTTTTGAGACAGAGTCTCGCTCTGTCACCCAGGCTGAAGTGCAGTGGTGGGATCTTGGCTCACTGCAACCTCCACCTCCCAGGTTCAAGTGATTTTCCTGCCTTAGCCTCCCTAGTAGCTGGGATTACAGATGCGTGTCGCCACACCCAGGTAACTTCTGTGTTTTTAGTAGAGATGAGATTTCACCATGTTGGCTAAGTTGATCTCCAGCTCCTGGCCTCAAATAATCCGCCCACCTCAGCCTCCCAAAATGCCAGGATTACAGGCACGAGCCACTGCGCCAGGACATAGACTTTTATCTGGCAAATTAGAATCACAAGGACAGTGGTCCTTGTGAACATGGCTTTACGTAAGAAATCTAAGGTCTCTCTTATCAAGAAACTCTTTAAATACCCATCCAATAAAAGCTTGTTTCTCTTAACTGAATTCTGTAATCCTTTAAGATTCATATGCTAACATGGCAATAAAAACACTCAAGTTTTCTGATACCAGATGTTCTACTACTAATGATCTTATTCTATTATAACCCAAGAATCTAATCTAAAATACTGAAGTCTCTCACTGCTTAGAAATCTCTGCTTTATGGATACCAATCTTATGGGGGGTGGGGGGAGGAACCCTCAACTCTAGTGATTACCCTACCCTATAAATGGCTTTTCTGAGCCACACTGAGATAAAACACTCTGAAAAAAAATTCTCCCTTCTTAATACATCCATTCTATTTCACTATGAGGTAAAAATATTTCCACTTACAGCTGCCTTAGGTACAGACACATGCATTTTAATTTGTTGTTACTTTTTATATGATTTCCAGGATGCCTTTTTAAGCAGGAGACTAAGGCTATTTCAAGGCAATATAGACAATATGAAACTCAGGCCCTTCCTATACAGTTTGCCACTGAATTTCTAAGACTCCTACTTCAGAACAGGCAGTACTAAAGCCCTCCCTTTACTTCTAAATGACATGTATATCACTGCCTAACTCTTTAAGAAAGGGAAGCCAACAGAGTTGAGATTAAACTGCTGAAAATATTATTAATAGAAACCAAGGTATCTCAGAGGTTTTTTTTTGTTTGTTTTTTCCCAGACGGAGTCTTGCTCTGTTGCCCAGGCTGAAGTGCAGTGGCGCAATCTTGGCTCACCGCAAGCTCCGCCTCCCGGGTTCATGCCATTCTCCTGCCTCAGCCTCCCGAGTAGCTGGGACTGCAGGCGCCACCACGCCCGGCTAATTTTTTGTATTTTTAGTAGAGACGGGGTTTCACTGTGTTGGCCAGGATGGTCTCGATCTCCTGACCTCGTGATCTGCCCGCCTCAGGCTCCCAAAGTGCTGGGATTACAGGTGTGAGCCACCACGCCCGGCCTCTCAGAGGTTTTTTAACTCCAAAAAGTGATAAAAAAGAACTTAAGCCCACGTTCTTATGCCAGTAGGTTAAAGTTCCGAGGATAAAGATGACTTTTAAAATGGGAAATTGGAGGTCACTGGGTTCACGAATAAGTGCTAGAAGAAATGCCTCTTACTTTGTTGCCATCTTAAGGGAATACCAAACCTGGCCACAATGGATGGAAAACATGCAATTTCATACATAGCTAGTTCCTATAATTTCCATTCTGGCCAGTAATATAACTTTGAACAACAGAAAAAGGACATACCCCTGGCAAAAATAAAGGGATATAAAACAAATGACATTTAAATAGGTTTATGATTTCCTATTCCTCCATATAATACATTTGAACATCATCTTTTTTTTTTTTTTTGCGACGGAGTCTTGCTCTGTCGCCCAGGCTGGAGTGCAGTGGCGCGATCTCGGCTCACTGCAAGCTCCGCCTCCTGGGTTCCCGCCATTCTCCTGCCTCAGCCTCCCGAGTAGCTGGGACTACAGGCGCCCGCCACCATGCCCGGCTAATTTTTGTTTTTGTATTTTTAGTAGAGACGGGGTTTCACCGTGTTAGCCAGGATGGTCTCAATCTCCTGACTTCATGATCCGCCCGTCTCGGCCTCCCAAAGCACTGGGATTACAGGCATGAGTCACTGCGCCCGGCCTTGAACGTCATCTTTACTGTGCATTTCCTTTGAAAATAAAGCAGCTGAAGATTTCAACACATGGCCATAAATTTGGAAATACCATAGTACACTGGAAAAAGAACTAGTCTTCAAGAAACTCAGGGTACAGTCTTAACTATAACTAATCAATCTTGAAAATCTGGACATGTCAGTGGTTCTCCATAAGCTTCAATCTCCTTAACAAAATAAGGGTCTGTCCCCTTACTAATCAAAACATGATGGAATATAAGCGTAAGCATAGCCTGGAAGGTTCTGAGAAAAGCAGGATCTCAGGCCCCACCCTAGACCTACTGAATAAGAACCTGCATTTAATAAGATCCCCCAAGTAATTCATATGCACATTTAAGTCTAAAATGTCTAGACATTTGGTTTAGGCATTGATCTAGATGATCTGTAATTTTATGCAAAGCCTTCTTTCAAGTTCAAACGTTTCAATCATTTTCTCTCTTCTTATTAGAAAATTATCCTTTTTAAGGAATTTATTAAATACAGAAAATAACCTTCAAGTAGTACTATTAGATATTAACAGAAGATGTGCCTGAGGTTAACAATCTTTCTTTCAAATCTGCATTAATGTTACAAGTCCCTTTTCTACATGCTAAGGCAAATCAAGACACAAAGGTACTTGAACATCTGAGTCAAGATGTTGACACAACAAATTTGCTTTAATTCCCAGAAAAAGCAGAAAACATTTACACATAAAGAATTCCTGAAGTAGCAGAGATATTTAACAGAAACACAATATAAGCATACTCAACTTTATTGGCAGAGTACCCCCTGCATAAGAAAACTAGCTGGTTTTTTTGTTTGTTTTTTGAGATGGTGTCTTGCTATTTTGCCTAGTCTGGTCACGAACTCCTGAGCATCAGTGATCCTCCCACCTCAGCCTCCTAAGTAGCTGGGACTACAGGTACGCGTCACAGCCCCCAGCTAGTTGCATACTTTTTTTTTTTTTTCTGAGACAAGAGTTTCACTCTTGTTGCCCAAGCTGGAGTGCAATGGTGCAATCTCGGCTCACTGCAACCTCCAACTCCCGGGTTCAAGCGATTCTCTCACGTCAGCCTCCCGAGTAGCTGGGATTACAGGCACCTGCCACCATGCCCAGCTAATTTTTGTATTTTCAGTAGAGACGGGGTTTCACCATGTTGGCCAGTCTGGTCTTGAAGCCCTGACCTCAGGTGATCCACCTGCCTCAGCCTCCCAAATTGCTGGGATTACAGGCGTGAGCCAATGTGCCCAGCCAGTTGCATATTCTTGACCCAAACACAGACAGTTCCCCCAAGTTCAAAACCACAACGAGCAGCCCACACGAAGGCATACTCTGAGGGTTGTTTCACTGTTACAGCAGTACATATTTCGAAGAGACAACAGATTCCATTTCAGATGCTTCTCAAGAAAGAAAAAGTTCTTTGACAGAATCTCTACTCCAGGTCTCTCTCTCTCTTTTTTTTTTTTTTTTTTTTTTTTTGAGATGGAGTCTCGCTCTGTCTCCCAGGCCAGAGTACAGTGGCACGATCTCGGCTCACTGCAACCTCCGCCTCCTGGGTTCACGCCATTCTCCTGCCTCAGCCTCCCGAGTAGCTGGGACTACAAGTGCCCGCCACCACGCCCGGCTAATTTTTTGTATTTTTAGTAGAGATGGAGTTTCACCATGTTAGCCAGGATGGTCTCGATCTCCCGACCTCGTGATCCACCCGTCTCGGCCTCCCAAAGTGCTGGGATCACAGGCATGACTACCACGCCCAGCCTCCAAATCTTTTAATAAAAAAAAAAATAATAAAAATAAAATAAAAACCTAACTATATCTATTTATGGACTAAAACTGCCAAGAAGTAAAAGGACAATGCAGGAATCTCTATTCTTAGAAAATTTCACTAACTAGAGAGAAAGGACTTGGCTAAAAATGGAGAAAGGTTAGCTTAAAAACCCATGCTGTGCTTGGGTTTTCAGACTACTAAATCCAGAATACAATTTTCTGAGTGTGAGGAAAAGACCAACATTAATTCCACATTTAAGTGACTCAATGGATTTAAGTACTATTCTCCATAACAGCTGTATTTACATTTTATTTCCTCCTATGTCTTACATGCATGGTAAAAAGGCTTTCTGGATTCAGCATTTATCAACATCTCAGGAGGCCAAGAATCTATCATTCTAGAGCTGCACTGTCCAATACAGTATCCACTACCTACATGTGGCCTGTTGAGCACTGGAAATGTAGCCAGTCTAAATTAAGATGTGCTCTAAATGCAAAATACAAAATGGATTTCTAAATTTTAATATGAAAAAAGGAATGTACAGTACTTTTTTTTTTTTTTTTTTAAACATTTGAAGAGGTATGGGGCGGAGGGGGAAATGGAATTTGACCGACTCACTATTGCCCAGACTGGAGTGCAGTGGCTATTCATAAGCACAATCATAGCTCACTGCAGCCTTGAACTCCTGGGCTCAAGCAATCCTCCTACCTCAGCTTCCCAAGTAGCTGGGACTACAGGCGTGTGCCACAGTGGCCAGCTAATTTTTTCATTTTTAAAAGATGACATCTTACTATATTGCCCATCTAGTCACAAACTCCTAGCCTCAAGCAATCCTCTTGCCTCAGCCTCACAAGTAGCTAGGATTACAGGCGCAGGCCATCATGACCAACAAAAAGAAATTTTTTATATTGATTGCATGATGAAATATTTTGAATATATTGAGTTAAATAGATTTTCTCATTTGTTTATTTGTGCTGTTTTCTTTTTAATGTGGCTATTAGAAAATTTACAATTAACTATATGGGTCACATTTGTGACCTCCATTGTATTTCTATTGGGCAATGCTGTGCTAGACTCACCAGAACGTATACATATTTTTATTTTTTAGACTGATGTATACAGTGCCCTTGTATACATGTGTATTTCTACGGCAGTTAACTGAATACTCTTTTAAGAGGGAGAAGATCCTCAAAAATCTGGATTTTAGGCTTGACACATTAAAGCCTGAAACAGCTACTAAATTTGATGGCATACTAATAATGAAAAGCAATTATTTATTAAGTTCTGGCAATTTTAGAAGGTGTTAATCACAATGCTAAAATTAAAAATCACTGGGAGAATTTATGCCCTTAACTTCTAGTCCACTAAGATGTCCATGTCAATTTTAGATGACAGTAAGAAATTTTCTTTTTTTTTGCTACAATTGCTTTTTCAAAGAAAAAGATTAAGTTTCCTGTAGTCCCTATAATCTTCACAGATTTATCTCTCTTTCACACTTGGAAAGCTGATGGTTTCTTTTTGACCGGGAATTCTTCTTCTAGCCAGGCAATCACACCATCTGTAAGTCCAAGAATGTCCCATCCTTTACCTTATATCCAATCCTCATCCACAAATTATGCCCCTTCTTTTTTTTTTTTGCGATGGAGTTTCACTCTTGTTGCCCAGGCTGGAATGCAATGGTGTGATCTCAGCTCACTGCAACCACCAACTCCCAGGTCAACTGATTCTCCTGTCTCAGCCTCCCGAGTAGCTGGGATTATAGGCACCCACCATCGTGTCCAGCTAATTTTTTGTATTTTTAGTAGAGACGGGGTTTCACCCTATTGGTCAGGCTGATCTCGAACTCCTGATCTCAGGTGATCCACCCGCTGTGCCCTCCAAAGTGCTGGAATTACAGGCGTGAGCCACCATACCTGGCCCATGCCCCTTCTTCTTTTAATATAAACCCAACTAATGCCAGATATTCTTCAAACAGCCCCCAAAAGAACTATTTTTTTTTTTTTTTTTGCGACGGAGTCTTGCTCTGTTGCCCAGGTTGGAGTGCAGTGGTGCGATCTCAGCTCACTGCAAGCTCCGCCTCCTGGGTTCACACCATTCTCCTCCCTCAGCCTCCAGGGTAGCTGGGACTACAGGAGCCCGCCACCACACCCGGCTAATTTTTTTGTAGTTTTAGTGGAAATGCCTCGGCCTCCCAAAGCGCTGGGATTACAGGTGTGAGCCACCGCACCCGGCCAAGAATTGCTATTTTTAATTTGACTGAGAACACAAACGGGAGTGTTGATGAAGACTAATGAAAAATGTTTGGGTATTCTGGTACTTAAATGCAAAACTGTGTGGGAAAAAAAAATCTTAAAACAGGGCATCTATATTCAAATTCAAAACATTTTATCCCAATAAATAAGCTAAAAAGCACATCTTTAAAAAGATGTTATGACACATAAAAATAATTTTATGTGTTATGACACATAAAAATAATATGAACTTCAGCCAGGCGTGGTGGCTCACACCTGTAATCTTGGGAGGCCAAGGCGGGCAGATCACGAGGTCAGGAGATCGAGACCATCCTAGCTAACACGGTGAAACCCCATCACTACTTAAAAAAAAAAAAAAAAAAAAAATTAGCCGGGTGTGCTGGCACACGCCTGTAGTCCCAGCTACTCAGGAGGCTGAGGCAGGAGAACTGTTTGAACCTGGGAGGTGGAGGTTGCAGTAAACTGAGATGGTGCCACTGCACTCCAGCCTGGGCAACAGAGCGAGACTCCATCTCAAAAAAAAAAAAAAAAATTATATGAACTTTAAATTTCAGTATCCATAAATGAAGCTTTACTGGAACACAACTCTGTTTATTCATTTACATATTAATTACGGCTGCTCTGGTGCTCCAAGGGCAGAGATGAATAGTTACAATAGAAACCATATGGTTCACCAAACCCAGAACATTTACTATCTGGCCTTTCACACAGCTTGCCAACTCAATATAAAGAGTAATCGGCATCCATACGGATTTCTAAAAAAGGCCTTTCATGAACATCTCAACAAATAACAGAGTATAAGGCAAGATTGCAGATCCCTTCCTCACCCGACCTTTCCCCCACTGAAACCAGATCAGCACATCATTTGGACCAACTAGATATTGGACTTCTGCATATGATTTTGTATTAAGGGGTATTAAAGGAAAATAAAAAATTTAGTTTATAAGTCAGTATCTAGGCCACAAATTATATGAAGTATGTTGCAAGGGGTTTATAAAAGTACTTAATTGGACCCCAGGGTTGATTAAGGTACTGCTTCCCTCCTTTGTCAGGAGGATCATTCAAAGTCCTTTCGATCCTCTAGTTACAAGATGAGTCACAAATGAAAATACATTTTTTTTTAATGTTTTTTTTTTTGAGACGAAGTCTTGCTCTGTCGCCCAGGCTGGAGTGCAGTGGCACGATCTCGGCTCACTGCATGCTCCGCCTCCCGGGTTCACAACATTCTCCTGCCTCAGCCTCCTGAGTAGTTCGGACTACGACTACAGGCGCCTGCCACCACGTCTGGCTAATTTTTTGTATTTTTAGTAGAGACGGGGTTTCACTGTGTTGGCCAGGATGGTCTCCATCTCCTGACCTCGTGATCCGCCCGCCTCGGCCTCCCAAAGTGCTGGGATTACAGGCATGGGTCACCATGCCTGGCCAGTGAAAATATATTTATAATGACTTCCCTACCTATTCCCTATCTTCTTCCACCATTCTTAGACACAGTGATAGTTTAATAATCGATTAGGATGTAACTGTAATTTCCTTATGAAGAAAACTAAAGCTATGATGTACTATAAAACATATAGCATTTCAAGGCAGCCAATTATCCAAAACATATTAACTGGTAAATTAAATATACCTGTTGGTTATCTTGTTTGGAACAGGAGGGAGGCTATTATTAGGTAGAGAGTAAGCACCATGTCACTTTACATAGTCCATTTATATCCACATGATGGCAGACTGCTCTTTGACAATGAAGAAGCATAGAATTTATTTGTTTTACTTTGGTAAACTGACTTTGGCTATCAACAGACTTAATGTCCAAGTCTTATAACATTTTTCAAATATGTTTAAAATTTAGTTTTTCCAAAAAATCAAAGCACTGTACACTAAAAATAGAATATAAGGCAGTGAAATCAAATCCTGGCTCACTTGAAGAAATAACAGTCTGTGGGCAACTGGTTGTTTCTCAGGTCACCTCAGGGGACAGATGGTCCCTAAGGTGCAAAAGAATGAACTGGTGCTGATATATGACTGATAAGTTTCTGTAACGGGCCACTGACCATTTCAATTCCCAAGGAACATAAATTACCTTTTAGCCTGTGTATTTACACACAAATATGCAACCTGCAAACTTCTTCTGAGGACAGATGTCAACTACTTTTTCATTTTTTTTTTTTTACAGTCAAAGTAGTAAACTTGCAGATATATCTAAAACCAATTTTCAAACCAGCTTCATAACATATGCTGTAAGTAAATAAATACCAAAACCTGATAACACTAGCATGGAGAAAAGAAAAGCTGAATTAAAAAGACATTCCTTTACACAACTTAGTCAAGACAAAATACACATTACTATGTGATGTTACACTAATTATTCCAATAATTATTTACTTAAGAAGAGGGACAAAACAGTTTTGTTACATTAAATCTTTCTCTTATTTGCCATCCCCACCTTTCTACTCCATTACTGCCTCCTAATACTTTCCCTTCCCAAGGAGATTGGAGATTAAGAAATAGCCTCTGCCCCTCAATCTAGAATTAACTTACCTTTTATTTTTACATACAAACACTGGATTTCCCAGAGTCGTCTTTTAAAGGAGTTAAGATTCTAGCTCTGGCAGGAAAGTCAAGTGATTTAATCACAACCATAGTTGTTTCTCTACTGGTGTTTAACATGTACCACATAAACTAACTACTAACATAGCCAATTCTAAGGTCATTTATGTGAGATATTAAGACTGAAAATACACTTTTAATTTCTGCCTTTTTCTCCAATATATAATCCCTTTTTAAAGTCTCTTAACTAAATTAGATGCTGGAATTGATCCAGCCAAGTAACACCTTAAAAAAAAAAAAAAGAGGAAGAAGAAGAAATGTACGCATCTTTATCTACATACTTACCTTGATCCTGTCATAGGACCTCTTCCATCCTTGTCATATCCCCCACGCCCTCTACCTCCTCCCTGTGACCCGCCATATCCTCTATTATCTTCTCCATACCTACTCACATCACGACGGTCATCTACAAAAAAGAAAATATTACACACAAATAACCACTCTCATTTCTAAAGCTTCAAATAACAATGTTAAATGGCTCTTTAGGCCACACATATCCTTATAGAAAATGGCACATGTGCACACAACTCAAATGCAAGTCATCATAAAATCATCTGGAATTACATGTTTTTGAGAATTTTATCTGTGTCAAATTCCATTCTGCTAAACTGACATGGCAAAACAGTAATGTATCTGTGTCAAATTCCATTCTGCTAAAGTGACATGGCAAAACAGTAATGTGGAACAGTATGAGTTAAAATACAATCTTAGCTACAAGAACCTTAGTAACTTAGATGAAAAGCACGACCCCAATCTTTTTTTTTTTTTTTTTTTTTTGGAGACAAGAGTCTCGCTCTGTAGCCCAGGCTGGAGTGCACTGATGCAATCTCGGCTCACTGCAAGCTCTGCCTCCCAGGTTCACGCCATTCTCCTGCCTCAGCCTCCCGAGTAGCTGGGACTACAGGTGCCCGCCACCATGCCTGGCTAATTTTTTTTTTTTGTATTTTTAGTAGAGACAGGGTTTCACCATGTTAGCCAGGATGGTCTCGATCTCCTGACCTCGTGATCTGCCCACCTCGGCCTCCCAAAATGCTGGGATTACAGGCGTGAGCCACTGCGCCCGGCCCCCCAATCTTAAAAGTTACCACTTTCTTCACTTCAGAAACATTTAAATGTAAATTGAGCATGGACAAGGAATAACTGAATCTTCAAACTGAGAGAAGATATTTAGTGAATGTGCTTCCACTTTTACTTATTTACTTATTCATTCAATTATTCAACAAGCACTTACTATTTACTATTCAATTATTCAACAAGCACTTACTTACACTTACAATTATTCAACTGAGCACCTACTATGAACCAAACCATGTACTAGGCCTTAAAGGTACATAAATAAGTACCCCAAATCAAGTACAACACCAACACCAAAAGAACTGGTACCAGCAGTATTGTCAAGGATCAGAGTTCACTGAGACAAAAAGGAAATTCACGTAATCAGCCATCAAAAGTCATGACCATCTGAGGGCCTCCAAGTTCAGAAGTAGAAATCTGATAAACTAGTTTTGATTACCATGAGAGGGAACATATCTTCAAGGTTACCCTAAATTTTTACAAACAGGTGAAATCCTCTGTGGTTCTTTTAATCAGAAATTCATACAAATAATTCTGAGAGGGGGAAAAATAATAATAGAGGTCAGTAAATCTTACCTTGTGTGTGGTGGCTGTAGTTTTCCCTTTGTGAATGATAGGACTGCTGGTTTTGACTATAGGAATCATGCTGCTGATCATAATTTGACTGCTCATCATATGAGCCTTGATGTTGATCATAGCCTGACTGCTGGTCATATGAATCTTGTTGACCATAGTCTGGCTGGTCATAGGAAGGTGCTCTTCCACCTTGGCTAAATAGAAATGGAGAACTTAAGAGACTTCATAGGAAGATTACATTTGCTGTAGCAAGTTGGCTGAAACTGATGTTAAGAGTCCTGACCAGTTAGAGACATTAACCATATTTATGACTACCTTCTCATGGTAATTAGTTATCTGCAGTCTCCTGGAATTCCCTGCGAAAGACGATTCTGCCAACATTGAAGAGGTGCCACATTATGAAAAAAAATGTATCTTTGAAAACTGCAGTAAAGCAAAAAATTACTATGGCTTTTTACTATCTCCTTGAACTTTTTTTTTTTTTTTTTTGAGACAGAGGTTCACTCTTGTTGCCCAGGCTGCTGGAGTGCAATGGCGCGATCGTGGCTCACCGCAACCTCCACCTCATGGGTTCAAGCAATTCTCCTGCCTCAGCCTCCCGAGTAGCTCAGATTACAGGCATGTGCCACCACGCCTGGCTAATTTTGTATTTTTAGTAGAGACGGGGTTTCTCCATGTTGGTCAGGCTGGTCTTTAACTCCTGACCTCACGTGATCCACCCGTCTCGGCCTCCCAAAGTGCTGGGATTACAGGTGTGAGCCACCGAGCCTGGCCTATCTCTATGAATTAAAAAAAAAAAAGTAAAAGATGCTACAAAGTACAGTAATATGTCTGACTCTTTAATAAACATGCCACAAGAGCTGAGTCCTTTTAATAGTTACAATGAAAGGCTCTATATCACTGAAGTTTAACAAGTGTCTTCTCTTAAAATATTTTTAGATCTTTTCTCTTAGAATTATCTTTAGAACCTATAGTACAGTCTTCTAAACATCTTCAGTGATAGTACATTTTAGAAAACAGTAAAAGAACCTGCTTTGTAACACAATTTTTTTTATCTGAAAAAAACTCTATCAGGTAATGAGACTGCTTATTCTAGCGATTTGAAAGGAAAATTCTAAGTATCTTCAGAACAATATTACTGTATTAATTACATGCTCTCAGGGTGGGAATGTTAAAAGGCAACATTTAATTGGATTTGAGTTCCAGTAGGTTTACTTATTATAAAAATGGGCTGGGGGGGGACAAAAAAGATCTCATAACTTAATAGTTTACATTTTATTCTTCACCAGAGGATCAGAACAATCTAATAAAAGATCAGTATGTTCCCTAACTCCCTGTCGAAAGCACAACACAACCACAGTCCAAACCCTAGCACTTTAAAATGGCTGTCAAATCAAACTTAACATTTCTTTTCAGACTATATTTATAGGTCATGCTTCCAAAAATACATCATTTATAAAACGATTCTCCTTAAATTTAAAACTAACCAACAAGGCTTGAAGAGTTATTTCTCTTAATGTAGTATGCCTTCTGGATATTATTCCCTACATTTGTACTCTACTTTCTACTTTTCAAAACACTCTCACATCTGTAAGGGTGATAATTTGACCTCACCAATCTTTCCTCAATGCTTTTATTTAATTTTCACTTAGAATAAATGTCTTCACTGTAGAAAGAAAACACTAGAGACCTCAGTTTTTAGCCACGTCACTTGATAGGCCAAATAATTTCTTTACCCTCTGTAAAATGGGAATCACTGACACTATTTCATAGTGGTATCTGAAGATCAATCACATTAGAGAATGCAAAAGCATTTCACAGAATGTAAAGCACAATTTTTAAAAAGTAACTTGCTATTAAGTAAATAGCATAAAATTAAGTACCAGCTCTTTAAATCTGAAAGGTAAAAAAACTTTATAAAACCTGAAATTTATCAGTAAATATTCACCTACATATATCAAAGAAAACACATTTTAGGGTATCTGATATATGCGTAAGTTTTGACCCTTTTAAAAAATATTTTTGTCCCTGAAAAGTTAATATATTCAAATGGTTCAAAAATAAAATGGAAATTTAAAAATAGATGTTGAGAAGTCTTAATTCTAAAGACAGGTTTTTATTTAATCTCAGGGATAAAGCAGAGGTCCAAAATTTTCTAACATTTTTAAGGACATCAATTTATAGCTAAACAATGATTTCACAAATACATCATAAGAATCAAATGACAATGCTATTTCCACATTCTCCATAATATACAGTTGTAAAATCCACACTCCATTAAAATTTCCTTTAAAAAAAAAAAAAGTTTAAAGCTAGGATTTTGTTGGTTAAATCTGTTTAATATCAGTGTTATTTCCACTGCCCAAAACAATCTCAGTATTTTACTATTTCCTTACCTTCCTGATGATTCCATGTTTTGCTGCTGTCCCTGGTTATTATATGGTTGCTGGCTATATGAGCTCTGCTTTTGATTCTCATAACCACCATAGGACTGTGAATAACCTAAAGATTAGATGAGTATATCATTTAGTGAAGGCTCTGATTTTTCAATCTCTGAAACAACAAATTTAACAAACTAGTCCAACCTGACTGACTTTGTCCATAACTGGAGTAACCGCTGTAGTTCTGTCCATAAGAGGAATCAGTCGTTTGCCCATAGCCAGAATAGCTCTGAAATTTAGGTAAATACTCAAGTTTCATCACCTACTTAAGATAAAAATAACTACTTATGAAGAATACAATTTATATTTCAACCTACTTGTGATGCTTGTCCATAGCCTTGGCTGCCTGGATTTCCATAGGTAGAATAACTGCAAAAGAAAAATTTAATACTTGAAAGAAATGTGTAGAAATTTTAAAGTTTAAATGAAGACCTTGCCTTCATTTTCAACTTTCAACTCAAATACAAGCTTCTTTGCTGAGAAATCATCAATCTCCCTGTCTCTAGAGTCTAAATTGAAAGGTGACGATCAAAGACTGTTAAAGAAATACATGAAGTCACTCCCAGATCTCCTGAATGGGAAACAAATACCCAAAGTTTTGTTTTCACAATCTTGCAGAAATAAACAAAACTTGGTAAGAGCTAGAAAATTCCAAGAGAATTATGCTTGGGTGTGGGGGGAATAAAAACTACATAGCAAGACTTATAATAAATACCTGAAGCACAAAAATGATGACTACACAAAAAATGAACACCTTACTCAATTTAATCACATCTTGACAGATTAATTTTTTCCCACCATTTGCCTTAGTTAAATGGCTTTAACTTCCTAAAAGATGCACAGGGAGGCACTAGAAGTCCAGTTTAAAAGTCTCAATAATTAGAGGCATGTTTATCCCCACAGTACAGTCATTGAATGAAATTATACCGTATCCTCAGTATTGTAGCAGGGCCTGGCACATAGCTCAATAAATATTTGTTGACTGACTAAATAAATGTACCCTCCTGGGATTTGAATATTAATTTTATAGTATATAAGCTCTAACAAGTCAGAAACAAACTTTCTGAATCTATACTATGACTTTCTAATATCCAAAGAAAACTAAAACACTTGCAAAATTTTTTATCATTTTAAAGGTATCAAGTGCTAACAAGATTCCTTAACTTTTGAAAATACATTTCACCAAATAAACATTTTGCTAGATACCTACTAGGAAGTTAGCACTATCTTACAAGATCAAAAAAGTCAAATCAGTTTTGTTTTTCAGGAAGCTTAAAATTTGACAAGATATCTGAGGTGCTATTCTGAGTATCTTACACTGAGCTGTAAAACATTTATCCTATAAGTTGAAGGCTGTATTTTGGTAAGAGAAGCCCACTGCATATATACACTCACATAAAAATAGAACTTCCTTTTTACTGTGAGGATGGTAAGCACACTAAAAAAACGCTTAATATTTTTTATGGTATTTTAAAAAAATGTGCTCTGAAAAAACACATTAGCATATTATACACCATAATAAAACGCTTTTTCTAAAACAACTGTTGAGTTCAATTGCTTAAACTTTTTTTTTTTTTTCGAGACAGGGTCTCGCTCTGTCACCCAGGCTGGAGTGCAGTGGCATGGTCATAACTCATTGTAACAACCTTGAACTCTTGGGCTCAAGTGATCCTCCCACCTCAGCCTCCCAAGTAGCTAGGACTACAGGTACACACCACTATGTCTGGATAATTAAAAAAATTTTTTTTTTAGAGACAAGGTCTCGCTATATTACCCAAGCTGGTTTCTAACTCCTGGCCTCAAGCAATCCTCCCATCTTGGCCTCCCAAAGTACTGGGACTAGAGTCATGAGCCATAGCGTCTGACATTAAATTTCTTTAATAATTGTTTCTTCTAAGAGATTTCCTAAATAAAACATAAACTTTACAATACCAAGGAGATTTGTTTTAATCTGTAGGAGGTATATTCATTGATGCAAACAGATTTAAGAAAAGGAAGAGGCCAGGCGCAGTGGCTCACACCTGTAATCCCCGCACTTTGGGAGACTGAGGCGGGCGATCACGAGGTCAGGAGATCGAGACCATCCTGGCTAACACGGTGAAACCCCATCTCTACTAAAAATACAAAAAATTTGCCGGGTGTGCTGGCGAGCGCCTGTAGTCTCAGCTACTCGGGAGGCTGAGGCCAGAGAATGGCGTGAACCTGCGAGGCGGAGCTTGCAGCGACCCGAGATCGCGCCACTGCACTCCAGCCTGGGCGAAAGAGCGAGACTCAGTCTCAAAAAAAAAAGAAAAGGAAGAAGCCCAGTAGAGTGGCACATGTCTGTAGTGGAGATTACAGTTACTTGGGAGACTGAGGCAGGAGGATCGCTTAAGCCCAGGAATTTAAGGCTGTAGTACACTATGATTTGCCACTGCACTCCAGCCTGAGCAAAACAGCAAGACTCTGTCTCAAAACATAAAGAAAAACAGAAAGGGAATAAATGTCTTACAGCACCTATTTACACTGACTCTCTTCACTCTGTGACAAGCTAATATTTAACTTATGACATCCAGCATCAAGTCTCAAGAGAAGAAGCTTGACAAAATTCACCTCAGTTCTACCCTTTCATATTATTAAAATGTATGTATACTTTACCTTTGCTGCTCACCCCCAGACTGACCGTAACTTCCAGAATCTAGAACACATAAAAAGAATTTTAAATCTTATTTAAAATTATGGTTCCTTCAAAGGCTGACTTTAGCTCATACAGAAGAAATGTGGTAAGAAAATGTAAAGAACTGCAGAAAGAAAAACTAACTCAAGTTAAATACTATGAAACAAGAAATTTGTACAAATAGTATTTACTTTTTACAATAACTACGTATTTGCAAACTACTATTCTACATGTGTGCTAGGGTCACAAGAACCCAGTGAACAAATGTAAACAGTGAAAATCCATTCTTTAAACAGACTCAAGACCTTAAGCAATATTATTATATACAAAAAGACATCTGTTAAAACTAATCAGGTCCAAAAAGGGGAAAGACATGCACTATGACATCCCCAGGATTACATCTACTTGAACATCCTTACCACCCCAAGATATACACCATTCCTCTGTATTGGACTGCTTTGGCTGTCAGCACCAACAAAAATATTTCCAAAGACTTGCTAAAAAAAAAAAAAAAGCAGCTAAGTTAGTTGCTCTATTCTGATTTTACCAAGCTTTCAGGGATTCAGCCAATTGGCACAGCAAGTCAGCAATACCTGCTTGTAGCTTCAATTTAGCAATCAAAAAAATGACCAAGGGACCGGGCATGGTGGCTCACACAATCCCAGCACTATGGGAAGCTGAGGCAGGCAGATGGCTTGAAATCAGCCCAGCCAACATGGCGAAACCCCATCTCTACAAAAAACACAAAAACTAGCTGGGCATGGTGGCATGTGCCTGTAGTCCCAGCTACTCGAGAGGCTGAGGTGGATCACCTGATCCAGGGGCGGTCAAGGCTGCAGTGAGCTGTGATTGTGCCACTGCACTCCAGCCTGCACGACTGAATGACACTTCTCAAAAAAAAAAAAAAAAAAAAAAAAAAAAGTGGGGGTGGGGTGGGGGTGGTAACATAAAAAATAAAGAATTTGAACTATGAGCTTTTCTCAATACTTCAAAATGTCAATCATATCAAAAATTACTGAAGAGGTTCTATTTATCTATCCTTCAGGCTTTACTCAGAGTCAAATGAATGACCAAGTATGTGACGCATAAGAGCAGATTTTATGAAACGCTTTTGCAACTGCAAAAAATGGCTCTAAGTCGCAAACTGTTGACCATCAGGCCCAACCTCACTCAATTTGAAACAAAAATCACTGTTGTCAAATAGTTCTAAAACACACCAAAACCTAATGAAATTTTTCTTTCTTCTTTTTAAGAGATGAACTCTTCCTGTCACCCATGCTGGAGTGCAGTGGTGCCATCACAGCTCACTCCTAGACTTGAGTCATTCTCCTGCCTCAGCCTCCTGCGTAGCTGGGACTACAGGTGTGCAGCACCACGCCCAGCTATTTTTAATTTTTAGAGATAGGGGCTCAGTAACTTTCTCTTTTTAAAATTTAATTATACAATATGTCCTTAGAACAAACTTTTTCATCCAATTTATATAACGCTACAATATGAAAATATTGCCACCAAATATAAGTGGGTGATACCAAATTTGCCACTTTTCTGCAGTAAAGCTCTCCAATTAGACCGAACAAGATTTTGTTTAATGCTTAAGAATAGTAAATGAAGGCCAGGTGTAGTGGCTCATCCCTGTAATCCCAGCATTTTGGGTGGCCAGGACAGGAGTACTGCTTGAGCCCAGGAGGTCGAGGCTGCAGTGGGTCATGATTGCACCACTGCACTCCAGCTTTAGCGACAGAATGAGACCCTGTCTCAAAAGAGAAAAAAAGTATTAAATGAAATCTTGACACAAACTACTACTTCTATGAATATGGAGGGCATAAAACTAGCTGAAATGAAAAAGAAAAAATTACACATCACTGCCAGGCCCATGAGAAGATAGCTAGAGTTGTAGCTAACAACCAATTAAGAAAAATCGGAAAAGAATACACAATCTAATTAGACCATTAAGAGATTAGATGCCTCTATGAAATGACAGGAAATCAGATTATCCCAAATCAAAGGATGAAAAGGGTTATGAGGGGGAAAACAATGAGTAAAACAAGGTATTTGTGGATGCATGAAGCTTTAGGTTAAACTATATCCTGAAGCATGGATGTAGGTTCTCCCAGTGACAAAATACATAATCGCAGCATATTTTCTTTAGGTTCAGGCAAAATTTTAGTAGGGTACAGCACATAGGTCCTGTAACCCTATCTCAAATCTAACAGTAAGGCCCTTAATCTTAACCCAGTCATTTCAGCCCTCTGAAATTATAAATCTAACTTCTTTAGCTGGCTAGCTTAAAAACTCCCAGATGATATAGAAATAAGCGTACTGACTAGTAAATCTGTCCCTTGGTATAAATCCTTGAGTGATAAAGTGCAGGTGTTTTACATTCATCAGAGAAAATCAGTTTATAGATTAAGGCATCCTAAACAACTGTTCATTGTGATTATTTGACAATTGTGCTTTGTGTCTGGACCTACGAATTTAAATTTAAAGTGCTTTTGAATTTCCAAGTGTATAGTTTTGATTCTCTTTGTGTTTTTTCCTAATATTCCACTGCAGCCAGAAAAGTTATTTTATTATTCTTGGTATTTGCTCAGATTTCCTGTTTTGCTTTTCCCCCTTGGCACATGTTCCCTGTGTGCCTGAAAATAATTATGTATTTTCTAAATTTCAAGTGAATTCTATCAGTCTATAACATTATGCTCATTAGTTGTATCACTCATATTTTACTAATGTTTGGTCATATTCTTACTGTTTGCCTGATCTATTAATTACACAAAGAGGTATTTTTTTTAACTTCCCATATAACTATGGACTTGTCAAGTTCTTGTAATTGTCATTTAGGTTTTATATATATACATATATATATACACACACACTTTTTTTTTTTGAGACAGAGTCTCACTCTATCACCCAGGATGGAGTGCAGTGACACGATTTTGACTTACTGCAACCTCTGCTTCCCAGGTTCAAACAACTCTCCCGCCTCCGCCTCCTGAGTGGCTGGGATTACAGGTGCCCACCACCTTGCCCGGCTAGTTTTTGTATTTTTAATAGAGATGGAGTTTCACCATGTTGACCAGGCTAGTTTCAAACTCATGACCTCAGGTGAACCGCCCGCCTCGGCCTCCCAAAGTGCTGGGATTACAGGTGGGCCTGTTTTCTGTATATATTATTAGGCACACAAAAGTATAGGCCTATGTTCCTGGTGATTTCCTTTTAACATTACGTCTGAACTTTATTTTGGCTAGTAACATAACTTAAAAAAAAAAATCAGCTGGGTGCAGTTGCTCACGCCTGTAATCCCAGCACTTTGGGAGGCTGAGGTGGGCAGATCACAAGGTCAGGAGATCGAGACCATCCTGGCTAACATGGTGAAATCCCGTCTCTACTAAAAATACAGAAAATTAGCCGGACGTGGTGGTGGTGGGCACCTGTAGTCCCAGTTACTCGGGAGGCTGAGGCAGGAGAATGGCGTGAACCCAGGAGGCGGAGCTTGCAGTGAGCCGAGATTGCGCCACTGCACTCCAGCCTGGGCGACAGAGCGAGACTCCATCTCAAAAAAAAAAAATCACCTTTTGGTTGGTGTTTGCAAATTGCTTGAGCTGAGGAGTTCAAGACCAGCCTGGGCAACACAGAAAGATCCTATCTCTACAAAAAATTTTAAAAATTAGCCAGGTAAGGCAGTGTGCACCTGTTGTCAGTCCCCGCTACTCTTAAAAAAAACAAAAACAACAACAACAACAACAAAAAAAACAGAAAAAAGAAAATTCAAAGTCAATGGTTACTTTCTCTCTAAACTCTAATGGATAATTTCATTATTTTCCAGCTTCTTCAAATATTTAATTAGTCTGTTATTAATCATACCACTGCTTCCTATTTTCTCTAGTAGGTTACTGGTACTTCATAACCTGCATTTTTACATCAATGTATCTAGGTATGAATGTTTCATGTTTAAATCTAGTGTTCAATTCAAAATGTTCATTTACTTTGGAAATCAACTATTGATTCTTCCTCCATTTTCTCCTTCTCAATCTCTTATTAGATGTATGACAGGAGTTTTTAATCTATTTCCCATGTTTCTTAATCTTTTTTTGCGGGGGGGGGGGGACAGGGTCTCGCTCTGTTGCCAAGGCTGAAGTGCTGTAGGACAATCACAGCTCACTGTAGCCTCGATTTCCTGGGCTCAAGCAATCCTCCCACTTCAACCTCCCGAGTAGCTGGGATTACACATGCATACCGCCACATTCAGCTGATCTTTTTTGTATTTTGTAGAGATGGGAGTTTCATCACGTTGCCCAGGCTGTTTTCAAACTCCTGAGCTCACGCGATCTACCCACCTCAGCCTCTTAAAGTGCTGGGATTATAGGCATGAGCCACCATGCCTGAAATCTTTCATTTTCATATCTTATCCCCCTGAATTGAATGCTGGAAGATCACATCTACCTTCCACATCTGTGAGATAAGTCACATCCATCATATCTGTAATTCTTTCTTCTGCTAGGTCTGCTATTCCAACTTATTCACTTTTCCTAATTAATTCTAAACGTTTTACTTGATTCTTTTTCAAATCTATGTGGCTTGTTTTATTAACACCTTGATCTTTTTTTTTTTTTTTTTTTTTTGAGACAGAGTCTTGCTCTGTCACCCAAGCTGGAGTGCAGTGTCTCAAACTGCAACCTCTGCCTCCTAGCTTCAACCAATTCTGGTGCCTCAGCCTCACAAGGATCTGGGATTACAGGTTCCCGCCACCTCACCTGGCAATTTTTATACTTTTAGTAGAGATGGGGTTTCGCCATGGTGGCCAGGCTGGTCTCGAACTTCTGACCTCAGGTGATCCACCTGCTTCAGGATCCCAAAGGGCTGGGATTACAGGCATGAGCCACCGCACCCGGCCAACCTTGATCTTAGGGTTGATTCCTTCCTTTAGGTTTATTTTAACAATTTTAAACATAAAAATATTCTCTCAGATAATCTGTTAGAGGCTCTAATCCTATTTGTCATTGACTCTCATTTCAGTGAAATGTTTCCTAAAGCTCTGCAATTTACTATGAACATATCTTTTGCAAGGCTTGCTTTATCTGAAATTCCTTGTGATCTAAACCATGAAATTTCCTCCAGAAAATGTTTTTCAGGTTTTTTTTTTTTTTTTTTTTTTTGAGATAGAGTTTCTCTTGTTCCCCAGGCTGGAGTGCAATGGCGCAATCTCGGCTCACCACAACCTCCGCCTCCCAGGTTCAAGCGATTCTCCTGCCTCAGCCTTCTGAGTAGCTGGGATTACAGGCATGTAGGATGCCTTAATTTTTTAAGTAGAGATGGGGTTTCTCCAGGTTGGTCAAGCTGGTCTCGAACTCTCGACCTTAGGTGATCCACCCGCCTCGGCCTCCCAAAGTGCTGGGATTACAGACGTGAGCCACCACGCCCAGCCGTTCTTCATGTTTTTAACAGAAACACCAAGGGTATTACCAGCCCAGAAACCATTTTTACGTTAATTTGTCTTAAAGTTTCCTGGAGCCTAAACGTCCATGTTACCTTGTCATCTCTTATGTTGGTACTAAGGTTTTTTCCAGTTCATTCCTTCACATAATGTACAGTCCTTTAACTCCATAACACATTAAGTCTAGAATTTATGTTAAGAGTCTCAGTTCCCATTACCTGGCGTTAATGGTCCGTACGTTTTATCTCTGGTCCCTACACAGTTACTTGAGCAATAAAACCCAGGTGTCTAAAAAAGGTGTATGCCCTCCTCTCCAGGGTAGCTGGCAAGTTAGCTCTTTGCCTGCCATGCTGGCTCCTACTTCATTTTTGGCACTGGGGGTTTGTCCTTTCTTAGTTTTTCCATTTTTTTAAATCTTTGTAGATAGATTTTCAAGTTAATCGTGGTCTGCCACACTGCCAGAATGAGAAGTTATCTTGACTTTGTAATTTTTATGTGTGTAACTGATTTGAATTCGTTAAGGTGTTAGCTAATTCACGTTGTAAACAGTATTTGAATGTTAGACTCTGACTTATAATTTCTACAATTTTGATTTATTGATTACTTCAGTGCTTATACTTTATTAGGTTTTTTGGAGTGGTTGAGTCAATTTGATATATTAAATTTACATGTGTAGTCTGGAATGTTTAAAGGACTTAACTAAAATTATTAATGGCATTAGTTGTTTTGGGGGATTTTAATAAACATTCATCAAAGAACAAGTCAAAAGCATTATTTTTACACAAAGTCAAAGGTATTATTTTTATACACTTATTACAAAACATATAAATAGTATACCAAGCCTAAGAATATAAAGAGTCTAGCTTTAATTAATTGAATGTTAATTTAAAAACAAGCGTCTAGTAAGTAGCCCTTTTCACACACCGAAAAGCCAATTTCGTATTTTAAAAAATACTCGAACTACAAAATAACAAATATCTGGTGTCTTAGTAACTTGAAGATCAATACTAATGATTAAGCCAGCTTATATGCTTATATGATACATGAAAAAGCCTGTATTTTACAAATAGCAAACCACTAAAACTTCGACTTTCCACAGAAGCCATTGTTTTATATCAATAATTATGTTAAAGATCAAGACAGGCTAAAAGTTTTTAATGAGGACTGAAACCATTAAAACTTGGTAAATTTCTCCACGAGGGTAGAATTTTAATTTCTGTTTAAACCACGGGTAGATGATACACTCTTGTGAGGGTGTACTATAAGAACTTCTAAGGAGCTTTATCAGACTTCATCCCAAATTACGTACCTAGAAAAAGATGTACCAATGTCTACTTTGGAATAAGAAATTATTTCTTGTTTGAGCAAGGATTAAGCAGAAACTGAAAGAAGTGCAGTTTATAGCCTCTTATATGAAGTAGATGGGCACCCCTCAAAAACAAATCAATATCCTGGCTCCTTAAATATCAACATTAATCTAAGTAATGTATAGCATGCTCCTGTCCAAAGGTTCCCGCTAATTTGTAGTCTTCTCAGATCGATGCTTCATTTTAGTCACACATTTCTATCCTGCAAGACCGGGTACCTGGGTTTTTTGTCTAGTTTTATAACACTAGGCAGGTTTGGCCTTACTCAAAATATAAGACTGCAAAATGCCTGTTTCACCTCAACCACACGGTTTCAGGAAATGTTCTGTATTTCCAGCAGAAAACTGGTATCTAACTCTCATGATGGTTTCTAGCAAGTGGATAGACACCTGGGTCTTTGCGGCCCGTGATGCAGCCTAACAATAGAGGACCCTGTGTGAACAGCTAGATCTGCTAAATCAAGAGGACATCCATGTTCTAGACTTTTTATTCTGGTTTAGCAGGATCCAAACTGGTTGTCCTGAAGAGACTAATGCCTCTCTTTCTCTTCCACACAATGGGTGGCCTCTGCCAAGTTAACTGCTTCGTGGGGGGAAAAAAGATTGCCTTTCCTTTGGTCTGCATGTTTTAAGGTAAATGCCACATACACCTACAGGAGCTTATCAATAATAGATAGACAAGGCTCACTTTCAAACTCTTTCAGGAGATAAACTGGTGGGGAAGACGAATGGCAGGAGGGTGAAGAGGAAGCTAAATTACTATGCAAACACCCCCAACTCAAATCCAGGTGGTTACTGCAGAGTGAATAACGATAAGTACGATTTCGTGTAAGGCAACGTCCTTTGAAAGGGCTCCCAGAGCGTCAAGGCCCCCACCTGATGAATGGGTGAGTCAGGCAGGCCCAGCTCCACTTCGAGGATGGGAAAACTGAGGTACGAGGCGGCGAGATGACTGGCCCGAGGCCTCGCTGAAAGATCCGAGGCGGAGCGGAGAACCAGAAGCACCGCTTCTCTCAGGCTGATGCTCTAATCTCGGCTCCCCCCGCCCCTACGATGGCGTAGACGGCCTCCGCCCCCCGACTCACACACACCCTCCCCCGGGAACGGCAAGTCTCCTCGGGTTCCAAGGACAGGGTCAAAAGACAAGAGGCCCGAGGCGCTCCCGCCGTGATTTGCAGCCGGGGAGCCATTGGGAGCGTGCGTGCCTCCAGTTCAACATGGCGGCGGCAGCGGCCGCCCCCCCACCCCAAGCCTCCCTCAGGGCCGGAGGCTTCTCCTCAGGGCCCTCCGGTGGGCGGGAAGACAGCCCAACCCCGCCAGGACCTTCTCGTCGCTGCCGCTGCTCGCTGAAGAAGTCACCTACCCGACATGACTAACGGCCGCGGCGCGGAGGCCCCACAGCCCGCCGAGAACAACGAATACGAAAGCCAGGCGGCGCGGCGGCCGGAGCTGTACTGAGGGCGGCGCGGCGGGCTGAGGCGGACTGCGGGACCCCGGCAGCCAATCAGCGGGCAGCGGGTGGTACCACAAAGCTGCGGCAGGAGGGATGTTTCTGCACTGGTACTAGCCGCCGAGCCCTGAGGCCTTCCCAGGGCCCTCTATTCCCCCCTCCGCTAGCCGTACCATTATTGAGAGGGAATTGAGAAGAGAAAGTACCAATGCCACGATCACGATCGGGGAGGAAGTGGAACCTACTTGCTCCGTCTTATTTACAATCCTATTTCTCACTTTATTGGGTGTGATGGAATTTGCGGTTAGGAAACGAAAGAGGAGGGACCTTATAAACACAGAGTATTTGGTTATGCAAAGCCTTTCTTTCCCTACAATTTCGAATGGTACGTCCTAGCTGGCGGCTTTTGCTGCAGAGTGCTTGGGCCACCTGGGGGCGTTCGGAGTCGGCGAGCTCTGGGACTGTGAGTCGTGACCAGCTCGCGTACCTGATCGCTTCCCGGTTTGTTGTAACTGTCTCGCCGAGTAGCAAACAAGGATGCTGGAAGAAAAGGGTACATTAAAACGAAATCGTACACGAATCTGACCCTGAGAATGTGGCGGGGCGGAGGGATCGAGCTTTAATTTTCAGCACTATAATAATAGCTGACTCTTAATTGTCAGGCACCTTACATCATCTCATTTAATTCTCACAACAGACTGATGAAATATTTTCCCCATGTTGCAGATGAGAAGACAGAATTCATTTGACCTAGGTCGTACAGCTAGTAAACGGCCAAGGTGGAATTTGAAGCCTGGTAACCCAACGATATATTGCATATGAGTTTAACCAAAATGCTGCACGGCCCAGCGGGGTGGGCCCAAGGCCGCTTGGGCTCTGCAGCAGGAAACGGGCTGGAAAAGCTCAGAGAGCCAGCAAAGACGTTTTCCGGGAAGGCATGGTATCTGAGCCAAACCCTAGGTGTTGTGCAGAAGTTGACCGAGTAAAGAAGTGAGCAAAGTACTTTGCAGACTAGTTGTGTAACAAGTAGTTCTTCAAGGGGAGAGTAGAAGGAGATGATGCCCGAAAAGGAGGGGGCTAAATAGCTGGGGCCTTGTCAAATGCATTAGAGTTCCCACTTTATCTTGGAGGAAATGAGAACCACTCACCAGAGGATTTTATAGGAGAGGAGTAATATCAGATTTGTATTTTCTGGCTGCCAAATGAAAAATGCACGGGGATGAGAGGCGCTTAAAAGCAGAGACCAATTAGGTGGCCAGTGCAGTAATTTTGGTGAGAGATGACAGTGCCCTGGACTTAGGTAGTAGCTCTGGAGACAGAGGTAAGTGAAGCGATCTCAGAGATACCCCGGGGTAGACTAGACAAGAGCTGGTGATCACCTGGGTTGGAGAGGGTAGTGGAGAGAGAAGAGTCTGGGGTGAATTCTGGGTTTCCTGCGTAGACACGGGGGCCGGGTGGTAGTGTCATTGACTGTGATAGGGAACAAAAGGAGGAGCAGGTTGCAATGGAGGTGAAAAGGGAAGTTCAGAGTTAATACCTTCAGGTCAGAAAAAAGACGTGAGGTCATCTCTCCCCATTATACCAGCAGTGATTGTGCCCTCAACTCTAGATAAAGAGGGTCACAGAACGCTCTAGATAAGTTCCAACAAGCAAGACTAAAGGAGTGAAAATTATTTCATGACTAAAAACCATTAAACTGTTTAGCATATATATTGAGGAAGGCAGCTCAGCAGAGAAGATGGGCATGTCCAACAGAAGAGAATTGGGTTATGGAGGGGAGGGGAAGAGGTAATTCTAGAAGATCCCTAAAGGGACCTAGAGGGTTGTTCTTTTTTATTTATTTTCTTTTTTTGAGAATTTTTTTCAAAGAAGGAAATACCAAAAGTGTTACTCATCGACTCCTTAAGTTTGTACCACCATTTATTCATTCACTCCTCCTTCAATTGCCATCTCTGGAGGTTTACTATGTGACAGGCTCTGGAAGGCCTTGGAGAGACAGAAATAGGAAGGAGAGCCTCTGCCTTCCAGGAACTACAGTCTCATAACAGGAACAGTGTGAACCTGTGATTTCTTTTTTTTTAACTTTTATGTTAGGTTTGGGGGTACATGTGAAGGTTTGTTACACAGATAAACACATGTCACAGGGATTTGTTGTACATATTATTTCATCACCCACATATTAAGCCCAGTACCCAATAGTTATCTTTTCTGCTCCTCTCCCTCCTCCCACCCTCCCCACTCAAGTACACCCCAGTGTCTGTTGTTTCCTTCTTTGTGTTCATAAATTCTCATCATTTGGCTCCCACCTATAATAAGTGAGAATATGCAGTATTTGGTTTTCCGTTCCTGTTAGTTTGCTAAGGAGAATAGCCTCCAGCTCCATCCATGTTCCAAAAAGTTTCTTGTTGTCTTCATACTATTTGTTTCTGTATTTGTCTTCCCCTACTAATGTACCAACCCTCACACCATTTGTCCTGATAAAATTCTGTAGATAGTCTCAGAGGCTGCGTGTCTGCTGACCTGCTGCCACCCGTGCATCAGGACCTGCACTAACTCTATCTTGTCCTGCCAAACCTGTGATTTCAATCAACTGCTGGATGTGCTAGGATTGGAGGATGCAGAGTGCGCTCTGAAAACACAAAAGAAGGGCACCTTGCCCACATGAAGGATGGGGGGTATCAAAGAGGGCTTCCTGTGGGAGGTGCCCCCTAAACTGAACTTTGAAGAAAGTACAGGAATTAGGCAGCGAGGATATACCAGGAACATCATGCTCCAGGCAGAAAGGGTTGTATTTGCAAAGACTGGGAGAGAGCAAAGTTCTGGGAATTGCAAGTGGTTCAGTCTGGCTGGTCTATGGAGTTGCAGGAGTGAGGAGTTGTAATAAATGGAGTGAAAGAAGTAGGCAGAAGCCACATTCCAAAGAGCCATGTGTGCCTTACAGAGGAGTTTGAACATTAAATTTAAAACAATGGGGAACTTCTGAGGAATGTAATCAAAGGACTAACATTTTCTATATCCATTATTTCTAGAATGGGCCTATGAAACAGGTAGTGCTGCTATCCACATTTGGTCAATTAGGACACTGCAGCTCAGGGAGGTGAAACTCTTGAGCAAATTCACACAGCTGATGAGAACTCATACCCAGGCCTTTGGACAATGCTCAGTGTTCTTTTCACAGTGTCGCTGTTCTCCCACACTGGGATACAAAGAACTCCTCCCAGGTCTGCATTGCTCTGGGGCCTCTTTCCAAGGGTCCTTCTCTACCACAGACTGACTCCTGTGCCCTCCTGCATTCCAGGTCTTTGCCTGGAAATGATTCCATTGCAAATGGTTATCTGCAACAAACTTAAGCCATCACCCAGGCATTTTTTTTTTTTTTTGAAACGGAGTCTCACTCTGTTGCCCAGGTTGGAGTGCAGTGGCGTGATCTTGGCTCTCCGCCTCCCGGGTTCAAGCAATTCTCATGCCTCAACCCCCCAAGTAGCTGAGATTACAGGTGTGGGCCACCACAATCAGCTAATTTTTGTATTTTTAGTAGAGACAGGGTTTCATCATGTTGGTTAGGCTGCTCTCAAACTCCCGACCTCAGGTGATCTGCCCGTCTGGATCTCTCAAAGTGCTGGGATTACAGGCTTGAGCCACTGCGCCCGGCAATCACCCAGGCATTCTTCATGCTGCAAGATCCTGCTCCCTCTACATCCTCCCTCCTGGCCTCAGGCTGCATATTTAGGGAAGACAGCAGGTACATTTTTACACATCAGCTTTAGCAGAATGTATCTGAGAAGGTCTCCAGGCCGAGCGCAGTGGCTCACTCACACCTGTAATCCCAGCACTTTGGGAGGCCGAGGTGGTCAGATCACCTGAGGTCGGGAGTTCGAGACTAGCCTGACCAACATGGTGAAACCCTGCCTGTACTAAAAATACAAAATTAGCCGGGCGTGGTGGCGCATGCCTGTAATCACAGCTACTTGGGAGGCTGAGGCAGGAGAATTGCTTGAAACTGTGAGGCAGAGGTTGCAGTGAGCCGAGATGACATCATTGCACCCCAGCCTGGGCAACAAGAGCAAAACTCCGCCTCAAAAAAAAAAGAAAGTCTTGGTACTGGGCCTGTTGGCCCTGGATCCATTCTTCCTGTCCTCACAGGGGAGCAGACCCCTACAGAGTTGCCTTGTTTCAGTTTCAGAAAGTCCCTCTGGTGGTATCTTTCAGCTTGAATTGGCCGAGGGGAGACGTGGTGGGAAATTAGGTGGAAGAAGAGAGGAAGAAAGGAAAGAAGAGGGTTATCTTTCCCCCTCCCACTCTGCCTCAGGGAAGTCTCAGAGCTCCAGTTTCCATTGGTGACCCCGGCTCCTTGGCCCTAGTAACCTGCCTCCTCCCTCTGTCCCCCCACCTACAGCTTATAGTCTTCTTGCTATTGATCATTTCTGAGTTGCCTCCATCCCCTGCTTGGCTTCCCCAACCTTTCTACCAATGGTATAGGACCTTGTAAGGACATTGTAAGGTTTCACTTAGAGTGAGAGGGGAAACCATTAGAGGGAGCCATTTGAACAGAGAGGCCCAGCAGGATCTGAACTGCTTTACCAGGATTACTCTGCCTGCTGTTTAAAGCATAGACTCTAGAGGGCAGGGAAAGGTTATTGCTCTGACCAAAGTAAAAACCAGACCATGATGATTTTTTGCCTTTTTTGAAATCCTCTGGAACTCACAGTTGTACTGCATAATTCAAGGCTTGCATGCTTTGCCTGTTTGCTCTCTAGTTGGGTTGCATAATTCCTTTCTGAATGTCCAGTGCCCAGCACAATGCCTGAAACAGTAGGCTTTTTTTTTTTTTTTTTTTTTTTTAGACAGAGTCTCACTCTGTCACCCAGACAGTGCAGTGGCACGATCTCAGCTTACTGCAGCCTCCGCCTCCCAGGCTCAAGGGATTCTCCTGCCTCAGCCTCCCAAGTAGCTGAGATTACAGGCATGTGCCACCACACCTGGCTAATTTTTTTTTTTTTTTTTGAGACGGAGTCTCACTCTTGTCACCCAGACTGAAATGCAATGGCTCGACCTCCGCTCACTGCAACCTCTGCCGCCCGGGTTCAGCCTCAGCCTCCCGAGTAGCTGGGATTACAGGCTTCTGCCACTGTGCCCGGCTAATTTTTGTATTTTTAGTAGAAACGGGGTTTCACCATTTTGGCCAAGCTGGTCTTGAACTCCTGACCTCGTGATCCATCCACCTCGGCCTCCCAAAGTGCTGGGATTACAGGCGTGAGCCACCTCGCCCGGCCAATTTTGTATTTTTAATAGAGACGGGGTTTCACCATGTTGGCCAGGCTGGTCTCGAACTCCTGGCCTCAAGCGATCCGCCTGCCTTGGCGTCCCAAAGTTACATTACAGGCATGAGCCACCACGCCCAGTCCAACACTAGCATTTTTTTTTTTTTTTTTTTTTTTTTTTTGAGACGGAGTCTCGCTCTTTCGCCCAGGCCGGAGTGCAGTGGCGCTATCTCGGCTCACTGCAAGCTCCGCCTTCTGGGTTCACGCCATTCTCCTGCCTCCGCCTCCGGAGTAGCTGGGACTACACGGCGCCCGGCTAATTTTTTTTTTTTTTTTTTAGTAGAGACGGGGTTTCACCGTGTTAGCCAGGATGGTCTCGATCTCCTGACCTCGTGATCCGCCCGCCTCGGCCTCCCAAAGTGCTGGGATTACAGGCGTGAGCCACCGCGCCCAGCCCCAAGACCTAGATTTTTTAAAAAATTGTTCATGAGTTTCTTCTCAGGTTGACTTCCCTCTGCTATCCTTTCCTTTCCTCTTCTCTGCATGAAGGTGGCTCTTCCTTGGCTCCCTACAGGCTGTGGGTCCATGCAGAAAACACCCCAGGGACCTATCCCTATGTCCTGTATGTCTAATGAGTTCCTGGAGGTCTGGGTCTCCCAGGTTCCCCCTCCATCTCTTGAGTCTTGGGGGCTGTGCGTCCCTCCATGTCTCTCCCCCACGAGTGGCAAGAGGGCTACACCTACATGCTGAGAGCATCCACTGCTGGTCTCTAATGCAAATTTGTGAATAACCTACTGGAAAATGTTTGAGAAGCAGCAAGAGTTTATTAATTTTATCAGTCTTTCCAATGACTCATTTTGACTTTGATGATTTTCTTTTTCTTAGTCTGTTTTCTGTTTCAGTGAATAACAATCTTATTATTTTCTTTCTTCTGTTTCCTTTGGGTTCAGTTTCCTCAACTCTTCCTAGCTTCTTAAGGTGGAAGCTTCATTCTTTTATTTTACACCTTTCTTCTTTTTGAATAGAAGCATTGAACGCTACAGATTCTCTTCTAAGTGCTGCTTTAGCTTCATAATGCCGTAGTTTTTCATGTGACAGGTTTTCATCATTCAGTTATTTTCTAATTTCCCTGGTGATTTCATCTTTGTCCCACAGATTATTTAGAATTACATTCTTTATTTACAAATATTTGGGGGGGTTAAATATCTTCTTGTTAATGATTTCTAATCAAATTCCATTATAGTCAGAGAATATACTTGGTATTATTTTGATTCTTGAATATTTATTGAGACTTGTTTCTTGGGCCAGCATACAGTGTATCTTGGTGAATGTTCCATGTGTATATGAAAAAGAATATGTATTTTTCACTTGTTGGGTGTAATAACCTATAAATGTCGGTTAGGTCCATTTGGTTCATTGTGTTAAGATTTACATATCCTTATTGATTTCTGTTTATTTAGCAGTTATTAAGAGTTGGGTACTAAAATCTCCAGATATGATTGGGAAGTTTTTGTTTCTCCCTTTAGTTCTTTCAATATTTGCTTCATGTATTTTGAAGTTCTTATATTCATTTAAGACTATGATATCTTCTCGATGAGTTGATCCTTTTATTAGGAAATCTCTCTCTTCTTCTTTAGTAGTATTCTTTTTCTTGAAGTATACTTTGTCTGATATTAATACAATTTTCTGATGCTTACTATTTGCATGGTGTACCTTTTTCTTTCTTTCTTTTTTTTTGAGACAGAGTCTTGCTCTGTCCTCCAGGCTGGAGTGCAGTGGCACAATCTCTGCTCACTGCAAGCTCCGCCTCCCGGGTTCACGCCATTCTCCTGCCTCAGCCTCCTGAGTAGCTGGGACTACAGGCGCCCGCCACCACGCCTAGCTAATTTTTTATATTTTTAGTAGAGACGGGGTTTCACCGTATTAGCCAGGATGGTCTCGATCTCCTGACCTCATGATCCACCTGCCTCGGCCTCCCAAAATGCTGGGATTACAGGCGTGAGACACCGCGCCTGGCCCAACACTAGCATTTTTAAAAAGGAAAAAACAATGGCATGTAATAAATGAATAAATAAATGGGGGAAAAAAAGAGCATGACTTGTCTTTCTGTCTCGTCTTTAAACTCCTCAAGCTCAAAGGCCTTATCTAGGACTTCCTTATGTCTCTCATGGGGCACAGAGTAAGTGTTCAGTGAGTGTTTGTTGAAAGAACGACAACCACCTGGTGCCAATTGCCACAGGCAGTGTGTAGCTGTTGTCACCACCCCACTCCCACCCCAGTGGAGGCGTCCCTGAAGCCCTTCTCCCCTGGCCTTCCTAGAGAGCGGCCCTGCCAGGGTGATTACTCTGAGGCTCCAGTGCAGGAGAGGGAGGCTCCTTGTAAATGACCAGGCTACCCCGTCCTCCCAACAGTGGCAGGCGCTTCCTGTTTGGGTAGAAAGGAACCAGACACTTTCCTGTTAGCAGGTCTTTTAAGCAAAGCAGCAGATGCTGAGCAGGTCCTGGCCCAGGCTTTCAGGCCAGATGCCTGGTGGTTAGACAGCCTTTATGTGGAAGGGAAGTGGGGCACAGCGCCAGATTGGCCAGGCTTTTATTGTGCTCCTTGCAAGTCTGCTGGGTCCTGGTGTGAGTAAAAAACAAGAAGAGGATGACGCCCTGCTAGACCATGATGAGAGTTAGGGAAGATGGGGCTGCTCTGAGACACAGATCATTGCCAGGAGCGGAGGTGCTCGTGTGACTGTCCTGGGGCAGGTTTGTGTATGTCATTTGGATGTAAGCGTGCTCCAGTGTGAACCTGTGCACAGAATGCATGACTGTGCTTTCAGGTCTGTGCACCCAATATCCAGCACTTTGCAGGATTTAACACTTTCTTTCTTTCTTTCTTTCTTTGAGATGGAGTTTTGCTCTTGTTGCACAGGTTGGAGTGCAATGGCGTGACCGTGGCTCACCGAAACCTCCGCCTCCCGGGTTCAAGCGATTCTCCTGCCTCAGCCTCCCAAGTAGCTGGGAGTACAGGCATGCACCACCATGCCTGGCTAATTTTGTATTTTTTTTAGTAGACATGGGGTTTCTCCATGTTGGTCAGGCTGGTCTCGAACTCCTGACCTCAGGTGATCCTCCCGCCTTGGCCTCCCAAAGTGCTGGGATTACAGGTGTGAGCCACCGCACCTAGCCAAATTTTTGTATTTTTAGTACAGACGGGGTTTCACCATGTTTTTCAGGCTGGTCTCGAACTCCTGATCTCAAGTAATCTGCCCTCCTTGGCTTCCCAAAGTGCTGGGATTACAGGCTTAAGCCACCGCGCCCAGCCGGATTTAGCACTTTCTAATTGTCTAGCTTGTTCCGCATTGCACACGGGATAGCAGAAAAGGCAGGAATTATTTTCCTCCCATTTTATAATGGCAGAAACTCAGAGAGGTTAGTTGACTTGCAAAAGTCACAGAGAATGTGAAAAAGTTGAGATTCAAACTCAGGTTTATCTTGCTCCAAATTTCTTACTTTTTCCAGTCCCGTATGAGCATATGTGTACACGTACGGGGGAGCAGACAGTGAGGTATGCCTGTGAATGGGACCCAGACTGCTGAGACCATATCCCCACGTGCCAGAGAGAGGACATTTCCCTTCCAGAGGCAGAGATGGTTGCTAGAGTCAGGGCTTCTGGAATTGAATCACAGCTAAAAATGCAGAGGCTATGCTCAAAAATGAATTTAAATTATCACGGCAAAAGTCCTCACAACTCAGGAAGGCCTCCTCTTCAGCTCTCCCAATCTAACATCATGTCCTCATTATTCTGCTAATTATTCCTCTGCTTATGTGTTTGAGGTTGGTCTCTTGAGTGCCTGTCCCCAGAGCCCAGAATTCTTCCTGAGAAAATCTACATTGTGTTCCACACACTTCCTGGGGAGGAGGAAGGGGCAGAGACAAAGCTGATTGTTCCACATATTACAAAGAGAGAAACTGAGGCCCAGAGGAACCTTGTCCAGGCTCACACATCCTGCCTGATTCAAGAGGTCCTGCTGTTGTCTTCTGTCAGAGCAGGAGGAATGGCTGGGAAGCAGCCACTGCCAGACACTCCCCTGGGCAGGCAATGTGCCCAGGCCCTGGCATGAATTCCACAGAATCCTGTCCACTCTGGGAGTGCTGGGAGGCACTGTGGATCTAAGCCAAGCCCCAGTGCAGAGAGAGGGAGGGAGGAGAAGCAGCTCTCTTTGAAGAGGAGCTGTGAAGAGAACTACCATCCAAGCTGGGTCAGGAATCTGCTCAGCCAAAACAGGGAGAAAAGGAAGGAGAGAAACAGACCCTGGGAAAACCTATCTTCCTCCTGGAAGCTGGTATTTACTAATTAGTAATTCAGTAGGTCTGGAGTAGGGGTCTGGAATCTGAATTTTTCAGGTGATTCAATGCAAGTGATCTAAGAATCATATTTTATAAATTTGACTTGAGGTAAGATAGTGTAGTATTTATAGGCCCTAGATCTGGAGTTATAGCATCCAGGTTGAATTACAGTTTCCATTATAAGATTTGTGGCCGGGTGCAGTGGCTCATGCCTATAATCCCAGCACTTTGGGAGGCTGAGGCAGGTGGATCACCTGAAACCCAGAGTTTAAGACCAGCCTGGCCAACATGGCAAAACCCCGTCTCTACTAAAAATACAAAAAAAATAGCCAGGCGCATTTGCGGGCGCCTGTAATCCCAGTTTCTTGGGATGCTGAGGCAGGAGAATTGTTTGAACCTGGGAGGTGGAGGTTGCAATGAGCTGAGATCACACCATTGCACTCCAGCCTGGGCGACAGAGCGATACTCTGTCTCAAAACAAAAAAACGAGAAACCGTTATAAGATTTGTGACTCTGGACAAATGATACAATCTCTCTGTGCCTCAGTTTCCTCATCTTTAAAATTAGGATGCTTGTAATAGTAGCTTTCTCATAAGGAAGTTGCAAAGAGTCAATGACATGATTTATGTAAAGCACATTAGCACATATGTGGCCCATGTTAATTTCTCAACAGTATTAATCACTATCATTTGTTCCAACTCCTCATTCCCATCCCCACACCCACTCCTACCAGAGTAGGAAATAATGGTATTGGATTAACATAGGGACTTGCCACCACAGTATTCTTTTGGATGTGGGTAATCTTTGGGTCATGGTTTGAGAATCCCTGATCCAAAGCCATTCTCCAGTCACTCTCCAGATTCCCTTGCTATGAACTGAGTCTCTTCTCAATAAACTGCCCCGATTTCATCTTCCTTTTCTCCTTGGACCCCCTCCCATCCTCCCAGCATCCACACAGCAAGCTGCTGCCCACCCTCCCCACCCCATCCAAAGTGATTTTGGCTCAGGATGTGTACTAGACATGAAAACATGCAGCAAGTCACACTTGTGGGGCTTCACAGGCCCCTGGATTTTGAAGATCACAGAATTTGGTGCTCTGGGATTTATGAGTAATCTTCAGAGGAAGAAGGGAACCGGAACCTCCTGCTGCCCAAATTCAAACCATGGAAATATGTTATCTTCCCGGGAAAGAGACATCCTACGCAAAGGCAGGGTTGAAGCCCAGGGTAAGCATATGGGTGGAGAAAGCTTTGTTCTGCATAAATTCTTGCAGGCAGTTTCAAGTCTGGATGGCACTTCAAGGTGACCACAAGCAGAGATGGCATAGGGAGAGGAAAGGATGGGATGAAATAATCCAACCAAGAACACAAAAGGAAAATAGAGAAAGTCAACTTTCAAATGCACAGTGGTGCTAGTTTGAGGGGTTCAGGGACCAGAGCTAGGCTGGGATGCAGAGAGAGTCAGGATCAGCTTTCCAAGTGGCCAAGCTTGTCTCCTCCCAGACATTCAGCCCTCCAGAGAACCATGACTTCTCCTCTTACCGTCTCTTCCCAGTGAAGCTGAAATGGAGAACCTCTGGGATGTGACACAGACATAGTGTGTCTCACTATGTTGGCCAGGCTGGTCTTGAATTCCTGGGCTCAAGTGATCCTCCCATCTTGGCCTCCTGAAATGTTGGGATTACAGGTGTGAGCCACCGCACTCAGTCAGAATAGACATTTTAGAGCAGGCATTCCCAGCCAGAATAAACATTTTAGAAACAGGCATTCCTGGCCGGGCGTGGTGGTGTGTCCTGTAGTCTCAGCTACTCCGGAGGCTGAGGTGGGAGGATGGCTTGAGCTTGAGAGGTCAAGGCTGCAGTGAGCCCTGATTATGCCACTGTACTCCAGCCTGAGAGTCAGAGCAAGACCCTGTCTCTAAAGAACGAAATAAAAAGAAACAAAATAAAAAGAAACAGGCATTCCTTTGAGGGAGACTAATTGGAAACAGGTCCTGTTCACCTTCCAACCAACCAATGAAAAAGGGGCATCCATCCTGGGCATACCAATTTTAAAAAGGCACTTCTCTGGGCAGACCAATGAGAAAAAGGATGTGCAGACGCATCCCCGTCAGGGAGCCTCAAGATTTCTGGAGTTGAGGATGGATCTCTTTGCCATCTATGTCCCCTCTTTGAGGATGCCCTCTGCACATTCATAAGAAGCATCCCTGCCTGGGTTGGTGCCCCAGAGGTAGTGGACATGAAGCTGGCCTGCCCCTTGCTCTTAGAGAGCTTCCAGCCTTGTCAGGTAACTAGTAGGAAGGTCCTCCTTCCTTCTGCGAGGTGGGCGTGGCAGTGCATGCCTGTAGTCCCAGCTGCTCAGGAGGATCGTTTGAGGCCAGGAGTTTGAGGCCAGCATGGGCAACACAGCAAGACCCTGTACTCAACCCATATCCCCCCAAAAAGAACAGACTGTAACACAGCGGCTGATTCAATCAAAACCCTGCAGTGGACCTTGGGGAGGGAGCTTCTGAAGGAGAGTGAGATAGTATTACTAGATTTAGCAAATAAAAATACAGGACTCCAGTTAAACTTGAATTTCAGATTAATGAATATTTTAAAAAGTAACTGGGTGCTATGCAATATTTGGGACACTTATACTAAAAAATTATTCATCATTAATCTGAAATTCAGGATTAATTGGGTATCCTCTGTTTCATCTGGCAACCTTAGAAAGAGAGAAAGCAAGAGAGAGAGAGAGAGTGTGTGTGTGTGTGTGTGTGTGTGTGTGTGTTTGTAGTTACAGGTATGGCATGATATATGGTGGCTTTTACCAGTAGATGGATTTTGACAGGCCGGATAGCCCTGCTTTGGGCAGGGAGCTCTGATGATCATCAGTTGGTAAGGACACTGTGGAACAAGCTGGAGTCAGACCTAGGTTTGCCAATTCTTTCTCCAGGCAGAATCTTTCCATCCCTTCTTCTATAAAACATTAAAAAATTAGCTGGGTACAGTGACACATGCCTGCAATCCCAGCTACTCAGGAGGCTGAGATGGGAGGATTGCTTGAGCCTTGAAAGTCAAGGCTACGGTGAGCTGTGATTGTGCTACTGCACTCCAGCTTGGGCGACAGAGCAAGACCCTGTCTTAAAAATACATATGTACATATATACACACATAAAATGTCTATTAAAAGGGCTTTTTCCAATTCCTCCACACAAGTGGTGTATTTTTCTAAATAGTACAAAAACGTTGTGTGATACCGAGGCCCTGAGCCTTAGGGTTGGAACACAGCATTATTTTTGTTCAGCACTTTAGGGATTCTAGATTATTTTTACACACATTAACTCATCTAATCCCACAATGACCCCCAGAGCTCAGTATCATTTTCCATTTGCATTTTACAATGTAGTGAATTGGGTAGAAGTGAGACAGCAACCAGCTCTCAGTTACACAGACAGATAATGAAAATAGTTTACTTTTTGCTCAATATGAGTTTAGCAAAGGCTTTCACGTAAACCGTTTCACTCCAACCTTATGGGGTATATAAAATCAGGCACTTTACACTCATTTTCTCTTTTCATCCTCATGCAACGCTGGGCACTAAATATCGTATGCTGTCATTTTATTGATGAGGAAACTGACGCTCGAAGTAGTTAAATCCTTTGCCAAAGATCACACAGCTGCAGCCTGCCCCTTATTAAGTGCACACTTCGTGATGCCATGCACCCTGTTCAGTAATTTACAGGCGTTATTATCTCCCCAACAGTCACAGAATATCGGTATTCTTATTATCCCATTTACTGATGAGAAAAGTGGGTTCAGAGAGGGTGAGTGACTGGTCCAAGACCACACAGCCAGCAGGTGGCTGAGGCAGGACTCAAAGGGCTAGCAAAGGAGCAAGTCTGGAACTCAAACCCAGTTCTGACTCCAGCTCTGTGCTGCTTCTCTCGCACCCCGACCCTGGGTGGGGGCCTCGCTCCCCACCCAGCTGAAACAATCAACGACCCTCTGGTAGACCAGGACCTCTCTTCATCGAAGTCTTAGGTAGCCACGCTTGCCAGGAGAAGGCCTTTCTTCCTTCACCCTCCCTGGACAGATCCGGGTCAACTGGAGGTGGCGGGCGAGAGGACCGATCCGCAGGGCGGTGGCGGGCGCAGGGCGAGGCTGTGCAGCGAACGGAAGAGGCTCCGGGACCGCCTCGCGTTCCAGCAGCGGCGCGGGGTGGGTGGGGCGGGAGTGCCGGGCCTCCGCCCCCTCCGCCTGCCTTTCCTTCCTCCCTCCCTCGGTCCCCGGGGCCGGCGGACCCGCGGGCAGGCACTGCCCGGGCTGGACGACGTCTGGCCGGCTCCCGGCGAAGGGCAGCGGAGGAGCGGCCCAGAGCGCGCAGCTAGGGCACTGGCGAAACCCCGGGACAGTCCCTCTCCGTGCGGGGGCGGCGCAGAGCAGTCCCATCCCCGGGGTCCCGGGCGCGGCTGACTGCCGGCTGGTTCCCTGCGCGCAGTAGCTCCCCGAGCCGGGCTGCACCGGAGGCGGCGAGATGGTCGCGCGCGTCGGCCTCCTGCTGCGCGCCCTGCAGCTGCTACTGTGGGGCCACCTGGACGCCCAGCCCGCGGAGCGCGGAGGCCAGGAGCTGCGCAAGGAGGCGGAGGTACGCCGTGTGTACCTGGCGGAGAGCGGTGCGTGTGCTTGAGACCTGTCAGAACTCGGCAGTCAGGCCACCCGGCAGTCCCCTGTGAGCAGACAATCTGCGTTACCCTACCCCTGTCCTCCGCCCCCTTCGCACTTGAACATAAAGAGCCGGGCAGTTTTTTCCCCGTGCCAGGCTGGAACCACACAGGCACGCGGATCCGCACTGATGGGCTGGGGTGGGTGCAGAGACGAGACCGGACAGACGGGCAAGAGCCCAGAGGGGACATCCTACCCTAGTTTGGCACGGGGCCACTCTCCCTCACCACCTAGGCTGGGGAGAATGAGGTTCATTCGTCGGATGCCCCCGAACCGTGTGGAAGCCTCAGTTTGGTGCTGTGGAGAGGGTACCGCTGGCTGGCCGGGACGCGGGACACAGCGCTGGCTTCCTGGCCGGGGACCGCCGCTGACCTGCTTGGGCAAGCCATTTAAACTGCTCAGAACTAGTTTTTCTGTCTGTAAAATGGGCAAGAGTAGTATACTCTCAAGAGTTGCTTCTAAGGAGCTTTAAACGGGGCTTCAGGACTGAACTTAAGGGGGCAGGAAGGTGAACCTTAGAGAGCTCCCTTTCCATTTTCTTGCTTTGGACTCAACTTGCTTGTTGTAGGTTGCGCAAGGGGAATTTTTTTGTGAGGTAGGGGTGGGGATCAATATAAGGCATCTATTTTCTAGATAAAAGTGTAGGCCGGACGCGGTGGCTCACGCCTGTAATCCCAGCACTTTGGGAGGCTGAGGCGGGCGGATAACCTTAGGTCAGGAGTTCGAGACCAGCCTGCCTAAAATGGTGAAACCCCGTCTTTATTAAAAATACAAAAATTAGCCAGACGTAGTGGCAGGCGCCTGTAATCCCAGCTACTCGGGAGGCTGAGATAGGAGAATCACTTGAACCCGGGAGGCAGAGGTTGCAGTGAGCCGAGATCCTGCCATTGCACTGCAACCTGGGCGACAGAGTGAGACTCTGTCTCAAAAAAAAAAAAAAAAAAGTGGTTGTAATAACACAACAGTATCTTTTCTTTCCTCCCCCAAAGAAGCATGTCTGCTTGTGTTCTTACTTCTTCTCAAGAATACGGCCAGGGTCTCCACTATTTTAAGGAGAAGGGATATGAACAGGTTTTGTTTTGTTTTTGTTTTGAGACAGAGTCTCGCTCTGTTGCCCGGGATGGAGTGCAATGGCTAGATCTCGGCTCACTGCAGCCTCTACCTCCCGGGTTCAAGCGATTCTCCTGCCTCAGCCTCCCAAGTAGCTGGGATTATAGGCATGCACGATCATGCCAGGCTAATTTTTGTATTTTTAGTAAAGACGGGGTTTCACCATATTGGCCAGGCTGGCCTCGAACTCCTGACCTTAAGTGATCCGCCTGCCTTGGCTTCCCAAAATGCTTGGATTACAGGCGTGAGCCACTGCATCCAGCTGGAATATGAACAGGTTCTGAATTACTGAGCCCAATGCTCTGCCCTGAGACTCTTGCTCCTCTAAGAGCTTCTTTCCTGCCCTCAAACTGCCCGTTGAGAGCTTCTCAGTATCCTCCCTACTCCCCTTCCCTCGAAGGGCAAGCTGAATTTGGGGAAACTGCAGAATGAAGAGGGCCCTCTCCGAATGCCTCATCCTTCCATCACCCAGCTCCCATCACTACTGGGGAATATTTGGAAATGACCCTGCTTCAACAAGGGATCATCTCTCATTGCCTTCCACCCCTCCCCTTCCTAGCACTGGGCTCTTGCTCTGTGCTCTCTGGTTTCTCTGCATATTCAGAGAAGCACTTTGTTTCTCTGAATTGAGACTCTTACAACATCAAGTACAGAGTCTTTGCAGCCCCAGGAGAAGGCTTCTGTCTGCCAAGCCAAGTCTTGTTAAGAGTCCCACCCCACCTCCCTGCAAGTGCGGGTCCCAGGCAATCCCTCGCAAGGGAACAGAGGCATATCTCTGCTGCCCATGCCTGTGGTGGCCCCAGATGGAGAGAATTTCATCTTGGGGTATGCTTGGGAAACTTAATATCCAGCAGATTGAGTTTCTTTCAGTCTATTTAACATAAATTTGGGGAAGGGGATTTTTAACTCTGAGAACAAGAAAATATTTTAAAAGCATAAAAACTCTGGAAATGTGTAATGGGTGTGTACGTGTCTCTATATGCCTATGCAAGCACACGTGTGTGTGTATATATACATATATTACATATATACACACACAACTGGGGATGTGTCTATGTCTATATGTGTTTTTGTATGTGGTTAATTGCATGAGCTTCAGTGCCAGACAAACCCATACGTAAACCATGGATAACTCATTTAACCTCTATAAACCTCAGTTTTCTTCTCCATACAATGGGGGTTAATAATGCCTATTTCACAAGATTGTTGTATGGTTTCATTGAAATAACATATGTACAATGCCTAACACAGCTCATAGGACATAGAAAGCAGTCTATAAAAGGAAGTTGCTCTCAGTGTTGTTATTACCTTTATCATTACTTTAGAGAACTGAGCTTCGGCTTAAAGTCTGGGTTTGAAGACTAGCTCCCCCACAACAATAATACAGGACAAAATATGTAAGGCAACTATTTTCAGCATTGGACAACAGACAGCACAGAGCTGCAATTCCTAAAGAGAGTATTTTAGTTACTATGACTACATTACAAATTACCCCCAAAACTTAGTGAAGTAAAACAACCATTTATTAAGTTCACAGATAACTGTGAGTCGAAATTTCAAATAGGGCACATCAGTGCAGCTTGTCTCCATTCTACAGTGTCTGGGGCTGGCATCATCTGAAGTGTGTTTAGATATTTGGCAGTCGATGCTGGCTGTTGGCTGGTGGCCTCAGTTATTTTTCACATGGACCTATCCACATGGTCTGTCCGTGTGGGCTAGTTTGGGCTTCCTTATAACATGGTGTCTGGGTCCTGGGGATGAGTGTTGGGAGCGGGGAGAAGAGAGAGGAACTATATCCTTTTTATGACCTACTATTGCTTCTACTGCACTCCATTGGCTAGAGCAGTCACAGCTGCCTCCCAGGTTCAAGGGGAGGGAACATAGACCCCACGATTGCTGAGAGGAGTGTTAAAGTCACATCGTGAGAAGAACGTGGGAATGGGAGATACTGTTGTGTCGTTTAGGGAACAACCATCCACAGAAGGAAAACCCAGAAAGTGAGCCCCACAGTTGCCCCAGTTCTTTGCTTGGAGACAATTCCTGACTGCAGTGCGGGGAACTAGACCTCAAGCAGAACACAGCAGTCCTGCTGTGCTGAGTGACAAAGCTCAGCGTTCAGGGCTGTTGAAGTAGCTGGAATCTGTGGAGGGGTGCGTCACAGAGGAGGGAGCTATACTGAAGGGGGTTCCCATAAGTCTGTATGGGGTTCACTGCAAGTCCTTCCCTGGGGACTGTGCTAGCACGTGTAGGGTGAGACTGTGTGATGCTTACCAGAGAACAGCTGCTATGTGATTGAGAACAGGAAAAAAGACTGGAGAAGTTGAGCAGTTCTGGAAGATATTGGCAGTCTGGGCCAGCCAAAATGGAAAAAACTCTTTAACACCCTGGGCATCTATGTAAAACACCAGCAATGCCATGCTTTAGGTGTAAGCACCATGAACTAGAGTAAGACCTACTCTAACAAAGCTTGGAAATGAGTAAACATAAAACACTTATTTCCCTTGTCATAATTTCTGTAAAAGACAACTGGCTGCTTAAAGCAAAATAATAACATCATAAATTGGACTTTATTTTTATTTTTTGAGACAGCCATGGCTCACTGCGGCCTCAATCTCCTGGGCTCAAGTGATCCTCCTGCTTCAGCCTCCTGAGTACCTGGAACTACAGACACGCACCACCATGCCCAACTAATTCTAAAATATTTTTGTAGAGATGAGGTCTCCCCATGTTGCCCAGGCTGGTCTCAAACCCCTGGACTTAAGCAATCCTCCTGCCTCGGCCTTCCAAAGTGCTGGGATTAAGGCTGGAATTCTACTATTCTACAATAGTAGAATTTTATTTGCCCACCCCTGCTTCCCTTGGCCAGGTGCTGTGCCACTGTCATAACTACTTCTTTTACATGTGTTTTAAAGTCCAACTTAATGGCCATGCCCCCTTATGGCCATAAGTTGGACTTTAAAACACATGTAAAAGTAGCAGTTATGACAATGGCACAAGGCAAGCGGGGGCAGGTAAATGGAATTCTACTATTGTAAGATTAGTACATTTGTGGCTGGGCACAGTGACTCATACCTGTAATCCCAGCACTTTGGGAGGCCGGGGCTGGAGGATTGCTTGAGCCGAGGAGTTTGAGAGCAGCCTGGGCAACATAGAGAGACCCTGTCTCTACACATTTAAAAAAAAAAAAAACATTAATACATTTGTGAATTGGAATGTCAGTGTGAAGTGGGAAATGGGATGTGTCAAGTGGGAAGTGAGAGATGGAGGTTTCACTATGTTGGCCAGGCTGGTTTCGAACTCCTGACCTCAAATGATCTGCCTGCCTTGGGCTCCCAAATTGCTGGGATTACAGACTTGAACCACCATACTCAGCCTCTACAGACTAATTTCTGTGTATATATATTTGGATATCCTGGACATTTCATATAAATGGGATCATATTATATGTGGCCTTTTGGAACTGGATAGTTGGAAACTTTAACACCACTCTCCCAATAATGAATAGAAAAAATAGACAAAAAAAATCAGTCAGGATGTAGCAGACTTGAACAATACTGTAAACCTTCTTGACCTAATTGATGTTGATAGAAAACTACACTTGAGAACTCCAGATACACATTCTTTTCAGGTGCATATCAATAATTTACCAACTGAGACCATAGGCTGGGCCATAAAATAAGTCTCAGTTCATTTAAAAAATTTAAATTTTGCAAAAGCCTGGGTGTGATGGCTCATGCCTGTAATCCCAGCACTTTGGGAGGCCAAGGCAGGAGGATCATTTGAGGTCAAGAGTTGGAGACCAGCCTGACCAACATGGTGAAACCTCATCTCTACTGAAAATAGTAAAAATTAGCCAGGTGTAGTGGCAAACGCCTGTAATCTCAGCTAGTCAGGAGGCTGAGGCAGAATTGCTTGAACCCAGGAGGCGGAGGTTGCAGTGAGCCGAGATCACGCAGTTGCACTTCAGCCTGGGCAACAGAGCGAGACTCTGTCTCAAAAAAAAAAAAAAAAAAAAAAAAGCCAGGTGCGGTGGCTCATGCTTGTAATCCCAGCACTTTGGGAGGCTGAGGCAGGTGGATCACCTGAGATCAGGAATTCGAGACTAGCCTGGCCAACATTGTGAAACCCCGTCTCTACTAAAAATACAAAAATTAGCCAGGCATGGTGGTGTGTGCCTGTAATTCCAGCTACTCAGGAGGCAGAGACAGGAGAATTGCTTGAAACCAGGAGGCGGAGGTTGCAGTGAGCCGAGATCGCGCCACTGCACTCCAGCTTGAGCAGAGCGAGACTCCGTCTTAAAAAAAAAAAAAAAAATTAAATGTTGCAAATTATGTTTTCTTACCAAAACAGAACTAATTTTAAAATCAGTAACAATAAGACATCTAGCAGAGCCCCAGATATTTGGAAATTAAACAACACACTCCTAAATTACCCATGAGTTGATTCAGAAATCATCAGAGCAATGAAACTAAATAATAATGAAAATACAACATTTCATATCAATATTTGTGGGATGCAGCTAAAGTAGTGCTTTAAATGAAATTCACAGCTTTAAATTCCTATAGTAAGAAAGAAGAAAAGTTTTAGGTCAATGATTTAAGCTTCCACTTTAAGAATCTGAAGAAAGAACAAATTAAACCAAAACGGCACAGGAAAGAAAGAAATAATAAAAAACAACTGTGTGATCATAGAGTTCCTTCACTTGGCTGCGGTTTCCTCTCCTGTAAAATAAGAGGGCTAAATTTCTTAAATGACTTCTAAGATTCTCTCTAGCTCTAACACTGTTTGGCTTTGGTGTGCTTGTATGCTTGTGCCTCTATATATGTGTGTGCCTGTGTGTGTATATACATCATCTTCCTCTGTGTCCATGTCTGTCTGTCTGGATGTGCCTGTGTTCTCAAGTCTCTGTGTGTATTCCTGTACCCTGTGTACATGGCTCTGTGTCCCCTCTGTGCACACAATGTAACAAAGTTGAGGCCTTTCCAGAGTGGGCTTTGCCAGGGAGGAGATTAAGTGCTTACAAAGCTGTGTTGTGAACAAACAAGTTCATTGTTGCAACTTAGGAACAAGTTCAGTGGGCAACTTAGGAAAACTAGAGCTGCTCACAGCACTAGTAAGTAGGAAGAGCATGCTCTGCTGAGTTGCAAGATTGAGAATTAACAGATGACATCATCACCCTGTCCCCCACTCCCATTCCAAGCCAGACACTGTCCTGTGCTTGGGTAACACAGATTCCCAAGGGCTCTATCTATCATTTGCTTTGCTTGGACCTTCTTTAGAACAGCCAGGCAGGAGTTTCAGGACCTGCCTTCCACTGGGTGGTCTAGCTATATCTGTATAGCTACTCCCAGTGTGCCAGTACCAGGAGCTGGATAGTTTGTTTCTCCAGGGAGACACTGGAGCTTCTGTGGAGTATCCACCCCCAGATGCAGTGTCTGTTTCTCATACCCCAGAGCCATTCGTTTGACTTTTTGTGAGTCAGAAACCCAGAAGCCTGGGTGTGGAAGCCGTTCCCAAGAACTTAGCTCAGTGACTCATGGGTATAGGGTGAATAGAAGTGCAGAAGAGGCTCTGAAGGGTCCTAGAGGACCACAGTTGGTGGAAAAGCACTTGTCTAGCCAATTACCAGGATTTGGGTAGTGGAAGCATGACCCTAATAGCAGGGAGACATGGTTGGACAATATCTCCCTAAACCCACCCTTGATCAAGGCATTATTTTGTGCCCTAAACTTAGTCCCACAAGTCTAGTGAGAACCATGAGTCCATACGGTATAGTTATTTGGCATTAGAGAAAGAGTACAAGATGTGGTCTGGATAAAGACTAACTGGCTAGTGTTTTCCATCTTCCTTAAGGGCAGAAAATGAAAGGAGGGCTGGCCACAATGGCTCATGATGGCTGTAATCCCAGCACTTTGGGAGGCCAAGGTAGAAGGATCATTTGAGGCCAGGAGTTTGAGACCAGTCTGGGCAACATAGAGAGACCCCCATCTCTACAAAAATTAAAAAATTAGCCAGGCACGATGGCACATGCCTGTAGTCCGAGCTACTCAGGAGGCTGAGGTACAAGGATCACTTGAGCCCAGGAAGTCAAGGTTTGTAGTGAGCTGTGATCATGCCACTGCATTTCAGCCAGGGCGACGAGCAAGACCGTATCTCAAAAAAAAAAAAAAAAAAAAAAAAGGGAAAGAAAAAAAGAGTGAGAGAGAGAGAAAGAAGGAGCAGGGATTATAGCAAGAGGTATCTAGGTTACACCTAGACAGAACTTTGTGACTATAAGACTAAGGACAAAGGGGCTGGGTGCAGTGGCTCACACCTGTAATCCCAGCACTTTGGGAGGCCAAGTTAGGTGGATCACTTGAGGTCAGGAGTTTGAGACCAGCCTGGCCAGCATGGCAAAGCCCCATCTTTACTAAAAATACGAAATTAGCCGGGCATGGTGTGTACGCCTGTAATCCCAGATAGTCGGGAGACTGAGGCAGGAGAATCGCTTGTGCCCAGGAGGCGGAGATTGCAGTGAGCTGAAGTCATGCCACTGCACTCCAGCCTGGGCAACAGAACAAGACTCTGACTAAAAACAAACAAACAAACAAACAAACAAAAAACTGAAGGACAAAAGAAAGAAGGAGAAAAAGAAAGGGAGTCAGGCAGAGGGAAGGGGAAGCCTTTACCCAAAATAAAGGAAAGGAGCTGAGTTAACCCCACTGCCCTGAAGTCTTCACTAGCTCCCAGGAGCCAGAGGGTGAAAGCAGAGCATTCTGGTAGCAGATGTTTATCTTTACGCAGGAACATGCTTCAGTCCTGTCGAATGCCTCTGGCCTGTTAGACGACCTGTTCTGGCTGTGATGGAAAACAGGATCCCAGCCCCTATTTGAAAGCCAGAGCCCACTGCCTGAGCAACTTCTTTCCTCTGCTCTAACCCTGAACTTTCTTGTAAAGCAGATAAGAGAAATCCAGCCAGAAACACCCCAGTTTGACCTTTTTCTTAATTGAGAGTCAGCTCCCCAGTAGAGAGAGCAGCTTGGCCCTTGCCCCTTTAGTTTTAAAGCCTCTGAGTCACTTGTTTAAATGTAAAATAAAACATCCTAGGGTAGATGTCAGAGGATCAGATTAGAGTACTGGTTCTGTCACACACTAGATCACTTTGGTAAGACACTACACTCCCCTGAGACTTAATTTCCTCATCTTTAAAATGGGAATAGCAACACCTGTCCTGTCTATATTCTTGCAAGATCATTGTGAGATTCAAAGAAGGTGTGATATCTTTAAAAAGCTCTACAGTTGCCTGGGCTTATTGTGCTCCTGACTACCAGAAAATATTTTCATATGTAGAACACATCAAGGCAGAATACCAGCTATCATTCATCTTTTTTTTTTTTTTTTGTAGAGACAGGATCTCACTATGAGGCTGGTCTCGAAATCCTGGCCTCAAGAAATCTTCCTGCCCCAGCCTTCCAAAGTGCTAGGATTGCAGACGTGAGCCACTATGCCTTGCCATCCTTTGCATCTTGACTTGGCTAATAATGCCAAAGATACACTTGAATGATAAGCACAATCTCAAATAGTCACTATGGGAACTAAAATAATAATAAAATGTAACATGAGATGGAGTATATCATAGGTAAAGTGACAGTTTCTGCATGCATTTGGCAATTTTTAAATTCTTAATTTCATTTCTGCTGCTGAAATTCTGTGATATGGAGGATGTCTAAGAAGGTGAGTCCTGGCTGGGCATGGTGGCTCACGCCTGTAATCTCAGCACTTTGGGAGGCCAAGGTGGGCAGATCACCTGAGGTCAGGAGTTTGAGACCAGCCTGGCTAACATGGTGAAACCCCGTTTCTACTAAAAATACAAAAAATTACCCAGGCGTAGTGGCGCACGCCTGTAATCCCAGCTACTCGAGAGGCTGAGGCAAGAGAATCACTTGAACCCAGGAGGCAGAGGTTGCAGTGAGCTGAGATCGTGCCATTGCACTCCAGCTTGGGCAACAAGAAGCGAAACTCCGTGTCAAAAAAAAAAAAAAAACAAGAAGGTGAGTACTACACGCTCACCTACCAAATGTCCCTTCCAGCAATAAAGCTCCATGAACATAGAGGTAAAAATAACATTGTTAATGGGGCAACTGTCATAAAGCTTTCCCAGACCATCTTCTTAGATGTTGATGATGCTCCTGCGAGAAAGGTAAAACAGTATTCTTTCTCCCATTTTATACATTGGGGCACAGAAAGGTTAAGTAACTTTGTCTTAGCTTACACAGCTAGTCAGTTGCAGAAGCAGGGATAGAATAACGGATAGAGCTGGAATATATATTAGAGCTCTAATAATCTAATCTCCTGGCTGGGCGCGGTGGCTCAAGCCTGTAATCCCAGCACTTTGGGAGGCCGAGGTGGGCGGATCACGAGGTCAAGAGATCGAGACCATGCTGCCTGAAACGGTGAAACCCCATCTCTACTAAAAATGCAAAAAATTAGCCGGGCATGGTGGTGGGCGCCTGTAGTCCCAGCTACTCGGGAGGTTGAGGCAGGAGAATGGTGTGAACTCGGGAGGCGGAGCTTGTAGTGAACTGAGATCTCGCCACTGCACTCCAGCCTGGGTGACAGAGTGAGACTCTGTCTCAATAATAATAATAATCCAACCTCCTAATTTTATAGAAGAGGAAACTGAAGCTCAGAGAGGCACAGGACTTACCTAAGGACATACAAGTTAGCCATAGTACCAGGAATAAAACTCAAGACTCTCAGTCCAGTGCCCTTGCCCTGCCAGTTCAATGATGCAGACTTCCTGACTCAGGCCTTGGGTTCATTTTGCTGCACCTCATCACTGGTCCTGCCCTGCGCAGAAATGGCCAAAATTTCCCTTCCCTCAGGCACTAAATAGGCTAGGCTATATGCACCCTCCCAGGACAAGTCAGGACTGATGCAGGCCTAGAATCCCTAGCACTGTGTGATTCCACCAAGCTGGCTGGGTCCCAGGAGAACTAGTTCCATTTTACCCAGACTCCACAGCCACTCCCAGGGACTTTCAGAAGTGACTCCCCAGGAAAGTGGTCCCAGCCCTAACCAAGGGGGTAAGGCATGTTGGCACAAGCTTTTAGGCCAGAGTAGGGTGAGTCACCTAAGGGGCACAGCCTTCCAGCTTCCTCTCCATTCAGCTCAAGCCTTGGGCTCCCTAAGAGAGAGGACGGGTGGAAAATAGAGAAGAGAGAAAACCTGGTCCTTGAACTTCAAGGCCAGGAGGAGTGGTCTAGACTCTGCCTCCTTGAAGTGGGGCAGGAATGGTGCCAGGTAGAACTCAGAGAGTCCTTAAGAGAACCATTGAACAAGCCCCCAGGACAATGGAAGCCTAGAAGGAAAATGGCCCCCAAGAGGGTTTGTGGTCAAGCTGGGGTAAGAACTGGAGCTCCACCTCCCAGTTTTGTGTCTTCTCCTGGGATCCCTTTGTCATGCTGCCACTCCTCCACCCTGACCCCACACCCCTGCTCCTTCTACTGTGCAGAGTAGACCATTTCTCTTACCTTTGCAGGAGGAAACTGAGGCATGAAAAATGCCTCACAGAAGAGGGTTAGGGACACCTCCAGGAGCAGAGGGAGTTTCAACCCCACCACCTCCTCACCCGGGAAGTTGGATCTGCCTCCACTCCACAGAATGTGAGAGCACCCAGCCCTGACAGCATTAAGGAGCCCCTTCCTGTATGTGTTTTAAATTTTTTTGAATATACACATGTTAAGCATAAAAGTATAAGGGAGCCCATAAATCCTGATAATCCCTGTTATAATACTTCAGTGCTTTTTTTTTTTTTGGAAATGGAGTCTTGCTCTTGTTGCCCAGGCTGGAGTGCAGTGTTGTGATCTGGGCTCACTGCAACCTCCACCTCCCGGGTTCCAGCGATTCTCCTGCCTCAGCCTCCCGAGTAGCTGAGATTACAGGCACTGGCCACCATGCCTAGCTAATTTTTTGTGTTTTTAGTAGAGACGGGGTTTCACCGTGTTAGCCAGGCTGGCCTTGAACTCCTGCCCTCAAGTGATCCACCTGCCTCGGCCTCCCAAAGTGCTGGTATTACAGGCATGACTACGCACAGCCACTTCAGTGCTTTTATAGAAATACAAAATGTCAAATTCTTAAAATTTCTTTTTCTCATTCTTTCAGTGGCTCTGCTTGGCTCGTGTCCCGGGCACATGCTCATTCTGCTTACTGAGATTTTAACTCTGCCTTGCTACCTACAGGGTCCCAGAGGCGAGTTAGGAAGAAAGGCCCAGGACTTCCCCTCTGAGGGACCCCTGAAAAAGGCCCTCACCCCCAACCCCCATCCTGCCCTCCACCCCGTCTTGCCTGCCAGAGTACTAGGCACAGCAGCCCAGCCAGGAAACAAGAGACGCTGCCAGTTAATTTCCCCTCCCTCCCACTCTGTCCAAGGCTTCAGAGTTCCAGAACCGGAGCCAACTCCCTGATAAGGGCTGGGTGTGTTTGTGGAGAGAGGCACAAGGGAGTGCCAGCCATGCCGACCTGTGACCTGGTCTCTCCCAAGTCACTCACCTAGCAAAACTGCCTCTAAGGAGACATTAATTCCCTGGCTACCTTTAGAAAGTCCTCTGTCCATCCTCCCCAAAGGAAAGGGAGGGGACAAGGAAGAGAACCAGGCATCCAGCTGAGGTCAGGCAAGTCTGAGACAGAAGCACCTGAATTGAGAACAGAGGTGTAACTGCCATGTTCAAAGCAGTTCCCTTTTTACAGATGGATTGCATTCCAAAAGTCTGTTGTTAACGTTCCCTCTAAGGTAAATCAACCAGATCAATTGTTTATTGAGTATTTACTTTGTACCAGGCACTATGCTAAATGTGCATTCTTTTATTTAGTCCTTCTGAGAACGCTGAATAAGATCAAGAATAAATTGAACTTATTCTCACTTTGTGGATAAAGAAAGAGGGGCTTAGAGAGATTAAATAATTTGTCCCCAGCTGGCTGGATGTGGTGGCTCACGCCTGTAGTCCCAGCACTTTGGGAGGCTGAGGCGGGGGGATCACAAGGTCAGGAGATCAAGACCATCCTGGGTAACACGGTGAAACCCTGTCTCTACTAAAAATACAAAAAATTAGCCGGGCATCGTGGCAGGTGCCTGTAGTCCCAGCTACTCGGGAGGCTGAGGCAGGAGAATGGCGTGAACCCTGGAGGCAGAGCTTGCAGTGAGCTGAGATGGCGCCACTGCACTCCAGCCTGGGTGACAGAGCGAGACTCCGTCTCAAAAAATAAAAATTAAAAAAAAAAATAATTTGTCCCCAGCCATCTGGCAGAGTCAGGGTTGGGAATAGATTTTCATTCCCAAACCTGGTGGCTATACCGTGATGCCACACGATTTTGAGCAGGAAATAGCTTCCCAAATTAAGCCACCAGAACACTTTCAATCCATTATGCATCCAAAAATAGTGTACATTTGCAAAGGGAAAAAAGGAAACAATAGTTCTGAAATACTAATGAATTAATGCAGAAAAACAATGAAATGGACTAGGAAAGTTACGTAGAATGAGGAGTCTATGAAAAGTTACTTTATTGAGAAGAGGATGTGGAGGTTGCTGAAAATGAATGTGAATTAAATCCACAAGGGGAAGCTGGATACTTGCAAAGATTTAGGGGTTTGCTGGTCTTAGTATCTAGCTTCATTCCCAACTTGTGCATTTTCCTTGAGACAGCAGCTATGATTGGAATTATTTTGAGTTAAGAAATACAGCATGGTGGCTGGGCGCGGTGGCTCACGCCTGTAATCCCAGCACTTTGGTAGGCTGAGGCGGGCGGATCATGAGGTCAGGAGATTGAGACCATCCTGGCTAACATGGTGAAACCCCGTCTGTACTAAAAATACAAAAACAAAATTAGCTGGGTGTGGTGGTGGGCACCTGTAGTCCCAGTTACTCGGGAGGCTGAGGCAGGAGAGTGGCATGAACCCAGGAGATGAAGCTTGCAGTGAGCCAAGATCACGCCACTGTACACCAGCCTGGGCGACAGAGCGAGACTCTGTCTCAAAAAAAAAAAAAAAAAAGAGAGAAATACAACATGGTAGGCAAGGTGGCATGCAGCACCTGTAGTCCTAGCTATTCAAGAGGCTATAGGAGGGTCACCTGAGTCCAGGAGTTTGAGGCTGTGGTGAGCAATGATCATGCCAGTGAATAGCCACTGCACTCCAGCCAGGGCAACATAGTGAGACCCCCATCTCTAAAACATAAAACATAAAAAAGGAAAAGAAAAGAAAAAAGAAATACAGCAAAGAAAATAGGGGTAAGAGAAGAAGACAGAAAATTATTTCTGTATAGGTAACACAACAAGGAGGGGTAAAAATTGAGGCTATGTAGGTAGAAGAATTCTCCTTGTAGAAGAATTATGCAGCTGAGGCAACATTCTTTTTTATCCAAGGTGACATTTATGTAACTTTATCAGTGAGAAGGGCAATCAGGGAGCCAAGTGCATCGTCTGCCCAAAGGGTAGAACTGGTGATAGGTGAGAATAATAGTCACACTTTTCTCTCCACTGGCCTCAAATAACTTGATTACTGAGAGAACAGCTTCCAGGTGTGTTAGGGTAGGCAGAGTCAAAGGTACCTGGACCCTGAGATGTTCTCAATTATACCAATTTCCCCAGAGGAGCTCGTCCTGGTCCACAGCTTTATATCACCTACATGCTGAAATATTCAGGCTGCTGCTTTGAGCTCTAGGATCATACAGCCAGTGCCACTTTGAAATCTCCAAGGTAATCTTAAACCCACGCACCCCCATCTGTACCTCCTGCAGGCTTCCTCATACATTAAATAGCATCACCTTCCAAGCCAAAAACTTAGGAGCATCCTGGATTTCTGTCTTTCATTCCCCACCAATTAATCCATCAGCAGGACTAAAACAAACCTACACTTCTTATCCTGGCTGACAGCCCTGCCTCTCTCTCTGACTTCATCTCACGCTCTGTTTCTTCACACTTGCTGTGCTCCAGCCTTCCTTCTGTTCCTTAAACATGTCACTGTCATTCTTAGCCTAGGGCTTTTGGATTTGCTGTTTCCTCTGTCTGGAACACCCTTTCCCACCTCATTGCATGGCAAGCTTCTCATTCTTTAGGACTCAGATTACGTATCAGCTCCTCAGAGACTCAACTCCTTCCTGACCTTCCGATGTGAAGTTTCTTTAAATTATTCTCAGTCATATCACTTGGTTTCTTTTCTTCATAGTACCAATTTATGTCCTTTATTTACTTTTTTTTTTTTTTCTTTTCGAGACAGGGTCTTGCTCTGTCGCCCAGGCTGGAGTGCAGCTGCGTGATCTCGGCTCACTACAACCTCTGCCTCCCAGGTTCAAGTGATTCTCATGCCTCAGCCTCCAGAGTAGTTGGGACAACAGGTACCCACCACCACGCCCAGCTAATTTTTGTGTTTTTAGTAGAGATGAGGTTTCGCCATGTTGGCCAGGCTGGTCTCGAACTCCTGACCTCAGGTGATGTGCCCACCTCGGCCTCTCAAGGTGCTGGGATTACAGGCGTGAGCCACTGTGCCTGGTTTAGGGATGTCTTATTTTTTATTGTACCTAGCAGGGTACCTAGTACATTGCATTAATTAACGAATGAATAAAAGAAGCTTTCTAATTCAAAAAATACATCTTTTAGAGAGTCAAGTTTTTATATCAATTATAAGGTTAGTGGTAAGTGCATTTGTTGTTCTAGGACCTTTAATATAGCTACATTTGGGCTGGGCACGGTGGCTTACGCCTGTAATCCCAGCACTTTGGGAGGCTGAGGTGGGTGGACCGCCTGAGGTCAGGAGTTCAAGACTAGCCTAGCCAACATGGTGAAACCCCATCTCTACTAAATACAAGAAATTACCCAGGCGTGGTGGTGCATGCCTGTAATCCCAGCTACTTGGAAGGCTGAGGCAGGAGAATTGCTTGAACCCAGGAGGCGGAGGTTGCAGTGAGCTGAGATTGTACCATTGCACTCCAGCCTGGGCAACAAGAGCAAAACTCCATCTCAGAAAAAAATAAATAAAATAAATAAATAAATAAATATATCTACATCGGTGGGGAAGATAACTGTTTTTTTAAAAATCCAGAATTAGACAATTCACAACCCAGCCATGGCAGAGCTAGCACCTGATAAGCTCCTAATCAATACCAAAAGATATTCTAGAGAATGTAGTTGTTTCAGGATGCATATGAATAGTGTATATGCACGTAACGCATAACACATATTATAATAGCCACTCTGTATGGAGTCCCTCCTATGTAATAGGCACTGTGCTAAGTGCTTTATAAACACTCTTGCGATTAGTCCTCACACACACAAAAAAACCCCTGTAAGGTAAGTACTAGTATTAAGCCCACTTTACAGTTGAGAAAACTGTGGTTTAGAGAAGTATCTTACTAGTTGGAATTCAAACCTAGGTGGATCTGACTCCAGAGCCTGTTACTGTACTGCCTAGCATGTGCTGCTAGATTCCTACTGATGCCGTAAGATATGGGTAGGTACTACTGGCCCAGTTTTAGGCATAAGGAAGCAAAGGTTCAGAAATATTGAGTGACTTGCCTGAGATCATCAGCTAGTCAGTGGTGACCTGGAATTGAGTCCAGGTCCTTTTGACTTTAATCCCAGAACTCATTCTGCTATAGCTTATAGACCCTCTTGGGCAAAAGACAAGAGGTGAGACTGGGCAGGATGTATGTGCCCTGGGCCCTTGGGGACCAAGGGAGGGGAAAGGATGCTATGGAAAAAGCAGATATTCCTCTCTCCCGCAGGCATTCCTAGAGAAGTACGGATACCTCAATGAACAGGTCCCCAAAGCTCCCACCTCCACTCGATTCAGCGATGCCATCAGGTAGGGTGGAGGGATGTGGAGGACTTGGGGTAGGGGTGCTAGGATGCCAAGCTCTGACCATTTCCTCCCTCCTCCTGGAAGCCTGGCTGGCTACACCCCAGGGAGGCAGACTTCCCTGCCCTCACCCTTACCACTCACCCTCCCCTTGCGGTCCTTTCCTCCTGACAGAGCGTTTCAGTGGGTGTCCCAGCTACCTGTCAGCGGCGTGTTGGACCGCGCCACCCTGCGCCAGATGACTCGTCCCCGCTGCGGGGTTACAGATACCAACAGTTATGCGGCCTGGGCTGAGAGGATCAGTGACTTGTTTGCTAGACACCGGACCAAAATGAGGCGTAAGAAACGCTTTGCAAAGCAAGGTGAGCACTGTTAAAATCCGGCTAGGCCAAGATTTCCCAATGTCTTGAAGCCAATGGCTAGGAAAACAGCTGAGCCTGGGACTGGACTTTGTCAGTAACCTCTCTTCCCTAGGGCACGGGAGGAGTGGGTGAATAGGACCTCTTGGCTTGAGGACCATGATTGTGAATACAGACATTTAATTCAGAATGACACCTACATTGATGAATTTTCATTGTACAAGTGTTTTTCCAGATCAAACACAAAACCCATGTAATTCCTTGATAAATTTTCAATGCAGGGCAGATAAACTGTTGCTAACATTTTTCATTTATATTTACTGAAGTTATTTTCATCAGAATTCATTCTTTTTCATAAGTTATTAAACAAATGTGTGATCTATTGATTTACTTTGTCCATAGCATATTTTTAACCACTTTATTGAGATGTAGTTCACATCCCATACAATTTACCCATTTAAAGTGTACAATTCAGTGGTTTTTAGGATATTTGCGGAATTGTGCAACCATTACCACAATCTAATTCCAGAACATTTCATCACCCTGAAAAGAAACCCCATGCCCATTAGCAGTCATTCCCCCTTCTCCCCCTCCCCTAGCCTCTGGCAACCGCTAATCCACTTCTGTCTCAATGGATTTGCCTCTTCTGAACATTTCATCATAGCACAGTTTACACATTACAGTTTCTGCTGTCATGATTTTCCTCTTGTAACTTTATTTTGTTTCTTTCTTTTCTTCTCCTCCTTCTTTTAGCCAAATTTAATATTCCAGGGGTTAAATGGTACAGATCTAAGATTTATGAAGATTTGATTCTTTTGTCAGTTTTTCACAAATAACAAGTTTCACTATGCATAATTTTTTTTAAAGACAGAGTCTTGTTCCATCACACAGGCTGGAGTCAGTGGCGCAATCTCAGCTCACTGCAACCTCCGCCTCCTGGGTTCAAGCGATTCTCCTGCCTCAGCCTCACAAGTAGCTGGGACTACAGGCACATGCCACCACGCCCAGCTAATTTCTGTATTTTTAGTAGAGACAGGGTTTTGCCATGTTGGCCAGGCTGGTCTCGAACCCGCCTTGGCCTCCCAAAGGGCTGGGATTGTAGGCGTGAGCCACCGCACCTGGCCTACCGTGCATAATATTAACAACCTGATTGTTTTAACTAAGTCTAATTTTCTCTGCTCAATTTTTGCAGCTTTCAAGATTTCTAACAAGATGGGGGTTTTTAACCAGGTTTTCATCTATCATTAATTTTACTGTGAACACTTTGGGCCATTGCCACTTTTAATTTGTGTTGACTACTTTTACTGATAGTATTCATTAGGAACAGGACAGAAGGCACATAGTTTGTTCTCATTTCTTAGCTAACCTGTAAGGAAATTGTGGGCAGTTCCCCTTCACTGTTGGAGGGTGGCTGTTTCCAGGTGTTTGCCAAACCAATTCTGCTTCACCTATATGCCCAGCCACTCTGGGTCCTCAGTACTGACTGCTTGCTTTCCTGGTAAAGCAAGGAGTCAGCAATGGGGTCCGGCTCCGGAGTCAGGATGCCCTTGGTGTCAACATGTTCTGTGTCCCACCGTGTTTCTGGGCAATGGAGAGGAAGAGTGAAGTAGAAGAGCAGAGAGCTACGAGTTCAAGAGGCACTGGTAGAACAGAGAGCAGCATCCCTGGAGCCAGAGGCCCTGGGTTCAAGTCTCAGCTGTGTGGCCTGGGCCAGGTCACTTTTCTCACTGAGGCTCCGTTCCTTCATCCGAGACATAGGCCCTTCCAGGTTGCAAAGGAGAGATGGTCCTTGATTACCAGGTGGAAGGGGCTTGTTGTGAGAATGCAGTGGAAAGTGGGGCAGCCCCAGAAACAGTTCAGCAGCTGTACTTTGACCTGAGCTCCGGGGCTGCTTCCTTCTGGCTGTATCTCACCTTCTCATGCCCCAAAGGAAGGATCTAATAGAGTTCATCTGTCACTATACAATTTCGAGCATCTCTCTCTCTCTCTTTCTTTTTTTTTTGAGATGGAGCCTTGCTCTGTCACTCATGCTGGAGTGCAATGGCGCAATCTCAGGTGACTGCAACCTCCACCTCTTGGGTTCAAGCAATTCTTCTGCCCCAGCCTCCTGAATAGCTAGGATTACAGGTGCACGCCACCATGCCAGGGTAATTTTTTTTTGTATTTTTAGTAGAAACGGGTTTCACCATGTTGTCCGGGCTGGTCTCAAGCTCCTGACCTTAGGTGATCGCCCACCTCGGCCTCTCAAAGTGCTGGGATTACAGGCGCAAGCCACCGTGCCCAGCCAGAGCATCTCTTTTTGATAGAGGATAGTATTACTCAGTTGCCACATAAAATATAGGATGCCCAGTTAAATTTGAATTTCAGATGAACAACAGATAGTTTTTTAAAGTTAAAAAAAGAAACTTATCTGGCAGCTGGGCACAGTGGCTCACATCTTTAATCCCAGCGATTTGGGAGGCTGAGGCGGGAGGATCACCTGAGGTCAGGAGTTTGAGACCAGCCTGGCCAACATGATAAAACCCCGTCTCTACTAAAAATACAAAAAGTAATTAGCCTGGTGTGGTGGCACGCACCTGTAATCCCAGATACTCGGGAGACTGAGGCAGGAGAATTCCTTGAACCCGGGAGGTAGAGGTTGCAGTGAGCCAAAATCGCGCCACTGCACTCTAGCCTGGGTGACAGAGTGAGACTCTGTCTCAAAAAAAAAAGAAAAAGCCTGGGCGCGGTGGCTCACACCTGTAATCCCAGCACTTTGGGAGGACGAGGCGGGCAGATCATGAGGTCAGGAGATCGAGACCATCCTGGCTAACACGGTGAAACCCCATCTCTACTAAAAGTACAAAAAATTAGCCAGGCGTGGTGGGGGGTGCCTGTAGTCCCAGCTACTTGGGAGGCTGAGGCAGGAGAATGGTGTGAACCCGGGGAGGCAGAGCTTGCAGTGAGCCCGGATGGCACCACTGCACTCCAGCCTGGGTGACAGAGCAAGACTCCGTCTCAAAAAAAGAAAAAAGAAACTTATCTGGCAACCTCATTGCAGGTACCTGCTCCTCCTGCCTGCCTGCAGGCTTCCTGTTCCTTCACTAAGCTGGCGGAGGTTGGGGGCACCAGGGTGTATCCGGGGTGGAAAAGGAAGGAAGAGGGGAATGTATATTTATTGAGTATGCACTACACGCCCAGCAGCTCCACATTGCTGTCTCATTTAAGCCTCACATCTTACCATGGGAAAAGTCTTATCAACCCCATTTTGCACATAGGGAAACAGGCTTGGAGAGATTCCATAATTTGTTATGTAAGTTTGCAAGTAGAGGTACTGGGATTCTAACCCATGTTCTTTCCACAGTGTCAGTTCCCTGCTGGGAGTCGGAACTCCAGGGTTCTGCCCAGGCAAAGCTTTTAGTTCTCCTCCCCCTTCCCATACTTTTTCCTTCCCCCTTCCTTTTTGAACTTTGGAGCAAGGGTGTCAGGGAGTACAATGCCAGGTGCTGCTAGGGCCTGGGGGTCACCACAAAAACCAGCCCTCCCTGGCCAGGAGTTTGGGTCAGGGCCTGAAGCGGCTAGCTTTCTCCATGGGAGCAAATCTGGAGGGAGACAGGGGCAAGGGCTCAGACTGCTGGCCCCCAGCCAGGTCCTTTCTTCCTGGCAGGCACACCAGCGACACCCCCTCCCCTGGTCCTCTCAGGAAAACAGTCGTTTTCTCTCAATTCCCATTCCTATTCATCCTCCCTATTCTTCCCCCAAACACACACATGCACATACTCAGAGTTTCCTACAGGATTTTATTCTGAGACCTGTCACCTTCACTGGCGGCCTAGAATGAGAAAACTGCCCGCCACCCCCTCTTCTGCCTGTGAAGTGAGGGACCCCACTAGCTGCAAAGAGGCAGAAGGAGCCATCTCACACTATGCTAATGGATTAGAGGTTTGTGAGGGGAAAGAAAGAGCCTGGGAGACCGTCCCCCACAGCAAGGGCGTGAAAGAGCCCAGCGCCCATTGAAGACTCACAGTGTGCCCAGCAGAAGCATGACTGGTACATCACAAACCCTCAGCCGCACCTCTGGACCCCAGGTCTTCCCTCTGCCTTCTTTGTCTCCCTCCCTTCCTTAGAGTCATTCCCTCTCTCCTCGTTAAGGGTTGGTCACTGGCTGGGAGGCAGAGGTTGGGTGGCTGCCAGGCCAAACAGGCCCAGGGAGGCGGCATTGCCTTGAATGGAGCTTGGCTCAGGGGTGGGAGAAGGGATGTACCCCTCCCCCACTTGCATTGGTGAGGAGAAGAGAGTCCAGCTCCTCTGCTCTCCAAGACCCTCCCTTACATCTGGAGAATCTTAGTTCATGCTTTGACCGGCAGGAATGATGTTTGGGCAGATTTATAAGCCTGGCGTCCTGGCAAATGTGCCTGCCTGTCTATGTGGAATAATGGAAGAGCCCTGGATTAGGTGTCAGGGCCTGCCTCAGCTACTTACTCATTCCGGGACCCTGGGCAGGCCCCTTGTCCTGGGGTCTCAGGTCTCAGTTACCACATCCTTGGCCCAAGAGTCCTGCCTCCAAGCCGCGAGTCTTCCACTTGAGGTTACAATCCCAGCCCCTGAGTTTGCAGGGCTCAGAAATAGCCCACAAGAAACTCGGGATCTGGCCCTTCCGGCCATGCTGCTGCCGGGTGCACGCTGAGCTGCAGTTGGGCCCAGACTCAGTTGACGGGGGCTGGGGTAAGAGGCCAGAGTCTCAGCCCTCAGGGAGGAGTTGCAATTTGGGGCAAAGGGAGAGAAACCCTTAACAAAGCAGAGATGGAAAACTTTCTCTCAGTCAGTGACAAAACACACGCTTTGTTCTTATTTGTTTTCACCTCAGAGCTCTCCAGAGTCCCTGAGGAAGCGAGGAGGAGAGGGGCAGGAAAGAAACTCAAATGAATGAGTCTTGTGGTTGTTGGCTGGCCATAGGCCCCAGGCCCTGGAAAGGGCAGAGTGAAGTGTCTAGAGGTGGCAGGAGGGTGTGAGGCCTGAAGAGAGATGGTGGGGGGCAGGGGGAGTCACAGCTGTGGCCTCTGTGGCCCCACCTCTCCTCCACTCTGACACTGCAGGGAGGGGCTGGGATTTGCTGGTAGCAACAGACACAGAACTGTTTTCAGACTCAGCCCAGGCTGTGGGGAAGAATAAGACCCTAGACCAAGGGTTCAGACAGACTTCTTCAGATTGGGGGCTTCTCCTGGGCAGAGGCTGCTTCCCCTCCAACACACTGGGACCTCCACAGTCCAAGCCACTGTACTGGGGACTGTCCAGGGTAAGGGGAGTCCTCTCAGTCTGAGGGCTGCCCTCAGCCAGGCAGTATCGCCCCAGTCAAAGGGGGAGCTGCCCAGGGCAAAAACTGTGTCTTCCCCGTCAGACGAGGGGCTGCTGGGGGAGGGCCTACCCCTCGCCATCCTACTGGGTCTGTGGGGACCAGACTCGGGCTCTGCAGCAGGTGTGACTGACGTGGGCTTTCTGGGTGGCAGGTAACAAATGGTACAAGCAGCACCTCTCCTACCGCCTGGTGAACTGGCCTGAGCATCTGCCGGAGCCGGCAGTTCGGGGCGCCGTGCGCGCCGCCTTCCAGTTGTGGAGCAACGTCTCAGCGCTGGAGTTCTGGGAGGCCCCAGCCACAGGCCCCGCTGACATCCGGCTCACCTTCTTCCAAGGGGACCACAACGATGGGCTGGGCAATGCCTTTGATGGCCCAGGTGCTGGCACAAAGCCTCCCTCCCGCACAGCAGGAGGGGAACCCAACTTGGAGAAGCAGTTTGGGGGTGGCAATGAAGCATTCACCCTCCCTGTGGCCTTGGCTGAGGCACATCTCCCTGCAGAGAACCCTCAGTCTCCTCATCCTAAAATGGGAACAGTGGTCCCTGCCCTATTATGTGTCACATGTCTGAAGGGACAGTCAGATGAAGCTCTGCAAGGGAAGTGCTTTGCAAATTCTCAAGAGTATTATGCATTCTGGGAGAATCTCCCGAGGTTCCATCATCCATCCTCTGCCTCTAGACAGGCCTGTGCTTCTCTTGTTCTCCAGAGTGGATGTTCACTCCAGAGCCCTAAAAAACATCCACTGCCCACCACTGCTCCCCCACCCCCAACTACCAGAGCCGCTGCCACAGGGCAAGAGGCACCCTACTCCCGACAGCCCTGACAGGGAAGTGCTTCATATACCTACGCCACAGATAGTTCTGTTTGTCCCCAACCTGAAGACTCTGGCTGCAGTTTAAACCGCTCTTTTCCCCTTCTGCCTAACGCTAGCCTTCAGAACCTGAATATAGGCTGTTTGCACATTTCCCCTCCTAATGAAGAAAGGAAACCTAATCAGACCCCTTCAAGCTGGGGACTTAAGCCCTTGTATGGCCTGGGAACTTGAGCCCCCACCTCCCTCGCACCCTCCTGCTTTCAGTCAAGCCCACCTACAGCAAAGCCCACATCCAGGCCCTACTGCTGAGACCTGGGTTAGGACCAGGAGGAATCTAGGCTTTGCAAGAATCCACATGTAGTGCACACATGCACTTATTTGTAACTGACTTCATCCATGTGATCTACCTGACATGGTTCTATCCATACCTAGTTAAGACAGCACTGCACTGGGAGTAAGGACATCAGGATCCCCAAGCAGCCCTCTGATTTGGGACAGATACTTTGTCTTTTTGAATAGTGGTCTTCTCTCCCAAACCTGCCCATCCGTCTCCCAGTGAGAGTTGAATAGAGTGAACAATGCTTGAAACAGCTGGAGACATATTCAAAATAGGCATGTATTCCTCCTACATGCGGCTGACTTTCCATGCCCCCAGGAGGATCTCCTTTTAGTCTAGCACCCCCATCTTTGCCAGTCACAGTTGGCCTGGGGTCCAAGAAGGCAAAGCTGGAGGGACCCTCGACAAGCTTCTAGGCAAACTTTATCATAGTGCAGTTTTCTGACTCCTGTGTCAGGGTCACCTGCCGCTGTGGAAGGGGAATTGTTAGGGGTGGTACCCTGGCACCTGCACATCTAATAAGCTCCATCTGGGGCACACTAAAAGCTTGAAAATCACTGATCCAGCCCAACTACCTCTGCTCATTCCTATTAGAAGTAGAGAGAGGCCCCCCAGAGGTGCCCTGGCAGAGGAGGGCAAGAACACAATTTTATATATATATATATATATATATATATATATATATATATATATATATATATATATATATTCACTTCTATATGTATGTATATTTTCTTTAACAAAAGTATATATAAAATAATAAAAATAAAAATTATACTTTTTATTAAATAAAATACACATACATATAGAAGTGAACCATCTCAAGTTTAGCCTGATGAACTTTCATACACTGAATGCTCCCAGCACCCAAATCAAGAAACAGAAGGTCCCATCATGCCTCCTTTTAGGGGTAACTATACTCTACCTACTCCTAGATCTTTTTGAAAGTAATTCTTTTTTTTTTTTTTTTTTTTTGAGACAGAGTCTCGCTTTGTCACCCAGGCTGGAGTGCAATGGCGTGATCTCAGCTCACTGCAAGCTCTGCTTCCCGGGTTCACACCATTCTCCTGCCTCAGCCTCCCGAGTAGCTGGGACTACAGACACCCGCCACCACGCCTGGCTACTTTTTGCATTTTTAGTAGAGACAGGGTTTCACCGTGTTAGCCAGGATGGTCTCAATCTCTTGACCTCGTGATCCACCCGCCTCGGCCTCCCAAAGTGCTGGGATTACAGGCGTGAGCCACCGCACCCAGCCTGAAAGTAATTCTTAAGTGGCCCTTATTACGTGCTAGGCACTGTTCCAAGGATCACTTTTTTGTTGTTGTTGTTTCGTGGTTGTTGTTGTTGTTGTTTGAGACAGGGTCTTACTCTGTCACCCAGGCTGGAGTGTAGTGGCGCAATCACAGCTCACCGCAGCCTTGACCTCCTGGGACTCAAGAGAGCCTCCCACCTCAGCTTCCCAAGTAGCTGGGGCTACAGGTGCACACCATCACGCCTAGCTAATGTTTTTGTTTTTTAGTGGAGATGAGGTCTTGCTTTGTTTCCCCAGGCTGGTCTCGAACTCCTGGGCTCAAATGTTCCTCCCACATCAGCCTCCCAAAGTGCTGAGATTATAGGCGTGAGCTACCACACCCTGCTGCATCATTTGTAATACACATGTACACACACACACACACACACACACACACACATTTATTATTCAGAACAACTCTGTGAGGAAGAAGCTCACCATCATCATTCCCATTTGCAGATCAGGAAGTTAAGACATAGAGAGGTTAAGCTAAATGCTGAAGGTCATACAGCTAGTAGATTGTAAAAGTAGGAATGGCACCCAAATTGGTGGGCCCATGCCATATCTACACCACAGTGCCTCTTAGGCGTCCACAGCCTACTCATCGTCCACTGCACTACTCACCTGAAGTAGTGCAGAGCCTACTGTTCACCTCTGCACACTTCAGGTTCTGCCAGATTTTAGGAGGGAAACTATACAGCAGAGAACAGCCACACACACCCCAGTGGCATTTGCGCTGGGCCGCGAGTACCTGGGGGCGTCGTGGGCCGTGGCACCCCCTGACCTTCTGCCCCACCTGCAGGGGGCGCCCTGGCGCACGCCTTCCTGCCCCGCCGCGGCGAAGCGCACTTCGACCAAGATGAGCGCTGGTCCCTGAGCCGCCGCCGCGGGCGCAACCTGTTCGTGGTGCTGGCGCACGAGATCGGTCACACGCTTGGCCTCACCCACTCGCCCGCGCCGCGCGCGCTCATGGCGCCCTACTACAAGAGGCTGGGCCGCGACGCGCTGCTCAGCTGGGACGACGTGCTGGCCGTGCAGAGCCTGTATGGTGAGGCCCCGGGACATGCCCCGCTCTTGGTCCCACTCCTGCCCCCAAGGCCTCCTGTCCTTGAACGCCGGCTCTGCAAATAGGATTTCCCATCCTAAGCTCATAGATCTGGCCTCCCTGTCGCCGATTCGTCCCAATTCTAAAGCCCTATGCCCCTCCTCAAATCTGAAAAACCTCGGATTCTTGCTCCCCCGAGTCCATGGCCCTCATCTCTCCATCAGTCCCAACTAATTCCTGTGCACAGTACCCCCAACCCCGCCCCTTGCGTTCCACTTACTGGATTTCTGCCCAACCCCCAGCCCCCGCAGCTCCCGCTCACACCATGTGCCCGCCCCATCACCCATACCCAATCCTTGGGCCCACCTCTTCCCCCATCCCGGACCCCAAAGCCTTCATTCCTGCCCCAGCCACTAGCTCTCCCCGAGCCTTTCTCTCACCACGATGCTGATGCCCCCTATCCCCAAAGCCTGCCCACCTCTGCCTGGTGGTGGGCTCAGACCAGGTCTTCTTCCCCAGGGTGGGCCAGTGCTACTGCCCTGGGATCTATCTCAGCCCAGGGCTGTCTCCCTCAGAGTGCCATGGGCAGAGCCAGGAGGCCTGGGTTCAAGTCACCTTCCATCCCTGATTAGCAGATGCTCTTGGGCATTTTCCCTCTGTGAACCCTCAGTTTTACCTTCTGTGAAAAGAGATAACAACTGAGGTCCTGCTTACCTGACAGGGCTGTTGTGCTACTGGGTATGAGCATGCTTTGTAGCCTGAGAAACTTATACCCTGTAATACTAACAGCTACTATTTCATGAGTACCTACTGTGGGCCAGGCACTTGACATGCAACACACCCATGAAGTATGCATCTTTTTGTCCACAGATCAAGATAATGGGGCTCAGAGAGGTTAGGTAACTTGCTCAGGGTCATGCAGCTAGGAAATTGCAGACTGGGATTCAGGTGATGGTACCAAATAATAAGCTTGTTGGACTCTGCTTCCCTCCTCTCATAAGTGAAGGATAGTGATGTAATTATTATAATTGCTGTAGTTATCACAGCCTGGGTCTCTGGACTCTGCCCTCATGACACCTGTGTTGCCCAGGAATCAGAGAAGAGGACTCCCTGACCCGCTTAGTTCCCTTGCTTGATACCCCACTCCAATTTTATCTCAGGAGGTTCCTCTGTCCCAGGATGTTGGGTAGAAGAAGATTCCTGAGTTTAGTTTGATGGTTAGCACCAACAACCAGGAACAACTCTTTTTTTTTTCTTTTTGAGACGGAGTCTCGCTCTGTCACCCAGGCTAGCGTGCAGTGGCATGATCTCAGCTCACTGCAACCTCCACCTCTCGGATTCAAGCGGTTCTCCTGCCTCAGCCTCCCAAGTAGCTGGGACTACACGTGTGCACCACCATGCCTGGTTAATTTTTGTATTTTTAGTACAGACAGGGTTTCACCATTGGCAAGGCTGGTCTCAAACTCCTAACCTCAAGTGAACTGCCTGCCTCGGTCTCCCAAAGTACTGGGATTACAGGTGTGAACCACCATTCCTGGCCCAGGAACAACTCTTAACCCCCACTCCCACTCTCCTTCCTTGCCCCTCATATTAGATAATCATGAAAGTAACCAAGGGAAGGTCTTGAGTGCACAGCATACCCTCTACCCTATGTGTGTTCTCTCTCTCTCTTATTTCCTTACTCACAAAGGGAAGCCCCTAGGGGGCTCAGTGGCCGTCCAGCTCCCAGGAAAGCTGTTCACTGACTTTGAGACCTGGGACTCCTACAGCCCCCAAGGAAGGCGCCCTGAAACGCAGGGCCCTAAATACTGCCACTCTTCCTTCGATGCCATCACTGTAGGTAAGAAGGTCCCACTGGTGCTTTGCTTCTTTCTCTCCTTCCATATCTCTTAGTGTCTCCAGAGCTGCAGTACAAGTTGGGGGGATGGACTGTAAAAGCCAGAAATCCCAAGCCACAAGCACGCTGCAGGTAGCAACCCCACACCCAGCAAAACACCGCTTCTTCCTGCCCACTTTCCCCTCTGCGCCAACTGTACACACCATACCCTATGCTTGTCCATTTGGGAAACTGGCTTCCAGGACAGCATCTTTCCTGGAAAGACAGCAGGAAGCTGATGGTCACTCCTCAACTCTCTCTTGTCTCTGGGCAGACAGGCAACAGCAACTGTACATTTTTAAAGGGAGCCATTTCTGGGAGGTGGCAGCTGATGGCAACGTCTCAGAGCCCCGTCCACTGCAGGAAAGATGGGTCGGGCTGCCCCCCAACATTGAGGCTGCGGCAGTGTCATTGAATGATGGAGATTTCTACTTCTTCAAAGGTACTGGCTCTGGGGCAGCGGGGAAAACTGAGCCCTAGAGAGGGAAGGTGTCCTGCCCAAGGTCAAAAGAGGACAAAAGAGGGGAAGACTCTCACACGAGTCCATGGTGGAGTCTCCATTCCAATCTGAACCTGTGACCCCAGGGAAGACTCTATCAGAAGATACCTTTCAGGGATGGATTAGGGAGCAGCAAGTGTCAAAGTCCCAGGGAGAGTTTCAGAGAGGAGTCTAGAGGGAAGCAGAGGACTGCTCTGGAGTTCTGCAACTGAGCAGAAAGCTGGATCTTCCTTGGAATCCTAGCTGTGTGGGGTTGGACGTGTCGCTTAACTTTTGGAGTGTGCATTTCTCGAATGGGGAAAACAATACCTCACACTTGCTGGGGAAGGAGTGTGAAAAGAGAATATTGCCTGAAGAGTGTGCAATATCTTACTAGATACATGTTAATACTTAGGTAAATAGTATTCATTCATTTGTTCATTCATTCAACCAATATTGAGTGCCTTGTATGCACTAGACGTGGTTGGATATGTTAGGGATACAGCAGTGAATGAAACAAAAATCCTTGCCCTCATAGAATTATTAGTAATGATGGCAGTGGAGAAAGCTCTGGGCCTTCCTTTCGGGGCTATCTGCCCTCTGCTGACACCTGCTGGGAGTCTAGACAATAAATAATAGGAGTTGCTACTACCACCCTGCTATTTATAACTAATTTGTAGTGCAATCCGTTTGATTGATATGAATACCAACCATCGTGGGCTCCAGCTTAAAGGAGAGCAGAGGTATGGGGGACAGAAGTGGGGTAGAGGGCCAATGGGTGACAGCCTCCAGCTCACCCTGGCTCTCCCAATTCCCCACAGGGGGTCGATGCTGGAGGTTCCGGGGCCCCAAGCCAGTGTGGGGTCTCCCACAGCTGTGCCGGGCAGGGGGCCTGCCCCGCCATCCTGACGCCGCCCTCTTCTTCCCTCCTCTGCGCCGCCTCATCCTCTTCAAGGGTGCCCGCTACTACGTGCTGGCCCGAGGGGGACTGCAAGTGGAGCCCTACTACCCCCGAAGTCTGCAGGACTGGGGAGGCATCCCTGAGGAGGTCAGCGGCGCCCTGCCGAGGCCCGATGGCTCCATCATCTTCTTCCGAGATGACCGCTACTGGCGCCTCGACCAGGCCAAACTGCAGGCAACCACCTCGGGCCGCTGGGCCACCGAGCTGCCCTGGATGGGCTGCTGGCATGCCAACTCGGGGAGCGCCCTGTTCTGAAGGCACCTCCTCACCTCAGAAACTGGTGGTGCTCTCAGGGCAAAATCATGTTCCCCACCCCCGGGGCAGAACCCCTCTTAGAAGCCTCTGAGTCCCTCTGCAGAAGACCGGGCAGCAAAGCCTCCATCTGGAAGTCTGTCTGCCTTTGTTCCTTGAAGAATGCAGCATTGTCTTTGTCTGTCCCCACCACATGGAGGTGGGGGTGGGATCAATCTTAGGAAAAGCAAAAAAGGGTCCCAGATCCCTTGGCCCTTTCCTCCGAGGACTTCTATCCTCCCCAGGCCTTTGTTTCTTCGGCTAAAGGTACAGTTCCTTTCAAGAGGTAACAGCACTGGGATCCAAGCAGGGGGATGAAAAACTCAGCAGAGAAATTCGAGACCATTTTGCAAGACTGTGCCCTTCTCCTCAGGACCCCCTGGCTCAGTTCTTGAAAAACGGTGTCATATTTAGTCAGAGGCCCCACCCCCAGGAAGCATGGATGGGGATGAAGGCACAGGCGTCTCCAACCTCAGAGGCCCTTTGTGGGGTCAGGACACAGAGTGGGAGGGAGACTGATGCAGGCCTACCAGTCCCTGGCTTTTTGTCTGGGGCTGGAATAAAGAGGTGCCTTCAGCTGGTGGGCCGAGAGGCAGGAAGCAGCCTTCCTTGGAGCAGTTCTTCCATCCTTTGCTGTGAGAGCAGGTGGGCATGGGTGCAGGGGAGGCCAGGGCCATGCTCTTCCATCCAAGCCAGGGCTAGGCAGCTGTGTGTGTGTGTGCAGAGCTGTGATGGAGAGAAGGGGCCTGCCTCTCCTCAAAAAGCAAAATGTCCTTGCAGCTCCAGGCCAGATGGAGAATGATGTGCAGCAGGGAGAGGTCAAGGGGCCTTCCTGGGGCTCTGCAACGCTGCAGGCGCTGGGGATGCAGCCTCCACAACAGGCAGCCCTGCAGGCTGAGGGTGGCCTTGTGCTCTCACAGTGGCCGCATTCTCCAGGCCACACACGAGGCATTCCCAAAGCTCCTGCTGTCTGGCCAAGAATAGCTGGGATTCCTGGAGAAGGAACCAGCTCCCCAGCCTCCCTGTCTTCTGCCTCCACCCATGCCAGCATTTATTTTAGCATCTGGTTTTCCAGGCTTCTCCCACCCCTCCACACCTGCTAGTGCCTCATATGCACAGCACTGACCTCAGCAAGCCAGGGCGTCTAGGGCAGGCGAGAATGGTCTGGCAAGGGTTCAGCCCTCACCTCCCCAGGGCCATTGTTGGCCCTGCCCGTTCATTTTCTCCTCTGCGCAGTGGGCAGAAGGGCCTTTGCCTTTGGATACAAATGTTTGTACCGTTCTGGGGTAGAGAGGGAAGAGGCTCCCTGCCCACACTTTTACCTCTGGCTTGAACCCCAGGAGGATCATCCCCACCCGGAGCCACCTGCGCCACCTCAAAGCACTGACACTTTGATCAGAGGTTTTATTGAATGGTTTCAGGGAAAGAGGCAGGTTTGTCAGAGGGATGAGGGAACCCTGAGGTTATTTTCTCTAGGCGATGCCTCTGCCCACTGGGCCAGAGCGGATCTGAAATACCCAAGAGGTGAAGGTGAGGCTGTGTGAGCGGACAGAGTCAGGTGTGCGGTGGCGCTGGTGCTGCGTGGGGGCGGGGAGCCCTCGGTGGGCGCTGTTGACAGCGGGCTCTAGGTTATGCTGGGCTCTGCACTGGGGGCGCTAGGTGACAGATGGGAACCAAGCACCAACAGTGGGCCTTCTTGACGGATGGGGGCGCTCTGGGCAGCAGCTGAGAAGGGGCGGTCCTGCGGAATGCGTCGAAGAGGGCTCCGCGCTCCAAGAGAGAAGGTCGGTAGGGGGTCTGGGGCCAGGAAATGATGGAGGGCACAAAGGCTGGGAGCGGGGGCGCTCAGGAGTTCCCAGCGGCCCCCGCCTTACCCAGATCCGGGTGATCCAGAACGCAGTGCGCCACATAGGCTGGGTGGCTGTGCAGACTCCTGCATTTCTTGCAGAAGAGGAGCTCGCAGCAAGCACAGCCCCCGCGGCGCGGCGGTCGTCGCCGGATCTCCAGCACGCACGGCTCCTCCGGGAGGCTCCGCTTCCTGCCGGCGGGGACCAGGCGCTCAGTGCCTGGGGCAGCCCCTCCTCCCTGGGGCCCGGGCACCGCCTCCCTCGTGCCCCGGTCGAGGAGCGCGCAGGCACCTGTCGGTGGGAGCTGTTAGGCCGCCCAGCAGCGCTAAGGGGCCGAGCCAGCCCCAGAAGCCGCTGTCCGCGCGCCGCAGCAGCGCCACCTGCTGGGTGCTGGACTCCTGGCGCAGCGGGCAGTAGGACACTGAGCGCCGCTCGCGGCCTTCGCCCTCCTCCGCTACCCGCGGCGGCTCCTCGCCCTCCGTCGCGCTGTCCTCCAGCGGCCTCTGGTTGTCCTCGTCCTCGTCCTCCGACCCCTCCTTCCCTTCCTCTTGCTCCGCGTCCTCGGCCCGGAGCTCTTCCGTTTCCTTCTTCCACAAGGGGGTCTTCACACCTGCGGGCCGGGAGGAGGTCAGGGCAGTCCTGCTGTCCCCGAGAAAGGGTCCAGAATAATTTTTCATGTATTTATTTATTTATTTATTTATTTATTTATTTATTTATTTTGAGACAGGGTCTCTCTCTGTAGCTCAGGCTAGAGTGCAGTGGCGTGATCTCTGCTCACTGCAACCTCCGCCTCACGGGCTCAAGCGATTCTTTTGCCTCAGCCTCCCAAGTAGCTGGGACTACAGGCACGCCCCGCTGCGCCCTGCTAATTTTTGTATTTTTAATAGAAACGGGGTTTCACCATGTTGGCCGGGCTGGTCTCAAACTCCTGACCTCAGGTGATTTGCCCTTTTCGGCCTCCCAAAGTGCTGAGATTACAGGCGTGAGTCACTGCACCCGGCCCTGGATACTTTTTCAAAAAAATTTTTTAAGTCCAGGCATGGTGGCTCACGCCTGTAATCTCAGCACTTTGGGAGGTCGAGGTCGGTGGATGGCTTGAGCTCAAGAGTTCGAGACCAGTGTGGGCAACAAGGTCAGACTCTTTTTATTTCGCTCCAAAAAAAAAAAAAAAAAAAAAAGCTGGGCATGGTGGTGTACACCTGTGGTCCCAGCTACTTGGGAGGCTGAGGTGAGAGGAAGCTGAGCTAGGGAAGTCGAGGCTATGGTGAGCCATGATTGCACCACCACACTCCAGCCTAGGTGACAGAGTGAGACCCCGTCTCCACAATTAAAAAAGATTTTTTTTTTTGAGACAGGGTCTCACTATGTTGTCCAGGCTGGTCTCTGAACTCCTGGCTTCAAGCAGCCCTCCTGCCTAGGTCTCCCTAAAGTGCTGGGATCACAGCCACGAGCCGCCTCCCCTGGCTTACTGATCCCATTTTTTTTTTTTTTTTTGGAGACGGAGTCTCGCTCTGTCGCCCAGGCTGGAGTGCAGTGGTGCCATCTCGGCTCACTGCAAGCTCCACCTGCCGGGTTCACGCCATTCTCCTGCCTCAGCCTCCCGAGTAACTGGGACTATAGGCGCCCGCCACCACGCCCAGCTAATTTTTTGTATTTTTAGTAGAGACCAGGTTTCACCATGTTTGCCAGGATGGTCTCGATCTGACCTCGTGATCTGCCCGCCTCGGCCTCCCAAAGTGCTAGGATTACAGACGTGAGCCACCGCGCCTGGCCACTGATCCCATTTTAATAGGTGGTTATTTACAGAATATTTTATTTTCTGAACGGGATTTCCTTCCTCCAAGTGGGCCTTGCCTTAAGGAAGCCCAGCATCTCCGCTGGTGGGGTGGGCAGGCGGGTGGGCTTACAGCACCTCTGTATGATTAGAAAAGGTGCCTTATAGTTAGGGAAATGGAAAAAGGACCCTCTATGGGCAGACCAATTGGGAAAAGGCTGTCCTTAGGGTGAGCCAATTAGGAAAAGACGCTTCCTCCTTCTTCCAGGCTTGACTTCAGCCACCACTGTCCCCTCTTGCTGGTGCCTTTGTTCAGGGCACAGTTACTACAACTACAAGCAGTAGCCCCAGCAGAAAGTTCCTGGGCTGACATGGAAACTAAGCTGGCCTCCCCTAGAAGGTGTCCGCCGCCCATTCAGCAAACATTCACCAGGCTTCATGCATCCTGTGTCTGTCACATCTGGATAGCTAGGTTTGTAAAGGAAAGAGGGGAGGAAGGCAGGGAAGACACAACTCGTGGAGTTTGCTATGGAAAAGTCAAGAAACATTTCTAGGCGGGGCACGGTGGCTCATGCCTGTAATCCCAGCACTTTGGGAGGCCGAAGCAGGCGGATCACCTGAGGTCGGGAGTTCGAGACCAGCCTGACCAACAAGGAGAAACCCCGTCTCTACTAAAAATACCAAATTAGCTGGGCGTGGCAGTGCATGCCTGTAATCCCAGCTATTCAGGAGGCTGAGGCAGGAGAATCGCTTGAACCCAGGGGTCGGAGGTTGTGGTTTACCGAGATCACGCCACTGCATTCCAGCCTGAGCAACAAGAGCAAAACTCCGTCTCAAAAAAAGAAAAAAAGAAAGAAAGAAAAAGAAACGTTTCTTTTGATCCCAGTCCATCCTATTTAAAGAGCAAAGGTACTGCTCATGATTGGTGTTCTAGCCTTCTGGTTGTAAAAGGCCAGGCCTAGTTCACAGCTAGAAAAGGGTTCCAGAGATGTTTCAAGAGGAAGGGGAGGAGGAAAAGGAGTTGAAAACAAAGGGTTGGACATTGAGTGCTGCGCTATGGAATCTGGACTTTGCCTCTCAGCAGTGAGGAGCCGCTGAACATTCTTGTAGAGGGACGTGTTCCAAGCTGTGTTTTAGGATGTTCCCTCTGACAAGACAGAGGGAGACCCCACTTAGGAGTCATTACAGTGGTCCAGGCCGGAGAAGACAAAGGTCTGAACAGGAGCAGGTGGAGATGATGAAGCAGATGTTAAGACTATTCTGGAGCCAGATGTGGTGGCTCACACCTGTAATCCCAGCACTTTGGGAGGCCAAGTCAGGAGAATCACTTGTGCCTGGGAGGTTGAGACTGCAGTGAGCTGTGACAACGCCACTGTACTCCAGCCTGGGTGACAGAGCAAGACTGTTTCTAAAAAAAAAAAAACAAAAAACAGGCCAGGCACAGTGGCTCATGCCTGTAATCCCAGGACTTTGGGAGGCCAAGGTGGGTGGATCACTTGAGGTCAGGAGTTCGCGACCAGCCTGGCCAACATAGTGAAACCCCATCTCTACTAAAAATACAAAATACAAAAATTAGCTGGGTGTTGTGGCATGCTCCTGTGGTCCCAGCTACTCGGGAGGCTGAGGAACGAGAATCACTTGAACCCGGGAGGCAGAGGCTGCAGTGAGCTGAGATCTCGCCACTGCACTCCAGTCTGGGTGATAGAGCAAGACTCTATCTCAAAAAAAAAAAAAAAAAAAAAATTCAGGAAGGCGAAAGGAGAGGGCTTGCAGCTACATGGATGGGTAACTGAGAAAAGGTTGGACTTCATGGTGATGGGCTGGATTGTCCAAGCTAGGGTCAAGAGGTCCTGTCCTCCAGCCCCACCCTGCCTCCAGCCCCACTCACCATGCTTATCCATTCTTCCCAAGGCTGTGCCCTGCTTTCCCTGATCAGAGACTGGGATGTGAGAGGGTGCCCAGAACCCATAGAACTTTGTCTCATGTCTAGGGCCTCTATTAGGTCACAAGGGGTGGGGCTAGAACCTCACCTGCCCATAAGGCTCTGCCCAGGAATAATTTCCTTTTCCAGAGCCTCCCAAAGCACTAACAACTCAGATGTCTCCTACCTTCCCTCTTAGGAAGGCATTAAAGGGGAAGAGAGGATGGCTTTGGCCCGCAATAAACTGGGTTCAAATCCCAGCTCTACCACATAAATATAAAAGTTATCTGATGTTCAGCATGGTATCTCTCTGACCCTCAGTCTCTTCATCTGTAAGTCAGAGATAGTAATACAGTACCACGCTTTACCTGGCCTATGGGAAGCACTGAAAGCACTGGGTTTGTTTGTATCATTATATTCTGTCTTCCTCTTCCTGTCTTATCCTTATCCTTCTTCACCCCATGCTCTCCACTTCTCCTATTTCCATTTCATTGCCAGTACCAAGGAACACAAGGGAATGGTGCCAAGTCCAGTAGGAAGTAGGACTCGGGTACCAGGCTGGTATAGCTCCTGGATATTGTGTATTTGTTGGGGGGCAGGGGTGAGGGAGGGAGTAAAATCAAGGAGCTTCAGGAAAATCCTTTCCTTTCCTGGACTCGAAGTGGAGTGTGTTGGCACAGAGAGGAATGTGTAGATGGACAATGGACAGATTCAGCTCTGGAAAGCCCTCCATCTGTTGAGATGAAGTTGCTGACCTCAAAGAGAGCCCAGTCTAATAGTGATCTGCGATCCTCCATCCAAGTCTGAGAGTGGAGGGCAATGGAGTCCCTTCCTTTGGGCATCTAAGTTTGGTGGAGGCAAGTTGATGGGCTGGAGAACAGAGAGCAGACCTGGCCCCCAGGAATCTCGTAGTCACAAGGGGGCAACCCTATCAAGAACTGTGAAGGATCTGAAATGTTATCCTATTTGCAAGCTACCATGTTAACTAGTTGTAGTTTCATGGGTGCTGCCAGAAAACATGAGGCTCCAAGTCAGAGACAAAGGACTTTATTACTCGTGGCACAGCAACTTTGGCCTGTTTGCCTCAGCTTCCCTTGCTTCGGTGTCCTATGAGTGACACAAATGAGTGCCAGTGGATACCGGTATATGCAGAGGTTTGCATTACTACAGAAATCCCAAGCTTAGGAAACCTGAATCTTTTTTGGGGGGGCGGTGGGGGGTAGCGGACAGAGTCTCACCGTCACCCAGGCTGGAGTGCAGTGGCGCAATCTCGGCTCACTGCAACCTCTGCCTCCCGGGTTCAAGCAATTCTCCTGCCTCAGCCTCCCAAGTGGCTGGGACTACAGGCGCGTGTCACCACACCTGGCTAATTTTTTGTATTTTTAGTAAAGATGGGGTTCCACTGTGTTAGCCAGGATGGTCTCGATCTCCTGACGTCGTAATCTGCCCGTCTCGGCCTCCCAAAGTGCTCAGATGACAGGCCTGAGCCACTGCGCCCAGCCAGGAAACCTGAATCTTTTATAATTGGTAGTGAGCAAACCTGCTGTTTGCTCAGAAAGGAGGCACTACGTCTATTTTCCAAGATTGCTCACTTATCCAAAAACCCTTGAAAAGTCAGGGCCTCTGCTTTCAAGACATGCATAAACACAAAAGGCTCAAGGAGAATTGTCTCCCAACAAGCTCATTCTCTTTAAACTTACTGAAAGCCACCATGGCTCTTGATTGCACACTCTGGTTGATTTAAAGAGAAAGAATAGTGAGACCTCACAGAATGACCAAAAGACTTGAGAACTGGATAGGAATCAAGGAAGGGTGGCGAATAAGAACACAGTCAAGATCGCATTACAGGAACAATTCAGTTTGGAGGCCACTGCTGGGGGTCACCCATGGACACTGGCACCATGAGCAATCTCACTGAGACACTCACTAAGATTTAATGCCCCTGGCAGGCACATCTAAACCAGTGAGCCTGTTCAAAGACCATCCCACCAAGACACCACAACAGAGTGTCCCCTGGCATGGTCATTCTTCTCATCCTGCCTCCCCAACCCTAATCTGCCTAGTAGCCCTTTGCCATCCATCCTTAGGATGTGCATCCCCTCTTCCCAAGGCTGTTTTGGGTTTTGTGGGACCTTCCTAAAAAGTCAGATTGTCAAACAACCCATGCTAGCATAAAAGCACACTAGAATTTATTTTATTATTTTATTTTATTTTATTTTATTTATTTTTTGAGATAGAGTCTTGCTTTGTTGCCCAGGATGGAGTACAGTGGTATGACCTAAGCTCACTGCAACCTCTGCCCCCCGGATTCAAGCAATTCTCCTGCCTCAATCTCCTGAGTAGCTGGGATTACAGGTGTGTGCCACCATGTCCGGCTAATTTTTGGATTCTTAGTAGAGACGGGGTTTCACCCTGTTGGCCAGGCTGGTCTTGAACTCCTGACCTCAAGTGATCTGCCTGCCTCGACTTCCCAAAGTGCTGGGACTACAGGTGTGAGCCACCATGCCCACCCAGCACACTAGAAATTGATCTCACAGAGGACTAGTATAGTCTTCATTGAAAACATGAGAGCAAGCAGGTAATCCCACTAACCCCAGGAACATATGTATGCCTCCTGCACTCAGACGTCTGCTTGGGAGACCTCTTGAGAGGGGTGAAACCATCCCGGTAATGAGTGAAAACTCAGAATTGACTGAATATCTCTCCAAAAGAGACTGTTTGAAACCAGAAGAGAATGGGCTATATTCTATTGGCAAGCTCAAGCATTATTTTCTGCTATTTATAGAAATAATACCTAAAAGACAAGACAAAGTCAGTTATCACAGGTAAAGCTACAATTTTTTCATATTAAACTTTAACTTTTGAAATTAATAGTATAAATAGCTCCTTAACTTCTAATAGGTATGACACAGAAATGCAATATTAGTTTTGCCTGGGCCATAAATATAACTTAAGAGAAAATAATATCTAAGCGGGGCACAGTGAGGGGAACCCATAGTCCTGGCAATTCAGGAGGCTGAGATGGGAAAATTGCTTGAGTCCAGGAGTTTGAAGCTGCAGTGCACAATAATTGCGCCTGTGAATAGCCACTGCACTCCAGCCTCGGCAACATAGCAAGACCCCCATCTCTAAAAAAAATTTTATTAAGAACAACAAAGAACAATAATCCAGTAAGATAGTATGTAAGTGCTACTTGATTGGGAATATTTGTAACAACATCTTACATTTGTATAGAGAAAAGGAATGGGGCCTCCTAAACTTAGAGCATCATGTCAATTAAGATGTAACTGGCTAGTCAAATCCATAATGCCTAACTAATAATAGCTCAAACTTTATACAATTTATTAATTTACTTAGTAAAGGGCTCCAGGATTGGTTCAGTGTCTTGATGGAGTTATTAAGGGCCCTGCTTATTCTCACCTTTCCTCTTTGCCTTCCTTGTCTCCTCTTGGTTACAAAATGGCTGCTGCAGCTCCAGGCATTGTGGCTTCATGCAACTATGACCAAAGCAGGAAGAAAAGGAATGGCAGAGACTTCTCAGAAGCTCTCCAACAGACTTCTCTTTGAATCTCATTGGCCAGAACTGGAGCACAAACCCATTCCTAAACCAACTTATGGCAAAAAGAGGGTTGTCAAGATTGTCCTAGACCAGTTGTAATTGGTACCTTTGATCAAGTGGGACTCATGGAGTATAGTTATAAAACAATTTCATTTTTGTCTCCTACAGTCTATTTTTTATTTTATTTATTTATTTATTTATTTATTTATTTTGAGACAGAGTCTCCCTCTGTCACCCAGGCTGGAATGCAGTGGCTAATTCTGCCTCCTCCCGAGTAGCTGGGATTACAGGCACCTGCCACCACACCCAGCTAGTTTTTGTATTTTTAGTAGAGACAGGATTTCACCATGTTGCCCAGGCTGTTCTCGAGCTCCTGACCTCAAGTGATCTGCCCGCCTTGGCTTCCTAAAGTGCTGGGATGACAAGCATGAGCCACTGTGTCCGGCCCAGTCTTTTTAAACATGCTCAAGGGAGGAAAATACTTCTTCCCTTGTCTCTGGAGAACAACTCAGACAGGCCCTATGACTTATTCTGAGTCCTCTTAGGAAATAGAAAAGCCACCATGCCCAGTGGAGAACATCTTAATAGAAAGATAGGCCGGGCGCAGTGGCTCACGCCTGTAATCCCAGCACTTTGGGAGGCCAAGGTGGGCAAATCACTTGAGCTCAGGAATTCGAGACCACCCTGGCCAACATGGTGAAACCCTGTCTCTACTAAAAATACAAAATTAGCCAGGCGTGACGGTGTACCTGTAATCTCAGCTACTCGGGAAGCTGAGGCAGGAGAATCACTTGAACCCGAGAAGCAGAGGTTGCAATGAGCCAAGATCATTCCTCTGCACTCCAGCCTGGGTGACAGAGCGAGACTCCGTCTCAAAAAAAAAAAAAAAAAAATGAAAGAGGAACTTGGTGCATTCCGTCCTCTCTGTTCTGCTTTACTGCAGCCTGAGGACAAAGTTCTGGGAGATCGGCATTGACTATGTAAGTAACAACAACGGCCTAAAGAAGCAACAAGAAAGGAACCGAGTGCCTGGAGAACTTCATGGAGCAGAGCCACTTGCCTACTTTGGATCATCTGTCTCTAAGAGAGGGAAATAAACATTTCTTTTGTGTGAGCCACTGTTTTCAGTGGCCTTTTTGTTATATGTAGCAGCTTAGCTTGGCCCTAACTAATAAAGGCAGACATGTGGCTGCCTCTATTGCAGAAGGGCTTTCTCTGTGTGATAGGAATGCATCCCCCAAATCTTCGCCATCTGATTGGGAAAAGAACCTGGCCCTATAGCTCCAATTTTAAAAGCCCAGGGAAGGGCTGTTTGGACTAGCTGAGTCCCATGCTTACCTCCTAGATTATTGGCTCTCAGTGGGGAGGGAGAGGATTTTGCCCCCCAGGGACATTGTCCCCCAGAAGACATTGCCAAATGTTAATGTCTGGAGACATTTTTGGTTGTTTTAATGGGGGCAGGGGGCCAGGTGTGGCGGCTCATGCCTGTAATCCTAGCATTTTGGCAGGCCAAGGTGGGTGGATTGCCTGAGCTCAGGAGTTTGAGACCAGCCTGGGCAACATGGTGAAACCCCATCTCTACTAAAATACAAAAAATTAGCCGGGCATGGTGGTGTGCACCTGTAATCCCAGCTACTCAGGAGTCTGGGGGAGGAGAATCGCTTGAACCCAGGAGGTGGAGGTTGCAGTGAGCCGAGATCATGCCATTGCACTCCAGCCTGGGCGACAGAGCGAGACTCTGTCTCAAAAAATAAAAAAATAAATAAAAAAATGGGGGCAGGGGTGCTGCTGGCTTTTGGTGGGTAGTGGCCAGGGATGCTGCTAGATGTCCTACAATGCCCAGGACAACCTCCACAGCAAAATAATTATCTGACCTAAGATGTTAATAGCGCCAAGGTCAAGGAACCCTGTTTTGGACCAATCCTATTAACTTTTCAAGGGTTAATATGGAATGTGACTACTTGTCATCAACTCCATAGGCACCACTTGGTTTAAGATACCCTTGCTCTGCCCTGGATGACTGCAGTAGCCTAACTGTCCCCCTGACTCTGTCCTTGCCCCTGCAGTTCTTCTTCGCACAGCAGCCTGAATTAGAGCATGTCCCTACTCTTCTCAATCTCCTGACTTCGTGATCCGCCCATCTTGGCCTCCCAAAGTGTTGGGATTACAGGCGTAAGCCACCGCGCCCGGCCACCCCTACCCTTCTCAAAACACTCTAGGGCACTTCTCATTTCACTCAGAGAAAAAGCCAGACTCTTCAGAGTCACCTACAAGGCCCTGCATGATCTAGGACCTCATTTCCTAGATTCTTATCCTACATACCCTACCTCTCTTAGGGATTCTTCTTCTTTTCTTCTCCTTTTACTTTTTCTCCTTCTCCTTCTTCTTCTTCGACAGGATCTCACTCTGTTGTGGTGCAGTCATAGCTCACTACAACTTCAACCTCCTGGGCTCAAGTAATCCTCCTGCCTCGCCTCGCATGTAGCTGGGACCACAGGTGTGTGCCAACCACACCTGGCTAACTTTTAAAAAAAGTTTTTGTAGAGATGGGGGTCTCAGAGCTTTTGCACTGGCTGTCCCTCTGCCTGAGCACTCATCCCCCAGACAGCTGCAGAGCACGCTTCCGATCTTCTTTCAGGTCTTTGCTCAATTATCACCTTATCCCTGAGGCCTTTAACCATCTTATAGAAAATTCCACACATACCCTCGCCTCCTTTATTCCTTTATTTGTCTCCCTGGAATGGATCACCATCTGACTATTTATTTATTTATTTATTTATTTATTTATTTATTTATTTATTTTTGAGATGGAGTCTTTGTCGCCCAGGCTGGTGTGCAGTGGCACGATCTCGGCTCACTGCAACCTCCGCCTCTCAGGTTCAAGTGATTCTCCTGCCTCAGCCTCCCAAGTAGCTGGGATTACAGGCGCCCACCACCACGCCTGGCTAATTTTTGTATTAGTAGAGAAGGGGTTTCGCCATGTTGGCCAGGCTGGTCTCCAACTCCTGGGCTCAAGCGATCCACCCACCTCAGCCTCCCAAAGTGTTGGAACTACAGGCATGAGCCACCACACCCAGCCTTAGATTTATTTGTCTATCTGTCATTCACCACTCGGTAACATGGAAGTAGCCCCCATAAGGTCAGGGACCTGGTCTTTTTTGTTTACTGCTGTATCCTCAGGCCTGCAGTTGTGCCTGGCACATAGTCGGTGCTCAAGACTTTTTTCTTTTTTAAGACAGGGTCTTGTTGTGTTGCCCAGGCTGGAGTGTAGTGGTGCAATCATGGCTCAGTACAGCCTCGATCTCCTGAGTAGCTGGGATTATAGGTGCGTGCCACCATGCTTGGCTAATTTTTGTATTATTTCTGTAGAGACAGGGTTTCATCATGTTGCCCAGGCTGGTCTCCAACTCCTGGCCTGAAGTGATCCATCCTCCTGCCTTGGCCTTCCAAAGTGCTGGGATTACAGGCAGCACTTACACCGTGACCAACCAAGAAATGTTGGTTGAATGAATGCATTGCTGTGGCCATGGGGGTGGTAGGGTGTTATGACCCACAGCCTGCTGTAGCGCAATCACATGGTTAGTGTGGGGGGTGGGGCAGGTTCTTCAGAGAAAGTGGGGATCATGGTGCTAACAGAGCTGCCGGGAGAACTGGGACCCACTCAGACCTGTGCCTGCCTGTGAGTTCTGATGGTCTGATACTTTCACATACATTATTTCTTTATCCCTCACAACACACCAAAAAGGTAAACATTATTACCCCCATTTTACAGTTGAGAAACTAAGGCACAGAGAGGCTAGGTAGTATATGATGGTCACACAGGATTTAAGGCTACACTTATGAGTTTTGGGCCCTATTTCTATGTCTGTTTCATTCCCATTCTCCTGTACTCACTAAACACCAAGGGGTATGGCAACCCCTACCCCTGCTTTCCCTCCACTCCCCCAAAGTTCCCATTTGGCCAGCCCCGTGAGAGAAGCCAGCCCCAGCCCCAACCTCTCCTCCCTCTCCCTTGGTTCTGCAGGGCAGTCCTCGCCTGCTGGGAAGGGTTAACAAGGAGTGTTTGTAGCAGCCGCTGTCTCCAAGGAGAGGGGAGGAAAGCAGAGTGGGGAGGCCGGCAGCCACCCCAGGCTCTGTGGCCGCAGCCAGCAGAGGGTAGGAGGCAGCCAGCTTGATCTCTCCAGCTCTGGGGAAAGAGAGGAGTGTCCTCACTTCCATCTGGCCTCAGAGGGGTGAACTCCAAGTGGACTGGGCAGCCTGAGAGCAAGGTTGCTGCAGGGCCACCAGGGAAAGCTCTGGCAAGGACTGAGGAATGTGGGGGGGCAGGGGCTGGGCCAGGCCTGGCAGCTGAAGCCAGTGGCAAGTAGCAGCACTGGAGGTCCCGGGCTCTCAGCGAGTACACGGGAACCTCAGAATCAGGAAGAACCCAGCCGAGACCCAGCAGCAGCGGGAGGAAAGAGGCGGCAGTGGGAGAGGGGAGGTGCCCACCTCCTGCCCTGCTGGGGTCCAGCCATGTCCCAGCCTGCGGGAGGCAGGAGGAAGCCCAGGACCCTAGGGCCGCCTGTGTGCAGTATCCGGCCTTTCAAGTCGAGTGAGCAGTACCTGGAGGCCATGAAGGAAGACCTGGCTGAGTGGCTTCGCGACCTCTATGGGCTGGACATCGACGCAGCCAACTTCCTGCAGGTGCTGGAAACGGGCCTGGTGCTGTGCCAACACGCCAACGTTGTCACTGACGCTGCCCTGGCCTTCCTGGCTGAGGCACCTGCCCAAGCCCAGAAGATTCCCATGCCCCGGGTCGGGGTCTCCTGCAATGGGGCCGCCCAGCCAGGTACCTTCCAGGCCAGGGACAATGTCTCTAACTTCATCCAGTGGTGTCGAAAGGAGATGGGCATCCAAGGTAACCACGCTGCACCCTCGTCCCCATTCCAGATGCTTATCTTGGGGGGTATTGGTCCTTTCTCAAATGCACAGGCTAGCTCTGGGGGGCAGGAGCCTGGATCCTCATTCTAGATTTGCCTTGAACCAGCTCTTTTTTCATGCCTCAGTTTCCCCACCTCATAGTAAATCCTCAATAAATAAATATATTGATGATTGATAAATGTTTGTTGATGATTACTTCAATAAGCATATATCAAGCACCTCTTCTGTGCTGAGCACTTTGCTGGGCACCAAGGAAAGAGAGGAAAGAGACCCAGCGCCCAACAAATTCATGGTCTAGCAAGAGAGGCAGAAGGCTGGGTGTGGTGGCTCATGCCTGTAATCCCAACACTTTGGGAGGCTGAGGCCGGTGGATCACCTGAGGTCAGGAGTTCAAGACCAGCCCGGCCTAACATAGCAAAACCCTGTCTCTACTAAAAATACAAAAATTAGCTGGGCATAGTGGCAGGCTGAGATAGGAGAATTGCCTGAACCCAGGAGGCAGAGGTTGCAGTGAGCTGAGATGGCGCCACTGCACTCCAACCTGGGTGACAGAGTGAGAGTCTGTCTCAAAAAAAAAAAAAAAAAAAAAAAAAAGAGAGAGAGAGAGAGGTAGAGGGATAGATACATAAATTATAGCCTACTGTGGCAAAGGCTTGACCTAGAGGTGTAATGCTGGGAGCCAGGGGAGGAAATAGCAGCCTGATTAGGTGGAATGGGGCCGAGAAAGTTTGCATCATAAAGGAAGGAGATTTGGCCTGAGTCTTTTTTTTTTTTTGAAACTGAGTCTAGATCTGTCACCCAGGCTGGAGTACAGTGGTTCGATCTTGGCTCACTGCAACCTTCACCTCCCGGGTTCAAGCAATTATATGTGCCTCATCTCCTGAGTAGCTGGGATTACAGGCGCCCGCCACCACGCCTGGCTAATTTTTGTATTTTTAGTAGAAATGGGGTTTCACCATGTTGGCCAGGCTGGTCTCGAACTCCTGACCTAAAGTGATCCGCCCGCCTTAGCCTCCCAAACTGCCGAGATTGCAGGTGTGAGCCACCACACCCAGCTGGGCTGAGTCTTGAGGGATAAATAGAAGTTTATGGGAAGGGAATTCTAAGCAGGGGGGATGACAGGGGCAAAGGCGCAGAAAAAGCATGGTGTGTGAATGACTAGGGAGAGGCTGGTGGTGAGGGCACAGGGCTAGGATGAGGAGAGAACATGGGAGGAGACAGATGGGATGACGCCAGGGAGGGGCTCCATCATGCTGGGGCTTGTAGGGCTCAGGGAGTGACATGTCAGGATCCTTCATCTCATTGGCCTTGAAACCAGGAATGGGATGAGACTGGATGTTGTGCCATTCTCCAGGCCAAAGGTGGCAGGGGTGAGACTGGGGAAAGGGTCAGGCCTGGGCTACTGGCTGGTGGCTGGGCACTGAGGAACAGAATTGGAAGGTTAATAGAAGCTAGTGCTTTAAGGAATGCTTGCATGTGCCGGACATTGTGAATGGTTAGCAACTATGAGCATATCCAATCTTCACAACAACCCCACGAAGTAGACTACATCCCCATTTTACAGAAGAGGAAACTGAGGCTCAGGGTCTAGCTCAAGGTCATGCGGCTGGTAATAAGTCAGGACTCCAGACTTAGTGGTTGGCTCCAGAGCATGTCCTCAGCATGCCTGGTTGGGCCTGGGTGGGAGCTGAGTTTGAGATGCCTGGTGGAGATAGGAGGAGAGAGGCGTGGGTGGAAAGTGGAACAAACCGCTTCCTGCTCCTGGACCCATCCAGGCAAGCTGAGTGGGGAGAGGGGAAGGTGGAGTTCATCCTTCTCTCATCCACAGTCACAGTCACAGCCAGTCTCCAGGTCCCTTTGCTTTGCTGTCACCTCTTCTCACCCGCAGCCTCTCCTGTGAGATGGGCCGCGTGTCTGTACCCAGCACCTGAGCAATTCCGCCCAGACCCCTCCTAGGGGGCTGACTTGACCCCAAGATTCTGAGACCCAAACCACTCCCCATGTCTGCTGCCCCAGACCGGGGATGACCCCAGTGCTTTCCTCCCCGCTAGCCCCTGCCCCGGAGGCTCAGGTCCTCTGGGGGCTCACGCTGCCTCTGCCCTTTTCTCCCCGCCTCCACTCCAGAGGTGCTGATGTTCGAGACGGAGGACTTGGTGCTGCGCAAGAACGTGAAGAACGTGGTGCTGTGTTTGCTGGAGCTGGGCCGCCGGGCGTGGCGCTTTGGTGTTGCGGCGCCCACACTCGTGCAGCTGGAGGAGGAGATCGAGGAGGAGGTGCGGCGGGAGCTGGCCCTGCCCCCGCCCGACCCCTCGCCGCCAGCGCCCCCCAGGCGCCAGCCCTGCCACTTCCGCAACCTGGACCAGATGGTGAGGGGCTCTGCACACGCCCTCAGGGCCCCCTTCCCTTTGTCCTTCGTGCTCCTCTCCCCAGTCCCACTCCAGCCCCCACTAACCCACCCCCTTCTTGAGCTCCATTGTCCACCCTGACCCGAATTCACTGTGTGGCTTTAAGGCACGGTTCCACTCTGAGCCTCAACCCTAACCACGCGTAGTAATTAATGGCCATGTCATTTCTCAGGCGTTCTTACCAACCCAGCACTGGATGCCCCTCTCATTTAACCCCTGCTGGGACAGTTTTCAAGAACACCGACTGTGGCACTCTCCGAGACACCTTGGTTCAAGTCTTAGTTCCACTGCTTTGCAGCTGTGTGACTTTGGGCAAATTATTTAACCTCTCTGTGTCTGGCTTCCCTTATCTGCAGCATGGGGACAGTAACAGCACCTACCTTCTATGAATGCTGTAATCAGTAAATGAGCCAGCACATACAAAGTGTTTGGAACAGGGTCTGCACAGAGGGCCACTTCACAGCAATTAGTTCTGTGTGGTTAACCCCTGGGGAAAATGGAGCTCAGGCAGTTTTCTTAATGAAAAGCCTATGATGCAGTGGATACAGGGCACTGACCTGAGCCTGTCAGATCCCACAGTCCCCCCGTGGCACTCTGCCGCTTCCATCAGCTCTGGACCTCATGGTAGGTAGGTCCATGGGTGACCACCCAGGTCTCGTTCTCGCTGGGTCATTTACAGCCTTATCTACTCCCTCCTTGCTTCTCATTCCCCAGCTCTGACCTCAGCAGAAACCTCAGGGGTGACCTGGGGGGCAGGTAGGCCCCCCATTTTGACCCAGAGTGGGCAAAGGAGAGGGCTGAGTTCACCACCCGCCCGCAGGTGCAGAGCCTTGTGAGCCACTGCACGTGCCCAGTGCAGTTCTCCATGGTCAAAGTGTCTGAGGGGAAGTACCGTGTGGGTGACTCCAACACCCTCATCTTCATCCGGGTAAGTCCAGGCTGGGGGTCAAGGGACCCCCAGAATAGGGTTTCTTGCCCAGGCTTGGGACAATGACACTAAGTCTCCCAGAATATGGGACCTTGCCCAGGCTTGGAACAATGACACCTCCCAGAATATGGGACTTTGTCCAGGCTTGAGGACAATGACAGTAAGTCATCATTCACCCCAAGCCATCAGGCCTTGGAGCTCTCCTTCTCACCCTGGGAGAATTCCAGGAGATTCCTGGCAAAGGTGGCAAGCCTATCTCCTCCTCCCATCAGGGCAGCCAGAGCCACCACCCTCCCTCTCCTCCACTGTAGCCTAATCTAGAGCATGTTCTCAGGCAGAGTGGGGTATGGAGAAGGGTGATCACACTTTTCCATTCCACTCCACCCACAGACTTGATTAGAGGAAGCAGCTTGAGAACCCCAAGTTTGGTTTCAGTGCACGGCCCCAGCCACATGGACCCCATAGTTCCACCCCTACCACTTGCCTGGGGGTACATTCAGCAGAGTGAGTAGCAGCACAGGTCTGAAAATGTGCCTCCTACCCCAATACCTGGCTGTGCCTCACCAGAAACGGTCTGTACCCACATGAGCGGCCAGCAGCTCGGGGCATGGCCCAGCCATTTCCTTGGGCACAGGCCAAACCTGGGAGCAGAGCCAGCTCTCTGGGCCCTCCCCTAGACCTGAGGCAGTAGCCCTGTGATGCAGATAGGGGCAAGAACCTGTGGCCCCACTTCCCAACACAGGAAGCTGAAGCTTGAAGAGACATGTGACTTGCCTGAGGGTGGAGTGGGACCAGGACTCCCATGGGCTCTCCACACAGGCCACAGGGGCAAAGCCAGTGGCATTAGGGCCCTGTTTTGGGTACAGGCATGTACAGATGCAAAACCGTTTACAGCAAAAGGAGCGCTCTGGGGGCAGGCTTTGGGATCCCTTGACCAGTTGTGGGACAGCTTTCAGCCTGGCTCCCACCTTGACCGCATGTGTTATCTGATGCCAGTCATGGAGGAGGAGATTCGGGCTGCCTTTTTACAGCACACACATACATCTACGTGTGGATGGGTACATGGATGAGAGCATCCCTGAGTGAGTGCCGGAAGCCCGCGAGCTGGTCCAGGAAGAGGGGCTGCCCTCCACCCCGCCCTTAACCTCACCCTTGCCCCCTCAGATCCTCCGGAACCATGTGATGGTACGTGTAGGGGGCGGCTGGGACACACTGGGCCATTACCTGGACAAACATGACCCCTGCCGCTGCACATCCCTCTGTGAGTCCCCTGAGGGCCCTCTCCCTGTGGGGTTGGTTGAAGAGGCCTAGCTCTGGGTTGGGAGGCTGGAGGCAGAGGTGGGAGGTATGTCTGATCTCCAGGAGGGGAGCGGTAGGTGGGGAGGTGTGGGGGAGGCTGGAGGAAGGCAGGCAGTAGTTGGGCACAGTACAGTACTAAATGTCGCCACAAGATGGCGGGCAACACACGCAGAAGCAGCATTTGGCCACGGTGCATTTTAGCAGAGCTTAGGTCTGGCTCTGGGATCCACAGTGTTGGCACCAAGTGTGACTTGGAGGGTCTTTAATTCTTCCATAATCTCCATCAACGCCTCCAGCCACTCCAAATAAGCACATGCTCTAAGGGAAAGTTGTGTACCCGCACTAAAAACATAGCTTTAAATAAATCCCCCAGCTGGGTCCCCTAAGCCCCTCCCGTAAAGAAACTCCGGTGTTGCCACTGTAGGTCCCACTGTTTTTAATGTGGGATGCGGGGCATGGGACCACTGGGGGAGGAACAATGGTCCCCATTGGCAGGAACTGAACCCTTCTCTCCTCTCCTTTCTCCGGGGGACTGTTGGTAGCACACAAGCCAGGCAGCTTCCTGAAGCCCCCGGCCCCACCAGTGCAGCATGAAGTAAGGGTACAGGATGGACCCTCACAGACCCAGCCTACAATGACCATCAGCCGCTCACAGAGCCCACCACCCCCTGTGGACTGGAAGACATATACCTCTTCAGACCGAAGGCTGAGGCCCCCCACCCCATCCTCCCCCAGACCCCGCAGGGAACGGGGAGCAGGGACGGGGGCCTCCAGAGAGATGGCACCATTCCTGAGGTATGGGGAAGAGACAGGGATGGGGCTCTTTTTCCTTTGGAGTGCACATTCTCAGAGGTCACCACACTCCAAGATAAAAGGAGCAGATCCTCGGCAGTGCCTCTACCCCGAGACCACAGGTTTTGGAACCAGAAGCATACCCAGTACCTTTGGGATAATGTGGTTACTTCATATGCCTTCCCATTTCACAGATGAGGAGGCTGAAGCTCAGAAATGGAACAGACTTACTGAAGGTTTCCTACCATTTCATGGTAGAGCAGAGACTAAGACAGAGACTGTGCATTCCCCTCTGTCTCTCCACTGCCCTGCAACTGGTCTGAGGCCATCCCTCGAAGGATCTGAAGTCACCTCAGGCCAGGATCAGGCTTCCTTCTATCTGCTACACAGGGAACAAGGGCGAATAGACTTAGGCAGTGACTGCCATAAGGAGGATTTCTGGGCAGTCACGGAGGAGAGGGAGCATAGGTTTCATTCAGCGTGAAGTCTAGCCTCCTGGGTGTTCTCACTGGGGAAAGACTGTCACTTCCCAAAGCCAGGGACCACACTAGATGACCCTGCCGGCCTGATGAGTCTCCCTTTGCAGCCTTGTGATTCTCCCTTTCAGGTGCCAGGAGAGGTCTCTCATCCCATCTTGGAGGCAGCCGACAGCTGGGGACAGCCCACCCAGCCCCCAGTCCTCATCTACCCAAAAAGGCCGAGACCCACAGTGTACCTCGTCAGGAAAGAGGGAGGAGAGATACCCCCCTGAACTCCCCAGGGGAAGGATTCCCACATCTTGGGTTCATGAAGAAACAGACAGCTGGGGAACCGACGCCGGGAACCCCACCCCACAAAGACTCCGAGCCATTGAGGCCACCACCAAAGGGATATCAGCAAGAGGACCATCTCCCCTGCCTCGTTCCTTTGGCCCAGCCGAGTGCCTGGGCCTCAGGCTGCCACTCCGGGATGAGGCCAAGGGTGCGTTCTTCCAGTTCAGGGAGCCAGAGTCTGTCCGTTCTCCAACCCCTGTCCAAGGCCTAACCAAGATCCCCATCCGGCTGCCCCCTGCTCGCCCCCCAACACCAGGAAGGAGCTTTCCTGGTGCTACAAGTGGAAGTCCCAGGACAGAACTTGGGAGAGACCCCATCCCACTAAGGGCCGTCACTGTGGACCTGGCTGGGTCCACGCATGGGGACTGCTCTGTGGAAGTGAGGCAGGAGGACCAGCAGCTGGACATCCAGGTCATGGCAGAGGCCAGAGAGTCCTGGGACCTGGGCCTACAGGAGCAGGAGGGGCGGTACACACCTCTGCCCTTGGGCGGGAACAAGGAGCAAGCCATCTACTGTAGCCTTGAAGAGGAGATTTTGGGCAACATGAAGCTGCTAGAAGTCAGGAGTGCCTGTCCGCAGGGCACAAGGTCTGGGGTCATCCCTCGCAGTGGGGTCTACATCCCCAGGCTGGCTGGGCAGTGGCCTGAGCCTGGGGGTCCTTATGACAAAGCCATCCAAGAACTGGCTCAGGGGTCCCCATCCCTCCTTAAAGTGGACCTGGAAGCCTGGAAGGCAGCCCCGACTGGCTCCCCTAAGCCAGCTGTTACCCCAGGACCGGGAAGCCTCAAAGGGAAGTTGGGAGCCAGACAGAGTGGGCCCAGGACAAAGGCAAGCCTGAGTGCCAAGGGCACCCACATGAGGAAGGTCCCACCTCAGGGAGGGCAGGACTGCTCGGCTTCTACTGTGTCTGCCAGCCCGGAGGCCCCCACACCTTCGCCCTTGGACCCCAACTCTGACAAAGCCAAGGCATGTCTGAGCAAGGGCAGGAGAACTCTCCGGAAGCCCAAGAGGGTCCCGTCCATCTACAAGCTGAAGCTGAGACCCAGGATTCGGCCCCGGAGAGACCACAGGCCTGAGAAGCAGCCTTCACGAATCCCCAGGCCACTGGCCTATGTCTTCCTGGGTCCAGCCAGGCAGCCCCCCAAGGACAGGCTGTTGAGAGCTGTGCTGGGCAGCAAGGGAGGGGAGGCATCCCGGGTGGATGGAGCTTCAGTAGGTGAGGAGGAGGAGGAAGGAAAGGAGGAGAAAGAGCCAGCCGCTCCATTGGAGAGCAGCCCCCAACCTCCAGAGGGCCTGCAACCTCACTGGCTTAATCAAGCTCCACTTCCACCTGAGGAGGAGTCCTGGGTCTGAGGCACATGAGCGTGTTGGGTAGGAGGGAAGCAAAAAGGATGGCCATGTATACACTGGATTCACAGCTGCGGGAACAGAAGGGATGTTCCCTCACCTCCACACAGGGCCTTGGGCAGGAGTGGGTCAGAAGACAAATATAGACTCCATCTGCTCATCTGAGCAAAGGGGCAACCCACTGCTCTCACTCCAACTCCAGAGGTAGGCCAGGGGCAGTAGGACCATCCTGTATCTCATTACTCTCCCCTAGAACGGCTCACCACACTCCTGGCCTCTGGCCCCTGGCCATGCCCACCTGTTTCCATAACTCCCATAAGTTATTAAATGCATGTGATTCTGCCCTTGAGCCCCCAGCTTCTTTTTTCAAATTTCAGAAACAGAGTCTTGCTCTGTCACCCAGGCTGGAGTGCAGTGGCGCTATCATGGCTCACTGCAGCCTCGAACTCCCAGGCTTCAAGTGATCCTCTCACCTCAGCTTCCCAAGTAGCTGGGACTACAGGTAGGTGCCATGACACCTGGCTAATTTTATTTTATTTTATTTTTTAGAGATGGGGTCTTACTATGTTGTCCAGGCTGGCCTCAAGTGATCCTCCTGCCTTGGCCTCCCAAAGCAGTGGGATTAAAGATGTGAACCACTGAACCTGCCTCCCCCTGCCCCCCAGCTTCTTGAGTCCCTCACTCCAGGACTGTGGTGGTGCGGGGAGGTATAGCTTCAGATGTTATCCCACTGGAGGAGATGGGGACTAGAAGGAAGGAGTTGGTGGTGAGAGAGGCTTCCTCTTTTGAGGCTCAGCCAACCTTGCCAGGCAGCCCCATCTTTCCTGGAAGTGGCTGGTGGGTCAGCACCACGGACAGAGACCAGTCCTGCCCTCAACACACAGGCTCCCACAAGGCACCCTTGCCCAAGATTTCAAAGCTTTGCTCTGGAGTTTGGGACCTGAGATCACTCAGGGACAAGACGGGTGGCTGAAAGTGTTCCTAACACATCTACATCCAAGAAGTTATGACTGAGAGGCTGTAAAGTCTCAGCCTTGAGTGGGAAGGACGAGACGCAGACGGAGAAGCTGGGATTGAGTCCCATTATGGAAATTTTCCAGACAGTGGCAGGGGAGAAGTTCTGCTTCCCTTCTGAATGGTTGGAATTAGCTGGAGGGTTTGGGGTTAGGTGGAAAGGTGATAAATCCCAAACTCTTCACCGGTGGTCTCCCTGTTGACCTGGGCTTTGGGACTGGGGGCCACCTCACCACCTTCACCCTCCTTCCACACGGAGCTCAGCAGGCAAGCCCTGTGGGGACCCCTCCCCTCCTACCATGAGGAATGGAGCCAACACCTTGGTACAGAAACGAGGGAAAACACTCCCTGATTTTTAATCTGACTTCGGGTAACAGCTCAATGGGCGTCACACACACTTCCAGACCCTGTGGTGGGAAACCCTGGGAGCGGGTGGAAGGAGAAGGACAGAGACTCAGAATGGGGGTGGAGGGACCTGAAATCCAAGACCTGGGTTGAGGTGGAGGCGGAAGGGGGCCTGTCAGGGGATACATTCCAATGGCTCCCACAGGGGAGCAGCCAGAGGCCTGGGCTCCGCCCCCCCACCCCAGGTGCCTCAGAGTTGGTGATGGGGCATGTGAGATGCTGCCATCCTTCATCCGCTCCCTCTGGTGAACCAGGGGGCAGGGGTGCAGGAGACTAAAGGGGCAGGCCCTCTTTGTTACCCTCCCAGCCACTCTAAGGTGTGGGGAAGGGGAGCCACCTCCTCTGTGTCAGAGGGAGGCTCACAGAGGGCAGGTCACTTGCCCAAAGTCCTGCAGCACAGCAGGGACTAGAATGCAGGAACACTAGACTGCCCAAGGTCAGGGCGGTTGCTGTGAGGCTGTGCTACCCCCCACTTGGTGGACAGAGTGGGAATCCGCTGGGGAAGCAGAATCATAGATTCCCCCTACAATGGATGTTGGTGATAAATTCCCCACCCACGACCCTTCCCCCAGACTCTGCTCCATCACCAGTCTGGGCTACCTGATTTCCTGGTCTATATGCTGCAGCCTTGGCTAGGTTGGCCAAAGCGGAGTTGTCCTCTCTGCCCCTCTTATAACAAGGGACCTTGCTGTCCCCCCACCAGGCCAGGGCTGAGGGCTCAGCCTCAAGGACAGCTTTCTTTGGCCAGGGGAGCAGGGGACAGGGCACCACTTGTCCCTCCCTCCAAGTCCCCCATCAATCCCTCATGCCATTCCTAGAATCTTCATTATTATTGTTATTTCTAAATCGGTACAAAACTGACAGTGATCAGCTCCGGTGACGAGAGGTAGAAACCCGGCCAGGCAGCCGGAGAAAATGGGGTGGAGTGAGTTAGGGTATAGGGCTGACTGGTGTTGGGACAAGAGGGTGTCAGATCCTGAGGGCCTCCATCTGTGGCAGGAGGAAGATGCAGGTGTGTCTCCCCCAAGTACAGGGGTCCCCACCATTCTTTCCCTGGCTCTGTTCTTCCCCAGATTAATCAGGATAGTCTGAGATCTGAGGCAGGCAGAGTCTGGGGTAGTCAGATGGGGTTGAGACGGGGCAACAGAATTTTCACTGGGACAACCTAACCCCCTTCTGGGCACCATCCTGCCCACGACCAGACCCCAGAACCCAACATTCCCCAGTCTGACAGATCAGATTGCAGTATGCAGAAGGGAATAAAGGACTGGAGCCTGGCATCATGAAAAAGAAGCTATCCTTTGGGGGGCTCCCTTTCCACACTCTGTCCAAAAAAAAAAAAGAAAAAAAGTTTTAACCCAGGGGGTGATCTGGCTTTGGGGTCAGGAAGAGTGAGGGGCACCTGGCAGGGACGGACCATCGAGTTAAGGCTGGAAGGTAGGTTGTTGTGTCTCTGGGGGCTGCTGGGCGGGGAGGTCTCCCTGGAAGCCGGAGAGCTCAACCTTCTCCCCTCACTGATCTGGGACCTCGGTCCCCCGGACCCCTTGATCGTGGTCCTTGGGCCACCCGCATCTCTGCCCTGTGCCGGTGGTGCTGACAGTCAGAAGGCCTGGCCTCACAAAGAAGCTGCCAGGATCTGCGACAAGGGGATGGACGAAATGAGAGCCCTGTGAGCGGAGCTGGGAGGGGACTGGAGGGTAGGTGAGACAGGTAAGTACCAACAGACGCTGGGGTGGGCGGACACGGGAAAGGAAGACACCAGGCAAAGACAGACACATTCTGGAGAAGACACGTGGGGGCCCGGCCAAGGCGGCACCTCGCCACCCCCAGCCTCCATTGCACGCTCACCCCCATCCCAAAAGGCTGTGGCACCCCCGCGGGTCGGGCCGGGCACTGCACTAAATACAGCACTGAAGGCGGCTGTCCCAGGAAGCCACGGGGGCAAGGGGCAGGGCTGGGCAGTTACGGAGGGCTCCCTCTCGCGCTCTGCTTCTCACCGGGAGGTGCGTGGCTGCAGGGGCCTCAGGCCGGGACCGTCACAGTTCCATTTCCCGCCCGCTCCCCGCCCCAGCCCCGCAGTACGGCCCCGCCCTCCGCTCGGCCAGTGCCGGTGCAGCCCGAGGGGCGCGCAGGCGTCACATGATGGCGCAGCGGTTGCGGCGCAGCGCGCCCTGGAAGCGCAGGGCAGCGTGCACGTGCTTGCAACGGGCGCAGCCGACGCTCTTGAGCAGCTCGCTGAAGAGCAGCAGGATGTGCCAGTTGTACTTGGCCGAGCATTCCACGTAGCCGCACTTCCAGGTCTTGCGTACCAGGTGCGACACGTTCCAGCGCGGGATCACGCGTCCGCGCTGCAGGTCCCGCTTGTTGCCCACGATGATGATGGGCGTCTCTGAGGTTCCGATCACCCTGTGGGGCGAGGCAGGCAGCTCAGAACTCTGTCAGCCCCACAACCGCTGTACTCCCAGCAGGGCAGGCTGTGCCTGGCCAATACTACCACCACCGTAGGTTCTGCTCCAGGCGCAGCCCTAAGCCCTGGAGGTGTTATATTCTCTGATCAGCACAACTGACCTAAAAGATGGGTTCTACTGTTATCCCCATTTTACAGATGAGGACATAGGCTTAAATGTTTACTGGCTTCAAGTCATGCAGCTGAGTGGCCCTGGAAGTCTTGTTCCAGAAGTCCCAGTTCTTAACTACTGCACTACTCTAGCCACCCCCACAGCCACGGTCCCAACATGAGTTGACAGAAATGGGAACAGCACAATGTATGCATGTTTGAGTGTATGTGTGGAAATCTTAGAACACATATACCTCTATCTGTGTCCCTATACTGTGCCCTTTTCACAGGGACTGGCTAGCACTGGGGCATCCACAGAGGTGGCAATGGACTGTGTTCCAGCCTCTCACCTCGTCTCCAGGATCTGCTGGCGGATGGTCTTGACGTACTCAAAGCTGTCAAAGCAGCAGATGTCGTAGACCAGGATGTAGGCGTGGACACTCCGGAGTCCCCTGCAGCAGGTGTCTGCCCACTCCTGCAATATCCCCAGCCAGTACCAGGGTCAGAGCAGCCATGAGGGCTCCCCTAGCCCCCAAACACCTCCCATCAGAGGGGCAGTGCTCTCACCTGCCACTGCACCTGAAGCCTTCCATACCCGACCATCCCCAGGAGACCAGGCCCAGGGAGAATGGAGGAGCTGTAGCCTCCCCATTCCCAAGCCAGGATGGAGCAGGTCACATTGTTTGATCTACAGGGCCACTGCACTGTCTTGTGCACATCTGGAGTTTAGCTCTGCCTTGCTCCATGTCGTGCCCTCATCCATCCATCGAGGCCTTTGTTCAACAAGTACATTTATTAAGTACCTCTAAGAGTCCAGCTCTGAGCTGGGTGTTGGACCTGTTAAAATTCTATCTTCCAAGGTTCAGCTAAAGTGCCACCACCTCCAAGAAGCTTCCTGATTTCCCATCCTTCCTGCAAGCAGGGGACTACTCCCTTCATCTCCTGTGTTCTAACAATCCTTCTATTACACTTTCATTAGAGCTGTTCCATCTCCAGTTCCCCACTTCTGCTGTGAGCTCCTGAGAAGGCCACAGCCAGGCCATCCTCATTTGTATATACTCCCTCTTCCTCCCTGAGTGTCTAGCACTGTTGGCTCAAAGCAGGTGCTCCTTAATAGCACTACCTGGGCTGGTGAGCTCTCCATGGCCCAAGCTGGGATCAATGCAACTCCTGCCTCTGCCACTGCCCTTAGACTGCTACCTGATGTGCCCCTTCTGTATGCTTCTCTCTGCCCTCAGGGTTGAGAAACAGAAAAAGATTCAGACTGGATGCATAATGGGCTGATGTAGAGTAGGGCCCCTGGGCAGCTCCAGGGAGATGAACTTCCTGAATGTTTGTGGCAACTTCTCAAGGGATTGGGGGGTACAGCTCAAGGTGAAGAGACTCCTAGAAAGGCCAAGTACACTAAAGAGAAGTTTCCTTAACAGATTCATTAGTCAACGTGCCAGCTGCAAGAGCGGTTTCAGGCAGCCAGTGTGTGGAAAGAAGGGGGTCCCTAAAGGTGGGGGGACAGAGGCCTCCAAGGACAAAGGAAACCAGAGTCTTCTCCCACCAAAGCCCAGGCAAAAGACTAGAAGAAGGTGGAGGTATGTCTCCTGTCCCAGCATCTGAATTGAGTGGGGCAGGGGCCAGGCACAAAGGAGGACTACAGTTCTCCACTTCCAAGAAGGATCAAAAGGAAACGACTTTGGTGGCAGTAGTGCAGAGTTAAGTCCAACTTCAGAACAGCACTTCCCAACTCAAAGGCTTAGAAGATGCTGCAGTGGATTTCCCTAGGGAGATGATGTGGCATCTTTTCTTTGTGCTGAGGTTTAAATTTTTGGTGCGGCGGGAGGATGCCGAGGACAAACCTAAAACCATAGGAAACTGGTTTCTTAGGCCAGGGAAGACTGCATTCTGCTGGACACAGTGATCTCCAGGAGCCTGGAACCTGTGTATACGGATGCTCCCACGATCCCCCAAGACCAATGGAGATCAGTGAGAAGTGGGAGGGATGAGAAGCTCCCAGTCTCTTCAAGCTGTCTGCTGGGGAGAGGGAGCAGCTGCCAGCTTTTGAGGGTGACAGCCCCACCTCTCCCCCAACATGTTGCCTCCTTGAGGGGAACTCCTGGCTTCCTCCCACCCACTCCTCTCTGGGGGTTCCTAAAAGAGAGAGGAGGAAGGCCCCTGATTGGCTAGCTTATCCCTTCCCCCTTGATTGAAGGGAGGAAGCAGGGTTCCAAACTGTAAAAGGCCATCTTGGGGCTCTGTCAAGACAGAGAAGGAGCAATAGAAAGGGAGTCCAGTTTCAGGGACAAGGCTCAGCCACCTGCATCTCAACCATGCATTTGCTGATAATTCCTTTGGTGAGTTGCAAGCACCTGATAATCTCAGCTTCCTTCTCTGATAGAAGGGGCTGCAGAAGACACTGAGGCTCACACCCAGGAAACACTACTCTCCTGGGCTCTATCTCATCTGGCATTGGAGAAGAATGTATTATTTTGTTTCCAGATGGTGGCCATCAGGATTCTTAGGTTTTATACTTAATCTTTGGTGCCTTGAGGATACCTTTTTCACAGTATTTCTCTGCCAAAAGTCCCTTACTGGGCTCCAGGAGTGAAATCTTGGATATCTTAGAGTCCAAAACTCAGGGTCAGTCAAGAAGAAAAAAGCCAACAACCCAATAGAAAAATGGGCAAAGGACATCAATAGTTCTTGAAAAGAGAAACACAAAGGCCCTTAAACCTATGAAAGATGCTCAATTTCACCCACGATCAGAGATGCAAATGGAGACTACAAGGAGAATATCATATCTCATCTCTCAGATTGTCAAATATATTGTCAAAAGTTTGACAATATACTCTGATGGCAAGACTGTAGGAAAACGGGCTCTCATATACATTGCTCACAGGAGCACAGCATACGCCACTGCTATGGAGGGCAATCTGGAAATAACCTCCCCTCCAAACTCCAGTTACAGTCACACTTTTTTTTTTTTTTTTTTGAGACAGGGCCTCACTCTGTCACCCAAGTTGGAGTGCAGTGGCACTCTCAGCTCACTGCAGCCTCAACCTCCCGGCCTCAGGCGATTCTCCCACCTCAGCCTCCCAAGCAGCTGGGACCACAGGCATGGAGCACCATGCCTGGCTAATTTTTTGTATTTTTGGTAGAGACGGAGTTTTGTCATGTTGCCCAGGCTGGTCTCGAACTCCTGAGCTCAAGTGATCCGCCTGCCTCAGCCTCTCAAAGTGTTGGGATTATAGGCATGAGCCACCTCACCTGGCTCTGTATTCACAATGCCATTTCCAGGCATTGTGATCCAGCAGTGCCATTTCCAGCAATGCCCTTTCCGGTAATTGATCCCACAGATATACCTACTTATGTTCAAAATGACCTATCTACAAGGCCACTCATTGTGGCACTGTTTGAAACAGCACAAGACTGGATACCACCCACTTATCCAACAAGAAAGGACTCCATGGTATAGCTCTTCAATGGAGTAGGGCGTGGCCATGAAAAAAGAATGAGGACGTCCTCTAGATAATGGCCTGGAAAAATCTTCAGGTTATAATAGCAAGTTAAAAAAATTGAGGTACAGCGCCAAGCACAGTGGCTCACACTTGTAATCCCAGCACTTTGAGAGGCCAAAGCAGGAGGATCGCTTGAGGCCAGTAGTTCGAGATCAGCTTAGGTAACACAGCAAGACCCATCTATACAAAAAATTTTAAAAATAAAATAAAATCAAGGTACAGAACAGTATGGTTCTTGTTTTTGTTTTGTTCTTTACGTAAGAAGCAGGGAAGAATGCATTTTCTTACTTGGGTAAAGAAACACTGAAAGTATGGATAAGAGACCAGGCGTGGTGGCTCATGCCTATAATCCCAGTACTTTGGGAGGCCTAGGCAGGCGGATCACTTGAGGTCAGGAGTTTGAGACCAGCCTGGCCAACATGGTGAAACCCCATCTCTACTAAAAATACAAAAATTAGCTGGGTGTGGTCGCAGGTGCCTGTAATCCAGCTACTCAGGAGGCTGAGGCAGGAGAATCGCTTGAACCCGGGAGGCGAAGATTGCAGTGAGCCGAGATCGTGCCACTGCACTCCAGCCTGGGCGACAGAGGGAGACTCCATCTAAAATAAAAAAATAAATAAATTTTAAAAAAGAAAGAAAAATTCGATAAGAGTGGTTATAGAGAGTGGGGCAGGAATCAAGGTAAAGGGGGCAAGATGAAATCAACAAAGCTCAGTGTGTAGGCTTGGAGCAAGATTTGAATGTCCAATCAGGTGATTGTTAAAGTCTCCTTTAGAAGAGAACTAGAAGGCCCTGCATCCAGACTGTCTGCCCTGACAGGCTCAGCCTCACTGCTTCCAGGGCAGATGCGGGATCAGGCTTCCATCTTTCCTCCTGACCCCAGGTGCCTGGGATGGGTGAACAGGTGTCTCCGGCAGATTAGGCCAGGGCCCTCCTGCCTGGTGTTGCCGAGAGTGCTGAGTGCTGAGCTGCCCGCCATCTCCCAGCCCAGGGTCTCAGCCTGAGAGACTGCTTGATTTGCTCAGTTACACCTGGACGAGCCTTGTCCCCTGTCTTCTGGGCCTCCACCACTGTGCCTGTCCTTCCTGGAAAAGCTCTGTACACTCTGGTCAGAGGCTTCCTTCAGTGAGCAAACATGTCCTAGAGCTCAGCTTCCTTTTTCTCTCCACTCCCTCTCAAGTCAGAGGTTGAGAGAGGGCAAGAGGACCTGGTTCCAGCAGGCAGTGGGGAAGGAACACAATAAGTGAGGACCCTCAGGCATTTAAATCCAAACCTGGCAGGGAGGGTGCCCAGCAGGCAGGTCCTGAGGTCAGGGGCAGAGCATCACTTAAGAGAAGAGGGCCTTGGGCAAGAGACCTGACTGGGGTCTCCAGAGTCTCCAAGAACACACCTTTCCCAGGGCCCCGTCTGTTCTGCTGCTGTCCCTTCTCCAGAGGATGTGGAGTGAGGTTACGGTAGGCACAGCTCCGAATACTCACAGTAGCCTAGTGTTCCCTGTCCTTTTCTCTACTGACTCTTACCTGCCTAAAACCTATTTAGTTGAGACATCACCCTCTGTGACCCCCCAACTCCACCCCAACACATCTGGATGGCCTAGATGCCCCCTTAAGGGCTGCCCCAGCTCCCTGCTCCTCCAATCATAGAACTTATCACACCATATTTGCCTTTTCTCACCAGACTATGAGTTTCTTGAAAGCAAATTCCATAAATTTTTTGCTCACCATTCTGCACCAGTGCCCACTGCAGGGCCTGGCACACATTGAACGGTCACCAAATATTTGTTGAATAAACTAGCACACCAATGAATGGATTCCTGGAACGGCTCTAAGCAGAGTGGCCCAAGGTGCAGTGTGGAGCTCCCAAACTCAGTGATGGGGCCCTGGCAATAGGGCCCAAGCTACAGCAGTTTGGAATCCAGCCTCTCCCCTACCCATCCGTTTCCCCACTAACCCATGCCCCCCAGGGTCCTCCTACCTGGAGCGTATTGACAGGGAAGGCGCTGATGGGTGGAAAGTCGAGGATCTGGAGGTCGTGCACGTGGCCGTTCATGACGACAGCAGGCAGGTAAAGGCGGCGGGCGGTGGTGGGGACGCAGACCTCGCTGAACTCGTTGTACAAGAACTGGCGCACGATGGCACTCTTGCCCACACCTCGCGCCCCCAGCACGGCCACCCGGTAGGTGGAGACCATGCCTCCCGCCCCACTCCGCCACCTCGTCCTTGCCGCTGTCTGGGGCTCCCCCGGGCTGCATATTCCAGGGGCTGGGGGCTCAGCCACCGTCAGGACCAACCATTGCTGCCTCTGCTTGCCCTGGGCCCTCTGCGGCCTCCACCTGGACTGTGGGGACAAGAGGTGGGCTTAGTGCACTGGCTTATCCCTGGACGTGTCCTGCACTTTTCCACCTTTGGGACTTTGCTGAAGCTGTTACTGCCACTTAGAATGCCTTCCCTCTCCCAGAACCCCTGTGGCTGCCTTTCCAAAACCTCTCCATCCCTCCTCCATTTTTTCCTGCATTCCAGTAGTAGGGCCCAATCTTTCTTGACTTATGACTTGACTTTTCTCCAGGTCCAACTCCAACCAAAACAGGCTGCAGAGCAGAGTGGGAAGCGCACTGGACTTGGTTTGATCCCAGCTTCCCCACAGAGCCTGGGACAAGACGGCAACACCTCTGAGTCTGTGTCCTCCTGAATGGGTGGGACTGGGCAGGTGTGTCTCAGTGCTGGCACTCCTGACATTTTGTGGGGAGAGAACTCGATTGTGCAGGACTGCCCACACATTGCAGGACATTTGCTTTCCGTGGCCCCCAAGAGGTAACTGCCAGCCTCCAGACACCATGATGACCAAAAACTCCCCCTGCCCCCATTTCCAAATGCCCCTAGTTGAGAATGCTGCACTAGATGACCACGTCGCCTCTGGGGTGCAACACTGCTGAGCACTTACTCTGCTGGCATGCCCATATGGTTATCCTTGGTCAGTACGACATCTCTAAGGGATAAGTACTGTTATTCCCACTTTAGAGAGAAGCTTAGAAGGAGTAAGAAGTGTGCCCAATCACAACCCGAAGGGCAGCTACTCCTTTCTACGATGTCGCAGTACTTCTTCCAACTTTCAAGTTGGCTGGAGTACAGTGGCATGATCTCGACTCACTGCAGCCTTCACCTCCTGGGTTCAAGCCATTTTCCTGCCTCAGCCTCCCGAGTAGCTGGGATTACAGGCACCTGCCACCACACCCAGATAATTTTGGTATTTTTAGTAGAGATGGGGTTTCGCCATGTTGGCCTGGAATCCCTGACCTCAGGTGATCTACCCACCTTGGCCTCCCAAAGTGCTGGGATTACAGGCGTGAGTCACCGCGCCTGGCCAAGTTCAGTGATTCTAACCAGTGAATGCATATAGGCCAAGGTCTGGGTCTGATTCTCTGGCATCCCCTAGAGCCCAGAGGGCCTGGCACATAGCAGGTGCCCAGAAAAGGGCTGCTAGGGGTTTGGGCCTTGATACGAATTCATCAGCTCTGGTGTGTCCTTGCTGCAGGTCAGTGGGCAAATCACCTTCTCAACTGGAGCCATGCTTCTGCACATAGGTAAAATGAGGTCAACAGCCCCTACTTCTGAGAAAATCCAAGTAAATCTCTTAGCCAGGAAAAGGAGAGAACCTTTCTTCTTTTGTTGGTGATGGTGACCAGAGAGGCTGTTACATGCCTGAGACCTCCTGTCTGGATTCCCAGGAGGGTGACATCAGCACTTGCTAACTGGCTCCAGGGCAGGTGGGTTCGCCGGATTCTGGCAAGGCCATGCTTTTCCGCATGGGTGCATACTTCTCTGCAGATGCATGTTCTTTCCACATATGCACAAGCCACAGCTGAATGTCCCCCAGGTTGTCCTGGTTCAGAGGACTCACTCCACGGGGTATGTGCGCACACAGCATAGTAAATACAGGTCAGGATGTGGAATGAGAACCGCCAGGGCTTGATTCCTAGCTCTGCCATTCACCTGAAGTGTGACCTTGGGCAAGAAACTTTATTAAGTGTTATGATGTGTGCATGTAAAGCCCAGTGCCTAGGCCAGAGTAGGTGTTCAATAAACAGTGACCACTGCTATGGGCAGGGGTCATTCATTCATCTAAGCTTCCCACAAACTTAGCAGTGGAACCTCCTAGCAATCCCAGGAGGGGCTGCTATCTACTGTTGCATGAGCTCACATGCATGCAGTGTGCGTGAGAGAGATTCTTCTCATTTTATTGAAGGTTTAAAAAACAAACAAACCCCCCAAAAAACAAACCCAGTGACTTAGGGAAGTGAAGACCTCATAGCCAGTTGAGTTGTTAACTAAGATTAGGACCCTGAACTCCTTCCTGCCCCATGCAGTGTCCCTTCTCCAACAGGTGTTTATACACTTACATGGGCTCCCAACTAGGGGGAAGTACCTATCCCTCCTCCCCATGTGTCCCTCCAGGTCCCGAAGCCCCTTAGGCATCCCTGGACACCACTACCACCAGCATGGCAGAGAGACTCAGCTGGGTTAATTACATAACCAGTACAGGCAGGTGGGGAGTGGGGAGTCCTAGGGGAGGAAGAGAGGGCAAGGAACGCCAAGAAGAGTCCTGGCCTCTCTCTGGGTGTGGCAGCTCAGAGATTTCTAGGATGCACCCTACCTGCAGATTGTCGCGGACACCACACTCCCTGCCCAGAAACCAGCCCTTTCTGGGGAGCGGCAGGGAAATGCAAGAGGGGCACTACCCAGGAGCTAGGAAGGGGGTGCAGGAGGCCCCTAGGCTGGGGCCAGCCTCCTGGAACTCATCAGGTCCAAGTGTGGCCCTGTCCCCAACTCAGAAGCGATCGGTGCCCCTTCCTTCTTTCCAGGCAGAGGTCCTGGATCTAAGAGTATATTAATCCAACACCCTTGGCTGAGTGCGGAAGGGAGGGGGCTGTCCCAGGAAGCAGGGCCCAGGCCCCTGAGCGCTTTCTCCCCAAGGCCTGCGCTCTGCAGTGAGTCTGCAGACAGCGCCCGGCAAGAGACTGCCCGGAAAGAGAGGCAAGAGACCAGAGACACACACAGGGGGCGAAGCCTGGTTCCGTCCCCTTCCCTGCGTCTGGACACCTGGGTCGCTGCCCAAGGCTGAGAGCGGGGGCTTCGCGGATCCCGAGGGCCGGGTCACAAGTCTGCCAGCTGTTTGTTCCAACCACGTTCGCCTGGGGGTGGGCTGGGGGCGACAGAGGATGCTGCGCTCCCCATGACCTGATTGGTAGGAGTTTGGGGGGATGTAGAAGCCCAGCTCGCTCTCCGCCTCCAGCACCTTGCAGGCACCCCCACCCCCAGCTCCAGCTCTCACGTGGCGGCCCCGCGCCGCTTCCCCGCCCGCCCGCCCGCCGGCCCCCTCCTAGTCCCGGACGCCCCTCGCCCAGGCCGTCTCCTCCTCCCCCGACCCCGGCCCGACCCCCCGAGCCCCTGACCCGGCCCCGCTCCACCCCTGACCGCTTCCCCTCCTCCCGCCGCTTACCCGGGGCCGTCCTAGCTGCCCCCTGCCCTGGCCGGCCGGTCGGCGGGGCTGAGCTCCCCCCGGGCTCCGGCGCTGCCCCCCGGCTCCCCCGCCCGGGGGGAGAGAAGTAGGGGCTCCCCCGCCTGCCCAGTCGGGGCGGGCTCAGGGCGGGCGCGCGGGGGCAGATGCGGGCCGCCGAGGGGGTAGGAACCTCCAGCCCCAGCTCTCCCTCCGGAGCGCGCCGCCTGCTCGCGCTGGAAGGAGGAGGGGGTGCGGGGGTGCGGGCTGGCATTCCGCTGGGTCCCTGAGCCTGACATATTCGCTTGGGCGGCCCTGGACGAATTCTTTAATCCCTGGCCTCGACCTTCGCACCCCTCCAGACTCTCCCTGCGGGAATTTAGCTGTAACTTGGAGGAGCTGAAGAAAGGCATGGGAAAGCCCTCAAGGCCTTTGCTCATTCCGACTCTTGGCCTCATATGCCCCTCGCCCAGGCCTGTCACCAGGCCACTGTGTGCCCGGCACAGTGTGTTAGAGACATCCAGGCTCTGCTCCTCCACCCTCCTCAAGGGCTGAGCGAAGGGTGATCACTCTCACCCTTCACTGCTGCAGTGAAAGGCAGAGCTGGCTGGCACAAAGAAGGTCTCCCCTGCCAATGCTGACCTCCACGCCCCTAAAACTGTCATAGGCCTCTTCTCTCCAGAATGGGAGATACCAGCATTTGTCAGGATTGAGGGCAAAATCACCCATGTATTTATTCTAAAAGTCATCATCTCTAACCTTTAATGATCAACGTCATGTCATAATCAATGTCATCATTGATAGGCAACCTCTATTTTGCCAGTGCGCTATGAGCTTTGCATGCATCCTCAGATTGAATCCTCACAATTCTACGGGGTAGATTGTTTCCTCCACTTTACAGATGAGATAGTTGAGGTCGAGAAGCTTGTCTCACTTAGATGTAAAATGTGAATACAAAGATTGGGAGTCCCTAGCTGAGCAGTCACTGATGAGTTTGGTATTAGGCTCACAGTCCAACGTGAGATCAAAAGCAGACCACACAACATTAAAATGTGCTGTGTGCAAAGTCAAGGTTCTGCGGAGGGCAGGGGAAGTGGGACAACTCATTAGACGAGTCACTGAAGCTTCGCAGGAGGCAACTTTCAAGGAAGCAACCTTGAAAGAAGTAGATTTTGGGGCTGGGTGGAGGGAGATTGTAGCAGAAGAAAGCTACGGAAGTCAAGAGCAATTACACAGGCTTGAGAAGTGAGTCTGGGAACCAGACAGGAGCCCATGAGGAAGCATGGTGGGTGGAGAGGCGAGAGGTTGGTCACAAAGGCCCTGATTGACAGGATGAGGAGTTGGGATCCAGCCCTGTGCTGGATGGGAAGTCATCGAAGAGTTTTTTGTTGTTGTTGTTGTTTTTGTTTTTGTTTTTGAGATGGAGTCTCGCTCTGTTGCCAGGCTGGAGTGCAGTGGCACGATCTTGGCTCACAGCAACCTCTGCCTCCTGGGTTCACGCAATTCTCCTGTCTCAGCCTCCAGAGTAGCTGGAACTACAGGCACGCGCCACCACACCCAGCTAATTTTTGTATTTTTAGTAGAGATGGGGTTTCACCATCTTGGCCCGGATGGTCTCCATCTCTTGACCTCAGGTGGTCCACCTGCCTCAGCCTCCCAAAGTGCTGGGATTACAGGCGTGAGCCACTGCACCCGGCTCTATGGAAGAGTTTTAAAGCAGGGACACACCTGCTCAGGTTGCATTTTAGAGCCTCCAGGGCAGGAGGAGGAGCAGAAGCTTGAGAGATATCCCAAGTGTTTTTACCCCTGGGACCCTGCATCCTCCACTGTGACCTCCTATTACCCTGTGCTCCGGCTCTCAGGCTCCCAAACAGAACTCAGTTTTCCTCCACAGTCTGACCTCTGCATTTTGGGCACCTTCCCTATTCCTCCCTTCCCTCTCCTGTTCAGTCACAGAGGAGAATGGGTATGAGCCTGGGCTTCAGAATCAGACAGAGCTAGATTTAAATCTTGACTCTGCCACTTACTATTGTAACTGAGGCAAGTAACTTGAAGTCTATAGTCTCATTTATTAAATGGAGTGTGATTAATTGTCCCTCACTGTTGTTGACAGGGTGTAAATGAGCTGAGGTGTGTAAAATCCTTAACACAATGCCTGGCATGTAGGAAGTCTCAGCATGGGGCCTTTACTTTTTGCCTTTTTAGGGACACGCAGGCATTCTACAGGAGGATGAGCAACACCGTGGTACAGCGGTTCCATTTATTCTAGGTAGGCTCCCAGAGGGTTGGGGTGGGGGTATGAAAGGACCAGAGCAGCAGCTAGAAGCAAGTATAGGGCTGGAATGAATTTGGCTTCCTCCTGGAGCACCACTTTTGGGGAGAATAAATCAGATTTTAACTGGCCCTGTGGGATCACATGGGGTCGCTAAGGGCCTCTTGATTGCATCACCTGTCCCTCCACTGTATCTGAAAATCTCTAATCCTCACCCTGCCCGAGGATCCCAGGCTTTATGTCTGCTCCCCCAGGCTGTGGCCCTCCATTCCAAAGGCGGACTAGAAGTAAGAAATTAAAATACACTAGGCGCTATGGCTCATGTCTATAATCCCAGCACTTTGGGAGGTCAAGGGGGGCTGAATGCTTGAGTCAAGGAGTTCAAGATCAGCCTGGGCAACATGGTGAAACCTCGTCTCTAAAAAGCATACAAAAACAGCCGGGCATGGTGGTTGCACACCTGTAGTCTCAGCTACCTGGGGCAGATCACTTGCACCTGAAGGTCAGGGCTGCAGTGAGCCGTGATAGTGCCGCTGCACTAGGGAAACACAAAGCTGCAGGTTAATTATGGAGCCTCATACTGGCCTTCAGTGAAAGGTCATTTAAAGGATTATTTTTATTTAAAAAAACAAACAGCAATTCTATCTACATGAAGTGGAAGATTTGCCTGAAGTTAGGATACAGTTGTCATCTTGGTTTGCTGAGAGTCACTTTGGCCTAAGAACATGCACCCCTAGGAGCCTGTTCACTCTCCCCCATCATTAGGAGCACTTTGATGGGAACATGTGAAAGACTCTGTACTTGGGTCTGACCTTGAGCCTCAGGTGGGTCTGGCTCAGCTGAGGATGCCTGCCTGTTGGCTGAGGTGCAAACTCAGGGAGCAGACACATGGGACCGCCTGCAGTAGCTGAGGCCCAGACACGAAGTGGGACAGAAATGTCAAAAACCCAGACCTGCCTACCTCTGCCCCTGCTCCATCATAGCTGAGGATCCTACTGAGCTTTCAGAGGCTATTAGGCCAGATCCTGGGGTCTCCGACCATAAGTGAAGAGTAAATGAAACAAGAGAGGGTGAGCTAGAGGCTGGACTTGAACATCATCCTCTAACATCTACCCGGTGGGAGAAGTGGGATGAGTGGAGTAATCTCAGCCCCAGAGCATTGAGAAATGATCCCAGAGATGGCAGTCTTGTCTCAAAACGATGCTCTTGGAAACAGCCATTGCAAGCACTTTTCCAGCTGAGAACCTGGGTGTAACCAACCCCCAAATTAGCCTTCCCTTTGTTGGCAGCATCAAGCATGGCAGGGCAAAAGCTAAATGAGAAATTGAGATGGTAAGTTTGGAGCCAACTCGGAAACTTTTCAAGAAACATCCCTTGTTGCTAATAACATGTCTGGGGGCTGGTTGGGATTCTAGGATTAGTGTTCAGGAGATAGAATTGGGTAACAACGGGGGAGGTGTGATCTTTTCCAAGTGCCATACCAGGTATTAAAATAAACAGGCTCTTGCCTCCTGGAGCTGGGGGTGGCAGGGAAAAAGAATCTGGGTCTAAGCAAAACCAGAAAAAGCATTAATGCACGAAGTGGGAGTAGAAAGCCCAAACCTGCGAGTCCTTAGCTGTTTTCTGACCTCAGAAACAATGTACCTGACATCTCAGTGTTTCCTAGTTGTCACTTTACAGGCAGAGAAAGACAGTGTAGTCTCAGGTGCAAGTCTGGGACCGGTGTGCTCTGAACATACTGGTATCCTAGGGGCTTAGCAAGCTGGGATGTGGCTGAGAGCAGAGGTAGGAGAGAACCTATTACAGAACCTCCAGTGGACGAAGGAGGAAGCTACAGTGTAGTTCTAAGGACACAGACAGGGAGTCAGAAGACGTGGCTCTGCCACATCTCATCTGTAAACTGGAGATGAAATTAAATTCATGAGATAGGTAAGGGAATAGGCAGGTATTGTACATATGGAAGTGCTTTAACCATTTTTCAACTGCCACAGAACATGAGTATTACTGTGGAAGAGGAAGTAGGTGAACAGGTGTGAGCCTCTCTCTCTGGCAGTGATTCTTGACCTTGACTGCACGTTAGAAAACACCTGGGAGTTTTAAAACATGCTGATTCCCCCAGGTACCATCCCAGACTGATTGAACTGAACCATGTCTTTTTTGAAAGCTCTCCAGGTGACATTAATGTGCACCGAAGAGTTGAGAACCTCTCCTTCAGGACTTTCTTTGCCCAAATTAACGTCATTCTTAACTGGCAACCCCGGTTTGACCCCTCTCACCAAGTGTTTTTCCTATTACAGCTAACTGCAGCCTGGCAACATGGAGACAACCAGAAAGTTCCTAGCTGCCAAAAGGCAGTTTGCTCATGGGGTTTGGACATCCAAGTAATAAAGGCAGCTACGGTTGCTGAGCACCTACTAAGTCTCAAATGCTACAGAGTGCTTTATCTACATTCACTCTAGTGGTGAGAGAGGTTCAGGGACTTATCCAGGGGCATCTTGGTGTTAGATCCCTCATTCCAGCCTCTTCCCCCCATTCCAGGCAGTGGGAGATCTCAGCAGCTGTCAGCTTATCAGAACCTAGGCTTGGCGGGGGGCCTCCTGTCTTGACAACATATGGGTCATATGCCCCCAACAACACAAATGCAGGCCTCTAGTCTTGGAACTCCCTGGGAAGCTTGTTTTAAAGCAGGATTAATTCCATTTGCTTGGGAATATGCAGGCCCTGAGGCCGGGTTTGAGAGACTTTTGTAAGTTGAGAGATGATTGAGACATCCTGGGTAATAAACCGATGAGAAGCTCTGCTGCATTCCTCTCGCCCTGGGCCCTGCTGGCTGGATGCCAACTGACAAGTCAGAAAAAGGCCCTGTGGCTCCGGCTACTGCCCCTGGGACCATTTGCCTGGGGCCCCAGCAGGGGAACTGCCAGGAAAAGACAGATTGACTCCTCTGAGCACTCCCTGCCTGCAAAGATGCCTGGAGTTGCAGTGGTGCTTTGGGTCTTGGTCAAAAGGAGCCCCCAGGAGGTATATGATTCTTCCTCAAGTCACTCTTAATTTCATGTGGCTGAATCCCTGGGAGGGCTGGGGCAGTCAGAAAAGTTTTAATAGAGTGGTTATGAATGTTCTGTCCCTCTCTGGCCTGCTGTGTTTTCTCCTAGAATGTCAGTTCTGGGGAAAAAAATACATACCACAAACTTCATTTTGTGTAAATGTGAGTTTATTGACGAAGACACAAGGTCAAGCTTCCCCCAACCCCCACCCTCCCGAAAAACAGGACCCAATAAGAACAGAGGAATGAGAAGCATTCTTAGGGCAACATTTCCCCTGCCCCCCCTCCCCATTTCTTTCCAGAGTCTCAAGCTTCACAACACAGACACAGAGCAGGCTTGGGTGAGGACAGACACTCAGGGAATCTCTGACCAGCAAAAGAGTTCTGGGTGTTTGCTTCTCCTGCTCTTTGTATGATGCCAGCTGACATTACAAAGACACACTCAGGCAGAGGAGGGGGGATGCAGGGCAACCTCCATCCCACTTCCCCAATTTGGCCAAGCTTGGAATGAGCCAAGAGGGAAGCCGTGGTGGAGGCAACAGGTTTTGCCTCTCAGGAGAGGTCCTTTTATGGGAAGTAGAATTCCTCCCTAACTCTGCTCAGGGGTGTGATGGGAGGTGGCTTCCCCAAGGAGTGAAGAGTTCATGGGTTGGCTCAGTCAGGTCAGCTGAGAATAGGAGCTGTTATCCATCACTGGTGGGGAGGCTGAGAGAAGCCTTGTTTCGGGGGTTGAGGGACATATTCTGATAGGAAATTGTGTTGTCTGCTTGCCCTGACACACTTTTCCTTCTGGAATGATAGTTTGCTTTGAGATGAGAACACTATTTGCAGTGTGAACCTTCTGCACTACTTGTATCCACTGACTCCAGGAATAAGTCCCAAGAAGGGAACTTTACCAACCTGCTTTTCCGCTCCACACATCACCGACCTATCCACCTCCCACATACAATCCTATGCTGTTTCCTACTGCCATGTGCTTCAGGGGTGGTGTGCAAGGGACATATTTCCTCCCTCCTTCCCCAAATATTTTTCTCTTGGAGATTCTCAAGGTTTAAGAAAGTGCTTTGTGGGACCGCTCCCCACAAGCTTTGCAACTGGTATGAAACAGGGTTATTTCAGACATGAAATAGGGGTGTGGGGTAGTTTTGCTCTTGTTTTCCACGATTCCTCCTCTGAGTCCAGTGAGTTAGGTCTCAGTCCAACATGACGCCTGTGGAGCCTGAAGTGCCCCTGATTTAAGCAGGGCATCTGAGAAGACCAGTCTTAGTCATGGACCCTGAATATTGGGTGCCAGGCAATGCAACAAGTGCCCGCAGATCAAACAGTGTAACACTGCTAAACAGGCTGGTATTTTGGGCATGAAGCATTCTTTGAAAAATCATATCCAACGCATTAAGTGGGGTAGGGGGAAGATTTCATATCCCCCAGTCTTTTCAGAGATGACAGGAACTGCCTGAACCTCTGGGATGATCTTAATATGCCCTGCAGACTAAGTATCATGAAGAAAGAGCAGATCAGAGAGCTGAAGGGATAAAGAGCATTTGCAACATCTCTAAGCTCACTTCATCTCTGCACCTATTCTGCTGGCCTCAATAAGTGGGGCTCCAGGGGCATATGGGAAACACTGGCTACACCTTCATTCTGGCATCTGGCTTTACCTTCGAGTAATTCAAAAGATATTCAGCTGCCACCTGATGCCAATATACAGAGCGTCAAAATCAATATGGAATATGTGAAGAGCCAAAAACTAGGCACAGAAAAGGCAGGAGAAGGCATTAGGGGAAAACGACAAGAGACAGTCCTGTGGTGAAAACCACACTGACGGGGACTTAGGAGACTCGGTCTCGGCTTTGCCACTACACAGCTGACGGGCCTTGGCGGTAACCTTTGTGCCTTTTATCTTTCTCCTTTGTAGGAAAAGAGGGTTAGATAAGTTATTACTCTGTTTCAACTCTAAAAGTAGAATTTTAGATTTGAACTGGACCTGAGAAATACAGGAGAGGGGGTGAGGGGACAGCATCTGGGTTCTTGTTCCCCATCTCTACTCAAATTCCTGAATTAGTGGGATTAGCAGGTTTGTTCAGGGGAAAGGAAAGGAGTAAGGTATAACTTCTGTCAGCTTTGGTGCTGACAGGCTCTATAGTTTTTGCACACTGAAACATCATTCAAGAAGATCACCGTTCCCAACTGCAGAGCAATCAAATGAGATTATAATATGGAAAGGGGGAAGCATGAAGGCTTGGCCAAGGAAAAGGAGTTTGGAGGGGAAAAAAAGAAAAAAGCAAACTGAAAATCCAAATGACCAGGGATAAGGCTACTACAGGTAAGAGAACCCATCAAAAGCTAGGGTAGGTAACTGCATCTCTGCCTCCAGGACTGTGTGGTTAATGACAGTCATTTCAATGCTTTCTACTGGTTGCACTAATCCCTTGATTTCTCATATGTACAAAAGTATAAAACAGTAAAGTGCAGTGTTTCAGTTACACTTTTCCTTGCTTTAATATTTGTTGTCTTTTTCTGCTTTTGAAATGAGCTCTCAATTACAAAATACCAAACTACACTCAAAAGAGGGTGTAGAAAAAGCCAGCCATTGGCACAGCATGGAGAAGCCCACAAGTAAGGACAGATAGCAGCAGCAGGTGGCAAGAGGTGGGAGGTGACTGAAGCAGTGGTTACAAATGTTCACAGGAAGCTAAAACTATCCAACAGGTTGTGCCCTAATGTTAGCACAGGTTAGACTAGTTACTACCTTGCTAGGTGGCCTCAGTGTGTTCAGATTCTACGCAGCAATACAATTTCTTCCAGTTAAGAGTTCTTGACTTGCACCGATCACAGCATGGTTGAAGGGTACTGGACCAGTCTTGTTAGTTTTTCAAAATGCTGTCGTAGACCTGATAGATGTATTGAGAGACTTCAGGAGCTCTACACTTCAGTGACAGCTGTTAGGAGAAAAAGGAGATGGAAGATTAGCACAGAGGTTGGCATTAGCTCTAAAGGTATCCAAGCACTCAGTTCAAGAAAACTTTTGACACAGTGGGAGAGAAACTTCTATCACTGGAGTAGCTAAACAAAGAGATTATGTTAATAAGTGCTGTGGGTTTTAGCATTTCAATTTAATCAATATCAAGTTGTGCTGTGCTTCTACCTCCATTCCATGTGGGTCTATAAGATTAGGAAATAATCCATACTAAAAACATCAAAGCCACTGACTGCAGAGCAACAGCTGCTCTAATGCTTTTCTAAGAGTTATAGGGATTATTATTAAATGAAAAGGGAAGGGCCAAAGCCCTTAACTTGTTGATGGTCCTTTCAGCTGCCTGCCTCAGTTTCTCAGTCTGACAAGAGGATGGCTATATCTCAGTCCCAACTTCAGGAGGATGTACAATCAAGTGAAATAAAACCATAAACTAGGTAGGTCCAAGGTATTAGTCCTTTCTGTATTATAATGAGGAGAGTATACACCCCTAAGAGGGAAGACAAGAACATGAAAAGACACTTACTTAGTATAACCCAACCTCAATTCACATCAACAGCTTAATCTTTTATTTTCTGCCTCTTTAGACAGGCAAATCAGATACCTCTGATACCCCTCTACCACCACCTCTTCTTTTAGTCTAATGAATACCAAATTAGACATCAATATTAAAAAGATCTTAATGGTGAATATTGAGAATTTCACTTTGTGAGTCAGTAAGGACAAAATTTAAACCCAGATTTAGAATCTTAATTGTATTAGATTAGGCAGAATATTATTAACAATAATATAAGCATGCAAAACGCACTCTAGAACCAGAAAATTTAATAGCTATATATTTTATATTGCTGACATCATTCCTCTTGTTAATTAGGGCAGGTCAACAAAAATTGTCTTGAATGATGTAGCACCGTGAGATTTTAGACTATTTTACCTCTTTATTCTCTTATTAGAGACTAAGGACAATTTAACATAGTGCAAAAGTGAGACTATCTTTGAATAAAAGGTCAAGAAGATTTTGGTCAACGGTGAATTTCCTAAAAACTAACAACCTAAAAAGTTAAAGTAAAATTTAAAATGCAAAAAAACCCCAAACCAAACAAAAGAACATGGGAAGATATTCTATTGATTTACAGCTTTAATATTCAGTCCCCAAGGCATTCCCAAAACTGCTGCTTGGTATTAGTCAGGAAGACAATTCTGATAAATGTAAAAAAAACCAAAACAACTAACTTAAGAATATAGCTATTCCTTATATATAGAAAACAGCTCCCTATTTTGGTCCAAGTTGCATCTTTAGGCATTTCCCTGACTTTCAAACTCCCTATTGAAGCAATTCTTTTTTTGAGACAGAGTCTTGCTCTGTCACCCAGGCTGGAGTGCAGTGGCGTGATCTCAGTACACTGCAACCTCCACCTCCCAGGTTCAAGCAATTCTCCTGCCTGAGCCTCGCGAGTAGCTAGGATTACAGATGCGTGCCACCATACCCAGCTATTTTTTTTTGTCTTTTTAGTAGAGAAGGGGTTTTGCCATGTTGGCCAGGCTGGTCTCGAACTCTTGACCTCAGGTGATCCACCCACCTCGGCCTCCCAAAATGCTGGGATTACAGGCATGAGCCACTGCGCTGGACCTAAAGCAATTCTTGTACCTCCTTCTCTACAGCCTTCTCTACTGCCAGTGTTGTGGAAAATTCTAGTGGGAGAATATGTGGATTCAGAAATGGAAGAGAAGAGGAATCTAAAAAGAGAAACAACAGCTTAAGAGAGTTAACTCCCAGACTAAGGAGAGGTAGTCCCCAAATACTCCCCCAAAATACTATCTTGTATTTTTCCACATCTTTGTAACAATACTTGAAGTTCCTCCAGCTGGAGGTTCATTTTTATGTTTACAACTAGTAAGGAAATGTTGCCTTCCTCAACAATGGCTCAAACTGCCAAGGCTGGCATTGGTGGGAAGTCATGGACTGACCAGACCCTAGGCCCTGGGCATTACCGCTGGTCTTTGGAGGATGGGGAAGAAACTTTCCCTGTGTCTGGACTCTTAATATCCACACCTCCCCACCCCTACCTCCACCCCAGCCTCTGACAAAGTGTCAAGTTTATTACATATAGCTAGGACTCTGGCTCTCATTTTGTATGGCTCCTAGGGAGAAAGAGGCCTTCCTTGGGGCTTAACTTTCCAACTGCTAATTCCTTATGTGACATGTCTTTAACATCAGCCATTCAGGAATCCAGTCCAAACTAGACACACCAAGGGCAGAAGAGTCACCCTGTCCTGCCTAATTAAAATTAAGGGGCTATGCATCCACTTTTGGCATATGGTGTGGAACATACACTGCTTCACGTGGGACAAGTTATCTTTCAGGTGAGGATTACCTACTTACAGAGATATAGCCTCACCCTTATAGGATAAACCTATCTTCTTAATAAAATACAATAAAAACTGGGGTTTGGGGAGAAGTGTTTTATTAACCCCTCTTAGGAGACTAAGGGACCATCAGTCTGTCATGCATTAGTGCTGGCTCAACCCGATTTCTTTCTTAATACTTAGCTCAGATCAGATTAATAGTATAATAGGAACTTAAGGTGATGAAGGGAATGGATCAGAATGACTTTAGAGTCTGCCTCTTTAGATAGGCAAATCAGATACCTCTGATACCCCTCTACCACCACCTCTTCTTTTAGTCTAATGACTAAAAGGGTGCCACTTAGGGGAACAAATTAGACCTATTTGTCAAGTGCTATGATGGGAGATTTAGATGGTATTGTGGGCAGAGAACCTAGTCACCAGACAGGATGAAGAATAGGAAAGAGGGCAAGGAAGTATAAACAAATTCACCATTTAAAAATATGGGGCAGGGGGCGGGTGGGCCAGGTGCAGTGGCTCACGCCTGCAATCCCACCACTTTGGGAGGCCGAGATGGGAGGATCGCTCAAGGCCAGGAGTTTGAGATAGCCTGCACAACATAGCGAGACCCTATCTCTATATTAAAAAAAAAAAAAAAAAAAAAAAAAAATATATATATATATATATATATATATATAAATAAAATAAAAATATATGGGACAAAGGAAGGTGGATGTGGCTAAACCACGAGGACAGAATCTATTTTTTTTAACTTTTATTTGCATTTATTCCATGCTGAATTTATTCCCAGGTTATAAATTTTTGTTTTCTTCAATTTCTTCTGGGATATCTTTTTCTTCCCTGCAACCCTCTCTTCTGGTTTAGGAACAATTTACTCTTTTTCAGTAAGGATCATTTCAATATGTGGCAGGGGAGTTTATGTATGGGTTAATGTGACCTGAGCTCTATAAATACAGCAACATATCCTGGGGCTTTGTTCACCTGGACATGCTCAATGACCAGAGAATCTGCATCTAAACCCTTAGGGTCGGCATTACTCTTTGCCTTTTTAAGCATGTACAGCACAAATTTAGCACTCTTTTTGGGCCACCTGTCATCCTGTGCCCAGCCCGTCTGTTTGGCTTAGGTACACATACCAACTCCACTATAATAATATGGAATGACACACATTGCTTCTATAAAGTGACATCTTTCAAGTACTTGGTGGCTATTTGGATATGCATACCTTTGATGGCCTGGGCACTTCCACGGGTGTTCTTAAAGTAAACATGAAGATTTGAATCTCTTGCTTTGTATGATTTTGGGGGTTTTCTAGGCCAACTGAGCAGAGATCATCTCAGGTCACTTACAGGAAGAGCTCACTGTATTTCTTTAAAAAAAATATGTTTTAATAAAGATGGGGTCCCACTATGTTGACCAGGCTGGTCTTGAACTCCTGTCCTCAAGCGATCCTCCCATTACAGCCTTCCAAAGTGTTGGCATTACAGGCATGAGCCACCACACCAGGTCACTGTATAATTTCTCACAACTACATATGAATTTACAATTACTTCCAAACTTTTGTTTAAATATAAAGGAGAAAATATTCTTCAAAGGATGAATGGAGAAACTGTGGTACATGGACACAGTGAACTATTACTTGGCCATAAAAAAGAACAAGCTATGGATACATGTAACAACTTGGAAGAATGTTATGAGTATTATGTGTGCAAAAAACAATCTTAAGAGGTTACATGTTACATGTGTAATTTATACAACATTCTAAAAATGACACAATTATAGTAATGGAGAAAGGCTGCCGGGGTTAGGGCTGGGGTGAGAGTCTGACCATAAAGGGACAGCAAGAGGAAGTTTTTTTTTTTTGTGGTGACAGAACAAGTCTGTGTCTGGACTCTGGCAGCAGTTATCAAATTGATACATGTAATAAGAGTTCATAGTACTATCCACTACCAATCCCCCACCCCCAAAAGTAATGTAAAAACTGGTGAAATTAGAATAATGTCTATAGTTTAGTTTATTATATTGTACTAATACCTATTTCTTAGTTTTGAAAATGTAGTATGGGTGTGTAAGATGTTATTATTAATGGGGAAAACTGGGTAAAAGAGATGTAGAAACTCTACTGTTCCATTTAAAAAATTTGTTAAGTCTTTATTTCAAAATAAAATACTTTTTAAAATTTTAACAAACTATGTTTAGGACAGTGATACTAAGAAGCTCTTCTCAAAATCAAGAATATTGTGTAAGAAGAGTGTCAAGAAACACCTGAATTCTAAACAAAATTCACCTACCAACAAATTACATGATCTTGAACTAGTCACTAATCATTCTTAGCCATGGTTTACTTATCTGCAACCTGGGAGTAATCATGCTCCTTTAACCTAGCTGAGATGGAAGACTATATACAATAAAATAATGGACAGTAAGCAAAAAGAAAAAAAGGAAAAAAAAAAAACCACACACACCCATATATAAACTTTTGGCAAATTTCTAGAGAGTAAATGGAGTTATTCTCCCCCCAACCCTTTTTTTCTTCCAATTGAGACAAGGTCTCACTATGTTACCCAGGCTGGTCTTGAACTCATGGGCTCAAGTGATCCTCCTGCCTCAGCCTCTCCAGTAGCTGGGATTACAGGCATGTGCTATCTTGGTTTTATAGTAAAACTTGTCCCTCCAGAAACAGCACAGAGGGGTTTTCCTTTCTTGGGAAACTCAAGATAAATGACAGTGTATGTTACTCTCCAAAAGAGATGAGACTGGTGGGGGGTTGGGGAGAGGAGCATACATTTTATGAGGGAAGCCTGAAGTTTTTCAGCTCATAAGTGCTTGGGCAAAAGTCTAACTTGATAGGCCTCAGGAGCGAGCACACACACACACACACACACACACACACACACACACACACACACAGCTACTCCAACTTACTACAAGGATGGGAACTAGTGGGAAAAACACCAAGAATTTTCAGTTCTGGATGGTACTATTCCCTTGATATATGCTAGTGAAAACAGACTTAGCTGTCAAAATTAAGGAACGGGTCACAGAGTTTTCTCAGCTAAATGACTAAAAGGCTCCCTTAAGCTACTGACTATTCAGCTTCCTCAGAAATAAATAGATCCCCATAAAACCCTCAAACATAACAGAGGAATAAGATATTTCTCCCATCCCAAGGGTTTTTCCTTTACTTTTCAAAATGCAGATGACATCCTATTGGGAAATTGCATTTTACAACAGCAAACAAATGCCTAGTGCTTGGCTATCAATCTGCTGTTTAACAAAGCAACTGCTTCTGCCTTATTATTGCCAGAAGTTTTACTTTAGTTCAGTGTGATACTGAAGGAAATTTCCCAAACTAAAGTCCCCTTATACGCTTCCAAAGGTGTGTTCCATTTTGCCTCACCTTTAATAACAAGCATTTCAGGTCATACAATGCTGCTGAAAAAAGCTCATGTGTTAATGACTCTGATAGCCTTAGGTCATGAACTCCAACAGCAAGAAAGGTCTTCTGGACATTAACTATGTAAACAATCCTCTCGGCAGCTTATTATAGTACCACATGCACAGATACACTAGATATGTATTAACTGATATTGAGGATGAAGCTGCCAAGTTTTGTGAGCAACTCTGTATACACCAGGGGGGAGGGATGGATTTGAGGCACTTGCCAGAGATACCATTCCTGTTGGATGGGGCAGACACTGCAGAGAGGAGGTCTTCCATTGAGGCAAATGGAAGCTTCTTCATTGACTACTTATTTTGTATATCTCAGGTTTAAAGCACCTCCTCCAGGTCTTTCTAGGGTGCTAAGTAAACATGAAAGGGCTCTCACCTCCCTCCTCTAATCCATCTCACCCATTCTGAGAAAGGCCTTACCGTGTAATTGGGGTTTCCTGGCTGGATACGTAGTTCGGCCAAAATCCAAATGCCATTAGTGAGCTTCAGGGATTGGTACAGCATGTCCTGCCCTTCCACATTCCTCTTGGCAATAGTATAAACATTGTTGTTTTGCAACTTGCTGGAAACAGTGTCTAGAAATACAGATTCAAAATCCAACACCTTCAGTTAAAATCTCAAACAAATGTACACTCTCTTCTCACATCCTTATGAGCCATGTGTGTTCAGTTCCCTGACAAGTACTGTCACATGGACATGTGTACACTTCAGAAGCCATTCTCCCACACAATAGCAAAAAGTGAAGAACAGGTTCATGACTTGTCTGCCTATCACATTCCAGGACTGAAAACAGAATAAGGTACACCTATGGTTTAGTGCGAGTTACCTTTGGAGATTATGATATTGGTGGGCCTAAGGAGCTGGCAATCTCAAATTAGGTGCTAGACAGGTAAAGAAGACTCTGAAGAGGACAAAGACAGAAATAAGTGTGTGGGTATGCCATAGTGACTGTCATGTTGGTATCTGTTTCTGGATGCTGGTTCCAGATCAATGGGGACACACAGACTGATGACCACATCCATAGTGCTACTTCCCAAGTCACTACTACTTCATTGTGAGCCATTCGGGCCTCAACTGCCAGGATCAGGAAGGGCCCAGAGCTACAGAAGTCAACTGCAAATCAAATTTATTAACCTAGATGTTTAAGATTTTTTTTTTTTCAAAGCAGGCAGAAATGATTTCTTAAGCCTTTAGGGAATACTATGCCTCGAAAATAATAACGAAACAAACTGTCTCAACCACAGATTTTGAGAAAGACTGAAGCTGTGCAAAGGTGACTGCTGCTAGATCCTAAGATCCCAGCTATGACAGAAACTATGACAGAAGTTTTCATAGTCACCAACTCAGGGTAAGAATGGGTTGGTGTTTTGGCTCTTCCTCATGACTACAGTTTCAAAAAGGACATAACGTTCCAGAATTAAAGGTTATTTCTCTCTTTATGAGATGTTGCTGTATCAGAGAAAGAGAAACTTTAAGAATAGAGATGACAAGCACTGCTTCTTTGTTGACTGTTTATTATATTCATTTCTGAAGACAGCATTCAAATTACTCATGCCTACTTCAAGAACTAAATTCTCCCCACATAAAAATCTGTCATATTCTATTGTGCTCTCTGGGAAAAGGTTGCCATGATGGATGGTCTTTCTACCCTTCTAAATGGTAAGCTCTCTGAACAAAGGGATCCTGGAGTTTTTCATCACTGTGTTTCCCACGTTATCTGCAATACAACAGGTACCTTTCATCAATATCTGCTCTGATAGGTGTTGGAGATGCCAATATTTACATAATACCATAGACATAGACGTGAACTAGTTTTGCAGGTAGCTCTCACCCTGATGTCTTTCTCGCACATTCAAACCACTGACAGCTCAGGAGAGGAGGCACTAAGACTCCTTTCATGAGACATTTTTACCACACTTAGTTATTACTTAGCTTTTCCCCTTTTATTTCCAATGTCTTCACTGACACCAAGCAGAGTAGTTAAGAAATGGCTCTATTTGAGGAGTCAAAAAATGTATCTCAGGGTACATCTATGCAATATTGCTGGAAGAAGGGGCCTCAATATGCCCTTTTAATCACCTTGTGGGGGATGAGGCAGTTCTGGTTGCCACCCTGCTTCCCACAATGAAGGGCTCTTGCAGCTTTGAGTGGGTTGCTAGGCAACATCATCAGCTAGGGTTTGGCTAATGCCTTTTGACAGGATTGTCTTGAACACAGAGGGGCTTGCTTTAAGTTGTAAAAATCATTCCTAACTTTCTAGGCCCTTGCCCATTTCCCAGGAAACCCAAAAACACACAAAGTAGGAGCCTTTGTTGAACACCCACCTTGTTGCATAGGCACAAATACATTCTAGCATATACATGTGGCAAGGGCCAGATTCCTACAGAAATAATCATGAAATATTCTCAATTATTTCACCACCTATGTAAGAGATGACAGGCTAAGAAACTCTCTCTGTCTCTCTCTCTCTTATTCTCACTCTTCTAGAATTAGAAAACATGCCAAACAGCCAGGAAGAATAAGCAAGTTGAATGGATGTAACTTTAATACATTTGGAAGCATTCTGGCCAGCAACCTGACTCTGTTCCTAATGAATGACTGTACTGTGATTTTTATCAGAAGACTAGAGAGAGGGTTCCATAACATTAGTATGTGTGATTCGATTTTTATACATTTTAGTTATTAGGTTTGAGTTTGAAGATTTACGGATTGCAGAATGATGAGATTCTGCTAAATGTATGATGAATGGCAAGGGAAGCCAGATATAAGGAGGCTTCCTGGTCTGACTGGGATAGAATTCTTGACAAGATATCATAGTTTTTAATTTTTTAAAACACATTTTGACCTTCTGGGAAACAGGACGGAATCTTATAGTTGTGAGAGTTTGATAATGAGAATGTAATGTAATATTGTTTCACTGTGTGCTGATGATATCATCTGAGGCATAAGACACTGAGATTTATCCCAAAGCATAGAATAAAAAAAGATGGTCAAATATAGTTACCCTTCGTTCAAGATATGATTTCTTTTCTTTTTCCTTCCTTGCTTTCTCTCTCTCTCTCGACAGAGTCTTTCTTTGTTGCCCAGACTGGAGTGCAGTGGCGTGATCATGGCTCACTGCAGTCTCGACCTCCCAGGCTCACATTATCCTCCTGCCTCAGGCTCCCAAAGTGTGGGATTACAGGTGTGAGCCACTGAGCCCAGCCAATATAAGATTTCTTATGGTTCATTTGTATCCTTCCATAAATTTGGCATTTTGAATCTGGGGCCTCAACTCTTAGAAGGTGTCGATGTGATCTTCCTTCTTTTATCTTTCTACTTTAGCTAAGGTCACACATCCTCTGACAGCAACAAGGGTGAAGCAGGTACTCATATTAGAGAGTGGGAATGGGGGAATTTACATCTGGGGCCCTGCTGTGGTATTTATTAGCAAGTTCAAAACCACTATGACTGCTGAAAAGAATGCTTTTTACCATTTAAGCAACCAAATGATAGTTAGGTGCTAGCTGGAAGAGTGTTTCCATTTTTGAAATATTCCAAAGGATGGGGAGAGCCGCAACAAAACAATGAAACAGAATTCACCCTTACCTAGCCCCCATGCTGGAACAAATATTTGTCTCTCATTACAGTACCTAACTAATGAAAATAGATACATTAAGTCTCTGAGCTTTTCTTAATATTATAAACACTTAATTTAAAAAACTGGTTTGTAGAACTGTTCGTCACAAAGATTCCTTTCCAGATATGGCTGGAGATGCAACTACTTCTTGTGCACTTAAGACAGTAGTCCCAGATACCTATTAACCCCAAATGCAGCTGTAATGGTAAGATGTAAAACAGATTCATACAGATCTCCCAACATCCACAGAAATGATCGGTGCTAGAAAGGAGAGACTTCTGTTAGCAGCTTTCTGATCTAACATTTTCTAGTACTTAACACAATTAGCGGCATCATAAGCACTCCCACCATACACTTTTCTCTTAAGATCTGATTAATTATTAAGACTTGGGAAGAGGGTCTCTTTCTTTATTCTCTAGAAAGACATGAAAGAGCAAAGTAAAGCTCAGTGCTAAGTTGGTTAAGTCCTTTAAGCCTGTGACTTCCTGTAGCCCTCAGAGTGTTAGTTCCATCTGTCAAATGTCTATGCTAGCACAGAAAAGCTATTTAAAGTGTTGGTGCTATTGTGATTAGGGCAGATCAGCTGGAAAGGATGGTATTTTTAGCTCTCAGCTAGACCCAGGGTGTTGAATCAGAAGGCACTAAAGCCAAAAACGTTCATGTTAATAGAGCCCTCGAGACTGGAAGGAAATCTAAAGGCCAGGGCACTCCAGACCTGGGGGTGGACTCAAAGGAAGAGCTGGAAAGGATTAGTTGCAGGAAGTGGTCTTGCAAGACTAGCAGTGATTTAATGTGGGAAAATGTTGGCCTTGGACTCCTGGAGAAAATGCAATGACTGTTTTCCCCTATGTTTCATGTGCGGCATGGCCACAGAGCAGTGTATCACTGGAATCTGATTCATTGGTATTTGGAGCACCTACAGCATGGAGCGATTGGCGTGAGGCCATGACAGAATTGATCAAAACTGAATTTGCTCTGAGAAACGACATCAAAGGGCACAGCCCCACTAGGAGAAATGCCAGACACTTCCTCTTTGATAAGATCACAAAAACATGCCGAGGTGCAATAAGAGTTCAAAACTCCAGTCTAAAAGCAGGAGGATTTTTTCTTCTCTGTTATTTTGACAGACCAAAGTCCTCAGTCACCCCAACTTCTATTTTCTTTTTTGAACAACCATGTCCCTTTCATACTGAACATGTCTGAAACAAAACCTGCTTTCCAATCACTCTGGTCTATCTCTGTTCTCTCTCGGAGAGTGTTTTCCAGATCATGTTCAAGGAATACTGGTGGTCCACATGATGTTACTAATAAGTATTTTGTGATTTTAAATTCCAAGGCCAAATAAGTTCAGTTAACACTGAGTTAAATAGGTTTCTTCAGTATAGCACTTCTCAGAACTTTTAGTCTGCTAACGTGCAATGGCAATTTCCAGGTGAAGCCTAGCATATGCTGTATTTTTCAACTTTCATGGATAACAAAACGCTTTTTTTCTTTGTTTTATTTTTATTTTTATTTTTTTTTTGAGACGGAGTCTCGCTCTGTCACCCAGGCTGGAGTGCAGTGGTGCGATCTTGGCTCACTGCAAGCTCCGCCTCCTGGATCCAAGCTGATTCTCCTGCCTCAGCCTCCCGAGTAGCTGAGACCACAGGTGCCCGCCACCACGCCTGGCTAATTTTTTGTATTTTTAGTAGAGACAGGGTTTCACCATGTTAGCCAGGATGGTCTCGATCTCCTGACCTCGTGATCTGCCCACCTCGGCCTCCCAAAGTGCTGGGATTACAGGCATGAGCCACTGTGCCCGGCCCAAAACCCTTTTTCATAAGGGAAAAGTGTTCTGAGGAACATTCTATTTGAAATGTTGCCATTGAACCAACTCCCACAAAGGTGAATATAACCAGGGGCCTGGTCTCTTCCTAGCTGGGTACAGAGGTGGCTCCTCTAATAGGATCCACCAGTGAGCCTCAAAGTGAGGGAAAGATGACACTGTCATCTTCTTCAAATATGACACAAAATGAAAAAAATCAATTATTACTGAATTAATTGAAACAATTAATTATTATGATGGAAATTACAGAAGACCATGCTTCAAACACCTCTCCAAGAGCTCCAGAGACGTGAAACAATTATCAGAGGCAAACATCTGCCTGAAGTTTCTATATGCAAAGATGCCTGTCTGAATGTCTTTTATTCTGAGGGTTCCAGGAGGGCTTCAGTCTCCTGAATGTCTCAGAGAGGGCCTATAGGAGCATCACATTTAAAAGAGGTATCACAGGATAAAGCTGATCACTATGATGTTGGATTTCAAAAGCCCTATAAGATTCATCTGAACACAGAAGATGAATATTACATAGAGCCATAAAAAACTAAAATTAAAAAGCTGGGCTGGGTGCAGTGGCTCATGCCTGTAATCCCAGCACTTTGGGAGGCCGAGGCGGGCGGATCACAAGGTCAGGAGATCAAGAACATCCTGGCTAACAGGGTGAAACCCCGTCTCTATTAAAAAAATACAAAAAAATTAGCCGGGTGTGGTGGCTGGCGCCTGTAGTCCCAGCTACTCTGGAGGCTGAGGCAGGAGAATGGCATGAACCCGGGAGGCGGAGCTTGCAGTGAGCCGAGATTGTGCCACTGCACTCCAGCCTGGGCAATGGAGCGAGACTCCATCTTGGGCCGGGGAGTGGGGTGGGGGAAGCTGGAATGAGAAGGCATTATTTTGTGTGTGTGTGTGTTTTTTTTTTTTTTTGCTTTCTGTGCTGCCGTGTTGCCTCCTTTCCCCAGTGCTATGCTCCAGCTGCAATGGGAGGATGGCAATGTGCTGGAAATCCCTTATGAGAACCACCAATGTATGCAGGAGTAAATGAGGGGTAAATGAGGAAAGAGGAGGTACCGACCAAGCACCAAGGCTCACTTTCATTCAAACTCACAAAGCCTAGTACTAACTTCAAAAGGAGAGAAAGAAAGAGCTCTAAAGAGAAAGAGAGAGCAACAGTGAAACAAAGGCAGGACTCTAAATAACTTAGGGCTCCTTTCATTCCTGAGAAATCCTTCAGAGAAACACAGCCCAAGGGACTAATAGCTGCTATTGTTTCTCTTCTTGGGATACCCCTTTCATGTTCTTTTACAGTAACAAAGTTAACTATGAAAGAGTACGGAGCTCTTTAATGGTGATTAAAGAGGTTAGTATCATCATATGAAAGGTGGCACAGGGCAGTGTAGTAAAAGGTTACCAACTAGGCTTTTTTTTCTTTTATAGAGATGGGGTCTCACTATGTTGTCCAGGCTGGTCTTGAACTGGACTCAAGAGATCCTGCCATCTTGGCCTTCCAAAGTGCTGGGATTACTGGTATGAGCCACCATACTTGGCCCAACGAGGCTTTCACTAATGATGATACATTATTTCATTATAAACACAGGGTTCTAAGTACAGAATCTAAGAAAGAAAGTTAACCTTCCTCCAACACCAAAAATTGATATAAAAGAAGAAAATGGTCCTTTCAATTACTAAGGGAGTGCATGTTCTCAAGTGCCACTTCAGTTTTTGATTATTAGGATGTTTAAGTAACAGAACTAACACATCTTTAGTGAAGAAATGGGTAGATGGGTCGATTCTAGCTTGTTTCTTAAATGTTAGCTTGTAAGTAATCTAGTACCTACATCAAAACATATCACGTTTTTAAACAGAGGTTTGCAAAGTAATGCATCTACCATATATACCCACTAGAAACATAGTAGATACGGGGGAGGATAAAAGGGTAGGCAAAAGAAAGATTAAAATTTCAAATATCTAATTTGATTTACTAAGATGAAACTGAAATTTAGAGTATATTACTCACCAGCATTTAAATGACATTCCTTAATCTGAAACTGAAGTTCATTTTCATTGGGAATATCCTTCCATGTTGCAAGGAAGACCTGGCGCTCTGTATGGGAAAGCAGAGGGGAAGGATGGATGTGCATAAGCTGTCAGTATTCTGATTTTCGATGCCTTGCATCATTTTTCCTTTGGCATGCTGGCTCTTGCAATACAGCTAGCAGCAGGCTGGGAATGGAGCCAATGCTGAGCTCTACAAAAGTGCTATACTTCAGATCAATTAATCCGTCATCAGTAACACTAGGATAATTGGAAAAGAGTCTATATCTAGGGTTTCATTTTGGCTCCCTTGTTTTCCTATTTTGGTGACTTATGACCTTTCTGAGCCTTAATTTCTTTATCTATAATTACATCTGTCCTGCCTACTCCAAGAGCTATTGTAAGAATCAAATCAATTAAGTGCCAACATAGTTTAATATGCACCAATATAAGCCAGTTTTATTAGATTGTGATTCATAAATAAGGGAAGAGAGAAATGTCAATAGGCACATCGGGAGTTCTGACGGTTTATTACAAATTACTGAATTCTTAGCTTGAGGCAGTATGAACTTAGTACAGAGTAAAGTGCTAAATTTACATGTATTATCTCATGAAATAATTATAAAAATTATTTACACTGCAAATTTGGAAGCGGAAGTTCCAAAAAGTTTATCACCTTGACCAGTCACACAGCAAATAAATAGCAGAGCTGAGATTCAAATCCATATTTACCTGGTCCCCAAACCTCTTATTCTGTATCCTGGGGTGACTGGATTATTCAGATATTGGGCACTGTGATTTAGAGACCAATGGCAGAGCAAGAACAATTGTGACACAGGAGAATAAATAATGAGCAATTATTAAGAGCTTTAGAATATCCTTAACCCATTTTTTTTTAACCTCAAAATAACTCAAAACTTCTGGGGCTATGCTCTGCCTGACATGCACAGGAAGGGCAAAGGTATATTCAGCAGGACAGGCAGGAAGGTACTTACCCATTTTGCCATCTTCTACAAAAAGCACATTGAGTGGGATGAGGCAGCTGAAGTAGAAGACATCGATATTGTTTTTCACAGCCACCTGCCAGGAAAGCAACAAGGTCAAATGAGGACATCGCAGGGAGCCAGGTAGGAGGAAAAGAACAGCGCTGTGTCTAGAAATAGGCCTCCCTATTTCCTTCCTCTTTCTCTCAGTGCAGGTCTCCCCAAATCAAACAAACTGGCCCATATACTGCAAAGCACACCCTTACTTACTCCATTGTCATAGAACTGTGACAACCTGCAACTCTACCTCCTTCCAGAAGGCCTGTCTTCAAGGCACAACTTGTATACCAGGAATAATCTAGTCTGTGATTTTTTTCTCTATGATTATTAATAGTAGCTGCTACCACTTACTAAGTTACCTATTAATGATATTATTTCTAACTCACACTATAATGATCTCAAACAAAGTAGATATCATTCCCCTCTCATTTCGCAGATAATGAAACTCAGGTTTAGAAAGACTAAGTAACATCCAGAGTCATGTAGCTAGTACACAGAAGAATTACGATTCAAACAGAAACTTGACGCTAAACCTTGATTTTTATTTCTCCCCACAATAACTAGTGCCATACTATCTCTTATTTTTTATTTTTTTAAATATCAGTTTTAAAGTTGTTTCTTTTATAAAACCTTATTTCCCAGGTCTTATGGTTGGAAAAAGCTTGTTTGGCCCAACACTGGTAAACCTGATGACTATAAGAACAAAAAACCTTTAAGCGAGCAAATAAATAAATTTTCTTCTCACAATACAAACTTCTCGACTATGATTCTACCATAGCCTGCTTAATTCAGAGCATCCTGTTTGTTTGTTTTTTTTTTTTAAAGCTACAGTAAGTACTTTTATTCAGGGCAACACTGATTGGTATATACATTCAGGAACAGGCAGATTGCACAGCAGCACATCATAAGGCCCTTATACTGTAAGAAGAGGGAGTAGGAGGAGACTTGCTCTAAGTCACCACCTCCCACTGGTTTCTGTCACTAATGACTTTCCTATCTATGCTCTTAGCGCTGTAGGAAAACATTTATCTGAGCAAGTTCTATGATCAGTAACTATACCTGTTTCTTTCTCATTTTGCTCTAAAAACAGAGTTAAAAAGTGCTTATCTAGTACACTATTCTCACTCTCTGTCTTTTATGGCAAATGTCTACACTTCAACAGCATACTGACCTCTTAAAACTGTGGCTATGAGATCCAAATATCCTCTTTCTAAAGTACTTCCAGTCCTTCTACATTTAGTATCAACTTACCTTCCTTACTTTAAATGGTGCCTGTATTCCCTTCTCCATAATATTTGCGTTCTCTCTCCCAGAAGTGTCCATCCAATTATTCTCCTTGCTTTTAACCTGTCAACTAACAAGGCTAGGAGTTTGTGACCTATATATAACATGGCCTGATGCCCAAAATGCTGAGATAGGATTCTCAAAAAGCTTGAATCTGGGGAATTTAAGCAGAGTAATGTCAGGAAAGAGGAACTAAAGGCATTCTTTAGGATGTACTAGAGCATGGGTGGGTGCAGTGGCTCACGCCTGTAATCCCAGCACTTTGGGAGGATGAGGCAGGCAGACCACTTGAGGTCAGGAGTTCAAGATCAGCCTAGCCAACGTGAAGAAACCCCGTCTCTACCAAAAATACAAAAATTAGCTGGGCGTGGAGGCGCGTGGCTGTAGTCCCAGCTACTCAGGAGGCTGAGGTGGGAGAATAGCTTGAACTTGGGAGGTGGAGGCTGCAGTGAGCTGAGATAGCGCCACCGCACTCCAGCCTGGGTGACAAAGCAAGACTCTGTCAAAAAAAAAAAAAAAGGGGGGAAGCCGGGCACGGTGGCTCACGCCTGTAATCCCAGCACTTTGGGAGGCCAAGGCAGGCAGATCACGAGGTCAGGAGACCGAGACCATCCTGGCCAACATGGTGAAACCCTGTCTCTACTAAAATACAAAAAATTAGCCAGGTGTGGTGGCACATGCCTGGAGTCCCAGCTACTCAGGAGGCTGAGGCAGAAGAATCGCTTGAACCTGGGAGGCAAGGCTGCAGTGAGCCGAAATCGTGTCACTGCACTCCAGCCTGGTGACAGAGCAAGACTCCGTCTCAACAACAAAAAACAAAACAACAACAACAACAACAACAAGGGATGTACCAGAGCACTACTTTCAAAGATTGATGCCAGCCGTGGGCTTCCGGGAAAGAGTATTTTCTAACTCATCTGGTACTTGGCAGGTAAGGGAGGAGAATTCTTATTTCAAATAAGGGCACCAAGAAGATCTTGAGACAGCGCTAGGCTCTGTAAAGAACATTTAGAAGTGAAAACTGGGGCCGGGTGTGGTGGCTCATGCCTGTAAGCCCAGCACTTTGGGAAGCTGAGGCAGGCAGATCACCTGAGGTCAGGAGTTCGAGACCAGCCTGGCCAGATGGTGAAACCCCATCTCTACTAAAAATACAAAAAAATATATATATATTAGTTGGGTGTGGTGGCGGGCACCTGTAATCCCAGCTACTTGGGAGGCTGAGGCAGGAGAATCACTTGAACCCGGGAGGCAGAGGTTGCAGTGAGCCGAGATTGTGCCATTGCACTCTGGCCTGGGTGACAAGAGTGAACTGCCTCAAAAAAAAAAAAGTGAAAACTGGGGTGATGGGGGTAGGCTAATGGTGGGTCATGTAAAGGTCTCATGTGAAATGCAAGTGATTATCTTTGACTATAAAGTAGTATCCCCATTCTCTAGAGGATAATATTAGTGGTTCTTAACTGAAGACCTGTATCAGAATCATCTGGAAAGGCTTTTCAAAACAGATGCCAGGCCCTACCCTACATGAAATAATTACAATCTCTGAATCTGGGACCTGGCATAAATATTTGGGAAAAAGTTCCCAGGAAGATCAACCGGATAAGCAATTAATTTAGAACATTGTTATCTAAGAAGTCTGAATGGGTTTGTAAACATCTTGTTCTTCCAAAAGAATCCTTATGCCAACAGGAGCCTTTTAACAATGGAAAGGACACAAAAAGGTCCTCTAGGTAAGTGGTGCTAAACTGTTCTGCACTGTAGACCCTTTGGACAAACAGAGGAAAGCCACTGACTCTCTTGCTGAAAAATGTACACACAACATTTTGCCATAGAATTTCAGGAGTTTTGGGACACCCTGAGGGCTTTCCTGGGACTTCTACTGTAGAACAATTTTCTGAGGAGCTAGGATACCCACACATCAGAAGCGGCAGATACAGAGGTTCACAGCATGGACTTGGGAGCCAGAACACCTGATTTCAAATTCTGACTCTGACAGTTTCCTGTCTGTAAAATGTAGATCACAAAGTACTAAATTCATGGGGTTGTTATGAGGATAATGAGTTAATATTTGCACAGCACAGTGAACAGCCTTGACTCATAAGTACTGTAGAAAGTGTCTGTTCAAAAAAGAAAAATTCGGCTGGGCACAGTGGCTCACGCCTGTAATCCCAGCAGGCGTGAGCCACCATGTGAGCCTTGGGAAGCTGAGGCAGGCGGATTACCTGAGGTGAGGAGTTTGAGACCAGCCTGGCCAACAAGGCAAAATTCCATCTCTACTAAAAATGCAAAAATTAGCTGGGCGTGGTGGCATGCACCTGTAGTCCCAGCTACTCAGGAGGCTGAAGTGGGAGAATCAGTTGAACCCAGGAGGCAGAGGCTGCAGTGAGCTGAGATTGCACCACTGCACTCCAGCCTGGGCAACAGAGCAAGGCTCCATCTCAAATAAAAAAAAAAAATTTCACTCTGCTTTCACCATCTCCTGTTTTACCTTTTTTACTCAGCATCCTAATTAAGGATAACCACATTAGACTTATCTGAAATCTTACATATGCTCAGATGTAGTACTACTATTATGTTAAAAAAGAGATTAGAAGAGACTTTTTAAAAGGCTTATCGGCAGATTGTTAGCTTAATGATTCCTTTTGCTACTGCCTTGGTAAATTGTCATCTCTTTATAGGATCAACTACACAGGTCATTCATTGGGGGAAGCAGTTCATCTCTTTTACATTAGCTTTTCAAAATCTGTATTTTGCAGCTCTCATATTTTCACTCTAGGCTAGAACTGGGTTCATTTCAGTAACATAGGCTTCCCCAGATCTGACTCCAGACTACCTCTCCAGCCTATTTCCTTAACTTCAACCACATCAAAATTACTTCTTATTCCCCAAACACTGAAAGTCACAGCTTTGTACCTTTTTTATATGTTGTTCTTTCTTTTTTCTTTTTTTGAGACAGAGTCTGGCTCTGTCACCCAAGCTGGAGTGCAATGGCGCGATCTCGGCTCACTGCAACCTCCGCCCCCCGGGTTCAAGCGATTCTCCTGCCTCAGCCTCCTGAGTAGCTGGGATTACAGGCGTGTGCCACCACGTCCACCTAATTTTTGTATTTTTAGTAGAGACGGGGTTTCACCATGTTGGTCAGGCTGGTCTCGAATTCCTGACCTCGTGATCTGCCCACCTCAGCCTCCCAAAGGGCTGGAATTACAGGCGTGAGCCACCGCACCCAGCCTATATGTTGTTCTTTCTGCTTAATATTTTCTTCTCCTTAAGCTTAGCACTGTCTGGAAAATACCTATTTAACCTTAAGGTTCAGTTCAAGATTAACACTTCCCAGAAAGCTCTAACACCTCCCCACAGCACCCAACGCATACAATTCTATGATAGCATATAATAATGGCTTACTTCCGGCTCACCTATAATACAATGAGCTCCTTGAGTGGAGGGTCTGTCTCTCATCTTCGCTAGCATATTGACTACCTCAAAAAATATTTGTTGCATGAAAATAAGTGGAAGATGTTGAACAAATAAAAATGAAACACTGTGTTTCTCAACATTTTTTCTACCTCCATATCATTCATATACATAACAGAATCCCATCAGCAACATCTCTGATTAGGCACACTGATTCTCAATGAGGCAGGAATGGGGGGATGGGATGATGTATGGGTTCTTTTGGTTTCAAATCACTGAGTTAAATAATATCTACATGCTAAGAAAGGACAACACAGGTAGTGGATCACAACCCAAAGAATGCTAGGTCCTCCAAGGATATGCCAATCATATTTTGGGTGTTAAAAAAGAACCAAGGGAAAAACACAGTATGAAGCCAGTTTAATTCCAATCCTGATGCTGATTGCTCTTAAATATAACTAAATCAGCTTTAAAGAGCATGATATTGTTGTTGGAGGGAGACAGGAAAAGAGAAAGACAGTTTCTTGTTTTCTTATTTAAAAATTCACTATCCCAACAGGTAGAGATAGTAGGAAGATATAATCCAGACAAGTTCTAAACTATTTTCCAAAAGCTATAACATCATGCCTAGATTGCTTGAGGGAAATCAATGATCACATATATAACCAACTGCCTACTTAATATCTTCACTTGGATAATAGGTTGCTCAAAAAGAATATGTCTAAAACTGAACTTTTATTTCAAGTTCAGGGGTACATGTGCAGGCTTGTTACATAGGTAAACTTGTGTCATCAGATTTGCTGTACAGCTTATTTTATCACCCAGCTATTAAGCCTAGTACCCATTAGTTATTTTTCCTGATCCTCTCCCTTCTCCCACCCTCCACCCTCTAGCAGACCCCAGTGTGTGCTATTCCCCTCTTTGTGTCCATGTGTTCTCATCGTTTAGCTCCCACTTACAAGTCAGAACATGTGGTATTTGGTTTTATGTTCCTGTGTTAGTTTGCTAAGGATAATAGCCTCCAGCTCCATCTATGCTCCTGCAAAGGACATGATCTCATTCTTTTTTATGGGTGCATAGTATTCCACGGTATACATGTACCACATTTTATTTATCCAGTCTATCACTGATGGGCATTTAGGTTGATGCCATGTCTTTGCTATTGTGAATAGTGCTGCAATGAACATAGGTGTGCATGTGTCTTTATGATAGAATGACTTGTATTCTTTTGGGTATATATCCAGTAATGGGATTGCTGAGTCGAGTGGTATTTCCATTTTTAGGTCTTTTTTTTTTTTTTTTTTGAGATGGAGTCTGGCTCTGTCACCCAGGCTGGAGTGCAGTGGCGCAATCTCGGCTCACTGCAAGCTCCGCCTCCCAGGTTCACGCCATTCTCCTGCCTCAGCCTAGCTGGGACTACAGGCGCTGGCCACCACGCCCGGCTAATTTTTTGTATTTTTAGTAGAGATGGGGTTTCACCGTGTTGGCCAGGATGGTCTCGATCTCCTGACCTCATGATCCACCTGCCTCGGCCTCCCAAAGTGCTGGGATTACAGGCGTGAGCCACCGCGCCCGGCCCATTTTTAGGTCTTTGAGGAATCACCACTGTCTTCCACAAGGGTTGAATTAATTTACATGCTCTTCAATAGTGTATAAGTGTTGTGTTTTTCTCTACAACCTCACCAGCATCTGTTATTTTCAAAAATTTTTTTAATAATAGCCATTCCAACTGGTGTGAGATAGTATCTCATTGTGGTAAAACCAAACTCTTAATCTCCCCTCCCCACCTCCAAATACAACCTCCTGCTGTCTTTCCAAACTCGGTAACTACTATGGGATTCTGCAAAGCCTTTAACAGTCTCTCTGCCTCTCCACTAGTCTTCCAGCCACATCCCCCTATACATTCCCTTCACAGCACCTAGCTTCCCCAGTATATGCTCAACATAGCAGCCAGAGTGATCTTAAAATGTAGGTCAGCTCATAAATATTTCTCTGCTCAAACCTTTCCATCTCACTCAGAATAAAAACCAAGTTGCAATTGCCTATAATCCAACTCCTCCAACCTCTCTGAGGTCGTGCTAATACTCTCCTCCTTGCTAGCTCTAATCCAGCTGCAGGAGCCTGTTGTTCCTTCCTTGCACATAGCAGGTACACTCCTACTTCATGGCTTTTTGCATTTGCTGTTTCTTCTGTCTACAATGCTCTTCCTCCAGAAATCCATGATTCTTTCCCTGTCTCCTTTGAGTCTTTGCTTTAACCAAATATTATCTTTTCAGATAGGTCTTCCATGACCAACATATTTTTGTAAAACTGTACCACCCAACCTCCAACTCCAGTTTATATTTTTCCACTGTCCCAATACTTCTTTTATATTTTTCCACTGTCCTCCCTACCATCTGATATACTATGTATTGTACTGATTTGCCGGTTTATTGCCTGTCCCCATGCCACATACCCCACTTGTGGTAGAATATAAATTCCATGAGGGAAAGAATTCCTGTCTTCTATTTGTCACAATATTCTCAGTTTCTAGAATAGTGACTGGCACAGAATAGGTGCTGAGTAAGAATAACAGTTGTAAAATAAACTATACAAAGTTTCTGACCTCACTTGGGTTTACACAATAATGAACTTAAAAGTTCTATGGGGCTTGGTACAGTGGCTCACTCCTGTAATCCCAGCACTATGGGAGACCAAAGGCGGAAGGAGGATCACTTAAGGCCAGGAGTTCGAGACAAGCTTGGGCAACCTAAGTGAGACCTTGTCTCTATCAAAACAAAACAAAAAAAGCTGACTGCAGTGGCATGAGCCTTTGGTCCCAGTTACTCAGGAGGCTGAAGCACGAGGATAAGAGGATAGGAGGATAGGGGTCCAGGAGTTCAAGGTTACAGTGAACTATGACTGCACCACTGTACTCCAGCCTGGGCAACAGAGTGAGATCCTGTCTCACAAACGAACAAACAAGTCCCAAAAGCACAGTACTTCTCACATTTTTCTAGTGTATTTCCCGTAATAGAAGAGGAAAGAATGGACACATACTGTGAAGGAGGCATGGGGCTGGGTCAAGATTAGGGGTATAATATGAAGTAGACTATCATAAGAACAAAATATCTTTGAAGTTCCATGCTAAATCCCATAATGTACCCATATATGTTTTAATATGTGTTTCTCTCTTTACCTTTCAATAAAACTGATGCTCTAGGAAAATGTGCTATTGTGTATCCTTTAGCTTCAAGTATCCCTAGCTTGGTGGGTCATGACCAACCGGTAGTTCTTAAAATTAACTAAGTGGGTTCAAACTGGCATTAAAAAAATAAAATGAAAAATATCACAGTGCATCTCATGAAGAGTAAGTAATATTTCCTGAAACTGTTCAGTTTTACATATTGTGTGTGTATACACTATGTAAAATACATTTCTTACTGTAAGTTGCAGTCAAAAAAGTATAAAAGCCACAATACACACACACTAAAGCAAGCAGTGAGAAAATGGGTTCAATGAGTGAAGGAAGAGAATGCACACCTCAGCTTCTGCTTTGAGAATGCCCAAAGCAGATCACAGATGGTACCAAGAAGATTACCTAACCCTCTGTTTCTTTGGTATGTCATGTGCAACATGTGACCATAACAATATTAACTTGCTTTTTAGGGACATCAATAGGAAAGCAAACAGAAATTATAAGGCACTTTGAAAACACAAAAGCAGGCTATAAATGCTTAATAATAACAATGATTGTTTAAAGTTACTTTAAGAGGCTGCTAAGGAAAGAACAACCTGTCAGCTTAAGCCTGTAACCAGCAATTAGTTTCTTTCCATAGTATAGAAAGCCTGCTGCAGGAGCTACAATCTCTTTATGGTGGGACAGCTGGAGATGAACAGGCTAAATTAATATTCTAACCTTGTACCAGTATACTCAAAAGTACTATAAAAAGGTATAACATGAACTCAGTCTGAACTCTGGCAAATGAGGCCTCTTACCCGACCTCTCACCACAGGTAACCAAAGGAGGCACTGCCACAAGGAAAACCAAGTGAAATAGTACAGGGCTCGCCTTTGAGATTATATCATCTGCTCTTCCATAACGTCACTTGTGACCTTTCCACATTTCTGAAGAATTATTTTTTTCTTTTATTTCTCTTCTCCTTTTAGCTTTTGGAATGATTATATGCAGGCTGGTCCAAGCTAGGACCAGGCAGTGACGTCAACCATCTCCAGTTCTCTGAGGAATGATGATTCAGATGTGTTTTAAGTACCACACAACCTAGTCAACAGATCCTAGGGGAATGGCTCGGAGTGACAGGTTTTTAATGGTACTTACTCCAACTATGTGATATATATCATCTGAGACTCAAGCAGAAGCGGCCGTTTCTGCTAGGTGCTGGAGTTAAATTAACATGTAGTTCTGCATTTCTAATCAACGCCAAAAGGTATCTACCATCTTAAGTTTATTTTATTTATTTTAATTTCTTTTTTGATACAGGGTCTTGCTCTGTCACCCAGGCTGGAGTGTGGAGGCATAATCACAGCTCACTGCAGCCTTGACCTCCTGGGCTCAAGTGATCCTCCCATCTCAGCCTCGTGAGTAGCTGAAACTACACGCATGTGCCACCATGCTTGGCTAACTCTGTTATTTTTGTAGACACTAGTCTACATACTGGAATAGACTAGACATACTAGTCTTACTATGTTGCCCAGGCTAGTCTCAAACTCCTGGACCCCAAGCGATCCTCCCACCTTGACCTCCCAAAGTGCTGGGATTACACAGGCATGAGCCACTGTGCTTGGTGACCCAAAGTTTAAATAGCATTTCAAACTCTATTGACCAATGAATTATCTGGGAATTCTCAGAGACCCTGACAAAACAGAAAGGTCTATTTATGATATTAGACAGTATCTGATAGAGTTAAAAACATAGCAGAAAGAGTAATGAACCACAGGAAATGTCAATTGACTTTCCTTCCAGTGCTAATTCCATTTTAAACTGGACAGCGTCTTTAGTTCACTTCCAAGGCTAGGATTCAAACAAGAACTCTCTTCCCATATTCTTTCTCAGTCCACCCAATAGATCAGGGGTATTACATGATAGCTGAGGAGGCCTCAAATGGTACCAAACTGCTGTTCATCCTGAGTATAAAGCCATACTGATTTATTCTCAGGAGACATTAGGACATTGTTCGTTAAGAGTATGTGAACAGTGGAACCCTTTATAGGGAAAATTTGACAGATTAGGCAGTGGTTCCATGTCCCTAATATGCACTTCAGCGTTTGAAGTTTCCATATTTAAACAGTTCTCAGAACCAGAAATGAAAGCTTTGAACAGAGCCCTCCAGATGATCTCTAAAATTGTAAATCCTCTAGTAGCACATATAATTATTGGGCTTTAAAAAGGCAATGAGCTCCTAAGAGCCAATCTCTCTTAGTAAAGCCTTGATTCGAAAGGAAGCCAACAGAAACCAAAAGACACTGAAACTGAAATACTATGACTTCTCCTGTAGTACCCATTCTGCTATGAGATCTGCTTAATCTCAATCTCAAAAAACTCTCAAATAATTTAGACCATAAATTAGAAATGTCAGCAAATTAAATCTTCAGAACACTAAAGATTAGATAAAGATTGTAAAGTGGTATGAATAGACATTGCTTTAAAAGACTTTGGATTAAACTGTCAAAATCACCATTTGGGCAGGAGTAAATTAGAATGACGAACCTTCAGGGCTGTCAAATGGGAGTCCAAAGCACAGCAAGGTCAGAACTACTCAAATCAAATTTTGTTAACTATTTTGCAACTGAAATAGATTCTCAAGTACTTCTTTAAAAGAGAATCCCCCACCCTGCCCCTGTAAAGCCATTTGGAAAAAGGGTGAGTAGGTCACAATTTTCATGAAAGACTACCTTTGTGGAGGATAGAAAAAGTAGCCCACCCATAGCCATCACTGCAGCCATCTAAACTGTGGAGGCCAGGCATGGCTCACACCTGTCTGTGATCCCAGCAATTTGGGAGGCCAAGGCAGAAGACTGCTTGAGCCCAGGAGTTTCAGACCAGCCTGGGCAACATGGTGAGATTTCATCTTTACAAAAATAAAAATAAAAAATTAGCCAGGCATGGTGGTGCACACCTACAGTCCCAACTACTGGTCAGGTTGAGGTGAGACAATTGCTTGAGTCTGGGAGGTCAAGGCTGCAGTAAGCTGTGATCACGCCACTGCACTCCTGCCTGGGAGACAGTGTGAGAATGCTGTCTCCAAAAAACAAAACAAAACAAAAAAAAACACCCTCAAAGTTCCAACACAAAATCCAGTGCAGCTGGGTGGTTCATTTTTTAAGTCTCACTGAGTGAAAAAAATTCATTTCCAAAGTTGAATTTCAGTTTATGTGTCTCAGTCTTTTCACTCCTTATCACACCGATTTCCCACCAAAGTAAACTTTCTAATAGCAAGTAAAGAAAAACCTGATATTGAAAAGTGCTAGATGACTACCCTTTTTTAAAAACTTTTTTTTCCATTTAAAGGCAAAAGACTGTTTTGAATACCTGAAAAAATTGTTTTCTTAAAAGTAAAGAGAAATAATGAATATCTATTGCTAAAAGACAACTTTTTTGCCCTAGCTTTTGAGACGGAGTCTTGCTCTGTCACCCAGGCTGGAGTGCAGTGGTGGGATCTCAGCTCACTGCAGCCTCTGCCTCCTGAGTTTGTGATTTTCCTGCCTCAGCCTCCCGAGTAGCTGGGACTACAGGCGCATGCCACTACACCCGGCTAATTTTTGTATTTTTGGTAGAGATGGGGTTTCGCCATGTTGGCCAGGCTGGTCTTGAACTCCTGACCTCAAGTGATCTGCCGCCTCAGCCTCCCAAAGTGCTGGGATTACAGGCGTGAGCCACCGTGCCCAGCAGGCACTTGCTTTTAAAGTTTGCCTCCTTACACTTTTGTGTCTATCAGGATTAGGAAAAAGACAGGGTTCTTCTGTTTTCACAGTAAAAAGGGCTTGCTCAGCACCATTTCCTGTCGGGCATCTAAATGATTTCGGTTTTCCCTGAGGCTCCAAAACACTTGTAAGAGCATCCTTGAACTTCCTCATTTACTCTGATTTTGAGCTTCCAAATTTACTCTAGAAATATTAAATTAACCAAAATAGTCTAAGGCTCTTTAGGATAATAATTTAATAGTCTCATGGTGGCAATTTGGTTTTATTTTAAAGAGACATACAGACGTAAGTTAGCAACAGAAAAAATTCCCAAAATGTGAGCACAGTTAACATGTGCTATGTTCCTAGTCATCTCCAGTTTTGAAAACAGGGTCCATTAATGTGCTGTGATCTTGCCTTTCCTAATATCAAGGAAGCAACAGCTTCTAATATTTGCTCTGCCTACTTGAGAGAAAATGAATTTGTGATTGTAGTCTTCAGATTAAACTTGGGACCAGGACCAGACCTATCCAGATAAAAGGGTATTGTATCAGAGTCAGAGGATAGAACGCAAGGCTGCTGAGAAACAACAGGCAGAGGCTGTGTTTAGGGATACTCTGTTTGTTAAGATGAAGAGATAGCCTTGCTTAGTTTGGTTCAAGAACTAGATGAATCTGATGCTGGTTAATACTTTCCTAAATGAAAGCAAAAAGACTCATTCAACAACAAATATTTATCTAGCACCTACTGTGTGCCAGACATCGTTCCAGGCCCTGGGAGACATAGCAGTGGTGGGAAAAACATAGACAAAAACTGCTGTTCCTTTGGAATTTGCATTCTAGTAGGAGAGGAGCAGGAGGTGGTAATAAATAATTAAGTAGTAATTAAAATATAATGAAATGCTATGGGGTAAAAATAAGGGAGACTGGTAGTACTGGGAGTGAAGTGAGAAAATCTTTTATTAAAAAGGTACTATTTAGCCAGGCGTGCGGTGGCTCAGGCCTGTAATCCCAGCACTTTGGAAAGCTGAGGTGGGCAGATCACTTGAGGTTAGTTGTTCGAGACCAGCCTGGCCAACATGACGAAACTCCTGTCTCCAATAAAAATAAAAAAATTAGCCGGGTGTGGTGGCGGGCACCCGTAATCAGCTACTCGGGAGGCTGAACCTGGGAGGCGAAGGTTGCAGTGAGCCAAGATGGCACCATTGACTCCAGCCTGGGCAACAGAGTGAGACTTAAAAAAAAAAAAAAAAAAAGAACTTATTCCTTCTACCTAACTGTATGTTTGTATCCATTAACCTACTTCTCTTCATTCCCCTCACCTCCCATCCTTTGGTAACTATCATTCTATTCTCTTTTTTTGGGTACTACTTTAGTAAAAACCTAAAGTAAGTAAGTAAGCTATACGATATGGAGACTAGGAGAAGGCACATTCCAGACAAGGACAATAGTCAATTAAAAGGTCATGAGGTGGCAGCATACCCTATTCTAAGATAAGTGAGGAGACCAGAATGGCTATAGTGAAGAGGAGGAGTAGCAGATGAAGTTAATGAGGAAAGGAGGGAGGGAAAGGCATAGCTAGATCACCCAAGGTCTTGGAGACCTTTGGTAGGATTTTGCCTTTTCTGCTTAGAAACTGTTAATGCAAGCTCTTCCGAGTGGGCAGATGAAAGTTGCTTAATTCTTGCTATAGCACTGGCCAGTTATACTCATGGTTACCTGAGTTTAACAGTAAACCCTACTTGGCAAATAGCTCAAGTTGTCCTTCAGCCCCACCCCACCCCCACTATTAACATAAATAGTATTCAAAGATGAGACAACGGCAACCAAGGGCATATCAGCCAGTACATGTAGCTGTGTAGCTATCATTAAAGGGAAAAGGAAAGACTGGTGCCTTTCGGCTTATCTCTCAGGCAAGCTGAAAGGCCTGTGAAATTATTGCTGGCTGTTTCTGGCAACTGAAACTATATAGAGTAATTCTGTTGTAGGCTGCTAGAAGTGGAGAGGATTAGGGGCCAATAAAAAAGATTGGTCAGAATAGTATCACAGGGAGGTTATACACTGGCAGAAAGCAGTCACATATACATTTGCTATAAGTTAGATATCTGAGTATAACAGGTAACTTACCTGAGGGTTACTTGAATGGAACAGGCCAGTGGTATAGCAAGAATTAAGCAACTTTCACCAGTATGTGAAAGTCACTGACATAGGTATGCCAGTGACATACCTATGTCACTGGCAGCTGTGTGCCTCACAGGGAACCCAGGATCAAGGGAAAATCATGCTAAGATACACTGCATCTGTTCCTACTCCTGGGTAGCTCCCTCATTTTGAAAGTTTTATAAGTTAAATAAAATAAATCCAGAACTTACAGCAAATGTATATGTGACTGCTTTCTGCCAATGTATAACCCACCTGTGATACTATATTGATCAACCCAGTTACTCTTCAGAAATCTTACTGGCCCCTAATCCTCTCCTCTTCTAGCAGCCTACAATAGAATTACTCTATATAGTTCCAGTTGCCAGAAACAGTCAGCAATAATTTCACAGGCCTTTCAGCCTGCCTGACAGATAAGCCGAAAGGGACCAGTCTTTCTTTTTCCCTTTAATGATAGCTACACAGCTACATGTACTGGCTGATGTGCCCTTGGTTGCTGCTGTCTCATCTTCGAATATTGTTTATGTTAATAGTGAGGGGTGGGAAGAGGGGGGCAGAGGCACAACTTGAGCTATTATTTGCTATGTAGGGCTTACTGGGTTTTTGTTTTGTTTTGTTTTTGTTTTTGAGATGAAGTCTTGCTCTGTTCCCCAGGCTGGAGTGCAACAGCACAATCTCGGCTCACTGCAACCTCCGCCTCCTGGGTTCAAGCGATTCTTCTGTCTCAGCCTCCTGAGTAGCTGGAATTACAGGCGTGTGCCACCATGCCCAGCTAACTTTTTTGTATTTTTGTAGAGACAGAGACAGAGTTTTGCCATGTTGGCCAGGCTGGTCTCGAACTCCTGACCTCAAGTGATCCAACTGCCTCAACCTCCCAAAGTTCTGGGATTACAGGTGTGAGCCATGGCGCTCAGCCTGGGTTTACTGTTAAACTTTAAAAATACATTTAGGCTGGGTGCGGTGGCTCATGCCTGTAATCCCAGCACTTTGGGAGGCCAAGGCAGGTGGATGGCTTGAGCCCAGGACTTCAAGACCAGCCTGGGAAACATAGCCAGACCTCAACTCTACAAAAAATTAAAAAATTAAAAAAAAAAAAAAGTCAGCTAGGTGTGATGGCATGTACCTGTATTCCCAGCTACTTGGGAGGCTAAGGTGGGAAGATCACTTGAGTCCAGGAGGTTGAGGATGCAGTGAGCTATGTTTGTGCCCCTGAACTCCAACGTGGGAAGTTGAGCAAGACCCTGACTGAAAAAAAACAAACAAAAGCATTTAATACATACTGTATTGAATCAAAAAATCGTGAAGGCAAGACTAGAAAACTATCAGTTAAAGTGATTAAAATTCCACTCTAATTTAATATGTCATAGAAGACCTAGTAGAAATTCAATAAAAGAACAAACTTCAGTAATAATAGGCAGTAATTGGTGTCAATGAACATAACTGATTTTTCAATCCAGGGGTAAAACTGATCTAGAATCAAATCTAGGTTCTAGATATTAAGCATACATCCTCAGATTAGTTAGCTGCAAGATAAAAATCAAATGAGTTCACTGTTATGCCTATGTTCTGCCTGGTGGACAGTACAACCTTACGTGGACAAAAGGAGGACACGTGACTGTCAAGATGACTGGACAGATGGGCAGGCCACTGAACACAGATGCTGTCTCTGGGTAGTTCCACTGGGGAAGAAGGTCATATACATATACATATTACTGTCAGGAGCACAGTGGGAGCTATGGAATCGAGAAGTTCTGTGCTTTCCTGTTCTGAGTACTTGCCCTTCAACTCCTTCAGGGGTTCCTGGAAAGGAAGACTGCTACCAAGTCAAGGATCATCTTTCATTCACACACTTTTCAAAAGTGATTAGATAATATTTTCCTTCAGTCTCCAAACTATAACTGATTCCAACTACATTTACCAGGGTCCCTCCTTCTAAATGGATTTTCTTCTAAAATTAGAACAATAAAACTGACATTATATAAATGCCTTTCCATAAACTTAGGCTTTCCTTAAGTAGAAAAAAAAAAGAAAATAAATTCAGACGGAGTATGTTTTCATTACAGGCCCACCTGATTGACTTTCAGGCCCTGGGTGCCTTGATTCAGAAACTTAATTTATAAAAATCTCAAAATGTAGAACTAGGATCTACAGATAGAACCTAAAGGAAGACATTTTATTTCATATAAACAACTAGGTGTGGTGGCTAACGCCTGTAATTCCAGCACTCTGGGAGGTCGAGGTGGGCGGATTACTTGAGGTCAAGAGTTTGAGACCATCCTGGCCAACATGGTGAAAAAACCTCATCTCTACTAAAAATCCAAAAAATTAGCTGAGCGTGGTGGCAGGCACCTGCAATCCCAGCTACTTAGGAGGCTGAGGGAGGAGGATCACTTGAACCTGAGAGGCAGAGGTTGTAGTGAGCTGAGATCACACCATTGTACTCCAGCCTGGGCAACAACAGAGTGAGACTCCAATTTACCGCCCCTCCCCCCACCGCCCCGCGCCAAAGAAAACAAACATAAAAAAACGCCAAATAAACAACTCCGTAACAGGGTTTTATGAAGACAGAATGGGTCATTTAGAGTAGCAAATCACTGGTGGTATTCATGTACACACTGATTTTCCCATCACTGCCAAGAAAGAGGGAATTCCATCAAAAACAGATAGGGTTTGAAACAGACAAAATTAAAGACCATCCCTTCCAACTATGAGATTTTACATTCCTTATGTGTACATGGTCACATGGCTCAAAGCTTTCCTGCAGTTTTATTCAAATATGTATGGGCCTTAATACTACAAAGCCTATGCATAACCCCTTCATTAAAAAGTATGAATAATGTACTTTCTTCCCCATCTCATTAAACATCATGCTATAGCAAAATATAAGAGAGTAAACATGAATGAGAGCAGGGTATGGCTCTCAAATTCAATCCAGCTGAGGAAAAAACTGAGTGAGTTCTCTGTAATTTCAACCTATAATATAGGTTTTTATCAGCTGGGACGAGAAAGAGGTAGCTATTTTACGTCCAGAATTCAAAGTCCTCTACTGCACTACAAGCTAAATCTAAAGACCACAAGGTTAAATCTATTTCTAATCATTTATTAAATTAGAAACATAAAACTAATGCCATTATCCATCATTAACTCCTAGCTTATAATCATGATAAAAAGATGCCTGTGAATTTAACAAATAAAAGCCCACAAATCACTTTTATTACTATTTTAGAACTACTGTGTGAAATTCATTATCCTTTCTCAGGATATCAGCATAGATTTCTATTACTTGGGTAATGTGACCCAAGTTTGGGTGTTTAACTGTCTCCTGACTTTGAGGACAGATTTCTGATCCATCAGACACCTTTGCTTATCAGAATATGGAACTCTTGCCGATTGCTTATGTGTGGCCATTCAAAGAAGACAGTTATTATTAATAGATATACTGCTAAAAGATCCCAGAAACCAGTAGTTGAGTGCTGGTTACAGAAAGACAAAAGATACTGCTTAGTAGACTCTCGATTATCTTGATAAAAAAAGATAAAGGAGTGTTCTCACTAAGGACAATCTAGCAAAAAAGGAATATCTAATACATAATATATTGAATTTCTCAGATGAGATTAAATAATATGTTTATAGTCCTGATGGGACATGAAGAATATGTCAAACTGGAAGTAGCAATCACAGTAAGTAATTTTCTATTTTATTTTTTGACAGCAAAATGTTTTAATCTTTCATAATGAAGACTCCAGTACCTACATACTGCTTATGGAATATTTTAGGTGGAATATTTTTAGGTCTACAGGGATCATTTGGATAGTAGATCCAACGCTGGATCCAACTGTCTGACGTGGGAATCGCTATATAGTTTCCGAAAGATCCACCACTTCAAGGACTCATTATCTATTCAAGGAGCATCGTGGTCCCACAAATGCAATCAGAGTGTGCAGTCCTCAATTGTGGATCTTGGAAGACCAAAGAAGGCTTCAACACTGACTGGTTTGGCTTGCACAACAGTCAAGAAACGTCAGCAAATGCCAAGCTGGTTTGCTTCATTTGATGGGAGCGCTGAAAAGGTCTTCCGCTTGGAAGCGTCTACCAGTTTTTCTGGTACAATAGCTATAGCTGTGGGCTTTCTGAGTGTGAACGGACATATGCAAGACATGAAATATCAGGGACAAGCACCATCTGCAACTGACTGTCTCACAGGCTGGAACTACATGTAGGAGTAGCAAGGGACAGAATTTCCTCAGAGCCATATACCAGCAAAATTTGGCTGACAATGATCTTAAGACATGAATAAACAGGACTGTAAGATCGTGTCCTTTGCAGCTAGTGTCTTCAGCACTTTCTGCCCTAATCAAAGGTTACATGAACAGACTGATGAATATTGCCTTGTTTTAGAAAGATATTCAAAGAAAAAAAAAAGAGACATTGTGTCTATTTCTTTTCTCTAATTAATATTCAGCCTCTTATTCGACAATGTTTATGTGAGATTTAAAGGCAATAAAGACAGGGACAACAAAAACTATATATGGGAAAGGGTCAATTCTTTCTCCACAGGTTCACCTCTAAGGTTCCTAATTATAAAGTTGTATCGCAGGAAGGAAAGAAAAAATGTTAAGGTGCTATCAGACCTCTAGGCAGAGGCAGTAGACTGAAAAATCACATTTAAGTTTCCTTTCTCCTGGAAAAAGTTCTGCCATAACTAAGGGAAAATAAAAAATTTTCAAGGTATAAATTCATAGAGATACTAACAAAAAGATATAACAGCAACAAAAACTTGGTACCTGGAAAACAGATGGATTAGCAATACCACCACAGAATTCTCAAAGGCTTAGGACTGGTAGCACCTCTGGAACTGTATGGTGGGGAGAGGAGGAGAGTGTTAAAAACGAGAGGATTAAGATGTCAATAGGATTTCTAGATACCAACCCCGATTCTATACTGCTGGACAGCTCTTAGGTCTCTAGGCCCTGCACAAAACTGAAGATTGATTCTTTTAGAGAGGATAAAATAGATGGCACTTAGAAGTAAAAGCCAGACATGGCTGAGGGGTGGTGAATTAAATGAATTAATGCATACTGAATGCTAAGACTCTCCAGCCCTCTTTCCCAATTTAGCTCCCCACAAGGCTTGCAGAAAGCCTTTCTATCGTAGACAGAGACTTAAAGATAACTTTGGAAAGAATTGAGCCAGCCCAGTGAGGAAAATTCAGCAAAAAATCAAATGGAAATCCTAGAATTAAAAAGTACAATATCTGAAATGAAAATGCTCTGGATTAGTTTAACAGAAGGTTGTTGCCTATAGAAGAAAGAAGCAGTGTACATGAAGACAGATCAATAGGAATTATCCAGTCTGAAGAACGGAGAGAAAAAAAGATTAAATTTAAAAAAAGCAGCCTCAGTGATCTGAGGGATGATATCCAGTAGTCTAACACATATGTAACTGGAGTTCTAGAAGGAGAGAAGAGACATAATGAGGCAGAAAAAAAATCTGAAGAATGACAAAACATTTCCAAAATTGGGGAAAACTATCAACTTGCAGATCCAAGCTCAGTGAGCTCCAAGCCAGAGAAATACAAGAAAAACAACTACATGCATAATAGCCAAACTGCTGAAAACCAAAGGTAAAAGAAATATGGAAGAGGAGCCTACAGATTGGCACTGCCAACAGAACTTTCTAAAGTAATGTAAATGTTTTACTTCTGCACTGTCCCATCTAGTAACCATTAGCCACACATGTACTTGAAATGTGGCTGATGCAATGATGAAACTGAATTTGTTTGATTTAATTTCAATGTACATAGCCACATGTGGCTAGTGGCTATCATATTAAACAGTGTAGCTAAAGAGACTTAAGAGCTATCAACCCACCATAATATGTGCACTTTACTGATTCAAACACAAATAATAAAACAAAAAAAATTATGACAAAATCTGAACATTGATTCGATATGTGATATTAAGGAATTCTTGCTAATTTTTTAAGTTGTGAGAATAGTTATTGTAGTTAAATTTTTTAAAAGAGACCTATTTTAAAGACACATACTGAGCTGGGGGTGGTAGCTCATACCTGTAATCCCACAAGGGCGGATCACCCAAGGTCAGGAATCCGAGACCAGCCTGGCCAACATGGTGAAACCCCGTCTCTACTAAAAATACAAAAATTAGCTAGGTATGGTGGCACGTGCCTGTAATCCCAGCTACTCGGGAGGCCGAGGCAAGAGAATCACTTGAACCCGGGAGGCAGAGGTTGCAGTGAGCTGAGATTGCACCACTGCACTCCAGCCTGGGCGGCACAGCGAGACTCCATCTCAAACAAACAAAATACGAGACATACTAAAATACTTACAGATTAAGTGATATAAATGTCTGGGATTTGTTTCAAACAATAGAGTAGGGTTATGGAAAGGGGTATAAATGATATTAACCATGGATAATTATTGAAGCTGGATGATGGGTACACAGGGGCTCGTTATACTATTCTGTTTACTTCTGCAATGTTAAAAATGTTTCATAAAAAAGTGTTTTTCTTTTCTTTTTGAGATAAAGGCTTGTGGCTCGTTCTGTCACGCAGGCTGGAGTGCAGTGGCGTAATCTCAACTCACTGCAACCTCTGCCTCCCTGGCTCAAGCAATTCTCCTACTTCAGCTTCCTGATTAGCTGGGACTATAGGCGTGTGCCACCATGCCTGGCTAATTTTTGTATTTTTAGTAGAGATAGGGTTTCGTCAAGTTGGCCAGGCTGGTCTTGGACTCCTGGCCTTAAGTGATCCGCCCTCCTTGGCCTCCCAAAGTGCTGGAGTTACACGTGTGAGCCACTGTGCCTGTTCCCATAAACAAGGTTTTAAAAAGTAGAGCAAAAGGAAAAAGGGATGGAAAATAGGAGGGGAAAACAGAGTCAGTCCAGGAGAATCAACATCCAAATAGCAAGACGTCTGATAAGAAATAGAGAAAATGAAGGGGAGAGCAGCAGCAAAGAAGTTAAAGACAAATTCCTAAAATTGAAGGACATGAGTTTCCGGTTTTAAAGAACCCAATGAGTACCCAGCATGATGGGTGAAAAGACAGAGTCACAATGAGGCACATCACTGAAATTTAAAACACTGGGGACAAAGTACAAGCTTTCACTGAGAAAAAAACAGGGCTAAAGCAAGTATCAAGAATCAGAACGGCTTCTGATTAGGAGGAAAATGATTCCTAACCTAGTATGAAGACAGACTAAAACAGACATTTAAAAACATGTAAAGGCTCAAACCTATGGAATAGTCTACATACCTATTCTCAGGAAACCACTGGAAAATGTGTTTCATCAAAAGAGGGAGTAAACCAAGAAAAGGACACTATAACAGGAGATCCTGAGTAGGAGAGAGCTGATGAAGGGAATGAATCTCCAGGGTTAAGATGAAAGGAGGTCCCAGGAAGACAGCTATGTTCCAGGCATTCAAGTAAATCAGTCTAGAAGAGACTTTAAGAAAGGGAAACCAATAGTATACTTTGAAGGGTCTGATCTCAATGGAATTTGGGATTGAATTACAGTTAAAAACACCAACATAAATGGGTATTAACTCCAATTATCTACAAAAAGTTTTATTGAGGAAAAATCACTTTAATATATGGCTCAGCTTCAAAGAATATATGCAGTCATAATAATGTAAACACTGGGCAGGGTGTGGAGGCTCATACCTGTAATTCCAGCACTTTAGGAAGCTGAGGCAGGAGGATCACTTGAGCCCAGGAATTTCAGACCAGCCTGGGCAACACAGTGAGACCCCATCTCTACATAAAAATAAAAAATTAGCTAGGCGTGGTGACACACACCTGTAGTCCCAGCTACTTGAGATTCTCCTAAGGTAGCAGGATCGCTTGAGCCTAGGAGTTTGAGGCTGCAATGAGCCATGATTATACTACTGCACTTCAGCCCGGGTGACTGAGCAAGATTTTATCTCTTAAAAAAAAAAATTGATGTAAACATTGAACACTGATTTAAGTAAATTTTAAGATAGTTCTGTCAGAAAAAATGGGAACATGAAAAGTATGTAGATGATGGCAGTGAGTGGGGACATGTACAGGAATATCTAAAACAGAAAAATCCAGCTGGGTGTGGTGGCTCGCACCTGTAATCCCAGTGCTTTGGGAGGTCAAGGTGGGAGGATTGCTTGACCGCAGGAATTTGAGACCAGCCTAGGCAACATGGAGAGACCCCGTCTCTACAAAAAATTTTAAAAAATATAAATTAGCTGGGTGTAGTGGTGTGCTCCTGTGGTCCCAGCTATTCGGGAGGCTGAGGTGGGAGGATTGCTTGAGCCCAGGAGGTGAAGGCTGCAGTGTCTCATGACTGCACCATCAGCCTGGGTGACAGAGTGAGACCCTATCTCAAAAAAAATAAATAAATAAAAATCCAGGAGTCCCAATATGAGCATGTTATTTAGGTAATTATCAAAAGAGGTGAACGAAATTGGCTTTGTGGGAGGAGATATTGGAGGTCTTGTTAGGGAGAAAAGTCTCAGGACTGGGTTTTTCTTTTCTTTTCTTTTTGAGACGGAGTCTCGCTCTGTCACCCAGGCTGGAGTGCAGTGGCGCGATCTCAGCTCACTGCAAGCTCCGCCTCCCGGGTTCACGCCATTCTCACGCCATTCTCCTGCCTCAGCCTCCCAATTAGCTGGGACTACAGGCACCTGCCACCATGCCTGACTAATTTTTTTTGCATTTTTAGTAGAGACGGGGTTTCACCGTGTTAGCCAGGATGGTCTCGATCTCCTGACCTCGTGATCCGCCCACCTCAGCCTCCCAAAGTGCTGGGATTACAGGCGTGAGCCACCATGCCCGGCCAGTTTTTCTTAAATAATTGTAGAATTAGTTGGCTCTTTAAACTGTGCTTTTATCATCCTGAAAACTTGAAAGAATGATGCTATCAATGTTCTCAAAAGAGTTTATGGCCCTGGAAAAAGGAGGCCAAGCAGCTGTGGGAACCCTGCAGCATCTACATAAAGACCATGAGCATTACCCTGGAGATGAACACGTTAAATCATAATTCCACTGTCTCCTTGCAGACACTGACTTGAAAAAGCAGTCCAAGTTTGAAGAAGTTCACTGGGAAAATGTTTCTAAGCACAACTAACACACGAAATGAGAAACAAGGACATCAAGAGTCAGAGAAAACTCATTTAGAGGAAACACATTTAGACACTTATTAAGGTTTCTGCTGTATTTAAACAGAGAGAATCAATTCTCTTTTTAAGGAATATAATTACGTGATATAAATAAACTCAAGAAAGGCTCCCAGTAGGAGCAAGCTTAACTTTACTTTGTATAATGTTTATAAGCTGATTCACAAAAGCTTTTACAGTCGATGTCAGTATAGTAGAAAAATTCTTCCAGGTTCAAATCTCTACTAGGTATTTAATTCCCATATTTAAGGCATAATGTATTTTACATTTTAAGAATGAATAGGCAGGGCATGGCAGCTCACGCCTGTAATCCCAGCACTTTGGGAGGCAGAGGCAGGTGGATCACCTGAGGTCAGGAGTTCGA